>NC_000001.11:16849163-18099163 GCF_000001405.40 Homo sapiens
GAATTCAGCAAACTTTCAGCAAACAATTCATTGTGATGGCAATGAGCTATCTGAGAAGTAAACTGACACAATGATTTCATTTATAATAGCACCTGTAAGGATAATATGCCTGGGAATAAATTTGTTCAAGAAGGTGCAGTACTTGTACACAGACAACTACAGAACATTGTTCGAGGAGACTAAGGAAGACCTAAATCAATGGAAAGACATCTTGTGTCCACGGGTTGGAAGTTGTAACATGGTTAAGATAAAAATACAACTCAAAGCAATCCACAGACTCAATACAATCCTATCAAAAAGTGGCTTTTTTTACAGGAATGCCTGAGAAGAACTTCATGTTCCTAAAAAACAGCAAGTGTCCCCCCAAAACAAAAGCAATCTTGAAATGCAAGAAGGAACGTTCTCTATTCCAAAGGTCTTTAACTGCTCTCAGTAATACGTGGTAATCTTCAATATACAGGCTTTCACACCTTTTTTTTTTTCTTCTTTTGTTTCTAGACACGATCTCACTCTTTCACTCAGGCTGGAGTACAGTGGCAAGATCACACAGCTCACTGCAGCATGGAATTCTCAGGCCGATGACATCCTAGGGCCTCATCCACTGAGTACCTGGGACTACAGGCTCACACCACCACAGCCGGATAATTTTTCTGATTTTCAGTAGAGATGAGGTCTCACTATGTTGCCTAAGCTAGTTTCAAGCTTCTGAGCTCAAGCGACCCTCCTGCCACGGCCTTCCTAAGCGCTAGGATTTGAAGCTGAGCCTGGCTGGCTTTCACATCTTTGCTATGTAGTTTATATTTCTTGGTGTTATTGTAAATGTTTATGAAAGGAATCTTTTAAAAATTTTGTATTAAAATTATATATTTAAGGAATTACATATATTATATATATTTAAGGAATACAACCTGAGGACTACATATACATATACACATACACATACACATACATACACATACACATACACATACACATACACATATACATATACATATACATATACATATACATATACATATACATATACATATACGTATACTATACATAATGAACTAATGCCTACTAGGTGAGGGGCTGCCTTGTGAGCAAACCCAAAGTCCTTGGCTCACAAAGCCTTGTCTAGAAAGATGGAGGGATCAGCAAAGTGGGCACACAGCAGGTTCTGTCTTTAGTGCGGGCACCTGCCCACTCGGGTCTCTGGCAATCCTGACCAGGCTTCATGATGGGTGAGGTGAGCTAGGAATGGGAAAGTGGATGACCTCAGATCCAGAGACTGCAGTTGTCACCTGGGGACCTGGCATGTGCGTGGAGGAGTCTCCCACTGATTTGGCCCTGGATCAATGCCCAAACATGCACAAGGACAGGACTGTTGGCCTCAATGTTTTAGGAGCCACCAGTCTTCTAAAGAGGGTTTGTGGTGGGGAAGAATGTTCAACAAAACAGAAGAGTTATGGGTACTCTAGCTTGGCAACAGAGAATACTTCCTTGTGCTACTAAATGACAATATTTGACAATTATGGATGACATAATTGAGCAACAGCTTTCACTGTTTAACAAGCAGGGTCTCTGGAACACTAGGTTAGTGCTGTCGGAAGTTGACTGAAAAGTCGGTGGTTTGAGCCCATCCAGTCGCATTAATGTTTCTAGCTGATGTGACCTTCCATCTGAAGAGTCTCTTCCTTGGACCAAATATATCTTCAAGCTTCTCCTCTTCTTGTCTCTTGTCTATTTTCCAAGGTGCCTCTTTGTTGCTTGAGGCAAAAAAAGTTCATTATTAATCCACACCCAGCAAACATCTACCCTTACTTATCCCGGTTTTTAGAGTTTTGAGTTTGTTTGTTTTCTCAGCTTCTCATATTTGGAATACTGGGAATTCCTAAAGTGGAGAACAACAGAACCTGAATCACACCTATGGTGAAGCCACAGGCCCTGGGTGAAAAACCTAATCTGCTCGCGTTTAAAGATAAACCCATTAATTTTCTGTGCTTCCATTTCTATCTGTCTAATGGGCTAAATCAGAACACTTAATTTGTCCAATGTTTAAACGAGCAGTGCAGGAAAAGCGTGGAGCCAATGCCTGTCACGTAGCAATTGGTCAACACGCATGAGCTCCTATCAGCGTCACGGCCTCCAGCATTTCCATCAGGCTTTGATCTTTGAAACGTCCTTCCTGATATGAATGGGTCATTCTTCAAACATTCTCTAACCGATGGCCATGACATTGTTCCAATGTGTATTATTACAAATACAACTGCAGAGACCAGACTGACACATGTATCTGTCGTGCATCACTTGTCTATTTCTCCGTAGATACCTGGAGATGGAATTGTCAGACCAAAGTATTTATACATTTCTGATTTTGCTAATTTCTATCCAAATTACTATGAAAAGAAGCTGTAACAAGTCATACTTTTAATATTTTATGAGAATTCTTTTTTTCTCCATCTTCTGGCCAAAACTGGGAAGTACTTGCCTACCATTTCCTCTGAACTTACTTTTGCCAACATTTCTGTAGTCACACAGTGGGATCACATTGCATGCATGACATCAAACTCAAATCCTAATTGAAAAGAGGGGTTCACAGGACTCTATAAAAATTTATATTCAAAATACAAAAATGCAAACATATATGTGTATACAAATACATATATATACACATACATATATGGGAAAGGAATTTTTTTATTTGGATACCTTATCAAAGTTATATAGACTGGAAAATTTGTTTAGTAAAACAGCAGTCCCCTTGTGTACTCCCAGAGTTTCATCACATAGAAGCAAGTATTTAGTTATTTATCTCCTTATGTCTAAATAGATATTATTCCTTTTTGATTTTCAAGCGTAGGCACTATCTCTCCTTCACATACTTGCTCATCACCACCACCCCCAAACATGCCTCTCACTACCTTACCCTCTAACATGTTTGTGTCCTAGTTTGAGGGCCAACTACTACATTATTATAACTTGTATATGTTATTCAGAGTTCAGTCACACTGGATATACATAGCAGGAAATGAAAGGCCAGTATCTTCAGGGACTCTCTCTCAAGTGGATAAGCTTCAGAGATTTTTGTAATCTTTGGTCACCCTCTCCATCTTTTTCCTATTCCGGGTAAGTACTGGATCTGATGGGCCCAGCTCAGGTCAGGCACTCTCTCCTTGAGAAGGGGAGAGCAGGACATCTTCATGTGTAGTACCAAGAAGACACTGTCCAAAGAGGGACAGGTAGTTCTGAGACAGAAAAGTCAATCTGGGGTATGGGTAGGCAAAACGAGGACACAAAAAAAAACCCATGTCTGTTCTGTGAGGGGAGCATGCAGTAGAGGGTGGATTCAGAGTGGGAGGGGAGAGTTTTGAGAGATATGGGCCATGGATAGCCCTCTGTGGGCTGGAGCCACGCAAGGCTGTTGGGGTCTCTCAGGGGCAGGGAGCTGAGGAGAATCTGCCCTCCCCAACCTGGGAGACTGGTGAGGGGACTGTCCTGGTCACCAGACAGAAATGGGGTCTGGGCCAGGGCAGTTCTGGTGGGAAAGAAAGAACAGGACATCTTCTCCTTAGGTAAGGCTCTGAGTTCAGGTCTTGGTAGGGAGGGAGGTTACCTTGGGCATTGGCCACTGAAGATGGTTGGCCAGATGAGCACACTGAAATCTATGTTCTATAAACTTGCAGTTCTAGTAAAAGAATGACTGCAGTAAAGGGTCTTTAGGAAGAGGAGGTGGAAGACCTGATTTGGGTTGGGGGCTCCAAGAAGAATGTCTGCCTTGCTGTGCAGAAGCCTGCTACACAACCTCCCTGGTCCCCTTGCTCAGTCTCCCGGCCAGACCCCCAGAGTACCTGCCCTGTGCACCCTGGAAGTACACAGTGAGTTCAGCCAAGGCATCTCCAGCCGGGACTCATCCCTGGGCATTTCTGTGGCCTTGGGTGCCCTGGCCTTCTCCAGGCCCTGTCTTGCAGGCAATCGTCCTGCAGGGGAATGGGAGAAGGAGGCTACTTGACAGTTGACTCTGAGTGGCTCCACAAGTTCCTGACTTAGCTCCTAGTCACTTGCAAACCTATATACCCCCATCTCATCCCCCAAATGGTGAAAAAGAAACTTTGCCAGGACTCATGCCAGACAAATAGAACAGAACCGTTCCATAGAGCCAAGGTCTTAGGACATCAATAAGAGATGGAAACCACCTGCTAGAAGGTGCCACAGTGGGAAGCTTGTTGGAAGGGAGCAGTCACTGAACTGTCAGGGTGAATCCTGGCTCCTGGCCCTCACACGCCCTTTCTCCCCTTCCTTCCTTCTCTCCTCCCTCCTGTCTGCTCTTTCCCCTCTCTCCCCTGCATCCCTCAGGTACCTTCCATGGGCCCTCACCCCTCCTTTTCAGAGGCTCCAAAGTGAGCCCTCAAAATACTTGGTAACCTTGGGCATTTCCAAAACTGGAGAGATTTGGCCACACCATTTTTAGGAGCTAGGAACGTCCTCCAGAGCTCTTGCCTAAATTTTTCTGCTGATGAGAAGAGAACAAAAGAGTTTCCATCTGATCTGGTCCTAAGGCAACTGCTCCTTGGAGCAGAGTCTGGGCAGGAAGAAGGGGGTTGCCCAGGGCCCCAGACTTGCCCCTCCCAGCTGCTGTGCTCCTCTCCCCTTCACTGCGGGAGGCTGGCCAGGGATCGGGAACCTCTGTTCTCCACAGTTGCTGCGATCCCAGGCCCAAATCTAAATATTGGCTGATTTAGGAGGCTAAGGGAGGCAATTCCCTGGAGAGAGGTGTCAGGATCTGGGACAAGAGCAGCATCTGGTTGCCATCCACGGAGACCCCAAGGACAGGAATCCAGTGGTAGCCTGTTGGAGGGGATCCCATGACAATAAAATGAAACGTGTGCATTAGAACTGGAGCCAAGACCAGGAGCTGAAAAACCGCGCCGTCCTAAGGGATGAAGGAATTAGGGAATCCCGGAAGTAAAGTTTTTCATATAGGTCATTTCTTCCAAAGAGACACAGGGCAATGGCCCAATGACATGTATAAAAGAAAACTCAGGGTCTAGGATTGAGGGGAGGCAGCCTTTTCAGTGGAGGAGACCTGTCACCTGGAGGCCCAGGGTCACCCTGAGAGGGGAGGGGTCTTGCTGGGTCGCTGGGTCTAGGACTCCAATTGCACACAGCCAGTGGCCTGGACGGTGGGTGACCATGACTGGGGCAATTTCCCCCATTCCGCTTAGGGAGCAATAGGAATATCATTGGCATTATACAGAAAGGTCCCACTGAGACTTGAACGCTGATCACCGTACTCAGAGTCCAAAGCGCTCACCATTACATCATGGAACCTCACAATAGCTCGTAACTGGAGGGCACTGAGTTCACAGAGCAGCCGTAGTTCCCACGCACCTCTGTTCATGTATTTCCTCTGATCCCTCAAGCAACACCGAGGAAGGTGGACCTGAGATGGAGGAGTCGTCCTCTTTCTTTCTCTGCCCTCTCCTTTGATCAACTTTTACCATTTCCTTTGCATCTTAGAAAATGAGGCAAAATCCAGTTTGGGCTTAGGGCCAGAGAAGAGCCCTTGAGGCCTCCCTCATGGAAAACATACTCTCTCAGTTTACCAGAGTTTCCTGTACCAAGGGGAAATTTCTGCAAACAGTAATGTTATATTCTTTTTGCCTTCCCTCTTTTCCCTTTGCCCAGGGAGGCCAGATGATTGTCAGAACAGGACTTGGGCCTTCCTGGGTGCCTCGCCCCCTTCCTCCATGTAATAAATAATAGCTGACACCAAGCAAGTGGGATTGGGAGGCAGGGAAGCTTTCATTTTCTTTTTGATATACTTTTATGCATTTGCTTGGTTGGTTATGGCAAGATTTTCTCACCAGAAATGGAGATTTGTTGGATTGAAAATAAAAAGTAATCAGCCATGTTTTACATTCAACATTTATTGAACCCCTGCTGATAAAGCACTTGCCAGCTTCAGTGGGTCTGCTAGAGATGAGAGTACACAATCCCTGACTTACAGATACCTTGTCCCAACTAAGGCCTAGGTTATCTGAAGGGGAGATTATCAATGGCAAATGCAGGCTCCTCCTGTGGAAAGAAATTCTGCTTCCTGGAGCTGGTGGTCTCTTCTCCCACCAGTTCAAAGAAGCTTCTCTCGCACTGTGGATCTGCCCTCCCTGCCCCACAAGGTTAGGGTATGTGCCATTGGGGCTCAGGGCATATGTGGGAAATTCAGACATTCTGTAACACCTGCTGTCTCTTCCCACGCAGGTGAACCCTTGCTGAAGCAGGACAGCAAGCAGGTCCAGGTGGACCTCCACGACCTGGGCTATGAGACTTGTGGTCAAAGCAAGAATGAGGCTGAACAGGAGGAATCCACCAGTCCCGGTAAGAGCACAGGGTGTGGGGCTCACCTTCCCTCCCTGGAGTCAGCTGTCACATTTGGGTGCTGTTGGCCAATTCCACACCTGACAAGTAGTGGGGAAGAGGAGGACAGGAGGTTAATAGGAGAACTCTTACCCAAAATGAGGCTGAGTATAAGTTTGAATTTCTACAATGAGTTTGTGGCATACTGCTAATAATAATAATAATCATATGAAGTTCTATCCAACTGATTATTATAGAAATACTAAGGCCTACTTAGAGACCACATGAGGTTTTGGAAACATGCAAACCATAAGTTAAAAATAATTTTGGTTTGCATTATAAAAGGACTACAACTATAGGGCCACCCACCACATTCAAAACGAGAAGAGAAGAAAAACACAGTCTCTCTCATTCTTGAGGAAGTGTACTGTGGCAGTTAAGAGAAAAGATCCTGGGGTCAGACTTGTTGCTTCAAATCCCAATTTGTAAACTTTCCTATGCTCCAGTTTCTTCAAATGTTAAAATAGTAATAAAGGAACTACCTACCCCATCAGGTACTAATGTCAATTAAATGAGTAAATTCTTATAAAATGCTTTAGAACAGTGTCTGGCATCGGGTAAAATGCTGTGGATTAGTTCTCATTCTGACTACCACTGCCCCAATACACTGATGTTAACATGCTGATATATTTATTCAAACTCTTATTTTCCTTTGCCTATTTTTCACACAGTTATAACCCAATAAACTTTTAAATTATAGTAAACTTTAGAGAGCATTAAACTTGCAGCATGCAGAAATAGCTTGTCCTACATTCTTGTGGCTATCCTAACTAGATAAGGCCATGTTAATAATGTCTTGAGAAACATCAGTGTGTGTGGAATGAACACAGGATGTTGGAGGATTTGAATTCAGGCTCTGCCACGTGCTAGTTTGAGTGATCTAGAACAAGCTGGTTTACCACCTCTCTTTAAGTTTTGGTTTCCCCAGTCAGTAAAATAGAGAGTGGTGAAACCTAACTTGTGGGTATAAGGAGGATAAGAAATACTGTATTTGAATGCCTAGTACAGTGTCAGGGTTGAATAAAGTACGACTTCACCTTTTTCCCTAGTAATTATTATCCTCATGACCAAACCTGCCTCCTCTCAAAGGCAGTGGCCACAACAGCACATCCAACTTTTATTCAGGAAGACATCTTTGTCTTTTTTCAGAGCATGAGGAGCACAGCAGCCGCAAGGAAATGGTCCTGGTGGAGGGGCTGTGCTCTGAGCAGGGGCGCCGGGGCTGAACGCTGGCTAGTTCCTCTGAGAGGAAGCCCTTGGAGAATGAACTAGGGAAGCAGGAAGAGTTCTGGGTATATGGAAAGTCAGAAAACATCTGGGTCCTATGAAAGGACATCAAAGATCTGAAGGCCCAGCTGCAGAATGCCAACAAGGTCATTCAAAACTTCAAGAGCCAGGTCCAGTCCCTCTCAGTTACAAGTGATTATTCATCTAGTCTGGAAAGACCCTGGAAGCTGAGAGCTCCTGACACCCTGGAGGGGTCTTCACCTCATAGTGTCACTGATGAGGATGAGGTGTGGCTGTCTGATGGCACTGGGGCTTTCTACTCTCCAGGACTTCAGGCCAAAAAGGACCTGAAGAGTCTCATCCAGAGAGTATCCCAGCTGGAGGCCCAGCTCCCAAAAAATTGACTAGAAGGGAAGCTGGCTGAGGAGCTGAGATCAGCCTCATGGCCTGGGTAAGGATGGCACTGTCTGGGCACTTTCTGGATTGAAAATGTGTAAGTTTGTGCTTGGTGTAGGGTAGCTCAGGCAGTTGGAAGAAACAACATGTCTGGGTATTCACAAGGACACTGATTTAAATGGTAGATATAGGTCTGTGGAAAAGACAGGTAGGCAAGCAGGAGGGCATAGGATGATGTCCCAGTATCTGGGAGATACCAGATCTCAGGGATTTCCTCTTAGGGATATATCAGTAAAGTAATAGTACATATGGTATAGTATAGTATAGTATAGTATAGTATAGTATAGTATAGTATAGCATAGTATAGTGGTAATACTGGAATCAGACTGCCTAGCTCTGATGCTTACTACCCATGCAACCTTCTTAACCTTTCTGAGCCTTTGTCATTACCTATTAAATGAGGATGATAACAGAACCCATCTCAAAGGGTGGATATTAGGTTTAAATGAATTAATACAAGTGCTGGCCAGGTGTGGTGGCTCATGCCTGTAATCCCAACATTTTGGGAGGCTGAGGTGGGCAGAACACCCGAGGTCAGGAGTTCGAGACCAGGCTACCCAACATGGTGAAACCCTGTCTCTACTAAAAATATAAAAATTAGGTGGGCATGGTGGTGCACCCCTGTAATCCCAGCTACTCAGGAGGCTGAGGCAGGAGAATCGCTTGAACCTGGGAAGTGGAGGATGCAGTGAGCCGAGATGGTACCACTGCACCCCAGCCTGGGTGACAGAGCAAGACTCTGTCTCAAAAAAAAAAAAAAATTAGTACAAGTGCTTAGAATGGTGCCCAGCATACATTAAGCTCTCAATGCTATTTGCCATAGTTATCAGTGTTATTGACACTTTGTGTTGAAAACACAGACATTCATCTTGGTATGCGTCCTGGTTATCTACTGCTAAGTAAGAACCACTCTAAAACTTAGTGACTTCAAACAGTACTTTATTATGCTTCATGGTTCTGTGGTTTGACTGGGCTCAGCTGGGTGGCTCTCACTTAGGGTCTCTTGTTTTGGGTCTCATCAGTTGATGGCATGAGAGTTTATGTGATGGCCATGATTGCAAAATACAGTCAGCCACAGTATCACAACACAGAAGAAATTCAGACATCAGGTGGTGGTTAAAACAGAAGACATGAAAGGTCCTATCTAGACTTAGGATGAGATGAGTCTAATTATTCATTGAGTATCTGCTGTGAATCTCTGTGATGCTGGTGCTGTAAGGGATGTGAAACGCAGAACTATCTTCATTCTCACAGACCTTACGATTTATCTAGGGACATATAATTAACATATATAGAACAGTTGAAGAACAGTGGCATGGTAAATTTTTTGTTTTGTTTTGTTTTGATACAGAGTCTCACTCTGTCACCCAGGCTGGAGTGCAGTGGTGCCATCTCGGCTCACTGCAACCTCTCCCTCCCAGGTTCAAGCAATTCTCCTCCCTCAGCCTCCCAAGTAGCTGGGATTACAGGCATGTGCCACCATGCCCAGCTAGTTTTTTTGTGTGTTTTTAGTAGAGGAGGGGGTTTCACCATATTGGCCAGGCTGGTCTCGAACTTCTGACCTTGTGATCTGCCTGCCTCAGCCTCCCAAAGTGCTGGGATTACAGGCGTCAGTCACCACGCCCGGCCCATACTAAATTTTTAGTGCAATAATTTATCAGGGTAGAATTTACTCTTAAATACCTCCTATGGCTTACGTGCCAGAATTCAGTTTGGGGGAGTTCCTTAGAGATGTTCTCATAGAAATCTCTACAGAAGCCCCATAACTTATCATCCACCCTTTCCTCTTCTGTCCTGCATTAGGAAATATGATTCCCTGATTCAGGATCAGCCCCGGGAACTGTCTTACCTACGGCAAAAAATACGAGAAGGGAGAGGTGTTTGTTATCTTCTCACCCAGCATGCAAAAGATACAGTAAAATCTTTTGAGGATCTCTTAAGGAGCAATGACATTGACTACTACCTGGGACAGAGCTTCCGGGAGCAACTGGCCCGGGGAAGCCAGCTGACAGAGAGGCTCACCAGCACACTCAGCACCAGTAGGTTGGCCACAGGGCTTTGGATACTCTCAGTCACCCCACAGTTCCAGCCCCTGGTGGCCACCACATCTCCACTGCAACTTTTTAACGTAGGGTCCTGTTTCTATTTCATTTCCTGGGGCTAATACAGGATCAAGACTGCTCAATGGGGAGCATGGAGAGGAACACACAGGGCTGGAGATGCCATGGTTACAACTCTAGAAACTTCACCACTCATGGAATGTGACCTGTGGGGCAGGGGCGGCATCTCTCTGGTGCTAAGAGGGAGTAGGGGACATGACATGGAAGGGCCTTGTTATAGGAGGAAGAGCCGTGAGCTAACAATTGCAAGACGTCGAGGCGCTGAGGCCAAAGGGTCCGTGAGGAAACAGGCGCAGCTCGCGCCCCTCGGCCTACGGGAGGGAGGGCAAGGAGAGTCCTACGGTTCCTGGGAGGACGAGAAGAGCCAAGAGCCCCGACGGCCGGCGCCGGGGAAAAGGCCCCGAGGCGGGGTCCGCATCCCTGGAAGGGCGGCGTCCACCCTCCTGAGAGGCACGGGGCGCCCAGGGCTCGGACGCTCAAAGCCCGCCGGCTCCTGCAGCTTCTGGGAGCCGAAGAGTGTCAGCCGGGAGGATCCCGCACACGGCGCTTAGTTCTGGAACTGCATACCCAGGGGAGGATGCGGGAGCCCGAAGCCCGGGTATGTGTCCCCGAAGCCCGGGTGTGGGTCCCCATGGTTTTCGTGTTGGGGGTGGGCGCGGAACGCTAAGCCTGGGCCTATTGGGAGCCATAGTCTTCTTGATGGCTGGTGCTTATTGGGCTTTTTTCAGTCGAATTTCGAAATGCAGTTGAATTTCTTACTTTGGAAACGATAATAGAAATGGCTGACCTAAGATTTTCATGATGATATTTTGCCTTTTTTGGTGTATATGCAGTTTCTGTGGTGTAGTGGTTATTATGTTCGCTTCACATATGAAAGGTCTCTGGTTCGAGACTGCGTGGGAACATCGTGTTTTGTTTTGTTTTTTTGTCCCTAAATTTAGTGAGTTTAATCGAGGTTGGGAAACAAACAGAAAAGTAGTTGAACCTGTGGCTACACTTTAGACCTCCTCAATCTAGACAGATCGTTGACCAGGCTACAGTTTCCACTGGTCTGCCAGCAAGAGGCCTGCTTAATATTAGCTTTGGTTCCAGAAATTCCTTCAGGTTCTCTTCATTCTCTTCTATCGCCTGTATTTTCACAGGCTGACACTGAAAGTGGATGACATCTTAGTGCATTTCCTAAGGGTCCCGCTTGGCTTCGCTTTACTCTGGTAAGTTGCAGATCTGGCTGATTTGCAAGACAACAAAAACAAAATATTTTTTAAAAAGGTTCTAAATCTGCATCTGGAAGTCATAGAGTCAATATTCCTAAATCACATGAATTATGTGTATACATTTGCATGCATACCCCTTCCCCAAATAATCCTCAGAAAACCGGTTAAGTTTTAGCATCTGTGACTCTGAGATGCATATGAGGCCTTTGTAAATTTAGAAGTTAAGAGTAGAAAGTACAGGTTTGTATTTTAGAAGGAGATTTGGGAATAAATATAGCTCTGGTGGATATAGATCATATGTTAAGGTTTGTTGGCCAGAGCTGGTTTGTGTCTTGGGTGTTGGGCAAAGAACAGAGAACAGCCAAAGCTCTGCGAGGTCAATGTGAAGGGTGATTTCCTTGGTGGGCTCAAGTTTATGACGCAGCCTGGACCTAGCTTGGCTTCTCAGCTAGAGAAGAAGCATGATTCCATGTCACAGCTCCTGTCTTTGAAAAAGTCATAATGACTCCCAGACCCAACATATGGAGAAAACTCTGGATTTGTCTCTTCAGTTGAATGTTTCCAGAGAAAATTGAGGAAAGAAATCTCTCTACTATTTGAACTTCATCAAAAGACTAATATGCTAATATTTGACCGTCAATATTTCCTTAAACTAGTCTACTCCTTACATAGCTAATACATCAAAGCATATTAACTTAGGAAATGGGATTCTCCCAAACAATGAAACATTGACGGCAAGCGTTCTTCATCTTTTCATATCACATTTCCTTCAAATGCTTTATACATCTTCAAGCAGACAAATAATAGTATTATAATGATTACGAGACTGATCGTTACTCTTTTGCCAAAAAAACCAGCGACAAAAGACTAACTTAGTGGACCAACCTTTATTTCTTCATTTTCTCTACCTTGGTTCTGTCCTTTTATTTCCTCTTTCTTCTAATTCTGCTTCTGCTACTGATTTCCTCCCTGGATTTGAACTTTACTTACCTAAACTACCAGTTAGGTTACCTTCTTAGAACCTCTAAGGCAGCAGTTTGAGGTTGACGATGGAAGATTTAGGATTAGAAAAAAGAAACGTGAATGAATTTCTGATGTTTTATTATAGGGGTTTGTAATGCAGGTAGAAAGAAGGACCTTTTTCAGAGTTAAGAGTTTGATCCGACAAATGAGCTATTTTGATATTTATAACGTTGTCTAGTAAAAGTTTCCTGTAAAAACACATTTGGTTTGGATGTCTTTGTTAGCTTTTAGTCGACACTTGAAAAAACCGCTTGGAACGGTTTCTAAGTCTTTGTGGATACTCTTTTCTGTTATCCTCCAGGCGGTAGTTACGCAGAGGCATTGGTGGTTCAGTGGTAGAATTCTCGCCTCCCACGCGGGAGACCCGGGTTCAATTCCCGGCCAATGCAAAAGGGTCTTTTTCACCCCGCTGTTGCTCTTTATCTGTCTTTTACGCTGAAAATCATACTGCATAACCTAATAGTGCATTTAGGGGCTTGGCCACCACAAGGTAAAGTGACGACAACACTCACGAAAGTAGCGGCAGGAGACATTCAGGAGACTAACTCAGGACCCCATGCAGTTGTTGGACTCAAACAGCTTAGCAAGCTGACAAGCATGAAGTGTTTCCGGTGAGTCACTGCAGTTTTCATACTGGTACCTGTGACTTTCATCTATTCACTGGAAGGATCCCTGCAAACCCGAAGAACCATCAGGTTCCTGATTCGCGTGCTGGACCTTGGGCTTACCGTTGAGCCACTATGGAGAGGATCAAGAAATGACGCTCTTGGAAGGAGAGAAGCTGCGGGCAGGACAGTCACCTCAGAGGTCCAAGAGGCGTCAGCGGCCCAAAGAAAGGGGTGGTGTGTGGGCAAGAGTCTGCGTGGAGATGAGGGGAGCGGCGGAGACTGGTCCTTGCGCAGAGGTGGCCAGTAGACCCTCAGGGCTGTACCCCAGACACCGTGAACCGAATTTGCTAACATCGTCAGCGACCGCGGCCTCCGCGTGTTTTGTGGGCCCATCGGTGTTCCCCGAGAAATTCCGTGTGTCTGGCAATGTGTGTCAACAGGTGTTGGCCTGAAATTTGGCCGGGCACGGTGGCTCACGCCTGTAATCCCAGCGCTTTGTGAGGCCGAGGCGGATGGATCGCTTGAGGTCAAGAGTTCAAGACCAGCCTGGCTAACATGGAGAAATCCCGTCTCTACTAAAAATACAAAAATTAGCCAAATGTGGTGGCATGCACCTGCTATTCCGGCTACTTGGGAGGCTGAGGCAGGAGAATCGCTTGAACTCAGGAGGCGGAGGTTGCAGTGAGCCAAGATCGCGCTACTGCAGTCCAGCCTGGGCGACAGAGCGAGACTCCGTCAAAAAAAAAAAGAAAAAAAAAAAGGAGCGAAAGAAGGCAGAGATGTCAATGGGACAAAGAGACCTCCCAGGAGGCTTGTTGTAGAGGCAGTGGCCGGATCCTGAGAGATGAGATTTTTTATTTAATTATGTAGCAGAATGGGGAGAGAAAGGGAGAAGCGCATGAAAGACAGAAAAGCACGAAAATCTGCGGACGTCCAAGAATAAAGCAGATAAAATAGTGTGAGTGTTTTTACATTCAAAAAATAGAAGAAGTGCAATGCTTGTCAGCAGGCTTTGTGGTCGTGTAGTGGTTAATACTTGTAGTTGTGGTTGCCACAACCTGGGTTCTAATCTGAGTCACAGTAGTGTTTTCTAGCCTGCGATTGTGGCTAATAGACCTGTCGTTTGCTTTGCCTTTAATCCTAGCAGCCTCCAGAGAGCAGAGTAAACCTCTGGCCCCGAAGGGCGCCAGCTTCTGGAGTTTAGCCCACAGCGCAGAAACTAGGGGGCGGCCTGGCCGATAGGAAAACTTGGACATGCTCTTTGTCTCACAATTGAGCAGGAAAAATTCCCGTAGGTGAAGATGCTGCCTCTCAAGGGCCCTTTGTCTGTAGCTTCCACTGATGAAATAATGCGGTTATAGTCTTTTCTGGTAGAGAAAACGGCTGTATCAGTGGAATTTTTTAAAAACACAAAACGAGAACGAGTTTTTAATGAGCTGACAATAAAATCTAAACTAGTTGTCATGGTCTGCACCGGCTTGCCTCCATTCCCCATCTGCTAATTTTTATGAGAACAGTAAATTATTACTATTATCATTATTTTTGAGACGTAGTCTTGTTCTGTCACCCAGGCTGGAGTGTCATGGCTCAATCTCGGCTCACTGCAACCTCTGTCTCCCAGGTTCAAGCAATGAGAACAGTAAAGAAACTACAGTTCACATAAAGTGCACAAATCTTTAGTGCAATTTGTTTAGTTTTGATCAATGTTATCACCACCCAGCTCAAGTTATAGAAAATTGCCATCATCTGAGAAAGGCCTGTTAGAGCCCCTGTCCAGGTGATTCCCACCCTGTGTCCTCTTAGTTATCACTATTCTGATGTCTATTCCCACAGGTTACAATTGCCTGTTCTTAAAGTTCACATGAGTGAATGTACATGTTTTGTGTCTGGCCTTTTTTCTGCAGTTACATTCATTATACTCATGAGATATATCCATGTAGTTTCATAGATCACTTCTCAATTTTGGGGTTATTGATTTCTTGTGCTGAATATTCTTATAACAGTCTTTGTGTGCACTTGAGATTCATGGAAGTCCTTCAATTGCTGGGTCATGACCTGAGTATAAGTTTAACATCAGTATAAATTGCCAGTCTTCTAGAATGTTTTTTCACCAGCGATGACAGTTGAAGTGGCACCAAATTCTTGTCAGCATTTGGTGTACGAACTTTGTTAAATGTAGCTATGCTCTCAGACCAATCTGGCCAACATGGCGAAACCCTGTCTCTACTCAAAATACAAAAATTAGCCGGGCATGGTGGCATGCACCTGTAGTCCCAGCTACTCCGGAGGGGGATGTTGCAGTGAGTCAAGATCACAGCATTGCACTCCAGCTTGGGTGACAGAATGAGACCCTGTCTCAGAAAAAAAAAAAAAAAAAGTAGCCATACACTGGTGAGTAGTTAGTGCTATCTCAGTGTGGAATTAATTTGTATTTGCCTAATGAGCAATCCTATGAAGCATACTTTCTTGTGGCTTCCAGCATATAAGAAACTCTCCTTTGCAAAGGCCTATTCAAATATTTTGCCCTATTTTATTTGGCTTAGCTCTATATTACTGATTTACAAAAGTTCTCTTGTATATTCAAGAATTGAGTCTTTTTTTTTGACTTTTTTTATTATACTTTAAGTTTTAGGGTACATGTGCACAACGTGCAGGTTTGTTACATATGTATACATGTGCCATGTTGATGTGCTGCACCCATTAACTCGTCACTTACATTAGGTATATCTCCTGATGCTATCCCTCCCCCCTCCCCCCACCCCACAACAGGCCCTGGTGTGTGATGTTCCCCTTCCTGTGTCCAAGTGTTCTCATTGTTCAATTCCCACCTATGAGTGAGAACATGCAGTTCTTGGTTTTTTGTCCTTGCGATAGTTTGCTGAGAACGATGGTTTCCAGCTTCATCCATGTCCCTACAAAGGACATGAACTCATCAATTTTTATGGCTGCATAGTATTCCATGGTGTATATGTGCCACATTTTCTTCATCTAGTCTATCATTGTTGGACATTTGGGTTGGTTCCAAGTCTATGCTATTGTGAATAGTGCCGCAATAAACATACGTGTGCATGTGTCTTTATAGCAGCATGATTTATAATCCTTTGGCATTTATAATCATTTATAATAATCATTTATTTATAATCATATAAATCAAATAAATATATAATTTATTTATAATCATTTGGCTTTTAGCAGCATGATTTATATACCCAGTAATGGGATGGCTGGGTCAAATGGTATTTCTAGTTCTAGATCCCTGAGGAATCACCATACTGACTTCCACAACGGTTGAACTAGTTTACAGTCCCACCAACAGTGTAAAAGTGTTCCTATTTCTCCACATCCTCTCCAGCACCTGTTGCTTCCTGACTTTTTGATGATCGCCATTCTAACTGGTGTGAGATGGTATCTCATTGTGGTTTTGATTTGCATTTCCCTGATGGCCGCTGATGATGAGGATTTTTTCATGTGTCTTTTGGCTGCATAAATGTCTTCTGAGAAGTGTCTGTTCATATCCTTCGCCCACTTGTTGATGGGGTTCTTTGTTGTTTTCTTGCAAATTTGTTTGTGTTCTTTGTAGATTCTGATGAATCTACAGATGAGTAGATTGCAAAAATTTTCTCCCATTCTGTAGGTTGCCTGTTCACTGTGATGATAGTTTCTTTTGCTGCACAGAAGCTCTTAAGTTTAATTAGATCCCATTTGTCAATTTTGGCTTTTGTTGCCATTGCTTTTGCTCTTTTAGACATGAAGTCCTTGCCCATGCCTATGTCCTGAATGGTATTGCCTAGGTTTTCTTCTAGGCTTTTTATGGTTTTAGGTCTGACATTTAAGTCTTTAATCCATCTTGAATTAATTTTTGTATAAGGTGTAAGGAAAGGATCCAGTTTCAGCTTTCAACATATGGCTAGCCAGTTTTCCCAGCACCATTTATTAAATAGGGAATCCTTTCCCCATTTCTTGTTTTTGTCAGGTTTGTCAAAGATCAGATAGTTGTAGATGTGTGGCATTATTTCTGAGGGCTCTGTTCTCCTCCATTGGTCTATATCTCTGTTTTGGTACCAGTACCATGCTGTTTTGGTTACTGTAGCCTTGTAGTATAGTTTGAAGTCAGGTAGCGTGATGCCTCCAGCTTTGTTCTTTTGGCTTAGGATTGACATGGCAATGCGGGCTCTTTTTTGGTTCCATATGAACTTTAAAGTAGTTTTTTCCAATTCTGTGAAGAAAGTCATTGGTAGCTTGATGGGGATGGCATGGAATCTATAAATTACCTTGGGCAGTATGACCATTTTCCTGATAGTGATTCTTCCTACCCATGAGCGTGGAATGTTCTTCCATTTGTTTGTATCCTCTTTTATTTTGTTGAGCAGTGTTTTGTAGTTCTCCTTGAAGAGGTCCTTCACATCCCTTGTAAGTTGGATTCCTAGGTATTTTATTCTCTTTGAAGCAATTGTGAATGGGAGTTCCCTCATGATTTGGCTCTCTGTTTGTCTGTTATTGGTGTATAAGAATGCTTGTGATCTTTGCACAAGAATTTTGTATGCTGAGGAGTCATTTTTAAAATAAATATATTGCAAATGAATTTTCCCAGTCAGTGAAAAGTCTGACTGAAAGCTGTCAACTGAAAAATCACACAATTTATAAATTTAGAAGGGAGATTTTATTTTTTATAAATGGTTACAGCCTGCAAGGTGGCCATTCCCACAGACTGGGAGGCATACCCTCCTGCTGAAACCGAAAAGTAGGTTTCCAGGGAGGGGAGGGGGGAACAGGGATTTATGTTGATCTGGTGGGCCACATATGCATATTCAACAGGGAATAGGAGGAGCTCTGAATATTCATGAAGGGATCGTGCTGCATGCATGCTGAGTAAACAAGCCTGTTACATGCAACCCATGTTCACTTTGGGGTGGAGATGACATTTAAATACATTATAATTAGTCCCTATGCTTCAAAAGGGGAAGCAGGGACACAAAGGCAGTCAAGTGCACAGCCTCTGTAAAACGTCCAGAACCCGTCCACAGCCAGTGCTCTCTTATCAAGGGGAAGTTACTGAAATCAGTCTCTTGTCCAATCAAAGCTGTAGTTATGGCTTGTGTAGGGAGGGCTCAGTCAGTTTATGGTAATGGGTGAGCTGCAAGTGCTTCAGCATTGCTTATCTCAAGGCCAGTGCTTGTTTAGCTAGAGAAAAAAAGGAAGAAGAAAAAAACCTGTGGCAATTGGAACATAGTTTATTCTTTAAGTTGAGGGGTGCATGACTCCACCTTGCCTGGCGTGGCCTTAGGTCTCGTTTATCATACCATATCTTACTACTGCAAGGAGTCTGTTCTGTCAGTCTTAGGATCTCTATTTTAACAATAATGCTGGTCAGTTGTGTCTAAACCACAAAGGGAGAGAGTATAAGGAGAGGTGTCTGAGCTTCCAAGTACTGGCCAGGAACTCAGTATTTAAGACTTCTCTGGGGTCTCCTTGGCAAAGAAGCCATCTGTCCAGCTAGTTGGGTGGCTTCAGATTTTAATTTTAGTTCTGAAAGCATTTAATTTGATGAAATTTTGCCATATTTTTTCTTTATTTTTAAAGCCCGTCATGTTCTATAAAAATCTTTCTACTCAGGATGTGAATGGATTCTCTTAATTTTATCTCTCTATGAGTTCCAGAGTTTCAGTTTTAATTTTTAAATTGATGACATCTAAAATTCTACTCCTAACCAAAACATTTTTGGGGGTGACTAAGGACAACTCCAAAAATCTTCCATAAATGGAAGTAAGACTTACTCCTTAAAGAACTTTCTGGGATCCTGAGCTGCGGGGCACAGTGGCTTTAGTGCACCTCTGCTCTTAAGACTATTCAGAAATTGTCTTTGTGAACCCATCAGGCTGTTTCAAAATCAGCAATTTAGGGCTTGCTTGCAACACGCAGTTAAGCAGCAGCTGTTTTTTGGATCTCATGAGTGCCTGCATGCATACTTCCCTGGGAATTTTCTAAATTTGAATTCTCATGGTATTTCAAGTGGCATAGTTGTCTCTTTCTTTTGCCTACAGCCACATACATACCACCAAATCCTGCACTCCAAGCTTCTCCTTCCTCACCCTGAACTCCCAACCTCCAGTTAGACAATCCACATCTTCCCACACCTGCCTCAGGCTCCATCAGGCCACTGTGCCTCCCGCAGCAACCAGGCCAGGGGGAATCTGGATTCCTATTACACTTCTGAGGAAGGTGATCAGGGGGCGTGGAGGATGTGGGTGGGAAGGGGTGAGATTGAGGGCAGGAGTACACTGTGGTCTTCTGTCTTCTACCTCATTGGCCCAGGTGCTGCTCTTCCTCCGGTTGTCTGCTTTCAGCCCTGTGTAGGGAATCAGGTCTGCGCCCTCATCTTCCTGACTCTCATTTTCTGAGGAACCTGAATGGATGAGCCGTCGCTCTTGTCCCACACATTGTGTCCAAAGGTGCCCTCCTCTCTACTTGCTCCGGTGCCTGCTCTCTGAGCTCTGACACTCAGGCTGGGATGCCGCCCAGTACAGAAGCTCTGCAGCCCTGCAGGGCTCTGACTGTTCCACACCAGCAGGATAAAGGCCACAGGGCATGCTGTGGTCGAAAAGCATTCAGAGGTGTGGGCTGAAGGCCTCTCTTTCCACAGTCCCTTTGAACACCCCATGGAAGTCAGCACCCCTTTGAGGAACGAGGTGGCCCAAGGCCTGGCTTCACATGCAGGCCGTTGGGTCCCAGTGGGTCCTCTCTGTGCCTGGTATAGCCAACGGCTTCATGCATCTTACCCGGTTTCCTCTCCTCCACCACCCAAGCTCCTCCTTGACCCCCTTGCTCAGCTGTTCTCAGGACAGCAAGATCCCCAGCCCTTGGAAAAGCCCATCTCCAGTGCTTGGGGAGGGAGTTGGGTTCAGGTCGTCTAACCACAGAAGGACAGAGAACTTGAGGCAGGAGGAAATCCCTTCCCTTGCTGGGTCTCTTGGCACAGCCCATCCAGGGGTCTGGGTCAGGGTCCAGGTATACTCTACCCTCCTATAGGACCTGGATTTTTAGGCCCCCGAGGTTGGTCAACGTGGAGTCTTTCCCACTGTTCACCTGGGAACTGAAGGAATATCCCATGGGGCCCTCTCTTACTCATTAGAGACACCCAGAAAATACTCCATTCAGCAGAAACTGCGTGCAGTGTACCAGACCACTATAATTATAACTGCAGGGTGTGGAGGTCAGACACGTTTTGTGGCTATTTTCTCTCTGTCTGTGACTTGCTTGCCTTTTCACTTTCTTAGTGGTATCTTTTGATGAGAAGGTGTGGCTAATGTTGATGAAGTCTCATTTATCATGTCTTTCTTATATATGTATTTTTTGTGTCCTGCTTGTTGGTAGGGTGATCTTTGCCTACCAACAAGTCACAAACTATCCTTGAAATGCTTTATATCTTTAACTTTTACGTTTTGGTGTGTAATGTACCTGAAATTACTTTTGTGTGTAGTGTGAGGGAGAATAACATTGTTGGTCTCCCCACATTCATATAAAAGTCCATTAATTGAAATGATTTATTTTCTTTTATTGAACTGCTTTTATTGAAAACCCATTTATTGACCGTATAGCTGTGGATCAGTTTCAAGTCTCTTAACTCAGTCTGTTTATCTATTTGTCACTCCTGATGCCTCGTCTGTAATAGCTTATAGTAAACCTTAAAGTCAGATAGTACAAGTCCTTGTTCTTTTTTACACATTGCAATAATTTTTGAAATAGGTAATAACTCATAAAACCATCACACACATCAGGATATGCTGTCACTTCATCCCTTTCTGACATGGTTTGGCCGTGCCCTCACCCAAATCTCAACTTGAATTGTATCTCCCAGAATTCCCATGTGTTGTGGGAGGGACCTAGGAGGAGGTAATTGAATCATGGGGGCGGGTCTTTCCTGTGCTATTCTCCTGATAGTGAATAAGTCTCACTATCTGCTGGGTTTCTCAGGGGTTTCTGCTTTGGCTTCTTCCTCATTTTCTCTTGCTGCTGCCTTGTAAGAAGTGCCTTTTGCCTCCCGCCATGATTCTGAGGCCTCCCCAGTCATATGGAAATGTAAGTCCAATTAAACCTCTTTTTCGTCCCGGACTATGTTATGTATTTGTCAGCAGCGTGAAAACGGACTAATACACTCTCATTTCTGAGTGGGACACATGCTGTCACTCACATATGCTGGTTGCTGACTTGTGACGGAAGATTCTCTATTGTACCCTCTGGGGACAATACATCTCCAGTTGCCTGCGGGGAGGATGAACATGCAAAAAATCCACAACACTCAGCACAGAGTCTGGATTTAGTCCCATTAGTCTGAATGGGACTAATGCCCTTATAAAAGGGACCTCGGGGAGCTCTCTCGCCCTCTTTCTGCCCCCTGAGGATACAATGAGGAGGTGGCAGTCTACAACCAGAACAAAAGGCCCTCACCATAAACCTACCATGTCGGCACCTTGATCTCGGACTTCCAACCTCCGGAACTGTGAGAAATCAATTTCTGTTGTGAATCAGCCACCCAGTTTATGTATGGTACAGTGTTAGAGAAGCCCGAACTAAGACACAGATGGAATCCCATGGAGAGTCTCTAATTTGCTAAGCTGGTCATCAGGCGGGATGTTGCCAGTTAGAAACAGGAAGAGCTGACATTTTGTGTATATGAAAGAAGATAGTGGACAGGCCCATTGTGTCGGCTTTGTCTGCCTTGGCAAACTGGAGACGGAAACTCGATTCACCATCGCCAGCCACGGGAGGACTGGGAGGACCTCCAGAGGAGGTTAGGTTGACTTCATGGTAACTTTAGATCCTGAAACCTCCCAGGATATTTCTTGTCTTCCCTTTGATCGCTCTTCCGCCTACCCAACAGGACAGGACTCGACGCCTTTCTTTCCTGGCAGCAAGAGGTCCGTTGCGGACAAGACCAAAGTGAGCAGCTGGTTTCCCCTACGTGTCCTTCCGGGCCTGGGCGTCTCTGGAGCTCAGGCTGACCCGAGACCTGACTCCCGGCCAGTGGGACCAGCAGGAGCCTGGAAGAGCGCGCCCACCGGGGTGGAGGTTGGTCGCCGGGGGTCGAGAACCGCAGTCAAACCCTCTTCTTCCCCGGGCACCGCGCACCTGCCCCCGGGGATGCCGAAGGAAGTGGCCCATAAAGCTTCTCTGCAACCGAAAGAGGCCTGAAGCTCCAGGAGGGCCGAGAGGAGCCTCGTTGAGCGAACCCAGCCCTCTGCCTGGCTGGCCCTGGTCAACAGGCTCGGAAGAGGCTGATTTGGAGGACAGAACGGAAGAAAAGACCTAAAGGTTTCGAATCTCATGATGTAGAGATGTTAAAAGCCTCCAATCCTAAGGTCTGACTGTGCGGGGGAGCGAGGGGGTCTCAAGCTGGATGGACCCCTGAGCCTTCATCTGGAGAGTCCTCTGCACAAGCTCAGACAGCAGGACAACGCGCATCAGTGGTTCTCAAGAGGGGGCAACTTCGCCCTTACACGCCTCTCACCTCCACGCTGGGACACTAGGTCACGAATGGGGGAAGCGGGGAGGGAGAATGCTAACCCCCTGGCATGTATCTAGTCAGCAGAGGCGACGGCTGCTGCTAAACACCTTACAATCCACGGGAGGGCCCCTCCCCTACCCCGAAGTAGCCATTCCGCAGAGGTGGAGAGACTCTCGTGTAGCTCAATGCCCACGCACTTAGCCGATGGGAAATTACGAATTGATGACCAGTTGGCTCTTGGATCTGAGGAAAAAACTCCAGAGTCAGAGGGAACTCTCGAAGTTTTGCCCGGAGCAAACGGAAGGGTGGCTTTGCCATCGCCTAAGATGGGAAAATGGCAGGTGTCACAGGTTGCAGGGGAAGGTCGGAGACCAGCTGAGGGCCCCGGAGCCTTCCTGGAAAGAGTTTCCCATCCAGCCCGTCTCGGTTTCCGCATCCGTCTGATTCCTTATGATGTTGAGGGTGCTGGCGTCTGGGTCCTTTATGATGCAGAGGGTGCCCCCGTCTCACCCTGGGCGCCTCCGCGCTCCCGCCTCCTCCTGGCAACCTGGTGCGCGGCTCCGGACCTGGCGACCCACGACCGGCTGGTCACTTGCTGCCACCTCGCAAAGGCGCATCTCTAGTTCAGTGGTGAGCTGCGGCCGGGTCGCTGCAACTCGCTCCAGGCCTCCGGACTCGTGGCCTCGGTGTCCCTCGCGGAGCCCTCGGTGTGTCGCTTGCAGGCTCTTTTTTTGAAGAAAGCAGGGAGGGAATGGCCTTGTGAGAGACTCCAGGAGCAAAGAGCGACCCTCACAAGGCCCAAGTCCTCCCAGAGCTCAGGGAAGCTGTCGCTTCTGACAGAAGAAGGGAGACAAAGCTCCCTCCTGTGTGTCCCTGGTGGTCTAGTGGCTAGGATTCGGCGCTTTCACCGCCGCGGCCCGGGTTCGATTCCCGGCCAGGGAATTGTTTTACACTGGCCGCCCTCCCGCAGGAATCTTCCTTCACTACGCTGTCAGCCGGCCTGCTCCAAGGGCCAGAAGCAGAACAGTCTCCGCAGCGGGGTTAAAGCCGGGCGAAGGAGGGCAAGTGCTGGTGGACCACCTCTCACGACACACCGTTCCTGTTTATCTCAGTGTCCGTCATCCGCGGGAGCAGCTTTAGAGAGCGACTGAGCGTCTCGCTCCGGTGTACACAGCCCGGCAAAGATGCCAGCCCCCGTGGAGCTGCACCCAATAAGCCCACCTTCTTTCCCGTCGCCACCCCGGAGACGCCCATCGGGCTGAGCTGCGAATAACTAAGAGAGAGGCCAAGCCAAGTCGTGGCGTTTGTGGCAGCCCCGGACACGGGCACCAGCCAGTCAGCGGAGCCTCCTCACCTCCGTTGCCAGCGAAGGCGCTCGTTAGGCCTTGGGAAGAGGCGACCGGAGGCGATGCCCGCGAATTTGTTAGGGGGGTAAGCGGCGGGTGAGGTCCTCGAGGGCGGTCCCGTTTGCTGATTGAGCGGTAGACGGAGGCGATGTTCGCTGACCCAACAAGGACAGCAGGTGGAGTAGGCACAGATGGAAAACTGCTGCCGGTGCCCTAAGCAGAAGGCAGGTGGAAAAATCAGCACTAGGACGTCGAAGCGATGGTACCACAGTCAAATCCCACGACGTCTACACTCTACCAAGCACTTGCGCACGCTCCCCCTTTTCCATTCAGTACTCCCAAGAGGGGTTCGGAAGAACCCCGAGTCCATTGTAAGCTCAGGGGAGAGCGGGAGCCAGGGAGGTGAAGTGCGCAGACTCGGCAGCGGCGGCGGGCAGAACCGCGGGGGGGTGAGAGGGCGCGGTGGCTGCGGGGCGGGAGCCGCTGCTGAGAGGCGGCCTGGGTTGTCTTGTGGGGTGACTGTCGGTGGAATCTTTGGTGGAGAGTGGTTTGGAAGAATGGCGAGGGGCGGCAGTGGGGAGGGTGGTGACCCTGAGCGACCGGCCAGGGCGAGGAGGCTGTGCTGTCCCTGCAGGCCATGTGCTCATTTCCACTTACCTGGCAGGGGAGAGACCGTGGTCACGAAGGGGGTTCTCCCAGAGTGAAGCTTCTTCATCTCACTCTAGAGTTGCTGATCCCTGTGATTTCCTCCATGTGGGAAACGGTGTTTGTGCTAGAAGAGGCTGCGCTCTTTACCTGACATAACGGGGTTCAAGACTGACAACGCCTCACGCCCACCCGAAAACGTTTACATGGCTTCCTTGTCTCTTTTTTTTTCTGTCCTAAAGTCGCCTCATCTTCACATCCCCTCTTTTTTTTCTTCCACACTCGAGAGTGTCTCTCTCTCTCAGTAAAAGCTCCACCAAATATTTGAAATATCTCAACCAGAAAGACTGCAATAAATACATTATTTCATTCGTGGAAGGTACAGACCAGCTAGATTGAGAGTTGCTTGATATTTTCTGCTAAACGGTGAGGCATAGAGCACTTGGAAGGTTTCTCTTTGGGCCACTGTTTGTGTACTCTTGGGTTTCCTTCTTTTCCCCAGACAGTATGGCGCTGTGGGGCCAGGGGTAAACCCTGCTTTCCGGCTTTCTGGCTGCAGATAAAGGCCTCAGCTGGTGCAGGAATCAAAAGCAAACCAAAAGACACGTGGGTTCGCCCCAGTGGGTCCAAGATAGAGTCTGACTGTACCAGGATTCCGATTAGAACAGAGGTTGCTGCAGGCACAACGCAGACTACTAACCACTAGAGAATCCCAAGGCGCCCCACACCTACTGCCCGTCGTTTTGCTTCCCCACCCCTCTATTATTTATTTGTATATTTTTTTGAGAGACAGAATTTCGCTTTGTCGCCCAGGCTGGAGGGCAGCGGCACGATCTCGGCTCACTGCTACCTCCGCCTCTTAGGTTCAAGCGATTCTCCTGCCTCAGCCTCCTAAGTAGCTGAGACTACAAACGTGCACCACCACGCCCAGCTAATTTTTGTATTTGTGGTAGAGACGAGCTTTCACCATGTTGGCCCGGCTGGTCTCGAACTCCTGACTTCAAGTGAGTGATCCACCCACCTCGGCCTCCCAAAGTGCTGGGATTACAGGCGTGAGCCACCGCCCCTGGTCCCCCGATTTTTTTTATTAATGTAAAAACATTATGCGATTTTTACTTCTTTATTCTTGGGCAGCTACAGGTTCTTGTGATTTTCTCTCACATCTTCTCCCCATTTCCCCCTCTCCATTCTGATACATGTCCCATCTTCTCTGCATCCAGCCGGTGCCCTCTGCACGGGCATCCTGGGCTGTCCCATTGTCTAGTCCTGGTCTCCCCTGCTTCTCCCTCCTCCTTGTCACGTTTTCCCTTTTGACTCCCCTGCCTCTTTCCCGCTCCCGCCCCACCGACCCCATCTACTGAAGCCGAGTTGAGTGAAGGGAGAGCAAGCGGAACAGATGATTGCCTGAAGGCGGCGCAAAAGAACAGAAAGAGCTACCGTGAGAGCCGTCGGGGAGTTCAGCTTCCCTTGGGCCCTACTTGGCTCAGGCTGGGGTCGCAGATCCAGGCATTTCCAGAGGCACTGGCTTCTGAAGCAGGCGAGGGTGAACGCAGGGTGAAGGCCATTCGGCCGCCCTTCTGGCTTCAGAGTCACGCAATGCACGCGTTTCTAACGTGCAGCAAGACGATTAGTCGACTCAGCCTCTCCGGTTTTCTGAAGCTTTGTAGTCTGCACAGTTGTCCCGCAGAAAGCGAATGGCAACTCCTAGGGTTTAGTGATTGCTTAATCTATATAGAGATGAAAGCAAGCGATTGAGGTTGTCTCTGTGGTGCAATCGGTTAGCGCGTTCGGCTGTTAACCATAAGGTTGGTGGTTAGAGACCACCCAGGGACGTGATTTTAAATGTTGGTTGTGACCAGGCGCAGTGCCTCACGTCTATTAATCCCAACGCTTTGATAGGCTGAAGTAGGGGAAGCCTCCACGGAGCTCAGAAGTTCAAGACCAGTGAGAATCCCACCTCATTTAAAAAAAAAAAAATGCAGTTGTATCTATCTCCTCAGACCCTTCAATGTATTTAAAAGTGAAAGACTGTTCCCTTGTGTCTTGTGCATCCCATGAGGACAGACAGCAGAAGGTCCCCCTCCAAGCCTCCTAGAAAATGAGATCTCTGCAGAACAAACTAGCTTGTATGTACGGGAAACGGAAAGTATTTGAAGGAACAAACTTCAAAAATTCTGCCTTGCTTTCCACAAAAATTAACCCATCACAGTCTGCCTTCAAGTGGCATCATACCTCTTCCCATGACTCCTCCCCCTGCCTTTATGCTATTGTCATGCATTTTACTTTACACCTGTTATAAACCTTACAATCCATCTCTATTACTTTTGTTTCAAGAGTCAGATGTGTTTTTGTTTGTTTGTTTATTTTTGTTTTTTTGTTGCTGGTGGTGGTGTTTTTAAGACGAGTCTCACTCTATCGGACAGGCTGGAGTGCAGTGGCACAGTCTTGGCTCACTGCAACCTCTGCTTTCCGGGTTCAAGCGATTCTCCTGACTCAGACTCCTGAGTAGCAGAGACTACAGGCTTGGGCCACCATATCGGACTAATTTCTGAATTTTTAGTAGAGAGGAAGGTTCACCATATTGGCCAGGATGGTCTCAAACTCCTGACCTCAAGTGATCCACCTTCCTTGAATCCCAAAGTGCTGGGATTCCAGGCGTGAGCCATCGTGCCCGGCTAAACAGTCAGATGTTAAAATTATATATTTGCCTATGTACATGTCATTTCTAGTGTCTTTTTTTTTTCATCCAGATTTTCATCTGGTGTCAGTTTCCTTCTGCCTGGAGGACTCCTTTAACTTGTCTATTAGGTGTCTTAAACTTGCACTGTCATTCACTGATGCTCTGTTCATTTAAAAAAAAACTTGTTGGCCGGGTGCGGTGGCTCACGCCTGTAATGCCAGCACTTTGCGAGGCCGAGGTGGTAGATCAGGAGGTCAGGAGATCGAGACCATCCTGGCTAACACGGTGAAACCCCGTCTCTACTAAAAATACAAAAAAATTAGCTGGCTGTGGTGGCGGGCGCCTGTAGTCCCAGCTACTCAGGAGGCTGAGGCGGGAGAATGGTGTGAACCCAGGAGGCGGAGCTTGGAACCTGTCAAAAGGCATTCTTAGCCTTAAAAGAAAAGCCAGGGACATCCCTTGCCTCAGGACTCTCGAACTTAGAAAAACCTTTCACCCTCTATGTGGATGAATAACAAGGGACAGCTTCAAATGTTCTAATTCAAAGGCTGAGGAATTGCTTTGGACCAGTGGCTTATTTCTCTAAACAGCTAGACCAGGTGGCAGCTAGGTGACTAGGAAGCTTGAGATCTGTGGCTACCATCACTTTATTGTTAGAAGAAACCAGTAAGTTTACCTTGGGACAAAAATTACATGCCATACCACCCCACCCCCACCCCCTGCCACCCCATGAAGTACAGTACAGAGGGTCCTAGAGGCAAAAGTACACCAATGGCTAACAGGGAGCCAGTTACTTAAATATCAGACCCTTCTGCTTGACACCCCAGATGTTACCCTGAAAGTATCCTGATTTTGAAACCCTGCTACTCTGTTGCTGCACCTCACATCTCAAGAAACAGATCCCAAACTCATTGACTCCTGTGTGGAAACCACGGAAGAGCTCTACTCTAGAAGGCCCAACCTTGAAGACAAGCTGTTGTCTAACCCAAATGTTGAGTGGTTTAGAGATGGAAATAGCTATATTCATGAGGGAGTAAGAAAGGAAGCTTAGCCAACAAGAAGTCATTGAGGCCAAGGGTTTACCTTCTCAGACTTCTGTTCAAAAAGCAGAATTAGCTGCTCTAATTAGGGCCTTCCAACCATGAAAAGACTTAAGCTGGACACGGTGGCTCACGCCTGTAATCCCAGCACTTTGGGAGGCCAAGGTGGGTGGATCACCTGAGGTTGGGAGTTCGAGACCGGCCTAGCCAACATGGCGAAACCCCGTCTCTACTAAAAATACAAAAATTAGCCGGGTGTGGTGGGGTGCGCCTGTAATCCCAGCTACTTGGGAGGCTGGGGCATGAGAATCCCTGAGTTTGCAGTGAGCTGAGATTGCAGTGAGCTGAGATCATGCCACTGCACTCCAGCCTGGGCGACACAGCAAGACTCCGTTTCAAAAAAAGAAGAAGAAAACCAAAACCTCAAGAGTCAATGTGTTGACTGACTCTAAATATGGGTTCCTGGTGCTCCATGCTCATGCAGCCATAGGGAAGGAAAGGGGACTATCAAGAGCCAAGGGATCCCCCACACAACTTTACTCAGATCTTGGAACTTTTAGATGCTGTCCAACTCCCAAAGAAATAACAATTACTCACTGCAGGGGACACCAGAAGGGAGACACTTTTATTATTAGAGGAAATTCCCTGGTGGAAAGAGCAGCTAAGGCCACAGCTAAGGAAACCCTGGTATTTCAGGCTGCTGCGCTACTACCAGGTACTGCATCCGTGTCAGTGACACCATACTATACCCCTAAGGAAATTAAAGGGACTGAGTAAAAGGCTTCCAGGGAGACCCCTCTGGATGGTTGCTAGAAAAGAACAAACTCTATTCCTGAGGCTGACAAATGGGAAATAATTAAACATTTTCATGATTCCTCACATTTGGGACAGGATTTTCCATTTAAATTAGTTTCCTAAATATTCTTGCGGAAGGGACTGTTCCAAACTATAAAAAGGGTTACCACTCAGGAAGCCACCCCATACCCCGATCCCTGCTTAAACCTGTACAACACCAAGGAACATACCATGGTGAAGACTGGCAGACAGACTTAACCCAGATGCCACCTTACAGGGGAGTACAAGATTTGCTAGTATTTATAGACACTTTCACCAGGTGGATAGAAGCTTTCCCCACAAGGACAGGAAAAGTACTGGAAGTGTCTAAATTCTTAAAGAAATCATTCCAAGATTTGGATTACCAAAAGGTTTGCAAGGTGACAACTGACCTCACTTCACAGCTAAGGTGACCCAGTGAGGTCATGCCTCAGCCTTAGGCATTACCTATCTTCACTCCTCATGGAGATCTCAGTCTTCAAATAACATAGAAAGCCAATCGCGACATTAGCAAAACTCTTTCAGTTTGGGGGCTTGCCTGCCCTGCGTCACTATCATTGTTTCCTTGGGTTTCCCAGGAATGTACATGTGTCAGACTGCCGCCCTGCTTATAGATCTGTTTCCCTGCAAGGAAACAGGAATATGTTGCCTGTGGCTTCCAGAGTTGGAGATACATGTAGTTGCACCCCTGAGGGCTAACATTTAATTTTGGAATCAAGTGATGCATTCAGACTGGTTGTTATCATTCTGTGGTATATATTTAGTGAACACATTCTGATTGAGTTTCCTGCTTTTAGCTGGAGCAAGAAAGTTTAATAATTGTGATTTGTATGAAAAAAATCATAGGCAAGGGAATGGGTGTAAAATAAACTTTATTGTCAGAGGTTTCTAAAGGCTCATCCTTCAAGGAAAACGGACATATGCTGAAGAGCTGATAAACCGTCTACAGCAGTGTTATTCTAAGCTAATCTTGATTCCAAGTTCTTGCCATTTTCCTCCAGCTGCTGTTGACTCCAGTTATATATAGGATGGGGGAAAGGGGATTATCTATGAATGTAGGCATCACTCTCTCTTGGGCAGTTATCACATTGGCAGACTGAAGGGATGTGATTTCTACAGTCAAACTATCCATTTGGAGTACAAATCTGGAGTGGCTGTAAAATTCGGTTCTCAGAGATGAACTTGCAGATTCAGACTTTCAATTGTTCTGTTGTTTTAGTTTTTCTCATCAACTGGGGAACTGTTTGTGACTAAGCTTTGTTAAAAGTAGAGAAGAGTTTTTCATAGTTCCAACATTAGTTGTTACCCGAAACAAACAAAAACACACACACATACAATTAAACAATAATCTTTGGTGAGGTCTTGCTGATACCTGAGGCTGGAGTGAGAGCTGACTGGTGATACAGGCCAGGTGCAAACTGAGTGCAACTAAGTGGATAATCTCCAGTAGTGAACTACAGTCTAGAAGAAGATAGTAATAATAGATTAAAAAAAAGTCTCCTGAAGTGAACCAGCTGGCGTGTGGTGTAGGACACAGGACCCCACCCACCTTATGATTCTAAGAGCCTTGCTCAAAGCCACTGCAGTTGAGTTCGCTAGGTCTCTACCACCTCCTCAGCATCAATTGACTCTCCATAATACTCCTCTGGAGAGAAATAAGGGTCTTTCAACCTCCCAGGAAGGGATTTGCTTAGCCTCAAATATGCACATTCAGGAATAGCTTGTCGTAAGAAAGAGAGGATAGTTTGCAGAGAAATAACCCTCCTAAGTCCACATCCTATTCCTTTTAAATAAGAGAGTGGTGACAAGGGAAGAGCCCTAGAATGTCAAAGCCAACAGGGTGCTCAGATACCACCCAAGTACAGTTCCATCTTTGGCCATAAGGAGACAATGGTGTCAAGAGGTTAAGGCCGTATGATCTGTAGGTGAAAAATCTGGGATGGGAATCAAGTCCTCAAACCTTTTCCACTACATCACAGAGTTTAGGAGCAGTTAGAGGGAAGGCTTCAATCTGGAGAACACTAACAGGCTCTAGAGATTATTGGGTCATGGTGGCTGGGACAGAAATAAGGATTCACAGAAAGATGTTTATAGTAAATGTTCTTTTGGGATTTTGCTTGATAAAAAGGCTGAGCAAAAGTAAAAATTTATTTCTTTTCTTTTCTTTTTTTTTTTTTTTTTTGTTTAGACAGTTTCACTCTTGTTTCCCAGGCTGGAGTGCAATGGTGCAACCTCAGCTCACCACAACCTCCACCCCCTGGGGTTCAAGCAATTCTCCTGCCTCAGCCTCCCAAGTAGGTGTGATTACAGGCATGCACCACCACGCCCAGCTAATTTTTTTTTTTTTTTTTTTTTTTTTTAGTAGAGACAGGGTTCCTCCATGTTGGTCAGGCTGGTCTCAAACTCCCAACCTCAAGTGATCCTCCCAAAGTGCTGGGATTACAGGCTCCAGCCACCACACCCGGCCAAAAGTAAAAATTTTCTAATTGCAATTCTGAACCACTTAGGGGTTGTGAAATCAATATAGTGGACTGCTTATTACTACAGGCTTTATTTAAATTCTAGGTAGGGTGGATTACACATAGTAAAAGATTTTTTAAAAACTGATCACAGGACAGGCGCGGTGGCTCATGCCTGTAATCCCAGCACTTTGGGAGGCTGAGGCAGGTGGATCACGCGGTCAGGAGATTGAGACCATCCTGGCTAACACGGTGAAACCCCGTCTCTACTAAAAATAAAAAAAAAAAAAATTAGCTGGGCATGGTGGTGGGTGCCTGTAGTCCCAGCTACTCAGGACGCTAAGGCAGGAGAATGGTGTAAACCCGGGAGGGCGGAGCTTGCAGTAAGCCAAGGTCACGCCAATGCACTCCAACCTGGGCAACAGAGCAAGACTCCATCTCAAAAAAAGAAAAAAAAAAACTGATCACAAAGAATTGTATATTTCTCACTGCGTCTTGTGGTCAGAAAAGTTTGAGAAACTACTCTACATAGGCAAATTACAGGTCCAATCTCTCCATCTACCTCTTTATCTCTTCTCTATTTCCACGCTATGCAGACAAGACCACGGAGAGAGGAAGGCAAATTCCATCAATGGGTGCTGTTAAGCCTTTTCTATGAGGTAGCTGCACATTTGGGGCACTTCAATACTGGTTACTTGAGATTCTAGTAGACAGATTGTCCTTTTCATCTCTAGCCACATGGTAAAATTACTTGGGAGCTTTTTAAGACTACTAGTGGCTTCCACCCACCTGGAAGCATTTAAATCAGAATCTCTATGTGTAGAGTCCAGGCACTTGTGTTAGTTAAAACCTCACCAGGCTTTATAATATGACAGAGTGGTTTAAAGCTACGGAGTAGACCCACCCTATTTCCTACCTTTCTCTTTGTTTCTCTTTCACCATAGGCTTCTTTCCCATGAGAAAGTAAAGATTTTAGTCTCTGTTTTCAGAGTCTCAAGTAAATCACTCTCTTTCTCAACTGGACTTCCAAGGCAAAGATTTCTTTCTATTTATCTATCTGCATTTTTACAAAGTTGGCCTCTGGATTCCCTTTTCCCAAACCTAATTCACCACAAAGGTGCCCCTCAAGTCAAGGAGCTGGGCTTTCATACACCTGCACCTGTCAATCATGGTAAATATTTTGCAGGCAGGGTTGCTGGGTGCTGTGGGATTGACGTAAACTCCCAGGTATTGCCAGCTCTGAGCCTCAGGCAAGCTTGTGACTAAATGACTCCAGTAGTCTGAGGATAGTCCTTACTCAGAAGGGTCTTTGGAAGCAAAAGCAAACATAGGCATGAGAGGGTAAAAAAAAAAAAAAAAAAAAAAAAAAAAATCTCATGTCATCTTGGCTTATACCTAACAGAACTTGTGCAAGAATGGATATTAAGGTGGGTATTGTACAGAGCAGAACTTAATAAATACCAAGTCTGGAGTTTAAGGGATAGGCTGAAGAGATTTTGCAGGCTTGTAAACATTTTTGCCAACTTGAACACACTTTTGTTTGGGTTTGGTTTTTCTCCTCATTGGTAAGAGCTACGCACAATAGGGTAGCTAAGATATTATAATTTGAATCGATACATTTGTATTTTGCCAAGGATCAAGATGAACTATGATGATTTCCATTTTTTAGTACTTTATTTTCATCAGTTTGAAAATTAGGACTTTTGCTCCTTTTTTGGCTTGTGGCACCTTTTTGGTTTTCACACTTTCTCAAAGACCAGTAACTTAGAATCTAAATTATGATTGCTTATTCTTTCAGTACTCTAGGGGAAAGTTGATTTAATCTTGACAAAATGTATTCAGTTAAAATAATTGTTCTCTTAAATCTTTCTTTCTTTCTTTCTTTCTTTTTTCTTTTTTTGGAGATGGAGTCTTGCTCTGTCACCCAGGCTAGTGTGCAGTGGCACAATCTTGGCTCACTGCAACCTCCGCCTCCTGGGTTCAAATGACTCTCCTGCCTCGGCCTCCCGAGTAGCTGGGCCTATAGGCGCATGCCATCACGCCCGGCTAATTTTTGTATTTTTAGTAGAGATGGGGTTTCACCATGTTGTTCTCTTAAATCTTTTCACCTTTTAAGTTTGTCCTTCCTTTCTCCAATTTGCAATAGGGGAGTGTGGCTCGCAGCTAAATAGTAGACTTCTCAGAGCTACTTATTCCTGGAGCCTGGCAGTCTGCAGGCCTGGAGGGGGAGCATCTAGAAAGCAGCCCTCTCTAAGTTGAGAATAACTATGAGAATTGTGGGTTATAAGGCTTTGAGCAGCTCTGGCCTCCCCGTCCTCTTTTGTTTCTACTGTGGGATGTGACAAGAGAAGGAACTCATCTGAGAGAGACTTCATATTGTGGCCTTTCACCGATTACTTCTGGAAATTTGATTCAGGCAAGCCAGGGAGAGTGTCTGGTATTCTTCTCTGAGAAGAAGAATTCATTATACAGCTGGACAATGGAATCTATGATCTGCCTGTAGAGGTTAGAGGTGCATCCTGTTCCGGGAAATAATTACAATTTAGGCAAGTTATACATGTTTGCTTAAGAGAATGCTTTCTGCACATTTCATGTTCTTCCTTTCTATCTTAGCCTAGGGAGAAAACCGTGGGGACTCAGGGCTGGAACTTTAGTGTGATGGGGCAGAAGCTTAATTTTCACATGATTCTCAACAAATGGCAGCATATCCCATGTATTATCATGTCCAATGGCTGCAATATGAAGGAGGCTTTTCCGAAATAGTTGCTGCTTTGGTAAAAAATTAACTAGATGGATTCAAAGTCAAATTTGAAGAAAGCTGAGCAGGCAGAAGAAACAATCAGTGAACCTGAAGATAAGGCAATGGAAATCATCCAGTTTGAGGAACAGAAATAAAAAAAGATTGAAGAAAAGTGAACAGAGCCTAAGTGACCATCAAGTGGACCACCATGTACATTGTGGAAGTTCTTTTTTGTTGTTGTTGTTTTGGGGGGTGGGAGGGGGGAAGGAGTTTCATTTTTGCTGCCCAGACTGGAATGCAATGGCGCTATCTCAGCTCACCGCAACCTCTGCCTCCTGGTTTCAAGCAATTCTCCCACCTCAGCCTCCCAAGAGGCTGAGATTGCAGGCATGCACCACCATGCCTGGCTAATTTTGTATTTTTAGTAGAGACGGCATTTCTCCATGTTGGTCACGCTGGTCTCAAACTCCTGACCTCAGGTGATCCTCCCGCCTCGGCCTCCCAAAATGCTGGGATTACAGGCATGAGCTACTGCTCCCAGCCTTGCATTGTGGAATTTCTAAAGAAGAGGGAGAGAAGGGCAATAGAGAATATTTGAAGAAATCATGGCTGAAAACTTCCCAAATTTGATGAAAGACATGAATACAAACACAGTAGCCTAACAAACTCCAAGTAAGATAAACCTAAAGAGACCTACACCAAAACGCATTATAATCAAACTTTCAAAAGTCAAAGAGAATCTTTAAATTGGTAAGAGAAAAGCAACTGGTCACATGCAAGAAATCTTTAATAAGATTATCAACAGATTTCTCATCAGAAACTTTGGAAGCTGGAAGGACAGGAAATCAAAAGCTGCCAACAACCAGGAGGGGTGGCTCATATCTATAATCCCAACACTTTGGGTGGCTGAGGCAGGCAGATCACTTGAGGTCAGGAGCTCAAGACCAGCCTGGCCAACATGACAAAACCCTGTCTCTATTAAAAATACAAAAATTAGCCAGGCGTGGTGGTGGGTGACTGTAATCCCAGCGACTTGAGAGACCAAGGTGGGAGAATCACTTGAACCTGGGAGGCGGAGGTTGCAGTAAGCCAAGATCTCGCCACTGCACTCCAGCCTGGGTGATAGGGTGAGACTCTGTATTAATAAACAAACAAACAAACAAAAGCTGCCCGTGAAAGGGAAAAGGATCAATAAATGGGTATTCCAAAAAGTCAAAAGTCACACAAATATCAAGCCAAAATAAACTGGTTTCCTGACTGGAAATCGACCCCAGGCTATGGCAGCAAAACACAGAACTTTAAGCACTGAACTGCAAGGTAGAGCAGACTTTATTGTGCATCCTGGAAGGGATCCAGAGCAGGCAGTTTGAGCTTATGAAGAATTTTAACTTTGTTTCGGGTCAAATTTTGCTCTTTAATTTAGTTAAGAGAATTTTTTTTCCCTACACAACACACATAATATTGTCAAGAGAATTTTTAAGGGTAGCCATGACACTATTATGTGTGTTTGTTTTAATTTGATCTTCCTATGAACTGTTAAAATAAGAGATCTCTAAAATCTTTTTTTTTTTTAATTCAGGTGTCTAATTTAAGGGATCCATCTTCAGGCCATTGGCAAGTAGAATTTCCAATGGTGTAATTATTGCAATAGCAATTCAACCAAATAGCCCCTTTGTGGAAAGCCCAGGATGTCATTTTCCAGGTTAACCTCCTGGGAAGGGCAAAGAAGAAGCAATCCCAAAGATTCCCCTGCAAGAAAAAAGTTCAATGCAAGGAGTAGACCACAGATGGGTAAGGATGATGTTGGCCTCCAGTAACCCAGATATTTATGGGGGCTTCCAGTCACAGACCTCTGAATCTATAATACCAGGTAGGCCCTCTTGGGATTGAGCTTTCCTAGGACTAACCAGGCAACAAGAATTGAGATGACAAAAGCCTCAAAGGGATGGGACTTCTTAAGACAAACCCCAAGAGCTTGACATGGTCAGAACAAAAAGTGTGCTGGGGTTCCCAGCCATTTTCAGACAGGCCACCTAGTATGACCTGATAGTTACTGCCTCTTTCCAGATAGTGGAAACCAAGAGAAAGCGCTCCCACTTGCTCACAAGTCAAGCTCTCAAGGACATAAAATAAGATGAGAAGGAACCTCAACCGGTACCCCCTTTTATGACAGAATAACACATAGAGACAAAGACAAAGGAACAGACAATTTCTGGGAACAAAGGGATTAAACAATAGGAATTGGTACCACAAAGTACCAAAAAGCACACCAGAGTCACTACACCCAAGACTAGTCACACAAATCCTTTTCTCCAATTAATCAAGATTTTGGAGAGGGAAAAGAAAGAAACAGTGATTTTTACTGTCCACTTGATGAGATTCCACACAGAGAAGGAGGCCAGGAGCCTGGCTGGTAAAAAAATTCTTACCCTTATGACAGCTGATCAGATCCTGGGTTCTTCACTGCAGCTTCCAGAAGAGCAGAGCTTTCCTATCCTGCTTACAGCTCCAAAACTGTAGGGGCCAATGGAAACCCTCCCTCTTAACCCTCTGAAGTTTCACTCAAAAATCAAGTCGCAAAAGGCAGATTAATTGGAAAAAAGGCATAAAATGTACTAACATGTGCATGGGGAGAGTCACAGAGTGATTACCCTCCCCTACCCACAATGGGATGCAGAAGCTTATATACCATCTTGAGGTAACAGAATGAATGAGGGCTCAAAGCATGGCCAAAACCAGGTGCAATCAGAGTCAGAGGTATATCCAATTATTGTGGACAAGATAAGTGATGGTAGGGAGAGAAGAGGAGGCTTGGCTAGCAAAGGTGGTCTTAATATGTAAATGAAACCCTACAGTTAGCAGCTCTCAGAGAGAATAAACCCTAAAAATTTCTTTCAGACCTTTACATGTGTCAGACTCTCAGTTAATCTTTCCTAGATCTGGGCAAGGAAAGACTTGGCTGTATCAATGCAGATTCCCTACAGATGCAAATCTCCCCAACAAAAGACAACTTTGCAGGGCTACTTCTGCAGCTGGCTTTCTGAACAGACATCTCAAAATATGTCAAAGAAATGTAGTTTGGGGTCAAATATTTTTAATTCCTTCACATCTACAGCCTGATGCATCGGCCGTTTCAATGCAACATTGTTGGTGGCAACTCCATTCTTCCCTATACTCAAGCCAAAAAACCAGGTTCTCCTTGAGGCTAGTCTTTTTCTCACAGCACACATCCAATTTGTCAGAAAACTTATGTTTCCTGTTTGGTTAATTACAGATTTTGATCTGCCCAATCTTTCTCTTTCTTGGTCTCTGAATTTTGGCAAAGGAGTCTCCTGATACAGGCAGGATAGATTCTACTGACGATTCTCAAAACCGTCAGACACTTAAGAGCCTTAATCTCGGGGTAGGGGTTTGGGCCGCCCTCGAACCTTTTCTTTGGGCCTCCCCATCAAAATCAGTCTGGCCAGGCCTGTCTTCAAGGCCCAGGGGCAGGGCCAGGTCCTCCCGATGCTTCTTGAAGCTTCTCCTGCCGGGTCAGCAGCCACCCTCCCCTTCCCTCTGACCTGCAGAGAAGCTTCAGGGGGCATTTATTCAATTTGCTAGGAGCTCACGGATGCAGGTGCGCGGTGACTCTGTGGTTCCCACCGCACCCACCGCCCTCCTTGGTCCTCTCACTGTCTGAAGCGGGCAGTAATGTTCAGGGTGAGCTTGGGCTCCGAAGACACCCAGTCAAGGAGGGACCAGTAGGGAAGGGCACTGGCCCCTTAGGTCCTTCCCAGCTAGGGATCCGAAAAAGTTCTTGAAGAAATAGAAAGGGAGAGTTGGAAGTAGATCAAAGGGAAAGAAAGAAAATCCTAGATTTCCTATCTGAAGGCACCATGAAGAGAAAGTCCGCCTCCTCTGGGCCGCGTCCTCACGTCGCTGGTGAACCAAGTTCTGTTCTCCATTGGAGACCAAATCAGTTGACTTTGGCTTGACTCCTAGTGAAGGAGCCCCGCTTTGTCCTCCCCTGTTTAGCTCTTGATCCTGAAGCACTTGATTGTCTCTCCCGGGCTTTTGATGGATTTCAGGGATGCAACTGAGAAATTTGTTTTTAATGCACTTAATTGAAGTAAGAATATTTTAAAGTATTTTGGCAAAGAAAAACGTTTCCTTTTGCAATGAAGACATTCAGATGTAAGGAAAATCACTAGGCTCTCACAAACACAAATTCCATGTCAGCAAGTAGATTTGACCCTCAGGTTGGGCACACTTTAAGTGTACTGTTGGAACTTAAGATGAATCTAGGACATTCATGATTAATATTTTTAGTTTTTTAGTACAATTTAATATTTTAAATTTAAATACACATTCTGAAAATTGTATAACCAGCACAAGAAACCGGCTTTACGCCATATTTACAAACATAGGAAAGAAAGATGATATTTTAAATGACAATGCTTCATAAATGGCAACATTTTTAAAGTACCTAGAGAAAAAAAGTTAATCTAGAATTCTATGCAAAAATAAAATTTCATAACTGTGAGTGAAATAAGGACATTGAAAAAATACAAAAGCTAAAAGAATTCACCAACCCATGCTGCAAGAAATCTTAAGAGTCCTCCAGGCAGAAGCAAAAGGATACCAGATAAAAATGCGGGCCTACACAAAGAAACGAATATTGGAAATGGCATTTAGAAAACATGTACTACACGTTTTCTTATAATTTAAATCTTTCAAAAAATATTTGACGTAATAAATAAAAGTAATAATGAATCACAAAGCTTATAGTGCATAAAGTAAAACTACATAACACTAGGATAAAGGCCAGAAAGGGAGGCATAATGACACTAGAAAGCAGACTATGATAAATTAAAGATGTATCCCGGAAACCCTAAAGCAGCCTCTTAAATAAGAAAAGGGTTATAGCTAATAAAGCAACAAAGGAAAGAAAACGGAATGAAATAAAAGCTATGTAAACACTATGCTGGAACAACTACTCTCCAGGCCTCCACCCTATAGAAATACACCAGTGGCCAATGAGAGTGTACAAGAATGATGACTGCAGCATTACTTGTAATCATAAAATGATAAAACCAACGTAAGTTTAAAGATATATGAAAAGGGTTTTATTTATTTAACAGACAGACAATGGAACAAGCAAACAATGGGAGCAAGTCCTTTGCCAAAAGGAACACAGAGGGTCATGATGATGCTACTCCTCCAAGGATTTCAGAGTTCCCAGACGCCTAGTTTTCTGTCTAGTTCTTCTGGAAGATGTTATTCTTGGGGAGCAATAGGTCCTCGAGTTTGGGGCTCTTTCAGGTTCTCTCTCCATTTCCCCATTCTGCTACAATAAACAAACAAAAACAATTCTCACTTCCAGAAGATCCCGCCTGTGCCTCTGCATGCGCCTTTCAGGAGGTCTGGATGTCTGGTCCACCGCTCCCGGGCTTCTTTCCCAGCTTTTGCTTTTCCCTTTACCTGCTCTCGCCCTACGGCCCCAGGGCCGGACCACGGCCCAGCTGAGCCCCGCGGCTCCACCGCGCAGAAGGTGCGCCGGAGGCCCTGCCAGTTTCCCGCCCTGCAGGGTACTGAGAAATCAACGATTTGTAAAAAGAACTTCCCCATGGAAAAAAATCTGTTGATTTCCGCTCTCAGGGCTCTTCAAAGGACTAAAAGCTAAAGGCGACAATGAATTCATTCGACAAGTCCTAGTCGTGAGCCCTGGTGAGTGCCAGACCCTGCTCCCCCCGAGGGGACCCACGAGCGACCCTCACCACCATCCCTGCCCTGGTGGAGCCCCCGTGCGGAACACAGGATCCGAAGATGGCAGCGGAAGCTCCTCCGCGGCCCCGAGAGCGACTGGGCAGGGTGGGCACAGGCTCTTCAATGGGTGAAGGCGGCGCAAAGAACGGGAAGAACCATCCCAGGAGCCCACAGGGCGTTCAGCTTCCCTTGGGGCCCCAGGCGGCTCGGGCTGGGTCGCCGACCCGGGAGTTCCTGGAAGCTTCTGAAGCAGGCGAGGGGCAGGGCGGGCGAAGGCAATTCCGCTGTTCTGGCTCCAGAATCTCCTAACGCGCAGGCGTCCAACGTGACCGGCGCGACTCACCGCTCTAATCTCTCTGGTTTTCCAAGGCCTTGCTCGGTGGTCCTGCCGGGCGGGCTCTGGGAGTAGAGGGAAGGGAGTTAGTTCAGTGAGTGGGCCCTTCCCATATCACCAGTAGAAGCGGAAGCGCTTGTCTCTGTGGCGCAATCGGTTAGCGCGTTCGGCTGTTAACCGAAAGATTGGTGGTTCGAGCCCACCCAGGGACGCTTATTGGAACTTTTGAAGCATTCATGCATTGTCAATCACTAGGTAAATGGGGAAGATTTTATCTTCCCGAAGTCCCAAGCCACTCATTTATGACTGATCCATGTCAAGGGCCGCCCACCTCCCCGACCAGATTCTTAACCGGCTATCTCCTGAAATGCCGGGTTTACACCTGTGTAACTTAGGAATCCTGAAACAGAGACCTAGGAACCCACTTCTGGTGTGATAAAATTCTAATTCAGTCCCTTATACGCTTAAACAAGTAATTCACGTGCCTCCATTTTTTCATATTTTAGTAATAGGAGTCCAGTATTACCTCCAGGATGTGCCTGGGTTTCCTGATTGCTCTATCAATAATGTGACCAGTGGAATCTTTCATCATGATAGTGATCCTCTCCATCATTTTTGAAAACAGTATTTTTCCTCAGTCTGTGCATGATTTATTTAACCCTTTTCAAAATGTTTTTGTTAGCCAGGCATGGTGGCACACACCTGTAATCCCAGCTACTCAGGAGGCTGAGGCAGGAGAATCGTTTGAACTTGGGAGGTGGAGGCTGCAGTGAGCTGAGATTGCACCACTACACTCCAGCCTGGGTATCAGAGTGAGACTCCCATCTCAAAAAAAAAAAAATGTTTTTGAGATGATGTTGGTTTCATGGTTTTAGGATTACAAAGAATGCTGCAGTCACCATTCTTGTACAGATATCTTTGGTCATTGTGGAAATGTCTACACTGCAGACATTTCTATAGTGTAGAGAGCTGGATGCGCCATTGCTACATTATAGTGCTTATATAATGCTTCTAATTTGAGTCCATTCTGCAAATGTGTCTTTCACGGGAGCAGTACCAAATAATATTCCAATATGAATATTTATAAAATGAAAATGTGCAGATGTGCAGTTGAGCTGCATGCCTCTCCATGGGGCCCATGTTCATAAAATGGTGGCGTTAGCAATCATCTGAGAGTGGAGTTTGTGGCCCTCTGACGTCAAAATCTGAGGCAATGGACATGAAAACCCTCACTGTACATCCTCCGTAGTCTGGCCAGAATCATTCCTGGGTCGGTGGTCTCTTATCAGGAGGGAATGCTGCTTGCTTTTTTTGTCAAAACCACAAAAGGGAGGGAAAGCATCAGGCTGTTGGTTGATAACAGTAGTGAAGCAAGTCTCTCCAAAGGCTTGGTTTGTTAACCCTTAGGAAAAAAATCCTAATTCTTGCCAGATGGTGCCATGCATTTCCAGGCTCTTGGTGTCCCAAACAAAGAACTGTACATGACACACACAAAGCAGCAAAGCAAAGCAAAAGTTTATTAAGCATAGTAACACTCTCAGAGTGGGGAGAGTGGACTGACCTCTGGGATGTAAGATAAGTATTAGTTTGGTGTACTTTGGGTCGTTTTATGTGTGTTTTTTTTTCTTCTCTTCACAAGGATGCCTAATCGTTAGCCAGTGTTTGCCTTTTGATTGATAGGTGGGTTGCTTAGTTACTTTGGCCCTTGTGTGCTTGCACATTGGCTCCATCCCATAATTTTAAGTACATGCATGATGTGCAGTCCATATGCATGAGTTTTAATGAGCTGATTATCATACGGAGTCATGTTAAGGATACTTTTTTTCTCTCATGCACATGCCTATCTCTGAGGAGCTGCCCCTTTACTGGTTTGGATCTCGCTGGCCATGGGGTCCTTGCTTGCTTTTCTTTTTTTTTTTTTTTTTTTTTTTTGAGACAGAGTCTCGCTCTGTTGCACAGTCTGGAGTGCAGTGATGCAATCTCGGCTCACTGCAACCTCCGCCTCCCGGGTTCAAGCGATGCACCTGTCTCAGCCTCCCAAGTAGCTGGGAGTACAGGAGTGCACCACCACGCCCAGCTAATTTTTTGTATTTTTAGTAGAGATGGGGTTTCACCATGTTGGCCAGGCTGGTCTGAAACTCCTGACCTCAGGTGATCTGCCTGCCTTGGCCTCCCAAAGTGCTGGGATTACAGGCATGAGCCACCGTGCCCGGCCTTGCTTGCTTTTTTAAATCTTACTTTTTGTTTTGGCTGCTCAACTTCTGCCTTTTATCTTGCTTCTTGCTCTCCCACCCCATCACCTTGCTTCTGTTTCTGCTTTTACTCGTTCTGCCTTTTATCCAACTTCCAATTCCCTCTGCTGTTCTCCTGCCTCATAATGGCAGTTAGTGAGCGGGGGTTTTGAGGTGGCATGTCCAACCTCCTAGCCTGCCACATCCAGAAACTGCTTTCAAGGTTTCTCTGTGGTCCTGTCAGCCAAGAGGGAGTCCGCAGTTGACTGTAGGGACTAGGGCTTATTTTCATTTCTCAATCCTGACAAGGTAAGGCTGGATTAACGCAGATTCTCTGCAGGTGTAAATTTCCCCTACAGAAGACAGTTTTGCAGAGTTCCTTCTGTTTGCTGGTTCTCTGACAGCCATCTTAAAATATGCCAAAGAAATACATTCTGGGGTAAAATATTTTGATTCTCTTCATCTATCTACAGCTTCACCATGCTGGCAGCCTCCAATCCAAGCATACCTGAAACCTTCTTTTTTTTTTTTTTTTTTTTTTGGTTTGAGACAGAGTCTCGCTCTGTCACCCAGGCTGGAGTGCAGTGGCATTATCTCGGCTCACTGCAAGCTTCGCCTCCCAGGTTCACGCCATTCTCCTGCCTCAGCCTCTGGAGTAGCTGGTACTACAGGTGCCTGCCACCGCACCAGACTAATTGTTTGTATATTTTTTAGTAGAGATGGGGTTTCACCATGTTAGTTAGGGTGGTCTTGATCTCCTGACCTCGTGACCACCCACCTGGGCCTCCCAAAGTGAGCCACCACGCCCGGCCCCTGAAACCTTTCTTTTTAAAAAGCTTTCCCACCTTTATGACTGCCTTCAAGTCTCTGCCAAAACACAAGTAACAGTGACTGACTCCCTGCTATACCAAGCTCACAGTAAATAGCCTTTGCTGTTTTTCATTTGGTTGGTCTTTGTTTATTTGCAGAAGCTTCAATGTAGAGTTGACAAGGACTCCAATCTTTGACCAAACCTTAGTAGTTTCCTCTGAGCCCTTTTCTCTGTTACTTCTTGGCCTGCCAAGTCCAGCTTTAGGAAAGAATCCTGTTGAGTCTAGTTTAGCAAGAGTCCTCGCAACCACCTTTGATAGCTAATCAAGTTCCTCTTAGTAATTTTCCATCCACTGACTTTCTTATCTTGCCAATTGGCTATAATCCTCAACTCCTCCTGCTGTATTTGAGGTTGAGCCCAGTTCTCTGGGCTCAACCTCAAATACACGTGTCCAGTGCAGCCCCTCAGAAACTACCTTTGCAAAATTATGACAATCAGAGAAAGCTGACATGGCTGACTCCATCTTGGTTCTAGCCTCACAGGCTTGCTGTCTTTGCTCATTCCTGTGCAATTTCTCCCAAGCTATCTTTGGGAAAAATTGAGTTTATAGTTTAAATCAGGGCTCCCCAATCCCCAGGGCCATAAGACAGGTACTGGTCCATGGCCTGTTAGGAACCCAGCTGAACAGCAGGAGGTGAGCTGCAGGCTTTCGAGCATTACCGCCTGAGCTCTGCCTCTTGTCAGATCAGCATGAGCATTAGCTGCTCATCGGAGCTCGGACCCTATTGGGAACTGCTCATGTGAGTGATCCAGATTGCGCACTCCTTATGAGACTGTAACTGATGCCACTGATGCCTGATGACCTGAGGTGGAACAGTTTCATCTGGAAACCATCCACCACCCCCTTCCATGGAAAAATTGTCTTCCATGAAACCAGTCCCTGGTGACAAAAAGGTTGGGGACAGCCAAAAATCTGGTTTAAATGATAACCTTCCCCAAAACTAAATTACCCCTGTAAAATGAATGAAAGGCCACCAAGTTAGAAGGATGAAAGCGGCCTGATTTCTAGTAAGATGTATGCCTCCTTAAATAATTACCAGCCATTATTCCAGAAGTCACAAGATTGGCAGCTTCCCCAGTTACTGCTGTGAAGAACATCACTATTGTAGAACCTAAGATTGGCCTCTTGAGATGTCTTTTCAGGCTTTGGCATTTCTGACTGCTGGATGGCACCATTTGGCCCGAAAATCAACCAGTCCCTTAGCCCCCACCCAGAAGCTGACTCCATGCAGGAGGGCCATTTTCCATGCCCCTGTGATTTCATCCCCAACGATCAGCACCACGCAAGCCCTAGCCCCCTCCCCACCAAACTATCTTTGAAAAACCCCTTACCTCCAAGCCTTCAGTGAGATTGCTTTGAGTAATAACTCTTGTCTCCCACATGTCGTGGCTGGCCTGTGTCAGTGAAACTCTTTCCTGCAGTGCCATGGTCTCCATGAATTGATTTTGTGTGTACATTGGGCAGGAAGAACCCATCAGGTAGTTACATCTGCAGGATGGTGCCAGTTCTTTCCACAAAGGCTGGTCAGATACCCAGAAAACATTTCTCCACTACTACCTGGACAATGTGTCTCCCTGTCAATCTCCAGGGAATGGGGCCTGGATCAAGTATTTAGTATTCAGCAGTTACTACACTGTCACCTAATCCCTCATTTTCAATATCTTGCCATGCCTTCCAGTGGCCTAACTGGCCACCATGCCACAGAATCTTTATGGTCTCCAAGGAGAACTCTCTACTTGATGTTTTGTGATTTGAGCAATGGAATAGAATCTGATACTGGTGGGCTGGGGGAGGTACCCGGACACTGGTGGGATCTCGACCCCAGCCGTGGTGTCCAGGCTCTTGACACCATCGCGAGAACAAAGTCAAAGATGAGTCAGCAGATAGTGAAAGAAGAGATTTATTGCAAAGCAAAAAGTACACACTCAAGAAAGGGGAGTTCAGGCATACCCAAGAGAGAACAATGGATTCTGGGGTTTCATCTTGATGGGTTTCTTTAACCAAGGAGTGGAATGTTCATGAAAATTCCTGGGTAAAGGTGGAGATTTCTCGGAACTGTGGTGCCATCCATTTTTACATCAAATATTGGTCTCAGAACTGTCATGGCACTGGCGGGTGTGTGATTTAGTATGTTAATGAGCATATAATGAGGGCCTAGGTAAAACCTCCGTCAAATCCAGCACCACATTGGGTCCACTCAGCCTTAGCCAGCTTGGTCCACACCCTGGTTTTTCAGCGTCTTAACAGCCCACAGCCTCAAGTCATGTAAATCTGCTGCCTAGAATTTGTTATCCTGTGACCACCCTGTAGTATTCCTGTCTGAAATCTACTTGTAAATATTCAAATGGTCTTTCACTTGGGCATTCCAACTTTGCTTACTTCACAGTGTTTCCTGCGTAATATATAAGAAAAGATGATCCAGACATTGTTAAACATCTCAAATAAGATGTAGCCCAGGTATTTGTGTCAAATTTGGATTATTTTGATTTCGTCTTTGCAGAATATAAAAAACTAACATGAGGTAAGCACTAAGGTGTGGAGATGGCTGTGCAAGAGATGACAAAGTCCAGCACCACGCTTGAGAGTGTCCAATCATCTCTTCTGGGGCAGCATAGTTTTCTACAATACTGATTTTGGAAAAAAAATCAAAAAAAAAAAACCTACAAGATTCATGAAACTGGACAACTGTCTTTATAACATTACCAGTGATAAAACCAGTAAGGAAGGCTGGTTTGCAGTCATCTGAGCAGCCTCTTTACTTTCATAAACATGGTTTCTCTCGGCTTCCAATTGCAAGTGGAATGCTGCATCACAGGGATAAAGATGTGAAGAGAACCGGTTTCTTCTGTAATCCGAAACATTCTAGTCTGCGAATTAAAAGCCATTATTTGAAGAAGGATGCCCCGGCTCCATCTGGCCACCGAAAGGTTGCTCCTTAACACAGGCTAAGGACCAGCTTTTTTGGGAGAGAACAGACGCAGGGGCGGGAGGGAAAAAGGGAGAGGCAGACGTCACTTCCTCTTGGCGGCTCTGGCAGCAGATTGGTCAGTTGAGTGGCAGAAAAGCAGACGGGGACTGGGCAAGGCACTGTCGGTGACATCACGGACAGGGCGACTTCTATGTAGATGAGGCAGCGCAGAGGCTGCTGCTTCGCCACTTGCTGCTTCGCCACGAAGGAGTTCCCCTGCCCTGGGAGCGGGTTCAGGACCGCGGATCGGAAGAGAGAATCCCAGCTGTGTGTCAGGGCTGGAAAGGGCTCGGGAGTGCGCGGGGCAAGTGACCGTGTGTGTAAAGAGTGAGGCGTATGAGGCTGTGTCGGGGCAGAGCCCGAAGATCTCATACTTACCTGGCAGGGGAGATACCATGATCACGAAGGTGGTTTTCCCAGGGCGAGGCTTATCCATTGCACTCCGGATGTGCTGACCCCTGCGATTTCCCCAAATGTGGGAAACTCGACTGCATAATTTGTGGTAGTGGGGGACTGCGTTCGCGCTTTCCCCTGACTTTCTGGAGTTTCTAAAAGTAGACTGTACGCTAAGGGTCATATCTTTTTTTGTTTTGGTTTGTGTCTTGGTTGGCGTCTTAAATGTTAATCCTACAGTGGAGGGCTGGCGAATAGGAAGTAACATGTCGCCTGCACGCCATAGGAGAAAAAGCGAGCATCAGCCGTATCGGCTTTGTAACACAAATTAGCTATCGTGAAGTCCGCTCAGCTCTTCCCTTTCTACCCTGGCTGCTTTTTGCAGGGATTGGTCCGTGGTCTCCAGTCTCTTGGGTTCTCACCCTGTGTGAAAATCTTCCTGTTTTTCCCTACCCCCCAAGTCACCTCTTACACAGCCTCTGCTTCCAAGCGCAGCCCCCACAGGAGTTTGTAGGATTTCTGTGCTAGCGGGGAGTGTGTTCTCACCTCATAGAGCCAGGTAGAAACTACGCAGATGGGTGCTGTTCTCCAGGAAGAAAGCAGGGCCTTTGGGGCTCTCAGTGTCCCCGTTGGGTTGTAGACATAACACGCTTACTTTGCGTAGGGGAACGGCTCTGCCGGCCCCCAGGTGCCCTCGCGCATATTCATGGAGGCCCGTAGGTCAGAACCGCAGTCTCACCTGTCTTGGCGGAAATGCCCTGCGATCCTCCCGGAGATAGAAGGCGGGAAGTTTTATGAGGAGCCAGGTACAGTTTCCCTACTATCTCCGGCAGTTCATATATCTAGTGTTTCTTCAGACTTTATTTAAGCGACAGCTTCTTGTTTGATGTCTCGCTCCCACATCCTACATCCATTGCCAGGCAACTTTCTAGATAGCACCCAGACCCATCCTTCCCACCCCCAAGCAGCCGTTTCCTATTTCTGGTGCCAGTGTCCTCCCCAGTCCCTCTTTCTTCAGGCCCTCGCTTATCACCTTCATGGACAGAAAATACTTAGCTCTCTCTCAACCTGCGGTTTATACCTGACACGCGTCAGTACCCTGACAAATTCCTTAATACCCTTTCTCAAATGGCACTGAAAATGCATTTCTTTTTAACTCCCAGAAGTATCTAATTGGTTTTGTCCCTGAACTACATGAATACTAGTATTCCACTACAGAGGAAAACCCCAGGCCTAGCGATGGCGGTTCTGGGCATTGTGCCAGCCTCTCCCAGGGTATGTTTTCTGACATCACCTACTTTTGATCAACTGAGGTCAGGAGTTCGAGACCACCCTGACCAACATGGCGAAACTCCGTCTCTACTAAAAATAAAAATAAAAATAAATTGCCGGGCATGGTGGTGTGGGTCTGTAATCCCAACTACTCGGGAGGCTGAGGCAGGAGAATCGCTTGAACCCGGCAGGCGGAGGTTACAGTGAGCCGAGATCGTGCCATTGCACCCCAGCCTGGGCAATAGAGTGAGACTCTGTCTCAAAAAAAAAAAAAAAAAAATTAGTCCATCTGAGACATTGTTGTTGGAGACAGTAGAATCCTGCATCCAACAGGCACTTGGTGCAGATCTGAACCCATTGAGCTATTGGCTCATGTTCCCTATGTTCTATTAAGTATCATGAGCAGAAATTGAGCTCTTTGGCTTTTACCCACTGAGTATGGCTATAGGACAGGTCTCTCTCTCTCTCTCTCTCTCTCTCTCTCTCTCTTTCTCATTATTTGCATCATTATTTTTTGCCATCAGTGTGGGTTTTTGGTTTTGAGGCTATGAAGTGAATTTCTGGGGACAATCTCTGTTGGGTCGTGTTGACAAGGATCCAGTCCCTGTTTGGTGATACATGACAGCTAATCTGGTCTGTGAGTCTTCTTTATTGTCTATTTATTGTCCTGAGAATAATGGTATTTCCTGAAATTTGAGACTGCAGCAATGATAAGTTGTTCAGATCTTGTCTTTCCAATGTTTGGTAAAAATTTTATAGGCCCAATTGTTGTCAATATCTGCAAGAGTGGCATCTCTATTACAAGAGTGATCTTACTACTCAATGTCCCCCCTCCCACCCAACTTCATTTCCTAGGGGCTCTTGGCTTTAACGAATTTACTGTATCTAAAAGACATCTTAGTACAGGAAGAAAACTAAATCTGTAGCATGTAAGGAGCAGTTTTCTTTGATTGGTATATTCAGGTTTCTAACCAGCTGAAAAATTCAAATACATGTCCTTTAAGGATTAAGTTTAAACTACACTACAGAAAGAAGAGAAAAGATTTATATGATCACATATAAGCAATGGAATCAGCAATATGAGCACTTTTCACAACTATATAAATCAAATTTAGTAATCTCCAGAACATTAAGGAAGTTCAGCCCTTAATGAAAATGAATGAAAAGAAATTATTCACCCACTGTTACATGCCCTGGAAAGAGAATGCCCTGCAGGACTCAAAAGGGTACCACAATATTACTCAGATTTTCAGCAATGAAGGCCCTCCAAGGATCTAATGATACTCATATTTTCAGTTTATTTCCTTCACTGATAAACATTGTTAATAGATACCATTGCCTCTGTTTTCACTTTAAGTGATGTTACTTAGCACAATTCATTTCTTTAGAATGCCCCCTAGTTTAGTGAAAGGAATTTTCCTGCTTTATAAATATAGGATATTTTCTCATGAAACAAGTTGGCGTACTCTTTCAGTGAAGGGACTAGACCGATTAGGTCTCTAAAATGTTAAAGGAGTCACTGCCTCCATTATCTTAGGAACAATAATAATCACTTATATAAAATTAAAATAAGAAAATTAAGCCAGGAATGGTGGCTCATATCTACAATCCCAGCACTTAAAGAGTTGGAGACCAGCCTGGGCAACATAGTGAAACTCCTGTCTCTACAAATTTTTAAGTATTAGCTAATTTTTTAAAGTTGGCAGGGCATGATAATGCATGACTGTAATCTCAGCTACTAGGGAGACTGAGGCAGGCTCCAGTGAACTATGATTGTGCCACTGCCCTCCAGCCTGGGTGACAGAGTGAGACTCCCAACTCAAAAAAAAAAAAAGAAAAGAAAATATAGAATTTGTTGAAAATTGTTTTACTACAATGCTAGGCTGCATGTCTTGCACCTGTACTCCCAGCAACTCAACAGGCTGAGGCGGAAGGATTGCTTTAGGCCAGCGGTTGGAGACCAGCCTGGGGAACAGGGCAAGACCTCATCTCTAAAAAAACACAAGGCAAGCTGAGCCAGGAGGATTGCCTGAGCCCAGAAGTTCCAAGTTGGTCAGCTATGATTGCCCTGCTGCACTCTAGCCTGGATAACACAGCAAGACCCTGTGTCTTATTTTTTATTTTATTTTTACTACTTATGCTTATTTATTTATTTATTTTTGAGACAGAGTCTTGCTCTGTAGCCCAGGCTAGAGTGCAGTGGTGCCATCTCAGCTCACTGCAAGCTCTGCCTTCCAGGTTGAAGCTATTTCCCTGCCTCAGCCTCCAGAGTAGCTGGGATTACAGGCACACGCCACCACATCCAGCTAATTTTTATGTTTTTAGTAGAGACAGGGTTTCATCATGTTTCCCAGGCTAGTCTCAAACTCCTGACCTCAAGTGATGCACCTGTCTCGGACTCCGAAAGTGCTGGGATTACAGGTGTGAGCCACCTCGCCCAGGCTCCTTATGCTTGAAATGTGAGGTTTCATTAGGGAAAAATTTTCTTGTTGAATTTCTAACATGAAAAAATAATAGATTTAGCTGTAGATTAAATTAATGGTCTTGATAGTTTGGTACAATAAAATAAATGAAATGAAGTTGATAGCAGAGAGGAATTTTTGATGCTTTTGGACAATTTAAATAATGTAATATTTAATATATAAAGACATGAAAAAGTTCATTACATTATTATATTTATTTATTTATTTATTTATTTATTTATTTTGAGACATAGTCTCACTCTGTTGCCTAAGCTAGAGTGCAGTGGTACAATCTCGGCTCACTGCAACCTCTGCCTCCCGGGTTCAAGCAATTCTCCTGCCTCAGCCTCGTGAGTAGCTGGAATTACAGACGTGCGCCACCCCACCCAGCTAATTTTTGTATTTTTAGTAGACACAGGGTTTCACCATGTTGGTCAGGCTGGTCTCGAACTCCTGACCTCATGATTCACCTGCTACGGCTTCCCAAAGTGCTGGGGTTACAGGCGTGAGCCGCTGCATCTGGTCTATTATGTTATTTTTTAAAAGTCAGTGTGACTCTTTTGACAAATTAGAATGGTTTAATAATCTTGGTTAGGCTGGGCATGGTGGCTCACACCTGTAATCCCAGCACTTTGGGAGCCTGAGGTCAGGAGTTCGAGACCAGCCTGGCAAACAAGGTGAAACCCTGTCTCTACTAAAAATACAAAAATTAGCCGGGTATGGTGGGGGGCTCCTGTAATCCCAGCTACTCAGAAGGCTGAGTCAGGAGAATTGCTTGAACCCGGGAGGCAGAGGTTTCACTGAGCCAAGATCGCGACATTGCACTCCAGCCTGGGGGGGCAACAAAGTGAGATTCGGTCTCAAAAAATAAATAAATAAATAAAAATAAAGTATAAAAAATTAAAATTATGTGTTCAAGTAAATTAAATATATGGCAATGAAAAGGAGGCCCAGCATGACTGACTGCATTTTGCTCCTAACCCTTCCTACCCTGTGGTGATGTCTTTCAGGCTAACTGCTTTTTCTTCTTTCTGCACATAGGCCAAGCTATCTATGGGAGGGATTTAGCTTACAGTTTAACTTTAAAGCACAGATGATAATAATCCTTTCCCCAAACTAACTCCTGAGAAGATAGGCAGGTTGTTGAAGATTTATAAGAGCAGTGTGACCTGACAAAGGACAAAGAATTTTCACCATCCCCTTGGGCTCTCACTGCAGCCCATATGTCTGTCATTGTCAGACCTCTTCACCTCAACCGCCTCCTTCTTCCTCCCTTCCCTAACGTACAAGGAACCTGAAAATCATATTAATTTAAGATGGTTCTTTAGGATGTTAGTTCACCATCTGTTCAGTTTGGTGGCTCTCTGGAATAAAGTCACCTTCCCTGCCCCTACACCTTATCCCTGGACTTATTGGCCGTCATGCAGCAAGCGGTGAGTGCAGTAAGCCGAGATCACACCACTGCACTCCAGTCTGGGTGACATAGTGAGACCTTGTCTCAAAAAAATAAAAATAAAAACAGAGAAATTTGGTTTTAGAACCAGACAAATTAAATGGGAGATTACTTCCAGTGAGACCTAGAAATTTCTAAATTTCTAAAATTTCTAAAAAAACTGAGAAAATTGCCTCCATTGAGGAAGTAAGCTGAAGGAGGTAAACTGTCATGTTTTCTGAATTGAGAAATATTGAGGAGGCTTTGTCTCTTTCACCTCCAGCTGCTCCTTCTCCTCCTGCCCCTGCACCTGCATAGTCTTTCTTACCTGAGCCTTCCTGTCCTGCCTTGCTTCTTCTTCCATCACCACCACCTGGGGAAAGTCCCCAGGGCTCTGGCCACTTCCCCAAAACTTCTGTTCTGACAGCCCCTTTAAAGGTAAAACCCAAACCCACAGGAAGAGGGGAGCCTACCATTGTGTATACCACTTCACCAAAACGTGAATTAAGAATATTATAAAGGACTTCCCTGATCTAAACTTAAATACATTTCACTCTTCTGTTTCTAAAGCAGGCTCCGAGATTCTATAGGCTCTGGCAGAAAATTTGACTTAACTGTTGAAACCTTTGAGCCCAAATATTCTGACCTTTATCAATCAATTCACATGCTGGTGAAGAAGGCAAGGCCACTAACTGGTTGCAAAGGCAAATTGGAAGGATTTTCAAAAAGGGACTGAAGCAGAACATGAAAGGTTCACATTTTCACCAAATATCTCCATGTTGCCACTCCCCAGGTCCTTCCTAAAAATATAGATTGGAGGATAATTCAGCATTGTACTAAAAAGCCAGACAAATCTGTCTTTGCTTAATTAAAATGGTTTGAGAGCCAGGTGTGGTAGCTCATGTCTTTAATCCCAGCACTATAGGAGGCCAAGGCGGGCGGATCACTCGAGGTCAGGAGTTCGAGACCAGCCTGCCAACATGGTGAAACCCTGTCTCTACTAAAAATACAAAAATCAGCCAGGTGGCTACTCAGGAGGCTGAAGGAAAAGAATCGCTTGAACCCAGGAGGCAGAGGTTGCAGTGAGCTAAGATCCTGCCAGTGCAATACAGCCTGGGTGACAGAGAAAGACTGTCTCAAAAATAAAAATTAAAAAAAAAAAGAAAAAATCAGCAGCGTAGTAGAAGTATAATGCACACAAGAATGATAATCATGAAGACAATCTGATTCTAGAAGAGTAAGGGAACCTATTCCATTAGAGAGCCAACTGAAAACATCAAATCCCAGTTCACACCCCAGGGTGTGGGGGCACGTGCCTGTAGTCCCAGCTACTCGGGAGGATTAGTAAGGAGGTTTGCTTGAATATGTGAGGTCAAAGCAGAAGTAAACCCTGATCATGCCACTGCACTCCAGCCTGGGTGACAGTGAGACCTTGTCTCAAAAACAAACAAACAAAAAACCCACAAAACCAAACAACAACAAATTGTCACCTCACTCTGAAATGACAGTGGCAAACATCACTTTGCTATTGGAAAATTAAAAGAAAAACACTCCCTCTTGCTATCAACCTGCCCTCTTGCTCTAACATGTCTGACCCATGGTTTAAAATGCCCAAAAGCTGATGTACTCAAATTATAATACACTTACCTGTTCTGCACCAGCATTTATTTTTGTCTGGAGGAGATCACCATCCATGGTCCTGTAAATGTCTAACGGCATGGAATGATGAAGGGCAGTGTCTTTTAGGATATTTGGTTATATCTATATATATGGCTCTGAAGAAACCCAACATTGGGCGAGTTCCCTCAAACTTTTCACTAGGCATGACCACTGCTCTATTTTAGATAGAGATTCTGTGGGGCAAAACCTGAGAATTATCTGCCTGGCTATCAAGAAGATAGCTCCTTGCATTTTTTTGGGGAGAACACTTGCTTCAAGGGAGTGTTTCCTCCCAGGATTACAAATCTTTTTGTAACCTCAGGAAACATTGCTGATGAAAACCAGGCATGGTGGCTCTGGCCTGTAATCCCAGTGACTCAGGGGCTGAGACAGGAGAATCACTTAAGCCAAAGAGTTTGAGGCTGCAGTGAGCTATGATGGCGCCACTGCACTCCAGCCTGAGCCACAGAGCCAGACACTGTCTCTGAAAGAAAAAGAAAAAGAAAGAAAAACATTGCTGATGAAACTGCGGCCTCTTTTGCAGCTCTATAAAAAGGTATTTAGTCACTGGCTAAGGTTGTACTAGATAATCACATCACTTTAGGTGATACATTTAGCTGAGCAGGGAGATGTGTGGTGGCAAATACCTTTTGTTGCATATACATATACATTTCCCATGTAGTAGAACCTTCTCTAGAAAAAATCAGAAAAGAAGCCACTTGGCTGCAAGAAATCACTAAAGAAGAAATGGGGTTTGATGTTTTCCCTGATGTTTTCAGTTGGCTGAAACATCAAATCCCAGTTCCCTGGTTCCCTTACTGTTCCAGGATACAGATTCTCTTTGTGATGATCATTCTTGTATGCATTATATTTCTACTACTCAAATTATTAATGTTATGTATTTCTCATTGTTTTACTTCTTTTGAGAAACTAAATTCATGGTACTCTGAAAACTAGAGATGATTCAACAAGTGACAGCAACTATAGAATTGGCCGAGATATCTCTCTCTCTCTCTCTCTCTCTTTTTTTTTTTTTTTTTCCATGTTGTGATGCCACACCAGTTCAGCTTTTGGACGCTGTTAAAAAGAGAGGTCTCCTTCCCTCCCCTGACCCCCGTGTGGGACAGGACTATCTGGGAATGAGCCATTCTGGCAAGGAGGGACACAGCTTTTGATCGACAATGCTTTCAAGAAATACTTTTTTTTTTTTTAAACGGAGTCTCGCTCTGTCGCCCAGGCTGGAGTGCAGTGGGCGATCTCAGCTCACTGCAAGCTCCGCCTCCCGGGTTCACGCCATTCTCCTGCCTCAGCCTCTGCGAGTAGCTGAGACTACAGGCGCCCGCCACCACGCCAGGCTAATTTTTTTTTTTTATTTTTAGTAGAGACGGGGTTTCACCGTGGTCTCGATCTCCTGACCTCGTGATCGGCCCGCCTCAGCCTCCCAAAGTGCTGGGCTTACAAGCGTCAGCCACCGCGCCCGGCCAAGAAAGACTTTTCATCTAAAGGGAGAATGGGGAAAGAAGAGAACTTTTTTATTTTCAAATTCTCAGGCCCAGCGAGGCATTACATTGAGACAGCAACCACATTCTGCTTCCTTTTTGTACACTACTGTATTTGAAAAACAAAAAAACAAACCTACAAGACTCATAAAACTGGACAACTTTCTTTATAACACTACTACTCGTAAAACCAGTAAGGATGGCTGGTTTGCAGTTATCTGAGCAGCTTCTCTAGTTTCATAGACATGATTTCTCTCTGTTATTAAAGGGCTCCCAATTTTAAGTGGAATGCTACTTCACAAAGATAACCAGGTTTGAAAGGGTCCGGTTTGCTTTGTAATCCGAAACGTTCCAGTCTGCTATTAAAAGCCATTATTTGAAGACGGGTGCACAGGCTTCCAGCTGCCCGCCAGAAGGGTCCTCCGCAGGACACAGGTTAAGTAATCACTTCTTCGGGGGAGACTAGATGCAGGGTCTCGGCGCACCTCCCCAAAAGACAAGGGCGAGACAGAAAGGAGGGACAGGCGGACGTCACTTCCCCCGCCGGCTGCGGCACCGGGTTGGTGGGCTGAGTGGAGGAGGGTGGGGCGGAAGAACAGAAGGGGACTGGGAAAGGCACTGTTGGTGACATCACCGATAGGGCGTTTCTATGTAGATGAGGCAGCGCAGGGGCTGCTGCTTCGCCATGAAGGATTTCCCGTGCTGTAGGAGCAAGTCCGGGACCGCTGGCTGGACGTGAGCGTCCTAGCTGTGCGTTAGGGCTAGGAGGGCTCAGGGTGATTGGGGATTGGCTGGGGTGGTGCTCGGGGCAAGTGACCGTGCGTGTAAAGGGTGAGGCGTATGGAGCTGTGGCGGGGCGGAAGTTCACATGTGTGGTATGTAGAGCACATGTTATGGTTATCAAAGTGGTTTACTGTAAGGCTGAGGGCTATGCATTCTATGGCTATGTTGTTGTCTCTTATTTTTCCAAACGTGGAAACCTCTGTTTTGTAACTTGTAGTAATAAGGTAGAAATTAAAAAGAAAAAGTATTTTCCTGTACTTGCTTGGCTGCAAGGTCAGGAACAGATAGTTTCTGAAAAACCACATCGCTGAGAAATGAGTTCTGGAGACTCTCTTAACAGTCTGTTATCCCTAGGAAGGATAAGAGCAAGAAACAGCAAATGCTTTTATTACCTTCTCTTTTCCCTTTACCATTTCTCACTATTCAAGTTTTGTTAAGTTCTTGATTTCCCTTCAGTGCAGCTGCAAGGTCACCAGCTATTCTTGCCTCGTGAGACCTGTCACAGTTTGACTAGCTGCCTTTGTTCTGCTTCTGTAAGCCCTCTTGCCTGCCCCGCGAGTTTGGTGCCATCATAGTCCCACCATGCCATTCAAACTAGCCAACCCCCTTTTTGAAGTGTGTATAAAAGTCAAACCCTGTCTTTGTTCGGGGCTCAGCCTTTGGATTTTAATCCTCTGGGCCTGAGGGCACTCAATAAAATCCTCCTGTTCCACCCATTGGTCTCTCTGTTCTCCTGATTCCCACAACAGTAGTAGGGGACTGTGTCTGCACTTTCCCCTGGTCTTTCACGGTATGAATAATAGCCTTTTTTTTTTCGCCTATAGTCGCAGGCTCGGTCTCAGTGATTTTATGGTGTGGTCAGCTGTTTTTGTTTTTGTGAGACCTTGTTTACTGTCCTGGGACAGATGTCTGTAGTCACTTGTTTCCTTGGGAGGCAAATTTCAGTCTCTGTGGCAGAGGTCTCTCATGTTAGCTGTGGTGGTACTTGGCAGGCGGAGCTCAGGGATCTAGGCTTCCCTGCTTTGTAGACTGCTCAATGGTCCCCAAGGCCTACTGGCTTTTACCACCACTTGAAAACCTTAGTGTTTTTCCACTGTCCCCAGAGTCACCTCTTACACAGACTTATTTTGTTTGTCTTTTTCCCCGAGACAGAGTCTCACTCTATCTGGTAGCATCTTGGTTTAAGCGATCCTCCCACCTCAGCCTCTGGAGTAGCAGAGGCACGAGTCACCACAGCCAGCTAATTTCTGTTCTTGGTTTTGTTGTGGTGGTGGTTGTTTTGTTTTTTAAGAGTTGAAGTTTCACCATGTTGCCCAGGTTGGTCTCCAACTCCTGGACTCAAATAATCCGCCCTGCCTTGGCCTTCTAAAGTCCTGGGATTACAGGTGTGATCCATCACACCTGGCCAGCCCCTGCTTTTCACTATAGCATTCATGGGAGTTTGCAGGATTTCTGTGCTGGGGGGAACGTGTACTCAGCTCATACAGCCAAGTAGAAATTGTACTTGGAACTGGTGCCGTTGGGTTGTAGACATAACATGCTTGCTGTTTGTATGGGAAGGGCTTTGCCAGTGCTCTGTGCCCCTGTGCAGGGCATCCAGGCCTGCAGGTCAGAACGGCAGTCTCACCTATGAGTTTGTGTAATACGCAGCAATTCTCCCTGGAATATAAGATGGGTGGTCTTGTGAGGTTCCTACAAGTAAGAAGACAAATTTCCCTTCAGTTTGTATTGACAAAATTCAAAATTAATAATAACAGCCCAACCTCTTGAATGATAAATGTCCTTTACATTGACAGACCAGAACTGCCCTGCTTGCCTCAGCTCCTCTGTGCAGGTGCAGCTCACAATTCCCCCCACACAGGTCATTTCCTCCCTGCTTTCTCCAAAAGAGGGAGACAGCAGTTCTGCAGGACCACAGGGCTCAAGGCCTTCCAGGGCCAAAAATCTCAGAAGAAGTTGCCCGTTCTGCCTGTACCTCACGACTGACCTAGAAATGGCCTTTGCTAGGAGCAAAGTAGGGGGAAATGGTCGCCAGAGCTGGGGCCTGGGTACTGGGCCAGGTTACCCCACAGGAGGGGAAGTACTCAGGGTTAGAGGGGGCCAAGCACCAAGACCTCAGCATCCTCAACCTCCAAAAGGACTCAGAGAGATGCAGAAACCGAGACAGGGTTCCTCTTTCAAGGAAAGAGACTTTTGAGGAAGACCCCAGGGCTCTGAACCAAAATCCAGATTTTTCCCCATCTGCAGCTTAATTCCACCTTAGTTGGTGCAACTTCATCCTTCCCCTATGCTCAGGACAAAAAACAGTTCTTCTATAGGCTGGTCATTCTCTGGCCCCATACATCCTATTGGTCAGAAAATTATGTTTTTTCTTTGGTTAACTGCAGACTTTGGTCTGCACAGTCTTTTTCTTTCTTGGTCTGAAAACCACCCAGTAGTCCCATATGTAGCTTTTTTGGATAAACCTAGAAATTGACCCTGCTGGTCTTAAAGCTTGAAACTTAATATTTGTTTCGTCTGAGTTCCTTCCTCAGGAAACAACCTTCAGGCCTCTCAAAAAAGCCATCAAAGAACTGAAATTCATCCAGACAATGAGATGCTGGGACCCCTCATTCATCATGATTGCTTCCTTGCTCCTCCCTAGTTCCTGTTTTCTTACACATTGTTACATTTCTTCCCTGCCATATAAACCTCTGGTTTTGTTGGTCAGGGAGATGGATTTGAGACTGAGTTCTCATCTCCCCCACTGCAGCACCCTATTAAAGCGCCTTCCTTGGCAATAATCATCTCGGTGATTGGCTTTCTCTGTGGCAACCAGCAGGAATCCCAGATCTCTGAATTTTGGCAAAGGAGTCTCCTGATAAAGGTGGGATGGATTCTACTGACCAACATCAAAACGATCAGACATTTGAAAGCCTTAATCTCAGGGTCGGGGTTTGGGCCGCCCTTGGGCCTTTTCCTTGGGCCTAACCATTAAAATCAGCCTAGCCAGGTCTGTCTTCCAGGCACAGGGGTAGGGCCAGATACTCCTGATGCTTTTTGACGCTTCTCCCACTGGGTGGGCAACAACCCTCCCCTTCCCTGTGACCTGCAGAGAAGCTTCAGGGGGCGTTTATTCAATTTGCTAGGAGCCTACAAAGCACAGGTACACGGTGACTCTGTGGTTCCCACTGCACCTGCCACTCTCCTTGGTCCCCTCACTGTCTCTGGCAGGCAGTAATGTTCTGGGTGAGCTTGGGTGCTGAAGACACCCAGGCAGGGAGGGTAGGGAAAGGCACCAGCCCCTTAGGTCCTGCGCATTAGGGATCCAAAAAACATCTGAAGAAACAGAAAGGGAGCGTTGGAAGTAGATCAAAGGGAAAGAAAGAAATCCTAGGAGATTTCCTATCTGAAGGCACCATGAAGAGAAAGTCCGCCTCCTCTGGGCCGCGTCCTCCTGTTGCAGGTGAACCGAGTTCCGGTCTCCATTGGAAACCAAAGCAGGTAACTTTGCCCTGACTCCTAGTTAGGAAGCCATGCTTTGTCCTCCCCTGTTTAGCACTTGATCCTGTAGCACTTGATTGTCTCTCCCTGGCTTTCTATGGATTCCAGAGATGCAACTGAGAAGTTTGTTTTTAATGCACTTTTCCTTAAAGTAAGAGTATTTCAGGCCGGGCACGGTGGCTTACACCTGTAATCCCAACACTTTGGGAGGCAGAGGTGGGCATTTTACTTGAGGTCAGGAGTTCGAGACCAGCCTGGCCAACATGGCGAAACTCTGTCTCTACGAAAAATACAAAAATTAGCCAGGTATGTTGGCACCGGCCTGTAGTCCCAGCTACTCGAGAGGCTGAGGCAAGAGAAACCTGTGAACATGGGAAGGGGAAGTTGCAGTGAACTGATATCAAAAAAAAAAAAAGTATCTTTTGGCAAAGGAAATGATTTCTGACAGGTTTTGCACTTAAGACACTCAGGTGTGAGGAAAACATGAAAACCACTATGCTAGGGAAAGCAAATGCTGTTGAGAATGTCTCATAAACACAAATTACATGTCAGCAGGTAGGTTTGACCCTCAGGTTGGGCACATTTTACTTTAAGTTCACTGTCGGTGGAACTTAAGATGAATCTAAGACATTCACGATGTATGTATGTATGTGTGTGGGTGTGTATACATATACATATATGTATACATATATATACACACACACATATATATATATACACACATATATATATGTCTCTCATATATATATGAGAGACAGAGTCTTGCAATCTTGCCCATATTGGTCTCCAACTCTGGGCCTCAAGCGATCCTCCTATCTCCCCATCCCAAAGTGCTGGGACTATAGGCATGCACCACCTCGTCCAGCCCATTTTAATGTTTTTAATTTAAATACACATTCCCAAAATTATATAACAAGTACAGGAAGCCCACTTTCAGCCAGTTTTACAAAAACAAAGTGGCAACATCCTAAAGTACTGAAAGAAATAAAGTTTTCCTAGAATTCTATGTCAAAGTGAAAAATCTTTCAAGAATATGACTGAAATAAGGACATTTAAAAACATATAAAAAATGAAAGAATTCAGCAACCCACACTACAAGAAATGCAAAAGGAGTCCTCCAGGCCTAAAGATAAGGATACCAGACAGAAATCTGGATCTACACAAAGAAATGGAGACTACTGCAAATCGGTATGTACATAGTTAAATATATATGTTCTTATTATTTAAATCTTTTTTAATAATTTATTTATTTTAAATTATTTATGATTTAAGTCTTTTTTTAATAATTAAAAAAAGCAATAATAATGGATTCTGGGATTTATAACATGTCTGAAATCAAGTTACATGACAACACTAGCATAATGGCCAGAAGAGGAGGTATAATGCCACTAGATGGCACTGATAAAGGTGTATTCAGGAAACCCTGAAGCCCTCACTGAAAAGGCAAAAGCAGGGAAAGAAGTCGGGGAGCGGTAGACCAGAAGAAAGAAAGAGTTATAGCTAATAAGCCAACAAAGGAAAGAAAATGGAATGATATAAAAACCATGTAATCATTATGCTGGAACAACTGCTCTTCATGCACTCCAGCCTGGGCGACAGTGAAACCCTGTCTCAAAAAAAAAGCCCACCCCTAGGGCTGGGCATGGTGGCTCACGCCTGTAGTCCTACCACTTGGGGAGGCCAAGGCAGGTTGATCACCTGAGGTCAGGAGTTCAAGACCAGCCTGGCCAACATGGTGAAACCCCGTCTCTACTAAAAATACAAAACAATTAGCCAGGCATGGTGGTGGGTGCCTGTAATCCCAGGTACTCAGGAGGCTGACGTAGGAGAATTGCTAGAACCCTAGGAGGGGAGGTTGCAGTGAGCCGAGGTCATGCCACTGCACTCCAGCCTGGGCAACAGAGCGAGACTCATCTCAAAAAAAAAAATCGTACACTTAAAAGGTCACGGAGGCAAGCAAAAATCACCTGGTGGCTGCAAAGCAGACCATCGAGAGGCAAAACTCTTTATCTGGGGAATTTAGAGGCAATTAGACTTCCTTATTATTTAAAGCAAGAATCTAGTTCCAGGCTTCTTTCCCAAAAATTTATAACTAACTAGAATTTCTGGGGTTTTTTTTTTGTTGTTGTTTGTTTGTTTGTTTGAGACGGAGTCTCACTCTGTTGCCCAGGCTGGAGTGCAGTGGCGCAATCTCGGCTCACTGCTACCTCCGTCTCCCGGGTTCAAGCAATTCTCTGCCTCAGCCTCCCGAGTAGCTGGAATTACAGGTGCCCGCCACCACACCCGGCTAATTTTTGTATTTTTAGTAGAAACGGCGTTTCACCATCTTGGCCAGGCTGGTCCTGAACTCCTGACCTCGTGATCCACCCGACTCGCCCTCCCAAAGTGCTGGGATTACAGGCGTGAGCCACCGTGCCCGGCCAGTAACTAGAATTTCTATACATCTCTGGAATACGTGCTTATCAAAACTTGTGCAACCCTTGCTGACATTAAGGCACCAAAATGTCTACAAATGTAGTATTCTGTGAGCCACCGCACCCGGCCTACAAAATGTTTTTTTAAAAAATTATTGTGTTGGGAGTGAATTATTGGGCTGGTGGCTCATGCCTGTAATCCCAGCACTTCAGGAGGCCGAGATGGGTGGATCACTTGAAGTCAGGAGTTCCAGACCAGCCTGGCCAACATGGTGAAACCCCATCTCTACTAAAAATACAAAAATTAGCTAGGCGTGGTGGCGGGCACCTGTAATCCCAGCTACTTGGGAGGCTGAGGCAAGAGAATTGCTTGAACCCAGGAGGCAGAGGTTGCAGTGAGCCGAGATCGTGCCATTGTACTCCAGCCTGGGTGACAAGAGCCAAAAAAAAAAAAAAAAAAGAAAGAAATCATTATTATTTCTACAATATGGGCTTATCCCTGTATTACTCTTCTGAACTTTTCACTTAATATATCGTAACCATCTCTCCAGTCATTGAATGTTCTTCTATAACATTTGGAATGATATCATAGTATCCCATTATATGAATAACCCATGGTTTATTATACAAGTCCCCTACTGCTGAACGTTTAGGTCTTTCTAACTTTTTGCTATTAAAGTCTGGCATGATAGACTCTGCAAGTTAGCCTTCAGATGCCCAGCAAATCCAGTTAACCAGAGCACTGTCCTCTAAGCCTCCTGGTGAATGTGGTTTTGCTGATGGTGGGCAGAGTCCACCCCAGCCGAGCCGCTGGATTTGGCAGGCACTTGGCCTTAGCAACCTGAGGGTGGTAACTCCAATCAGTTACTTGTTTCCCTGTTACCTGAGTTGCAGATTTAGAGCCCTCTGCAGTGAGCAGGTGAGCACCTGGCATGATTCTTTTCTGGTGAGTGGTCCTGGGGGTCACTGGGCCAGTCACCACCTGGTGACAGGACAGGGTGACCGGTGGGTGGCAGCACTGGGGATTCAAATGACCGCAGCCCGGTCAGGCTGAGCTGAGCAGAGCCAAGGACTCAGCACAGCAAGGAACCTAGGCTCTTCACAGAGAAGGGAGCTGGAGGACCCCCCAAGGAGATGAGTATGTGCCACCCTGCGGCAGGGTCCTGTGGGCTTTGGGAGTGAGAGGGTCAAGGGGAGAGGAGCTGTGTTTGCCACCCCCTGTTAAAAACCTCAAGTGAAGCAGCATGGTAGAGAGGAAAGAGCATGGGATTGGAAGCCATTGAACTTCCTGCTGTGTGTCCTTGGGCAAGTGACTACATGTCTCTGATCCTCAATCTCCCCTTCTATAAAATGGAGATGATCCTAGAACCTGCTTCACGGGAGTGTTCAGAGGGGACTGTAGACAGAGCGGGAACATAGAAGAGGAAGTAGGCGGCAGTGTGGTTCACAGCCAGCGCAGGCTGCCTGCAGGGTGCAGGTACTGTCACCAAGGGAGACCCAAGGTGCCCTGGAGGGAGTGGCAAGGACACAGGCCTGAGCCCAGCCCTGGTGATATGAACACTGGAGTGGGCTTCACAGGGACAGGCAGCATCAGAACTGGACTAGTGAGGTCATGAGCCCACCAGGGCCTGGGTAGGGACATAGCAAGTCTGGGGACTCCAGACAGGGTCACACAGACCTGGGCCATGCTGGGCATCCAGGGACTGGCTGTGCATACTGGCAGATGTCAGTCAGCCCTCCTGCAGTTGGGCCAGGGACACCTCAGGGAAACTGTGACCTTCCTTCCAATCTTGGTAACATCACCCTTCCACCCCAAATCCCAGGGAATGGCCCGAATCTCTCCTGACAAACAGCTCTCAGCCCTGGTCCAGGCCACAGTCTTGCTTGCACCGGGCCGGGTTTCAGAGCCCGAAGGGCACACTGGCAGCCTTTAGTGCAGTGTTTCAGATGTCACAGACAGGTTCCTCTTTGACGAAGATGGAACTTCCACTGCTTCCCTCCTACCACGCAGGAAACACAGAAGCAACCATCAGCCGAGGGCCTGCTGGCCGTTCTCTCTGGGTACTGTGTTTGGAAAAAGCACAAAATCATTAACTTAAACATGCTTTTTCAAACCAAACACATCCCTCTCTTAGCCCTGGAGATTCAGAGCTGCCTCTCCCTTTGAAAATGAATGATCTCGCCCGGGTGCAGTGGCTCACGCCTGTACTCCCAGTACTTTGGGAAGCTGAGGCGGGTGGATCGCGAGGTCAGCAGTTTGAGACCAGCCTGGCCAATATGGTGAAACCCCGTCTCTACTGAAAATACAAAAATTAGCCGAGCGTGGCGGCGGGCGCCTGTAGTCCAAGCTACTCAGGAGGCTGGGGCAGAGGTTGCGTTTAGCCAAGATCATGCCACTGCACTCCAGCCTGGGCAATAGAGCAAGACTCCCTCAAAAAAAAAAAAAAGCATGATTTCATCCAATGCCTTCAATAACAGAAGGAGGTCCAAGTCCAGTGAGAGGGTGGAACGAACATACTGTCACAGTGGAAAGGACACGAGACAGGCGCGCCACCGGGTTGAGTCTCGCGAACAAACTGAGGCCAGAGTGCCTTCCCCAGGGCTGCACGTCAGTCAGGAAAAAAAAAAGCATTCTCTCCGACAGGTCAAATCACCGAAGCCTCGGGATCGTCGCTGGGGGCTGTGACGGGGCTGGCATGAAACGTCCCTCTGTCTGGCTGGGCGATGGGTCAGTGCTCAGGAGTTTCAGGCCTTTAAGGCCCGGCCAGACCGCAGGGGGACTCTGCAGCCGGGTCGGGGTTTCGATCCTGCGCTGCGGCCTTGCAACTGCGAGGACTTGGGGGTCGTGCTTCGTTCGCCTGGTATCCTCGTTCGTGCGTGTAGGAGGCGCCTGGCTTGCCGGGCGGTGCCAGGCGGCAAGAGGGAGGGCGCACGGAGCGTGTCCGCCCAGGGCGGCCCCTGTAAGCGCTGCAGAAGCGCTGCTCCCGGCGCCCGGCCCCGCCCCAGCCTCCGCCCCACTACCGCGCAGCGCAGGCTCCGCCCCCAGTTTTCCCCGCCCCGTGGCGGGGACGCCCCGCCCGGTCCGGCCCGCTCGGCCTCGGCAGCAGCGGCTGCGGCGAAGGCGCGCGAAGGTAGGTGGCCGGGGGCGCGCGCGTGCGCGGGGGCGGGACGGACGCGCTCCCGGCGGAGGAGGCCGCGCGCCTGGGGGCGGGCTGGAGCCACGTACCGGGGCTGGGGGCGCTGTGTGTTCCGCGACTGCCGCGGCCCGGCACCGGAGGCCAGGAGAGCGTTCCCAACAGGCTCCGCGGATGCCCCGCCGCGTCCTGCCGCCCATCCTGCCCGGATTGTCGCGGGCCGGGGGCACGACAGGAGACTGGGGCCTGCAGGGCGCAGCCGTCCCTCCGCCGGCCGGGGTCCCCTCGCTCCGCGGGCGGCCGTGGGAGGCCCTCGCGACGGCCTCTGCCCCCCGCAGATGCCCTCTGCAGCTCCTGCGTGCGGGCCCCGCCCTGCACTGCCCTCCTCGTGTGGGATCCGGTTTCGTCTTCATTGCAGCCCTGCCGAGTCGGAAGCATCTCCATTGTGCGGATGGGGAAACTGAGGCCCAGAGCGCATAGTTGGGCTGGCCACGGAGGCAGGGCCGCCGGATGCTGTGCGGGGATGGGGCCCTGCACCCCTTGCGCCTCTCACCATGCGGCCTCAGGCCTCTGTGCCCGGCAGCGTCTCTGGAGTGGGCATTTTGAACGAGCTCCCTCCTGATTTTCACACAGACTTAAGCCTGACGACCATGCTGGGGCGGATGTCTGCCCCTCTGGTGACCAGGTCACAGCTCCCTTGGGAAGACGATTGACTGGGGAATGGGGACCCTGGGGAGGAGGACTTCAGGGTGCCATCTGTCTGTTTACGCCAGAAAACAGAGATTTCTGTTTTCTTTCGCTGGGCTCACAGCAGGTGCTTAATAAACAGATCTTGTGGCGGGAGCAGACGACAGCGAGGTTCAGGCAAGACTCCAGGAGTCAACCCCTGGATCTCGGAGGCTCCCCACCCGCGCACATTTCCCTGACTTAACCCTCCCCTCCCCAAGTCTTTCAGCCCTTTCCACCCAAGTGGCCCCTGTGGGGGTCACTGCCTGGTTTTCACCCTGATCTTCTGGGATGCGGCAGATGCTGGCTGGATATGTGTTCGCTGGTGTCCTTCCGTGATCCCCGTCTGTGGCTGACACCATCTGTGGCCCAACATGACCCCAGCCAGAGCCAAGGGGAATCATTTCTTTTTCCATTTAACATCCTATGTTATTACTTGGCTCTTAGCATTCATTAATTCATTCAGCAGCTCTTCATGGAGCTTTGGCCTTAGCCCATGCACTGTGGAAGTGACAGTGAGCTAAGCCAACCTGGCACTTTGGGAGGCTGAGGTGGGAGGACCGCTTGAGCCCAGGAGTTGGAGACTAGCCTGGGCAACATCTCATCTCTACAACAAGTAAAAAATTAGCCAGACGTGGTGGCACGCACCTGTGGTCCCAGCTACTCAGGAGGCTGAGGTGGGAGGATCCCTTAAGCCCAGGAGGTCAACGCTGCAGTGAGCCATGATTTTGCCACTGCACTCCAGCCTGGAAAACAGAGCAAGACCTTGTCTCAAAGAAAAAAAAAAAAAAGGAGGAGACAGACAACATACATGTTGGAGAAAATGGAACAGCCACTGGAGGGACCTCTTTAGCTGAGAGTCGGGGTAGCTCCCTCAGAAAGTGATATTTTTGAGCCAAAATCTGGCCGACAAGCGGGAGTCAGCTGTGCAAAAGAAGGGGGAAGTGCGTCCCAGGCAGAGAAAGTGGCAGTGCAAAGGCCCAGAGGTGGGTGCCTGCCTGGTGTTTGAGGAATCAAGAAGGCCATGAGCAGCCAGGTGTGGTGGCTCATGCCTGTAATTCCAGCACTTTGGGAGGCTAAGGTGGGTGGATCACTTGAGGTCAGGAGTTTAAGACCAGCCTGGCCAATACAGTGAAACCTCATCTCTACTAATACAAAAATTAGCTGGGCGTGGTGGTGCATGCCTGTAATCCCAGCTACTCGGGAGGCTGAGGTAGGAGAATTGCTTGAACCCAGGAGGTGGAGGTTGCAGTGAGCTGAGATTGTGCACCACTGCACTCCAGCTCAGGCCTGGGCAACAGATCAAGACTCTGCCTCAAAAAAAAAGGCCATGAGAGAAGGGGAGAGAGGAGATGAGGTGGGAAAAGTGGAGTGGGGCCAGATCTGGTGGGCCCTGTGGGCCATGGAAGGACTTTGAACTTCATTTTAGGTGTGGTAAGGGCTAGTAGAGGGCCTTGGGTAGGGGAGGGGTATGACCTTTACTGTGTGAAACTTGAGTGGGTGAGGGGATGAGCAGGGAAGCATAGAGACCCTCGGGGAGCCATCTCAGCAGTCCAGGCAGTGGCTTATATAATACACATCGGCGTCCTGGGGTGGTGCCAGGTACACAGCAGGCGCTGCAGGATGGAAGTCATTGCTGTTACTGTTTTTGTTTATTTGAGACAGGGTCTTGCTCTGTCACCCAGGCTAGAGTGCAGTGACACAACCACGGCTCATTGCAGCCTCAACCTTCCAGGCTCAAGCAATCCTCCTGCCTCAGCCTCTCAAGGAACTGGGACTACAGGAGGTGCATGCCACCATGCCAGGCCAATTTTTTTTATTTTTTTGGCAGAGATGGAGTCTCACTGTGTTGCCAGGGCTGGTCTCAAACGCCTGGGCTCAGGCAGTCCTCCTACCTTGGCCTCCCAAAGTGTTGGGATCACAGGTGTGAGTCAGTGCACCCGGCTTGCTGTTATTATTTAAAACTCTGGGCTGGGCGCAGTGGCTCATGCCTATAATCCCAGCACTTTGAGAGGCCGAGGCGGGTAGATCACTTGAGGTCAGGAGTTTGAGACCAGCCTGGCCAACATGGTGAAACCCTGTCTCTACTAAAAATACAAAAATAAGCTGGGCGCGGTGGCGCATACCTGTAATCCCAGCTACTCAGGAGGCTGAGGCAGGAGAATTGCTTGAGCCCAGGAGGCGGAGGTTGCAGTCAGCCGAGATCGTGCCATTGCACTCCAGACTGGGTGACAGAGCCAGACTCCATCTCAAAAACAAAACAAAACAAAAAACAAAAACCCTTTGGAATCAGGCACACCTAGGTCGCGGCTGTGACTTGAGCTCTTTGTGGCTGGGTGCATTGGAGCCAATTATTTAACTTCGCTGAGACTTCACGCTGTCATCTGTAAAGTGAGTAGGGTGGTGCCAGGAGTGTTAAAGCAGGTAAGGGACAGATGTAACGTTTTGGGCACAGGGCCTGGCTCGTGGTTGGTTCAATATTTTTGTCATAATTTCTAGTCAGCAGCAGGAGGATAACGAAGGGGTAAGCGGATAAGAGCAGCTGCTATGTTTGAAACGAGTAATCTTTGAGGGGCTTTTTGGCTAGTTCCTGCCGCTAGCCCTGGCAAAAGGCAAGTTTGGAGGGTGGTAGTGGGGAGGGAAGGGTACAAAGGGTGTCTCCTCTGTATTTGGTCACCAAATAATGTCTCAGCATCTAGAACAAGGCACAGGGTTCTAGCTTGGGGACTAGAAAGAGCCAATAATACTCATGATAGTAATGATAACAGTAGTAATAGCCAACACTTACCCGCTGTTGAACTGCAGGTAGTAATTAAGGTAACACTAGCTAATGTGATAGTGAAACCCTGAATTCTCAGAGGCTTAGCGCAATAGAAGTTTATTTCTCATTCATGAAAAGCCCTGTTGGGTGTTTGGCAGGTGGCTTTCTATGTGGCGACCCAGGGACCGAGATCCCTTCTGTCTTGTGGTTGCGGCATCCCCTAGGACCTTGGAGTTATTTCCTTCTAGCTGATGGACCAGGAAGGAGAGAAATAATTTTATGGACCAAGCCTAAAGTGGCACGCTGTCTTTCTGTCTTAATTCTATGGACCAGAACTTGACCACATGGCCGTATCTGACTGCAAGGGAGTCTGGGAAATGGCTTTTAGCCATATTCCTAAGAGGAATCGGAAATGCTTTGTGGTGAGCACATTGCAGTTTCTGCCACACCATATCCAGGCATATAGCTTAGCACGGAGTATTTTATTTAATGCTCATGCTAGAAACAGGCACCATTATTATCCCATTTTGCAGATGAGGAAACTGAAGCTCAGAGAAGTGAAGACACTGGTGCAGGGTCACACAGCTGGTGAGGGGCTGGTGAGCCAAGATTGGAGTCCAGGTGGCCAGATGCTGAAGCTGTTAGCATCCAGATTTCTAAGAGGAATTCAGTCTTTTTTTTTTTTTTTTTTTTTTTGGAGAATTGGGTGGAAGCAGTGGACACATACACGAGGTTCAGATATGACTTCCTGGGACCCACAGAACCCAGCAGGACTCTGGGGGAGAACTTTGGGGATGGAGCCAAGGGTGAATGTCACCTGGTGCCAGGGGCTGACATCCTGTCCCCTTCCTCCAACCCTTAGGGCCGTGGTCAGGAGAAGGCACAGAATAATCCAGTTCAGTCCCTCAAGGACATCTGGGGCCCCCTCTGCTGAGCTGGGCATGCAGGGCTGGACATGCTGGTCCAGGGGTATTTTTGGCTTCCCCCCTGTTCTGGTGGGCAGGTGTGCAGCCTGTAGAGGGGATTTTTTGGAGGCTGCCTAGAGGTAGAAGAGTGGGCGTCCCTGGGGTTTGTAGTGGCAGCTCTATCTGCTGGCCGGTTTAGTTTTTTGTTTTTGTTTTTTTTTTGAGACAGAGTCTCTCTCTGTCACCCAGGCTGGAGTACAGTGGTGCGATCTCAGCTCACTGCAACCTCTGCCTCCCAGTTTCAAGTGATTCTTGTGCCTCAGCCTCCCGAGTAGCTGGGACTACAGGCACCCACCACCATGCCCAGCTAATTTCTGTATTTTTAGTAGAGACGGGGTTTCACCACGTTGGCCAGGCTGGTCTAGAATTCCTGACCTCAAGTGATCGACCTGCCTCGGCATCCCAGTGTTGGGATTACAGGCATGAGCCACTGCACCTGGCCAGTAGCTGGTTTAGTTTTGCCCAAATCTGGCTTGCTTGCCATTGCAACTTGGCAACATTTATCTTTTCAGACCTGTTTCTTGGTTTTCCATTTGCAGGGCAGTTTCCTTAGTTGGGCGTGAGCGGTCCAGCCTGGACTGATGAGCATTTATACAGCACCGTGGCATTCTGGGTCTGACCTGGATACAGAAGTAGAGCCTCAAAGCGCAAATGCCTCGGCCTTGCCCTTCAGTCACTCATTGGGAGGCTGCTGGTCTAAGTGGAATGAGCTTTGGGCTCACCACTTCCCTGAAGCATGTCGCCTTGAATAGGTGAGAGCCCAATGTCTCTGAGCCTCAGTTTTCTCATCTGGAAATAGGTTGAAGTAAGGATTTAATGAGATAATGTGAATATGCCCCCTTTGGGGCACAGCATGGAGCAGAGGGCACCCAGGGACGGAGGGCTGAGGCATAGCAGTGTAGCAGGACAAGCCGCAGGCAAAACTCTTCAGTCACCAGGTTAAAGAAGGAAGGAACTTTATTCGGCTGGGAACTTCAGGAGACTTGTGTCTTAAAAGCCGAGCTCCTCGAGTGAGCAATTCCTGTCCTTTTTTAGGGCTTACAACTCTAAGGGCAGGAGCCCAGACACGTGATGCTAATGACAATAGGAACAGTGGCCCCCATTGGCTAATAGCTCACCACCTGCCAGGTGTGGTAGGTACTATCAGTCGCATTTTTTTGTTGTTTTTGGTAGGACAGAGTCTCGCTATGTTGCCCAGGCTGGTCTCAAACTCCTGGGCTCAAGCGATTCTCCCATTTTGGCCTCCCAAAGTGCTGGGATTATAGACCTGAATCACCACACTCGGTCTAGTCTCATTTTATTTTATTTTATTTTTTTGAGACAGACTCTTGCCCTGTCACCCAGGCTGGAGTGCTGTGGCACAATCTCGGCTCACTGCAACCTCCTCCTCCTGGGTTCAAGTGATTCCCCTGCCTCAGCCTCCTGAGTAGCTAGGATTATATGCACATGCCACCACGCCCCAGCTAATTTTTTTTATATTTATTTATTTATTTATTTATATTTTTGAGACGGAGTCTTACTGTGTCGCCAGGCTGGAGTGCAGTGGCATGATCTCGCCTCACTGCAACCTCTGCCTCCCAGGTTCAAGCGATTCTCCTGACTCAGCCTCCCAGGTAGCTGGGACTACAGGTGTGCACCACCATGCCTAGCTAATTTTTGTATTTTTAATAGAGACGGGGTTTCACCATGTAGGCCAGGATGGTCTTAATCTCTTGACCTCCTGATCCGCCTGCCTCAGCATCCCAAAGTGCTGGGATTACAGGCCAATTCTTGTATTTTTAGTAGAGATGGGGTTTCACTATGTTGGCCAGGCTGGTCTCAAACTCCTGACCTCAAGTGATCTGCCCGCCTCAGCCTCCCAAAGTGCTGGAATTAGAGGCTTGAGCCACTGCACCTGGCCTGGTTTAGTCTCCTTTTAGAGATGAGAAAACTGAGGCTCAGGGAGGTAACCTGTTCAAGGTCTTACTGTCTTGAACACCATAGTTGCAAGTGACAGAGCTGAGTCTCACATGCAACCTCAGACCTGATACTGACTCCAGAGCTGTGCGCCTAAGCACTAGAGCACATAGCCTCCTTGCCCCAGGGAAAGAACAATGGGAGGTGGTGGGTGACCTCTGGGTCTCAGGGCCCTGGGATATAGGGACTGTGCCTTTTTTTTTTTTTTTTTTGAGACAAAGTTCCACTCTTGTTGCCCAGGCTGGAGTGCAATGGCGCGATCTTGGCTCACTGCAACCTCTGCCTCCTGAGTTCAATCGATTCTCCTGCCTCAGCCTCCCAAGTAGCTGGGATTACAGGTGTGCACCACCACACCCGGCTAATTTTTGTATTTTTGGTAGAGACGGGGTTTCACCATATTGGTCAGGCTGATCTTGAACTCCTGACCTCAGGTGATCCACCCGCTTTGTCCTCCCAAAATGCCGAGATTACAGGCATGAGTGCCTGCGCCTGGCTGGGACTGTACCTTCTGGATTTTCAAATGAATGAAATGAGTATTTCTTGAGTGTTGGCCACGTGACCCCCCAGCACCATGTCATGTGCTGGGTATGCACACACGATACTGTTTCATCCCCGGACGGCTCCGAGAGATGAGTACCAATATTATCACATCTTACGTAAGAGGACACTGAGTCTCAGAGAGGCAAAGTCAGTGTCCCTGGTGCACCCAGCTAGTGGGGGCTGGGGTGGGTGTGAAGGGGCCAGAAGCTTCCCAATAAGTGCCTGAAGGGCAAGGCTAGGGCATTTGTAGTTCGAGGCTCTACCACTGTGTCTAGGTCAGACCTAGGAATGCCGCAGGTGTTGCATAAATGCTCATCAGTCCAGGCTGGACCGCTCATGCCCAACTAAGTGCCAAGCCTGGCCTGGGTGATCTCACAGCCTGCATTCTTTGCCCTACACCTGTTGTGGGAAAACATACTCCCAGCATGCTGTAAATCCTCTCATTCTTAGCTAACCATGTGACTCCCGTTCTGGGCCAGAAAGATGGTCACAAATACTTAGGACTCTGGCCTTTCCCGCCGCATGGCTACTGACCCCACCCCCTGGGCTTGGAGGGCTCTAGGACCCAGCAACCTGCGCAGGGTGAAGAGTGTGTGAGGTCCTGACCTCCAGGTGTCTCCCCTGTTTCCTCCTCCCATTCCCTCTTCTCTCTCCTCCCTCCTTTTCTCTCCCTTCTCCTCCCCTCTCTTCATCCTTCCTCTTCCTTTGGCTCCCTGCCTCTGCTTCCCTCCTCTCCTGTCCTTTCCCATCCCCTCCCTCCTCAGCCCACATCCTGCTCCTCCCACCGCGGTGGTCACATGGGGGCGCCGCCGGATTTAAGCTTAATCTGCCTGGTGCTCAGCACAGCATCCTGGCTGTGGCGCGTGCTGACTGAGCTAGTCTTGGGGTCCTGGAGAAGGGGGCTGGAGGCATGCCCACAGCCTCCCCCCCATGAGCTTGGGGCTGGCGGGGGCACAGGAGGTGGAGCTGACACTAGAGACGGTTATCCAGGTGGGTCCTGGGGGCTGTGCCCACCCTGTCTGGGGCGGGGCAGCGTGGACTTAACAGGAGTGGTGAGAGGTGTGTGCGTCTTGGGGATCAAGGGGTGGGAGAGGTGTGGTGGTGGTGGGGTATACAGGGGCCCCCCGCTTGCAGTTCCTGGCAAGATGGGGGGCAGAGGTACACACAGGGTGCACCTGCTGTGGCTCCCTCATCCCAGTGCCCTGGGTTGGGAGAAGGGGGTCTCTACTGCCAGATTTTAGGGCTTGGGGGACCTCTGGCATAGCCAGATCCTCATCCATCTAGGGTCGGAACCGGATTGGGGCCCCCAACACTGGACTGCCTCCAGTGGGGTTTGGGAGTTACCCGTAGGGTTTGGTTCTCATCTCTGGCCCTGGGCCTTCTTCCTGGGGCAGTGAGCACACAAGAGGCTCTTTGCATGGGGATTTTTTGGATTCTAACTCCCAGGCTTCACTCCATCTTGAGGGGGCTCCTGGGGACCTGTATCTTGGGCAGTAGGATTCTGTGGCTCTCCCCACGAGGCCAGGGAGCCCCGGGTCCCATGTCCCCTGAAGACCCTCTCGCTTTTCCCACAGACACTGGAGAGCAGCGTCCTGTGCCAGGAGAAAGGCTTGGGCGCGCGGGACCTGGCCCAGGACGCTCAGATCACCAGCCTGCCTGCCCTTATCAGGGAGATTGTCACCCGCAACCTCTCCCAGCCTGAGAGCCCAGGTGCCACCCCCATCCGCTCCCCTCCACAAACACCACCCACATTTTACCTCTTCTCATGTCCCTTTCCTGAGCAGTCACCATGATGATCATGACTGTAACTCACTGTGGGGCAGGCACAGCTTTATGACAGAAGAACCCATTTTACAGATGAGGAAACAGAGGCTCAGGGATGTAATTTGTCCAGACTTATTCCGCATGTGGTGCAACTAGAAGGAAGGGCCGAGCATCTCCTGCGTGCTTGCCTGTAGCCTGCTGCAGAGATGTGAACCCCAAATCCCGTATTCCCACCCGGGGAAGGTGTGAGCTGGCTGAACCCAAGATACAGGAAGAGGGCAGCTCAGCTCAGACCAGGGTTTTGCGGAAGTCTGAGTGGATGGCGCCGTCCATCCGTTTCCCACGTGGGCAGGAAGGCGGATGGTCCCTGCTCCTCTCAGTGGGTGGCGCACACGGTGTAGTTATGTGGCTTGAGGATCTGGGAAAGGCACACTCAGTTGCAGCTGGTGTGCTGGCGTGTGGCGTTTTGGTGCTCTAACCATTGTCTGTGTTCAACTCCCAAGCTACAGACGGGCCCCCTCCTTGGGAGCGCCAGGGATGTTGGCGCCCTGGAGCCCCAGACAGGGAGAGACTCAGAGGGCCCTCACCCTGACACCTGGGGTGTATGTCCAGTTCTCCCAGGGTAGAAGGGGAACCCACAGGAGGTGGACAACCCCGCTTCTCCCGCTGGCCTTTCTTTCCCTCTTCTCTCTTTCTCCTTCTCCTCACAACCTGACCTATGCTATGCTCTCCTGAGCCCTAGCCTTTAAAGTTCCATGAAGCCCTTCTCTTGAGCGAGGCTTTGATGCTTTTCTGGGAGGATCTGGTTACTACTATTCTACCTTTTTTTTTTTTTTTTTTTTTTTTGAGACAGAGTCTCGCTGTGTTGCCCAGGCTGGAGTGCAGTGGCGCAATCTCAGCTCACTGCAACCTCCACCTCCCCGGTTCAAGTGATTCTGCTGTCTCAGCCTCCCAAGTAGCTGGGACTACAGGCATACACCACCATGCCCAGCTAATTTTTGTATTTTTAGTAGAGACAGGGCTTCGCCGTGTTGGCCAGGCTAGTCTCAAACTCCTGACCTCAGGTGATCCTCCTATCTCGACTCCCAAAGTGCTGGGATTACAGGCGTGAGTCCGTGCCCGCCCCACCCATATTACAGATAAGTAAATCTGAGGCCCCGGAGAAGAAGACTAATTGGAAAAGGAGGGAGCAAGAACTCAGGGGTCTCCTGGCTCCTAGACTGAGTGTCTCTCCTGCACCTCCCAAACCTGCTGGGCCACACTTTAGCTGGAGTTGTGTTCACTTTACGTCCAGCTTTGTATCCCCTCCTTGCCTTCCTCCCTGTTCTCAGCTCTGTTTGCAGGCCTGGTGCTGCAGCCATTCCCATCTGGACTCCTCCCAGGGGCCTGGATGGTTTTCTTGCCCTCCCTGTTGGGGGGAGGATGTCCCACTGGACCCAGAAGCCAACCATGTGCCCACTGTCCCTTGCCAGTCCTGCTGCCGGCCACAGAGATGGCATCGCTGCTGTCGCTGCAGGAGGAGAACCAGCTGCTGCAGCAGGAGCTGTCCCGCGTGGAGGACCTGCTGGCCCAGAGCCGTGCCGAGCGCGATGAGCTCGCCATTAAGTACAATGCGGTCAGCGAGAGGGTGGGTGCCGCCCAGGTGGTGGACTAGGCCAGGGTTCCCCTCGTTCAAGGGCAGGGAGGCATCTAGACCAGGCCCACACACGGGGCAAAAGATGGGCCCTGGAGTCAGGTTGGCCTGGGCTTGGATTGAGGCTCTGCCACCTTGAGTGGCGTTGAGCAAATCACTATGCTCTTTAAGCCTGTTTTCTGTAGTGGGGATTGTAATGGGACGTGGAATTGTAGGAATCAAGGAGATAATAGAATAAAGTGCCTGGCACCAGGGGTATTTTGTTCCCATCTGTCCCAGGCCTGTTAGGGGTGTGGGACACGGAGAATGAGATCCCTAAAGATTCCTGCCCCTTGAGTTTCTGGGCATCTCCCATTGCCACGGGCCTTGGGGTTGAGGCGGTGGCTGGATGCTGGCTCGAGGCTGGTGTGGGCACCCGCGGTGTTCTGCAGCCCATCTGGGGCAGCCACAAGACCTGCCGCCACTGCCTATTGGAATGAGTTCCAGGCAGGGAAGGAAGGAGAAGCAGGCCTGTCTTCATGTCCAGGCAGGATTCACATCACCCGTGCTGCAGGCTTGTGGGGGTCCCAGGGTGTGGGGCGGGAGCTGGGTGTGAGCCGGTGCGAGGGGTGCGGGATGCTCTTGATGCACTGTCTGCTTTGGGCCTCCGGGTGGCCGGGAGGTGGCCCTGGGAAGTTGGTGGTGGCTGAAGATTGGTAAGGGACACTCGCAGCTGGGACAGAGTGTATGTGTGCAGATGAGAGGCATGCAGGTGGCAATAACGTATTAACAGTAGCTACTGTTTATTGAGTGCCTACTATGTGCCAGGCGCGTGCTGAGTGTTTCACATTTAATACACCAAGGTCGGGACCATTATGATGCCCATGTAACAGAGGAGAAAACAGAGGCTCAGGGAGGGGAAGCACCATGCTGGGGGCACACAGCCAGTTAAAGTTAGACACCAGGTCTTCCAACTCCCAGCCCAGGGCTCTGTTTGGTTTCTAAACTAACCCAGTCTAGAAACAAAGTTCTGAAGTTTCATTTCCTGTGTATGGGAAGAGACACTGGGCTAGGGATTTCAGGGCACAGCTGGCCCCCACAAAGTTGGAAGGGACCCAGAGAGGCAGGGGCTGGCCCAGGGTCCCCTGTGTGGTAGTGGCAGAGCTAGGGTTGGCATGGGACCCCTGAGCTGGACTTGTCCAGGCTGGAGCCCGCATTGGCAGGAGGGTGTGTGTTCCTGTGTATGACTGTGGGGTGTGCCCGTGTCCTGGGATTTGCCTGGCTGGACAAACCCACGACTAGTTGGGACTTGTAGAGGAGCAGAGTAGGCGGCCCGCAGTGGCCCCTGGCATGAGGACAGTGGAGAGCTCGTTTCCCCAGGGTCTGCAGCGGGTGTGTAGGGCACGCTGGCCCCAGTCATGAATTGTGGGTGGTGATGGGGCCCTGAGCCAGGCACCCCTTTCTTTTGGTCCATGCATGGCACAGTGCCACACCCCCAGGGCCGCCTCTTAAATGCCACCTTCTGAAGCTAGCCCTGCCCCCAGGTTGGCAGGGAAGGGAAGAGGTGGGAGGTAGCAGGTTCCTCCTCTGCTGGGACACAGCTGCTGGGGCTGGGACTGCAGCACAGGGGGTCTGGGTTAGTCTAGAAAGCTCCCTCCTGTGGTTAGTGGGGGCCCAAATGGCACGCAGAGGGCGCCCGCTGCTTCAGTTGTCCTCTATCCACCATGGTTTGAATGAGGCCCCACCTGGAGGCAGGGGTGGAACAGGAATGACCTCAAAGGCCTTTCCTGGAGGGTGGGTCCCCAGAGAACTTCAGAGCCTAGAGATCACCTCATCACAGATAGGGAAAGTAAGTCCGGGAGAGGGGCATGATAGGCCCAAGGTCAGTGGTGGTCCTGGGATGAGACCCTTGGTCCAGGGCTCTGCAGTTGGGCAACATTCTCTTTCCCTGCCACCCCCTTGTCCCCATGGCCACAGGTGGCAGTGCCTGCCCCTGTGGCCCTCACTGGCATGTTGGGCTGGGTTGGTGGGCAGTCAGCGAGATTGTTCTGATCTTTCCAACCCTGCAGCACCCCTGGCATGGGGAGCGGAGGGAGGGTCAGGTCTGTGTCCTGTTAACTGCATGTCCTGCAGGGAAACTGAGGCACTCCCAGAGGCCACCTCCCAGCCGAGAGAGAGGACCTCAGGGCCCCCATGGGGGTCCCCCCTTCTTGCTGTCCCTGAGAAGCAGATGTAGGCGCAGCTGGGAATGGAAAGGAGGGAGTGGTCACGCCTCCCTTGGCTCCAGAGGACAGACCCCCTGGGCTCCCTCGTGTCCATAGCAACCTGGAAAGAGTAAATTGAATGGCGGTCTGAGGGCAGCAGTTGCTAGGGGAGACAGTCAACTTCTTTCATCTCTGGCTTAGTGGCAGCCTCCTTCCCTTTTGAATTGCAAGTAAAATTGAAAGGCTGTTTTGCTCACGGTGAAGTTTGTGGAAAGGGGTGAGGTGTGGCCGAGAGGGCCCTGGCTCTGGTTCTGAGCACTGGAGAAGGGGGAGGAGAACCCAGCAACGGCCTGAACCCCTCTGTGTCCCAGAGGCAAACAGCACCTGCTTCACACAGATATGCAGTGTGTACACGACATGGGCTACACTGGGCCCCACACAGACACACAGATGCACAAAACATTCCACAAACAACATAGTGAGACCCTAAAACCAGGCCACACAGAAACACTCCAATTCACAGAATATGCACAGTGTTAGCCGCACACACAGCCAGATGCCACACAACCCCACACAGGCACAGAACAGTCCCCCCACCACCGGGGACCTATAACAACCATATGCAGATGACACAGCACGCTATCTCCCACCTCATGGGTGCACACGGACAGGAAAAGCATACAGTTCAACACAGCCACCAATCGGCCCACAAAGGTATGCCCAGATGCACAAAGTGTGTATCACACATACCAGGGAGCCCAGGCACACCCCCCAGACCCACCCACATGCGGTTGTACACTTGCCTCACCGACACACAGACATATACCCTGATACACACAGCCAGGCCCAACACCCGCGCCACAACATAGACCTTCAGCCACAGATGCCGCCTTAGCCGTTCACGGGAAGGCTCAGATGCACCAAACAGTCGACGTGAACTCAGCACCCACACACTACACACACAGTGTCCTGCGTGGAGACAAATGACAAAATACACCCCACTCGCACCTAGTGAGAGCCACCAACATCAGTGCACAGCCTGTGTGGCTGCCTCAGGCCACCGCCACCACACACAGATGTGGACACCGCTCACCATTGACCTCAGTGGGCTTGGCACAGACGCTTGACAGGCCTGCAGCCGCCATCCAGGCAGAAACCCCCTACTTCCACCTCCCCTGCACAGCCTTGGACTGTGTTCCTCCAGACTCAGGGGGAAGCCCCCAAGTAGTCACAGTTAGCTCCTCCCTATTGGTGGGGCTGCCATGCACGTGTCCCGGGGGTGGGGTGGGTAGAGATGTCCTTGCTTTGTCTGTGGCTCATAGAACATCTCTCAGCATATGGGGTCAATGCAGGCCTGGAGGGCACCTTCCCTACCGCTAACCTGGCCTGGACCCAAGACCCGAGATGAGCGTGGGTGAGAGCAGCTGCCCTCCTGTTGGCTTCCTGTGGCTGGCGTGGCCCTGCACGGGTGGGCTTTTGAATGCCCTGCCTGGGCTGTAGCAGGCCAGGTCCTGAGGATGCAGATGGTGAGTGCAGGGCTAGCATCAGAGTAAGCTGGGCTGGGGTGTTGTCGCTGCCAGGTGCCCTTGACCCACTGTGTGCTCTCCCACTGCCCTGCTCCTCCCTCACCTCCCTTCCCCCAACAGCTGGGGAAGATGAGGGGCCACCTGGGGCCAGCAGGTGCCTTAAGGGAGTTGAGAGGGTTCTATGGCTGGTAGGGACAGCCAGAGCCCACAGGGGTCTGAGGATGTGCGGGATGGAAGCTTCCTGGGGGTGGAGGAAGGGCAGCAGCAACAGAGGCTTTCCTGCAGTGAGGATGGAGGGGACCTTTTTTTTTTTAAGATGGAGTCTTGGGCCGGATGCTGTGGCTCACACCTGTAATCCCAGCACTTTGGGAGGCCGAGGCGGGTGGATTACGAGGTCAGGAGTTCGAGACCAGCCTGGCCAACATAGTGAAACCCCATCTCTACTAAAAATACAAAAAATTAGCCAGGTGTGGTGGCGTGCACCTGTAGTCCCAGCTACTTGGGAGACTGAGGCAGGAGAATCATTTGAACCCGGGAGGTGTAGGTTGCAGTGATCCGAGATCGAGCCATTGCACTCCAGCCCAGGAGACAGTGCAAGACTCTGTCTCAAAAAAATAAATAAATAAAATAAAATAAAAAATAAATAAATAAAGATGGAGTCTTGCTCTGTCGCCCAGGCTGGAGTGCAGTGGCACGATCTCGGCTCACTGCAACCTCCGCCTCCCAGGTTCAAGTGATTCTCCTGCGTCAGCCTCTTGAGTAACTGGGATTACAGGTGCATGACACCACGCCCAGCTAATTTTTGTATTTTTAGTAGAGACGGGGTTTCATCACGTTAGCCAGGCTGGTCTTGAACCCCTGACTTCAAGTGATCTACCCGCCTTGACCTCCAAAAGTGCTGGGATCACAGGCATGAGCCACTGCACCCAGCCAGAAGGGGGCATTAATATGCAGGCGCCGTATAGGGCAACACCTGTGTGCACCTCTTACAAATCTTAATGCTGTGTATATGAGGGGGTTCCTTCGTGTCCTCCGGGAATGTTTGAGGTTGCCTGTATGTGTTATGTGTGTGCATATCTTTAAGGTCAGATATGCATAGACAGATTGACACCTCTGTTTTGAATGTATTCCCATGAGCTCATCCCATTAATTCACTATCGCAACAAATATTTACTGAGCGTGAGCCATGCCATTCCACAGCCACCATTCTAGTACTAAGATACAATGAGGAACAAAAAATCCAGGCTTTCCTGAGCTCACATTGGGGTCGGGGCATGGTGGGAAGACACAGGCATCAATGTAATAAACAGAAACCACGACAGGGCTAAGTGTTCTGGAGGAGAGGCACATGGTGTACTGAGGCCCCTGAGGTTGACCCAGGTGCACCTTTGAGCTTTGCCTGCGTGGTTTGGGTTTGTGGGCTCACCTGCATGTGTCCATGCATGCCCCGTCTGCGTGCCCGTGCATGGCTGCATCACCCCATACACACGTGCACTGCCCCTGGGCTTGCCCACATGTGCTGCTCCCCAGGGCGCCAGGCTATCAGCCTACAAGGCATTGTGGGTCTGGGCCCAGCCTGCCACGCCCTACAGAAGCCTGAGCCTGCCTTCCCAGGAGGCCCAGGACTCTCACCCAGGGCCCTTCCCTGCAGCTGGAGCAGGCTCTGCGGCTGGAGCCTGGGGAGCTGGAGACGCAGGAGCCCAGGGGGCTGGTACGGCAGAGCGTGGAGTTGCGGAGGCAGCTGCAGGAGGAGCAGGCCTCCTACCGGCGCAAGCTGCAGGCCTACCAGGAGGGCCAGCAGCGGCAGGCCCAGCTTGTGCAGCGGCTGCAGGGCAAGGTCAGGACCACCCACTCCTGCTCCTGTCCTCCCACCTGTTCACTTTGCCCCGCCCCAACCCCTGGGGCTCACCATCAGCTCCCCATCCCCAGATTCTCCAGTACAAGAAGAGGTGCTCGGAGCTGGAGCAGCAGCTGCTGGAGAGATCCGGAGAGCTGGAGCAGCAGCGGCTGAGGGTGGGTGCCAGTGTGGGGCAGGGGCAGGCCCTGCCCTCCACCTGCCCAACCTGATGCTTTAACCTCTCTCCCACCCAGGACACAGAGCACAGCCAAGACCTGGAAAGCGCCCTCATCCGGCTGGAGGAGGAGCAGCAGAGGTGAGGGCGCAGCAGGGAGGGCCAGGGCTGGCAGGATGGCCCCCTGCGCGAGCGCCTACTGATCCCCTGTGCCCCATTCAGGAGTGCCAGCCTGGCCCAGGTGAATGCCATGCTCCGAGAACAGCTGGACCAGGCAGGCTCGGCCAACCAGGCTCTGAGTGAGGACATACGAAAGGTGACCAATGACTGGACACGCTGCCGCAAGGAGCTGGAGCACCGGGAGGCGGCGTGGAGGCGCGAGGAGGAGGTGGGCATGGGGGTGCAGGGAGGCCAGCCTGACCCAAGAGGAAGGGGCACTGCAGAGGAGGGAGGACTCAGAAGCCTGGAGAGGGAGAGGGAGCACTGTCCAAGGGAGCCTGTTAGCAGAAGTAAATAGCCGTCATCACAATAGCTGGTCTTTATCAGTGTGTAGCATGTACCACGTGCACGGTGTGCGTTGACCTTTATTCCTCATGATAACTGCATGTGGTAGGTGCTATCATTCTCCTCATTTTAAAGAGAGGTTAAGGCCGGTCGCAGTGGCTCACGCCTGTAATCCCAGCACTTTGGGAGGCTGAGAGATCGTGCCACTGCACTCCATCCTGGGCAACAAAGCAAGACTCTGTCTCCAAATAAGTAAATAAATAAAGAGAGTTTAAGTAACCTGCCCACAGTCATGCAACTGGCAGCTGGGATGCAAAGCTAGGTCCCTTGCATTTTTGCCCTTCGTTGCTGCCTCTTGCAGCCAAAAGAGGACTTGAAACCCAGGTCCCTGTGCAGGAGGGAGCCATGAGGCTTGGGAGGCTGAGCATGGCCGCTGCAACACAGCTCTGTGCACAGACCCACAGGAAGACCCAATCCCTGAACGACGGTGCCTCCCAGGATGGTCGGAGATGAGGGAAGCAGTGGGAGGGAGTAAACCCGCTCTCACACCAACCCTTCCCTCGGCATGTCTTCCCTCCAGTCCTTCAACGCCTACTTCAGCAACGAGCACAGTCGCCTGCTCCTCCTCTGGAGGCAGGTGGTGGGGTTCCGGCGGCTGGTCAGCGAGGTGAAGATGTTCACTGAGAGGTGAGGCCTGGCCGGGGACGGGGCAGCAGCTGAGAGCCAGCCCTGCTCTTTATGTCCAACTGAACTCAGTTGAATTTCAGTTCAACTCAACGCACTTACTGTGCACAAGGGCCGGTGAGGACACAGAGGCAACTTGTAATAACCATTACCACAGTCGTGGCAGTCAGCATTTATTAGATGTTTACTCTGGGCTAGGCTCATTGTATATTTCATTTCAACTAATATTCATAGCTTCCCTGTGAGGTAGGAACTGTGTTCATTCACATATTACAGATGAGGACATTGTGGCGCAGAGAGGTTGAGTGATCTTCCTGAGGTCACACAGTAGTACATAAGTGGCTGAGTCAGAGTTTGAAGTTCCTGATTTTTTTTTTTTCTCAGACGGAGTCTTGCTCTGTCACCAGGCTGGAGTGAGGTGGCACGATCTTGGATCACTGCAACCTTCACCTCCTGGGTTCAAGCAATTCTCCTGCCTCAGCCTCCTGAGTTGCTGGGATAACAGGCACATGCCGCCACACCCAGCTAATTTTTTTTTTTTTTTTGTATTTTAGTAGAGACGGGGTTTCACCATGTTGCCCAGGATGGTCTCGAACTCCTGAGCTCAAGCAATCAGCCAGCCTCAGCCTCCCAAAGTGCTGGGATTATAGGCATGAGCCACAGCGCCAGGCCGAAGTTCCTGATTTTAATCCACTAGAATATTCAGCTTTGCTACCAAGGACCTCACAGCCTCTTGTGATGAAAAGATGTAGATCCCCAAAATTCTAGGCTGGGCACGGTGGCTCACGCCTGTAATCCCAGCACTTGAGGAGGCCGAGGCGGGTGGATCACCTGAGGTTAGGAGTTCAAGACCAGCCTCAACATGGAGAAACCCTGTCTCTACTAAAAATACAAAATTAGCCGGGCATAGTGGTGCATGCCTGTAATCCCAGCTACTCGGGAGGCTGAGGCAGGAGAATTGCTTGAACCTGGGAGGCAGAGGTTGCGGTGAGCCGAGATCTCGCCATTGTACTCCGGCCTGGGCAACAAGAGCAGAACTCCATCCAAAAAAAGTAAAATAAAATTCTAGACTGAGGAAGCGAGTGGTCAGTGATATGTACGTGGAACAGAGGGAATGTCCTCGAGGCTCAGAAGGATGGGAGGGGTGGGGAGGTCAGAAAAACCACTTTGTGGAGATGGAATTTGCACAGAGCCTCAAGGGATGGGTAGGGTTGAAGCAGAGCAGCAGGCGCTCCAAGCAGGAGCAAGGCATGAGCAAAGGCATGGAGGTGGGAGCCCATGGCAGCCAGGGGGGTTGCAATGAAGAGCTGGTACAGGGAAAGGAGAGCCTGCCTCAGCGGGGGAGCTTGGGCCTGCCTGATCCGTGTGAGCAGTCAGCTCAACAGTAGTGTCAGGGAGGCTGCGGAGAGAGCCCCAAGGCAGGAGGCCAAGGTATTTCATTTAGTGCGTTAAAAACATTTTAGTTAGTAATCTTTTCTTTTCTTTATGGCTCACTACAGCCTCAGCCTCCTCGTCTCAAGCAATCCTCCTACCTCAGATCCTGTGCAGCTGGGACTACAGGTGCATGCCACCAGGCTTGCTGATTTTTTTATTTCTTGTAGAGTCGAGGTCTCACTTTGTTGCCCAGGCTGGTCTTGAACTCCTGAGCCCAAGTGATCCTCCTGCCTTGACCTCCCAAAATGCTGGGATTACAGGCATGAGCAACCACACCTGGTTTAATAATCTTTTGTTAATATCATCAAATAGCCAGTGTCTAAATTTTCCATATGTCTCATAAATGTCACAGATAGACCAGGTGCAGTGGCTCACGCCTATAATCCCAGTACTTCAGGAGGCCGAGGCGGGCGGACCACCTGAGGTCAGGAGTTCGAGACCAGCCTGGCCAACATGGTGAGACCCCTATCTCTACTAAAAATACAAAACTTATCTAGGTGTGGTGACACATGCCTGTAATCCCAGCTACTGGGGAGGCTGAGGCCCCAGACTCGCCTGAACCCAGGAGGCGGAGGTTTCAGTGAGCCGAGATAACACCATTGCACTCCAGCCTGGGTGACAGAGTGAAACTCTGTCTCGAAAAAAAAAGTCACAGATAGTCTTGCTTTAGTTTTTTCTTTACAATTTGTTTGAATCTCGATCCATAGACATTTACAAAACGTAAATGTTTGCTTTGTCTTTTTTTTCTTTTTTTTTGAGATGGAGTCTTGCTTTGTTGCCCAGGCTGGAGTGAAGTGGCACGATCTTGGCTCACCACAACCTCTCCCTCCTGGGTTCAGCAATCCTATGGCTTCAGCCCCCTGCGTAGCTGGGATTACAGGAGTGCGCCACCACGCCCAGCTAACTTTTGTATTTTTAGTAGAGATGGGGGCTTCACCATGTTGGCCAGGCTGGTCTTGACCTCAGGTGATCCACCTACCTTGGTCTCCCAAAGTGCTGGGATTACAGGCCCAAGCCACTGTGCCCGGCCCCTGCTTTGTCTTTTAAGTCCCTTTTAACTTATTTGTTCAGGAAACTGGGCTAGTTGTCCTTGGAGATTCTCATGGTCTGGATTTTGCTGGTTGCATCCTTATGGTGTCAATTAACATGTTTCTTTATCCCATGTATTTCCTGTAAATTGGATGTTGGATCTAAAGCTAGGTCAGATTCAGGTTCTTCTGCTTGCTTTTTTGTTTGATCAAGACTCCATAAGTAGAATGTGTTCTTCCAGCAGGATGCCCCTATGCCAGCTGTCTCTCTTTTCAAGATCCAACCCACTCATCAAAGGCTGCAAAACTGTGAGCTTCTCATTTAGTCACTCCTGTGTATATTAATTAGAATTCTGGAATGAGGCACTTTCTCTCCTTACTATTAGATAACCAGTGGTACTGTTCATTCAGGAAAGGAAAGGATTTAACCTGTATTATGGACTGAAAATACATTTTTTTTTTTGAGACAGTCTCTCTCTGTTGCCCAGGCTGGAGTGCAGTGGCACAATCACAACTCACATTAGGCTTGACCTCCCAGGCTCAAGTGATCCTCCCACCTCAGCCACCCAAGTAGCTGGGACTACAAGTGTGCACCACTATATCTAGCTAATTTTTGTTTGTTTGTTTTTAGAGACAGGGTCTTGCCATGTTGCCCAGGCTGGTCTTGAACTCCTGGGCTAAAGCAGTGCACCTGCCTTGGCCTCCGAAAGTGCTGGAATTACAGAAATGGCCCACCATGCCTGGCCTTAAAATACAAAACAAAACCAAAAATTTTAAGTAGCCTTTAAAATTTTTATATTTTACTTTTGATTAAGTCACATGTTCACAAGGTTCACATTTCAAAAGGGTACACAGTAAAATGGCTCCCTCTCACCTCTGACCCCAGATATTCCTCTTCCCTCCTTGGAGGCAAGCAGCATTATCAGCTTCTTTTTCTTTTTATATATACAGATTTTTTCTTTTTTCTTTTTTGCTTCTTCTTCTTCTTTTTTTTTTTGGCCACCAAGTTACCATGAGAAGCATTATCAGCAGTTTCTTTTTTTTTTTTTTTTTTCTTTTTTGAGATAGAGTCTTGCTCTGTCTCCCATGCTGGAGTGCAGTGGCACGATCTTGGCTCACTGCAACCTCCACCTCCCAGGTTCAAGCGATTCTCCCACCTCCGCCTCCCAAGTAGCTGGGATTACAGGCATGAGCCACCACACCCCGCTAAGTTTTGTATTTTTAGTAGAGGTGGGGTTTTGCCATGTTGGCCAGGCTGGTCTTGAACTCCTGACCTCAGGTGATCCTCCTGCCTCAGCTTCGCAAAGTGCTGGGATTACAGGCATGAGCCACCACGCCTGGCCTATCAGTTTCTTAAGTGACCTTCCAGGGTTATCTTACATAATCAAATAAAGCAGATCACACACACACACAGAGACACACAGACACATGCACACTTTTTTGCATATACGCCTGGTAAAATTTCATCTTCACAGTTCTTGAAGATGCTTCCCTAACCTACTAGTTATAACTGGGAGGTGGCTCTGTGTCAGGCCAGGAAGAACTTCTCCACTGGTTTTTTTGTTTTGTTTTGTTTTGTTTTGAGACATAGTCTCACTCTGTCGCCCAGGCTGGAGTGCAGTGGCCCAATCTCGGCTCTCTGCAAGCTCCGCCTCCTGGGTTCACGCCATTCTCCTGCCTCAGCCTCCCGAGTAGCTGGGACTACAGGCGCCTGCCACCTCACCCGGCTAATTTTGTTTTTGTATTCTTAATAGAGACGGGGTTTCACCGTGATAGCCAGGATGGTCTCGATCTCCCGACCTCGTGATCCGCCCTCCTCGGCCTCCCAAAGTGCTGGGATTACAGGCGTGAGCCACCAAGCCTGGCCTTCCACTGCTTTTTCTTGGCCACAGAGTGTTCCACAGAATGGATGTACCATCATGTACTTAGTAGCAGTCCCCTTTTGATAGACATTTAGGTTGTCACCAGGATTTCTTACATGAGCAATGCTGCAGTGAACCTCCTTGTCCACAAGCCATCTCCTCTGTGCTGGGGTATATCGTTGGATACGTTCTTAGAGGAGGAGCCGGTGGGGAAGGTCCTATGCATGCATAGTTTTCAGAGCTCTCCCTCAGTGCCCTCCGTTGTGGTTGTATCACCCTCCCACCAGCTGAGTAGGGGAGGGCCTGTTACCCCCAGAGCCCCTCCTTGTGTATTATGTATCCCTTTTTTTTTCCCCAATCTGAGAGTGGACAAATGGCATCCCAGTGTAGGGTTTTTTTTTTCTTCCTCTTTAGTTTTTGAGATGGAGTCTCACTATGTTTCCCATGCTGGCCTCAAACTCCTGGGCTCAAGCAATCCTGCCTCAGCTTCCCGCATAGCTGGGACTGCAGGTGTATGCCACCGCACCCAGCCTAGTATAGTTTTATTTTTATTTTATTATTTATTTTGAGACACAGTCTTGCTGTGTCACCCAGGCTGGAGTGCAGTGTCATGATCTCGGCTTACTGCAGTCTCCACTTCCTGGGTTCAAGCAATTCTCCTACCTCAGCCTCCCAAGCGGCTGGGACTACAGAAGTGCGCCACCATGCCTGGCTAATTTTTTGTATTTGTAGTAGAGATAGGGTTTCACCATGTTGGCCAGGCTGGTCTCGAACTCCTGACCTCACGTGATCTGCCCGCCTTGGCCTCCTGAAGTGCTGGGATTATAGGTGTGAGCCACCACGCCCTGCCCAAGCATAGTTTTAATTTGTAGTTGGGAGCAAGCCCCATCCATCCCCAGCCTGTGCTCTCTCCCGAAGGGACCTGCTGCAGCTGGGAGGGGAGCTGGCCCGGACATCACGAGCTGTCCAGGAGGCGGGCCTGGGACTGAGCACGGGCCTACGGCTGGCAGAGAGCCGGGCCGAGGCAGCCCTGGAGAAACAGGCCCTGCTGCAGGCCCAGCTGGAGGAGCAGCTGCGGGACAAGGTGCTCCGCGAGAAGGACCTGGCGCAGCAGCAGATGCAAAGCGACCTGGACAAGGCTGACCTCAGTGCCAGGTGGGTACCTGGTGGATGCCGCACGAGGCAGGCGTCCCTGCAGAAGGTAAAACTGGAGAGTTGGGGAGAAGGGAGCATCTGTTCACTAGGGGAAGGGCCTTCCTCTGTGAGCTCAGCCAGTCTTCCCATGCACTGAGGTTCCGAAGGCACTTGCCCAGTGTTTATCATAAACAGCTTAGCCTCCTATGGCAGAACTTGTGGCCGGGTGTGGTGGCTCACACCTGTAATCCCAGCACTTTGGGAGACCAAGGTGGGGGATTACCTGAGGTCAGGAGCTCAAGACCAGCCTGTCCGACAGGCAAAACCCTGTCTCTACTAAAAATACAAAAATTAGCTGGGCGTGGTGGCGCGTGCCTGTAATCCCAGCTACGAGGGAGGCTGAGACAGGAGAATCGCTTGAACCCAGGATGTGGAGGTTGCAGTGAGCCAAGATCACATCTCTGTATTCCGGCCTGGATGACAGAGCGAAACTCCGTCTCAAAAAAAAAAAAACAAAAAAAAAGAACTCGTGCCCCTTACTCCTGCCACCTGGACAAGTCCTCAACTGCTTTCCCATGAGATAAAGCTGGTGGGAACCTCATTCCCATTTCACAGATGAGAAATGTGAGATCTGGAGAGGAGCCGGGACTTGTCTGAGGTCACACAGCCAGGGAGGTGGATGTTAGGGTCCCTGCCTCGGGTTTGGAGAAGCATGGTGGACACAGAGCTAGTGGATTTGAGAAGCTGGGGTGGTCCCGTATTCACCTCTGTTGCTCCCCCAACTCCAGAGTGACAGAGCTGGGCCTGGCAGTGAAGCGTCTTGAGAAGCAGAATCTGGAGAAGGATCAGGTCAACAAGGACCTCACTGAGAAGCTTGAGGCCCTGGTGAGCTGCAGGTGCCCCTGAGATGGGGCAGGGTGAGATGGGGTACCGGCCAGATCCATGGACGCAGGCTTAGGGCTGGGCTGCCTGGGTCACCCCCAGCGTCCCACTCACACTCAGGTTCAGCCCTCACAGGTGTGCAGGCTTTGTGGGAAGCACACTCACCTCCATCCCATTTCTTCCTCCCAGCAGCCCTGTAGCATAATCCTCATAACACAGATGGGGAAACTGAGGCCCAAGAGGGGTAATGCTTGTCCAGTCTCAGAGCCACTAAGCGGGAGAGTCGGGACTTGAACTCCCATCCACGCTCTCCAGGTCCAGATGCGGCCTCTGGCAACCTAGCTGCCCCCCACCCCCACCAGTGGGACACTCACTCCCCCAGGGTACAGCCTGGTTTGGTCACCCCTCTGTGTGGGGCCTGGCCTGGGTTCTAGGTCCGGCTCTCCTGCAATCGACTGTGTGACCTGGGGCAGGACATAGCTCTTCTCTGGGCCTGGTCTGTTCAGTGAGGGCCTCGGGCCTGCTGTGGGGTCTACCAGGTGGCTGGCCTATGGACATGGCTTCAGAGGCCACCTGGTCAGTGGTGGGCCAGGTAGGGAGGGAAAGGGGAGGTTTCAGATAAGACAGAACCCCAACCACCCTTTGTCTCCCTAACCGCACTCCAGGAATCCCTGCGGCTACAGGAGCAGGCGGCCCTGGAGACAGAGGATGGAGAGGGGCTACAGCAGACCCTAAGGGACCTGGCACAGGTGTGAGCCCAGAGAGGCGGGAAGACAGCGCCCTGCCAGGCAGTCCCAGGCTCCCCCGCCACGTCTTTCGGTGACCTGGGACTGAACTGCAAATGGGTGGGGGCCTGGGACCCAGGCTGTAGCTGCTCAGCACCCCTGCTAGCTCACCCAGCCTCTGCCTTGGGGAGCCCCCAGTCTCAGAGGGGAGGCACGACCCTTTGGGAGCCCACCTGTGAGCAAGGCCAAATGATGTCTTCCCAATAAATGGGAGGCCTCAGCGGCGAGCCGAGGACTGAGCTAGTGGAGGAGGTGAAATCAGGAAGGCTTCTTGTAAGAGGCAGCATTTGGAATGAGGCAGCCCCCAGCCTCACCTGGGCGTCTTTGCCCAGCTAACCCCGCGGTTCCTAACTCAGCAGCCTCCTTCTGCCTCCCTCCCCCACCCTCAGGCCGTCTTGTCAGACTCTGAGAGCGGCGTCCAGCTGAGCGGCTCTGAGCGCACCGCGGATGCTTCCAACGGCAGCCTGCGGGGGCTCTCGGGCCAGCGGACCCCGTCCCCACCGCGGCGCTCCTCGCCCGGCCGAGGCCGTTCACCCCGCCGAGGCCCCTCCCCGGCCTGCTCAGACTCCTCCACGCTCGCCCTGATCCACTCCGCCCTGCACAAGCGCCAGCTGCAGGTCCAGGTAGGAAGGGGCTTGAGCGTTCTGGGCGCAGCCAGAGGCCTGGGGGAGGGGCTCGCGCCCTCCGGGTGGGGGCGGGGGCGGGGGCAGGTCCGGGGCCAGGGTCCGAGGGAGGAGTCTGAGCGCCCTGGGGTGCAGCCAGAGCCCTGAGAAATAGTTTCTGAGGGTGTCAGGACCCCCAAGGAGGTGGCCGAGAGCTCTGCGGTGAAGCCGAGCCCAGAAGTGGGGGTGCTTGGGCAGCTGGGGGTGGGTGCTTGGGCAGCTGGTGGAGGGAGGAGGCTGCGGCAGTGTTAGGGTCCTGGTAGAGAGGGAGACAGGTCCCTGGTCATACAGAGCCAGGACCCTGGGAAAAGGTCTAGCAAGGGGAATCAGAGCTTGGGAACTAGGGGCAGAGCCAGGGTAGGGAGGAGTCTGAGAGTGGAACCAGGATGCAAGGGGGAGGAGCCTAGGAGCCCTGGGGGTGGGATCAGAACCCAGGAGACGAGTGTGCCTGGGGGTTTGTCTGGCATCCGGGGGGCTTTGATAGGAGTTGTCCGGGACCCCAGGGAGGTGAGGGCTCAGAGGGTGGCGAGGGCACATAGGAGGGGAGCGGAAGCCTGGCTCTCAGGCCTAGGCCCCTATCCTGCCCCAGGCCAGGTCCAGGCCCTGGACCCCGCCTAGCGTAGGCTAGTGTGTATCCCTGGAACCAGAAGAGAGTAGGTGGCTCTGGAGGCCTCTCAGGCCCCCCCAGACTCTGTGACCCCCCACACCCCAGGACATGCGTGGGCGCTATGAGGCAAGCCAGGACCTACTGGGCACCCTGCGGAAGCAGCTTAGCGACAGCGAGAGCGAGCGGCGGGCCCTAGAGGAACAGCTGCAGCGCCTGCGGGACAAGACCGACGGCGCCATGCAGGCCCACGAGGACGCCCAGCGCGAGGTGCAGCGGCTGCGGAGCGCCAACGAGCTCCTGAGCAGGTGCCGGGGAGGTCTGAGCTGGGGGGTACTGAAGAATAAGTCACCGTCTGGGCATAACACCAGTCAAGCCTTATGCGTATGGCTCTGCACTAATATGGTCGCCACTAGCTGCATGTGCCTATTAACGTTTATTTATTTATTTATTTTTAAAATGGAGTCTCGCCCTGTCGCCCAGGCTGGAGTGCAGTGGCGCGATCTCGGCTCACTGCAAGCGCCGCCTCCTGGGTTCACGCCATTCTCCTGCCTCAGCCTCCCGAGTATCTGGGACTACAGGCCCCTGCCACCATGCCGGGCTAATTTTTTTTTTTTTTTTGAGACGGAGTTTCACTGTGTGGCCCAGGCTGGAGTGCAGTGGCGCGATCTTGGCTCATTGCATCCTCCTCCTCCCGGGTTTAAGCAATTCTCACCTCAGCCTCTGAAGTAGCTGGGATTATAGGTGCCCACCACCACGCCCGGCTAATTTTTTTTGTATTTTTAGTAGAGACGGGGTTTCACCATCTTGGCCAGGCTGATCTTGAACTCCTGACCTCATGTTCTACCCGCGTCCATCTCCCAAAGTGCTGGGATTACAGGCATGAGCCACCGCGCCCGGCCAACATTTATTTTTTAGTATTCAGTTTTGTTTTGTTTTGTTTTGTTTTGCTTTGTTTTGAGTCACACTCTTGCTCTGTTTCCCAGGCTGGGGCACAATTGGTCCATCACAGCTCACTGTAACCTGGAACTCCCAGACTCAAGCGATCCTCCCACCTCTACCTCCCAACTGCCCCTAGTTGGGGGCCTGGGCCTGGCCTGGGGAAGGATATGGGACCGAAGCCTGAGAGTTAGGTTTCCACTCCCTTCCTCTGTGCCCTCACCACCCTCTGAGCCCTCACCTCCCTGGGTTCCTGGGCAACTCTGATCTCAGCCTCGAGGATAGTAGACAAGCCGCCAACATTTCTAAATTTTTTGTAGAGATGGGGGTCTCACTATGTTGCCCATGCTGGTCTTGAACTCCTAGCTTCAATCACTCCTCCCACCTCAGCCTCCCAAATTGCTGGGATTACAGGCATAAGCCACTGTGCCTGGCTCTATTAAAATTTAATTAAAATTTTTAAAAAGTGAAAATTCAGGCTGGGTGTGGTGGCTCACACCCAGCTTGCTGGCCAACATGGTGAAACCCTGTTTCTACTAAAAATACAAAAATTAACCAGGCATGGTGGCATGCTCCTGTAATCCCAGCTATTCAGGAGGCTGAGGTGGGAGAATCACTTGAACCCCGGAGGCAGAGGTTGCAATGAGCCAGGATCGTGCCACTGCACTCCAGGCTGGGAGATAGAGCGAGACTCCATCTCAAAAAAAAAATAATAATAATAATGCTGGGCCCGGTGGCTCACACCTGTAATCTCAGCACTTTGGAAGGCCAAGGCGGGCGGATCATGAGGTCAGGAGATTGAGACCATCCTGGCTAACACAGTGAAACCCCGTCTCTACTAAAAATACAAAAAGTAAATTAGCTGGGCGTGGTGGCAGGCACCTATAGTCCCAGCTACTTGGAAGACTGAGGCAGGAGAATGGCCTGAACCCGGGAGGCGGAGCTGGCAGCGAGCCGAGATGGCGCCACTGCACTCCAGCCTGAGCGACAGAGCAAGACTCCGTCTCAAAAAAAAAAAAAAAAGAAAAAATTCAGTTCTTTAGTTGCCCTAGCCACATTTCAAGCACTCATCAACCATACATGGCCATAGAACATTTCTGTCATCTCAGCGAGTTCTATTGCCAGCACTATTTTGGACTGTATTTCTTGGAGTTTTTTTTAGAGATGGGGTCTTGCTGTGTTGCCCAGGATGGTCTCAAACTCCTGGCCTCAAGTGATTCCCCTGCCTCGGCCTCCAAAAATGCTGGGATTAGAGGCATAAGCCACCATGCCTAGCCTTGAAGATTTTTTTTTTCTCTTAATTTGAGACAGGGTCTTGTTATGTCACCCAGTCTGGAGTGCAGTGGTGCGATCTCATTTCACTGCAACCTCCACCTCCTAGGCTTAAGTGATCCTTCCATCTCAGCCTCCTGAGTAGCTGGAACTACAGGCACACACCACCACGCCTGCCTAATTTTTCTGTTTTTTGTAGAGATAGGGTTTCGCCATGTTGCCCAGGCTGATCTCTAACTCCTGAGCCCGTCTCGGCCTCCCAAAGTACTGGGATTATAGGTGTGAGCCATCACGCCAGGCACCCTGAAGATTTTTAAGACAAGAAATTATCCACTTCTTAGCTGCCAGGTTGTTTTTGATATTTTGTTGTTTGGTTTTTCTCTTCATAAATGTAACCATCTAATGAAAAGTTTGAAAAATAGGAATAAAAAGACAGCGCCTTCTCACAGCCTCATCTGCCCATCCTAATTCATTTAGGGCACTGGTTTTCCTTCCCATTGTGTTGCCTGGCAGTGAGATAGCAAACGTTTCCTGCACACCTACTGTGTGCCAGGCTCTTGGCCGAGTGTTTTGTATGTACTCTGTGATTTAGTCTTCCTGTCAAACTCATGCAATTCGGAACTCTGTTGTTGTAAGCTTGAGAGACTGGCTCAGACTCATACAGCGTGTGTGGCTGGGGGTGGCAGGGTGGGAACTGGAATTCAGGTCCATGTGAGAGTAAACCCAAGCTTTCCATGCCTGGAAAGGAGAAGGTCTTTTTAAGCAGTTGTGTTCACAGCAAACATCCCATTTTGCATTCTGCTATTTTTACTTAACAGCACATTGTCGACTGAGCGAGGTGGCTCACACCTGTAATCCCAGTATTTTGGGAGGCCAAGGCGGGTGGATCACTTGAGGTCAGGAGTTTGAGACCAGCCTGGCCAACATGGCGAAACCCCATCTCTACTAAAAATAAAAAAAAATTGGCCGGGCACAGTGGCTCACTCCTGTAATCCCAGCACTTTGGGAGGCCGAGGCAGGAGGACCACCTGAGGTCGGGAGTTCGAGACCAGCCTGACCAACATGGAGAAACCCTGTCTCTACTAAAAATACAAAATTAGCCATCCGTGGTGGCACATGGCTGTAATCCCAGCTACTTGGGAGGCTGAGGCAGGAGAATCGCTTGAACTCTGGAGGTGGAGGTTGCAGCAAGCCGAGATCGTGCACTGCACTCCAGCCTGGGCGACAGAGTGAGATGCCGTCTAAAAAAAAAAAAAAATTACTGGGCGCATTGGCTCATGCCTGTAATCCCAGCACTTTGGGAGGCCGAGGCGGGCAGGTCATGAGGTCAGAAGATTGAGACCATCCTGGCTAACACAGTGAAACCCCCATCTCTACTAAAAATACAACAAATTACCCGGACATGGTGGCGGGCGCCTGTATTCCCAGCTACTTGGGAGGCTGAGGCAGGAGAATGGCGTGAACCCGGGAGGCGGAGCTTGCAGTGAGTGGAGATTGCGCTACTGCACTCCAGCCTGGGGGACAGAGCGAGACTCCGTCTCAAAAAAAAAAAATAAAACAAAATCACGCTGTGAAGTTTTTTCGCACCTATGGCCAGTGGGGAACGTGGCAGCTCATGGCAAGTCTTTGGGGTCCCAGTTGTTCCCTTCTCCTCCCTCCCCTGCCGTGGCCACCATGTGCCTGTGTAGCAGGAAGCTGTGGGATCTGCAGACTCAGCTCTATCAGGCTTCCCAGAATTGAGGGGCATGGGGTGTTATAGGGGACATTTCCTGGTCACATGGCCTAGCAGAGCTGGTGGCACAATTGCCGTGTGTCCCAGGAGCCTAGCTCGGCCTCTTCTACCTGGTAGGGTGCTTGGAGATCACACCAGCACCTCCATCCACTCCAAGTGGGCGGACTGGAGAGAAGGAAAGCCAGGTTCTTCTGCTGGAGTGTGTGAGTGAAATGAGTCAGCCATGGACAGGGTGGTCAGGGAAGGCTTCCTGGAGGCAGGTGCCTTGGAAGACTGGAGGATGTAGCTCATGGCTAGAGGAGCAGCCAGCCACCTTCCCTGCAGAGAGCAGCCCCAGCATCCCCTCTGCTCCCCCTCCCCTTGTCCTGAAGGGAGAAGAGCAACCTGGCCCACAGCCTGCAGGTGGCCCAGCAGCAGGCCGAGGAGCTGCGGCAGGAGCGGGAGAAGCTGCAGGCTGCCCAGGAGGAGCTGCGGCGCCAGCGGGACCGGCTGGAGGAAGAGCAGGAGGACGCAGTGCAGGATGGCGCGCGGGTGCGCCGGGAGCTTGAGCGCAGGTGAGCAGCATCTCGCCACCCTGCCAGGACCCTTCAGATGTGCCTCGGGTCCCCTGACAGTGCCCCCCTGGGGTTAGGTGACACCCACTGGGTCCTGGGCCTCCTACCGTCTGGACCCCTCCGATGTCGGGTTTTCTAACCAGACCCATTTCAGGAAACTGGGGCTCAGGGAGGTATAGTCACTTACCTGGAGTCAGAGAACTAGTTAAAAGGTAGAACTTGGATGATAATAACAAGAATAATTAAAATAACAGTAGTAATATTAGCAGTAGTATTTTAAAAATTTAGTTAGAAGAATAATAATATCCTTACTAATTTCACTAAGTGCCAGATACCATTTTAAGCAATTCAGTTCTCTCATTTAACTCCATGATAACTCTGTGACATAGAAGCGGTTATCTCCATTTTGTGGATGGTAAACTGAGGCACAGAGAAGCCATGTCACTTGCCCCAGGTCACACAGTTAGCAGAAGAGCCAGGATTTGAACCCAGACATTCTGCCTTCAGAGTTAACCTCTTCACCACTGCGCTGCTTACCTCTCAGGGACGTGATCGATGATGATGTTTAGTAGACTGTGGTGGAGCATGTTATTCTTGTTTCTGAAGGTCCTTGGGGAGATGTGTCAGGCACTATTTTAAGCACATGTGAAGTTTGTATCCTTAAAACAGGCCGGGCGCAGTGGCTCACGCCTGTAATCCCAGCACTTTGAGAGGCCAAGGCAGGCAGATCGCCTGAGGTCAGGAGTTCCAGACCAGCCTGACCAACGTGGAGAAATCCCGTCTCTACTAAAACTACAAAAATTAGTCAGGCGTGGTGGTGAGCACCTGTAATCCCAGCTACTCGGGAGGCTGAGGCAGGAGAATTGCTTGAACCTGGGAGGCAGAGGTTGCAGTCAGCCAGGATCGCACCACTGTACTCCAGCCTGTGTGACAGAGCAAGACTGTGTCTCAAAAAAACAAACAATGTCACGAGGTAAGTGTTACCTCATTTTGCAGATGTGAAAACGGAGGCCCAGGGTCATGGAGCTAAGCGGTAGTGGGCTTGGTTGCCCTGTGGCTCAGGCTGTTTCTCTCCAAACTCCTGCCTCAGGCCTGGTCCCCAGCCCAGCATCTCGCTGGCTACAGGAGGTTCGGGGCAGGAAAGTGACATGGGCCACCCACCCACCCTTTGTCCCACAGCCATAGACAACTAGAGCAGCTGGAAGGGAAGCGCTCAGTCCTGGCCAAGGAGCTGGTGGAGGTGAGGGAGGCGCTGAGCCGCGCCACACTGCAACGGGACATGCTGCAGGCCGAGAAGGCCGAGGTGGCCGAGGCGCTGACCAAGGTGGGTCCCTGTCTGCTGCACAACCACAAACCTACCTCTGACCCCCAGCCCCAAGCCTTGTCACTCTGGCACAGACTGGTCCCAGTGTCAGGCAGACCTCTGAGCCTGGTCACAGACTGACCCCTTCCTTCTGGATACAGGCTGATCTTTGTCACAGGCCACAGACCTCTGGACCTCTGGTCCCAGCCATAAGTGGACTGACCTCTCTTTATGGCCGTATCCCTGCTCTTCTGGATGCTCCTGGGGGCAATGCCTATAGCTCAGGGTCATCCAGTGCCTGAGACTCAGCTCCTGGGGTCTGAGAGTTGTGGCCACAGCGCAGAGGGTCCTTGGCAGGGGGGCCTGCGCTGTCCGCTGCAGCCTGGGCTCTGAGCAGTGCTATCCCTAGACCCTACTCAGGGGATCCTCTGAACTCTGGCCCTGCCCTGCAGCTTGAGCTATTTTTGCACAGCTCTGTGGTGTGTGGCTTTTAAATGGCTCATAAGCAGCAGGCTTTCTGCGGTGATTTTTTTTTTTCCATCTCACACTGTGTCCCCTCCTTGTCTCCCCTACCCTGTCTCTGAGGGTCCATCTCTCTGGGTCTCTTCTTGGGCCTCCTCACCTCCTCCCGACCTTTCTGCCTTTCCTCATTTCTCGGGGCCTGACCCTGCAGGCTGAGGCTGGCCGCGTGGAGCTCGAGCTCTCCATGACCAAGCTGAGGGCAGAGGAGGCCTCCCTGCAGGACTCCCTGTCCAAGCTGAGCGCCCTCAACGAGAGCCTTGCTCAGGACAAGTTGGATCTGAACCGCCTTGTCGCCCAGGTACGCTGTGCACCTGCGGGCCCACCTGCCTTGCCCACCCATCCTCCCCACTCAGTGAGGCACCCCGGGCCCAGCCCTGTACCTGTCTTGGCCCCTGCCTCCCTTTCTGTCCCTGGTTCTCTGTCTGTCTCTGGTTCTCTGTCTGTCTGTCTATCCCCTCTAGGCGTCAAAGCACAGAAGTTCCATGGGCCCTCCTCATCTCCCCCTCCCCAGTGTCCCATACACCCAAGGGCACTGTCCCTCATTCCCTGGGAGCCTCCCCTGGGCTATTGTTGCTGGTGGGTGGGTGGAGGAGGCGTCCTGGTCCTGGGAGGGACGCCCTGCTCACGAGGCCCCACTCCTACCTGGCCTCCAGCTGGAGGAAGAAAAGTCCGCCCTGCAGGGCCGGCAACGGCAGGCAGAGCAGGAGGCCACAGTGGCGCGGGAAGAGCAGGAACGGCTAGAGGAGCTGCGGTTGGAGCAGGAGGTGGCGCGGCAGGGCCTGGAGGGCTCCCTACGAGTGGCGGAGCAGGCCCAGGAGGCATTGGAGCAGCAGCTCCCCACGCTGCGCCATGAGCGCAGCCAGCTGCAGGAGCAGCTAGCGCAGGTGGGCAAAGCTGTGTGTGGGGGTGGTGTGGAGAGCATGTGGGGCAGGCCGGGCTCCCAGCCCCCTGCATCCAGTCCTGGGTTAAGTCACAGGCACTGGAGCCTGCTTCTGGGTTAAATCCAGCCCCACTTCTGCTAGCTGGGGACCTTGGACAAGCTGCCCAATCTCCCATACCTCAGTTGCCCCATCTATAACATGGGGCCAGCCAGGCGCAGTGGCTCACGCCTATAATCCCAGCACTTTGGGAGGCCGAGGCGGGTGGATCACCTGAGGTCCGGAGATCAAGACCATCCTGGCTAACACGGTGAAACCCTATCTCTACAAAAAATTAGCTGGGCGTGGTGGCACGCGCCTGTAGTCCCAGCTACTTGGGAGGCTGAGGCAGGAGAATCGCTTGAACCCAGGAGGCAGAGGTTGCAGTGAGCCAAGATCATGCCACTGCACTCCAGCCTGGGCAACAGAGCAAGACTCCGTCTCAATAATAATAATAATAATAATAATAATAATAATGATACAGATTAATAATAGGTGGAGACTTTTTAGAATTGGAATCTTAGACTTTTGGGAACATCACATCTGGAAGAGACCTTAATGTTTCAGGGATCCAGGGACCTTCATGCAAGGTCTATCCTGGAGCGCCTAGGTTTCTGGGAGGGGCCTCTAGAGGATGGGGTAGGGGGTGCAGGAAGCAGGGTGCAGGTCTCCACCTTGAGGCCTGCCGAGCAGCTGCACTTGGGTCTGGTTTATATATTCAGCTTCTCTGCAAGTTTAGAGTAATACAAGGGTTCTGTTACTCCCAGAGCTGAGTGAGGGCCCTCATTTTTTTTGTTTCATTTTGTTTTGTTTTTGTTGTTGTTTTTTTTTCCAGACAGAGTCTTGCTCTGTTGCCCAGGCTGGAATGCAGTGGCACGATCTGGGCTCACTGCAACCTCCGCCTCCAGGGTTTAAGCTGTTCGCCTGCCTCAGCGTCCCAAGTAGCAGGGACTACAGGCGTGCACCACCACGCCCGGCTAATTTTTGTATTTTTAGTAGAGACAGGGTTTCACCCCGTTGGCCAGGCTGGTCTTGAACTCCTGACCTCAAGTGATCCACCTGCCAAAGTGCTGGGATTATAGGCACGCACCACCGTACCTGGCTGGGCCCTGGTTTTTGTACACACGTGCATTGCAGATCTAGAGAAGGTCATGACTTGCCCAAGTACATGTAGCACATCAGGGCAGACCCTGGGCTCAAACCCAGGCCTTCTGCCAGGACTGGGTTAGGCCCAGAGTTGGGGTGCTGCACGATGAACAAGCTGGGGGACGCTGGGAGTGCTACTCAGTCTCTGGGTGGGGGCCAGCTCTCCCGGCAGCTGAGCGGGCGGGAGCAGGAGCTGGAGCAGGCCCGGCGGGAGGCCCAGCGGCAAGTGGAGGCGCTGGAGCGAGCGGCCCGTGAGAAGGAGGCGCTAGCCAAGGAGCACGCTGGCCTGGCTGTGCAGCTGGTGGCTGCGGAGCGTGAAGGCAGGACCCTGTCAGAGGAGGCCACACGCCTGCGGTAAGGCCTTGGGCTCTGCCCAACCCGCCCTGGGGGGTCCTCCTGGGGCCACACCATGACCAGCCACACGCAGGCACGGGCCCCCAGGGGCAGTTACTAAGGAGTCTGGCTTGCCGACTCGTCCTAGCTGTGGCTCAGGCTTCCCCAGGGAGTGTGGGCCTGGCCAGGCAGGTAGATTGGCACTTGGCCCATGCCTGGCCACTCCCTGAGATCCACAGTTTCCTGGGGCCAGGGAGGCTGAGTCCCAGGGCCTCAGGGACTGTATGTGCTGCAGCTTGGAGAAGGAAGCCCTGGAGGGCAGCCTGTTTGAGGTGCAACGGCAGCTGGCCCAGCTTGAGGCCCGCCGGGAGCAGCTGGAAGCCGAGGGGCAGGCCCTGCTGCTGGCCAAGGAGACCCTGACTGGTACGAGGGGCTGGGGACTTGGGGGGAACACCAGGTTCCAGCCCAGACTGCAGCCTCCCAAGGTCTGGGGTCTCACAGAAGTTGGGAGCACTGGAGTAGGAGTCTGGCTGGCCTGGGTTCCAGTCCTGTGCCACCACTTAGATCTCACCTTCCCTTGAGCAAGCCCCTTTCCTCTCTGGGCTGCAGATTCCTCAGCTGATGATTGGAGGTGGCAATGCCCACCTTCTAAGCCTGTTGCCAGGATGACGTGGGAAAAGCGTGTAAGGCCGTGGCACGGTGCCTGGCTGAGTCAACAGTAACTGCCGTTCATCGGTCATCAGGCCTGTTAGTCTGAGTTCTCTGTGCTTTTCAGATGACTCTCTTGGCCCCAGAATCCCAGCCCCACTTCCCTGCACCGTTCCCATCCAGTCTCTGAACTCAGGGCTTCTTTCTGCTCACCTAACATTAACTAAGCACCTACTTGGGTCATGGAAATTAATTTTCCTGTCCATGTACACCTGAGCCAGACAGAACCAGGAAGGGAAATGCTGGTGGGTTTCCAACCCGGGAGATGGTTTTTAGATGGTAGCTATACCATTTCCATTCCCTGTAGTCATTTCCATTAATATAAATAGTTAACGTTTGACGGGTATGTTCATGTCAGTCATTAAAGGAGATGCTTTATGTGTAGCTGTGCAGCTGTGGGAAGTTGCTGCTGATCTCTGAGCCTCCATTTCATCATCTGTTAAATGGGGATGAGGATAAACTACATAGGCATGTTATGAAGACAAAATGAGGTTATGTCTAAAATACTTAGCTGGGCGCTTGACCCATAGTAAGTGCTCAGTCAGGAATAGGGTTGTTTTTTGTTTGTTTGTTTTGAGACAGAGTTTCACTCTTGTTGCCCAGGCGGGAGTGCAATGGCACTATCTCGGCTCACCTCAACCTCTGCCTTCTGGGTTCAAGCGATTCTCCTGCCTCAGCCTCCCAAGTAGCTGGGATTACAGGCATGCATCACCATGCCTGGCTAATTTTATATTTTTAGTAGAGACGGGGTTTCGCCATGTTGGTCAAGCTGGTCTCGAACTCTTGACCTCAGGTGATCCACCCGCTTTGGCCTCCCAAACTGCTGGGATTACAGGCATGAGCCATCACGCCCAGCCTGTTTGTTTTTTGAGACAGAGTCTCACTCTTGTTGCCCAGGCTGGAGTGCAATGGTGCGATCTCGGCTCACTGCAACTTCTGCCTCCTGCATTCAAGCGATTCTCCTGCCTCAGCCTCCCAAGTAGCTGGGACTACATATGCCCGCCACCATGCCTGGCTAATTTTTGTATTTTTGGTATAGACAGGGTTTCGCTGTGTTGGCCAGGCTGGTCTCAAACTCCTGACCTAAGGTGACCTACCTGACCCAGCCTCCCAGAGTGCTGGATTACAGGCATGAGCCACTGCGCCCGGCCTATTTGTTTTTTTGAGGCAGAGTCTCACTCTTGTTGCCCAGGCTGGAGTGCAGTGGTGCAATCTCAGCTCACTGCAACTTCTGCCTCTTGGGTTCAAGCGATTCTCCTGCCTCAGCCTCCCTGAGGCTGGGACTACATACGCCTGCCACCACGCCTGGCTAATTGTTGTATTTTTAGTAGAGACAGGGTTTCACCATGTTGGCCAGGTTGGTCTTGAACTCCTGACCTAAGGTGATCCACCTGCCCCAGCTTCCCAAAGTGCTGGGATTACAGGCGTGAGCCAAGGCACCTGACCTAGGGTTGTTATATGTTTGACATCCGTCCCATTTGGGAGGCCTTCTCATCAGTCATTTTATGCCTTTAATGCCATTCTAGGTAGGCAGGAAAGGGGTCAGGGCCAGTGGGCCCATGTAGCATATAGGGAAACTGAGGCCCAGAGAGGGCAAGCCACTTCAAGAGGACCCAAACTAGATGCCAGGCAGGCCCTCTGCCTCTGGGATTTTGCCCATGTGGCTCACCTGGCCTAAGTCTGCTGGCCCAAGGAAAAGTTTCAACCCAACCCTGCCCTTTCCCCCATTCCTCTCGTGCAGGGGAGTTGGCGGGCCTGCGGCAGCAAATAATAGCTACACAGGAGAAAGCCAGTCTAGACAAGGAGCTGATGGCCCAGAAGCTGGTGCAGGCTGAGCGGGAGGCCCAGGCCTCTCTGCGGGAGCAGCGGGCAGCTCACGAGGAGGACTTACAGCGACTCCAGCGTGAAAAGGTTCAGGCAGCTGGGGAGGGGTGGGCAGGACTCTGAGCCAGTGTTTCATCATCGTTCTTGCTCTGCCTCGGTCTCTACATCTGTGAAATGGGACTTCCTCTCTGTTGTGGAGGTCCTGGGGACAGCTAGGAGGACTGGGGGGATGGGGAGGTTGTGGTTCTTATTAGACATGCAGATTCCCAGGTCCCAAATCTGGTCCAGCCCTGGTAATCCTGATGCAGAGGGTCCACAACCACATTTGGGAAATACTGACCTAATGTACAGCAGGAAAGCACTTTCATTTGCTAAGAAGTACTGTTTGCATATGAAGAGCCACTCAGACCTCAGCATATAGAAAGGCAAGGGGCCAGGGAAGTTACTAGAACACTGACTCTGGGTTTGAATTGCCTGGGTTTGAATCGAATCTTGGTCGCTTACTGGTGATGCTACCCAAGGTGTCCGTGCCTTCATTTCCCCACCTGTAGAAATAGGGATAGGATAGTGAAAGGTATTGAAGATGAGCTGAGACCATCTGCATAGAGGGCTTAGCATAGTGACTGGTACTTAGCAAATGCTCCATAAGTTATGATTGCTGGCACTGACATGCTCTCCAGAGTGGCCCTCGGGACAGGGGCCCTCAGCCACCAAATCCTAGACAGGGCTGCCTCTGACAGAGGTGCAGGCTATGACTGCATGGCTCCAGGGCATGCCACTCACCCTGCAGTACCCCTGGCCTTGGGTGGTTGTTACCACGCTTCTCCAGGAGGTGGCGGTAAAGCTCTTTTTTTTTTTTCTTTTTTCTTTTTTTGAGACGGAGTCTTGCTCTGTTGCTTAGGCTGGATTGCAGTGGCGCAATCTCGGCTCACTGCAACCTCCACTTTCTGGGTTCAAGCGATTCTCCTGCCTCTGCTTCCTGAGTAGCTGGGATTATAGGCGCGCCACCACGCCTGGCTAATTTTTGCATTTTTAGTAGAGACGGGATTTCACCATATTGGTCAGGGTGTCTCGAACTTTTGACCTCGTAATCTGCCCACCTCGGCCTCCCAAAGTGCTGGGATTACAGGCATGAGCTACGGTGAAGATCTTAAAGAAGGGGCGGTTTGGCCGGTCGTGCTGACTCATGCCTGTAATCCAGCACTTTGGGAGGCCGAGGTGGGCAGATCACCAGGTCGGAAGATCGAGACCATCCTGGCTAACACAGTGAAACCCCATCTCTACTAAAAATCACAAAAAATTAGCTGGGCGTGGTGGCACGCGCCTGTAGTCCCAGATACTTGGGAGGGTAAGGCAGAAGAATCGCTTCAACCTGGGAGGCAGAGGTTGCAGTGAGCCAAAATCTCGCCACTGCACTCCAGCCTGGGTGACAGAGCAAGACTCCGTCTAAAAAAAAAAAAAAAGAAGTGGCAGCTCTGTCTGCTTCTCACAGAGTTGCTAGGGGCAAGTGCTGAGGCAGGCACCTGCCCTCAGGCTCCCCAGGTGGGCTGCTATTTGCCTGTGGGCTCTGCCTGCCCGCCTGTCCAGTCCCCAGGGATCTGAACTCCTGTGACCTCCCCCTTGCTCTTCTTGCCCTTTGCATTGCCTGGCTTGGCCTCATTAATGTCCCCAAATCTGTGTTCTCTCCAGCTCCTCTGGCAACCCCTGACCCCCTTCATTCCTCACAGCCAGTCCTAACTCCCCTCCATCCCAACCCCAATCCCTCTTCCACAGCTGTCGGAACATCCCCTAAGCTAAAAATCAGATTGCTCCTTGTCACCTTGGCTCGAGTCCTCTCTCCCACTCCCCTCACTGTCCTTAGAATCCCCATGGCCCACACGGCCTGTCCTGGCCCCACCCCTGCCTGGGGCTCTGGCCCTGTGACTCACCATGTCCCGTTCCCCTCTGCACCCTGCATCCTCTAGGCCTTTCCAGGGGCTGTGTTCTTGGCCTGGGGTGGTCTTTTCTCTCCTTACCTGGCTGACAGTTACTTGTCCCTCCGCAGGGGACCATGTTCGGACCCCCAGGCCAGCCCACTGCTGCTCCTTGGCACTTTCACGGCCCTGGCGTGTCCCCGTCATAGCCCTTATCACTCCCTTGTATTTACCTGGTCACCCTCCATCTCTGAGGGTATGGGGGCCAGATGGCTCTTGCTGCCCTGATGTTTTGGGGGGTCTGCCTGGGCCCCCTCCTGGTGTGTCACAGGCATCCGGTCCTGGCCCCCTAGGAGGCAGCATGGCGGGAGCTGGAGGCCGAGCGGGCCCAGCTGCAGAGTCAGCTGCAGCGTGAGCAGGAGGAGCTGCTGGCCCGGCTGGAGGCTGAGAAGGAAGAGCTGAGTGAGGAGATTGCTGCCCTGCAGCAGGAGCGCGACGAGGGCCTCCTCCTAGCAGAGAGTGAGAAGCAGCAGGTTCGTGAGCCCTGGCATGGCCTCTGCTGCTCTCTGAGCTGCTCCAGTTCTGGGGCCGGGCCCTGCTCTGCCACTTGGCAGCTAGGAGCCCTGGGGCAGGCCACTGCCCTCTTGGGGGCCTCAGTTTCCTTACCTGCAGGAGGGGAGGATTAGAAGGGGGTTCGTGAGGCTTTGCTGTGCTCCATGCCTGGCACACAGTGAGCACTTACTGAGTGACAGTGACAGTCGTGACACCAGGAAAGCTGTTCCATATTCTCCCATGCCTCGTCCCACCCCACGCTGGGCATGGATCCTCATGGCTGCCTTCTGAGCAGTCCCCACGATGCCCACAGGCATCAGCTGACGTGTCCCCCCAAATAACAAATCCCTAACTTTCCTATAATGTAACGGAGACAGGGCAGACTGTGCCCATCTCCTCTCCTCACCAGCTGTGTACCTGGGCGAGTCACTTTACCTCCTTGAGCCTCAGTTTCCTCATCTGTAAGATGGGTAGAAAGAAAGACTCTGCAGTCAGGGTGCTGTGGCGGGTTAGTGAGCTCTATGAGTGGTATCCACGTCCGGGATTCTTGTGACTGCCGTTGTGCCCTTTTCCAGGGCTGCATGTCTGCCCTGGGTCCACCTGCAGTGGCACACTCAGGCCTCTAAGCCCCCAGTGGGCACATTTCCTAGGCAGCAAGAAGCCTGAGCATGCCCCCAGGACCAGCCCATCCCCCAAGCCCTTTGTCCCCTGCCTCTGCCCAGGCCTTGTCTCTGAAGGAGTCTGAGAAGACGGCGCTGTCAGAGAAGTTGATGGGTACACGGCACAGCCTGGCCACCATCTCCCTGGAGATGGAGCGGCAGAAACGAGATGCCCAGAGCCGGCAGGAGCAGGACCGGGTAGGGCAGGCTGGGCAGCTGGGCCTCTGTCTCATAGAGAGGCACATCCCTGGCTGAGGAGCCCCCACCACGGGGCGGCATGGCCCTGTCCTGGAGAAGCTTCCAGGCTGTGGGAAAGGAGGTTTAGCCCTTCTTTTGGGAGCCCCCATCTGAGGGAGGTGGCTCAGCCCTGCCCTGATGAATCCTTTTGGCGTGAGGGAGAGGCTGGCTACACGGGCAGCACTCACTATGCATCCAGGGGTTGGCAGAGGGTCCGGCAGGCCAGCGGGAGGGGCCGTGTTTAGAGCTAAAAGTGGACAGTGCACTGAGCGGGTTGGGAGCAGCCCGGGGCTGGGGGACACAGCAGGACCAAGTCTGAGGAGCCCCTCTGTCCCAGAGCACCGTGAACGCTCTGACGTCTGAGCTGCGGGACCTACGGGCCCAGCGGGAGGAGGCTGCTGCGGCCCACGCCCAGGAGGTGAGGAGGCTGCAAGAGCAGGCCCGAGACCTGGGCAAGCAGCGGGACTCCTGTCTTCGCGAGGTGAGCAGCCGCCCCCCTCTTCCAAGCAGCATACCCTAAATGGCACTGTGTGCCTGGGGGCCTAGTTCCCCAGGGCCCCAGAAGAGTGTAAGATTCCTCCCTGCATTTGAGGACCAATGAATAGCAACTTAGAAAGGAGGCAGCAAGCACTACGAAGCACCTGTTGTGTACAGGTGGGATTTGGCCTCAAGGAGGGGTGAGTGGGGTCTCTGCCCTCTTGGTGTTGTGCTCAGGACAGTCCTGATTGATGGTGACTTCAGGTCAAAACATTACTGATTACAGCACGCCTTGCTCAAATGATAACTCACAGCCTGCGGTCTGAGCACTGCAGAGGGATGGGGCAGGCTCCCTGGGTCCAGGGATCTGGGGTACAAGACCCAGCTTGACGGGGGGGTCCCTGACCGCTGCCCTGGGGACACCTGCTGTGCTCACAGGCAGAAGAGCTTCGGACCCAGCTGCGTCTGCTGGAGGATGCCCGTGACGGGCTGCGGCGGGAGCTGCTGGAGGCCCAGCGCAAGCTGCGTGAGAGCCAGGAGGGCCGGGAGGTGCAGCGCCAGGAGGCAGGCGAGCTGCGACGCAGCCTGGGCGAGGGTGCCAAGGAGCGCGAGGCCCTGCGGCGTTCCAATGAGGAGCTTCGGTCTGCTGTGAAGAAGGCAGAGAGCGAGCGCATCAGGTGGGGTGTCGCAGGAGGACCAGTCCTGAGTCCTCATGGGATCCCATCCCTGAAACCTAACTTCACCCCCAACGTTCTGGGGAAATTGCCCAGATACGGATCCTCTGTCTCCTAAGCAGAGCCTGGCACCTGGGTGATTTTAGGAAGGTTTCCTCCCTGTTGATTGGGGAAAGGGGCAGAGGGGCAGTGGGCAGCTTTGGGTCCAGACTCAGACCCACCCACCGTCATCACCCTGGAAACCAGGTCCCCTCCTGGAGTCACTGGTCTACCCCTCCCAGCCGAGGGCCTGGGCCCCAGCCCTGCAGGGCTCAGGGCTTAGCTCTTCAGAGAGGCCACATGGGCAGGCAGTGCCTGATCCACTCCAGAAATTGGAGGAGACGGCTTTTGTGTAGAGCCACTGACTACTCCCAGGACCCAGGGCAGCCCCTGACCTCTGCCCTCTCCAGCCTGAAGCTTGCCAATGAGGACAAGGAGCAGAAGCTGGCACTCCTAGAGGAGGCACGGACAGCTGTGGGCAAGGAGGCCGGGGAGCTGCGAACTGGGCTGCAGGAGGTGGAGCGCTCACGGCTGGAGGCTCGGCGGGAGCTGCAGGAGCTCCGGCGTCAGGTACTCTCCCTGTGCCACCCCTTAGCCTGGGGCTTGCTGTGTGCCCCGGGCCAATAGCTCCCCCTTTCTGGAATTACGTTTCTACCCCTATGTAAAACCAGGGGCTTGAACTATGACAAGCCCTCTCACCTAACCTTGGTGTGAATGGATGGGCTTTGAGGAGTCCTTGAATCCCTGAAACTGTGCAAAAGTCTGCGTGCATTTGTGTGCACACTCAGGCTCACATTTCTGCAAGGAGAGGAGCTGGTGTCCTTGTCCAGTTCTCAAAGGAATCTGCAAACAACAAAAGGTACAGATTTTGTGAACTAGGTCAGAGGTTGGCAAATGGTTTTTTGTAAAGAGCCCAAATGGTCAATATTTCCAGCTTTACGGGCCACACAGTCTCTGTTGCAACTACTTGACTCTGCTGGGGTAGTGAGAAAGCAGTCCCAAACAGTGCATGAACAGAGGGGTGTGGGTTCCAGTAAAACTTTGTTTAGGGACACTGAAATGTGAATTTTCTGTCATTTTCATGTGTCAAGAAATGTTGTTCTTCCTTTAGAAATGATCCATTTTCGATGATTTAAAAATGTAAAAAAAAAAAAAAATCCTTAACTCAGACCCTTGTAGAAACGGGAGATGGGCTGAATTTGGCCTGTGAGCTGTAGTTCGCTGACCCGTGAATTCGATGATCTGCAAACTCAACAGCAGCATGTATTGAAGAAGCACCTGCTGTCTACTGGGCACTGGCCTGGACACTGTGGGTTCAGGCTTCTCACTCTAGAAGATGCAAAGAACAGGAAATGGCCTCATTCAGCCCCTAGGCGCTGCCTCACCCAGAGATATCACAACCAGGCCAGGCGCAGTGGCTCACACCTATAATCTCAGCACTTTGGGAGGCGGAGGCCAGTGGATTGCTTGAGCCCAGGAGTTCGAGACCAGCCTGGGTAACATGGTGAAAACCTGTCTCTACTAAAAATACGAAAAATTAGCCAGCTGTGATGGCTCATGCCTTTAATCTCATGCTTTGGGAGGCCAAGTTGGGAGGACTGCTTGAGCCTAGGAGTTCAAGACCAGCCCAGGCAACATAGTGAGAACCAGTCTCTACAAAAAATTTAAAAAATAGCTAGGTGTGGTGACACGCTCCTGGAGTCCCAGCTACTTGGGAGGCTGAGGTGGGAGTATCCCTTGAGCCCAGGAAGTCAAGGCTGCAGTGAGCTGTGATCGCATCACCGCACTCCAGCCTGGGCGACAAAGCAAGACCCTGACTCTAAAAAAAGTTTTTAAACTTTTAATTTTTATTTTATTTATTTATTTACTTTCTGAGATGGAGTTTCACTCTTGTTGCCCAGGCTGGAGTGCAGTGGCGCAATCTCGGCTCACTGCAACCTCCGCCTCCCGGGTTCAAGTAATTCTCCTGACTCAGCCTCCCAAGTAGCTGGGATTACAGATGCCCGCCACCACACCTGGCTAATTTTTTTGTATTTTTAGTAGAGACAGGGTTTCACCATGTGGGCCAGGCTGGTCTCGAACTCCTGATGTCAGGTGATCCACCCACCTTGGCCTCCCAAAGTGCTGGGATTACAGGCATGAGCCACGATGCCTGGCCCCCCCAAATTTTTTTAATTAAAAAAATTGTTTTTAATTACAAAAAAAGAGATCACAACTGGATAGCCAGAGATATTCTGATACTCTGATAGCCAGAGATACCACAGCCCCCTTCACCCAGGCCCCTTCCTGAGAAACCACAAGACTCCCGGAAAGGAGCTGGCATTTGCGTGCCAGCTTTTGCTGGACGCGTTGCATGCTACGGCCTCTCCTGTTACCCCTGCTGTAGCACATGGGGGAGGTAGGCAGTACCCCTCCCTGCTCCTGTGGGGAAATAGGGGCTTAGAACATTGCCGTTGTCTCAGATCGAATCCCAGTCTGGTGTGTGTGGGCTGTGTGACTTTGGGGAGGTTACTCTGACACTCTGAGGCTCAGTTTTCTCATCTGTTAGATAGGGATAATGTTACTACCTACCTCATATAGCATTGTACCAAGATTAAACGAGTTAATATAACTGAAGTGCTTAGAACAGGACTGGACACATGGTAAGCGCTCCAAAAACGTTCATCGCCATCGTAGAGGGGAAAGATAACCCAGGGAGCTGTGGTTCCTGCCTGTGAACTCCTGGTCTGCTAAGGGCTGAGCCCTCCTTCTATTATACCCACCCCTTTATGAAAGGTAGTTTTGGCCCATTGATTAAGTGGTAAACAGGCCACTGGTGCCCAAGTGCCTGGCATCGCCCAAGTTCAGTGTGGTTGTGTAGGGGCCGGCTCCCAGTGGATGTGGGGTGGTATTTGATACATGTGTCCCTACAGCAGTAGGTACCAAGTGGCCTTGGGCCAGAACTGGGAGGGTACAGGGGCAGAGCTGAACCTGCTGCCATTCCCGTGCTCTCACAGATGAAGATGCTGGACAGTGAGAACACCAGACTGGGCCGGGAGCTGGCGGAGCTGCAGGGCCGCCTGGCGCTGGGCGAGCGGGCAGAGAAGGAGAGCAGGCGGGAGACCCTGGGCCTCCGGCAGAGGCTGCTGAAGGGCGAGGCCAGCCTGGAGGTGATGCGGCAGGAGGTAACTGAGCAGGCGGGCAGGCTGGTGCATCTTTCCTTCCCCCAGCAGGAAGCAGGTGGGCACCCCAATGCTGGGGCCATTCTGAAAGGCCACTCCCTAGGGCTTGCTCCTTCCCCCACTCCTTGAGACTCTTCCCCAGTTGTAGTAACAACAACCCAAAGAACAGTGGGCCTACTGTGTGCCGGCACAAAATGGGTAGGGAGAGGCCCTGTAGATACAACCTTGTTTGATTTCCCCAGCAGCCCTATGGGGTAGGTACTGTTAGCCCTTTTTATTTAGTTATTTATTTTGAAATGGAGTCTCACTCTGTCGCCCAGGCTGGAGTGCGCTGGCACCATCTCGGCTCACTGCAACCTCCGCCTCCTGGGTTCAAGCAATTCTTCTGCCTCAGCCTCCCGAGTATCTGGGATTACAGGTGCTTGCCACCACGCCCAGCTAATTTTTTGTATTTTTAGTAGAGACAGGATTTCACCATGTTGGTCAGGCTTGTCTCAAACGCCTGACCTCAGGTGATCCACCTGCCTCGGCCTCCCAAAGTGCTGGGATTACAGGTGTGAGCCACCACACCCTTCCTACCATTAGCCCCATTTTACAGAGCCCTCAGAGAGGTCGAGGGATCTACCCAAGGTCACACAGCCACCTAAGTCTGTCTGACTCCAAAGCCCACAGGCTACCCGCTCTGCCTTTTCCGGCTGTTTCATTGCCATGAATCTGTTGTGTGGCCTGAACCAAGTCACGTCATCTCTGTGCCTCAGAGCGCTCATGAGAGATGGGCTAGCACAGCCGAGCATGTATGAAGGGCCCTGGCACAGGTCCTGGCAACCAGCTGCTCAGTAGATGGGTTTCCAGTGAAACTGGTGACCGTGAGAGGTTGACTCTCTAAATGGCAGGGGTGGCTTTGTGTCTGTGTGACCATGCATCCCATCAGGAAATGATATTTTAGTGCATGCCCCCATTGTGTGCAAATTTATTGATAAATTATGGGCAAGGGCGGCAATGTAGCCTAGTGGTTAAGGGAACAGCCTCTGGACACAGCTCCCTTTGGAACCAGTGGGCACTTAACCTTCCTGGCTGTTCACTGTGTTCTCAAGTGCAGCCCACAGCCCCCGTGTGGCCCCGTGTGGTATGCCTCCCCGCCTTTCCCCCACCCCCCAGGGCTGTGAGTACATGTGATTAATAAGCTGCTGTCAAGCTATTAAAAACAAAAAACAAAAAAAAAAACAGAAACAAAAACAGCCGGGCGCAGTGGCTCACACCTGTAATCCCAGCACTTTGGGAGGCCGAGGCTGGCAGATCACTTGAGGCCAGGAGTTCGAGAGCAGTCTGGCTAACATGGCAAAACTCTGTCTCTACTAAAAATACAAAAATTAGCTGGGCATGGTGGTGCTCACCTGTAATCCCAGCTACTCGGAGGCTGAGGTGGGAGGATCACTTGAACCCAGGAGGCAGAGGTTACAGTGAGCTGAGATTGCCCCACTGCACTCCAGCCTGGGTGACAGAGCTAGACTCTGTCTCCAAAAACAAACAAACAAAAACCCACAAAAACAACAAAAAAAACAGCCTTTGGAGCTAGAGTGCCTGGCTTTGAATCCCAGCTCTGCAGTTTACTAACTCTGGCCTTGGACAAGTTACTTAGCATCTCTGTGCCTGTTTCATCTTCTGTAAAGTGAGATCGATTCATAGAGTAGTAATTAGAGTTAATATTTTTTGGAAAGTTACTTAGTGCCTGGCACTGATAAGCCCTATGTATTCAAATGCCAGCTGTTATTACTAATAAACTATGGGCATTACAAGGCTTGTATAAAGAATAAAGAGATTAATAAACAAGTTCTAGTATTTCCTCCCACGGGGATGTTTTTGCACCGCCTGCTTGAGTGGCGAGCACTAAAGGAGAAAGGGTTGTACTGACCACACAGTCAGGGATGGTGGGCTCCAGTCTGGGCCTTAGGGGTGGGGCGTCGGGTTGGGAGAGGTCTTGCCGACCTCCACCTCCTGGCATCACTCCAGCTCCAGGTAGCCCAGCGGAAGCTGCAGGAACAAGAAGGCGAGTTCCGGACCCGCGAGCGACGCCTGCTGGGCTCCCTGGAGGAGGCGCGTGGCACTGAAAAGCAGCAGCTGGACCACGCCCGCGGCCTGGAGCTGAAGCTGGAGGCGGCGCGGGCCGAGGCTGCAGAGCTGGGCCTGCGGCTGAGCGCAGCCGAGGGCCGGGCACAAGGCCTGGAGGCCGAGCTGGCCCGCGTGGAGGTGCAGCGGCGCGCGGCGGAGGCCCAGCTGGGTGGCCTGCGCTCGGCTCTGCGCCGGGGCCTCGGCCTCGGTCGCGCGCCCAGCCCAGCCCCGCGGCCAGTGCCCGGTTCCCCTGCCCGGGACGCACCCGCAGAAGGTAAGGGCAGTGCCGCGCGCAGGGAAGGGGGGAGGTGGGCGGGCCGCACTGAGGCCCCGCCCCCACATGGCAGGGTGTTTTTGTTTTTGTTTTTGTTTTTTTTCAAGGAGCCCACCACACCTCTCCACTGAGGTCCACTTCTTAGCCCCGTCCCCTCACCGAGACCCCTCCCTTCACTGATCTGTGCTTCTCAAGGGCGCTTCTTTTTTCTTTAGACCAGGCCTCATCTGTTTCCCGGGCTCAAGTGGTCCTCCCTCCTCAGCCTCCTGAGTAGCTGGGACTACAGGTGTGCCACCACGCCCAGCTAATTTTTGTAGTTTTTGTGGAGACGGGGTCTCACTATGTTGCCCAGGCTGGTCTTAAACTCCTGGCCTCAAGCGATCCTCCTGTCTCAGCCTCTCAGGGTTGGGATTAGAGGCATGAGCCACGGCACCCGGTCTAGGCCACTTATTTTTTTGGGGAAGTGGGGTGATTCTTTTTTTTCAACTTTTGAGACAGGATCTCACTCTGTCACCTCAGTTGAAGTGCAGTAGTGTGATCTTGGCTCCCTCTGCCTTGGCAGCCTGTGCCTCCTGGGCTCAAGTGATTCTCCCACCTCAACCTCCTTTGTAGCTGAGACTACAGGTGTGCACTACAATGTCTGCTTAATTTTTGTGTTTTTAGTAGAGATGGGGTTTTGCCATATTGCCCAGGCTAGTCTTGAACTCCTGGACTCAAGCGATCCTCCCACTGGGATTACAGGCGTGAGCCACCGTGCCTTTCCTGGACCGGGGGCTGGAGGGCTCTTAATGCCTTTGACTCCTTATCTGATTTTCTGAGCTTCCATCCTGCCATATACTCCCACATACTTTCAGTCATCTCTAGGTTACTTAGGATACCAAATACAGCTAAGTGGAAATCTTACACTTGTTACACTGTATTGTTTTTAATTATTCTTTTTGTTTTTTTTTGAGATGGCGTCTTGCTCTGTTGCCCAAGCTGGAGTGCAGTAGCACGATCTCGGCTCACTGCAACCTCTGCCTCCTGGGTTCAAGTGATTCTCCTGCCTCAGCCCCCTGAGTAGCTGGGAGACTACAGGCGTGTGCCACCACGCCTGGCTAATTTTTGTATTTTTAGTAGAGACGGGGTTTCAAGGCTGGGCGCGGTGGCTCATGCCTGTAATCCCAGCACTTTGGGAGGCAGAGGTGGGCGGATCACGAGGTCAGGAGATCGAGACCACAGTGAAACCCCGTCTCTACTAAAAATACAAAAAAAATTAGCTGGGCACAGTGGCAGGCACCTGTAGTCCCAGCTACTCGGGAGGCTGAGGCAGGAGAATGGCGTGAACCCGGAAGATGGAGCTTGCAGTGAGCTGAGATCCCGCCACTGCACTCCAGCCTGGGCGACAGAGCTAGACTCCGTCTCAAAAAAAAAAAAAAAAAAAAAAAAAAACAGGATTTCAGCATGTTGGTCAGGCTAGTCTTGAACTCCTGACCTTACGTGATCTGCCCACCTCAGCCTCCCAAAGTGCTGGGATTAAAGGCATGAGACACTGTGCCCGGCACACCTGGCTAATTTTTGTGTATGTGTGTGTGTGTATATAAATATACATATATATATATGTATATTTTTTTTTTTTAGGAGAGATGGGGTTTCACCATGTTGGACAGGCTGGTCTCAAACTCCTGACCTCCAGTCGGGATGATCTGGGAACAGATGATGGTGATGGCTGCACAACAGTGTGAATGTAATTCATGCCGCTCAGTTGTACACTTAAAAATGATGAAAATGGCCAGACACGTTGGCTCATGTTTGTAATCCCAGCACTCTGCGAGGCCGGAGCGGGTGGATCACTCGAGGCCAGGAGTTCAAGACCAGCCTAGCCAACATGGTGAAACCCTGTCTCTACTAAAAATACAAAAAATTAGTCAAGTGTGGTGGCAGACGCCTGTAATCCCAGCTACTCGGGAGGCTGAGGCAGGAGAATCTCTTGAAACCAGGAGGCAGAGGTTGTGGTGAGCCGAGATCGCACCATTGCACTCTAGACTGGGCAACAAGAGCGAAACTCCGTCTCAGAAAAAAAAAAAAAAAAAAAATTGGGCAAAGCCAAGGTAGGGGCTAGGGCAGTTCATGCGGGGGCAGCAGGTGCCTCACTGAGGAGGTGATGGGTAAGGGGAGAACGTGAGCGAGCAGCTGGGAGGGGGACTCGGGGCGAGTAGGGAGGTCCTGAGTGGAGGTGCGCCTGTCCTGTGGACAGCAGGGGCCAGCAGTCCCAGAGCATCAAGCAGGGGGGTGAGATTTGGGGACGAAGGGCTTGCTCCAATAGACATTATAGGCCTCTACGGGGACTTTTACCCTGAGACGATGGGACCTTCTAGAGCTGGAGGCCCCCAGGGGCAGGCCTGCTTCTTTGGGAACCTCTGAGCGAGGCCTTTTGGGTGGTGACCAAGTTCATGGCTGCGGAGCAGTTTTGGTGTCCCTCTGCGGCCAAGGCAGGATGCTCATGGCAGGACCCGTGTCCTGCAGTTCCAGTGCCAGCCTCCAGGTAGTGCCCTGGTTCCACCCGCCCTGCCCCCTCCACCTCCCCGGGCCATCACTCCAAGCAGGAGTGCTGCCAGGGAGTCGGGCTGCCTGGATTCCCATCTCAGCCCTGAAACTTCCCAGCATTGAGAACAACCAAATCACTTTGTTTTTGTTTTTTTTTGAGCCCAAGTCTCGCTCTATTGCCTATGCTGGAGTGCAATGGCGCGATCTCGACTCACTGCAACCTCCGCCTGCTGGGTTCAAGCGATTCTCCTGCCTCAGCCTCCTGAGTAGCTGGGACTACAGGCGTGCACCACTGCACCCAGCTAATTTTTTGTATTTTTAGTAGAGATGGGGGTTTCACCATGTTGGCCAGGCTGGTCTTGAACTCCTGACCTCAGGTGATCTGCCCGCCTCGGCCTCCCACCAGAGTGCTGGGATTACAGGTCTGAGCCACCGTGCCGGGCCCACTTTTTTCTTTTTCTTTTCTTTTCTTTTTTCTTTATTTTTTTTTTTTTTTGAGACAGAGTCTCTCTCTGTTGCCCAGGCTGGAGTGCAGCACAGTCTCAGCTCACTACAACCTCTGTCTCCAGGGTTCAAGTGCTTTTCCTGCCTCAGCCTCCAGACCTCAGCCTCCCAGGTAGCTGGGACTATAAGCGTGGGCCACCATGCTCAGCTAATTTTTCTCTTTTCTTTTCTTTTCTTTTCCTTTCTTTTCCTTCCTTCCTTACTTTCTTTTCTTTTCTTTCCTCTTCTTTCTTCTTTTTTTTGACCGAGTCTCACTCTGTTGCCCAGGCTGGAGTGTAATGGTGCAGTCTTAGCTCACTGCAACCTCTGCCTCCCAGGTCCCAGTTCAAGCAATTCTCCTGCCTCAGCCTCCTGAGTAGCTGGGATTACAGGCGCCCGCCACCACACCTAATTTTTGTATTTTTAGTAGAGACGGGTTTTCACCATGTTGGCCAGGCCGGTCTCGAACTGCTGACCTCGTGATCTGCCCACCTCGGCATCCCAAAGTGCTGGGATTACAGGTGTGAGCCACTGCTCCCAGTCTTTTCTTTCTTCTTTTTTTGAGACGGAGTCTCGCTGTGTTACCCAGGCTGGAGTGCAGCGGTTCGATTAGGAACACTGCGAGCTCCGCTTCCCGGGTTTAAGCAATTCTCCAACCTCAGCTTCTCGAATAGCTGGGATTACAGGTGCATGCCACCACGCCCAGCTAATTTTTGTATTTTTAGTAGAGATGGGGTTTCACTAGTTGGCAGGCTGGTCTCGAACTCCTGACCTCAGGTGATCCACCTGCCTTGGCCTCCCAGAGTGCTGGGATTACAGGCATGAGACACCGCACCTGGCCAATTTTTGTATTTTCAGTAGAGACGGGGTTTTACCATGTTGGCCAGGCTTGCCTTGAACTCCTGACCTCAAGTGATCCGCCTGCCTCGGACCCCACAGTGCTGGGATTACAGGTGTGAGCCACCACACCCAGTCAACAGAACAAGCAAATCACTTAACTGCTTTGTGCCAGCCTTGCCTGGGAAGAGGGTAAATTGTTCCTTACCTGTCAGGAAGTTGTTGTGAAGATGAAGTGCCTAGCACAGTGGGCACTCAGTATGGAGAGACTTGAGGTGATGCAGCAACCACCCTTGCACTGGGCCCTGGGAACAGTGGTGGATGGAAGAGACGAGGCCCAGCCCTCATGGTGCTCCTGGTCGGGGTGGGGGTGGCAGACATCAGACCCCGCTGAGGGTGGGATGAGCTCACTGTAATCCAGCCTGTGGCCAGAGAGGCCTCTGAGGGAGAGGGATGGCCCTAAAGGATGGGCCAGGCAAAGAGAGGCCATGGGGAGAAGGGGAGCAGCATGTACAGAGGCCCTGGAGCTGGGACAAAGAATGTTCTAGAACATGGGAGATGCAGGGTGGCCAGTTTGTAAAGGGTGAGAGGGTTTCAGCTGGGATGGGCAAGAAGACCCCTAAGCTATAGCAGAGAAGTTGGGCTTGATTCTGAGGGCTGTTGGGAAAGGCAGGGATGACAGTGAGTGAGATGTGTGGGAGGCCCGTGGCTTCTGCATCACTGAGCAAGTCTTCTTTCTCTTCTAGGAAGCGGGGAAGGGCTCAACAGCCCCAGCACCTTAGAATGCAGCCCTGGGTCCCAGCCACCATCTCCAGGACCTGCCACCTCCCCAGCCTCTCCAGACCTGGACCCGGAGGCAGTGCGCGGGGCCCTCCGGGAATTCCTGCAAGAGCTGCGGAGTGCCCAGAGAGAACGGGTAAGCCTGGGTGTGCATGGCTGGATGGGGAACCTGGAGGGCCCTGGGGAGGTTGCAGGGTGTCAGAGCAGGGGTCTGTCTTTGTTCCCCCATGTCGGGGCTACAGGACGAACTTCGGACCCAGACCAGTGCCCTGAATCGCCAGCTGGCCGAGATGGAGGCTGAGAGGGACAGCGCAACCTCGAGGGCCAGGCAGCTGCAGAAGGCGGTGGCTGAGAGTGAGGAAGGTGAGTCTGATCCTCGGGGTCCCTGTTCTCTCTCCTGTGTTTTGGGCAGTTGAGGCAGGAGCCGGGGGATTGGCCTCTGACCTTGCCGTGGCCCCCATGACCTGACTCGGGGCTGTCTCCAAGAGGACCCTCCTTGGACAGCCTCACCTGTGTGCAGGCCCGCATACTACGAAGGGTGCAGACAGTCTGGCCCTGCACTGGGTGGAGTGCAGGCTGGACATTTTGTGACCTGGTTTGGGTCTCGGGGCTGTGCTTGGCCATGCCTGACGGGGTGGGTGGTGGCTACAGCCCGGCGCAGTGTGGATGGGCGGCTGAGCGGGGTCCAGGCGGAGCTGGCGCTGCAGGAGGAGAGTGTGCGGCGCAGTGAGCGGGAGCGCCGGGCCACGCTGGACCAGGTGGCCACACTGGAGAGGAGCCTGCAGGCCACCGAGAGCGAGCTCCGGGCCAGCCAGGTGGGCAGGAGCTGAGGGCCAGCGGGGCGACGGGGAATCTGTGTACCCGAGTGAGTGTCTAACTCTTATGTGTGTCTCCCTGTGTCTGTCTGCCTGAGTCTCTCTGCAACCCACTGAGGTGACCAGCCTGTGACTCTGTGAAACCATGTTCAGACTCCATCCTCTCATGTCACTTGTGGTCACTAGGCTGTAGAAAAAAGAGCTTGGTCAAGGTGCAGTAGCTCATGCCTGTAATCCTAGCACTTTGGGAGGTCGAGGCAGGTGGATCCCTTGAGCACAGGAGTTTGAGACCAGCCTGGGCAACATGGTGAAACCCCGTCTCTATGAAAAATACTTAGCTGGGCATGGTGGTGTGGGCCTGTAGTCCCAGCTACTCGGGAGGCTGAGGTGGGAAGATCACTGGAGCCCGGTAGGTCGAGGCTGCAATGAGCTGTGATCATGCCACTGCACTCTAGCAAGGCAGAGTGAGACCCTGTAAAAAAGAAAAGAAAAAAAAAAGAAGAAGAAGAAGAAAAGAAAGAGAGCTTGGGCTTTGGGCTGTCATCTGCCTGGTTTTCATTTTCCTAATCTGTAAAAGGAGGAGCAGTGATTACGTCACAGGGTGACACACACAGGCTCTTATCACAGGTGGTACTCAGGGGGCCTCTGTTTTATGTCTCTGTAGTTCTGGGGTTTTTATGTGTGTTTGGGGGACAGCTATGTGTGCCAGTGTGTATGTGCGTCTGTCGGGCAGGAAACTCAGGCCCTGGTGGTGACAGTGCAGCCAAAGCTCCCCTCTGCCCTCCCCAGCCTGTCCCTCTATTACTGCTTCCCCCCACCACCCCCGCCCCCAAGGCCTCTGGCCTGGGGCCGAGCTTAGCTGGATTGTTGTGTCTGCGGCTTCAACCCTGGCCATGGGCCCAGCCGCAGGGGCTGCAGGAGGAGGCCAGGAACAAAGCTGGGCAGGAGCCAGAGTGGGGGCCCCAGACAGGGCAGGGCTGGGGCTCTGGGCAGGGTGGCAGAGGGGCCAGGCTCAGGATAGGGGCTGGGGAGGCTCTAATAACACCCCCTGTTGATCCACCCTGTCTCTAGGATAGTACCAGGGATGGGAGGACCCCTAGTCTGCCTTCCTGTCCCATCCCCACTCCCCAGGCCTTTTTCACTGGCTGACCCTGGGCAGGGGAGGGGGAATCACCACCTGAAACCCTAGAACAGCAGGGCCCCCTCAGAACTGTCCGGCTCAGCTCAGTTTGCACGAGTCAGTGGGGCAGGAGAAGGGCCTTGGAATCTGCATTTCTACAGCCCCTCCTCAGGGCTCCTGTGAGCACCCAGGTTGTGGTACCCTGGGACCAATCCAGTGTCCCTACTGTACAGATATGAAATGGGGCCATAGGGCGCGAAGGGGCAGTCCTGGGTTCCACAGCCCATTGGCCTGGGCTAAAACTGGAAGGTGGGCTCTGGGATCTTCACGTCCACTCATCCTGGGAACGCATGGGGAGACCGAGGACCCCAGAGGGTCCCAGGCCGGCCCCAGGTCACGTAGGTCACCCTTCGAGGCTGCTCCCCACTTTCCCCCTAAGGGCCCCAGGGCGTGTGCGGGAGGGCTGCGGGGTGCACTGGACGTCTGGGCCTGAGCCCCATGCCACCTGCAGGAGAAGATCAGCAAGATGAAGGCCAATGAGACAAAGCTGGAGGGCGACAAGCGGCGCCTGAAGGAGGTTCTGGACGCCTCCGAGAGCCGCACTGTCAAGCTGGAGCTGCAGCGGCGCTCGCTTGAGGGGGAGCTGCAGCGCAGCCGCCTGGGCCTCAGTGACCGCGAGGCCCAAGCCCAGGCCCTCCAGGATCGGGTGGATTCCCTGCAGAGACAGGTGGGCCCCTCCCCAAATCACAGCCACAGTGTTCACATGCCCTGTGCCAAGAGCTTTGTAGGCACTACGCAGTCCCCCAACAACCCTGTGAGGCAAGTATTACCCACATCCCCATTTCACAGATGGACAAATGGAGGCTGAGAGGTGATGTCATTGTCTAAGATCCCATAGCTAGTAAGAGGCAGAGCCAAAATTAGAATTCAGGACTATTTGATGACAGCATCTGCATACATAGGAGTCATCTGGGACAAGTTAGAGATGTAGGTTTCACTCATTTCCCTTTTTGCCTTGACTGCTAGGAAGCTCAGCTCTAACTGGAATGTTAAATAATACGGCTAGCCTTGCCTGAACACCCAACAAGGTCAAAAATAAAAAAATTTTAGGGTCGTGGTGGTTTCCCTTTCTCTTCCACAGCAGAGAGGAGAGAGGAGTGAGGACAGGGAGGAGACCAGGGAGTCTGAGACAACTAGGTTGATGGCACTCTGGGCACTAGTAGTTAGCCAGCAATGGGATGGGGCCCAGGTGGCAGTAGGCTGAGCCAGCAGGAGTGCTTAGGAACACTGGGTCTCAATGATGGAGGCCCAGAGAGAAGTGGGAAGGGTGTGGATTGGGCATGCCAGGTGGAGGTCACAGTGGGAGCAGAGGTATAGAGGCCAGATGGGAACAGCCCCGATTGTTCTGGCTGTCCTCCTGCCAGGTGGCCGACAGCGAGGTGAAGGCAGGGACCCTGCAGCTGACCGTGGAGCGGCTGAATGGGGCCCTGGCTAAGGTGGAGGAAAGCGAGGGGGCCCTGCGGGACAAGGTGCGGGGCCTGACAGAGGCCCTGGCCCAGAGCAGTGCCAGCCTCAACAGCACCCGGGACAAGAACCTGCATCTGCAGAAGGCTCTGACCGCCTGTGAACATGACCGCCAAGTACTCCAGGTCTCGGGCCCAGGGTCTGGCTGGGGTGGGCCCAGTGAGAGAGTCAGCCAGTAAGAGCAGGCTTGGAGGGGGGCCCTGGTAGAGAGCCAGCCAATGGGGCAGTCAGTTGGAGCCAATGAGAGCAGGCTTTGAAGGGAGGGCGTGGGCCCAGTAGACCATCAGCCAAGGAGAAGAGGCTCTGGGTATGTCCCGTAAGAAGACAAGGCTACTGGTATAGACTTGGGGGGACCCAGGGGCAGGGTTTATTGGGGAGAGTTGGGGTCTGAGTGGGTCCCACCTTATGCAGGTCAGTGGATAGGCCGTGGATGGGTTTGGTGTGCACCCCACCCTCCAGGTGAGATGACTGCCTGTTTTATGCTCTGTGGACCTGTCCAGAGGTACAGAATAGAGAGGACTCCTTAGGGCTCCCAGGCCAGCCAGGCACCATCAGCCCCTGTCCCCCAGGAACGGCTGGATGCCGCCCGGCAGGCATTATCTGAGGCACGGAAGCAGAGCAGCTCCCTGGGCGAGCAGGTGCAGACGTTGCGAGGCGAGGTGGCTGACCTGGAACTGCAGCGGGTGGAGGCCGAGGGCCAGCTACAACAGCTACGGGAGGTGAGGGCCAGGGTGTGCCCCCTCTGTCCCCAAGACTGTGAGGCCCTAGGATAGGGTGGGGACGTTCCCACCCATCTCAACCTCATCCCAAACCCTGGTGCAGCCTCCAGTAAGGAAACATGGTTCATTCAGAGCATAGTCCTGTTATACAGATGGAGAAACAGACTGAGAGAGACAGGTTTGGCTTCAGGTGACAATTCTCTGATGTGGGCCTCACCGTCGCCTGCTCTGTGAGTGGGCCAGCCTCATTGTCCCCAAGCTTCAGATAAGTATGCTCAGGCCCAGAGGGATTCGGGGCCTGCCTGGCTTCTGTTGCAGGTGCTGCGGCAGCGGCAGGAGGGTGAGGCTGCAGCCCTGAACACCGTCCAGAAGCTGCAAGACGAGCGGCGGCTGCTGCAGGAGCGCCTGGGAAGCCTGCAGCGCGCCCTGGCTCAGCTGGAAGCTGAGAAGCGGGAGGTGGAGCGCTCAGCCCTGCGGCTGGAGAAGGACCGTGTAGCCCTCAGGAGGACGCTGGACAAGGTAGGCTGCTCCCCAGGCTCTCCCCTCACTTCCTCTGGGGCCTAACCGTGGTGGATCCCACTGCACATCCCCAGGGTCTGCTACCTCTGGTGGGGTTAGGTTATTCCATCAGGGTTCAGGAACCTGAGCCCCCTCAGTAAGCTCCTCCTGGCACCCTGATCTCCTGTGGCTCTCCTGCCTAGGTGGAGCGGGAGAAGCTTCGTAGCCATGAGGACACAGTGCGGCTGAGCGCAGAGAAGGGCCGCCTGGACCGCACCCTCACGGGGGCTGAGCTGGAGCTGGCAGAGGCGCAGAGGCAGATCCAGCAGCTGGAGGTCTGACCCCACCCAGTCCGGGACCCCAACTTCATCCCTAGTATGAGTGCTCAGCAATTCCAGTGGAGCTGATGGCCCAGCCAGCCCAGGGCCCATAACCCCCTCCCCCAGGAGCCCTGAGCCTTCCAGTGACCCAGCGGGCCATGGAGGGATGGGTTCTCCCTAAGGTGTACAGAAAAGACACGAAAGGCCTGTTTGCACGTGAGCCTGTGGGTTCATGTACGTTGTGGCCATGCAGCAGTGTGAGAATCCATGTGACGATTCTTGTGTATGGAGCATGAATCTTGTGCATGGTGTGGCGTGTCTAGGTATTATGAATATGTGTTTGTGTACAGATGTTTTCATGCATGGGGGAGTTGGGCCTTTGCACATACACATGCACCTGTGTGAGTCCAGATAGGTATTTACATGCTTGCCTTTGTGCCTGTGTGTATGATGTCTGAGTGTGTGTGTGTGTGTGTGTGTGTGTGTGTGTGTGTGTGTGTCCATGCACCTGCCTGAGTGGGGGTCATTGGGTGCACTCATCCTGGGCTCGCAGGCTCACTGTCAGGGCCAGCAGGATGGAAGACACACAAGGATCTCTCCTGCCTTCCCCCTCTGCACTGGCCGTGTCCCAGGGAGGTACCTGACAACCCGTCACACATGCACACACACACTCACACTGGGCCAGAACGCGGACCACAGCCCCTCCCTGCAGGCGCAGGTGGTGGTGCTGGAGCAGAGCCACAGCCCGGCCCAGCTGGAGGTGGATGCGCAGCAGCAGCAGCTGGAGCTGCAGCAGGAGGTGGAGCGGCTGCGCAGCGCCCAGGCGCAGACTGAGCGCACCCTGGAGGCTCGGGAGCGGGCCCACCGCCAGAGGGTGCGTGGGCTGGAGGAGCAGGTGTGCAGGCCCCCTTAGAAGGCTGGGCCAGGATGGATGTGTGGGGCTGCAGAAAGAGGAGAGACCCAATCAAGACCTTGTGGGTATAGGCAGTCGATGGCTCCCGTAACCGAAAAGGGTGGGGTTGGCTCTGCGCTGGTGTCAGCCAAGACCAGACCGGGGCCACGGGATGCTCCTGGGCCCCAGGCCTCCTGCCATGGCTCTGTTCCCCCTGGCTCCATGCTCAGGGTAGCCTTCTCCCTGGGTGGCCAGGTGGCCTCAGCAGCTCCAGCCTCAGGTTCTCCCAGCAATCTGTCATCTCAGAAGAGAGCAGGGGCAGAAGTCCTAAGGCTGTCCCTCACTGGCCCGCTCAGATCACATACCCCTTCCTGACCATGCCTGAGCCAGCCTTGTCGGCCGGGCAAGGCTTCTCTGCTAGGCCGGGCTGGGTCACATGTCCACCCCTTGGGTCTGGGCTGAAGCCACGCCCACCCAAGTGATGATGGGGATAAAGAATGGGGGTGGAGTTGCCCTCAAAGGTGCCCAACAGTCAGAAGACGCCTGACTCTGCTATAAGGAACAAAATGAGAAAGGCAGGACAGCCCCTGGCTCTCAGTGAGACCAGACCTTTCCTGAAACTGTGGCACTGTGTCCCTCCGGGTTCCCTGCTGCCTCCCTTTCTCTGAAGCCAGGCTGAGGACCTGGCTGGCCTTACCTTCCCTTTCTTCCCCAGGTGTCCACACTGAAGGGCCAGCTGCAGCAGGAGCTTCGAAGGAGCTCAGCACCCTTCTCCCCACCCTCCGGCCCCCCAGAGAAATGAGCTCCTGCTGGCATCTGGAGAACACCCCTGTGCCTGGGACAGGGGAGGACCCTTCTTTTGGACAGCCCCCCCACCCAGAGCCCGGTCCCTTGGGGGCCTCAAGCTGGGGTGGGATGAGGAGGCGCTCTGCTGGCAGTGCTGAGGACGGGTACTCCAGCTCCAGGCCTGGAGAGGCTTCCCAGCAACACCTGCAGTCCAGCCCCCCTCTTCTAGGATGAGCCACTGTAGATCATTAAAGTTCCTCCTTGAGAGGCTGAGCCGTAGCCAGGATTGGGGAGAGCCCTTGTCTCTGGTCAGCCCTGGAGCATGGGATCGTGGGAAAGAGGAGGGGGACCAGGCCCAGGGCAGGGGTCAGAGGCCCAGGCCCTGACTTCGGCTTCCCAGAGATCTCTCCGCCTTAGTTAAGAGCATGTGTCGGGAAATTCCTCAGAGTGCTCAGAGTCCCTGTATTTTTATACCTTTTTACAATGTTAACTGTTCAGAACTGTTTTTTGTAACAAAACCTTGTTTTTAAAAAAGTTTGTACAGCTGTGTCCCTTTTCTAGACAATTGGAGGAGACGTCGGGGGGAGACAGGTAGGGTCTGGGGCAAGAGGGATGGGGCCCTCTAGGGAGGGGTGCTTGGGGAGGCGGCAGGGAGAGCAGAGAGGCCGGTATTGGGAAGGGAACTTACCAGCCTCACAGAATGTCAGATGGGGAGGCCTCTGGGGTACTCGGTCACCCGGCCCATGGAACAGATGGGGCTGTTGAGGCCTGGGACTGGGCCCAGCCTGTGCACCTCGACTCCTTCCAGCCTATGCTTTCTTGCCCCTTTCTCTGGCCCCTCCTTAGATCCAAGCCCACCCTCGGGACAGTGACAGGCCTTCCAGGCAGCATGGCAAACAAGTGCAGGTTTGGATGTGAACGTGGGGTCTTGCCCTGGCACCGCTGAGTGATCCTGAGCAAAGCTGCTTAACCTCTTAGAGCCTCAGTTTGCTCATCTGTAAAATGGGAACCTAACCGCATAGGGTGGCTCTGGGGAAGTTCACATAGGAGGTGCTCAATCAGTGTCCGAAGGAGAAATTAACACTCATCCTCACCTGCTGGAGTCCAGCTGACCGATTCAGCCACAGCACTGCCACTGATAGCTGTGGACCCGTGGGTGGGACCCTTGGGTGGGTTACTTAACGTCTCTGGGCTCAGTTTTCCTGTCTCTAAGAAGGGGATATGAATTGCATCCACCACATATGCCTGTTCGGACGGCTAAACAGGAGTGTGTGAGCCTTCACACACAGAGCCCAGGCCCCACATGCTGGTTGGAGGGAGGTGTTACAATGGCTTGCTTGTTTTTGCCCTTTTTTTTTTGAGACACAGTCTTGCTCTGTCGCCCAGGCTGGAGTGCAGTGGCGCGATCTCGGCTCACTGCAACCTCCGCCTCCCAGATTGAAGCAATTCTTGTGCCTCGGCCTCCTGAGTAGCTGGAATTACAGGCACACGCCACCACGCCTGGCTAATTTTTTTTTGTATTTTTACTAGAGACGGGATTTCGCCATGGCCAGGCTGGTCTCGAACTCCTGGCCTCAAGTGATCCGCCCGCCTCAGCCTCCCTAAGTGCTGGAATTATAGGTGTGAGTCCCTGTGCCCCGCTTTTTTTGCCCTCTTAATGGCACCCATCTCCCCAACTTCCCAAACAAAGGCCTTGGATGTCAGTCCGCCTGCCTTGACCCTGTGCCCCCCCCACCCCATGGGCGGCCTCCCATTTTTGCTGTGTTCCTCTGGTGATGGGAACTCAATGTGCTCACCAAGCAGCCCCGGTCATCAGAAAGCTGTGTCCCTGAAGCCTTCCATCTCCCGTGCAATTCCCACAACACGCATGCGCGCGTACACTGTCATGACGCAGCGTTCTGGGCAGGGCAGAGCTGGAGCCGGCGGGTAAGGCGGTGGGGCTGGGACTGCGGAAGCACAGGGCACCTGAGCAGATCGTTCACTCCAAGGGGTCAGGAGCCTCTCAGGACAGTCCGCGTTGGGGGCACTTGGCTGGCCCCTCTGTGCTCTCCACCGAAAAAGTGACTTGATCTTTTGTAAAAACTTGTTTTTAATTTTGTATAAAATAAAGGTGGTCCATGCCCACGGGGGCTGTAGGAAATCCAAGCAGACCAGCTGGGGTGGGGGGATGTAGCCTACCTCGGGGGACTGTCTGTCCTCAAAACGGGCTGAGAAGGCCCGTCAGGGGCCCAGGTCCCACAGAGAGGCCTGGGATACTCCCCCAACCCGAGGGGCAGACTGGGCAGTGGGGAGCCCCCATTGTGCCCCAGAGGTGGCCACAGGCTGAAGGAGGGGCCTGAGGCACCGCAGCCTGCAACCCCCAGGGCTGCAGTCCACTAACTTTTTACAGAATAAAAGGAACATGGGGATGGGGAAAAAAGCACCAGGTCAGGCAGGGCCCGAGGGCCCCAGATCCCAGGAGGGCCAGGACTCAGGATGCCAGCACCACCCTAGCAGCTCCCACAGCTCCTGGCACAGGAGGCCGCCACGGATTGGCACAGGCCGCTGCTGGCCATCACGCCACATTTGGAGAACTTGTCCCGACAGAGGTCAGCTATTGGGGGCAGGAAGGAGGCAGGGTCAGGGTGGAGCTGGGTGATGGGAACCGCTGCCCCTCCCCCAACTCTGGTGATGGGAGTGTTTTGAGGATGAAAAGTAGCAAGGAGGGGAGCTCAGGGTGTCCTGGAAGTGGGCCTGGTGGATAATATGTGTTGAATAAACATCAGGTGGGTGGCTAGGTGGCCAGATAATGATGCGGGTGTGGGGACAGGGGAGGTCTTGGGGAGGTGGCCTTCCTACCTCGGAGGAGCTCCTCATGGGCACACACTGTACGAACACAGATCTCCTTGTTAATGACGTACACACGGCGGAGGCTGCGGGGACAGGGCACGGGAGGTCTCAGCCCCACTTCCACCCAATCCCACTGGGATAGCCCAGACAGAACCTGGCACGGGAGCCCGGACAGAACCTGGCACGGGAGCCCGGACAGAACCTGGCACTGGAGCCCAGGAGTGGAGGAGGTCCCTGGCCCAGGCTCAACCACAGAACTGAGCTCAACTTAAGGACTCACTATCTTTCCTCCAACTCCCACCTTGGCGGGCCAGAGCTGTCCCCTGTGCCCTCTAGCCCCCCATGCTCCGGAATCCTCCCGACAGCTGCCCATCTGTGCTCACCTGTAGAAGCAGACCTCGTTGAGACACTGTTTGCAAGGCCTGTGTATGGAGTAGAGGCGGGTGCACGGGTACTGTTCCTCACGGCAGTCTGGTGACAGGTGGGGTCAGACTAGGAGCCCAGAGTGGGGGGCGGCCCCCAGCCTCACCCACCTGAGGCTGGCTCACAGGGCCTAGTCCCCCCTGTACCTTCAGGCCCCGTGCAGACACCCATACCTACACATGCCCACATAGACCCACGCAGCATTGTCAGACTTCCCAGGGCTGTAATATTCACGTATCAATTCACAACCGCACTTACTATAGAAGCCTAAGTTCAAACAGAAATTTGCACCCACCCATGCATCGCCACAAAAGCCCATACCAACTCCCGAGCAGACGTGCCCACGCTCACAGAAGCCCACATAGGAGCGCTCACACCAACCCACACGAGAGTGAGCACACGGATTCTCCTGCACACACACACCTTGTTCTTTCAAGCTCTCAGCTAGGGCAGCCGGAGGGCACCGCTCAGCCAGCCTGCACTCCCTGGCCCTTCCTCGCCTCCACATGTGCACCACTCAGTCTCTCTGGCTGGCAGGAAGCCCCCAGCACACTCCCTGCCCCTCCCAGTATCTGTGAGGTCAGGGGCCTTCCTAGGCTGCCAATTTAGCCTCCAGCCAGGCACACTGGGGACAGGTGGGACCTCCTGGAGCTGCCTGGGGGGCCTGGTGATGCCAGCCTACGGCAGTCATACTGCCCACACTGCCAAGAGCCCACATGGGCAAGGGCCAAAGACCTCCAGCCCACCAGCACCACCCCCTACTCCACCCCAACTTCAGGGCGTGCCTCCATTTTTCCAGCTGTCAAGAAAGCCCTTACCAAGAGGCCCAGGCTCTGTGGGCTCCAGCTCTGCATTTCCTGGTTCTGGTGTGGAGACAGAGGTAGGCAGACATCACTGGGAGGGGTCTCCTCAGGGCAAGGGGAGTCACCTCTCCCAGCCCTGGCAGACCCCCACTCCCAGGGTTGACAGGGTGGGGAGGGGTGAGGCAGGAGCTGAGACGGGTGGGAGCAGGGTCTGGGGCCTACCTGGGGTTGGGGCTGGGATGACTTCCTGTTGGACTTGCTGCTGGGACTGGAACTGGAACTGTTCCTCGGAGGGCCGAGGAGTCACCTCTGCAGCCAGGGGAGGATAAGGGGGTCTGCTCCCTCTACCCCTCCCAGGGGGTCTCCCCACCCCAGCTGCCGGCCCGTCCTATCCTACCCCTAGCCCGTTACCTTGATAATCATAGTAGTCTGGGTTGTCTGCAAACAAAGATGAAAGTGGAATTGGTGGGAGTAAGGCTAATCCCCCAGCCCCTGGGGCAAACAAGTTCCCTCCTGAGCCAGGGACCAACCCCCAGAGTTCCCATCAGCGTGTCCAGTGCGGTCCCTGGCTGAGCCAGGCACATCTGAGCAGCCAGGCCTCGGTGACCCGGCAAGGCCCTTACCGATCTGGTCGCTATAGTGGGTGTACTGGACGTGGTCAGGGAACGGCGGCAGCGGGTCCAGGTCATACTGGCCCTGAGCCAGCAAGCCTGCTGTGGGGAGGCAAAGCATGTAGGGTACCCCATCGGGAGGGGCAACGGGGGCCCGAGGCGCTTCTGGAGAGTGGAGGCGGGGGTCACAAGGTCAGGCCCATAAGAGCCTAGGACCCCACAAGCAGATTCCTAGAGGATCCAGACTCTTCTTCGATGGTAAAGACCCTTCCCCACCCTGGTCATGGGTCACCTCCCTGACCTTACCCTGCCCCTTCCTGTTGCTGGCCTCCTGGCTGCTCCTAGGACTCCACATGCTCCTGCCTCCCTCAGAGCCTTTGCACCTGACACTCCCTGGGCCTGTGAGGCCTGCTCAGCTCCTTCAGGTCTTCCCTGGAATTTCAGCTGTGCCAAGATGCCGCCCCACCTCCAGCCCACCAGCCCTCCTGCTGATTTCTGTCCAGCACTCAGCACATGCTGGAGTTTCTCATGTCTGCTTGTTTCCTATTTGTCTCCCTTCCCTGGACTGGCAGCATGATGAGGAGCAACGATGTGTCTGCCTGGTTCATCGCTGAATCCCCAGGGCCTAGCCCAGCACTTGGCACGTGGTAGGGACTCAACACATCGCTGCTGAATGAATGAATGTTGGCCCTGCTAGGACTTTTGTGGTCCTCATTGATTCTCTTCATTTGGCCAGTAGGGACCCCCACAAGGTCAGGACTGTATAGAGCAGAAGGGCCCTGAATGGATCTAGAACTCAAGCATCCGGACTCCCTGCCTTGGGTGCCCCTGCACCTGCACATCGGCTCCCAGAGAGGCCTTGTGCCTTGTGCCCACGGAGTCCTTGTGCCTGGGACGTGCCCTCCAGAACCCTGCCTGCCTGCTGCTGTGGAAGGCTGGGGGAAGGGCCAGGAGCTGCCTCCAGATGCTGCCAGGGTTGGCTGGTCCAGTCTGTGGTCCAAGCAGGCAGAAGGCCCTGGGAGCTGGGGAGCTGAGTTCTGGTCATAAGTCGTGACAAAGGCTCACTATGAATTCCCCCTACTAACCCTACTCCTCAGCCCCACATAAGAGGAGCTACCCCCTGCCCCAGGAGCCACTTACCAGGCAGGAATAGCAGGAAGAGGTAGGCAGCTCTCATGGCAACAAAGAGGCAGGCCGGGGTGGTGTCAGAGAGGACAGCTGGGGAAAGACCGGTGGGAGAGCTCTACCCAGGGCCACACCCAGGACAGCAGAGCTCACCTTTGATCCCCTGATTTCGCCCTGGAGAAGGTGGCACCCAGAATAGAAGCCAGGCATGGGAGGGCTGGAGTGGAGGGACATCCCAGTCCCTGCTGGCCCACCCAGGTGTTCAGGTCACAAGGGACAAGGCCTCCAACCCAGCTCCAGGGCTGATCCTGACAAGCAAACCCCGTGTAGTGGGTGTACTTGATGTGGTCAGGGAAGGGCGGACCCTGCCCTGCTCACTAAGGGGACATTCCTAATGTGCTCCCAGCCCAGGCCATTCTGTCCTCACCCACACCCGTGCTCAGCCCTCTGGCCCAGTGGCTCCCTGGGTGTCCAAGGCACTGACTGCGTGAATCACTGAACCCAGGCCCATCCTTGGGACCCCAGCCCTGGCCAGCCGGCATCACCGCCTGGACTCAGCAGCTTCTGCCAAGCCACCACCTGCTCCCAATTAGCCCCTGGGCCCTAAGCATCCTGCTCAGCAGGAAACCACATACACATGGGCCTGCCCGGCCCCCAGAGCGGCCAGGCCGGGCAGGGCTCCCAGCTCCCAGAAGACTCCTCTCCTGCCAGGCCTCCAGGCCTCGCAAGACCTGGCTGTGTGCATCACAGGCTCACGAGACCCGGGCTATTTGCAGCAGCAGGAAGCACGAGAGTGAAGCCTGAGGGGGCTCCTCTGGATCCCAGAAAGGCAGCACTGAAGGGGCCGTGACATCACCCAGGCTGGGGGTTCTGCACCCCCTGACACTGTAGGCAAGTGTGTGTGTCATTTGGAGGGAGAGGGCATGGGGTCCGTGGCTTTCATCAGGCTCCTGACATTCAAGAGCCCAGCCTCCAGTCCTGGCTACACGGTGGGACTTGGGGGAGCCTCCGGTTCCCCACATCCAGCCCCAGCTCAGTGGAGGGCCACCTCAGGTCCGTCAGCCTTCTGTAGGGAGGGCTGCGAGGGCGGGGTCCATCCAGGAGGGCCCCTCCCGGCTGCAACCCAGGAAGTCCTTTCAGAGAGCTAGCTGGAAACCCCAACTTTGGTCTATTTTCCCCACTGGGAGTCCAGGGAGAGGGGAGGGAAAGGGGAGAAAGCAGGAGGTCTTTCCCTCCTTCCTCTCAATCCTGAGGCCTCCTGACCCCCTGGCTCCTCTCATGCATTAGGCACCTCACTAAGGTGGAGTGGGAGCCGGGAGACGAAGCTCAGGACCAAGCTGCCCCAGAGGCGAGGGATAGCTGGCTCCCCACACCCCATTCTGAAAACCCTTGACCTCCTCATGGGAGGGGGATGAAAAGACCCAGAGAGCCTTCCTTGCCCTTCTCCCCATCCGTCAGGTCGGTCGGAGCCCCCGCTGCTCAGCAGAAGGCGCTGAATTGGGGCAAGAGGGGTTGCAAGGTGTTGGGGGATGCCTGTCGGTACCCTGCGGGGAGTCTTCCTCCCCTAGGACTGGCCCCCGAACCCAGGCTTATTGGGGGAAGGAGGCCCACGGGCTAGCGGGGAGGCAGGAAAGAGAGAAGTCAGTGTGGAGTTCATGAACTCCTCCCACGGGACCACATCTCCGAGCTCTTCTAGACGAAGGGGTTTTGGGGCGTGCGGGAGGCCAGGACCTGCCTGGGAGGCTGCCCCACCCCCACCTCTGGCCTCTTCCACAGCTGCGGCCTCCCCCACCCCCGACTCCCCTGCGTCCTGGGAGGTGGGGGACAGGGGGCCCCGACGCTCGCTCAGACATCAGACGGAGGGAGGGCTCTGCCGGCTCCAGAGCCGGGCTCAGGGGGAGGGGTCCCGGCGGGAGAAACCCAGATGTTGCAGCGCCGCACAGCTGGGAACAATCAGCCGCGGAAACTTGCTCCGCGCGCCCTCGCGCTCCCGTCTCTGATCTCTCTTTGTCTCTCTGCGTCTCTGTCTCGGCCATTCCCACCGGACCCCCCCCCCCCACCCCACCCGCCACATTCCAACCTCCCCGGGAGAACAAAAGATGTCCCATCCCCCGACGACCTCACCTCTGGCTCCCCCCAAACTCGGGCTCCCCGCCCTTCCCAATTCGCGTTCTCTCTGCAGAGCAACCCCAAACTTTCCAGGTGCCCCCTTGGCCTCCGCTCTGAAGGCGCGGGGTTCAGGAACCTCCGCGGCTGCCCCAGGATCGAGGACCCAGAGAGCCTGGCACCCTCGCCCCCGCGCCGGGGGACCCGCCGACGCCCCTGACCGCCCCCCGGGGCCCCCAAGCGCCAGGCCCGCGCCTACCTGTCCGGGTCACTCCGCCGCCCGCTCCGAGTCCGCCCGCCGGAGCCGCCCCTTGGCCCGCTCCGAGTCCCCCTCCGGGCCCCCGACGGGGCTGGCGCCCGCCCTCCAGCCCCGGAGCCGCTGGGTCCTAACGCGAGCTGCCCGCATGGGCCGCCACGCCGTGCCCTCGGGGTTCCATCTCCTGGGGGGGGGGGTGTCCCCGGGGTAGAGGCGCCCGGGGCCGTCCTCACGTCTGTGCAAAGCTTCCTCCTCCTCACAGCTGCTCCTCACTCGACGTCGACGGGGTGAGGGGGGTGAGGTGGGCAAGGGTAGGTGTGTTGCCCATTTCACAGAGGAGGAAATCAAGCCTCCCAAAGTGACTCACCCTAGGCCCCTCAGCCAGAAAGTAAGCCTCGATCTCCCTCTGCCTTCTCCCAGCTTCCAGGACACTCTCCTGCCTTGGTTTTCCTTCTGCCTCTCCAGCCAAGCCTGCTGCCTCTCTCAGGCCCGCACCCTCCTCTCCTACACTGCTGAGCTCTGGGCCATGGCTGGCTTCCACAACCAGCGGTTCTTTCTTTCCTTTTCTAGAGACAGGGTCTTGCTGTGTTGCCCAGGCTCGTCTGGAACTTCCGGCCTCGAAATTTTGGCCTCAAGCATTCCTCCTGTCTCATCCTCCTGGGCTGTTGGGATTACAGGCATGAGTCCCTGCCCCCGGCCATAACCAGCACCTCTTTCAGCCCTGACCCAGCCTATGTGTCCCACAAATGTCCTCAAGATGCATCAGCTTCAACAAGCATCCAAGTCCAAATTCACGACCTCCTAACTCTCCCCCAGACCTGGCCCTCCAGGATTCCCAGTCCCCCCTTGGCCCCGCAGCCTTCCATTACCCAGGCTTCCTCCCCTGCCCTTAGCCCTGCATCTAATCCAGCACCCACCCGTGAATGCTACCTGAAAAATTTCTTTTGTGACTCCGTTCACTGCTCCCACCCTGGCCTAAGCCACTGTGAGACCAAGTTGCAATCCCAAGAAACCGCATTTGCTCTTTCTGCTTGTCAGAAGCTGACAAAGCCCTGACTCAGTGACTGGGGGCAGCCCAACGGAAGGATGCCTTGAAGATGGCAGGCAGGGCAGAACACAGGCTCCCACGCCTCTTGCCTGAATCACTGCATTGTTAGAAAATATAAGTTAAATGATCCTGGCTGTGCCTTTTCCTGTACATAAGATAGCACCTGACAGGATTGACGATTATGCCTCTATAATCTATATAACTAGGTGCATCCTCGAACCCAAACCTTGGCGAGATTTGCACTAGTGTAGCTTCTGAAGACATTTGATGTAAATTTTTCTTCTTCTTTTTTTAATGAGACCGGGTCTCGCTCTGTCATCCAGGCTGGAGTGCAGTGGCACCATCACAGCTCACCTCTTGGGCTCAAGTGATCCTTCCACCTCAGCCTCCCAAGTAGCTGGGACTACAGGCAAGAGCCGCCATGCCTGGCTAATTTTTTTTTTTTTTTTTTTTTTTTGTATTTTTTGTAGAGAAGGGGTTTTGCCGTGTTTGCCCAGTCTGGTCTCAAACTCCTGAGCTCAAGCAATCCACCCGCCTCAGCCTCCAAAAGTGCTGGGATTACGGACGTGAGCCACCGTGCCTGACCATAGCTTCTGAGCACACACAGAACCGCCTGCCTCTGTATCTAAACTGTGGGCTGAAATGCTGCTTTGGCGCAGTCTAACAGAAACTCTCTGAAACCCTCTCCCAGGGTGCAGTCCTCAGTAAGACTCAATAAAACTAACTTTAATTTTTTCAATGGCTGATTTTTTTTTTTTTTTTGAAATGGAGTTTAACTCTGTTGCCCAGGCTGGAGTGCAGTGGTGTGACCTCGGCTCCCTGTAACCTCCACCTCCCGGGTTCAAGAGGTTCTCCCAACCCAGCCTCTCGGGTAGCTGGGATTACAGGCACATGCCAGCATGCCAGGCTAATTTTTGCTTTTTTTTTTTGAGTAGAGACAGGGTTTCACCATGTTGGCCAGGCTCCTGACCTTAGCTGATCCGCCTGCCTTGGGTTCCCAAAGTGCTGGGATTATAGGCATGAGCCACTGTGCCTGGCCAAAAGGTGGATTTTTTCTTTTTCTTTTTTTTTGAGACAGGGTCTTGCTATCTCCCAGGCTGGAGTGCAGTGGTGCATCCTCAACTCACTGCAACCTCTGCCTCCTGGGTTCAAGCGATTCTCATGCCTCAGCCTCCAGAGTAGTGGGGACTACAGGCACCCACCACCATGCCTGGCTATTTTTTTTTTTTTTTTTATTTCTCGTAGAGACGAGGCTTCTCCATGTTGTCCAGGCTCGTCTCGTACTCCTGACCTCAGCTGATCCACCCACCTTGGCCTCCCAAAGTGCTGGAATTACAGGCGTGAGCCACTGCACCTGGTCAAAAGGCTGATTTCTTATTTAGTTGACACCACCATCATTTGCCTGGGCTCTGCGATAGCCTCCACTCTGGGCTCTCCCACGTGGGTCCTGCCTCCCTCACCCCCGCAGATCGTGCCCCTTCTACTGATCGCCTTTCACTCAGGTTAGAGGCTCAACTTCCCTGTGGCTTCCAGGGCCCCGGCCCTTTATGGCAGCCTGGCTCTGCCTCCTCTTCCTCCTCCAGCCACTGGCCTTTGGGGGTTTTCTCCCAAACCCCTCTCCCTCCCACACTGAGGCGTTTCTTCCTCCCGAGCACTGGCTGAGGTCTCCTCCATGGGGTCACAGATCAAACCCTCCCTTCCTCAGAGGGGCCTTCCCTTTTTCCTTTTTTTGTGCTTTCTAGCTTTACTGCTTGCAGTTGTCTTGTTGGCCTATGTCTGTGACCATCTGAGCCCTGTCCCTCTTCCCGATGAGACTGTCATCTTGCCCCGTGAAGGCCAGGACCAAGGCTGTTTTTGCTCATCTTCAGTTTTGCTCATTAAGTTCAGAGCCCGGCTCAGAGCAGCAGTTCAGCAAACATTGGTGGAATGAATGAGTGAACTGTACACTAAACTCTTCCCGGAGAAGCTGGCTGGGGGTGCAGATCCTCTGCGTGAGGGGCAGCCTTCAGCCCTGCCCAGGAGCCTAGGCCTGAGGCGGGAGTGAGAGTTGTAGGGGCTGCGGGCTGGGAGGAGATGAGGATGGCCCCTGATTTAGACCCTTGCCATCTGATCTCTTCATCGCCAGTCATTCCCCCACCTCCCTTAGACTCTGAGTCTTAGGGAGGGAGTAAATATGCCCTGTGCCTCCTTCATTCCCATGCCCCGCCCCCCAGTGTCTATTGCAGGGCAGCAGAGACTTTTGTCACCTGGAGAGAGGTGGGCCCTCAGGCCAGGCCAGCCCAGCCCTCTCTGCCTGCCCTTAGACCCCACTGCTGCCAGGAGCAATCCCACTGGCAAAAGAGAGGAACTCACCCAGCAGAAATGCTGTCCCCTACCCTTGAAAAAAGGAGGGAGGTTGGGTGCAGTGGCTCACACCTGTAATCTCAGCAGTTTAGGAGACCAAGGCGGGTGGACCGCTTGAGCCCAGGGGTTTGAGACCAGCCTGGACAGCATGGCAAAACCCCATCTCTACAAAAAATACAAAAATTAGCTGGGTGTGGTGGTGCTGGCCTATAGTCCCAGCTACTCAGGAGGTTGAGGTAGGAGGATCACCTGAGCCTGGGGAGGTAGAGGCTGCAGTGAGCCACGATTGCACCACTGCACTCCAGCCTGGGCAACAGAGCAAGACCCTGTCTGAAAAAAAAAAAAGAAAAGAAAAGAAAAACTGGGAAACTGAGGGGCTAAAGCTGACAATTCGTGTCCTGGCTCCCATGTCCTCTCTGCTGCTTCTACCCATTCCCCTGGCTGTTTCTTTGGGCAGGGGAGGGGATGGGGCTGTGGTTGCTGTGCTCCCACTACGTCTTTGGAGATGTGCTCCTTCCCTGCCAGGCTTTCACGCTGGATGGTGAACTGCTCGCAGGGTTAGACCATGTTTTTGTCCCGTTTTATTCAGTTTGTTGAGTTAGTCCTGGTGCCTGGCACACACCTGTCCAACAGATTCATGAATAATCAGCTAAGGGTAGAGGAGGGATTTGAACCCAGGCCTCTCTGTGGCTTCCTCTTAAACAGCATCTACCACCCTGAACCGTCGCTGGCTGGCAACACAGTGCCAGGAGCAGAGGTCCACTGTGATGTGCCTCCTGGCAGGACTTTCATCTTCACACCCACATCCCTTCTCCCCAGCATGATTCAACGTTTTCTCAGCCCCTACTCTGGCAGGCCTGGGGATAGCACCAGGGGTTCCAGGAATGAGGTTGGCCAGGGCTTTTGGAAGGCAGGAAACAGCCGGTCTTTCCTGTTCTCCCCTGCCCAGATGAGCCAGACGGCCAAGCTGCCTCTCTAGAGCAGAGGGGCTTGGCCAGGGGCCCGCTGGTGAGATGAGCTCAGAGGCACCCACCCTTCCCTGAGGGATGATGCGCGTGGTTCTGGCTGGGAGATGTGGGCTCCGAGCCTGGATTTCATCTGAGGAAGGAACTGCCCACAAACATGTCCCAGGATGCTGGGGTGGGACGGGGAGGGGGTAAGGTGGGAGAGAGGGAGCTGCCCCCTAGCAAATGCCTCCCAGGCAAGCCTACATCTCCTTGTCCTCCAAAGGAGGGTAGGAGGGTTAGGAACATCGAAGCTGGAGTCAAAGCTATCCGGCCCCACTCTGACTACTTGTGTAACCTCTAAGCCTTGGTTTCTTCATCTGTAAAATGGGAATAGTACCACAGTTGTTGGAAGGATGACATGACAATGTGTGTAAAATGCTAAATGGGGCCAAGCGCAGTGGCTCACGCCTGTAATCCCAGCACTTTGGGAGGCCAAGGTGGGCGGATCACCTGAGGTCAGGAGTTCGAGACCAGCCTGGCCAACATGACGAAACCCTGTCTCTACTAAAAATACAAAATTTAGCTGGGCGTGGTGGCACATGCCTGTAATCCCAGCTACTCGGGAGGCTGAGGCAGGAGAATCGCTTGAACCTGGGAAGCGGAGGTTGCAGTGAGCAGAGATCACCCCACTGTACTCCAGCCTGGGTGACAGAGCAAGACTCCATCTCAAGAAAAAAAAAAAAAAAAAAAAAAGCTAAACGGAATATCCAGGCACATGCTGGACACAGAGGAAACATTATTACTGTGAGATGAGGGAACACAGGCCCAGAGAGGGGAGTTGGCCAATGGAGTCTGAAAAACCAGGGGGTTCCAGGGGGTTGTCAGGCTGAAAAACCAGCCTGAAAAACCAGCCCCCCAGGGGGTTCCAGGGGCAGACACGTGCAGGGGCTGCCAGCTGGGCACCCGGGGGTATGTGCATTTCCTCCTGGGCAGGTGGGAGGGTCTATGGTGCCAGGTACAAGACAGGCACAGCAGAGCCAGGAAAATATCATGACTTTATTTGCTACACTGACAGCAGCACTGAGGGGAGCTGGGGGCTGCCACCCCTACGCGGGATGGTCCAAGGTAGGGGACAGTAGTCAACGCTTCCCCAGGGTGGGGGTGGTCTCGGGGGAGGAGTGTAGACAGTCGCCAACCTCAGGGATGTGGGAGGTGGTGGCGGTGGTGTTGCTGGAGAGGGGTCCAGTTGGTGGCTCAGAGGCAGGGAGTTCCAGTGTCTGGGGTGCCCGTGGGCCTGCACTACCTCAGGGGGCCGGCGGGCAGCGGCGGCCAGGGCTGCTCGGCCAGCTCTCGTTCCAGCTGCTTGAAGCGCTTCTTGGAGGCCCGCTTGGGCCGGAGGCGGCGCAGGCAGGCGGGGAGGCACTGGTCTAGCACGCTCTGCAAAGGGCAGGGAGGGTGTCAGGGGCAGCCGGGGCTGAGCTGGGGTCAATGCACCCCCACCTCCCTTCTCTCCCGCTGCTGAGACCCAGGGCGGGCCCCACCTCCAGCATGAAGGCCCCCACGAAGTTGAGGGTGACCAGACCCAGCAGCAGCAGCTTGAAGCCGGTGTCAGTGATGTTCCTCAGCGCCAGCGGCCCCTGCAGGAGGCCGGGGACCAGGACAAGGCCCACCAGGACGGAGCTCAGGAGCGCCAGGGCCACCAGGAAGGGCACTGGGAGCAGGAGAGTCTCTCAGGCAGGAGCCACGCCCCCCCGGCACCCACAGACACACGTGTGCACGCCAGTCTTCCACTCGGCCGGCACCTCTCTCCCATCTGCCTCCCCAGCACCCCAGGGCTCCTCCCTCCCTCCGCCAGCATCTCCCGCCCGCGCCCGCAGTGGCACCATTGGTGTAGAGCGGCCGGCGGAAGGGCGCCCCCTTGGACACGGCTGCAGCCAGGATGAGGTACTGGAAGCTGGACAGAGAGAAGACCACGGTGTTCTCGTAGTTGGGCAGGTTGTCTGGTGCGGCCACTGTCCTGTTCAGAGGCACGAACCTGGGGGTACAGGGATGGGGGTCAGGGAACGAACGTGGGGTGGACAGGGAAGGGGCGGGATGGGGGTGGTCAGTCAGCTCCCTACTCACCATGGCTGGGCCAGGGTCAGGAAGTAGCCCCCTAGCTGCACGCCGGTCACCAGGACCATCTGCAGCAGCAGGCTGCTGAGCACGGGCACGCTGAGCAGCGCCCCCGGTGGCCGCACCCGTCCCAGGACCAGCGCTGGCCCCGTGCGGCTCATGAGCACTGCCACTGTGGTGGTGATGACCAGGTCGATGGCCAGGAACTGCAGGTCACCCAGGTTGGTGTTGATCTGCCACAGGGAAGGGAGGACAGAGGGGAAACTAAGACCTGGCCCTGGCAGCCCCTAGTCTGATAGCAGAGGCCCCACCCCTGCCCCGAAGGAATCTGATGGGTAAGGCATCCCCCAGTCTAATGGGGGCCGTACTCTCCTGCCAGCCCAGCGGAGGAGGTGCCGCTCTTGATGTGAGACAAACCCCTGGTCTGATGGAAAGGGCACCTGTGCTGACCTTGGGGGCCTAAATCTGAGGGGAGGTTTCCCTCCCTGTAACAAACTCCCGGCCCGAAGGGGAGGCTTCGGCTCTGCCTTGCGGAGTCCCTATAGCTACCAGGGCATGCACAGTTCCTGCCCTCAGGGAGCTCCTCGCTTTCAGGCAGACACAGGGACAGACCCAAGTATAAGATGTGCGCCGCCCTGCAGTGTCACCTCATTCGCTGGGGGTGAGCAGGCCATGCCCAGAGCAGGGGAGGGGAGAGCTCCTCCAAGTAGGGTGTGGGAGGTACAGCCAAGGTATGGGGCAAAGCAAGTGCATCTGGGGAAATGGGCAGACCTGTGGGGATGGGGCGGGGGCGAGGGTTTTGGCCCTGCCTCCGTTCAGTCTTCCCTGCAGATTGGGGAGCTCCCAGAGTTGCGGTCAAGATGTTAGCCCATGACAGCTGCTGCCATTTGTGAGGACCTAGTGGGTACCAGGCTCCGTGCCTGGTGTTTTTCTCATCTCCCCCAAGCCTTGCCACCTCTCCAACCACACAGCCGGAGAGTGGCAGGGTCAGGATCTGGGCCCACGTCATCTATTCTGGGACCTGCCAGCTCCAAGGCACAGGGCTGTGTCCCCTCCCTAGTCCTGGGACGGCTCTGGGTACGGAGCTCTGCAGATACTCACCGTGTAGAGGATCAGGACGGAGATGAACTGGGTCAGGCTGTACAGAGCCATGTACTTGAAGACGCTGAACGAAGTGTCAAGGGAACAGCGCCCCTCCCTGGGTGGCAGGGCACGGACATTAGGGGACCCAGGTTGGCTGACCAGCCCTGCTGAGCCCTCACCCACCGGTCCCTGCCTGCCTTACCTGATGACCATGGGCACGCACTCAATACTGGCCATGCTCGAGGTGAAGGGTGAGACCACTGAGGCTTCTGCCTGGGACAGCGAGATGCCGACATCAGCCGCCTTCAGGGCCCCACAGTCATTGGCGCCGTCTCCGCACATGCCCACGCAGTACCTGAAGAGAGGTGTGGACAGGTGTGGCCTGGGGAATTACCCCACCACCCCATGGGTGGGCTGGCAGAATATGATGACAGCTGGGCCCCTAATGCCACATGGTGCCTGGTGTACAGGAGGCGCTCAGTGAATAGATGCAATTATTATTATTATTATCATTATTATTATTATTTTTTGAGACGGAGTTTCACTCTTGTTGCCCAGGCTGGAGTGTAATGGCATGATCTCAGCTCACTGCAACCTCTGCCTCCTGGGCTCAAGTGATTCTCCTGCTTCAGCCTCCCAAGTAGCTGGGATTACAGACGCCCGCCACCACGCCTGGCTAATTTTTTGTATTTTTAGTAGAGATGGGGTTTCACCATGTTGGCCAGGCTGGTCTTAAACTCCTGATCTCAGGTGATCCACCCGCCTCGGCCTCCCAAAGTGCTGGGATTACAGGCATGAGCCACCGTGCCCGGCCTATTATTTTTTGAGACAGAGTCTCCCTCTGTTGCCCAGGCTAGAGTGCAGTGGCGTGATCTCTGCTCACTACAACCTCCTCTGCTGCCCAAGTGCCCTCAGCCTCTTGAGTAGCTGGGATTACTGGTGTGCGCCACCATGCCCAACTAATTTTTGTATTTTTAGTAGAGACAGGGTTTCACCATGTTGGCCAGGCTGGTCTTGAACTCCTGACCTCAGGTGATCTGCCTGCCTCAGCCTCCCAAAGCGCTGGGATTACTGGCATGAGCCACCGCGCCTGGCCTATTACTATTTTTTGAGACGGAGTCTCGCTCTGTTGCCCAGGCTGAAGTGCAGTGGTGTGATCATGGCTCACTGCAGCCGCAGCCTCCCAGGCTCAAGCAACCCTCCTGCCTCAGCCTCTTGAGTAGCTGGGATGACCGGTGTGTCACCACACCTGGCTAATTTTTAAATTTTTAATAAGAGATGGGGTCTCACTTTGTTGCCCAGGCTGGCCTCAAACTCCTGGGCTCAAGTGATCCTCCCACCTCGGCCACTCAAAGAGGTGGGATTACAGGAATGAGCCACCGCACCCAGCCTACAATTATTATTTTTAGCATGAAAGACCTGGGAGAGCCTGCCTGCTTTTGGTGAGGAGGGGTGACAGCTCTCTGGTGCCTGAGGAGGGAGACAGGGCCCTGGGGAAGGACAGATGAACAGACGAACGGACAAGCTCAGTCTCCGCAGGCCCTTGCCCACACCCTCTGCCGAGCACTCACTGAAGCTTCTGTAGCTCGCACACCAGCTCTGTCTTCTGCTCAGGGGCCATGCGGGCAAAGACAGTGCCCTGGACCAGGACCTGGGAGCACAGGGAGATGGGGGAGGGCTGAGGCACCCACCAGGGAGAGCGAGCCGTGAGGAAGGAGACAGAGCAGGGGAGGCGCAGGGCGGCCAGGGAGCTGGGGGCGGCCCTACCTTGGGCAGCAGCTTGGGGAAGTGCTTCACAATGATACCAAAGGTGGGCCCGCTGAGGGCCAGGTGCCTGGATCGGGGGTCTGGCTCCACGGTGTAGCTTGCAGCCTGGTCAGGATCCTGGGGGCCCAGGAAGCTCAGCTTAGCTCCCCCTGCCCACCCTGGAGAGTTGGGGCCTGGGTCAGGTGACACAGGGGTGGGGTCACTGGGTGAGGTACAGCTGGAACTCTGGGTTAGCCTCACCTTAACGCCATTCACGGCTGTGGGGGACTCCATCGGCAGGAACTCGAGAGAGGCAGGCTGACCCCGCTCAGGGTGGGTGGCGTGGACGATGATCAGATGCTCCTGGGGGGCCACCATGCCACAGCCCCGGGCCACAGTCACCGCTGTCTGCAGGTTGTCCCCTGGGGGTTATGGGGCAAGGTGAGGGTCTGAGGCTATCCGGGGAGGCCATCCTCATCCTGATCCTTACAGATGGGAAAACAGGCTGGATGAAATCCGTCTGCCACCACCAGCCAAGTGAGCTGAGGCAGGTTACCAACATCCCTTTGCCTCAGTTTTCTCATCTGTAGATCCAGGCATTGAAGGGTCTTAGGAGAACCTGGAGCCGTGGGCTGGAGCTCCACATATACTCCTTTTTTTTCTTTTTTTAAGACAAGAGTCTCTCTCTGTGGCCCAGGCTGGAGTGCAGTGGCTTGATCTCGGCTCACTGCAACCTCCTTCCTCCTGGGCTCAAGCAATTCTCCTGCCTCAGCCTCTTGAGTAGCTGGGATTACAGGAGGGTGCGACCACACCAGGCTAATTTTTTTTGCATTTTTAGTAGAGATGGGGTTTCACCATGTTGGCCAGTCTGGTCTTGAACTCCTGGCCTCAGGTGATCCCCCTGCCTCGGCCTCCCGGAGTGCTGGGATTACAGGCACGAGCCATGTGCCCAGGCTACATATACTCCTTACTGCTGTGTGACTCTGCTGCCAAGTGCCCATGAATGTGTGTGCACATATGTGTGTGTGCAGGGGCGGGGAGGACAAGGACACAGACCTCTTAGCTCCTGCTGTCTCACCCTAGCTAGAATCTTTTTTTTTTTGAGACTGGGTCTCTCTCTGTTGCCCAGGCTGGAGTGAAATGGCGTGATCTCAGCTCACTGCAACCTCCACCTCCCGGGTTGAAGTGATTCTCCTGCCTCAGCCTCCCGAGTAGCTGGGATTACAGGCATCCACCACCATACCTGGCTAATTTTTTGTATTTTTAGTAGAGACGGGGTTTCACTATGTTGGCCAGGTTGGTCTCGAACTCCTGACCTCAAGTGATCCGCCCGCGTCGGCCTCCCAAAGTGCTGGGATTACAGGCGTGAGACACTGTGCCCGGCCATTTTCGTATTCTTTGTAGAGACGGAGTTTTGCCATGTTGCCCAGGTTGGTCTTGAACTCCAGGGTTCAAGACATCCTTCTCCTTTGGCCTCCCAAAGTGCTGGGATTACAGGCATGAAGTACCGTGCCCGGCCAGAATCTTTCTCTTCCTGCTCCTTGAGCTTGTCACAGCCTCTGAGGCTGACATCATTATCCCCATTTCTCAGAGGTGCCACCTGGAACCCAGGCTGTCTGACAGCGCACATGGGTTCCTTGGAAGTCACTCCACTCCTCTGAGTCTCAGTTTCCTCATCTGTCAAACAGGGGTGACAATTACCACTTGCGGGGGGGATATTGTGAAGATTCACGAAATGTTTAAAAAGGACCTGGCCTGAAGCAAGGGCCCAAAAAGATGCCCCAAAAAGGAATCCCTGGTGCCCCTCTTCTCTGCCAGGAAGGGGCGGATTCTGCCCTGCTAGCCCGGGCCCCTACATGCCATTGTACCTGTCACCATGACGGCGCGGATGCGGGTCCTTCGCAGAGCCTGGATAACTGGCGTTGTCTGCGGCTTCAGTAGGTTCCTCATGACCAGCAGCCCCAGGAGGCTCAGGTCTCCTTCCACAGTGTCCCTGGAGGGTGGGCAGACCTGGATCAGAGGTCATGCAGTGGCCAGGGCCCCTCTCCCAGCCACCAGGCAGGGCATCTTCCTTGGGCTCTGCCTGCGTGAGAGCCTCCCTCTGCCTAGTCCTCAGAGTGGGTGGGACAGGAGACAGGCCCACCTCGTCAGTTGCTGGGCTGCCTCCAGGCTGGGCACAGTGGGCAGTGGCTTGCTGGCCAGGGCCACGACACGGTAGCCAGCAGCTGTATAGCTCTGCAGCATCTGGGCGAAGTCGGTGGGCACTGCCAGGGAGAGGCAGGTGTCACAAGGAGGGGATGGCAGGGACAGAGGCTGGGTACCCACCCCATTCTGTGCCAATGCCCAACCAGGGGGACTCAGGGGCTTCCCCCTGCACCTGTCTCGGGGTTGCAGAGCCCTGCCACCAGCTCCGGGGAGCCTTTGACGTAGGCCTCGGGCTGAGTGGCCCCTGGCCACGCCACCACCACACTCATGCGCTGCAGAGCCGAAGAGAAGGGGAAGCGGTGGAGGACGCTGACTGGCACCGGGGGCTCCTCCTGCAGGGTTGGAGAGGCAGCTGAGGTGCTGGCTGGGGAGCCCACCCCTCTGCCCTGCACCCAACAGGCCCCCCTCAGCTCACCATTGCCTGCAGCTGGGGCTCCCAAAGTGGGGGTCTCATCACTGCCAAGACCTGGGTCCCAAATGCTGAGTCTGCAGCCGGCTCTTCCTCCAGGACCTGGCAGGCAGGCAGGGAAGTTTGGTGTCTGGGGGCTTTGGCTCACAGAGAGATTTGAGCTAGACTCAGGGAAGACTTCCTTCATGGGAGACTGAATGGTGGGTTAAGAATGTGGGCTTTGGAGCCCGGTGGACTCAAATTCAAACTCTAGCTTTGCTACTTACAAGCTGTTGGGTGACCTGGAATACGTCACTCCAAATCTCCCAGCCTCAGCATCCGTGAAGCAACATTTGAGCTTGCTTGCTAGGGCTTGGGGAAGAGGAAATGAGACCAGGCCTCTGTGGCCGTGCGCTGGCGCATAGTAGGCACTCAGCCTGAGGCCTTGCCATTATTATTATGTTACTTTTATTTTAAGACAGAGTCTTACTCTGTGACCTAGGCTGGAGTGCAGTGGTGTGATCTCGGCTTACTGCAACCTCTGCCTCCCGGATTCAAATGATTCTCCTGCCCTCAGCCTCCCAAGTAGCTGGGACTACAGGCATGTTCCACCGCACTTGGCTAATTTTTGTATTTTTATTACAGACGGGGTTTCACTATGTTGGCCAGGCTGCTTTCAAACTTCCGACCTCAGGTGATCTGCCCACCTCAGCCTCCCAAAGTGCTGGAATTACAGGCATGAGTCACTGCACCTGGCCTATCATTATTATTTTTTGAGACAGGGTCTCGTTCTGTTACCCAGGCTGGAGTGCAGTAGCGTGATCACAGCTCCCTGTAGCCTCGCCCTCCCGGGCTCAATTAATCCTCCCACCTCAGCCTCCTGGGACTACAGGCATGCACCACCACGCCCGGCTAATTTTTGTATTTTTGGCAGAGATGGGGTTTTGCCATGTAGGTCAGGCTGGGGTCCCGGGCTCAAGTGATCCTCCCGTCTTGGCCTCCCAAAGCGCCGGGAGCCACGTTACAGGTGTGAGCCACTGCGCCTGGCCTATTATTATTAATGGTGGGCATAATAAGAGACCACCCTGAAAGATGGAGAGGGAAGACAGGGTGGGATTCGTTAGGCCCCACTGCCCAGAGGCAGGGGGCTGACCTGCTTGGCCTCCTCACCCAGCCAGTAGACTCCACCATCTTCAAGTCCATGGGGTCGCCCACGGGGGTGTCCTGGAGCCGGCTGAGGGCATGGCAGGTGGCCAGTGCTCGGAGCAGGGGCCCCACAGGCAGGCGGCGAGGCTCTGGGACCAGGGGCAGGAATGCCTGCCCCTTCAGGGGCACCACCCCCATCACGTCTAAGCCGTCCTCAGTGAGGGTGCCCGTCTGTGGGAGACAGGTGGGTGGGGCAGCGATGAGTCCTGGGATGGGGGTACCCTGCTGAGCTGGGCCTCCAAACCCCAGGCCCGGCGGACCCTATGGGAACCCCAGGAACTCGAGCTGGAGCCAAAAGATGACCTTTCTTGACTGCTGTCCTTGGCACATGTGATTCCCTCTGCTGGGGTCCCCCTCCCCAGCCCCCACCGTCTCTCTGTCTAGCATCATCTCTTCCAGGGTGTCTTCCTCCTTAACTCCCAAGTTAGGGCAGGTGGTTTGCTCTGGGCTCCTACCCATGGCCTCTTCACTTCCCCACACTTGTGCATTGTGGTTAAGGACCCGGCCCACGGTTGGCTCGCTCTCTCTCTCTCATTTATTTATTTATTTATTTATTTATTTTTATTTTTATTTATTTTTATTTTTTGAGATGGAGTCTTGCTCTGTCGCCCGCGCTGGAGTGCAGTGGCGCAATCTCAGTTCACTGCAACCTCCACCTCCCGGGTTCAAGTGATTCTCCTGCCTCAGCCTCCCGAGCAGCTAGGATTATAGGCACGCGCTACCTCGCCCACCTAATTTTTGTATTTTTAGTAGAGACGGGGTTTCACCATGTTGGTCAGGCTGGTCTCGAACTCCCGACCTCAGGCAATCCACCCGCCTTGGCCTCCCAGAGTGCTGGGATTACAGGCATGAGCCACCACGCCCAGCCTCAATATATCTGTTGAATGAGCGCATGAGTCAGTGCCTGCGTTCCCCATCCTAGACTCTAACTGCCCAAGTACGCGTCTGGCTCCTTGGCTAGCCTGGGAACTATAAGAATCTGGTCATCCCCCTCCCCGGTTTATTTATTTTTTTTTGAGACGGAGTCTCACTCTGTTGCCCAGGCTGGAGTGCAGTGGTGTGATCTCAGCTCACTGCAACCTCTGCCTCCCGGGTTCAAGCGATTCTCCTGCCCCAGCCTCCCGAGTAACTGGGACAACAGGCATATGTCACCGTGCCTGGCTAATTTTTTATATTTTCAGTAGAGACGGGGTTTCACCATATTGGCCAGGCTGGTCTTGAACTCCTGACCTCATGATCCACCCGCCTCGGCCTCCCGAAGTGCCGGGATTCCAGGCATGAGCCACTGCGCTGGGCCCCCTCCCCAGTTTAAAAGCGCTCTGTGGCCCCCGACAGCCTCTGAATGTCACCTAGCCTCTGTCAACCAGGCCACTGCCTACCCGGCCCTGTCCTGCTCCACCACTCCCTGTGCTCAGGTACGCAGCACATCTGTGCCACGCCACTCCCTGTGCCCCAGGCACACGGTACATCTGTGCTATGACACTCCCACCTTTTACCCTTGCTTCTCCTCGACCTGCCCCTCACTGAGGTCACTGAGGGACCTGCTCAGGGGGCTTCCTTGACTGCCTTCTCTCTAAGGAAGTGTCCCCATCTAGAACCCATCAAGCTATCCCACTGGCTTCCTTCCTAAAACCCACTGCCCACTCCTCAGCCCCAGCAGCTCCTTTGTGCACTCCTGGATCACTTACTTTGGTGGGGGACACACACACTCCAGTGACCACAAGGATGCCTGTGTTGGTCACTGCTGGGCCCCAAGGGTTGGGAGCAGCACGGGATGCACACTAGGGCCCCAGGTCCCCACCAGTAATTTTTTTTTTTTTTTGAGTTTTGCTCTGTCACCCAGGCTGGAGTACAATGGCATGATCTTGGCTCACTGCAACCTCTGCGATTCTCCTGCCTCAGCCTCCCGAGTAGCTGGGATTACAAGCATGTGCCATCATGCCTGGCTAACTTTTGTATTTTTAGTAGACGGGGTTTTGCCATGTTGGTCAGGCTGGTCTTGAACTCCTGACCTCAAGTGATGTATCTGCCTCAGCCTCCCAAAGTGCTGGGATTACAGACGTGAGCCACCGCGCCCGGCCCCCCACCAGTTCTTGAACACATGAATACATGATTCTAGACATTTCATCTGCCAGACCGTGAGCCCAGTGAGGGCAGGAGTGGGATGGGGTGGATCCTCTGGGGGTTTCCATCCCTAGACAGGACCTGGCATCCTGTGGGTGCTGCTGAGAGAATAACGCGGGTGTGGAGGCCTCACTGGGGCGCCTGTGGCTGTCCCGCTCCCCTGCACCAACCCCACCTGCGGCCCCACCTTGTCGAAACACACCAGCTGCAGCTTGCCCCCCAGGTTGATGCGCAGTGGGTGGATGCAGAAAATGCCCTGTCTCCGCAGTCGGCTCTGGGCGTAGAGCGTGCACACAGTCATGGCAGCAGGCAGGGCAGGTGGCACCACCACGGTCACCAGGTCGAGAGCCCGGATTACAATCTCATTCAGAGGCACCTGGCAGGGGGCACCATGAATGTGAGCACCTGGCTGGTTGGCCCCTGGGCCCTGCTGGCAGCACCCCCCACCCCACCCCCAAGGCTTACCCGGTTTCGGTAGAGGATGAAGATGCTGTAGATGGTGCCGAGGAGAGCTGTGGGGACAGCGAAGGACTGAGTGGGATTTGGGACCCAGGTGGGGGGGGCTATGGGCAGAGGAGGGTGCAGGGGGCCACTCACCCAGGACAGAGAGGGCAGCCACAAACTTCATGCTGTGTTTATAGAACTTGAAGTTGATGGGCCGGGGGTGCAAGATGGAGCTCACCAGGCCCCCTTTTGCCGTGCAGAACCCTGGGGAGGAGGCGGGGACCCCAAGGCAGGGAAGCCAGGGTGAGGGCAGGCCTTCCCCACCCCTAGCCCTCCCGACCCGTGCCTCTGGAGTTGCAAGACATGATGTTTGTGAAATTAGCCATCAGCAGTGTGGAGTCCTAACAGGTCTGGCCCGGCTCTTGTAGGCTTTTTAAGGGCTTTAAACAAGGAACTAGTGGATAGCATCTAAACACTGGGTGGTTCCACTGAAAATCCAGACACAGGGAAGGCTCCTGCCTGCCCGCTACATCCCTGCCCGCTCCAGCACTGTAACCCCGGCGGCTCCTCCAGATCTTGCAATGCTTGGCCTTAGTCTGGCCCAACTTCTGCTAAGATGGGAATGCTCAGACCCCAGATGGGGGGCAACTGGCCCGAGGTCCCACAGCAGGGCAGCAGCAGAGGTGGGCGTGGGGTCCAGGGTTCCAGGTCCCACCCTGCCTCACTCCACCTCTCCCAAGGGTGCTGAGCCCGGGATCTCTCTCAAGCCCAGCCTCCCGGCTCATACCTGTGCGGGTCACCACTGCCAGGACGTGCGGTCCCACATAGGCCCGGGCCTGCAAGATGAGGGTCCCGCAGAAGAGTGTGTGCCGCCGGTGTGTCTCTGCACAGTAGGGCCCCAGCCCCTCCGGCAGTGCCGTCTTCAGCACTGGAATGCTCTCTCCTGGTGGGGAACGTGGTGTGAGGACCACTCCACACCCCTCCCTCCCACCAGCAAACCAGGAGTTCTGTGTAGAATTGTCCCACAAGCTCTAAGTCTCAGTTAACTCTGTAACCAGGTGTGAACAAGAAATCACAGCCCCATTTTACAGAGAGGAACACTGAGGCTCAGAGAGGACGGAGATATAAAGGCACAGGGAGACACTCCTGGAAGCAGGTGGCAGCCAGCTCCCTGGAACCAGCGGGGGGGGGTGGGTCAGACAGAGCATGTGTGGGCATCATGTGTGCAGTGGGGCAGGGTGGGGGAGTCGTTCTCTTTCTGCTGGAATTATTTTATAACATGCATGGAGTGCTTTTCTAACTCCAACCAACAGAAATATTTACAAGGGGCCAGATGCGGTGGCTCACGCCTGTAATCCCAACACTTTGGGAGGCTGAGGTGGGCAGATCACTTGAGGCCAGGAGTTCGGGACCAGGCTGGCCAACATGGTGAAACCCTGTCTCTACTAAAATACAAAAATTAGCCGGGTGTTGTGGTGGGCATCTGTAATCCCAGCTACTTGGGAGGCTAAGGCAGGGTAATAACTTGAACCAGAGAGGCGGAGGTTGCAGTGAGCCGAGATCGTGCCACTGCACTCCAGCCTGGACAACAGAGTGAAACTCTGTCTCAAAAGAGGAGGGGAGGGGAGGGGATGGGGTAAGGAAGGGGAGGGGGAAGGAGGAGGGGGAGGGGAGAGAAATATTTACATGGAGGGGGCAAATATTTCCATGAGTTGGAGTGAGAAAAGCACTGCATGCTCGCCATGGCCCTGTGAAGTCCTGGGCAGGCTGCCTAGCAAACAGTGGCACTCCCTTACTGAATGCCTGCAGGCTGGGACTATTGAGCACCTACTGTGTGCACATTCCTGCAAGGGAGTCAGACAATCCTGCCATGTCTGCCTCACAAGAGATGAGCAGATGAAGTATGTGTGGACAGTTTGTGGAGGGCAGGGCTCAGGGCGTGTGCCCACAAATCATACTGATCACAATTACTACTTTTTTTTTGTTTTCTGAGACGGAGTCTTACTCTGTCACCCAGGCTGGAGTGCAGTGGTGCGATCTCGGCTCACTGCAACCTCCACCTCCTAGGCTCAAACGATCCTCCCACCTCAGCCTCCCAAGTACCTGGGACGATAGACGTGCACCACTACACCTGGCTAATTTTTTGTATTTTTGGTAGAGATGGGGTTTCAACATGATTTCCAGGCTGTTTTCGAACTCCTCACCTCAGGCAATCCACCCACCTCTGCCTGCCAAAGTGTTGGGATTACAGGTGCGAGCCACTGCGCCTGGCCTACGATTTGTGATACAAATACAATGCCAGCCAGAAAACTTCCCTGGAAAAAAACCACTATCCTGTGGTTTTTAGTAAACTCTCTCCAGTATCTACCACCAAAATATAACACATCTCAGAGAAAGAAATACTTGCACACATCAAGAGACACAGGACAAAGCTGCTCCTGTGGCGTCCTTTGCAATGGCTGGAAAATCACATTCTAAATACTCATGGCGAGCGGGCCGGTTGAGTCAGTTACGATACATCCGTATTGTGGACTCTCATGCAGCCATGAGGTGGGGCCATCCGTGCTTGTGGAAGGATGCCAGGAGAAAAAGCAAAGTATGGAACAATACACAGCATACAATCCCACGTTCAGAACAAAAGGAGAGGCAAATCAGCCCATGTGCACACACGTAATGCAGAAAAAGGCGTGGAAGACACCTCACACCCTTCACAGTGGCTGCCCTGGGGAGGGGAAGGGAAGGGGACTGTGGGGTAGTGAATGGGGACCGCAGTCTCTCACTCTGGGAGAGGGCTTCCCACTCTCCTGTGCCATCTGGAATCTTTATGACCTGAAGGTGGGCACTGGTATAGAAACAGCTCAGATGCAGCCAGGTGCTATGGTTCATGCTTGTAATCCCAGCACTTTGGGAGGCTGGGGCGGGCAGATCACTTGAGGTCAGGAGTTCAAGACCAGTCTGACCAACGTGGTGAAACCCCATCTCAACTAAAAATACAAAATTAGCCGGGTATGGTGGCGCACACCTGTAATCCCAGGTACTTGGGTGGCTAAGGCAGGAGAATCGCTTGAACCCAGGAGGTGGAGGTTGCAGTGAGCTGAGATCGCACCATGGTACTCCAGCCGGGGCAACAAGAGTGAAACTCCATCTCAAAAAAAAAAAAAAAAAAAAAAAAAGGAGAAATAGCCCAGATGCACTGGGTGGCTGGCCATTTATGCTGCACCTCTCACGCTCCTAAGCACTTTGCACAACTCTGTCCAGGAGGAGTGACTGACAGCCATCTTACAGAAGAAGGAACTGAGGCACGGAGATGATACGTGGTAACGGCCCAGGGGTGTGAGGTTAGCAAGTCCTAAAGCTGGGATTGTTGCTTGAGAGAAAAAGGAAGAGGAGGCGGAGCGCTGGCACACGCCTGAAATCCCAGCACCTTGGGAGGCCGAGGTGGGCAGATAACCTGAGGTCAGGAGTTCAAGACCAGCCTGGGCAACATAGTGAAACTCCATCTCTACTAAAAATAAAAAATTAGCTGGGCGTGATGGTATGCACCTGTGGTCCCAGCTACTCAGGAGGCTGAGGCACAAGAATCACTTGAACCTGGGGGGTGGAGGCTGCAGTGAGCTGAGATCATGTCACTGCACTCCAGCCTGGACAACAGAGTGAAACTCCGTCTCACAAAAAAACAAAAAAGGAAAAGGAAACTCAAATGAAAACTTTTGCCGCAGGGCAAAGGGTTGGATGGCAGGGGAGGAAGGAAGCTGCAGGCCAGGGGCTGGGGGCTCACCTGTCAGAGAGCTCTCATTCACCATGCACTCGCCGGCCACCAGGGCGGCATCACAGGGCATCAGCCCACCCTCCTGGGGCAGCACCAGGCAGTCTCCGGGCACTAGCTCACTGGAGTCCACCCACTCTTCCTCTGCAGGCAGGCAGGAGAGGAGCTCAGCTAGGTGGGGCCAGCCCCAGCCATGCCCCCCCACCCTCCCACTCCTGCCCCCGCCCCCTGGGCCCTAGCTCCTCACCTCCCCCTGGCCGGCACACGCACACCCGCATGGACAACTTGACCATGTCCCTTAGAGTCTGGCTTTGCTGTGGGCAGGGGACAAGAGGGCCGTGAGTGGGTGGGGGCCCCTGGGGACCCACCTGTCCCGTCCCCACCCACCTTATGGCACTCACCTTTCTGGTCTTGTACAGCGACAGGCAGATGGAGATGGAGGAAATGAGGAAGATGCACAGGGCGTACCAGTAGTAGTGGTCAGCCAGCCACAGCGCGATGCTGAAGGCCTGGAACCCATAGTAGGGGTTCAGTGCCTGGGGGAGGGGCGGGAGGCAGCGTCAGGGCCGCGTCCCCCAGGGCAGCCCAGCCACAGGCTGGGTCTCCTGTGCCCATGGGAGCAGAGGGCCCAGTGGCTGCCAAAGGACTGGAGCCAGGCCTTTCTCCTGGTCAATCCCATCCCCACCCAACCAGACATCCCCAGGGCCCTCAGTTTCTCCGCTCTAAAGAGGACAAGGGTTTATGACCAGCCTGGGCAACATGGCGAAACCCCATATCTACAAAAAATACAAAAATTAGCCTGATGGGGTGGCCTGTGCCTACGCTCCCAGCTACTCAGGAGGCTGAGGTGGGAGGATCACTTAAGCTGGGGAGGTGGAGGGTGCAGTGAGCTGAGATCGCGCCACTGCACTCCAGCCTGAGTGACAGAGGGAGACCCTGTCTCAAAAAAAATAAACAAATAAATAAATAGGATAAGGGTATTTACTGAACCCCCACTACACGCCAAGTGCTTTATCTAAGTGTCATACAATGGCAATGACAATTCTACAAGGCCGGTACCACCATTAGCTCCATTCTACAGATGAGGAAACCAAGGCATGGACAGGTGAAGCCACTGGCCTAAAACCACATAGTTCCAGCCAGGTGCGGTGGCTCATGCCTATAATCCCAGCACTTTGCAAGGCCGAGGCAGGTGGGTCATCTGAGGTCAGGAGTTTGAGACCAGCCTAGCCAACATAGTGAATCCCCGTATCTACTAAAAATACAAAAAAAAAAAAAAATTAGCTGGGCGTGGTGGCAGGCGCCTGTAGTCCCAGCTATGTAGGAGGCTCAGGCAGGAGAATCACTTGAACCCAGGAGGTGGACATCGCAGTGAGCCGAGATCACGCCATTGCACTCCAGCCTGGGCAACAAGAGCAAAACTCTGTCTCAAAAAAAAAAACAACAAACAAAAAACAAAAAACCACATAGCTTCTAAGTGACAGACTGATTTCTATGGGGCCAGACTCAAAGATCTCTTTCATGGTGCCTGCCCCCGATCAGAGGGCTGGGATGTTCACACTTTATTCTAGTTGTGTCCAGGTCACTGGCTTCTCTTTGTCCCTGTGTGACCTTGGCCATGTCACAGCCTCCAACTGAAGCTTGGATTTCTCAGGTGTGAACAGTGCAGTCCCAGGCCCAACCCACGGGACTGTTGGGAGCATGAAAGTGGAGGACGCACAGAGAGGACCCAGGCTCTAGGGCGTGTCTCTGGGGACCCCATAGATGCTCAGGCTGCGTGGATTTGCCTCTTGGCCTCCAATCCCTATGAGTGGGGCCCCAATCTGTGACCCAAGCCTTGGGCAGAACCTCCAATTCCTGGACCTGGTCTCTCTGGCTAGGCTGACTGCGGCAGGTTCTGAGATGACGATCCACTATGGAGAAGGGGACAGCTGGTCTGGTTGCCACCGTAAAGTGGCCCAGAGGAGGCAAGCCCTGGGCCAAGGTCACACAGCACGCCAGGCAGGGCTGGGGCAAGACCCAGGGACAGCCCTACCTCGTCCACCAGCAGCTGGGGGTAGGACTTGACCGGTATGCTGATCACGTTGGGGCCGTAAATGGCCTTCCTGGAAGAGGGGATGAGGCCAAGCCATCAGAAGGAGGAGCTGTGGCTGGACCCTCCCGGGGTGAAGGAGCTCCCCACTTTCAGCTGGGGGAACTGAGGCCCAGAGAAGGCAGGTGACTGGAAGGCAACCACATTGGGGGGCAACACAAGGAGCCCCAGTTCTCAGGGCACCCCGGTCCAGGGCAGCACTGACCTCACCATTTGGTCCTGGAGGCTGAGGCCATGGCGGGAGCGGTGGACGTCGTCACAAGAGCGGCCATGGTCCAGGAGGCTGGGGGTGGGTGCGAGGGGACACGCATGGGCCATGGGGCCTGAGGTCTGCATCCCCCACCCTGTGCAGGCTGGAGACTATGGGCTCTAGGCCCCCCATCCCCGTTCTGCCACACTGAGCTCCTGGGAGCAAGTAAGCCCCCTTGAACCCAAGGCTTGGCTTTGCCCTTTTGTTCCTCTCACTGGGTTCCAAACCAAGTCACTGAAGAAGGAGAACAGCGAGAGATGATGCTAATAATATGAACAGTGAAAAGAGTAGCTGTTATTTAGTGATAAGGGCACTATTTACACTGATGATACCCTGGGCAAGTCACTTAACCTCTCTGTGCCTCAGTTTTCTCATCTGCAAAATGGGGGCAGTGACAGCACCTACCACATAGGGCCATGGGTAGATTAAGTGGGGCAAGCCTCGGGGACTGCTTTGGACGTGCCTGCCACTTGCTAAGTGATGAATGCACGGGTGATTTTTGCTATTATCCCCATCATGCAGCAGAGGCTGTTGCTGCCATCCCCATCTCCCCTCTGCCTCACCTCCACATGACAGCTGGACCCTGAAAACACCTGTCTTTACCTGAGGCCTTCTGGCTGCATGTGAATCCCCTGCCTGTGAGCCCGGAAAGCGTGGAAGACTTTGTGTCCCGTGACTGATAATGGCAGGGAATTTGATGGTAACTGTCCTCACTCCCTGTGTGAGGTCGCCCAGAGGTGTGTGGTCTACGCTGGCCCAAGGAGATCCCCAGGCGACTGAAGTCCGGGTGTCCACAGCTGTGGCAGCCAGCATAACCTCCCTCCGTGCTTCCATCCCTTCCCCAGCACTGCCTGGGATCAGCTTCAAAACAAACTCCCTGCCCTTGAGCCCTTGTCTGGGGGTCTGCTTCTGCGGCATTCAAACTAAAGTGTGTGAGCAGGGCCCGGTGGCTCATGCCTGTAATTCTAGCACTTTGGGAGGCTGAGGCGGGTGGATCACCTGAGGTCAGGTATTTGAGAACAGCCTGGCCAACATGGTGAAACCCCGTCCCTACAAAACATGCAAAAATTAGCTGGGTGTGGTGGCATGCACCTGTAATCCCAACTACTCGGGAGGCTGAGGCAGGAGAATCGCTTGAACCCAGGAGGCGGAGGTGCAGTGAGCCGAGAATGCGGCATTGCACTCCAGCCCGGGCAACAAGAGTGAAACTCCATCTTAAAAAACAAACAAACAAACCAAAAAAACCACACACACACACACACACACACACACACACACACACATACACACAAACTAAGGTGTGTGGTGAGCTTGTGTTTCTTTTTCTTTTTTTTTTTTTTTGAGATGGAGTCATGCTCTGTCATCCAGGCTAGAGTGCAGTGGCGCGATGTTGGCTCACTGCAACCTCTGCCGCCCAGGTTCAAGCGATTTTCCTGCCTCAGCCTCCCAAGTAGCTGGGATTACAGGCACATGCCATCACGCCCAGCTAATTTTTGTGTTTTTAGTAGAGATGGGGTTTCAGCATCTTGGCCAGGCTGATCTTGAACTCCTGACCTCGTGATCCACCTGTCTTGGCTTCCCAAAGTGCTGGGATTACAGGGGTGAGCCACCGCACCCAGCCTGAGCTCATGTTTCTTAAGCCTTTTGTAGGTGGCAGAGCAGTGACTAAACCCCAAGCAGACAGTCTGAGTACAGAGCTGATAGTCTGATTCACAGTGGTGTCACAACCTCAGATCACATTCGGTGCCAAGCTCTACATAAATTATTATCTATTTCACCATCAAAACAATCCTAGGAGGCAGAAGTTATCTTCATGCCCTATTTATAGACAGAGATCCCAGGCCTGGAGGGGCTCAGTAACCTGCCCAAGGTTTCAGACAGCAAAAGCATCAGAGCTGAGAGGGGAGCCCAGGCCATGCCATGCCACCGTCTGTGCCCAAACCAGTGCCACTCTGGGAGGTGACATGAGCCACACAGGCCCTGACTCCTACCTGACCTGGTAGAAGGCTTGCTGGGTCTCGATCCAGATATAGCGCTGGCCCTGGAAGAGGTAATACCGCAGCACCCGCTTCTGGGTGGGAGAGAGGAGAGGATGGGTTGGAAGCTGGCCCCGGCCCCAGAAGCAGTGTGCTTATGCTGGGAGCCGAGGGATGGGGGTAGGGGGCAGGGACTGGTGTCACCAGACAGAGAGGTGGGGAGAGGCCTGAAAGTGTAAACGTGCTCAGACAGCATCCTGGATGTTTGGGACAACAGAACTAAAAGGTGGTGGGAGAACATGAAGTCTGACTCTCCCATTGCACAGATCATGAAACCGAGGCCGAGAGAGGGGCAAGGACTTTTTCAGAACCCACCTGTCCGACACTCACCGCCTCCTCGCTCTTGTGGAGCTGGGCCGTATCCTTCCAGGCACCCTCTGGTACCGCCCCAACTGCCGCCTGGCTCCGGCCATCCTCTGCCTGGGACTGTGGGGACGGCTCCAGGCTGGGGAAGCAGGTGAGGGTTACTCTCGAGCTCTGGGAGCTGCCCTGGCACCTCCCTGTGCTCACAGAGCCATCTTCCCTCCCTAGGATGGGAGGCGCCAGAGTCAGCCTTTATGGGGGGGCCGAGGGTTGGGGAAGTTGGGGAGGCCAGGGTAGCAGGGGCTTCTGGGAAGGGGCAATGGGGCTGCCTCACCTGCCCTCGCCGATGGCCTCAGTCTGCACCTGGACAGTGAAGAGCTGCCAGGAACTATCCTGGAACACAGAGGTATGGACTCAGTCTCAGAAGAGTCCCCTCCCCTCCCAGGCCCTGTCCTACAGCCAGGCGGCCCCTGCTGGAGAAGGCAGAAATCAAGGCTATGGAGAGCCCTCCAGAAACCACCCGACCCGTCCCTTCTGCCCAATGCTCAGATGGGAAAGCTGAGGTCCAGAGAAGAGCGGGACCTGCCTAATGTCCCATGGAAAGTCAGTGGCCGGGTTGGCACCCAAGCATCCTCCACCCCCGACCCTGACCCTCACTGCGCTTCTCTAGCCCCAGGCTCAGCCTGACTCTCACCTCTTTGTCTCTTATTTCGATAACGAGTGTTTCGGCGTGGGCCAGGTTGCAGGGCCGGAGCCGCAGCCGCACCCCCCACAGGGGCTTCCAACGGAAGAGCAGCAAAGGGATCCCAGCCATCATCCAGACCACGACGTGATAGCCGATGACCCTCCATGGACTGCCACAGTAGCCGCTGAGCCTCTGCGAACGCAGCGAGAGAGGGCCCAGGTCGGGGTGGGAACGGGGCTGGAGTAGGAAGTTGGGGTGTCTGGGTGGGCCTGGGCATTCACCCCCTGCAGCTTTTCCCCACCCCACTCTGCCCACTTACCACGGATGAAACTGAGGAGCTGAGGGGATCTATTGATGTCCCTATCGTCAGGGTCCCATAACCGGTGGGCGTGCTGCCCACGAGAGGGCTGCTGTCTGTGGACAGAAAAGAGAAAGGTCATTTGGGGAGGCACCTTCTCCTCTTGCTTCCTTAAAAACAATAAACATCAGCCTGGGCGCGGTGGCTCACGCCTGTAATCCCAGCACTTTGGGAGGCCGAGGCGGGTGGATCACCTGAGGTTAGAAGTTCGAGATCAACCTGGCTAACATGGTGAAACCCATCTCTACTAAAAATAAAAAAAATTAGCCGGGCGTGGCAGCGCGTGCCTGTAATCTCAGCTACTCAGGAGGCTGAGGCAGGGGAATCACTTGAACCTGGGAGGTAGAGGTTGCAGTGAGGCAAGATCACACCACTGCACCCCTGCCTGAGCAACAGAGTGAGACTCCATCTCAAAAAACTAAACAAAACAAAACACAAAACAGTAAGCACCTGGTCTGACAGAGCCCAAAGCTCATGTCTTCCTGTGTCCTTTATCTGGCTCTTCTTTCCGTCGGTTCTTACTTACCGTATCTTTTTTTTTTTTTTGAGACGGAGTGTCACTCTGTCACCCAGGCTGGAGTGCAGTCACTTGATCTCAGCTCACTGCAACCTTTGCCTCCCAGGTTCAAGCGATTCTCCTGCCTCAGCCTCCCGAGTAGCTGGGATTATAGGCATGCACCACCATGCCCAGCTAATTTTTGTATTTTTAGTAGAGATGGGGTTTCACCATGTTGGCCAGGCTGGTCTCGAACTCCTGACCTCAAGTGATCTGCCCACTTTGGCCTCCCAAAGTGCTGGGATTACAGGCATGAGCCACCGTGCTTGGCCAGTAGTGTCTTGTTTCCTTGCGTGTGTCGGTCTTTCTGCTGGGTATGGCCCAGAATTGGAGAATGGGGCCTGGACAGTGCCCCAAGCCCCCATGGTGCTCGTGCATCCAGCCATTAGCTTCCTTGGAGCTCTGGGTCTCACTTTTCTATCCTCATCCAGTCCCCACCCTGAGGGCAGGGGTCAGGGATGCTTATCTTCATTCCATGCCCGTGCCCAGCCCAGGTCTGGCAGTGAGGAGATGCAAAGTCAAGTCTGGACTAATAAACGGTCAGCCCTGCAGGCCTATCTTTACAGATGGGTAAACTGAGACTTGGGGAATGGTATCAGGTGGTTCTATTGCAGATATTCTTTTTTTTTTGAGATGAAGTCTTGCTCTGTCGCCCAGTCTGGAATACAATGGCATGATCTCGGCTCACTACAACCTCTGCCTCCCAGGTTCAAGCGATTATCCTGCCTCAGCCTCCCGAGTAGCTGGGATTACAGGCGCCCAGCTAAGTTTTGTATTTTCAGTAGAGACGGGGTTTCACCATGCTGGTCAGGGTGGTCTCAAACTGCCGACCTCAGGTGATCCACCCGCCTTGCCTCCCTGAGTGCTGGGCTGACAGGCTGAGCCACTGCGCCCGGCCACAGACATTCTTTTCACTCCTTCCTCCTGTGCTGTAGAGCTGTGGCCTTAGCAGGGCAGGCAGCCAGTGGATGTTCTGGGGCTCCAGAGCGGGTAGAGCTCACCAGCCCCACCCTTGGACAGCCTCTGTCAGGGTTCATCTACGGTCCCAGACCACCTGGAGCACCTTTTACATATGCAGATGCCAGGGCCCTCCCCAGACTGGCTGGATCAACTCCTCAGGCCGGGGTAGGGATGGTGCTAGGCATCTGTGGTTTCACAAGAGCCTCTGAAAAAGCTCACTAAGCTGGAAAAGCTGGGCGGGTGCGGGGTAGGCTGCTGATTTTCTGGGCTCCCTCCTTCATCCCCCAATCTGAGCCCTTCTAAAATTTTTCCTTTTTTTTTTTTTTTTTTTGAGAGCGAGTCTCGCTCTGTCACCCAGGCTGGAGTGCAGTGGCGCGATCTCGGCTCACTGCAAGCTCTGCCTTCCGGGTTCACACCATTCTCCTGCCTCAGCCTCCCAAGTAGCTGGGACTACAGGCGCCCGCCACCACGCCCGGCTAATTTTTTGTATTTTTAGTAGAGATGGGGTTTCACCGTGTTAGCCAGGATGGTCTCGATCTCCCGACCTCGTGATCCGCCCGCCTCGGCCTCCCAAAGTGCTGGGATTACAGGCGTGAGCCACAGCGCCCGGCGAGCCCTTCTAAAATTTCTACCCAAAGAGTCCAGAGTGCCCCAGGCAGCTGCTGTGGGCACAGCACCCCCAGCCTCTGAGCAGCCCCATCCCCAAGCACTCTGGCTTCAACACTCCTAGAGGGCTCACTGTGCACAGGGTACATGGCTAACGTATCAACCCTGCCAGGTAACCTCGGTTGTGATGTCCTTTCATTCATTCATTCATTCATTTATTTACTTATCACTCTTGTAGCCTCGGCTTCCCAAAGTGCTGGGATTACAGGCGTGAGCCACCATGCCCAGCTTACAGTTTTCGTGTATAAGTCTTTTTTTGAGACAGTCTCTCTCTGTCACCCAGGCTGGAGTGCAGTGTTGCGATCATAGCTCACTGCAGCCTTGACCTCCCAGGCTCAAGCAATTCTCCCACCTCAGCCTCCAAATAGCTGGGACTACAGGCACAGGCCACCATGCCCAGCTAATTTTTTTTGTAGAGACAGGGTTTTGTCTTTTTGCCCATCATTTGTTCCTAAGAATTTCTTTTTTGATGCTGTGTTTCATACAGCAAGTGCCTTTGCCTCTCTGGGCTTCCATTTCTCATCTCTAGGATGATAGTCCCGAAGCATCCAGCACACAGGGAGGTAGAAGCATTTGAAGTTCCTGGGGGGGTTGCGTGGACAGGTGGGCAGGACCCGGCTCCCAGGTCAGGGGGGCGTGGCTTCTGCTTATCCATTTCCCAGGCTCTCTTCTCCTTTCACATCACCCTGTCTGAAGCCCTGGCTGTCCCACGGCTCCCTAGGCCCATTCAACAGTTGCTCCTTGTACCTTAAAACCCTCAGGCCGGCCGTGCGCAGTGGCTCACGCCTGTAATCCCAGCCCTTTGGGAGCCCAAGGGGGGCGGATCACGAGGTCAGGAGGTGGAGACTAGCTGAGACCATCCTGGCTAACACGGTGAAACCCTGTCTCTACTAAAAATATAAAAACCAAATTAGCCGGGCGTGGTGGCAGGCGCCTGTAGTCCCAGCTACTTGGGAGGCTGAGGCGGGAGAATGGTGTGAACCCAGAAGGTGGAGCTTGCAGTGAGCTGAGATCACGCCACTGCACTCCAGCCAGGGTGACAGAGCAAGACTCAAAAAAAAAAAAAAAAACCCTCAGGCCAACAGCCCAGCGGGCTCAGGGATGATGGGAAAGGAGCCATCCCTGCGGTGCTGATTTGATTTCCTCCCGCACCAACCCACAAGGTGGGCTCTCTTACCCAGTTTGACAAACGAGAGCACTGAGCCTCTGGGGCAGTTGCCCTCAGACTTGTCTCAAAGCTGGAACAGGGCTGGCCTTACTCCCAGGTCCTCTCTGCCCAGCACATCTACTCCTGACATTCCCCTCAGCATCAGGCTCAGATGGGTGTCACTGCCCTTACTGCTCACAGTACCTGCCATGTGCTCAGGGGTCAGGAAACACTGATTGACCGACTGACTGAATGAATGAATGTCTGTCTCTTGGACACAACAGAGCTTGAAGGCAAAGGTGCTGGGAGTTGGGGGGAGGGGCTTGAGCCTCTTCCTTTTTTTTTTTTTTTTTTTTTTTAAAAGAGACAGGGTCTCACTCTGTCACCCAGGCTGGAGCACAGTGGCATGATCCTAGCTCACTGGAGCCTTGACCTCCTAGGCTAAAGGAGGTACTCTTGCCTCTGCCTCCCAAGTAGCTGGCACTACAGGCAGGTGCCACTGCACCAGGCTAATTTTTTTTTAGTAGGGACAGGGTCTCATTTTGTTGCCCAGGCTGATCTTGAACTCCCGGCCTCATGCTGATCCTCCTACCTCAGCCTCCCAAAGTGCTGGGATTACAGGTGTGAGCCACCACACCCGGCCTCAAGACTCTTTATGAAGAAAAGGTTCTTCAAAAAGAGGGCAGAGTCCCCAGTATGTAAACAGCGGTCCCCCTGGGAAGTTCTTCCTCATGGCAATCGTATGACTGTCACTTCACAATGACACTCTCTCAGTCAACCTTGGCAAAGAGGAAAAGGGGAGTGGAACTTGAGGGAGGAAGTCACAGCTGTGGAAACCTCCAGAGCCCCTCCCTGCAGGGATCAAGCCCAGGGCACTCTCTCCTGCAGTACATCTGTTTATCCCCAGCCACAGCCCAGTCTCCCCAGGGCTTCTGTGGGCTCAGACCAGCCCAGAACAGGCACCCACAGGCTGTGTGGGGGGGCGAGAGCACCTTCATGATGGCATTGCTCTTTTTTTTGAGATGGAGTCTTCCCCCCCCGTTCCCCCCTTCCCCCCTGCCCGTCTCCCAGGCTGGAGTGCAGTGGAGAGATCTCAGCTCACTGCACCCTCCACCTCCCAGGTTCAAGCAATTCTCCTGCCTCAGTTCCTGAAGTAGCTGAGACTACAGGCACATGCCACCACACTCAGCTAATTTTTGTATTTTTAGTAGAGACGGGGTTTCCCCATGTTGGCCAGACTGGTCTTGAACTCCTGACCTCAAGTAATCCGCCTGCCTCAGGCTCCCAAAGTGCTGGGATTACAGGCGTGAGCCACCACGCCTGGCCTGTCATTGCTCTTCTGATGAACAGCAGCTCCCATGGAGTGCTCACCATGCCCTGCGGAAGCCCTTCAGTGTGCTAACTCAATGAAGCTTCACACACAACCCTCTGGGGTAGTGACTATTATTATCCCCATTGTACACCTGGGGAAACTGAGGAACAGCATGTGAATCCCTTGTCCAGGGTCATAGAGCTTGAAAGGGGAGAAGCTGGAAATGAGTGTGTCTGAATGGGCACATTCTTTCCCACAGCCATTCCATGAAAAGTACAGATTAGGATTCCCATTTAAAACGAGGCCCAGAGGAGTAGATTGACAAGCACAAAGTCACACAGCTATGAGGGGCCAAGACTGGACTTGAACCTCGTCTGAGGTCACAGCTCGGGGCAGTGTCACCAGCACTGTGGATCAGAGGGGCTAGAGCCATTTGGGACCTCTTATTTCCTGCGGAAGCCTTGGCTTCCTGCTGGTGACCTGGCAGCGGCCCAGGGCGGCTGCCTCCTCCCTGGCTGTGGTTCCCGGCGGCGGGGAGCTCCTGTCTTCTGCCAGGCTGAGGCGGGAGTGTGTGTGAACCATCTTCCCATCTTTGGATCTGGATTCTAGGGGCTGTCTTTCCTCATTCCTTCCCCTCCCTCGCCGGGGGGTGCACTCTAGGCTGTGGGGCTGGGGGCTGAGTGACAGACACTGAGATGAGACCTTTCTGGATAGGGGAGGAGGACTGGCCCCATTCCCGGCAGGTGGGATTTAAATTAGACCCTGGAGGAGTGGGCGTAGGACATCTGGCCAGGGATGGGTTGCATGGAGGGTGTGGCCCTTGGCCCTGGGTGTGACGGGTTTTCTCTGGGGTCTGAGGCAGGAGGTCAGGAGTGGCGCTGTGGCCCAGGACATCTACCCAGGAAATGGAGTCCCGACTCCCCCAACGCCATTCATTCATTCATTCAGCCCAGAGGGGTTGCCCAGAGGCCCGAGGATGCAGCCGTCTCCCCCACCTGGACATCCGTCACTCGGGGTGGGATCCGATTAAGTGGGCGTGGGGTGGCCTCCCCGTCCCCGCACGGCCCCAGGACCCTCTTGCACAAGCGCCCGGCTTCCAATCCCGCGGCTGAGGGGTGCAGGGGAGGGGAGGGACCGGCTGCGAGCGGCGGCGCCATCCCCAGCCCCGGCGTCTCTGGGAAGAAACCGGGGCCGAGTCCCCGTCAAAAGGGAGGGGACGGGCCAGGATCCCCAACCAGGTCCCGCTTCCTGGGCTCGCGACCCCGCGGTGGGGGGCGTCGCCTCCCCTCTCCCTCCAAGGGGTGACGACAACTGGCGGGCCGGGGACCGCGCCGGGCTCGGGGCCGACCCGGACTCCGCACTCACCTGCGCTCATGCCGGCTCCTCGCGCTCATCGCCGGCCCCGGCGCTGCGGCCCTCGGCCTGGGCCCCGGCGTGCGCAAGGCCCTGGGCGGGGGCGCGGTCCGGACGGCCCGGGGCGAGGGGCGCTGGGCTAGCGCGGGGCTGGAGCAGGGCTGACGCGGGCGGGGCACCTGGGCCACCAGGCTCGGCGCGGCTCCGACACTGCCGCAGTCCCTCCGTGCGCGCCGCAAGCCCCGCCCGGCCCTCTGCGGCCCTCGCAGCGCCCGCGCCGGGGCTGCCGGGACTTGTAGTCCCCGCCTGCTCCTCCGCACACACCGGGGGCGGGGCGACCGGAGACACACACCTCACGGAGGTAGCCCCCGCCAGCACGTCCCAGTGGTTAGGGACTGTGCGTGCTGGTCCAGCTCTCCATGTCTTCCAGGCCGCGCGACCGTGAGCAAGTCACTGATCCTCTCTGGCCCTCTTTTCCCAACCTGTAGGATAGCAATGCCTGCTTCACAGAGAACTGCTGCGAGGATCACACAAGAAAATGCTTGTCAACTGGGCGTGGTGGCGCATGCCTGTAATCCCAGCTACTCGGAGACTAAGCCAGGAGAATCGCTTGAACCCAGGAGGCGGAGGTTGCTGTGAGCCGGGATCATGCCATTGCACTCCAGCATGGGCAAAAAGAGCGAAACTCTGTCTCAAAAAAAAAAAAAAAAGAAAATGCGTATCAAGCACTTGAGACAGTGCCTGGCGCTGCTTGATGAATGCAAAGAAGGAAGACACACCTGCCCAGAGATTCACAGGGTCAGATGTGGGCCCACAGAGACCCAGGGAGAGTCTGCCATGATGCACTGGAGGCCTTGAAATGCCAGAGAAAGAGAAGCCTCACAGCGTGACCTGCAGACACACCTGCACTGGGGGGATTCATGAAGACCCCTGAAAGGCACCAGAGATGTCTTACCTGCGTGCAGCATTTATCCTGCTACCCCATAGTGACCGGCACAGGCATAGTGTTCCCTGTCTCCAGGACCTCTGGACAGAGGAGCTCCAAAGGGGAGAGTGGATCTGTGAGATCCTAGGGCAAACAAGGGAAGGTTCACGTTAGGGCCAAGGATAGACGTGGGCAGGATCACTGGTCATTTGTCCAGTATGAATTTATGGAGTGCCAGCACCACTGTGGGAGCCAGGAACGTGAGAGTGAACAAAACAGAGATGCCCCTGTCCCTGCGGAGACTGCTGTCTACTGGGAAGTAGCCCTAGTCAAGGAAAGGAAAACTCCAACGATCCCTATTGTGGAAGGGGCTGGAAGGAGACACAGCTGTGATGGTGGTGAGGGTGTGGGTAGGGGATAGACCCCAGGAGGGAAAGCAGCACCTGATTCATAGCAAGATCCCAGTGAACATTTGGTACAGGAACACACGTTGGCAGGACTTGCTGGTGGATAGGATGTGGGGGTGCAGGAATGTGTGGAATTCAAGATGCTCCCCAGGGTTTTGGCCTGAGCAGCTGGGTGCCAGTGGAGCCATTTACTCAGCTGGGGCAGGCTGCCCGAGCCAACCAGTTGCGGGTCATTCCTGTTGACCACCTGGGCCATGGGACTGGCTTCCTTGGGTCAGGTGACAAGAGTTCTTTCATCTTCCGGTGACACTTCCAGGGGAGGCAGGCTGCTTAACTTTTCAGAACTCCCATGTCCTCCCCCAGGGCTTAGCTCAATTTCTGGCAGGAACCCAGCCTCCAGGGCAGCAGGAAGGCTGGGTTTGGAAATGGCTAGCCCAGGTGGCCTTGGCAAGAGGCAGTATGGTACAGTGGCAAGGGGCTGGGTTCTGGCATCAGAAAGACATGGATGCATGAGTTGCTTTCTAGCTGTGTGAGCTTTAAAATGTCACTTTCCTTCTCTAAGGCTCTCCTTCCCCTCACCTACAAAATGGAAGGCATGGAGAGGATGAAATGAGATGGCAGGAACTTGGTAGAAGCCAGCTGCTTGCTTTAGATCCTGGCACTGGATTAGCGGCTTCATAAAAGCAGAGGTACTCCAGTCTGGGTGAAAGACTGAGACTCCCTCTAAAATAAATAAATAAATAAATAAATAAATAAATAAATAAATAAAAGCAGAGGGCTTGGGGACTGCATGGGGGACTGCCTTGCAAGGGTGCCCCCTTCATTCTTTTTATTGCTAAGGCTGCCTGGCCTTAAAGGGGCTCTATTCCCTGAGCCAGCTGGGAAGGAGCCGCACCTGCAGCTCGTCCCTTCTCCTTAATGAGGGAGGAGGCCAGAGGAAGCTTCCTTCCAAACCACAGAGCATGTGGGAGGCCTTGCCATCTGCTTGGGGTTACCTTTGGGGAAGTGGCTCTCGGTGTGTGGTCATCGAGGAGGTCTGTGGCCCAGGCTGTCTTCCCGGATAACCGTGTCTGAAATTTCCAGTCCCACGTGGGTGAGAACCGACTGAACAGCTTCCCTTCTAGGCTGTGGCTCTCTTGGGAACCCACGGAGAGGGCGTAATAGGCCTGGTCCCAGTGGCAAAAAGCTTGAGAAATCACTAATTTGGGCGAGTTTATTCCAGAGCATTGCTTTACTTTTCGACTTCTCTAGTTTCACTAGATTTTTGCAACAAAAGAGGATTTTTTTCACCTAGTAACAAACCCTGTTGGTAGGATTATGGCTGTCTAGACACACAGTAAAGTGGGGTTTCAGTTTTTGTTTTTGTTTTTTTTGTTTGTTTGTTTTGAGACAGGGTCTCTCTCTGCTGCCCAGGTTGGAGCACAGTGGCATGATCTCAGCTCACTGCAGCCTCGACCTCCTGGGCTCAAGTGATCCTCCCACCTCGGCTCAAGTGATCCTCCCACCTCAGCCTTCTGTGTACCTGGGACTACAGGTGAGCACTACCACACCCAGCTAATTTTTCTGTTTTTTTTTTTTGTAGAGATGGGGTTTGCCATGTTACCCAGGCTGGTCTCGAACTCCTGTGCTTCAGAGATCCACCTTGGTCTCCCAAAGTGGGATTACAGGAGTGAGCCACTGTGCCTGGCCGAGTTTCAGCACTTTGTATGGTAGTTATCCTGGTGCCAGGAAGGGAAGGGGCCTGAAGAGAATTTGACCAATGGGAGTCCCTCCCTGACCTGAGCAGTGTGACGGGAGAGATGAGAAATAAGCAATATTAGCCTTGCACGGAAAAACCATCCTCCCAACAGGGAGGCCTCTAGCTCTGGCCAGTCATGTCAGAAACATGCCAGCTGTCAACTCAGGGTTGGGAAGGAATTACTCTTGCAGCCTCCCAGCATTCACTCGAGGGCCTTTCACATAGTAGGTACTCAAGACAAATCCGTTCACTTGAGTTTATGGAGCATTTACTCTACTGCAGGCAAGATGCTTTCACATTTACTTTTAGACTTCAACCATAATTCTGAGAGGGGAATGCTGTTAATTCCCATTTTACAGATAGGAAAATAGAGTCACAGATGTTCAACATGTCCAGAGCTAGGTAAGAAGGGATGGCTGGCTTCAGTCCTACGAAATTCTATTTTTATTTTTAATTTCTTTAGAGACAGGTTCTGGCTCTGTGATCCAGGCTGGAGTGCAGAGGCACGATCCTAGTTCACGGCAGCCTCTAACTCCTGGGCTCAAGCAATCCTCCCACCTCCCAAAGCGCTAGGATTATAGGCGTGAGCCACAGGGCCAGGCTGGAAGTATTATCTTGTAAATGAAGGCACACTGGGCACAGAAGTAGCATACAGGACAAAATACTGTTCCCCACACAGGTCTGCAGTTTTACTGGAAAAGCCTTTGTGACTGTTGCAATAGAACATTTGTCTCCAATTCAATGAAAGATTAAGCAGTAAATTAAACTATCAGTTGATAACATATACCAATTTAACTTGGAGTTCAACTGCGGAGAGTGACCATCAGAGTCAACCCAGCCTCTGATGACGCTGATCTGAAGTGGCGACTCCTAAGCTACACCCTGCCTCTTATCAGTTGTTGCGGACCCATCTTTACAAAGCATTAAGTTGTTCATGAGAAGCAGGGTGTGCTTGCCCACACCTGTAATCCCAGCACTTTGGGAGGTCGAGGCAGGTGGATCGCTTGAGTTAGAGATCAGTATGCTCAACAAACATGGTGAAACCCTGTCTCTACTAAAAATACAAAAATTAGCTGCGTAACGCCTGTAACCCCAGCTAGTTGGGAGGCTGAGGCAGGAGAATCGCTTGAACTTGGGAGGCGGAAGTTGCAGTGAGCCAAGATTGCACCACTGCACTCCAGCCTGGTGACAGAGCGAGACTCCAAAAAAAAAAAAAAAAAAAAAAAGTCATTCATGAGAAAAACCCATCTTTCCCTACAGATCTGGAGATTAGAAGCCAAGTCAAATTATCCATGAATCCAAGGAATGTGACCTTTCCCCAGGCTGATAGAAAGCCATTAGGTCTGAGCTGGGGAACAGAAGCTATCCACAGACATGGCCCGCAGTTCAAGTTCCACTGTCTTTCAAGAAGCCAGTGCACTCCACAATCTTAGGCTTCAGCGCCGCAGGGCCATGTACTGTGTGTCTCACTGAGATAGTCAAGAATTCCAAGATGCTGTAGGGAGGGGCACACGGCCCTGTTCTTGAAATTTCTGATGTTTGTTCCTTTTTCCTTTGTGACCTTGGCTCCTAGGTGGCAGGCAGGCAACAAATCTTGTTCATCCTTGTCCCCAGCACCTCACCTTCCATAATGCCTGAGACAGATGCTTGTTGAATCAGCCCTTTAAGCCAGAAAATGCTCATTAAGGCTCATTCTCGGTGAGTCACACGTTTTCTCAGCTGCTTGCCTCAGGATGCATGAAACCTTTGTTTTCCGGATGATCCAGAGGTTTCCAGCTACGACTTAAAAAAGCAGCCTTGGATGAAAAGGTGAATAGGGACCACCCGAATGTGCCTTAGTAGGGGAATGGTTAAATAAGGGTACACCCATGCCACAGTGCTCTTAAGCAGGAGTTCCAAAAATTTTTACATACACACACACACAGATAAGGGAGGTCTTGGCTGGGCACGGTGGCTCATGCCTGTAATCCCAGCACTTTGGGAGGCCGAGGCGGGCGGATCACGAGGTCAGGAGATCGAGACCATCCTGGCTAACACGGTGAAACCCTATCTCTACTAAAAATACAAAAAATTAGCCGGGCGTGGTGGCGGGCCCCTGTAGTCCCAGCTGCTCTGGAGGCTGAGGCAGGAGAATGACGTGAACCCAGGAGGCGGAGCCTGCAGTGAGCCGAGATCGCGCCACCACACTCCAGCCTGGACGACAGAGCGAGACTCTGTCTCAAAAAAAAAAAAAAAAAAAAAACACACAACAAAACAACAACAACAAAAAGGTAGGTCTTTATTAGCACTGAAATCCCTTCTACATTGTGAGGTAAAAATAGAGGCCGGGCGCAGTGGCTCACACCTGTAATCCCAGCACTTTGGGAGGCTGAGACGGGCGGATGACGAGTTCAGGAGATCAAGACCATCCTGGCTAACACGGTGAAACCCCGTCTCTACTAAAAATACAAAAAAATTAGCCAGGCATAGTGGCGGGCGCCTGTAGGCCCAGCTACTTGGGAGGCTGAGGCAGGAGAATGGCGTGAACCCGGGAGGCGGAGTGCAGTTTTTTTTTTGGGACTCCGTCTCAAAAAAAAAAAAAAAATAGCTGCTGGCAGACTATAGGATACCCCTTTATTTTTAAAATCTTTTTTGGTATGTTAAGAAAAAAAAGAGACAGGGTCTCACTATGTTGGCCAGGTTGATCTTGAAGTCCTGGCCTCAAGCAATCCTCCCACCTTGGCTTCCCAAAAGTGCTAGAAGCCACTGTTCCAGGCTTTTTTTTTTTTTTTTTTTAAAGGAATGGGGTCTCACTATGTTGCCCAGGCTGGAGCGCAGTAACTATTCACAGGCGCAATCATGGCAAACCATAGCCCCGACCTCTTGGGCTCACGTGATGCTCCCACCCCAGCCTCCTGAGTAGCTGGATTAGGGGCACACGCCACAGCTCCTGGCTCTATGGTACCTTACTTTTGAAGGGAGAAAGTTTTATATATGCTGCATAACTGTAATAACGTAGAGTGTGGAAGGAAATGTCTAAGCTATCAACGGGATGAGTTTGGAGGAGCTTCCACTTTTACTTTCCCCCTTTCTCCTTTTTTGCATTGCTTTTTTGTTTTGTGGAGACAGGGTCTCACTCTGTTGCTCACACTGGAGTGCAGCGGTGTGATCTCGGTCACCGCAACCTCCACCTCCCAGGCTCAAGTGATTCTCCTGCCTCAGCCTCCCAAGTAGCTGGGATTACAGGCACGCACACCCACTGCCCAGCTAATTTTTGTATTTTTAGTAGAGACGGGGTTTCACCACGTTGGCCAGGCTGGTCTTGAACTCCTCACCTCAAATGATCCTCCCGCCTCAGCCTCCCAAAGTGCTGGGATTACAGGCGTGAGCCACCACGCCCGGCTGTGCAGTGAGCATGCCAGCCAAGGCAGCAGTGCTGTGGAGTTGATGTTTGCAGTGAGAGGCCCCACGAGGTCATTTGTGGAACTAACTGGATTCACAACTGACCAGGGTCATTGCTCTGTGCTGGAGGAATCTCAAACCTGGCCTCACCGACGTATCCAAAGACTTACCAAGATTTGGTTTTCAGTAATTCTGGTACTGAAAACTATAGAAACTGGGAAGATACAGAACACTAACACTAACTGAGTGTTCAGAATAAGTGCCAGGCATTCTCATACCAGATGAATGAAGTAGGCACAATTATGGATCCCATCTTACAGATGGGCGAATGGAGCAGCAAAGAGGTGAAGGAACTTGTCCAAGGTTGTCTAGCTGGTGAGTGGCAAAGCTGGGAACAAGCTGCAGGCCCTGCTGATGTCAGTTCCACGGCTCATCACCTCCTTCCAGCTAGGGTACCCCCACCCCCGCTCAGCTCTGAAGCCCTGTCCATCTCTCCAAGGACAAGGACTCCTGGCACCTTCACATTCCCCTGCGGCAAGTAAAGGAACAGGTTCTTTTTTTTTTGTTAATAAAGTAGAATAACATTTATTTCTTAAAATTTTTATTATACATGCTGTATTCATGGAAAACCAAGATCTTTAAAGGAACTCAAATTAGATATAAATTATGTTCAGCTCTGAGCTGGTTATAAATCATGTTTAGCATGGAAACAGTTAAACTGAAGCTTTCTTCTCCTTATAGGTTGCCATCATTTTCTTGATCTCTGCAATAGCTTTCCCTGGATTCAGACCCTTGAAAAAAGAGAAAAGAATCAATAACAAATGATAACTGAAACTGAAAGGGAAAACCCACAATCTTGGGTGAAACTCCTTCCTCAGCTGGTTCAGTGTCCAAGCAAGGTGAATGCAAATCAAGTCCCTCAAAACCATAGGGGTTGGGCTAAGGGCTCTCTTCTGTCTACCTTTTTTAACATTTGAAGATGGTCAGCTCCCTCTGGCAAGAGCTCTGCCACGTTGAATTCCTTCTTGTGTGGCTCACTCTAACAGGTAAACAGGCCCAGGGCAGAGGTGCACTCTCTGACTGCTCAAAGACACTCAGGGTAGTGTCTCTTCTAGGACTACAGGCCAATGTCAAAATCAGCCAGACATCTCTAAATCTTTTACATCATCATTATTAAATAGGCAGCAGCAGAAATCAGCATATACCAGCTCTCAAAAGTATGTGGAAGAAACTACCCTCTCTATTAACCCTTTGTAAAACCATGATGATTTCAACTGGCCAATACCATTGGTATTAGCTGCAGTTTGCCCCTACAGCTGTTAACATCTGCTTTGCAGGAGGCACAATAATTAAACCCACTGAATGCCAGCTTCATTGAAGTAGAAAGTAGGAAGTACTTTACCAAGTACTTGCTTTTACCAAGCAAGTACTTGGTAAAATGAGACAAGTACTCATCTGACGTTAGTGAAGGTTCCCCTCATTTTAGAAGGATAAGTCTACCCCCCTAAAAAAGTGTTGTGGAAAGAAAGAAGAAAAGGAAAGAAAGAAAAGAGATCTTGAGAGAAGAAGAGAAAGAAAAAATATATATTTTTTTGACAGGGTCTTGCTCTGTCATCCAGGCTGAAGTGTGATCATAGTTCACTGTGGCCTGGAACACCTGGCTCAAGTGATCCTCCGGCCTCAGCCTCTCAAGTAACTGAAACTACAGGTGCGTGCCACCACACCTGGCTAATTAAAAAAAATTTTGTTTGTAGAGATGGGATCTCACTATGTTGTCCAGGCTGGTCAAAAAGACACTCTTCATATACCAACATGGGATAATCTCCAAAATATAGTGGGTGAAAAAATACAGATAAATGTGATATAAGAAAGACAGAAGAGGACACATATGCATTTGTGTGCAGCATAAAACACCTCTGAAGTTCACACAAGAATCTGACTTCTAGGGAGGTGGCTGGGTGGAGTGGGAGGGAGAATTTTCACTGTATATCCTTCTGAATCTGGATCTACCTGTGTATTTCCGGTCCCCACAGGGTCAGTAAGGGTGTTTAGACTTAGAAGGTTGGTACATACCCAATCCATGCAGGAAGAAAGAGCACTGGATGGGGAGGCAGACGGCCTAACTCTAGTCCTACCTTCCCACTGACCTGACAGTGATCTGGGGCGAGTCACTCCCCTCCCCACCTGGGGCTCAATTTCCCCATCTGTATAAGGGGATTAAACTTGATGGTTTTCAAGTCCCTTCCAGTTTCATGATCGGCCTATGTCTATGTCTCAGTCCCAACTTCCAGCCCTGTTTTACAGAAGGGAGGGCAAGGCACAGAGAACCTGTTCTTGGCTGTCTCAGTTGTCTGCTGCACCCATCCCCTCCATGCACAGGTTTGTGACCAGGAATGCACCTTAGAGTCACTCGCAGAGCTTCTGAAGAAACACACAGCCAGGCCCCACCACTGAAGATGCTATCTCTGTCTCAAACAAGCCCAGTACTCATGTTTTTTTAAAAAATAACATAAGGTGACATTTATTGGGTGCTTACTATGTGCCAGGCACTGTTCCAAGCACTTTTATAGCATAACTTGCCTCAGAGGTCAGTAGCTATTCACAGGCACAATCATGGTAAACCACAGTCCTGGGGACAGGACCCAGATGGAAGCCCAGGCAATAGGGAGCTGAAGCCTGTGGGCTCCCCCAGCGAGGCCACTGGAAACACAGAGGGTTTCCAGGCAAAAAATAAGTGAATTCTACAGCTTGGATTTCATGTTTTCAAACACACAGTGTGATCTTTTTTTACGGCTAACTGGCCACCCTACAGTTTTCCACCTTGCCGCCCACTGACTCACTGCAACTTTTGAGTGAAATCACCCACAGTCTTTGCTCGGAGGGCAGCCGTGTTCTGAACCACACAGCCCTAGCCCTTCCCTGCCCACTGGGCAAGGCTGACTGGACCAGGGCTGACACCTGCTATGGTTTGAATGTGTCCCCAAAAGCTCATGTGTTGAAAACCTAATCCCCAATGCAACAGTATTGAGAGGTGGGACCTTTAAGAAGTGATTAGATTATGAAGGCTCTGCCCTCACAAATGGATTGCCATTATCATAGGAGTAAGTTCCTGATAAAAGGATGAGTTTGGATTAGTCAGGTGTGGTGGTGTGTGCCTGTAGTCCCAGCTACTCAGGAGGTAGGAGGATCACTTAAGGCCAGCAGTTCCAGGCTGCAGTGAGCTATGATTGCGCCACTGCACCCCAGCCTGGGCAACACAGTGAGACCCTGTCTTTTAAAAAAAACAGATGAGAGGGGCCGGTCGCGGTGGCTCACGCCTGTAATCCCAGCACTTTGGGAGGCCAAGGTGGGTGGATCACCTGAGGTCGGGAGTTCGAGACCAGCCTGACCAACATAGAGAAACCCTATCTCTACTAAAAATACAAAATTAGCCAGGCATGAGTGGTGCCTGCCTGTAATCCCAGCTACTCGGGAGGCGAATGCAGGAGAATCACTTGAACCTGGGAGGCGGAGGTTGTGGTGAGCTGAGATCGATCGTGCCATTGCACTCCAGCCTGGGCAACAAGAGCGAAACTCTGTCTCCAAAAAAAAAAAAGGCTGAGCTTGGGCTCCCTTTCTCTTGCCCTTCTGCCTTTTGCCATGGGGTAATACAGCACGAAGGTTCTTGTTAGATGCTGGCGCCAGCCTCTAGAGCTGTGCGTCAAATAAACTTCTTTATAAAATTACCCAGTCTGAAATTCTGTGATAGTACCACAAAACAGACTGAGACAGAACCTGGCCAAAGGGCAGCCGGTCTGTAGCCAGCTGTGGCCTCTGATGTGCAGGCATGAGAAGGTGAGCTGGGCCAATGCGACACCCTCTCAGGAAACTGTGCTGAGAAGTGCTGGGAGGCAGGCGGGTGGCTGAAGCTGGAAGTGTGCTGGGAGGCAAAATCCAGGCCAGAGTGAGCCAAAAGCAGCAGCAAATGCGAGCAGGAAGAGGAACGAAAGCCAGAGCTTTGAGTCAGAGAAAACCTCCACAGAGCCGAAGGAAAGAACAGGCTGCTAGAGAGCAGAGCAGATTAGCAGCTGACATCGCGAGAAAGATGGAGAAGAAATGAAGTCCTCACAGCTGCCCACGTTCCAACGGCTTTCGCTTTCTGTTTCCTGGGAAGGTTGAACGCAGGTACCTGCTCATGGGTTCCTGTGCATCCTTAACTCCCACAATGTCCCTGTGTAGCCTACAAATAAAGCCTGCTCCTGAGGTGGCCCGAGTCAGTCTACTCCTTGCAACTAAGAGCCAAACTAGCCCCTAGGCTCACACTGAAAGGACAGGCATATGCTGGTCCCTTTCCTTCTCAAATGACTAGGGTTGCTCTCTGCCAATCACCTCTTTGTGAGCACATGCTACTTCTGGCGTGTCAGCTCTGAGGCAGAGCTGAGGGTCACCAGCCCCACGTACCTTAGGACAGGTCCTTGTGCAGTTCATGATGGTGTGGCAGCGGTATAGAGAGAATGGGTCCTGCAGCTTGGCCAGGCGCTCCTCTGTGAAGTCATCTCTGGAGTCAATCATCCAGCGATAGGCCTGGAAAACCAGGGATGATTAGCTGAGCTGCCAATCAACAGGCCAGAGCGGCACCCTGGCTCAACTCAAAGCTCTGGGAGTGCAGAGGAAAGGGAATTCACTCAGCTTAGATGCCTCATCTCCATACTCTTTAATTCTTGTCCATCTTTCAAGGAAAGGTTCCCAACACTTGTAGCTTCACTTGATTAATGGTCCCTGCAAACCTTTGATCCATACTGCACCTGGTACCCGGGTGCTTAATTATACACACTGGGTATCATCTCCTAATTATTTCACATTGCTCAATAGCTTCCTACCCAGCTTATAATTTGGTGAAGGCAGGGACTGTATCATATAACTCTTATCTGTCTTCATGGCACCTACCCATGCTGGACTTGCTGTCTCTGAGTAAAGGAATGATTTAACAGACCTGTCTACAGATAGTATTTGTCCCACTTAATGATTCTTTGAACTTACACAGCGCTCTCAGCAGCCTGAGATCAGCAGGCTGAAACGAGTTAATCACATGACCATAGGCCTGCTCTAGCAGTGTTACTTAGAGGACCTCTACATCCCCAACTCGGAGCAGCTGGCAAAAGTGACAAGTATGAGTGTACTTCATTATCCAATCTTCACATGGCTGGGAATCAATATTGCTCATGTGGTCACACAAACCTGTAACTTCTCTTTTTGTGGGAAAATGAGAAAGAGAAGTTGGTTTTTGAGTTGCCTAGAGTCTGTGAAAAGCACGTATCTAAAAAAGCACAAGCTTTCTGGGAACAAAGACAGTGACTTTCTTTGCAGTGAACATCAATACTATTTTCTTTCTAAGCAACCCCTAAATCCAGGCTTTCATTAGCTGGGAAACAGCTTCCAATCTCATAGCTGGGCAGCTGCCCTTCAAAGACACTGCTTTCTCCCCTGCTTGCTCGCTACAAGTCTTATGTTACAAATCCTATGAGAGGGAGAGGGGGAGCCTCTGACCACCAGGCAAACGGAAATACATTTTAAACATCTGCAAGGCATGGTTTGCACCCCTTTGGGGTGACCCTCACTGCACTGAAACAAAGGCAATTTGCAGACAAGGCCCCAGATTTACCGAAAGCAAGTGAATACAATGCAACCAATTACCCTGTTTGGACTGGATGGCAATGAAGGAAACCAGGCCCCTCAGAATGGCTGGCTTACAGCAATCTATTGTCCTCTTGGACTTCTGGATGCTTGAGTTTCAATTTCTCTTAAAGCAATTAAGGAGCACCTCACCTGCATAAGAACTGCAGGCCCCAGATATTTGTCTCCGTTCCACCAGTAGCTGGGGCAGCTGGTGCTACAGCAGGCACAGAGAATGCACTCGTAGAGCCCGTCCTGTATGGGGAGAAAAGAGAGGCAGGAGCTTGTGACGGGAGAGACTCTGCTATGTCTTCAGCTGATTAAATGTTACCTTTGGGGTCAGTGCATGAACAAAGTGCCTACTTGCATGTGAATTTTCTTAGCAAAATCCAAGGGGTGATTTGCAGATATTTAGCAGATTAATAAAGATCTTGCAAGTGAAATGTAAACATCTGCCCAGGGTTCTTAAATCCACGTATAGTGCACTTTCCCTTTAATAAACAAGAACCTCTCACTTGTCTAAAAAAGAAATAGAAAACAAGAACACAAAAACAACTCCCATAAATTCCAGCTTCCTGGAATGAGGTCAAGACGGGAGAGATTCAAAAGCCTAGGGGCTGAAGCAGCAAGAGTCTGTAGCTGCTTCTGCCCTGGGCTCAGCAGAAGGGCCCTCAGGTTTTCACTGGGAACATCAACATCATCCCCAGTGACTGCCACTGCCAATCCTGACGGAGGCCCTGCGCCTTACACGCTTTCCTTAACTGATCATCACAGTAATCCTGTGAGGTGACTCCAGCAAGTTCCACTTACAGGTAAGGAACCAAGGCGAGGAGAGTGAGTTAGGCCATGTGCCCAGGGACGTGCCACTATAGGCAGCAGAACCAGGATGTGGCCCCGGCAGCTGGCTCTGGCTTCCTGCACTTTCACACCTGCCACACTGGGTCAATCTGCCCAACAAGTCCCAAACACAAACCGGACTTTCTGAGTTTGGAAACAACAGAAATGGATTAAAAACAGCAAAATGAAAGGGGCCCACTGACACCTGAAGTGACAGTTGAGAACAGATGAGACAGAACTGATGGTTGTGATTGAACCATGAGTCTTCAACCAAATCTATGTTATGTCCAGACAGCTGGTGGGAGTGTCAACTGGCCCCACTGGTCTAGAAGGCATAAGGTCACAGGATTAAGAGCCTTAAGAATAGTCATATTCTTTAACCCACTCCTAGAAAAATCTGTAATAAGAAATTAGAATGTTTTGGGCAGAACTTGAAGGATAAAGATGTTCATCTAGCCTTATTTCTAACAGTAAAAAATTGGAAACAATTTCATTGTCCAGCAACAGTGAAATGGTTTTATGGCGCATGGTGCATACATCTGAAGCAGTAGAAAGCAAAGTGTAAGTTAATGCTTATGAACAATTTTAAGAATATGAAGAAAATGCTCACAATAACATAAGTGAAAAAAGCAGGATATAAAAGCATATTTACATTTTGATCCCAGCTACATAAAAATATAATGTAATAAACAAAAAACAAAGGAAACTATAAATATTAACAGAGATTATGTTTTGGTGGTGGAATTATAAATTCTTTTTTTTTTTTTTTTTGAGACAGGGTCTTGCTGTGTGCCCCTGGCTGGAGTGCAGTGGCACAATCACAGTTCACTGCAGCCTGGAACTCTTGTGCTCAAGCAATCCTCCCATCTCAGCCTCCTGAGTAGCTGGGACTATAGGTGCATACCACCATGCCTGGCTAAGTTTTAAAGTTTTTGTAGAGACAGGGTCGCCCTATGTTCCCCAGGCTGAAAATTATAGCTTATTTAAAAAATGATGGAGCCTCTCTGAACCTATTTTGGTTTGGGGGCTGCCCAATTAAAAATAAATACATACATAAATTTCTCCACATTTTCCAATTATTTATTAAGTTCAGCATACTAATTTAAGGAAGCCAAAAAATGTTAAATGTTTGGTATGTAAATGAGTAAATGAGTAAATTTCTATTACAGGTTGGGCATCCCAAATCTGAAAATCTGAAATCCAAAATGTTCCAAAATCTGAAACTTTTTGAGCACCAATATGCTGCTCAAAGGAAATGTTCACTGGAGCATGGATTTCAGATTTCGGATTTGGGGTGCTCAACTAGTAAGTGTAAGGCAAATATTCCAAAATCTGAAAACATATGAAACCCCAAACACTGAAACCCAAGCATTTAGGATAAGGAATACTCAACTTGTATCTAGAAAACCAAACATGCTCAGGGGAACTCTTCAATCCCTAATAATACCACATCAGGGAGATGTTCACTAGCTACGCACCAGCCTTGCCTAGGAATGCAAAGGACTCGCTGGGCCAGAGGGCCCGGTTCAGCCTGGACTCTGGGATGCACAAGACTCTGGGAGGTAGAAACTGAGGAGCAGAGCTGCAGTCTGAGAAGAGCAGCTCTGAAGTCTCATCCCAGGCTTACTCTGACTTGCAGGCCACTGTGCTGACCCTCACTATCTTGATGGTGACAGACTGGGCACACTTACTAGGACTCCCCTTTTTCTCTTTTCTTTTTTTCTTTGAGACGGAGTCTTGCTCTGTTGCCCAGGCTGAAGTACAGTGGCACAACCTTGGCTCACTGAAACCTCCACCTCCCGGGTTCAAGAGATTCTCCTGCCTTGGCCTCCTGAGTAGCTGGGATTATAGGTGTGAGCCACCACACTCAGCTAATTTTTGTATTTTCAGTAAAGATGGGGTTTTATCACGTTGGCCAGGCTGGTCTCGAACAACTGACCTCAAGTGATCCGCCCACCTCGGCCTCCCTAAGTGCTGGGATTACAGATGAGCCACTGCACCTGGCCGGACTCCCCTTTCTTAACGTTTTATGGGCAACAGGAGAGGATGCTAAATATTTACCAAGTCTCAAAAGGTAGAATTAATTTATTCATTCATACAACTGATACTTTTCATATATTCACATATATGTATATGTTTTAGAGACAAAACCTGGGCTATGTTGCCCGGGCTGGCCTCAAACTCTCAGACTCTCAAACTCCTGGGCTCAGGTGATCCTCCTACCTCAGCCTCCTGAGTAGCTGGGACTATCAGAATGCACCACTGCATCTGGCCTTTTAAAAAATTTATATATATTTTTACAGTATTTACATAACTAATATTTATGGATAAAATAACATGCGCCAGGGCCTAGGGATCCAGAAAGGAAGAAGACACAGCCATTGCCCTTGGCCCTGTGCAGACCTGCAGGTGGGGCTCTGTCTCCATTTGGTCCCCTTCCTACCTCACGTCCACAAGTATGCAGGGAGTATGCAAATCAGAGAAGACTTCTTCGCAGAGGAGTAGAAGTAGTGTAGAAGAAGAAAGACTGAAAACTTGATAATGATGCCTCCGCTTTAAGATTTTACAGCTTGTACACAGGAATGGCAACTCCCAGAGAGTGAGCAGGCCAGGAATAATCCCACCCCACAGATCACCAGAAGTATGGTGTCAGGAAAGAATATCGATGACTCTGTTTTGCCATTAACATTTCACTCCCATTTGTAAAGCAGGACGGTGGTAGTTACAACTGGCCAGCATATGTGTTTCATTTTGCCCCCAGTGAGGGAACAGTTCTGACTTAGTGGTCACTTTTTAAAGCCCAGGCAATTTACATACTGGTTTCTTTTGAAAAAGATGGAGTAGCCACACAGCAACCACCCGCCCCTGCAGGCGGGGCACAGGGCTCTAGCTCCTTGGTCCACTCTGGGCCATTCACGGGTTCACACTACTCACCCGGCCCTAAGAGGATGAGTGCCCCACCCTTGTGCCAGTTCCTCTCCAGAATACACTAAATGGCTTGCATCAGCTTATGTTCCCTGCCAAGCCACACTCCTGGCAATCATCTTTGCAATAAATTCTTCAGATTGAAACAATAAATAGGGACTAATGACCAGTTTCTCACGCTCTTCTATGGACTGCAGATACTGCTGCTTGCCTTCCTGAGATTCATCCTTCTTCTTCAAATAAGGCTCAATGGATTTGTACTGTGCATAGAAGTTGCTCAAATCCTGTGGTTAAGAGGAAGAAGAAGAAGAAGAAGAAGAAAAGGATCAGATTCCATCATCACCTCAGCTTTATTTACCCCATTTCTTGGACACTGACTACTCGTCCACTCTATGCCAGGCAGAAGCCAGACTCTTTTCCTTTGTCATGAATATATGCAAAGATTACAAAAGGAAAAATGGTCACAATGTTAAGCATGGTTAGGAAACCTCTCCCTCACCTACTTGGGAAACCTGCCAATCCCACAGTCCTTTCTGCCCTTGAAAACACCACGTCAGCAAAGGTGTTCAAATATAGGGAGGTAGAAATTAAAGTGGGACTCATAAACAGCTGTTGCTTTCCCAACTGGCATTTTCCACATGATTTCTTTGTAGTTATGGCCAAATTATTCATTTCTGGGAATGTTCCAATTCTAAAATTCTGTGCCCCATTATTCTCAAACAAACCTCACCAAATGAGCTGCTGGAGGATTTTCTAGGCGTTTATCTTCTGCCATTCAAATTCTTTAATTAAACTCTGGCCACACTGTCTCAGATCTGGAGATTTTCCTAATCTCTCAGTGACACTGTGGTCCTCCTCCTGCCATAATATAGGAAACAGTCCCATCTATTTACTATCTGACTAGAAGAGGAGCCTTAAATACTCAAACAAATCCTGCCCTGAAAAACTAATAGCGTAACACACATAGCACTGCCCCCCATGCAAATAAAAACAAAACCAGAGAGATGCAGAAACTCACGGGAACAAGATCCTTTATCACATACATGTGTGGAAGAGGGTAGATTTTTGAGACCTTATTGAGGTTGGTGTCAATCCTTCGGGTGCAAGCTAGAGTGTTGCCTCCATTGATGTTCATTGCACAAGAGCCACAGATGCCTGAAAGAGACACACATTTAACACATCCTCACCCATATCCGGAATCAGTCCTGCCCCAAATACTTTCTTCTGGATCCTCCTTGCTGTGCCATCAGGGGCAGCACTGACATGCAACATTCCTCTGACAGAGGTGCCTGTTGGCTTTTCTCCCTTCCTTCCTTCTTCCTGCCTCGAATGTGGTTCTAATGGCTTGAGTTCCAAAAACTACTCTATGACCATGTGGCAACCTTGAGGTTAGAAGCCACATGCCAAGTATGGCACTGGAGGAGGCCAGAGGCCTGGGCGCTGCTGGCACCATGGAGTTTCCACAGCAGTTCTAGCTCCATGTGTCACGTGTTTTGAAGAAAAATCAGCCTGTTTTTTTTTTTTTTTTTTTTTTTTTTTTTAAAGAAAGGGTCTCACTCTGTCACCCAGGCTGGAGTGCAGTGGTGCAATCACAGCTCACTGCAGTCCTCAATGCCTGAGCTCAAGTGATCCTCCCACCTCAGCCTCCTAAGTAGCTGGGACTACAGAAGTAGCCCACCACACCCAGCTAATTTTCTGGTATTTTTTGTAGAGACGAGACTTGCAGAGACAGGGTTTTGTTATGTTGCCCAGGCTGGGCTTGAACTGCTGGGCTCAAGTAATCTGCCTGCCTTGGCCTCCCGAAGCACTGGGATTACAGGTCTGGGCCACCACACACCCGTCAAGCCTATTTTTTTTTTTTTTCTTTGAGAAGGAGTTTTGCTCTTGTTGCCCAGGCTGGAGTGCAATGCCGCGATCTTGGCTCACTGCAACCTCCGCCTCCCCAGTTCAAGTGATTCTCCTGCCTCAGCCTCCTGAGTAGGGGTGGGTGTGGTGGCTCACGCCTGGAAACCTAGATTTTTTAAAGCCACTGTTATTTGAACACAAATCTAACAGACACAATACCCAAAAGTAAAGTAAATCAACATTGTCTTGGTCATCTTAAGGTTGAAGTGACCTGGATACAGATTATTAAGAGATAGCTCTTCTTCTTTTTTTTTCTTGGCTGAGTCTTGCTGTGTCACCCAGGCTGAAGTACAGTGGTGGAGTCATAGCTCACTGTAGCTCACTTTAGCCTCAAACTTCTGGGCTCAAGCGATCCTCCCACCACAGCCTCCTGAGTAGTTGGGACTACAGGCACATGCCGCCATGTGCGGCGAATTCAAAAAAATTCTTTGTAGGTTGGGTGAAGTGGCTCACACCTGGAATCCCAGCACTTTGGGAGGCTGAGGTGGGCAGATCACTTGAGGTCAGGAGTTCGAGACCAGTTTGGCCAACATGGTAACCCCCTGTCTCTACTAAAAATATAAGTCGTGGTGGGTGCCTGTAATCCCAGCTACTCAGGAGGGTGAGGCGGGAGAATCATTTGAACTGAGGAGGAGAAGGTTGCAGTGAGCAGAGATCGCGCCACTGCACTCCAGCCTGGGTGACAGAGCAAGATTCCATCTCAAAAAAAAGAAAAAAATAATTGTTTTTTGTAGAGCAGGTGTCTCACTATATTGCCCAGGCTGGTCTCTAACTCACGGCCTCAAGTAATCCTTCTGCCTTTGCCTCCCACTGTGTTGGGATTACAGGCCTGAGCCACTACACTTGACAGAGGTAAGGCTTCTTCTATTGTCTTCATAAAATACGCAGCATAGTACCCTGGGGCTATGAAATCCACAAAAGCTGACTCAGCATGGACTTTCCAAAGAGGAGAAGAATGAACTAATATGAAACTGAGGCAAAGCAAAGCAAACTAAACAAAAAACGTGCTGACCCAGGACCCCGACATGAGAATTTTCTTAGCCTGGACCTACTTCCTGTATATGGAAATTTCCTGGGTGTTTTGGAATTTAAAAATGATTATGTACTCTAAACCTCTAGTGCCAGTCCTCTGAAGCTGTTTTTTGAAGATCATTAGGTCAGAGAAACCTGATTGCTTGAGAAAGTTGCACTGGTTATCATCTTTTTTTTTTTTTAGATGGAGTCTTGCTCTGTCGCCCAGGCTGGAGTGCAGTGGCACGATCTCGGCTTACTGCAACCTCTGCCTCCCGGGTTCAAGTGATTCTCCTGCCTCAGCCTCCTGAGTAGCTGGGATTATAGACGCCCGCCACCACACCTGGCTAATTTTTGTATTTTTAGTAGAGACGGGGTTTTACCACGTTGGTCAGGCTGGTCTCGAACTCTGACCTTGTGATCTGCCCGCCTCGGCCTCTGAATGCCTGGCCTCACCTTTTTTTTTTTTTTTTTTAATGGAAAGGGAGTCTATGTTTCCCAGGCTGGTCTTAAACTCCTAGCCTCAAGCTAGCCTACCACCTAGACCTCCCAAAGTACTGGGATCACAGGCGTGAGCCACTGCGCCCAGTCGGTTATCACTTTCATAAGACTAGAAAAGACAGTAAGACTCTCCTTCTCCTGTAAATCTTAGAAAGAGTGTAAGGGAACCCAAAGATGTGTCTTAAGCAAATACTCCTAGAGTTCCCCAAGAGACTGGATATTATCAATACATTTATGTATACCTGGCATCCAACTAGAGCAGTTTGCTTTTACAAGAAATGGCATAAAAATTAAAAAAATAAATCCAATGAACTTTCTCTCAAAAAGGCTCCCTGGGAATTCTCTTACAAGATGGGAATTAAAAAAAAAATAAGAAAAACAAGATGGGAATAAAAAGGAGTAGCAATTGATACAATTCTGCTTTATTTTTTTTAGTCCAGATGGGTCACACCTTATGTTCTTGGTTCTGAAAGAGTCCTACAGGGAAAGGTTACTGAAAAGCATCTACCTTTCCTGTGTTGCCAGGACTTAATGGGGAAGGCTGCTGTTTAACTGCCGCAGAATGTTCCCTGAACAGCAGGACTCAGCCGAACTATCATAATATCCATCAGCATTTGCAACGCTAAATAAGATTAGCTGAATCAAAACAGATGTCTTAAAAGACTTGAAATGCTTGAAATGTACAGCTGAACAGATAAAAAGCCATGGGCCGGTATCAATACTGGCTTTTCCTTTTTTTTTAAGGTTTTCTTAGAAAAAAGCTCAGTGTCCTCACAGAATCAAGCTACTCTCTGCTTTTGTTTTATCCCAGGTGTTCCAAGCCAAGTCAGTGCCTGAGAGAGCAGATCTGGAGTCTGGAGTCTGACAGCTTTGGCTGACTCCCGGCTCTCAAGTCACTCTCTATGTGTCCTTGTGGAAGTCCATTACCCTCTCTGGGCCTCACCTTTAAATTGAAGGTAGATAATAAGCACAGTCATCTACCTCATGTCCAGTGCACAGAACAGAGCCGGGCACACAGTCTGGCTCCACGGACATCAGGCCAGTCGGTCTTCACTGCACCCTGTGCAATTTTTGCTATACCTGAGAACCACCTGAATCAACTTTCTTTAAAGTATCTCTTGGGTTTTCTTTAACTTGTTTTGCTTAAATTCACATTAAAAAACCACTTATATCCCTATTATACCATCATTAGTAATTATATTTTTCTTTTTTTTTTTTTTGAGACTGTCTCGCTCTATTGCCCAGGCTGGAGTGCAGTGGCGTGATCTTGGCTCACTGCAAACTCCACCTCCCGGGTTCCTGCCTCAGCCTCCCGAGTAGCCAGGATTACAGGCGTCCGCTATCACGCCCGGCTAATTTTTGTATTTTTAGTAGAGACAAGGTTTCACCATGTTGGCCAGGTTGATCTCGAACTCCTGACGCCAGCTGATCCACCCGCCTCGGCCTCCCAAAGTGCTGGGATTACAGGTGTGAGCCACCGCACCCGGCAGTAATTATATTTTTCTAATACAGAAAATGAATACATTGCTATTCATGTAGAAAATGTTAGTCTGCACACTGCCTCAAATGGGCTCATGTGGCACCAGCAGCACAAGTAACCACATGCTGAGGGAGACACTGTACCAGCCAATCCAGAACACAGCTACCAAGGACATGTCATGCTGGGAGCTGAGGGAGACTCACACATCTCCCCTGCTGGACAAGCATAAGTGCCAGACAGAAACTCTCCACTGCTCCCTTAATAAAAGAGCTCAGCAGCATGGAAGGTGCCAGCCAGCAGGTCCTAGCTAGGCCTTGAAGCGTGGAGCAGCTCACAGGGACCGCCAGATGCAGTAACCACAGGATAGAATGCTCCTGAAGGAAAGTAAACTCAGAAACCAGAACTTGCACCATGGTTAGAATTTTGGATGCATTTACCCAAGAAAAGGAATTAGGTTGCACAGCAAGTTCACCCAGCAGAGAGCTGCAGCTGTTTTCCAGATGTCTCTATCAGCTTTGGCCAGCCCAAGCCTCTTTGGAAGACCACAAGTATCTGGAGCCCAACAGGAATGAAATGCTCACCTTCTCTGCATGATCTTCGGAAGGTCAAAGTAGAGTCAACTTCATTCTTAATCTTGATTAAAGCATCCAATACCATGGGGCCACATCTAACAAAGAAAAATATCCAGTGGTATTTATGTAACGTTCAACCTCCCTACACTTTATCATAATATAATCGGAGACACCTGGATGTATTAGCTTATCCATTTGGTCTTCTCAGGTCACCTTCGGAATTTGTTCTGTAGTTTTGTTTTTGCAGATTCTTACATTTTAAGTACTGCACAGTTCTATTTTGATGATCACAGTGCAAACACATTTCTAGGAAATGGAAAGCTAAAGTAGTAGTAGACAAGTATGACACAACTTCCATACAGTGGCCGAGTTTTTGTTTTTTACTTCTGAAGCTCCCTGCAAAGTTTTTCCAAATAATTTATTTCAAATTTTAGTTTGATTTTTAGGATGTAGACAATAGTTTTAAATAGTAATTAATAATACATAACCATAAGAGAAGACATAGTACAGAGAATAAAAGACACCCAATCACTCACAGTCCCCCAGTCAAATCACTGTGAGCCTCCTAGAACATACAAGGGCAGTGACATGGTACTAAGCGGAGCATCCCTGGGCGTGGGACCTGGAGTGCCGGCCTGGCAGCCAAGAGACTGGTCTGCACCATGGCTGAGCCACTTACCAGCTTGCAGGCAAATGATTTAATTTCTGCCTAGGCATTTAATCCACTGAGTGCAGAGAGCAGCACCTGCATCCCACAGGATTGCTGGAGGTGAGTTAATACACACGAGATCTTTACAGCAGCATCTGACATATAAATCATAGTTTAACTATAATAATCATCATGCAGAAACTGTGATTCTACGGAAATTACTCTCTGAACCTCAGTTTATCTGTAGAGTTAATATTTACACCACAGGGTTACTGTGAAAATTACATAAAAATATGTAATTTTTCATAGTACCTGGCATACAGTAAGTGCTCCACAAATCTATTTTCTGGTTGCCACCCTGCCCCCATTCCACTCACTAATTTTCTATGCATGAGATTAAAAATATACTTAAAAATACGTCATTTCCTTTAGTACTATCTGTATTTCATTTTTTTTCTTTTTTTTCTTGAGACGGGGTCTTGCTCTGTTACCCAGGCTGGAGTGCAGTGGCACGATCTCAGATCTGTAACCTCCGCATCCCAGCCTCAAGAGATCCTCCTGCCTCAGCCCCCCAGTAGCTGGGACTACAGGTATGTGCCACCACATCCAGCTTAATTTTTGTATTTTTTTGTAGAGGTGGGATTTCGCCATGTTGCCCAGGCTGGTCTCTAACTCCTGGACTCAAGTGATCCTCCTGCCTTGGATTCTCAAAGTGTTGGGATTATGGGTGTGAGGCAATGGTGCGATCTCGGCTCACTGCAACCTCTACCTTCCGGGTTCAAGCGATTCTCCTGCCTCAGCCTCCCGAGTAGCTGGGATTACAGGTGCATGCCACCACACCCGGCAAATTTTTGTATTTTTAGTAGAGATAGGTTTTCCCATGTTGGCCAGGCTGGTCTCAAACTCCTGACCTCAAGTGATCCACCTGCCTCAGCCTTCCCAAATGCTGGGATTACAGGTGTGAGCGACTGCGTCTGGCCCATTATCTGTATTTGTATCAGCACTATGTAGACGTCCTTTCTGCTGGACCTCTGCTAACACTGGGAATTGGAAGCTTTAAAAACCTTTGCTATTCTGATACTGGAGAAGTGTTATTGTTTTCAGTGTTTTAAATCGAGACTTTTGAATACTACATAGGTTGAATGTTTGTCATAAATTTACTAATTTTTCTTTATTTCCCAATTATTTATTGAACATTTACTCTGCCAGGTTCTGTTCTAGATGCTGGGGATGTAGCAGAGAATAAAAGAGACGAATACCACCTGCCCGCACAAAGCTCTGTTCCAGAGGACTCATTCTAGAGACTCAGTCTGTCCACATTCTTTGCCTCTGTTTACCAGGGTCTTGGAAATTCTTTTTCATGATCTGAGGCTCTTATATATTATATCTGTTGCCATTTCTGCTTCCTCCCTCACTGCCAATAGTAATGTGCTATTTGACTTCTAATTTTGGTAACAGAATTTTAAACATACATGAGTTAAATGTTTACATTAATAAAGGTGGCTATTCTTTCTTTTATAACATTATCTATCACTTTTAAGCCTAAACAGACCACTGCCCTTCCTGAGGTCTGATAAATACTTTACATTTTTTTCTACTTAAAAAAAATTTTAAGTTACTCCCCTAAAACTGCAAAAACTGTATCAGTTGTCCCAAATCACTGACTAAATCCTCTTTTGCTTCTTATTTGTAATACCTTTCTCCCATATTTAATACTGGGAACTTAGATAAAATTGAGTCTGTTTTGTTGCTACATTTTTATTCTAATGATCTGCCTGTTCTTGTCCTAGCATATTTTAAATGACAACAACATCTTTGTTTTTTTTACATTACAAAGGCTAATATTTGCAGCCTATAAAAATTTCAAATTGGCCAGGTGGGTGGCTCACGCCTGTAATCCCAGCACTTTGGGAGGCACTTTGGGAGGCCTTGGCGGGTGGATCATGAGGTCAGGAGATTGAGACCATCCTGGCTAACGTGGTGAAACCGTCTCTACTAAAAATACAAAAAATTAGCTGGGTGTGGTTGCACGTGCCTGTAGTCCCAATTACTTGGGAGGCTGAGGCAGGAAAATTGCTTGAACCCCAGAGGCGGAGGTTGCAGTGAGCCGAGACCGCACCACTGCACTCCAGCCTGGGAGACAGAGCGAGACTGTCTCAAAAAAATAAATAAATAAATAGATAAATAAATAAATAAATTCAAATCAAAGGTAAAAAGTAATCCTGCAGATCATACTGGGACAGAGAAAAATATTAAAAAGTCAAAGTCCTCTCTTTAAGCTGTTTCATGCTAAATTTCCTAATAGGTAGGGCTCATTAAAGAGTACAACATAAATTTTCTCAGATTTTACATAGATACCAAAATTGTTTGATATTCTGGGTCCCTTGCATTTCTATAAGATTTTTAGAATCAACTTGTCAACTTCTGCAGAAAAGGCAGGTGGGATTTTGATGGGGATTGCAATGAATCTGGAAATCAATTTGGAGACCACTGCCTCCTTAACAACATTAAGTCTTCCAACCCACAAACAGGGCATGTCTTTCCATTTATTTATGTCTTCTTAAATTTCTTTCAACAATGTTTTACAGTTTTTCAGCATATAAGTCTTTTACTTATTTGATTTTTGAGACAGGATCTCACTCTGTCGCCCAGGCTGGATGGAGTGCAGTGTTGTGATCACAGCTCACTGCAGGTTTGACCTCCCAGGCTCAAGTGATTCTCCCACCTCAGCCTCCAAGTAGCTGGGACTATAGGCACAGGAAGGTCATCAAGCCCAGCTAACTTTTTTTGTAGAGATGGGGTTTTGTCTTATTGCCCATATAATTTGTTCCTAAGAATTTCTTTTTTGATGCTGTTATATGGAAAATAGTTTTTAAATTTCATTTTAGGATTGTTCATTGCTAGTGTATAGAAATCCAATTTTTGTTTTTTTAACAGTACTTACAGGCTTTTTTCTAGGTAAGCAGGGTTTTACATATATAAATATAAATATTTATATAAATATGAATATATAAATATAAATATTTATATAAATATGAATATATAAATATAAATATTTATATAAATATGAATATATAAATATAAATACATATATAAATATATATGTATACACACACACACACACATTTTTTCTGTAGAGACTAAGTCTTGCTATTGTTGCCCAGGCTGGTCTCAAAACTCCTGGCCTCAAGCAATCCTCCTGCCTTGGCCTCACAAAGAAAGTGCTAGTATTACAAGTGTGAGCCACCATGCCTAGCCTAGAAAAATACATTTATCTGCTAATATCTGCTACACGCCAGTATTTTCAGAAAAAGAATTATGCTGTTGTGAAAATGAAAGAATATAGCTATTTTTTGTGTGTGTATACATAGCTACAAAGTAGGGTTTCAGAGTCGGATTAGAAGGAAATAGAACTATAATTAAAACATGGTACAATATAAAATGAAGACTGACAGACATAGGTTGAAATAAACATGGACAAATTATGCATAATAAAAAACTAAACTACATTTGATTTCTGTATACCAGTTTTGTGTCCTCCAACCTTGCTGAATTTGTTCATTAGTTCTAATAGTTCCTAGGGGGCAATGTCTTATATTTTCTTTTCTTTTTTTTTTTTGAGACAGCGTCTCCCTCTGTTGCCCAGGCTGGAGTGTAGGGCATGGAATCATGGCTCACTGCAGCCTCGACCTCCTGGGTTCAAGTGATCCTCCCACCCCACCCTCCCAAGTAGCTCGGACTACAGGAGTGTGCCACCACACCTGGCAAATTTTTTGAGACACAGTCTTGCTCTGTTGCCCAGGCTGGAGTGCAGTGGCGTGATCTTGGCTCACTGCAACCTCTGCCACCTAGGTTCAAGCAATTCTTGTGCCTTAGCCTTCCAAGAAGCTGGGATTACAGGTGTGTGCTACCATGCCTGGCTAATTTTTGTATTTTTAGTAGAGACAGGGTTTTGCCATGTTGTCCAGGGTGGTCTTGAACTCCTGGACTCAAGTCATCTGCCTGCTTTGGCCTCTCAGAATGTTGGGATTACAGGCGTGAGCCATCGCACCCAGCCTGGCTAATTTTTTGTTTGCTTTTTTGTAGAGATGGGGGTCTCATTTTGTTGCCCAGGCTGGTCTCCAACTCCCAGGCTCAAGCAATTCTCCTGCTTCAGGCCAGGCACAGTGGCTCACACCTGCAATCCCAGCACTTTGGGAGGCCGAGGTGGGCAGATCACCTGAGGTCAGGAGTTCGAGACCAGCCTGACCAACACGCAGAAACCCCATCTCCACCAAAAATACAAAAGAATTAGCTGGGCGTAGTGGCAGGCGCCTGTAATCCCAGCTACTTGGGAAGCTGAGACAGGAGAATTGCTTGAATCCGGGAGGCGGAGGTTGCGGTGAGCCAAGATTGTGCCATTGCACTCCAGCCTGGGCAACAAGAGCGAAAACTCTGTCTCAAAAAAAAAAAATTCTCCTGCTTCAGCCTTCCAAAATGCTGGGATTATAAGCACAAGCCACTGAGCCTGCCCAAGGTTTTGTGTAAAAGATTATGTTATCTATGAGAGACAGTTTTACTTCTTCTTTTCCAATTTCCTTTTCTTTCTTTTTCTCACCCAATTTCCCTGGCTAAGCCTCCAGTAAAATTTTGAATGGCTGATGTTAGCATAAATAGAATTATCTGTAGCCATTGAAATACACACACACACAAATAGTATTTTGCATATTGACCTTACATCCTGCAGCCTTGCTAAATTTACTTATTCTTTTAGTTTTGTAGACTCCCTGAAATTTTCTATGTAAACAATCATGTTACCTGTGACTACAGTTAGTTTAATTTCTTCCTTTCCAAGCTTACATATGCCTTCTACTTCTTTTACTTGCCTTTCATGGACTGGCTAGAACCTTCAGTACAATGTTGAACTCAAATACAGAGTGGACAACCTTCCTTATTCCTGATCTTATGGGGAAAGTGTTCAATATCTCACAATAAAGTATGCTATTAGCTGTGATTTTCACAGTCTTCATCTGGCTGATGAAGTTCCCTTCTTTTCCTATTAGCAGTTATTATTTAAGTAAAATTAGGACTATTCCTTTTAATTCAAATTCCTTATAGTTTTATTTATTTATTCTGTTAAAATATACACACTGTGAAAATTATTTAACCCATTATCATTTTTAAAAATCATGAATGAGTGTTGAATCTTGCCAAATGCTTTTCTGCATATATTAAAGCAATCAAATGGGTTTTCCCCCTTTATTCTGTTAATATGGTGAATCACATTGATTTTCAAATGTATTTCTTTATTTTTTCTTGCGCTTTTTCTTGCACTTAAAACAGCATATGGTTGGGTTTTGCTTTTTTTAAAAAAATCTATTCTGACACTGTTGGCTTTTTAACTGGGAGTATTTAATAGTTTTTACATTCAATACAGTTATTGACGTGGCCGGATTTAGGTCTATCATTTTACTATTTGTTCCATCATTTTGCTGCTGTTCTCTTCTTCTTTTCTTATTCTAAGTAATATTTTTAGACTAAGTAAATATTTTTAGAAATCAATTTTAATTTATATATTGGCTTTTTAGCTATATCTCTTTGCATTTAAAAAAATAATTACTCTTGGCTGGGCATGGTGGCTCACACCTGTAATCCTAGCACTTTGGAAGGCTGATGCAGGAGGACTGCTTGAGCCCAGGAGACCAGTGTGGGCAACATAGTGAGACCCTGTCTCTACAAAAAAAAAAAAAAAAAAAAAATTGGCCAGGCATAGTGGTACATGCCTGTAGTCCCAGGGACATGGGAGGCTGAGGTGGGAGGATTGCTTGAGCCTAGGAGGTCTCAGGGAGGGAGGATTGCTTGGTTGAGCCTGGGAGGGTTTAGTGAGCCATGATTGTGCTACTGCCTTCCAGCCTGGATGACAGAGTGAGGCCCTGTCTCAGAAGAAGAAAAAAAGTTACTCTAGAATTATACTTTACATAATTTACATCTTTAACTCTTTATACCTGTTTAGAGTTACTATTGTGCAACTTTATGTAATGCAAGAATCCTGCTACATTATTATAGGTCTATTTACCTGCTGTTCCCAGCCCCTACGCTATAGTTATCATATGCCTTACATCTATGTGAGTTATATATTACAGAATATAATATAATAACTTTGCTTTAAACAGTCATATTAATTTTAACAAAATTAAGAGGAAAAATCCTTTTATATCTACTATGTCCAGCGCTCTTCATTCCTTTTCTAAGAGCCAAGTTTCCACCTGGTATTATTTTTCCTCAGCCTGACTAACTTCCTATAGCATTTCATGTAGTACTGGTCTTCTGGCCATGAATTCTTTTCTTTTCTGTTTACCTGAAAATGTTTTTATTTCATAATCATCTTGAAGAATCTTTTTTTCTGAACGTGGAATTCCAGGCTGACAATTTTTCTTTTAGTACTTTAAAGATGGTATTTCACTGTCTCTTGGCCTCTAGTTTCTGATGAGAAGTCAGCAATTTTTCACCTGGTTTCCTTGTATGTAACATGTTGTTTTTCTCCAGCTGCTTTCAAGATTTTCTCCTATTTTTGGTCGTCAGCAACTTGACTTCATGGAACAGGGCATAGTTTTATTTTTATTTACCTAGTTGGGGTTCACTAAGCTTCTTGGATATGTGAATTATGTCTTTCATGGGCTCAGGAAATTCTTGGCCATGAGTTCTTCAAATAGATATTTATTTTGCCTTTTCTTTCTCTCCATTTTTTCTGGAAGTCCAATTACATGTGTGTTACATCCATCCATCCACTCACCCATGCATGGTCTTACTCTGCTGCCCAGGTTGGAGTACAGTGGCACAATTATAGCTCATAGCAGCCTCAAGTTCCTAAGCTCAAGCTGTCTTCCTGCTTCAGCATCCCAAGTAGCTAGGACTACAGGTATGTGCCACCACGCCTGGCTAATTTTTCAAAGAAAAAATTTTTTTAGTAGAGACAAGGTCTCACAGGTTGCCCAAGCTGGTCTTGGACTCTTGGCCTCAAGTGATCCTTTTGCCTCAGCTTCCCAAAGTGCTGGGATTACAGACATGAGCCACCATGCCTGCCCTAGACCTTTTGATGCTGTTCCATAGATCACAGGAGCGCTTTCCCTTTTCAAAAATCTTTCTTTTTCTTAAGAACAGATAATTTCGGCCGGGCATGGTGGCTCACGTCTGGAATCCCAGCACTTTGGGAGGCCGAGGCGGGTGAATCACTTGAGGTCAGGAGTTTAAGACCAGCCTGCCAACATGGCGAAACCTTGTCTTTACTAAAAATACAACAAATTAGCTGGGCGTGGTGGTGCACGTCTGTAATCCCAGCTACTCAGGAGGCTGAGGTGGGAGAATCGCTTGAGCCTGGAAGGCAGAGGTTGCAGTGAGCCAAGATTGCGCCACTGCACTCCAGCCTGGATGACAGAGCAAGACTCCGTCTCAAGAAACAAACAAACAAACAACAACAAAAAACTATATAATTTCTATTAATATTTTTAAGTTTGCTGATTCTTCTTATTGCCATTTCCAATCTGCTGTTAAGGCCATCCGGTAAATTTTCCTTTTCAAATATTATATTTTTCAGTACTAGATTTTCCATTTGGCTTTTCAATAGTTTCTACTTCTCCACTGAAATTTCCTATTTCATTATGAGCATAATTTCCTTTATCTATGAGGAAATTTAAAAATTCTTTAAATTCCACTGGGCGCGGTGGCTCATGCCTGTAATCACAGCACTTTGGGAGGCTGAGGTGGGTGGATCACCTGAGGCCAGGAGATCAAGACCAGCCTGGCCAACATGGCGAAACCCCAACTCTACTACAAAAATTAGACGGTGTGTGACGCGCGCCTGTAGTCCCAGCTACTCAGGAGGCTGAGGCAAGGGAATCGCTTGAACCCGGGAGGCGGAGGTTGCAGTGAGCCAAGATCGCACCACTGTACTCCAGTCCAGGTGACAGAGTGAAACTCAGACTCAAAATAAAAAAATAAAAAAGAAAAAAAAGAAAAATTAATATGCTGTAGAGAATCTGGATTGCATTATGTTTTTCTGAAAAGTGTGGATTTTAAAATTTTACACAGGCAATTAATATGGCTGCACGCAAGATGTGGGCAGAGTTCATGAACAGCATTTAGTGCTCCTCCTCTGTGTTTCTCTTCTTTCTAGGCTTTCCCCCTCATTTCCTAGTGGTTGTGGAAGGCCCAAAATGTGTCTTCTCGTTATTCAAGCTAAGATTTTTTTTTCTTTTTTTTTTGAGACAGAGTCTCACTCTGTTGCCCAGGCTGGAGTGCAGTGGTGTGATCTTGGCTCACTGCAACCTCCGCCTCCCATGTTCAAGTGATTCTCCCCCATTAGCCTCCCAAGTGGCTGGGATTACAGGCATGTGCCACCATGCCTGGCTAATTTTTATATTTTTAGTAGAGATGGGGTTTCACCATGTCGGCCTGCTTTGGCCTCCCAAAGTGCTGGGATTACAGGCATGAGCCAATGCACCCAGTCGGATTGTGGTTTTCCATCCAACTGTTAGTCCCGTTACTTCCCATACCAACTTGGACTTGTCCTCAGCAAAATCATGTAAGAGTAAAATGGTAATTTGTCCAATGCCATTTCATTCTTCCAAGTATCAACTCCCCTCCAATGTCTGCCCACTCGTGGTCCTTCTCTACTGTTCAGGCAGTTGTTTCTTATATTTTTTTCCGGAGTTGATCATTGTTATTTGTAGGAGGGTTAGTCTGATGAGAGCTACTGTGACAAAACTGGAAGTAAACCCAAAGATTCTTTAAATTTTTTATCACTAAAAAATCGTTATGGGCTGGGTGCTGTGGCTCATGCCTGTAATCCTAGGACTTTGGGAAGCTAAAATGGGTGGATTGCTTGAGCCCAGGAGTTTGAGACCAGGCTGGGCAACATAGTGAAACTCAATTTCTACAAAAAATACAAAACTTAGCTGGGTGTGGTGGCATGTGCCTATAGTCCCAGTTACTCAGGAGGATGAGGCAGGTGGATTGCTTGAGCCTGGGAGGTTGAGGCTACAGTGAACCGTGAGCATGCCATTGCACTGTAACCTGGGTGACAGCGAGACCCTGACTCAAAAAAAAAGGAATTTAACTCTTCCAGTTTTAGCCACATTCTCTGACATTCTCTAAGTTTTGATTTGCAACGTCTTTATTTTCTAAGTATCTGGCAATATTTTTTACGTGTTCCTGATCAAATAGTTAGAAGTGTACTTTTTTTTAGTTTCTAAGCAGTAGGGTTTTTTGTTTTATGAGTTTTTTTTTTTTTTTTTTTTTTTTTGAGACAGAGTCTTGCTCTGTCACCCAGGCTGGAGTGCAGTGGCACGATCTCGGCTCACTGCAACCTCCGCCTCCCAGGTTCAAGTGATTCTCATGCCTCAGCCTCCCAAATAGCTGGGATCACAGGCACCTGCCACAACGCCCAGCTTATTTTTATATTTTAGTAGAGATGGGGTTTCACCATGTTGGCCAGGCTAGTCTTGAATGCCTGACCCCGAGTGATCCACCTGCCTCGGCTTCCCAAAGTGCTGGGATTATAGTCATGAGCCACCGCGCCCGGCCTGTTTATATTTTTAATATGAGTTTAGTTTTATTGTATTTCGGTCCAAAACTGTGGTCTGTGCAATTTCTATTCCTTTGAATTTTGCTAGGGACTTTTGGTTGCTGAGTATTTGAAAATTTTGTCTATTTAAGAAGGTTATATATCAATTAATGCTACCTCATTAACAGCACTTACTTGTCACCACAGAAAGTCAAAGTAAGCATTTAGAGTATTCGTGGTATTCAAACTTTTTTTTGGTGCCACAGAAGCTTTTGTTTGAAACAAATAAAACACTTATTCACTTACACATAAAACAGATCAGAGAACAGTTCTGGTTATATGGGGGCGTGGAGTGGAGCAGCAGGAGGCTAGAGACTAACTTGCTAGATTCTTTCTTTTCTTTGGCTAACTGTGGAGTTCCTTAAAAGTGAAAGATGTTGGAAAAAGAGTGGTTTTGAGAGATGTGATGTGAAGAAGAACTCAACCTGCTGCTGCTGCTTTTGACGATGGAAGAAGAGGCCAAGAGCCAAGGAGTGCGGCAGCCTCTGGAAGCTTGGAACAGCCCTCAGCTTACAGTCAGCAGAATGACAGAGACCTCGGGCTCACAACCACAAGGAACTGCATTCCACCAATAGCGCAAATGAGCAAAAAATATTTTCCTCTAGGCTCCAGAAAGGAATGCAGCCTGCTGACACCTTGATTTTAGTCTGATGAGACTATACCAGTCTTTTGACCTACAGAACTATAAGATAATACATTTAGGTTGTTTTAAGTCACTAAGTTTGTGGTAATTTGCTCTGACAGAAATAGAAAACTAACACGCCAGTCCAATTTTTAACATTTTAACCACATCCCTACCTTGTCCATTCAAGGCAAGTTTCTGGCGGTTCTGTTATTATTATAGAAAACACAGGTCCAGATGTATAAGATATAATCAATACATTCAGCATTAAAAAAATGGTAATATATTAAATGACTTTAAATACTGTGCATAAAGTTAATTATACCAGTATTTCTAGAAATTTGTCATACTTTCATTTGGGAATTATTTTGGTATTATTCTTCTGAATCAGGTAACAACCTCATTTTTTTTTTTTTTTTGGAGACAGAGTCTCACTCTGTTGCCCAGGCTGGAGTGCAATGGCATGATCTCAGCTCACTGCAACCTCTGCCTCCTGGGTTCAAGCAATTTTTGTGCCCCAGCCTCCTGAGTGGCTGGGATTACAGGCATGAGCCACTATACCCAGCTAATTTCTGTATTTTTAGTAGAGAGGGGAGTTTCACCATGTTGGCCACATTGGTCTTGAACTCCCAACCTCAGATGATCTGCCCGCCTGAGCCTCCCAAAGTGCTGGGATTATAGGCGTGAGCCACCGTGCCCGGCCCAAGCTCATTCTTGTTTTAAAAACAGAGCCATCGGATGATCTCAGATTTTTAAGCCTTCCAAGGATGTGAAAAGCATGTCCCTAAATCAAATCAAGAACTCTCCTTCAATAGCTGGCTTTCACAGAGATACTCACTTATTAAGGTCAACTTCATAAGTCTGCATATGAGGTTTGTCTCCAGCCTTGTCTGGGTCCCATCGATAGATGGCAAATTTCTTGATACGGGGAGCTGTGGCTGCAGCTGTCTGGGCTCCTCGGGAGGCCTGAAATTTTTTAAAGTTCACAAAAAGGAAAAAAAAATTAGAAATACAAGATAATTCCATTTTGCTGGCACAACAGATGTAACGCTGGATATAAACTCACACATTACTGACACATAATCTTCTTAGAAAAGGCAGGCATTCAATATCCAACAAGTATTAAGCACCTATCATATGCTAATATATCAGACATGGTATTAGGGGCTAGTGACACAGCACTTAATACACAAAAACCTTCATCTTCACAGAACTTACTTTGTAGTGAACAAGAGTTAAATTAAACATTCACGATGAATATAAAGAGCGATACTGTTGGGAAAGTACAGGGAGCTCTGGATGAATACAGCAGAGACTTCAATGAGTGAAGAGTCAGAGAAGGCTTCCTCACATGTCATCTAAGTGGAGGCTTGACAAACCAGAATTAAGGGGAAGGAGTGTGGGGTGTGGTCTGAGGGTGGTGGCTCATGCCTGCAGTCTCAGCACTTTGGGAGGCAGAAGTGAGAGAATTGCTTGAGCCCATGAGTTTGAGAGCAGTCTGGGAAACATGGCAAAACCCCATCTCTACAAAAAATAAAAAAATTAGCTGGGTGTCGTAGTGTGCGTCTCAGGAGGCAGAAGTGGGAGGACTGCTTGGGCCCGAGAGGTTGAGGCTGCAGTGAGCCAAGATCATGCCACTGCACTCTAGCCTGGGCAACAGAGTGAGACTCTTTTTCAAAAATACAAAATAAAAAAGAAAAAAAGAAAGAAAAGACTATACTCCAGGACTGCTAATTTTTAAAATAAACTGATATAGAAAAGTAAAAACTCGGAAGGTTAATTGACTAATTACAAAAAGATGCAGTGGTGTTTATTACTGAGGCAGGAGAACAGGGTTTAGAGACAGGGAGTCTTCACTACAGCCTCTGATTCGTCTCGGGCCAAGTCTTCATTTGCATAGGGTGTAACTAATAGGAAACCCGTACAGGGTACTTTAATCCCAGAAGACTGTGCAGCTGGGGCTCTTGAACCACTTGCTCAATCCCACTCCTACTCTATGGAGTGTACTTTCATTTCAATAAATCTATGCTTTCGTCTTCTGTTGCTTTGCTTGTGTGTTTTGTCCAATTTTTTGTTCAACATGCTAAAAACCTTGACGACTTGTGGTCAAGACCGTCTACCAGTAACATTATTTCTTGGTAAAGTGTCCCGTATTAACTGAAGCTGAAAATACAAACATCAGCTAACAGTAGAAAAGAAGAAAATATATGAAGAAAATGAAAGTTAAGATGAAAGCTATGTTTTACCTTATCACCAAGCTGGCTAAAATCATCAACAAAAGGAAAGCCATTTCTACAAATGTTTTTCACCGGGAACCCCATTTTGTAAACTGACATGAACATCTAATGCCACCTTGTGGTATTTGGGAGGAAGTGAGAGGAAAGATTCCTGAAGGTATCAACTCCAGTGGACTTTGCTTGCTTAATGTCCCATTTTTTTTTTGGTCTTTTTTCTGTGAGATTTAATAAGGTATAATTCATTATAATAAAATTCACTAATTTTAAGGGTATAATGAGTTTTGACAAAGCAATGTAATCCTACCACAATTACAACAGAGTATTTCCATCCAAAAAGGTCTTTTGTGCCCTTGATGGCAAACATAAGTCCCCTTTTCCTACCCTTAGCAACTGATCAGCTATCATCACGAGTCTGCCTTTTACAGAATTCATATAAATGGCATCATACGGTACGTAGTCTCATGTCTAGCTTCTTTCACTCAACATAATGCTTCTGAGATTCATATGTTACTGCATATAACCATAGTTAAATGCTTTTTTAAAAAATTAAACTATTTATTTATTTATTTATCTTTGAGACTGAGTTTTGCTCTTGTTGCCCAGGCTGGAGTGCAATGGTGCAATCTTGGCTCACCACAACCTCCGCCTCCCCGGTTCAAGCAATTCTCCTGCCTCAGTCTCCCGAGTAGCTGGGATTACAGGCATGTGCTACCAGGCCCGGCTAATTTTGTATTTTTAGTAGAGATGTGGTTTGTCTATGTTGGTCAGGGTAGTCTCAAACTCCCAACCTCAGGTGATCTGCCTGCCTTGGCCTCCCAAACTGCTAGGATTACAGGCGTGAGCCACCGTGCCTGGCCAACCTTTTTATTTTTTAATAATTATAGATTCATATGCATTTATAGAAAATAATACTGAGGCCAGGTGCAGTGGCTCACACCTGTATCCCAGTACTTTGGGAGGCCAAGACAGACGAATCACTTGAGGTCAGGAGTTCAAGACCAGCCTGGCCAACATGGTGAAACTCCGTCTCTACTAAAGATACAAAAATTAGCCCGGTGTGGTGGCACATGTCTGTAATCCCAGCTACTCGGGAGGCAGAGGCAGGAGAATCGCTTGACCCTGGGAGACGGAGATTGCAGTGAGCCAAGATTGCGCCACTGCACTCCAGCCTGGGTGACAGAGTGAGACGCTGTTTCAAAGAAACAAAACAAAACAAAAAGAAGAAAATAATACTGAGACTCCACATACTCTTCTCACCTGTAATCCCAGCACTTTGGGAGGCTGAGGTTGGGAAATCACCTGAGATCAGGGATTCAAGACCAGCCCAGCCAACATGGTGAAACCCCGTCCCTACTAAAAATACAAAAAAACGAATTAGCAGGGTGTGGTGGCGTGTGCCTGTAATCCCAGCTACTAGGGAGGCTGAGGCAGGAGAATGGCTTGAACTTGGGAGGTAAAGGTTGCAGTGAGCTAAGACTGTGCCACTGTATACCACCCTGGGTGACAAAGTGAAACTCAAGCTAAAAAAAAAAAAAAAAGAGAGAGAGTTTTGCTCTGTCACTGATTGTGCAGTGGCATGATCACAGCTCACTGCAGCCTCAACCTTCTGGACTCAAGCGATCCTCCCATCTCAGCTTCCCCAGTAGCTAGGACTACAGGCATGCGCCACCATGCCCAGTTAGTTTTTTTACATTTATTTTTGTAGAGATAGGGGTCTCACTGTGTTGCCTAGGCTGGTCTTGAACTCCTGGCCCCAAGTGATCCTCTGCCTGGCCCTCCCGAAGAGTTGGGATATAGGCATGAGCCACCATGCCAGGGCCCACATACTCTTTACCCAGTCTCCCCAACAGGAACATCTTGCAAACTGTAGCACACCAGCACAACCAGAATACTGACAGTGCTAGTCAAGATAGGGGACATTCCCATAAGCACAGGATCACTAACATTGCCCTTTTATAGCCCTGTCCACTTCCTCCCACCCTACCTCCCCTGTACTCCGTAAGCCCTAGCAATCACTAATCTGTTCTCTACTTCTCAAATTCGGTCATTTCAAGAATGTTATATCAATATAATCATCTGGTATGTAGCCTTTTGGAATTGGCTTTTTTTATTCAGCCGAATTCTCCGGAGATTCATCCAAGTTGCTGTGTACAGCAATAGCTTTTTTCTTGTTATAGCTGAGTAGCACTCCAAGGTATCATGTACCACAATTTGCTTAACCATGTAACTACTGAGGGACATTGGGGGTGTTCTAATTTTTGGTGACATGAATAAAGCTGAGATGAACATTTGTGGACAAATTTCTGTGTGAACGTTACATCTTCATTTCTCAGGATAAACACCCAGGTGTGTAATTGTTGGGCTGTATGGTAGCTACAAGTTTAGTTTTTTTTAAGCAACTGACAAAACTATTTTCCAGAGTGGGTGGCTGCTGTGCCTGAGGCAGATAGTAGGGTAAGTGGGACAATATGCCTTTTAAAAAATGGGGCTACTTCAAGTTTTTACTTCTAATTTGGACACTTTTATTTTTCATTTATTTTTTAAAATATTTATTTATTTATTTATTTTGAGATGGGGTCTCACTCTTGTCCCCCAGGCTGGAGTACAATGGCGCGATCTCGGCTCACTGCAACCTCCACCTCCCGACTTCAAGTGATTCTTCTGCCTCAGCCTCCTGAGTAGCTGGGACTACAGGTGCCTGCCACCACGCCGAGCTAATTTTTATATTTTTAGTAGAGACGGGGTTTCACCATGTTGGCCAGGCTGGTCTTGAACTCCTGACCTCAGGTGATCCGCCTGCCTTGGCCTCCCAAAGTGCTGGGATTATAGGTACAGGCCACCTTGCCCGGCCTTTATTTTTTATTTTTATAGACACATGGTCTAGCTTTATTGCCCAGGCTGGAGATCATGGCTCACTGCAGCCTTTAACTCCTGGGCTCAGGCGATCATCCTGACTCAGCCTCCCAAGTAGCTGGGACTATAGGTGCACACCATCATGTCCAGCTAATTTTTGTAGAGACAGGGTCTTGCCATGTTGGCTAAGCTGGTATGGAATTTCTGGGCTTAAGCAATCCTCCCATCTCAGCCTCCCAAAGTGTTGGGATTACAGGTGTGAGCCATTGTGTCTGGCCCTAACTTGGACTTTTTTTTTTCTTTTTTGGAGAGTCTCATTCTGTTGCTCAGGCTGGAGTGCAGTGGCGCGATCTTGGATCGCTGCAACCTCCACCCCTCAGGCTCATGCAATTCTCCTGTCTCAGCCACCCGGGTAGCTGGGATTACAGGCATGTGCCATAAAGTCCAGCTAATTTTTGTATTTTTAGTACAGACAAGGTTTTGCCATTTGGCCAGGCTGGGCTCAAACTCCTGGCCTCAAGTGATCCACCTGCCTCAGCGTTCCAAAGTGTTGGGATTACAGGTGTGAGCAACCGCGCCTGGCCCCTAACCGGGCTTTAAACAGAATCTGGGACTGGAGCATAATCCCCTAGTTCTTTTTTTTTTTTTTTTTTTTTTTTTTTTTTGTGAGACAGTCTCACTCTGTCACCCAGGCTGGAGTGGAGTGGCGAGATCTCTCTGCCTCCTGGGTTCAAGCAATTCTCCTGCCTCAGCCTCCCAAGTAGCTGGGATTACAGGCGCGTGTCACACGCCCGGCTAACTTTTTTGTATTTTTAGTAGGGATGGGGTTTCACCGTTTTAGCCAGGATGGTCTTGAACTCCTGATGTCGTGATCCACCTGCCTCAGCCTCCCAAAGTGCTGGATTACATACAGGTGTGAGCCACTGTGCCAGGCATAACCCCCTAGTTCTAAAGCCTGATTTAGTATTGTCAGTGGGCAACAGGCATTAGGCTCTATCAAGCTGGGTATCAGAACCACAAGGCCTGTGGGATGACTGTGGTTACCTGCAATGAGGTTTTCCCTTCAACATTTCTTTATAACATTTAAATATCTGTTTCATATCCACTCTACACGGATAATTGATCACGTATTATCTTTCCAAAAGAGACTAAGTTTGTATTAGAGCTAATTTAAATTTTTAAAAAGTCTTATCATATGAATGATGTGAAATAAGAGCAATGCCAGGATGTACTACACTGAATATCTAAGTCGACATATCCCAACATCAGTTTTGGAGTGCCCCAAAATGTCATCATTTTTTTTTTTTCAGTACAACTAATTTAAATTTGTTTTGTGTCAAAAATGTATTTTATAGGCCAGGCGTGGTGGCTCATGCCTGTAATCCCAGTACTTTGGGAGGCCGAGGCAGGTGGATTACCTGAGGTCAGGAGTTCGAGATCAGCCTGGCCAACACGGTGAAACCCCGTCTCTACTAAAAATACAAAAAAATTAGACAGGCACGATGGCGGGCACCTGTAATCTCAGCTACTTGGGAGGCCGAGGCAGGAGAATTGCTTGAAATCCGGGAGGCGGAGGGTACGGTGAGCCAAGATTCCGCCACTGCACTCCATCCTGGGCAACAACGTGAGCGTGACTCTGTCTCAAAAAAAAAAAAAAATGTATTTCATACAATATTTGGTGGGGCAAAGGGGGTTTACCAGAATGAAAGAAGATTCTGAAATCAAAATCACCAGAGTGGTCATGGTTCTGAAAGTGATAGAGCTTTGCTCATCTTGAGGTCTGTACAAAGAGTTAATTCTCAGGATTATGTTATCTGTGTTCCACCAAAAAATTCGTTGAATACATATATCTAAAAATTTGCCAGATTTCATTCATCGAACCTTTATAATCTGTCACACACGGTGCCAAATAATCTCTAATCTTTATAACATCTCTATGAAAAATGTTTTGTTGTTCCCAGTTAAAAGACGAGGATAGGATCATATAGCAACACAGGTCACTTGATTCAAAAATCCAACCTTTTAGCCATTATAACCAGTGGTGAAAACGCAAACATAAAACGCAACAGTGCAAAAAGATAATTCCATTTCACAATGAGATCCAAGGAACAAAAGAAGTTGTTGCTCTAATCATACAATGAGACTATATGATTTTTTTCCCCTTGTTACCTGCCCAGCAATTTATACTACAAATCCAAAAGGAAAGAGGGCCCCTTGAAAGCATTTTTACGTTAATCTAAAGACTAATGAGTATTCAAGGCAGAAAGTACATTCCTAGGAAATCTTGGATAGTATGAATTTCATAGTTTATAATTTAAGCAAGGTAAGCAACAACTGAACTGAGAAGGGTGAATTCTGAATGGTGCTGAAGGCTGGTTGTTGTTCCTCCAGTAAAGTGTCCTTAGGGTGCAGGCTTGGAGTTGGATGGAGTGGATAAAGATTTGGAGGCCAGAGAAGAAGGTGGGGAAATAGAGAGGAAGAAAGCAAAAAGGACTGTATGAAGATAAGCCTGAGTAAAATACAAGGTGCAGGCTTGCTGAAAAGTGTGATTGGTGATGCTTGAAATCCAAGCTCTATCACTTACAAGCTGTGTATTCTTCTGCAAATTATTAGCTTTTCGGATTCTATTTCTTCCTTTGTAAAGGGTGGGTAGTATTAATATCTGCCTCATAAGATAACCCGGGGGAGGGGGGGTCAAGTTTCTAGCATAGCCCAGAAAAAAATTTTTGCTCTACAAGATTGGCAACCTTATCAGTCTTTGTATTATTCTGATTTGTAAATAGGTATCCTAGCCCTGCCAGCCTAAGGAACAAGATGCACATTTTTTAAATTTTTTTTTTTTTTTTGAGACTGAGTTTCGCTCTTGTCGCCCAGGATGGAGTGCAATGGTGCGATTTCAGCTCACTGCACCCTCCACCTCCCAGGTTCAAGCAATTCTCCTGCCTCAGCCTCCTGTGTAGCTAGGATTATAGGCGCCCACCACCACGCCCAGCTAATTTTTTTTTTATTTTTTTAGTAGAGACGGGGTTTCACCATGTTGGCCGGGCTGGTCTTGAACTCCTGACCTCAGGTGATCCACCCACCTTGGCCTCCCAAAGTGCTGGAATTACAGGCATGAGCCACTGCACCTGGCAAGATACACACTTTTAAGTAGGTAGTTCTTGTCCTAAAGGAGTTCATAGTCCAGATGAAGAAATAAGGCAACACAAACAATAGTTAATATACTACAGTCAAATACTTACAGGCAGAATTGTGGTTCAGTGGTCAGACTATAAGCATAAAAAGAATTCAGAACCTGAACCTGAATGTTACCCACAGGTAACACACCAAGCTCATTACTGAATTCTTTTGAGGTGGCTTTTGTGGGTATACATGTACATTCCCACAAGGAAGGGGAGGCCTTGGGGCTCTTCTATTTTCTGTTGCCCTCAGGAGGCCCTGCAAAGACCTTGCCTGGAATTACAAAAATGACCTATGAAATTAGCCTTTTCTACAATGCATTCTTAGAAGAGGGGCTTGGAACTCTCTCGTTAGTGGGGCTCTCACAATTTAATTGTTTGCTCAGCAACTATAAAAGGAACAGGTAAACAAGCTCATTATCAATCATCAATTTAATACTGAGAGGATGTCAGCTTGAGGCTCTGGTAGGCTGTCTTCTTCCTCTATCTCCCCTTTTCAGAAAGGCTGATGCAGACAGAGTGGATCCAAGTTCACACACAGCATGCTGGATAGAACCAGGATTGGAACATGGGCAATATGTACTGTGTTATGCAGCCATAGCAGGCACTTAAGATGAAAGATGTCCTCATTTAAGTGCAAGAGAGGAAGAGGAACTAAAATTTCTTGGACACCAACCATGTCCCAAGATCTATGCTAAGGAGTTTTTCTGGTACCATGTTAAAAAACTGCCTCAGGTCTGCTTCTTGGGAATGTGATATTTTGAGCAAGCCAAAAATTTTCTTTCTGGGGGCCTCAAGTTTTCAAAGCTCCAAAAAGGAGGGTAAGGATTCTTGCTTGCCCACCTTAAAGGGGTTGTTGAGAATCCCAGAAGAGGAACAGACTTAGAAAGGATTTGCAAATCCTTAGTCCCTTATGTATACAAAAGCAATTTCCCTTCCCCTTCTAAATGTTCCCACTTAGAAGGCAGGTCAGAAATGTGTTGTTTCTTGGCCATACAAGGGGCGTGGGAAAATCTGTTACTGCACACGGCATAGTAATAAACAAGAACAGCGCCAAGCCCTCTACCTGTCATTCCATGTCAACTCTATGAGGTCCGTATTATTATATGACCTTTAGAGTCAGAAACACTGAGAGGATACTAGTGAAACTGTGGTGACACTGCTTTAAGGAACCCAGTCTTTCCTGCAACCCCCACCACCCACCTCCGGGATCCTTCGAGGTAGGGGGCTGGGTGCATTTCCCTCCATCTCTCCCTTCCCCTGCCCTGTCCCCAACAATTCACATGTCCTTTCCTCACCCATCCCGGTCCTCAACCTCGCACCCTTGAGGAATTACCTCGCTTCCCAATTCCCATCCTTCACACCCCGCAGGTCTCCCTTTTCTACAGAGGCGATAGTTTGGTGGCAGAAAAAGGGCTTGGAACTCCAATGTCTGGATTCAAATTCTGGTTCCAGCAGTCATTCGCTTGCCATGTGACCTTGAGCAATTCAAGTCCCCTTTCTGAACGTCCCCCCCCCCCGCACCCTTAGCTGTAAAAAATTGCCCGTGCCCTAACTCACAAGCTGCTGCGAGGCGCAGAAAGATAACTTGACAGGGATGCTCGAAGCCAAACCAAAGCACTGCACCAGGGGGAGGAGGTCCTCCATCTCCCTGAGGCCTTGCCCTATGCTTCCTCAGTCTCTCCGCAGCCCCATCAGCTCCAGGCAGTCTCTGTGGCTTTCCTGACTTTTCCCTCTCTGAGGCTCCAGGACTCACCTGCAGGCAGGCTCCGCCAAGGGTTGTGGCCGGCAACCGGCGCCTCAAGGAGAGGGCGACCACCGCCGCCATCTTGGCTCCTGACGTCAGCCCCACCCCTTAACCCCGAGGTCGCTCTCCGCCGGTGTCCCGTCGAACATCGCGGCGCCCAGCCTACATCCACTGAGGACCCACTAGCCGCGTACGAGCAACCAAGTGGGAGGCGGCTTCCGGTTTCCCGGGTGGGCGGAGGGAAGGCGGGGCAAGCACAGCGAGCGTGCGCAATAGCGCAGTAGCGGCGCATGCCCATTTGGCTTCCCCCGTGACCTTCTCAGAAAGGGGAGGAGTCTGAGAGGCAGGGCGACTTTCAGGGGGTGGGGCTAAGACTTAGATGGGGCGGAGCCATCCTATCCGGGTCCCTGCCCCGATTTCAACCTCTTTATTCCTGGAATTTTTGTTTGTTTGTTTGAGATGGAGTCTCGCACTGTTTCCCGGGCTGGAGTGCAATGGCGCGATCTTGGCTCACTGCAACCTCCGCCTCCCGGGTTCACGCGATTCTCCTGCCTCAGCCTCCCGAGTAGCTGGGATTACAGGCGCACACCATCACACCCGGCTAATTTTTTGTATTTTTAGTAGAGACGGGGTTTCATCATCTTGGCCAGACTGGTCTTGAACTCCTGACCTCGTGATCCGCCCACCTTGGCCTCCCAAAGTGCTGGAATTACAGGCATGAGCCACTGCGCCCGGCCAATTTTTTTTTTTTTTTTCAGACAGGGTCTCACTCTGTTGCCCAGGCCGGTGTGCAGTCTTGGCTCACTGCAGCCTCGACTTCCCAGGCTCAAGCGATCCTCCCACCTCCAGAGTAGCTGGGACTACAGGCGTGTGAGCCACCATACCCGGGTAGTTTTTTTTTTTTTCTTTTTTTTGAGATGGAGTATCGCTCTGTCTCCCAGGCTGGAGTGCAGTGGCGCGATCTCGGCTGACTGCAACCTCCGCCTCCCGGGTTCAAGCAATTCCCTGCCTCAGCCTCCCGAGTAGCTGGGATTATAGGCGTCCGCCATCATGCCCGGCTAATTTTTTTGTGTTTTTAGTAGAGATGGGGTTTCACCATCTTGGCCAGGCTGGTCTTGAACTCCTGACCTCGTGAGCCACCCACCTCGGCCTCCCAAAGTACTGGAATTACAGGCATGAGCCACCGCGCCCGGCCACCCGGATAATTTTTTTAAAAAATTATTTGTAGAGATGGAGTCTGGCTATGTTGCCCAGGCTGGGCTCAAGCAATCATCCTGCTCCAACTTCCCAAAGTGCTGGGATTACAGGCGTGAGCCACCACACCTAGCCTCCCTAAGAATTTGTCAGTCTTATTATTCATCTCTGACGCTTACTGGCTTGAGTCAGCCCTTTCTGTCGCATACCGTGCAGCTTGCCCGAGGCTGCCCAGGTTTCTGCACTGAGAGTCCCAAACAAACTGGGCAGTTGGTGAATGAGCTGAGGTGATTTCAAGGGTGGCTGGCAAAGGTGCCATTCTTTTGTTCGTTCATTCATTCATTCATAAATACGAATGGAGTGGCTACTATGTGGCAGGCACCAAGTGCTGGGATGCTGCAGGGAATGAGCAAGCCAGGTGGTCACTGCTCATTGAATTTACTCTCTAGTGGTGGAGACGGCAAGTGAGCAGACAGCTAGACACTGTGAGCTCTGTTCTGTACGAGAGGGTGTGCCCAGAGAAGGACACCCAGTCCTTGGTGGCTTTGTTAGCCATTTAATATAAGAAACCATTTCTACTCTGTGCCAAACATTATGGTCCATTATCCCACTTAATCCCCACAGCAGTTCTGTGAAGAAAGTTTTTTGGTTTTGTTTTTTACTGAGTTTCCATTTTAGACATCTCAGCTTCTTTTTCCAGCCCCCTCCATGGATCTGCTCAGAGCTGGCCTCACTCTTGGGACTTACCTTGGGCAGGAGTGGCCTGGAGCCTCCAAGGCACCTGCCTCTTCAGTCACTCCACGCGTTTGTGTAGATTGTTAACCTTGCAGGTCCCGGGGTTTCGTAGGAGTGATTTTTTTTTCCCCTTTCTGTCTGCTTGTTTTGGACATGTGAAGGGCGCCTTTCTATAGTCTTTGGTTTCCACTCTCACAGCTGATGTGGATGCTACTGGAGACATTGAGATGGCCAGGTCAATTGGCTGGATGGGCTGTTTCTGGAGTCCTTGACTGGAACCCCGCTATACCGCCAGTGTGGCCTCATTAAAGGGGGTGTGTAGTGAGGCCTGAACCTCTAGGTCTAACCTGGAATATTCTCTTCAAGGCCATGTGACCTTGGATAAGCCCCTCCCCATCTTTGACCTATAGTTTCCTTGCCTGAACCATTAGGGTGTTGGGCCCTCTGATTTAAGATTCTGTGATTCACGTGGCTGTCTTGTGGATAACTGGTAACAATGCTGAGGTCACCTTGACTTTCACTGGTGCTGACCCAGGACTGGAACAGGGCCCCTCTGGTCTGCCCCATGGGGCCTCTTGGGTCACCCAAACTGGCTGAGATATGGGAAGACTGCCGCTCTGTCTCTAACTCCTAACTGAATTGTCGTCTGAGCTGAAGAAAGCTCTTCCTGAAAGGAATGTATTTCTAGAGAATTGGTCCTCTTAGCATTTTCAGGGTTCTTTCATCTCAAAGGCAGATGCCACCCCTAGATAAGCAACTACCCTTTCAGTTTGCCCAGGTCACCTTGGAAAAAGCAGTCTGAGGCCAGCATAAGTGAGACCTTGATTTATGGAGGGGCTGTTGGTGCCAATGGGCCCACATGCCCTGCAGTCACATCATTCCTGGGCTTCGTGGGGATTTGGGGAGCTCAAAGTTATGGAGGAATAAATTCCTGGGCGGCTGTACCTCCGCCCTGGACTTTGGGATGCCAGAAAGTCACAGCTGCAGAAGGACTTAGAAATTTTCATGGCCTGATCCTGACATATTTTCCAAAGATGTCCTCATGATAAGACCCTAGGTTTTTTTGGTTTATTTCCATTCGTCTAGAGAGTGACATATTGCTTTTCACCAGACAGTCTGCTAGACACTATGTTTATACTGAACTTTATCACTTGCAAAGGTGTTTACATAAACAGTCTCATTTAGTCCTCATAACCACACTTTTGGGTTGGAAAAGCTGCTCCTGTTTTCCAGACTCTCTCAGTCTTTGGACAGCAGGAAAACTGAGCAGCCTTAGGTGAGCGTTTTGCTTTAGGAGGTCTTTCTCCCCTAAGAGCTGGAAATCATGTCCAGAATTGAAAATTAAAACCAGCTGGGCAAAGTGGCTCATACCTGTAATCCCAGAACTTTGGGAGGCTGAAGTGGGAGGATCGATCCCTTGAGCCCAGGAGTTCGAGACCAGCCTGGGCAACATGGTGAGACCCTGTCTCTACAAAAAAATTTAAAATCCGCCAAGCATGGTGGTGCAAACCTGTAGTACCAGCTACTTGGGAGGCTGAAGTGGGAGGATTGCTTGAGTGCAGGAGGTCGAGGCTGCAGTGAGCTGTGATCACACCACTGCAACTCCAGCCTGGGCAACAGAGCAAGAACCTGTCTCAAAAAAATGAAAATAACAAAATAAAAAAGCATTATGTTGTATCAACTGTCATTTGTACAATCAATTGTAGTCTGGTGTCTTGTAATTTAGGGCAACCTGGATGATTTCTGCCAGCCAGAGGGTGAAGGAGGGTTGGATTTAGGAGGAAATATCAGATGTTGCCTGGGAGATTCATTTGCCTCTGGGAAAAACCCACAGCAACAGATTGCTGTGGTGGAGCTCTGGGGCCTTCTCATCTAAAATTTAGGATTTTTTTTTTCTTTTGAGATGGAGCCTCACTCTGTTGCCCAGTCTGGAGAGCAGTGGCACGATCTCGGCTCACTGCAAGCTCTTCCTCCCGGGTTCACGCCATTCTCCTGCCTCAGCCTCCCGAGTAGCTGGGACTACAGGCACCTGTCACCACGCACGGCTAATTTTTTGTATTTTGTTTAGTAGAGATGGGGTTTCACTGTATTAGCCAGGACAGTCTCGATCTCCTGACCTCGTGATCCACCCGCCTCGGACTCCCAAAGTGCTGAGATTACAGGCATGAGCCACTGCGCCCAGCCAAAATTTAGGATTTTATTTGCCTTTGGCCAGTGGGCTTCGTCCTTTCCGTCTCCCTGGCTGTCTCCTGAGCATCTCCATCTGGGCGTCCCAATGGTCCTTTAAACCCAACCTATCCCAAACGGTACATCTCACCTGAGGAGTTTATACTTGTCTTATTAGCACCACCATCTACCGGATATCCAAGCCAGAAACTCGATGTCATCTTGATTCTTCTCCCCACCCCATATCCAATCAACCATCAACTCCCACCATAGCTCCAAGGCTCCCCGGCTCCCCCGCGGGCCCTTCCAGTTACTTCTGTCCCTGTAATACAGCCTGCTCTATTCCCCGCCTCATTTCACACCTCCAAGCCTTTGCGTACGTCCGTGTCTTGGATCTGGAGTGTCCTTTCCTCCTCCTTCATGTGGTTGACTTGTCATCATTGAAGATTCAGCTCCAACTTTTTCCTCCCTTAGGAAGTCCCTCCTTGATTGTCCCTATCAAAATATCCTCTGCATATGCCATCCATGCATGCAACACCTGTTTTAACAATGACCCATGAATATGTCTGCCTCCCCAGACTATGGGCAATTTGAGGGCTTGACCCACTTGACTCTATTTGATTTTCTTCATATAACTTATTGCTATCTGCAAGTTTGTTTTTAATTCTTTTTTTTTTTGAAACAGAGTCTTGCTCTGTCACCCAGGTTTAAGTGCTGTGGCATGATCATGGCTCACTGCAGCCTCGCACTCCAGTGCTTAAGTGATCCTCCCACCTCAGCCTCCCTAGTAGCTGGGACCACAGGCATGCACCACCATGCCCAGCTACTTTTAAAAAGAATTTTGTAGGCTGGGCTCAGTGGCTTGTGCCTGTAATCCCAGCACTTTGGGAGGCCGAGGCAGGTGGATCACTTGAGGTCAGGAGTTCGAGACCAGCCTGGCCAACATGGTGAAACCCGTCTCTACTAAAAATACAAAAATTAGCCGGGTGTGGTGGTGGGAGCCTGTAATCCCAGCTACTCGGGAGGCTGAGGCAAGAGAATTGCTTGAACGTAGGAGGCTGAGGTTGCAATGAGCTGAGATCGTGCCACTGCACTCCAGCCTGGGCGACAGAGCAAGGCTCTGTCTGAAAAAAAAAAAAAAGTTTTTTTTTTTTTTTTTTTGTAGAGACGGAGTCTCCCTATGTTACCCAGACTGGTCTTGAATTCCTGGGCTCAAGCAATCCTCCTGCCTCCCAAAGTGCTGGGATTACAGGACTGTGCATCTGCGCCTGGGCTGTTTTTAATTCTTTATGAACGTATTTATTGTCAGAGCCTCCCATGACCGATGTCAAGGACTCCCAGAATTGGAATAGACGGAATTGGCAAATCAAAACGTCAACCAGCCAGCGGCACAGATCCTTTCTAGCCCCCACCCCAGTCCCATCTATGATTTTTCTCAGAGAAGCCTTGTCCCTTATGCTAGGGCACTCGGTGGTCATCTATACTAAGGGTCATGGGGCTATTGGGGTGACTAATGATGGTAACTGCCACATTTGGAGGACACATTTGGTACTGTGTACCAGGTCCTATGCAGAACACTTTGGGTACATGTCCTCTCTGTAATCATTTCAGCAACGGCACAAAGTAGGGATTACTATTCTTCATTTACAGTTGATGCAACTGAGCCTCAGAGAGTGTCAACAACTCACCGCAGGTCACCCAGCAAGTAGGTCAGCCTCTTCTGTTAGGTAGATGGGCTGGGCTGCAGGCGTGCGCCTAAGGCTCGTGGGAACATGGTGGTTGCAGCCATTCTGGTCTACCCACAGAGGGTGCTGCTGCCTCACAGAACTACCCAGGGCTCCCTACTGGACCTTGCCAACCTGCCCTTAGAAAGGCCTTATCTAAACTCTCTTCCCTCATCCCATGCAAACCCCACCATATAATTAGACTTCTCAAAATATTCTCTTCGAGTGGGATGGGGACAATCATAGGCTACAGGCTTCTCCAATTTCAAGAGCAGCCTCTATGGAACTCCCGGAGCAAAAAAGTCATGAGCCACCCCCACTCCAGATGGGGCTGCGTTTCACACAGCTGAAGTCAGCTCAGCTGCTGGGACTTAGCAAGTGGTCCAAGGCCTTCTGGGGACTGTCATGCTGCTGGCCCTATAGCAGCACACACACACATACATTTGGAGCTCACCCACCCTGCTAACTTCTGCCTCATTCCCAGATGCCTGCCGTCACCAGCATACTCTCAAATGAGCAGTTAGTTTGTTCCTCTGGATGTGTGTGGGTGAGCACTTTGCAAACACCGTATAATGCCATGATCAAACGCCCTTTCCAGCCGAATCTGGCTTTTGAGCACTGTTTTCTGTCAGAGACACAGCCATGCAAATGAAATGCAAATACGAATAGTGGGTAAATATTCATGCGTAGCGGCGAGATGCCAGCCGACTGGAAACAAAAGTCAGAGAGCTGCAGAACGTTAAAGGCAATTTGACCTCTTAGGGAGGCTGGTAGGTAGAATGGTTAAGTGTGCAGGCCTTTAGGGGTCTGAAACCCTGTTATATCAGCCATTTGCTCTGTGATCTTGAGCAAGTTCCTTAACCTCTTTGTGCATTCATTTCCTATTGTGTAAGACGGTGAAAAAGAAACAGTCGCCTTGCAGGGAGGAGAATTAAATGAGTTAGTGTCTATAGGGAGCCATCAATCTTAAATTGGTAGTGGAGAGCCCAGCTGGGGAAAGGAAAGAGGTAAAAGATAACTGTGCCTTATTAGGGGAAATAGATTATGCTTATCAGAATGGGAAGACTTCAGCATACATACAATGTCAAGGATTTCAGGCAGCTCTAAAAAATTATTTTAGAATACTGTACATATGTAATTAAATTCTCACTATGTAAAAATTTCAAGCAATATAGATAAAGCTTAAATCCCCTCAGTCACACTTCCTTTCCCAGGGGTGATTGCTATTGTCAGTTTCATGGGATTGCTTCCAGATTTTTTTCTTTGTATGTATTTACATATGTATGTTTCTACAGAAATCCATGGCTTTGCTTGCTGTTATTTTTCTATTTTATTTTATTTTATTTTTAGATGGAGTCTTGCTCTGTCTCCAGGCTGGAGTGCAGTGGTGCAATCTCGGCTCACTGCAACCTCCGCCTCCTGGTTCAAGCGATTCCCCTGCCTCAGCCTCCTGAGTAGCTGGAATTACAGGTGTGTGCCACCACACCCGGCTAATTTTTGTATTTTTAGTAGAGACGGGGTTTCACCATGTTGGCCAGGCTGTTCTCGAACTGCTGACCTTGTGATCTGCCGACCTTGTGATCTGCCTGCCTCAGCCTCCCAAAATGCTGGGATTAGAGGTGTGAGACACTGTACCCGGCCATTTTTATTTTTAGAAAATACAAACGATAACATACATGTTCTGCAAGCTGCCATTTTTTCGTCAAGTGCTGTGTCTTGGAGGTCTTTCCATGTTAGTATGCATAGATCCGTCTCATCATATATGCTGCAGAATATTTAAAAGCAGGGCTGTACCATGGTTTGCTTATCCCTCAGGAAATTTCTTAAAAATGTTTTCCCTATGAGTTTAATATCAGTGAAGAAATATGTTACTGTCAGCTTCCTAAAATACAGGATTGATCATGTGACCGCAGTGACCTCAAACCTTCAGACGGTTTCCAGGGCACCAACCCTAGTGTTTCCAGCATTACTGCAATCTATATTTTAGCTACTCACTATAATCACAATTTCCCAGACATATTACACACCTGGACCTCTTTGTGTCTCTACTCAGCTTGGCAACCCCTCCTCCCCTCTTTGCCTAATCATTCATTTCTACATTCACTCAGCAGTCATTCATCTTAGGACAAATGAACACCAGGCCATCCTTGGTCATTCTCCCAGCAGGAAAGGTGTGTGTGTGTGTACACAGATTTTTGTACCTTATTCATTCCTCCATTCAGCAAGTATTTATCAGGTGCCTATTCCATCAGTGTGCCTCTCTGCTCTCCTGTCTGTCTCCCTGACTCAGCTGTCAGCTCCTTGAGGGATTAGATCATGTCTCATGCACAGGGCTTTCCAGGGAGAACAAACACCCTGGTTTGCCGAGCATAGTTCCGGATTCTTCTGTTGCCCTGATGGAATTATTTGCAGGGCTCCTCTGAGATCTCAGAAGTGCCCTGGTTTAGATGAAAAATTGTGGGATCACTGGTTTTACACACAGTAGACACTTGGCAAATGTTAATGGAGAAAAGTGAATGGATGGATGAATGAATATAATTTGCTTTTCACGATTTAGACATGCCATCTTACTCCGAGCTGAGGAATAGAGAGAGCACATACTGAGCTACGTAGAGGTCATTTCATTATGGGCCTTATTGCCTTAGAGGGGTTTGTAGGAATCCTATAATCTCCAGACATCTTGCTTGCAGGTAGAGGGGATATCTTGTTGATAAGATTCTTCTAATAGGACACCTGACATGCTAAAAACTGGTGCAAAGATAAGGTAACATTTGTGAATGAAAGAATGCTAAACTTGGGTTAGAAAGCTGTTTCTTTTTTCTTTTCTTTTTTTTTCTTTTGAGACAGTGTCTTGTTCTGTTGCCCAGGCTGCAGTGCAGTGGCATGACCTTGGCTCACTGCAACCTCTGCCTCCTGGGTTCAAGTGATTCTCCTGCTTTAGCCTCTCTATTAGCTGGGATTATAGATGTGTGCCACCGCGCCTGGCTAATTTTTGTATTTTTAGTAGAGACGGGGTTTTGTCATGTTGGCCAGGCTGGTCTTGAACTCCTGACCTCAAGTGATCTGTCCACCTTGGCCTCCCAAAGTGCTGGGATTATAGGCATGAGCCATGGCGCCCGGCTAGAAAGCTGTTTCTGAGATGTAGTCAAGAGCAGGCGCTCAGTGGGTGGGCTCCGGAGCCAGACCACCCAGGTATGAATCCCAGCTCTGCCATTTCCTGCTGAGTAATCTTGAGCAAGTCACTTCCTGTCTCTGAGCTTCAGTTTCCTCATCTGTAAGGTGGGGATAACAACCTCACAGCTTAGTTTTGAGAATTAGATGAGATGACGAATGCAAAGCATTAGGTTGAACCAACAAAAATCGCCTCTATTTGACCATTTTGACCTTCCAAATGGGATTCCATATAGTTCCACCTGGTAGGAATGCAATCAATGTTTAAGAAATGTTTGGGCTGACTTTTCTGCTTCCATTGCCTAGCTGAACAGATGTTTCCTTCTTTTATTCAAAACACATTTGCTGAGCATCAACTATGTGCCAGGAATTGCCATCAGTAGGAAAACAAAATATTCCCTTTTTTTTTTGTTTTTTGGGATGGAGTCTCGCTCTGTCCCCCAGGCTGGAGTGCAGTGGTGCAATCTCGGCTCACTACAACCTCTGCCTCCAGAGCTCAAGCGATTCTCCTGCCTCAGCCTACTGAGTAGCTGGGATTACAGGTGCTCGCCATCACACCTGGCTAATTTTTGTATTTTAGTAGAGACTGGGTTTCACCATATTGGCCAGGCTGGTCTCGAACTCCTGACCTTAGGTGATCTGCCCGCCTTGGCCTCCCAAAGTGCTGGGATTACAGGCATGAGTCACTGTAGCTGGCCGGAAAACATTCCTTTTAAAGATTGAACGTATCTCTTCAGCTCTTCAGTAACACAGTAGCCTGCGCATGGGGCCTTAGCATGCTGGTCAGAGACTGTTAGTCATCTTTGGGTATAACCAGGGCTGTCAGAAAGCAGACCTTTGCTTGTGGAAGGTGAGGGATTGAGGCCAAGCTGGCGTGGCCTGAACCCAGCAGTTTGCTTAGAGACTACCCAGAGAAGACCTTTGCTTTTTCAAAGATCAGGGCTGAAAAAGAGCCCAGCTGGCCAGGGGGATGGGGTGAAGGTCTTTCACATCAGCCAGGCTTGAGACAAGGCTGCAGAGCTGGGCTTTCTGTCTGGGAGCATTCTTTTTCTGCATGTCCAGCTGGAGAAGGGATCCTACATGCTGCCATTTGATGTCACTCCTATATTTAGTTGCTAATAACTTTTCCATCAGCCCCTTGGACCTGATACCACTTGCTTGAGGATCCTACATGAATCTCACTGGAGAGGCAGATTCATTCCTGGCTGCTTTTTGTTTCGGAGGAGAGACCTCCCCCCAACCACTTCCGTGGGGTTTTGGCTATGCCAAGGTGTGGCTCTGATCCCATCTGGAATGCCGGAGGAATCTGAGATAACGAGCTGCTCTCACCTGGGACTCCAAGTACACATTTTAGATTAAATGTAGAACCAGGCTGTATCCACAGGAAGAGTGAGGGGAAAAAGAGGACCTGGTGGGGGTTCCCATCTTGACAGTGGGCAGAGGGGACCTGGCCAAAGGCAATCACCTTGCAGAGAGAGAGGGGGGTCCTGGTAACTTGGCAGCAGCCATGGTTCAGACAAGAAGACTTTCTGGAAGGGCAAGGGTCTGCATACCAAGGCCAGTGATGGCTCGTATCTATTTTACATTTCTCTTTTCAATATAATAATAATAAACTTTTATTAACCATTGCAGTCAAACTAGTGGACTCTGGGGGTTTAAGGAATGTGCCTATTTCCACAATTGGCGCTCAGCCTGGCAGACAAGTTTCTAGAACAATACCTTCCAATATGATAGCCACTTGTAGCTATTGAGCACTTAAAATGTGGCTAGTCTGAATAGATGTGTGATATAAGTATAGAATACACATTAGATTTCAAAGACTTACTACCAAAAAATGAGAATGTAAAATATCTCATTGAAATTTTACACTTTAGATTACATGTTGAAATGATAATTATTTGGATAGATTGGGCTAAAGAAAATATATTATTAAAATTAATTTCACCTGCATTTTACTTTTTAAATGTGGCTACTAGGGAATTCAAAATCACATTATGTAGTTTGCATTATATTTCTATTGGAAAGTGCTGTTCAAAAGTCTCAAGGTAACACTCAGCGACCCTGAGGTGGGTGATTGGCCAAGATGTGAAAACATCACCAGGATGAACTTGTTGAACATCCCAGCATCCCTTGGGGAATTGCAGAACTAGATGGGTCAGGAAATCTATGAAAGATTGGCCTTGCAGTGGCTTGGACCACATTAGTTGGGTATAAAAGAGGATTTCGGTAGGGTGCTGGCTCACGCCTATAATCCCAGCATTTTGGGAGGCCGAGGTGGGTGGATCACAAGGTCAGGAGATCGAGACCATCCTGGCCAACATGATGAAACCCCGTTTCTACTAAAAATACAAAAATTAGCTGGGCATGGTGGTGCTTGCCTATAATCCCAGCTACTCTGGAGGCTGAGGCAGGAGAATCACTTGAACCAGGGAGCCGGAGGTGGCAGTGAGCCAAGATCATGCTACTGCACTCTCCAGTCTGGTGACAGAGCAAGACTCCGTCTCAAAAAAACAACAAAACAAAACCAAAAAAAGGGGATTTCAGAGGCCTGGGCCCCTGGGTTAAGCCTGGGAGTGAGTGAACCAGTGATTCTCATTTTGCAGTGGCCCCTTTAAAATAGTGGCACCAAGACATTGGTCCAGAAGCTCAAGATGGGACTAAGGAGTGAGAAGGGCCCCAGGTGTCTCCCAAAGAACTTGGAAGCAGCTTCTAGACTCAGCAACCAATCAGGTGACTCCATTTTAGGGCCTCAGGAGTTTGTTCACAAAGACCCTGTTAGATCATGGTTATGTTGTATGGATTTTCATACCATGGGTCAAATCACAAATACTTGTGTGTAGTAGCTGTTGATTAAAAGGACACGACATCACCCAGAGCAATGGACAAGGCTGATTCCCTGCCGTGGTTGCGGTTCCCTCTTCTGGTTGCGGCAGAACTTGTCACAAGCTTGTGACTTTGTTCCTAATCCCAGCTGTGATCTTTAGATGGTTGCCTATGAGCTCCTGGTGCCCCCTCGCCCATTCAGAGGGCCAGAGTCCCCAGAGCCAATGACTGGTGCAGGCGGACAAAGACTCAGCCTCCAGACAGGACAGCTCAGAGGTGCCATTTATGCTCCAGAGCTCTCCAGGGATCGGTCTGAGGCTTCACCTCACACTCTTGTATGGTTTCTTCCCTTTCCTTGGCCTGCTCCCCCAGTTACCATCTTGGTTTCCCCGGAGGCTCCTTTTTTTTTTTTTTTTTTGAGACAGGGTCTTGCTCTATCATGTGGGTTGGAATGTAGTGCAGTGGGACGATCGTGGCTCCCTGCAGACTCCATGTCCTAGGCTCAGTTGATCCTCTTGCCTCAGCCTCCCCCCAAGTAGCTGGGACTACAGGCATGTGCCACCATGCCCAGCTAATTTTTTAAATTTTTTATAGAGATGGGGGTCTCACTATGTTGCCTAAGCTGGTATGGAACTCTTGGGCTCAAGGGATCCTCCTGCCTTGGCCTCCCAAAGTGCTGAGGTTACAGGCATGAGCCACTGCGCCGGCCACTTCTCAATAAATCACTTGTTCCTGAATGCTCATCTCAGGCTCTGCTCCTGGGGAACCCCATCAGAACAACATAGTCAGACTTTATTGCGGGTACTGGTCTTGACCTTCGGTGGTGGCCATGTAATATGCAGTTGCTGAGTGTGTTGGGGATTCCGAACCCTCAAGATACCTATGCTGAGAGCCCAGACCCTGTGCCCAGAACAGCAAGGGCTGCAGGACCAGGAGGGCCCAGTGTGTGGCTTGCCTCACTCCAGGCCGTGTCTATGAAGCAGCAAAGAACATCACACCAACAGCCATATGACTTCCCCTTGGACCATTTATTTCATTGTTCTTTAGTCGAGCTCTTCCCTAAACATCTTTAGATCTCCACCACAGGCTCTTTTCCAGAAATTTGAAACTGTGTTCTTCTTGCCATCTTCACGACATCCCCTGCCCTCTTACATAAGATATTTCAACATCAAGGTGGAAGCAGGAACTTAGCTGAGTTTTGCAACAGAGAAGCGTATTCTAGGCCTACATTTATAGAAAGTGGGGGTGGGGAAGAGCCATGAGTCCACGGGGGTATATCCACACCGAGGGTTGTCACACTGGGTGGGCAAGTGAGATGGGAACGGGTGTGTGAGTCCTGGGAACTTCAGAAACATCAGAAATTACCGACATCATTGGGGAAAGCCTTAGAAAAATCTATAAAGACACACTGTCTGCACATGGGAGGCGCTCACTTCCCCCTAATGTAGACTAAAAAAAAAAAGAAAAAAAAGAAAGAAAACCCATAAACCCACATTAACCAAACACACACACACACATGACAAACTCTAAGTCTCCAGACAGACACCCTCAAATAGGCACTTGGTGTTTTCAGCTCTGGGGCTGGAGAGATCTGGGGCTTTGGCCTCCAAAGGCAGGAGCTGCTGTCCCCAGAGAGGAGACAACAGCTTCTGGAGGCTCTGGGGACTCATTGGATGGGTACTGGCTAGGTAGATGGGAAGGGGGCCTGTTTAAAGAAGACCCCCCACCCCCACTGCCCATTTCACCACAACAGTGACTTGCTGGAAGTTTTGTGCCCTGCGGATTTCTGAATATAGTGGACTGGCATTTCTAAAGAGCGCATCACTGAAGGGGCAGAGGCTGGCCTTTAAATGTGGGCTTTGCATGTTGGGGAGTGATGGGTTCCATGCCAGTAGGGACCAGGTCCAGACTGCTACTAACCACTGTGTTTGCAGAGCCCAACGCCGTGCCTGGCGCTTAGTGGCATACAACAAATGTTTGTTGAATGGTTGAAGGAAATAATCCCAAATGAAAATCTTGTTCCTCCAAGAATATAAATTACATTATAACCTTTTCATTGGTTATAAATCGGTTCTTCAAAATGGGATTATAATTCATTTATTCTTCTGGCCCTAAAGGAACTTTTAACGATTGAAACTGAGTCTTTTCAGTTGGAGCCAGGGAATGAATCTGGGTATGTCCAAATGAGAGGGTCTTTGGCAAAGGCACTGGTGAATTTCAATGGGATAATCAAACCACCCCTAAGTTGGCAGCTGACCCAGAACTGGCTGTTGGGCTGGAGGGTAGGCCAGGGTCCTTATGTGTTGGATCTGATGTCCGGAGAGGAGGGGCTGGTCACTTATTATGCCCCTGGGAAGGCCTGAATCTGGCTGCTGGCGAACAAGTTCTTGTCTAGCTGCCTGGACAGATGGCACCAGGAATAAAAAGGAAGAAAGTCAAGGCAGTGGAAGGAGGAAGGTCAGGGAGCGGCCAGAGAATCAAGGACCAGGCAAGAGAAGATGGATATGGCTGACCAGGGGCATCTTTACGCATTGAACTCTCAGGTCACAAGTATGCTGGTCTGGGGAGAAATCCCCATGCATGCGGGGGAGCCTGCATCCCTGAGACAGATGAGGCAAAAGGAGCATCCCACACGTGGGGAAACCTGCTCAGATGAAATGTTTCCAGGAAGGTTCTAAGCTAACTTACTGGACCCTCAGGGAGTGGGGAGGACTAGCCAACAGTGTCCACACTGCAGAGAGAAAGCCAAGAGGATTTGAGAGGTTGGTAAGGAATGAATAATTGGGGGTGGCCACCTGGAAACCCTGAGGGAGATGTATTTGAAATGACGATGGCAGTTCAAGATACGTCTAGGGTCCCGGGGTCCTGGGGTCCCTTTCCATGGATTCTACCTTGATTTTCAGAGCATGGCTGCTGGAAGAACTGGCAATCCCAGAATCTCCTTCCCTTCTCCCCTCATTCAGTGTCAGATTAGAGACTCAAAATTCTTTGGGGAGCAGTTTGGGCACATGGTTTGCTGTGTTTTGTTGTGTTCTGTTCCTTATGTCAGGGCTACAGAGACACTGGCCCAGCTATTTTCAGCAGGGACAGAGTCGAGGCTCACTGGGGATGGCTTCAGAGGACACTGAGGCCCCTCTCAGGGAGGGCAAGGCACAGATACCCCAAATTCCACCCCACGTCCCAAAGGTCTCCCAGCGGGGCTGTCCAGTCCATGTCAGCAGAAGGCTCTGGGCGTGTGAGGGAGGGTCTGGAGAACTAAGCGAAGGAGGCAAACGCCAGGGCCCCTGGCAGGTCAGGGCACCATGTGCCACCACTTGAAGGTGAAGGGCTTCCTGCGGACGTTGGTGCCACAGTGGACTTCCCCCAGAAATTTGTGGTAGGCAGAAATGTCGTCGATGAAGGTGCATTCGAGGCCCAGGGGCTCCAGGAGGCCACGCACGTGCATCTCCAGGCAGCATTCCTCCTCAACCTGTGGCCCGAATGGCTTGGGGATGCCCAGGTCCTTGTCCAGCACGATCATGTTCACCTGTGACGGGGGATTGCGATGGCAACAGCTTCCATTTAGTGAGCACCTAGTACACACATGCCTATCCTAAGCTCATGGAACCCTCACGGCAACCCTGTGAAGTAGTAACTGTGATTGGATAGGGACGGAGTGGGGCTAAGTCACTCACAAATGGCAGAGCTGAAGTGGAAAACCAGGCAATCTGCCTCTGTATGTATGTGTGTGCAAAAGCATTCACATATGTCTGTACATGTATGTATATGTGGCTATATATGCATGCATCAGTGTGTACATGTACATGTGTATGAATGTGCACACACGTATGGGTATGTATGCATTTATGTGTGCATGTGTATTTCTGTGTGTGCATGTGTGTATATATGTTCATGCGTGCATGTGTGTTTCTGTGTGCATGTGTGTGTATATATGTGTCCATGCATGCACATGTGTTTATGTGTGCTCATGTGTGTATATATGTGTCCATGTGTGCATATGTATTGTTCTAACCTCTTTTTATGTTATAGAAGACTCCCCTCTATGTAACAGAAATCCCTCCTGTACATAAAGGACTTCTAATCTTTTGCACAGCACTTTCCTATCTGTTAAGGAAAAGGGTTCCCAGTATCCCAGTGAAGCAGCTAGGATGAGCATATCACTCCTAGGAGGAAATGGAGGCCCAGAGAGGGCAAGTGCCTGAGGTGAGGTCACACAGCAGCTCAGCCAGGATTGGGACCTGGGCCTCCCCATTGGACAGCTTCAGCTGAGGGGTCCTTCTGGATCTGGCTGCCCTGTACTGGCATGGGGCGAGGGTTGGGGTCTGCAGGGCCTCACCATGTTTGGGAAGAAGGCTCTGGCACGGTGGTCCTCGTCCATCTTGAACAGAGCGGGCAGGTCAATGATGTCCTGCTCTGTCAGTCCCAGCTCCTTCTTGAGGATGTCACGGTTCCAGTCTAGGCAGCGCTGGGTAGGAGAAAGGATGGAGGGCATGCAGGTGAGGGGGACACACACCGGCCACCTTGTCAACCCCATCCCTGTCTGCAGCACCAGGCCAGGGGCCCCGGCACTCCAGAGAGACTTCTAGCAGTCAGCGGGCGCCTCTGCAGCCTCTCCCTGGCCCTGTCCACCGGGGTTCATGAACAGCAGTCGTAATAGGACAGAGGAAGGTCACAGATGCCAGAACAGCAGCTGCCATTTCCTGAGCACTCACTAGAGCCGGTCCCTGTGCTAAGTGCTTCCCACACAGCACCTCAGTGACCCCTCGGGCCACCCCATGAGCTGAGGATAACACTGATGATTTTGGTAATAACAAAAGCTAATGCGTACATGTGCTTAGTACTGTTCTAAGCGCATTACATAGATTGCCTATTTAAGCTCCAGCCCTGTAATATAGATGCTATTATTATTCCCTTTTAATTTTTTTTTTAAGACTGAGTCTCACTCTGTTGCCCACGCCGGAGTGCAGTGGCACGATCTCGGTTCACTGCAACCTCCACTTCCTGGGTTCAAGTGATTCTTCTGCCTCAGCCTCCCAAGTAGCTGGGATTATAGGCGCCTGCCACCACGCCAGGCTAATTTTTGTATTTTTGGTAGAGATGGGGTTTCAACATGTTGGGCATGTTGGCCTTGAACTCCTGACCTCAGGTGATCTGCCCACCTCAGTCTCCCAAAGAGTTGGGATTACAGGCATGAGCCACCAGGCCCGGCCAAAGTTTTTATTTATTTTTTTTGTAGAGACAAGTGTCTCACTATGTTGCCCAGGCTGGTCTCAAGCCCCTGGCCTGAAGCAATCCTCCCGCCTTGGCTTCCCAAAGTTCTGAGATTACAGGCATGAGACACTGTGTCTGGCCCCCATTATCCCCTTTTTAGAGATGAGAGACCCAAAGACAGCCTTAGTGAGTTGCCCATGGTCCTACCTCCCCAAGTGAGGGGGCGGCACAATTTGGCACTTCTTTAACCCTGGGACTTTAGCCCAGGAGCAAAGCAAGGAGGCTGGCTGGATGCTGGTGGAGGCTCTTCCCTGTGCTGCTGTGCTCGGGGTCAGGAGCTCCTGAGCCCTTGGCCATTCTCTACGGAAGCCCCAAGGATGTAAGGGCCTGAGCCTCATCCCTCCCAGGGGCCCTCTGGCCCTGCACCCCTGCCCTGCCCTCACCTGGAAGTACAGGTTCTCCTGCACAAGGCTCTCGTTGGACAGAATCTTGTTGATGGTGATTCGCTTGCTGCTCATCCCACCCAAGCCTGTGGGGTTCAAAGGACAGGGGATGGTCAAGCTTTAGATACCCAGGCTGAGTGTTCCCCTTTTGCCAAGATCCTCCAGGCCTGGGCTAACTGCTGGACTGGGACTGGGGAGATGGGACTGGGGAGAGGCTGGATCACAGGAGGGCACTCCCAGGCAAAATCAGGCCCCCCTCTGTCTGGGGAGGGCAGCACACACTCTTTTCTCCAGAGTTGACCATGACATCTGAGCCAGGACAGTGGTGGCAGCTGCCTTGCTCTTGCTTTGGCCAGTGGGATCAGGGGTGCTACAAGTAGCCCCCTGGTTCTCCCACCTACAGCCTACTCCTAAGGATGAGCAGCTGACCAGCATGAATGTGGCAGAAGCAGCATGGCCAAAGGGGACACCCTTCCTGTTTTCCAGAGCTGCCTCATCTTGGCTGCTGCTCTGGAGTGGCCTGCGTTTTCCTCCTGTACCACACGATGGCTTATGTGGCTTCCAGCTTGATTAGTAATGCCTAATGCTCAATGAGCACCTACTATGTGGCCGACGCTCTTCTAAACGCTTTACATTGAATTAACTCATGGATCCTCCCCACATTTCTATGGGGTAGTCACTACCCTGAAAAATGAGGAAACTGAGGCACAGAGAAGTTATGTGACTTGTCTCAGGACTTACATCTAGCAAGCGGCAGAGTTGGTGTGCAGATCAGGCAGTCTGATTCCAGAGCCTATGCTCTTAACCTATTATTTGTTTATTTATTTTGGCCTCATCTGGGAAGAGACTGCTGGTCCATTGCACTTCCCAGGTTTATAACTGGACAGCAGTAAAGATGCCCAGCTACAAGCCGGATGTAATCTTTGAGGCTTAGGGACTCAGAAGGGAGGGTCCAGGTAGAAACAGAAAACTTTAGGGATCTGTGATTTTCTAAAACTGATCCAAGTTCAGGAGATAGATTGATATAAGCATTTTTCTGGAGGGCAAGTCTGTAGTTTTTATCATCTTTTAAAGGGATGTGTTTTCCCCAAACATTGTGGGCTCTGGTCCAGCGGAGATCTTGGCTCTTTGGCATTGCCTGGTTCACCTTCCTCCCCAGGTCTCCTATGTGCTTCTACTCTCTGCTGACTGCACATCCGCGCATCCTCTCTCTGTCTGTCCCAATTACATGAATGTCTAAGTCCAGGAGATAATGTTTCACTCCTGAACTGACAATGACGATGCCTGACCATGCCTTCTGTCCATCAAAGTCCAGTTTTCTTCCTGTCCCCAAACTGTATTCTATCTATTTTCTCTCTATCTCTCTTTCTAAAATACAAAGAGAAATCTGGGGCACTGCTTGCCCCTATTTGTACAAAAATAATGGTCCCTATATCCTATGGGTAGTTTTTGAGGGTATGTTTAATATTAGAGAGGAAGCCTCCAGGAAGTCAGGACTCAAGCTTGCCAATCCAAGAACAAACTTCCCATCAGTGGGGAATTTAAAAAGGGTGGTGGTGTTAAATTGGTCTTGTCTGTCCTAGACACCAGTGACAGTCAGGAACACTGTCTTTGGATCTGAGGGGCAGTCATGTAAGTATCAACCAGCTGCGGGAACTCAGGCTTTCAGGCATGAGATATATTATGGATACCAACCTGAAAAGTGACAAAAGTAATTTAAGAAAAAAATAGGCCGAGCATGGTGGCTCACGCCTGTAATCCCAGCACTTTGGGAGGCCGAGGCGGGTGGTTCATGAGGTCAGGAGATTGAGACCATCCCGGCTAACATGGTGAAACCCCACCTCTACTAAAAATACAAAAAATTAGCCGGGCGTGGTGGCGGGCGCCTGTAATCCCAGCTACTGGGGAGGCTGAGGCAGGAGAATGGCTTGAACCTGGGAGGCGGAGCTTGCAGTGAGCCGAGATGGCACCACTGCACTCCAGCCTGGACGACAGAGTGAGACTGTGTCTCAAAAAAAAAAAAAAAAAGTATAACGGATATAGAGAGTGCTGATGGTTAGTCAGCATTGTAGATGTATTTAATGTCCCGGAACTGTGTCCTTACAAGTGGTTAAAATAACAAATGTGTTAGATTAGGTATATTTTATCACAATAAAAAACATGTTGGACATAAGGATGGCAATGGCAAACACTGGGGACTATTAGAGTGGGGAGGGAGAGAGGAGGGAAAGAGTTGAATGACTAACTGTTGTCTACTATGCTCAGTACCTGCGTGATGGGATCATTCATACCCCAAATCACACAATACACCCAGGTAACAAACCTGCACATGTACCCCCTAAATCTAAAATAGAAGTTGAAAAAGAAAAAAAAGAAGTATGAGGAATTGGCATGGTGTCTCTAACCTGGCTGGTTGTCTCCACCTGATCATCTTTCCCTCTTTCCGTGATTAATTCAAATGCAAACCTCATCCCGACTATGTCTGTCCCAATTATGTGAATGTCTAAACGTAGAAGATAATGTCTCACTTCTGGACTGACAACCACGATGTCTGACCATGCCTTTTGCCCACTAAAGTCCACTTTTCTTCCTGTCCCTAAATTGTATTGCATCTATTTTCTATCTCTCTTTCTAAAATACAAGCTCCTTGAATGCAGATTGCACATCAGTTTCCTTTTCTTTTTCAAAATTTTTATTATAGAGAGGCTGGGTGTGGTGGCTCATGCCTGTAATCCCAGCACTTTGGGAGGCTGAGGCGGGTGGATCACCTGAGGACAGGAGTTCAAGACCAGCCTGACCAACATGGTGAAGCCCAGTTTCTACTAAATAAAAAAAAATTAGCTGGGCATAGTGGTGCCTGCCTGTAATCCCAGCTACTTGGGAGGCTGAGGCAGGAGAATCGCTTGAACCTGGGAGGCGGAGGTTGTAGTGAGCCAAGATTTCACCATTGCACTCCAGCCTGGGCAATAAGAGCGAAACTCTGTCTCAAAAAAAAAAAAAAAAAGTATTATAAAAATGGGGCTCTCACTATGTTGCCCAGATTGGTCTCGAACTCCTGGACTCAAGTGATCCTCTTTCTTCAGCCTCCAAAGGTGTTGGAATTGTAGGCATGAGCCACCAGACCCAGCTGCATGTCAGTTTTCAACCATTTAACCCTCCACTGGGTCTGGTGCCATTTAAAGTATACGCTAGGGCTTGAAGATGCGCTATGCACTGCTGGTGACACTAAGGAGCTGTGGGCAGCTCACAGTCCACCCAGCCACAGCAAGGGTCACAGGAGGCCAGAGGTGCTTCCCAGCATGGCGACCTCACAAACCCCCGATCGGGCCAGACACCCAGGGAAGTGGAGCTGGGTGCTCAGGGACAAAGTGCTTATCTGCCCCACCCTCCCGAGGGTCTCTCTGGGGCCTCCAGCTCGCCACTTCCTGTCAAGGCCCTGTGGCCACTCACCTTTGAACATGATGGCCTCTCCATGGCCGTCCTTCTGCTTCTCTCGGAAGAGCTTGTAGCAGGCCGAGGTGCTGGCCATGAGTAGCAGGAATTTCTGCAAGAGACAGTCCAGAGGGACAGAGTCAGCAGTGGGAAGGCACCCAAGGAGCACGGGGAGGCCCTGCGCTGAGGACCCAGTGCCTTGCCTGCTCATTGCCTCAGGCCTCCCATGCCGAGTGGCAAAGGCTGACGGGGAGGGTGTTCTCTGCTTCAGAGGAATATTTCTCACCTTTCCTCTACCTCAGCAATGTCACCAGATCAAGGCTCAGAGTCAAAGGTGGACTTGGACAGGACATCTCCAAGTTGCCAAGCAGCCACACAATTTGCAGAGAATTTCCAGGGTATGAAGTTGTACCCATAAGAAAATGAAAGAACCTCTTTCCAGTGCCACAGGTGCATAACCTATTTCTCTCTAGAGCATTACCACCAACACAATAGCCACTAGCCTTATGTGACTATTGAACACTTGAGCTGTGGCTAGTCTGAATTTAGGTGTGTCATGTGAGTAAAATCTTTGCCAGATTTTGAAGATTTAGTATGAGAAAAGAATTTAAATCTCTCGTTAATAATTTTTAGGCTGATTATGTGTTGCAATGCTAACATTTTGGATTTATGGGGTTAAAATTTTACCTGCCACAGCAACAACATGCAAACCAGCTTCAGCCTACTTCCTCCTTCCTTTATGCTGTCGAGTTCCTCTAGCTCTTGCCCTCTGCTGGCAGGGGCGGGTAATATATTGGTTTGCTGCTACCCCATTCACTCCAGCCTCGGGAGGCTAGCTTACCTTTGTGCCGGGGATGGGGACAAAGGACATGAACTCATCCACGTGGCCCACAGTCAGCCAGTCTGAGTAGAGCTCCACGGGCGCCTGCACCTGCTGGGCCTTCAGGAAGTCACGCACCACCTTGGTCATCCTCCGACCACCAGACCTGGAGAAGGGAGGAAGAGGAGTTTCAGCAAATTACCCACCGCACCAGAGGGCCTGCAAGAGGAGTTTGGTCTCTGGGACCCACCTCGGACCCAGAGTGACATCAGCAGAGAAGTCCCAGGAAGGAGACTAGGTTGGGTTAAGAGACCCTGGCGCAGGCAGTAAGGCGTTTGAGTCCCAGGGGAAAGAGTAGGTGTGAGTTGCAGCTGCGGCCTGTGTGAAGGGCAGGGAGCCCAGGCTTCAGCCCTTGAGGGTGCCAGTGAGTGTGCAGAGGCTACCTTTTGTGTGCGGGAGTCCCACCTGGCCTGCTGGACGGGGCTAGGGCACAGGAGGGCTCCAAAATCTGCCCTCATCCATGTGCCTCTTTGCTACATTAACTTCTACTTACTTTAATCTTTTTTTTTTCCCCCGAGATGGAGTCTTGCTATGTTGCCCAGGCTGGAGTAGAGTGGCATGATCTTGGTTCACTGCAACCTCTGCCTCCCGGGTTCAAGCAATTCTCCTGCCTCAGCATCCTGAGTAGCTGGGACTACAGGCGTGTGCCACCACGCCCGGCTAATTTTTGCATTTTTAGTAGAGACAGGGTTTCACCATGTTGGCCAAGCTGGTCTTGAACTCCTGACCTCATGATCCGCCCTCCTTGGCCTCCCAAACTGCTGGGATTACAGGTGTGAGCCACTGTGCCTGGACTTACTTTAATCTTTAATCAGTTCAAGAGAAACCTCCTCCAGGAAGCCCTTCCTCATTTCTTTTTTTGTGTGTGTTTGTTTTTTGTATTTTGAGACAGAGTCTAACTCTGTCACCAGTGCAGTGGCATGATCTCAGCTCACTGCAATATCTCCCTCCCTGGTTCAAGCGATCCTCCTTCCTCAGCCTCCCAAGTAGCTGGGACTACAGGTGCCCACCACCCCGCCCAGCTAATTTTTTTGCATTTTTAGTAGAGATGGGGTTTTACCATGTCGGCCAGGATGGTCTCGATCTCTTGACTTCGTGATCTGCCCACCTCAGCTTTCCAAAGTGCTGGGATTACAGGTGTGAGCCACCGCTCCCGGCCAGCCCTTCCTCATTTCTAGACCCCCCAAGGTCTGCAATCTCTCCATTATCCTCCGAAGATAACCCTAGCTCCTTAGGGTGGCCAACAAATTCCTTTCTGATCTGGCTCCTGGCCAGCCCTCCTCCCTCGCTTCCCTCCCTTCCCCCGGTTCTGTCTGCTCCAGCCACCTGCTACACTTGCTATCCCTTGGGGCTTTTCCCTTTGCTGTTCCTTCTGTATGGAATGCGCTTCCTTTACAATCTCCTGATGGCTGCCTACTTCTTAACATCCAAGCCTCAACTCTAGTCACATCTTCAAAAAAACAACAGCTAAGGCACCCCTGTCCCCAGGAATGTTTTATCATGTCACCCTGTTTTATCTTCTCCATTGCATGTATCAGCATTCAGAATTATCTAATTGATTTACTTGATTCCATGTTTATTTTCTGTACTGCCCTTACCCAACTATAAACTCCCGGAGAGCTGGGACTTCATCTGTTCTGGTCACCGCTGTATCCCCAGAGCCTAGAATAGTGCCTGGCACAGAGTAGTTTCTCAATAAATATTTGTCTTTAAGGGCCGCCCCTGAGCTCCTCGAGGGGGTTCAGGGCCACTCCCTGGGCTGACCTGACTCCCTGTTATTCTTTCTATCGTTGCAAGTCCCTCCATTTCATCAGGGTCTATTTGCATGCCTGAGACCTCTGCTATCTCCTTGAAGGCAGGGGCTGGGCTTCCTGTTTGGGACCCTGTGCCTGACACAGGGCCTGGCACTTGGCTGGTGCTCAGGAAATGGTTGCTGAGTGAATGAGTGGCCACTGAGTGGAGGGAGAAGGAGGCAAAAGTGGGCAAACAGTCGCTGGCTGTGCCAGTGGCCTCCCCGCAGAAGGCTGAGCATCCCATGTGGCTCGGAGGAAACTGGCGGCCAAATCCTGGCTGACCCCATCTGTGCAGGCTCCTGGCAGCCCTTTTGTGACGTGAGAACCTAAGGTATTCACTCTTTCCCCAGCGACTGCCCTGACAAGGAAGAATCTGTCTTTTCACTGGCTGGTGGGTCAACTGGGCAGGGAGTGAGGAGAATCATGGACAGGCCAGGGAGCCAGGGACTCACATTTCTGGGGCAGGACCACGTCTGCTCATACCTCTTTTAAGTATGGTAGCCCTGAGGATTCATTGGTACGCTCCCACTCATACCTGTCAGTTTTCCTTCTCTGGACTCCTCCATCCCTTCCCCAGCTGATTTATTTAATATTTTATTTTATTTTATTTTGTTTTTTGAGACGCAGTTTCACTCTTGTTGCCCAGGCTGGAGTGCAATGGCGCGATCTCGGCTCACTGCAACCTCTGCCTCCTGAGTTCAAGCGATTCTTCTGCCTCAGCCTCTTGAGTAGCTGGGATTACAGGCATGTGCCACCACGCCCGGCTAATTTTGTATTTTTAGTAGAGACGAGATTTTTCCATGTTGGTCAGGCAGGTCTCAAACTCCCGACCTCAGGTGATCCACCCGCCTCGGCCTCCCAAAGTACTGGGATTACAGGCGTGAGCCACCGCACCAGGCCTGATTTTTTTTGCCAGAGTCTCTCTCTCACCCAGGCTGGAGTGCAGGGCATGATCTCAGCTCACTGCAACCTCTGGCTCCCAGGTTCAAGCAATTCTCATGCCTCAGCCTCCCAAGAAGCTGGGATTACCACCATGCCTGCTAATACTTGTATTTTTAGTAAAGACAAAGTTTTGCCATGTTGTCCAGGCTGGTCTCGAACTTCTGGTCTCAAGCAATCTGCTTGCCTCGGCCTCCCAAAGTGCTGGGACTATAGGCATGGGCCACTGTGCCCAGCCTATTTATTTATCTATTTATTTATTTTTGAGATGAGGTCTCACTCTGTTGCCAGGCTGGAGTGCAGTGGTGTGATCTCAGCTCACTGCAACCTCCACCTCCCAGGCTCAAGCGATCCTCTCATCTCAGCTTCCTGAGTAGCTGGGACTACAGATGCATGCCACCATGCCTGGCTAATTTTTGTATTTTTTGTAGAGAAAGGGTTTTGCCATGTTGCCCAAGCTGGTCTCAAACCCCTGGACTCAAGCGATCTGCCCACCTTGGCCTCCCAAAGTGTTGGGATTACAGGTGAGAGCCACCGTGCCCCACCAACCAGCTGATTTATAATCTCATTATACACCTTTCCACTTGGGGAAAAGAGTTGTTTATTTAGTTATATATTAGATCCTAAATCACACAAAGATATAAAGGCTAGCTTGATTTTCTTTCCAAGAGTGTCGGCCTCTTAACAGGAAGTCGTGGGAGGGAATAATTCCCCCAGCCACTTGCTCCATGTGTGAGCAACCCAGGCCACCCCAAAAGAGAAACAGTGACTTCCCCACTCCCACAGCCCCTAGCCCCAGCCTGGCTTCTCTTACAGAGGAAAGCTGCTCCCGATGAGGATGCGGCCAAGCGGGTATGTCTTGCCGTTCACGGTCACTGGGGGACTGACCTCCAGGTTTCCAAATGAGTCAAGGCTGGTGACAGACTCAAAGAGGGGCTCCCGGGTCACGTAGCCAAAATCTGGGCCCTAGGCAGAGGGCACACACCTGCGTTAGTCTTCTGCAGCCAGGGTCCTCAGCCCCCAAGCCAGCCACCCTCTTTTATCACCTTCAGTCTGGGTCTGTGGGCACCCAGTTTCCAGGTGGGTTGTCCACGGTCTTCCTATGATTAACAAAGAGCAGGGGCCTGGGCATGGGGAGGCTGAGTGTGTGAGCATCTCGGTGTAGTGTGAGAGTGCGAGTGAGAGTGAGTGTGAGAGTGAGTGTGAGAGTGAGTGTGAGTGTGAATGTGAGTGTGTGGGCATCTGCATTCCTGTGTATGCCTCTATTTCCCAAGCACAGATACATATTGGTGATTTCAGAATTAGTCCGCATTTTATGCTATGCACTTTCAGTTTCCCCATCTGTTGTTGTTTTTTTTTTTCTGAGATGGAGTCTTGCTCTGTCGCCCAGGCTGGAGTGCGGTGGCATGATCTCAGCTCATTGCAACCTGTGCCTCTTGGTTCAAGTGATTCTCCTGCCTCAGCCTCCCCAGTGGCTAGGATTATAGGCAAGCACCACCCCTGGCTAATTTTTGTATTTTTAGTAGAGATGGGGTTTCACTGGGTTGCCCAGGCTGGTCTCGAACTCCTGACCTCAAGTGATCCACCCACCTTGGCCTCCCAAAGTGCTGGGATTACAGGGGTGAGCCACTGCGCCCAGCCCGTTTCCCCATCTATAAGAGAGTTACCAGATTAGGTAACCTGAGGAAGGGGAGCAGCTAGTATTATTATTTCCAGAGATTTGCTACCCTCTGCGCAGTAAGAGAATTTTGCATCCTGACCCATTGCCATGTGACTTCTGGCATCTTCCTGCAAAAGGAATATACTTCCCTGCCCAGTGTCAGACTTGGTCACGTGACTTGCTTTGGCCAATGAAATGTGAGCAGAAGGGATGCATGCCAGTGAACAGCAGAAGCCACAGGAGCCCCCACGTGTGTCTGCCAACTCTTTGAATTCTCCCTGTGCTAGGAGAATGGCATTTCCCAGACTGGGGCTGCTCTGGCACCTTGAGCGCTAGAGTAAGGAAGGCATAAAGAAGCAGAGTGGCAGACCACCAGCAGCAATCAACATGGAATGCCAGCAAGACACAGGCCTTTGCTGTTGTCGGTCATGGAGATTTCGGGTTGGTTTGTTACTTGGTGAAGCTGACCAATACATGCAAAAGTGGCAGCTATGAATATACATGACATCTCAACCCAGTCTCAACCTGCCAGACTTGCCACTGAGCCCAGAGGAAGCCTCAGAACCCTTCTTCACACAGAGCTCCAAAAAATTGGAGTTAGCCCGCAAGTCATAACCCCATTGGCCCCTGAATTTTAACATTCCTCTCATGGCTTTTGGGGTACAAATATAGGAATCTTGTTTGGGAGCTTGCACTGGGGTTGGGATGAAGCTTGCCTTACAAAATCCAGTGGAGTCGGAGGATGTGGCTTATCCTGGCTCAGCTGAGAGGCTCCAGGGACAGCTGAGCCCATGGGGTAGATGGCAGCAGCCTAGTGCTTTCTCATCTTGGGGCCCCAGCTGGCAACATGGGAGCTTGCCAAGGCTGGGGTGCTGGGGCTCTGCAGCACCATACAGGTGGGCAGGTATGCAGCACAAAGCCGGGCCTGGCCTGGGCCTCAAGGAACAACGCAGCCTGGGGCCTTGGAACCAGGCCAGCCTGGAATACTGAAGGCAGGTGGTGACCTGGAAAGGCCTCGCTTCTCATGCCTGTGGCAACTGGTGCTGGTGGTTGGTTTGACTCTACTCATCATAGTGTTAGGGAAAGTGGACAATAAGCTCACTAAGGACAGGGCCCGGGGAATGATAACCATAACAACAGCTAATAATGGTCATTATATCAGACATGGCACTGATGCCTTATACAACGCCTTCAATCTTCACAACATTCTGTGAGACTGATATCATTTCTATCCCCATTTTAGATGAGGAAACTGAGGCTCGTGGAAGGTAATTGCTTGCCCAAGGTCACATGGCTGCTAAGAGGTGCAATTAGGACTCAAGACCGGGTCCACCTGACATTCCAAAGCTCTGTGCTGACACCATTGGCTCTAGCATCTCCTTGTGAACAGGGCACTGGGTAAGGAATGTGGGGCAGAACAGGTGTGAACCTGGCACAGGGTCAGCTCTGGGCAGCCCTGGCGTCTGACAGGAATGCTGTCCTGCATGTGACCTTGGGAAAAGTCCCCTGATCTATTCCAGTCTCTTGTTTCATGCCCTGTTCAAACCTCCCCCAGCCTGTTCAGGGCAGAAGAGTGCAGACAAAAGAAAGATTGGTTTCGGTTCTAACTTCACACACTAGGTTGTCAAGGGCCTAAAAGGGGACTGAGAATGGCTTCCAGAATGGGAGGAGTCAGATGACTTAAAAACAAACAAACAAACAAACAAAGAAACAAAAAACATGGCTGAGTACAGTGGCTCACACCTGTAATCCCAGCACTTTGGGAGGCCAAGGTAAGTGGATCATCTGGGGTCAGGAGTTCGAGACCAGCCTGGCCAACATGGTGAAACCCCATCTCTACTACAAATACAAAAATTAGCCAGGCATGATGGTGCATGCCTGTAATCCCAGCTACTTGGGAGGCTGAGGCAGGAGAATTGCTTGAACCTGGGAGATGGAAGTTGCAGTGAGCCACTGCATTTCAGCCTGGGCGACAGAGCAAGACTCTTGTCTCAGAAAACAAAAACAAACACACACATACACACGCACCAAAAACCATAGCCTCAAAGTGCTGATGAACTTGGAAGTTGGAACCATGACTTTTGACAATTGCATAACTATGTTTTTTTCCTCTTTGAAACTTAACTCATTTTGCTGCAATTTGGAGGGGAAGGGCAGCAGCAGGGGCCAGGGCCTCTGGAACTAGGTCTTAACTCTATTTCCCTTAGTTCCCATTTCCCACTAGAAAACTCTCTATGTTTTGGAAAAACATCAGTTATCAGAGCAGGAAAGGACCTCAGAGGCAGCTATCCCAAGTGGACTCATTTTGCAGAGGAGAAACAGAGGCTCTGGGCAGCAGATGAATGTGTCAAGGCGGCCCAGGGTCTCCTGACCACTCTGTCTTATGAGAATCTCCAGGATCATGCTCCACCCGCAAGTGGCCCTCAGCATCTTACCAGGAGCTCCTTCACAGGGAAGTCCTTTAGGTTTCCATCTCGGGGAGAGTCCAGCACCACGGGGAAGCCTTTATGGGGGGCCTCGATGTAGCCAAACTCAATTTCATCCTGCAGGGACACCAAGGAGAACTGTTAGACGAATCCAGGGGACAATTTGTGCACATGGGCAGAAAACTCGAGAAACACAAGAGCACAAAGGAAGAAGAACGTCTGTCTTGTTCCCCATTCCCTGGTCCCCCATCCTCCTCCCCTCACACTGATGATGGCAGCACAGGTGTCCATAGGCAGTCTCTGCACATCACAGGCAGGTTTCTTACCGATATCAGCCCCATTTTTTTTTTTTTGAGACAGGGTCTCACTCTGTTGCCCAGGCTGGAGTGCAGTGCCATGATTATGGCCCACTGCAGCCTCAAACTCCTGGGCTCAAGCGGTCCTCCTGCCTCAGCCTCTGAGTAGCTACGACTACAGGTGTGCACTACCATGCCAGGCTAATTTTTAAATTTTTTTTTGTGGAGTCAGGGTCTTGCTATGTTGCCCAAGCATGTCTTGAATTCCTGTTCTCAGGCAATCCTCCCACCTCAGCCTCCCAAAGTGCTGGGATTACAGGTATTATCCACCACGCGTGGCCTAGACCTCATTTTAAAAAACACAATAACCAGGCGTGGTGGTGCATGCCTGTAGTCCCAGCTACTTGGGAGGCTGAGGTGGGAGGATTGCTTAAGCCCGCAAGGCGGAGGTTGCAGTGAGCTGAGATCATGCCACTGCACTCCAGCCTGGGTGACAGAGCGAGACCTCGTCTCAAACAAAACAAAACACACAAATAGCAAGCAGCATCCTGAATATGTTTTCCGTTGAGTAACAACTTAACTTGAAGCACATCCTGTATCCATATTGAGAGACTGGCTTCATCCTTTTTAGCGGTTGCACAGAACTTCCGGGAAGGCCGTTACTCAGTCCTCCACAGATGGACATTTAGGTTGCTTTGCAATCTTTTGCTACTACAAGAAGCAGCACTGTAGTGCACTTGTATGTTTATGTCTTTGTGCACATGTGCAGATATGAGCTGACAGAAGAATCCCCATCTGCAGAGCTGCTGGGTGCCAGGCAGTTCACATGAAGCCAACTCTTCTTTGCTTGACCCGGGGGCCATGTCCTTCCCAGCCTGGACCTGGGCTCCTTACCTGGATCCAGCGATCGCCTCGGTTTAGGTACTGGAAGCAGACCTTCAGCTCACAGTTGGTTTTCTCCACAAGGTTCTTCACCTCTTTCAGGAACAGGTAATTATCCTTCATGCTGAGAAGTTGGGGGAAGAAGGAGAGGCCAGGAGAAAGGGTGAGGAGGGGCCAGAGTCATCTCCCTGAGATGGTGACAGCAGCTGGTATCTCTGGGCTGTGCCGGGCAGATCAGTCTACACCTGTGCTCACGGCCACCTTTATAAAGGCCGCTGGAATCAAAGGCCAAGTAAACCCACCCACTCATGTGGCGTTTGTCAAGGTCATGAACAAATAAAATGAGGGGGGGAACTCTCACCCCCACCTGTCCCAATGCCTTACACCTCTGACTCCACAGATTTTCAAAGAAGAGCTCTGCCTGGCATGAAGATGGGATGGACGTGAGGACCCCAAGGGTCCCTTTTGGGTTGCTAGCCATCTAATCACAGGCACTTTTTCCCTTGGTTCTCATCTTGCTGTTGTGGACCTAGCTCATAATAGGTGGTCAATAAAAGTCTGTTTAATGAATGAGTCAGATGAGCTGCATTTCCACTGCATAGGAGGTTGCTAACTGCCTGGTAGAGGGTTAAGCAAGAGAACAGAATGGCAGCTATTATTTTTAGAGCATACCCTGTGTGCTGGGCCTTGGATAAATGCTTTGCCTGCTTCATCTCATTTAATTCTCACAGTGACTCTACGATGTGGGCATTTCAGAGAGGCCAAGAGAGTTGCTCAAGGTAACACAGTGGTAAGTGACGGGGCCAGGAACTAGACTCATGTCCATCTGACTCGGCCCTTGGCCACTCTGCCACGCTGCCTCTCCAGGCTGGGGTCACCCCTTACCAGCACACAAACACCGACACGGGAGGCAGGATGTTGGGGGTCATGATCCACGGAGCAATCCGGAATATCACGGTGTCCGTGAAGATGGGAGTCAGGGGAATGTCCTGGGTGTGGGAGACAAGGCGTGGGGGATCAAAAGGTTTTGTCAGGTGCTTTCTTTGCCTGCCTTTCAAAGCGGGTGAAACTGATGACAGTGAATACATTTCCTCAGGACTTGCTATGCACCAAGCCTGTGCTAAGTACTTTCACATGTGCCAATTCTTTTCTGCCTTCCGACCACCGCAGGAGGTAGATACTGCTATGATCCTCACTTTTCAGATGGGGAAACCGAGTCACAGGGCTGTTAACCGCCCAAGGTCACATGGTTGGTAAGTGGTAGAGCCACCCGTGTGCTTGACCACATGGTAGGCTTTACACCCAGGCAGTCAGCTGCTGAGGTCACACTCTTAACCACTGTCCTATCTTGTCCCATCAAACTTCTCTTCCTGAAATCGCCCCACGCAACAGCTGAGCCAGCCCCCCACCTTCCTCTGTTTTTGCCCTTGGCACCTTGCCGTTTTCTGTATGTGGGCATTTTCGCGTTGTTTTGGGTCAGTTTTGCTATGTCCAGACTGTTTTGTTTTAAGGAATGGTCAAGCAGCTTGCCTGGAACCCAAGGGAAAGTGAGGTCTGATTCCAGGGTTCCTTTGTGGGGCTGGCTTTCAAAAGATATAGGAAATGGACCCCATCCTTGGTGGGGAGGTGCGGGGGTGGTGGGACTGTTGCACGGCTTGCCTTGCTTGCCGTGGTCTGCCTTTTGAGTCTCTGCGGGTGCCTGAGAGATCCTGGGGGTCAGGCTGCCCTGGGCATGGGTGCCATAAGAAGCCCCATCCCCGTCCCCTATCCTGTTAGCTTTGCCTTTTCCACTTCCCAGGGAGCTTGAGGGTGCTTTGTAAGTAGAACTTCACAAGTTTGGATGCTCACAACCACCCCCGGCAGCAGAAACTTTTGGACGTTCTGTCTTACAGATGGAGAAACTATGGCAAACTACCCTTAACTAAGGAAATTAACAGGAAGTTTAATTCATTTGCCTAGTGTCTCGTGGTGGTTAAACCAGGAGTTGAACCTGGGCAGTCGGCTGCCAGGGCTCATTCTCATACATCTCAGCTAGATCCAGCCTCACCTTTCTATAGCACCCATTGTATCCTTTCCCAAAGTGGCCTGGGGATAAAAATGAGGGGCTCTTGTGTTTGCGAGAGCAGCCAGGTCCTTCCCTTTTTTTCTGAGCGAAACAGGGTGGGCCTGAGAGGCTAGGGTCTGGGGATGAAAGGTCTTTGTGATAGAGATTCTTGTGAGCACAGCACGCCCTCAGTGATGGGGGCTTCTCTAGAGGGACAGGACCTCTTCTCCTCATCCAGTTTCTCCCCAAAGCAAGAGCAAGGCTGGCTGAGATGCCTGGCCCCAGGGTAGGGCACAACCTGAAACTGGGATTTGGGGTTCAGCCTGCAGTCAGAGTTGGTATAACCCACAGTTGGGGGAGGGGTCAGAGTGGGGCAGGAAGTACAGAGCGCGCAGTAGGTGGTCAGCAAACCCCACCTGGGTGGCTGCTTAGAGCCTCGCGCTAATCAGCAGGACTCTGGGCCTTAGACCTAGGCAGGGAGCAGGGCAGGCCAGGACACAGGCGTGGAGTGTGTCAGGAAACATTGCCCACAGGGAATCCGTGGGGAGCAGAAGCAGCAAGGAGACTGATCCCAGGAGCATGGCTCAGAGGACCCTGGCAGACACGTGCAGGCTTTGCTGGGGGGCATCGAGGTCTCCTAGCCTGGACCCACCCCTTTGGCGCTTTGAGCAGGGTGGAGCATAGCATAGGAATGGCCCACTAGTAGGAGACCCACCCTGGCCCCTGGGGTTAGCCCCCTGTGGTGGAGGCCTGGAGCCCTCACCTGGGCCATGTACTCCAGCAGGCTGACATGGATGGAGACCAGGCCTGAGAAGCCCTCGTCGGGGAAACAGAGGCCTTCCACGAAGAACAGCAGCTCCGCGGAGCCACCCGTGTACTTGACCACATGGTAGAGCTTCCGCCGGCCCAGGATGTGGATATAGCGTTGGCCGAAGAACGGGTCTGGAGGGAAAAGGACCAACGTCAGACTCCCACCCGCATCAGAAAGAGGTCGGTGGGGTGGGATCACCGATGGGGACAAAAGGGCAAAGTAACTTGTCCTCTAGACAGAGAGAAAAGCACAAGCAGAAAATGCCACCAGAATGGCCATGGCTAGGTCATTGTCATTGTCTCAGCACTGCTGTGTGCTGGCTGTGTGGCGCTTTGCCAGACAGTCACCCTCTCTGGCTTTTGGCTTCCCCATCTATAAAATAAGCAAGCTCTCTCGTGAACGGCTGATAGGAAATTGCCAGCTGAGCAGTTAGTGGTTCCAGGGGAGGATGTAATTGTTTCCATTTCACAGATGAGGAAACCAATCTCAGAAAGGAGGAGTGGCTTGTCCAAAGTCAGACAGCCAGTAAATAGCTGAGCTGGGACTCAGATTCAAGTCGAATTCTGAATCCCGAGCTCTCATCCCCTCTGTATAAACAAACCATAAATGTGCCCATTATACCAAAAATTCCCTCCATATCATGGAAGCCGTGTTGGTGTAAAGGCCAGTGCATGGGCTGTTCATTTTTGTGGCTGGGCGGAAAGATAGGTTCCTCCAGGGCTCCTGCCCTCCTGAAAGCTCCCAGTTTGACTTGTGCTCTCCCCTCTGCCTGAAACAATTGTGTCCCTTCTTCCTTCAGGCCTTGGTTTGTGTCACTTGCAACAATCCAGCCCAGTTTCCCCAGAGACAAAGCCAGGGGCTCTGTTTGGAGCTCCCACAGCCACCTGCCATCTCCATCACAGTCTTTTTATGTTTGTTTGTTTGTTTATTTATTTATTTATTTATTTTTTGAGACAGATTCTTGCTCTGTAACCTAGGCTGGAGTGCAGTGGCATGATCCTGGCTCACTGCAACCTCTGCCTCCTGGGTTCAAGCGATTCTCCTGCCTCAGCCTCCCAAGTAGCTGGGATTACAGGCGCCCACCACCACATATGGTTAATTTTTGTATTTTTTAGCAGAGACAGGGTTTCATCGCCATCTTGGTCAGGCTGGTCTCGAACTCCTTGCCTTTAGTGATTTGCCTGCCTTCAGACCCCCAAAGTGCTGGGATTACAGGTGTGAGCCACCACACCCGGCCTCATCACAGCCTTTTTAAATGTGGGTGACCTGTGCGAGGGTAGAGACAGGCCCAGTGGGGCCCAGGGCCTGCCCGGCACATGGTCATGTTTAACAAATGTCTACTGAACGAACCAATGACTCCCACAACATTCCCTGTGGGAGAGACCAAGGGGGAATTTTCAGGCAGATTGAGAGCACATGAATCAGGCAAGGACCTTCGGGGAGACAGAGGTGGTCCAAATGCAGCCTCTGTAACAGCAGTGCTCAGCTGATGATAAGATGGAGCAGATGTGGGAAGCGTCATAACGGCGGCTATGGGTGAGATCCAGTCTGGTTACTTGGGGTAGGGTGGGGAGGGCAGAAGAGGCACGGTGGGAAGCATTTGAGCAGAGGAAGGCAGCCTTTGAGATGCCCTTGCGGGTTGGCAGAAATGGGTGTGTTGGGGAGAGGAGATACTTGCATTGGTAAAGGCATGGAGGTAGGACCCTATGCAGTTCCAGAAGGAATTTCTTTATGCCCTGTAGAGCTGGAAGGGCAGAATCAGCCTCAGCTTAGTGCTTTCAACGACAATGATAATGGTTAATGACCAGATGCTCAAGGGTTAGAACACATAAGCCGAATAGCCTGGCACAAACTAGGTGCTTGATTAAAACGTGAGAAATAAGTGGATGAACCGCGAAGCCAGGGCTTGGGATGGCTCCTCCTGTGGGACAATGTGCCGAAATAGACCCTGGTTATAAATCTCACTAAGGGTGCTTCCCTTAGTGGTTATGACTTCCAATGTCAGAGGGACCTTGGTTTAAATACTTCTCTGGCTTTACAAGCTATAAAACCTCAGGGAGCCGGGTGCAGTAGCTCACGCCTGTAATCCCAGCACTTTGGGATGCTGAGGCGGGCGAATCACGAGGTCAGGAGTTTGAGACAAGACTGGCCAACACAGTGAAACCCCGTCTCTACTAAAAATACAAAAATTAGCCGGACATGGTGGTGCGTGCCTGTAATCCTAGCTACTCGGGAGGCTGAGGCAGGAATATCACTTGAACCCAGGAGGCAGAGATTGTGGTGAGCCAAGATTGCACCACTGCACTCCAGCCTGGGCGACAGAGCGAGACTCCATCTCAAAAAAAAAAAAAAAAAAAAAAAAACCAAGCCTCAGAGAATTCACTTAACCTCCCTGAGCCTCAGTTTACTCATCTGTTAAGTGGGAGATAATGATACCCACGCCACAGGTTCAATGTAAATGACACAGGCTCAGTAACTTCAGTAACCTCAGTAACCATGGGTAACCATCAGTAACACTGCTTGGACCTGTATTACGAGGATGTGAAGGAGTTTTCATTGAATAGTTTCCAAACAGAAGGCAGGGAAACCACGTCCCACCTCATCCTCCCTTGGGAGGGAGGAGTCCAAGAAATGAGGTGGAAAAATTCAGATACTGAAAGTCCCAAAGAATAGAAAGTGAGGTCCTGCTCACCCAGAAACAATAGTGTGCACCCTGCAGCCCTGTCAGTCAGTAGTTTCAGATAGACTGGCATCATGAAAACATTTTCCTCCAGGCACTCGGGCCCTCCCATGCCCACAGGCCCCAGGCTGCACTTGAACTGATGCTCAGGGGACAGTCAGGCTTAGAAGCCAACTTGTCCTGGCAGAAGCCACACAGCCAAAGCTTTCCCAGGGCTCAGAGCACCTGGGGGGCTCCACCAAGGTCTGGGGTAGGAACAGGGATCTGGCCAGGGGTGGTGGGGCAGGTGGAGGACACGTTCTAGTCCGTCTGCCGGCAGCTTTCTCCCTCCCGATGTGGCCCGTGGCCTGTGATTCACAATGCACCTCTATTCTGGGCTGCTTTCTGACAGTTGGGGCCAGCTCCGGGCGGACTGATTTCTTGGTGGGAACAATTCAGCCATTGTCCCCAGGAGCCTCCTTACCCCGTCCTCCATCCCTGGCTCGGTGCAAACCCCACACTGAGCGTGGCCAGCTTTCTCTGCAGGAACCAACAATGCCGCTCTATTGAGTGGTCCTCGTGCCTTGGGCTGGGCCCACTGACCACCGTGACCTCTCTGCCCCAGGCATTGGCTGGCACGTGGTTTGCCTTAACCTTTCTAGCTACTTTGGAATGATTCCACTTCCCAGCGAGACTCCTTGATAGTGTGACCAGCTGATTTGGTTTCCCTAGGACTGAGGGGTTTCCTGGCATGAGGAGCCCTCAGTGCTAAAATAAGGAAAGTCCTGGGCAAACTGGATTACCATTTCCTTGTATAAAGAGGTAAGGCCCCAGTGCTTGGTGTTTTGGGCAGAATTTGAGGCTAAGGCCGTTACCAGGTCTTCCTAGGAGCACTGAAGCCTTCTGTCCACTCCAATCATTGTAACTAACAGTCATCATCATAATCTCAACAAAAGCCATAATTGCCATTTATGGAGAGCTTTCCAAAGGCCAGCTACTGCACTCAGTGCCTGACACACCTTCCTCATTAGATCCCCACCACGATCCGGGACACCCGGGACAGTCGGAACTCTTACTACTCCCATGCCACGTCAGAGATGAGCACCCCAAGGCTGGGGCTGGTGAGAAGACTTGCCTGGACCCAGAATTGTAGCTCCCTGACTCCAGCACTCCCTATAGGGGTCCTTCAGTCTCCAACCCAGCCCCCTGGCCTTGGGGAGAGCTGGTCTGACCCTACCAGGACACCTGACATTCGCTCATCCACAGGGGTGCCTGGAATTTGACATAACTCCAAAGTGTTTGCCTGGAAGAAAAAGAGACTGTGCTCCTGGTCAATTATCTGTCGTCCTTTGCTTGTGTGTGTGTGTGTGTGTGTGTGTGTGTGTGTGTGTCTAAGAGTTTTCACCCAGTGACCCAGTGTCAGCATTATTGGGAAACTGTCTCTTCTGGGTCCCCACTGTCTCAGTCGTGGCTGCTCCCCACAGGATGGGCAGCCCAAATAAGAGGCTCCAAGGGACGTTCTCAAAGCCCTTGTGGTAGTAGTTCCTCTTTTTTCTTGTCTGCTCAGGACCCATCTCAGATGGCAAGTGATGAGGAGGGATGAGATTATGGAACCAGACCAGTCCACTCCCTTTAGCAAAAAGAAGAAACTTCTAGATAATGTCCAGACATCATTATTTGCAACAGGTCTCGTGTCACGACACCAAGGTCAAGAGGCCGAGGTTGAGGTCCTGCTTGCATCCCTCCTGCTCCCACTGGTGATCCCATCCTCCATGACAACCCTGGCCTGGATGGTGTCAACATCAACATCTCCGGCCCCCTGCGGCAGCGGAGCCAGCCTGACTCTGGGCACATTCCAACCTGTGTGAGGTCACTGCTTGGAGCCCAGGGTGGATCAGAAGGAAGACTGGTATTGGGTGGCTGCTGGCCACTGCCATCCTGGCTAAATATCTCCCTGATGTGAGGGTCCAGGGTCCCTACTCACCTCATGGTGAATGCCCTGGATCTAGTAGGCCTGTCTAGAGGTGGGTTCGGGGCTGGGCCAGAGATCCTGGCCCCCCTAGGCAGCTGGGCATGCAGAAGCCTCCTCCCGCCACCCCACGACCCGCCTTGTACCATGGCAAATTGCAATGCCGACTATTTTGCTGAGGGAGTTTTTAAAACACATACATCATTATTATGACAGTCCCTTGCATAAAACCCTCTAATGGCATTCCATTGCACTCAGAAGAAAATCCAAACCCAGTCTGCATGCTCTGGCCCCTGGCCGAGCTGACTGACCTTGACTCCCAGCCCTGCTCTGGGCTTCCATCTGCTCTTCCCACACTCTAAACTGGTCTCCTCCTCCAGGCTTTGCAGATGCTGTTGCCTCTGCTTAGAACACTCTTCCCTCAGCTCACGAGTGGCTGGTTCCTTCTTATTGTTCATCTGAGTCTCAGCTCAGATGTCACCTCCTCAGAGAGGCCTTTTCAGAGGCACCCATCTAGTGGTGCCTCTGCCCTGCCATTCTCCTCACTTATTCTATTTCATTTCCTCCAATTGTGGTACTGATTATGTCTCTCTTGCTAGACTGGCGGCTCCTTGAGGGCAGGGTGTGATTGTTGTGTTTACTGCAGAGATCTCAAAGCTGAGAACAGGGCCTGGCACCAAAGGGCTCAACACATATCCACAGACAGGGTGAGGCAGAGCCGGCAGCTACGAGGACTAGCTCCAGGGCAGGAGCCCGTGCCCTACACAGTGGGGGCCCAGGACATCTGTTGCCATCGAGAGGAGCAAGGGGTCAACTCTTCAAGGGTGCCCACTGCATCTTTAGGGGGTCTTTGAAAGTCAGAGATGGCAGAAAATACCTGGAGGTGGTGCCTGCCCTGCCTCAGGTATCCTGAAGGTGACATGACTCCAGAAAAGAAGTGCCCAAATGCCCTTCCTCCCCTGATTCGTAGGGAGGAAGGGCCTCTGGGTTCTACATAGACCCATGTCACTCCAGACTCCTTTGAGAGGAGGAGCGATGTGTCCCCATGGAGTCTTTCAACTTCACGGGACAACAGCATTGCCATGTTACAATCACTCAGAGACCAATCCAGGTCTTCCCCAGGCACCTGCACCTGTGAAGGCCACAACTGCTAAGGGGAGGAGGGTAGGTGGCTAGAAAGGTCTAGGCTGGACTGGGCTGGGATCACTCACTCTCCACGTAGAACACGCCCACTTTGTCTGAGTCTGACATGGAAATGTACAGAACTATCTCGTATCCGGCGGGGAGGCGGTCGGGGCCTTTGGTCCGCAGGATCATCTGGGACATGTCCTTGAGATCTGAGGGACAGAAGGTGAGAATGAAGAGATCTATCTGTTGCTGGAGCCTCAGCTTCCCAATGCCTTTTACTTTGATAATCAGGAAAAAATCCCCATGGATGTGTATTATGGAAACTATAGAAAAGCATAAAGAGGCTGGGTGCTGTGGCTCACACCTGTAATCCCAGTGCTTTGGGAGGTTGAGGTGGGTGGATCACTTAAGGCCAGGAGACAAACACCAGCCTGAGCAACATAGCAAGACCCCATCTTTACAAAAATAAAAAAAATTAGCCACGCATGGTGGCATGTGCCTGTAATCCTGGCTACTCAGGAGGCTGAGGCAGGAGGATGGCTTGAACCCAGGGGGTTGAGGCTGTAGTGAGCTATGATCATGCCACTGCACTCCAGCTTGGGCAATAGAACAAGGCCTTGTCTCAAAAAAAAAAAAAAAGAAAAAAAAAGAAAAAGAAAAAAGCAAAGCATAAAACAGAATAAAAACCAGTTGTCATTTCCAACACTAGAGATGATTAACCTTTTGGGAATTTCCTTCTGGTCTATTTTCTTTTTATTCTTCTTCTTCTTCTTCTTCTTTTTTTTTCTTGAGACAGAGTCTTGCTCTGTTGCCCAGGCTGGAGTGCAGTGGCATGATCTTGGCTCACTGCAATCTCTGCCTCCTGGGTTCAAGTGATTCTCCTGCCTCAGCCTCCTGAGTAGTTGGGATTACAGGTGCATGCCACCACGCTCAGCCAATTTTTGTATTTTTAGTAGAGATGGGGTTTCACCATATTGGTTAGGCTGGTCTTGAACTCCTCACCTCATGATCTGCCTGCCTTGGCCTCCCAAAATGCTAGGATTACAGGTGTGAGCCACCACGCCCGGCCCTTGTCTATTTCCTATGGTTTTGCCTTTGGCTTTAAGCAAGAGTGGGAATTTGTGTCCACCATCCCCAGGAGGCCTGAGTCCACACCTGCCTCACCCTCAGCCCAGCCCAGGACTGGGCATGAATCTTTTCACTCCTCTCATCCTGCCCCCCAAGTGCAGGGCCTGCTGGCACCTTCCTTGCTGTAGACCTTCTCATCACGGCAGTCCTCCTTGGGCAACCAGGGTGTCTCTCGGTCACAGTTCACCAGCAGGATGGCCCCCTGGCCCTCGGGGCCCCAGGTCCAGGATGCCTACAGTGGCAGGAAGAAAGGTCAGTGCCCTCTTCTCTATGCTTGTATAGACCCCATGGGACACTGGAGAGATAGCCCCAGGATGAGGGTAAAGAGTAGCCGCCACCCACTGGGGCAGCTGTGACCTGGCAAATGTGAATCTCAAGACTGATGTCCACAGAGGATGAATGTGGGCATCAAAGGCAAGTTCAATAGAGGCACAGAGACAGGAAGGCTGACTGAGGCATTTATGGGCCTCCTGTCTGGTGCAGCTGGTGTCTGGTGTGGGTGGAGGCAGGGAGGTGGAGGCTGGCCAGAGAAATGAGCAGACAGACATTCTACCATGGGTCCCTAGGTCCCTAGGGGAGCTCAGGAGGAGACGCCTGGATGGATGCCACCCAGCTGTTTCCAGACACGCTCCTAGTGCTCCGAATGGGACCTGCATGGTGCTCCACTTTCTACACTGCAGCCATAGCACTACTAGAACAAACTCGGGCCAGATTGTGTTGCTTCCCTGCTTTAAGCCAGGTCAGGGGCTCCCAGTTGAGTTGGCATGAAGCCCTGATTCCTTGCTGTGGCTTGGAAGGCCTGGTGAAACTTGCCTTCCTCTCTGTCTCATCTCCTCCGCCTTGCCCCTCGCTCACTCTGCCCCACCCATCCCGGCGCCTTTCTGCTCCCAAAAGACTCAAGCTCCCAGGCCTTTGCCTATGCCAGTCCCTCTGCTCCTGTCCTGCCCCTTTCCACCTGGCCCACTCTACCCTTCCTCGGTTACAGCATGACTGTCTCTTCTTCCTGGAGGCCTTTCTGATTCTCTAGGACAGAGCAGCTTCCCCGGGTCCACACCTGGCCCTGTACACATCCTTTTTGGGAGGACTTAGGACAACTGTGATGACACAGCTATCCGAAACACTCCATATTTAATGTGGACCATGGGCTCCTTAAGGCCAGGGCTGTGTTTCTCTTGTTCTTTCTGTGTCCCCTGGGCCTGACCCGCTCCTGGAACATAAAAGATGCTCAGCAAATATTTATGGGATGAGTGAAGAAAATGTGAAAACTTCACCGGCCCAGATTTAAAAATTCTGGCCAAGTTCAGGCTCATGGGGATCGTGTGACTTTCCCAAGACTGCCCAGCCCCTTGGGGGAGGTTGGAAGCTGTCGCCCTGGGGCTGCTGGGTTTCAGAGGCCTCTGTGGAGTTCATTCTCATATGGCTTGGCCATAGACTCAGAGAATGAGTGTGCAGGGCTGGCCCTGGTCTCAGGCAAGCCTTGCTCACGATCCTAGAAGAAGGGACTTCCCCACATGGCTGAGAACCCTCTCCTGACCTGCAGAGAGTCAGGGTAGCAGGCTGCTAGGACCCAGGCTTCTCATCAGGCTGTGTTTATTTTACTTCGTAAGTACCCCTCTATGTATACTTTACTCTAGGCTTCAGAGTGTTATTATAAAAGTCACATATGCCCATGGCAAAAATTGAGATAATACAGAAGGGCAGAAAATGGAAAGCAGTTAGAAGCAACAGCCTGAATGTACACAGAGCAAGACTGATGGAGCCTAAAAACTAGGTTGAGGGAAAAGTACAAAACAGAATGTGATGGAGAACACCATGCCGTCTGCACAAATTAAAAATACATGCACACCAACCACACCACATGCCTCCTGAGAGTCACCAGAGCAGAAAGAGACACATTAAACCCAGCAAAATGGTCCTCTGTGGGGGAGCAGAATGGGAGTGGGGAATGCAAGATAAAAGAAAATAAGTAAATGAACGAGGGAACAAATGAATGAATGGTGAATGAATGCAAGAATAAATAGAAAGAGGAGAGGGGCCGTGCATGCACCAGCAGAGATAATACCACGCCTGGAACTGAGAATGATGAATGCGACCCTCTGTCCTGAGGGTCTGTCTCCCCCACCTCCCTAGTCTTAAAAGAACAGGCAAAATAATAAGAGCAAATGCCTTCACAGTGCTTCCTCTGTAGCGGGCACATTTATCCTTCCCAGCAGTTCCATGAATTGGGCGTCCCCATCATGGGATGGAGAAACTGAGACTCAGGAGCCTGCTCTGTTGCCGTCTCTAGGAGATGCCTGAGCTCCTCTGTGGGTTCCATCATTGGTATGCTGTGTGTCTGGGAGCCTGTCTTGGGCTTTAGTCTCCTGAGCTGTGAAATGGGAATTGCCTGCGGGATCTGGGGCTGTGCCCTCGGAAGCCCTGGGTTCAGGGTGGTGCCTGCCCTGAAAGCTAGGTACCTTCTTTGGGTTGTTCTTCTCCACCACACCATCCCGGTCTGCGTCCACATCCAGGGAGATCTCTGGGGAGAAGAGACATGGGTGAGTTGCTGAGCCTGCCAGGCAGGGCAGGGCAGGGGCAAGAGGAAGACCTGTGGGATTTGGGTGCGTCTCAGCCATTCATTTGGTCACGGGAAAGAGAGGACCTCGCTGAAGTCATCTTATGCAACCCCCTGCCTCAACATCCCACTACCCACTGGAGACCGTCAGCAGACACCGTGTGGACCTCGTAGCTTACGGCTGCAAGAGCTGCCATCGGGGAGGTCTGGGACCTCCTACCACTTCATTGTTCTGGCTGGGGGTTGGGGAATGATCCTCGCTGCACAGATCTGGATGCCTCAGTTCAGAGGTGAAGTCGCATGCCCAAGATCACATAGGGACGCTAGCAGAACTGGGGTACACAGTGCGGTTGGTCTGATTCATAGTTCATATTCTGAAAACTTAACAGGGATAGCATTCCCAAACTGCCTTTCTCAGTCTACCCGGGCATGCGCATAGGTGTGCACATGTGCACCTGGGTGTGCGTGTCTCTTTCTCTCCCAGAACTTCCAGTGGGCTAGATCCCACCTTCAAGGACTGAGGGTTTTACTGTGGGTGGGAAGCTGTCTCTAACCCCTCTTGGTCTGAGGTCACCTGTGAGTCTAGATGGAGGATCCAGGGCCAGGCCCCCACTTATCCCTTCTCTTGGTGAAGGGACCCTCAGCATCCCTAGGCCTGCCATGGAGACAGGCTTTGTGGAGACTGTAGGGAAGTGAAAAGGTTTAGTATCAGACAAGGTGGGGTTTAGACCCTGGTTCTCTGCTTATAAGCTGTGTGACTTTGGGCAGGTTAGAGGACCTCTCTGAGCCCCAGTTTCCTCACTTGTAACATGGGGCCCTTCCTGGTTACAGCAGATGCATTAGCTGCAATGGAAGGCACTACTGACATTTTTGAGCCAAATAACTCTTTGTGTGGGGGCAGCCTGTGCATTGTAGGATGTTTAACAGCACTCCTGGCTTCTACCTACCAGATGCCAGTAACATCCCTCCCAGTCGTGACAGCCAAAAATGTCTCCAGATATTGTCAAATGTCCCTTGGGAGGCGAAATTGCCTTGAGTTGGAGACGGATGAGGTCGAGTAGGGATGTGGTTGGGAAGGTGTTGGGAGTGTCACACACATGACATGTGCCCGTTCCAGGTCCCCAGAGCTGCCCGAGTGGGCTCATCTCACGCTGAGCATGACTTGGACCTGGTGGGCGCTGGGTGGTAATGAATGCATTCCTGGTTAGTCCCCGTGGCAGGCACACCCTCTGCCTGGAGGGCATGGAAAGGAGGGTCCTGGCACACGAAGTGCACTGATGTCACCCTTCTCTGGGCCAACCAAGCCCAGAGTCCAGAGATCACATTCAGGTCCTCCCTTTGCCTATAGCCTGCATACCCTAGACCTGCATGTGACTTTTCCAGTCTAGAAGGAGGCTGCAAGGGCGCCTGGCCCTTGAGAGAGGCAGTCTTGTGTGTCCCAGCCTCTGCAGCTGTGCGGTGAGTTAGGTGCTGTAAGGCATAATTTGTAACCTCCTCCCTCCGATCGCATTCACTCCACATTTCACTGCTGAGGAGCTACTGCTCCGGGAGCTGTACCAGGCAACGGGCAATGGAGGCACAGCACCTGCTCTCAAGGCGTCCACAGTCCCATGAGATGAATAGCATTGCTCTCGTTTCACAGGGCAGCAAACCCAGGTTCAGAGAAGCCACTTGTCAGCAAATCGGGCTGGTAATCTGGGAGGCTGGTGCAGGATAAGGACCCCAGGGGAAAGAAGGGAAGGCGGTACCACCAGGGGCTAAGAGCCTGGGGTGCAGGGGCAGGAATAATACTGGTTTTGGTTCCTGGACCTTTGTGAACTTTCCAGCCGGTCACGTCCACTGAATGCTGCCTTTCAGGGAGCTGGCTTCCTGAAACTCCTCCCTCGGAAGGAGCCGCAGGTCCAGCCTCTTTAGGGAGCCACTCTGTCCTTTTCAAGGTAAAAATTTCTCCCCTGCGGGCATCCTGCTCTGCAGCTGCACAGCGTTTTCCAAGGTGTGTTCTCTCGGCCACTCCAGGGGAGGCGTGACCACCCCCACCCCCTAACGATACAGATGAGGAAACCCAGGCCCGCAGCAGGGAAGTGACCACCGAAGTTCCCAGAACGCAGAGCCAGGCTCTCAGCAGGGCCTCGGACTCCGGCTGCCTGCTCTCTGCTGTTCCCTGCAATGAACCCAGGCTGACCTCCCTGCAAGCTGTTTCCAAAAGCCCAGCCCAAAGTCAAAGACACAAGACTTGCTCCCTTGAAGGTCATTCCCAGAGGAAGTGCCCATTTCCCCACCTTGGTAGCCCTGCGGCCTTCGTCTCTAGGCCGTAAGGTGACATTACATTGGGACTCCTTGTGGCGAGTCCATTAAAGCAGTGGGGCCGTGGGCTAGGAGAGAAATTATGGTGCAGTCTATACTGCTTCATTTCATTATGAATTCTTAAATGGAAACATTTTATTCATGTAATATTTGGACATAGTACAAACAAAATCAAATAAAATAGTAACACACTGTTTCTAAAGAAAGACAGCAGTTCCTTGTCCAGCCCTTCTTCTCAGCTGCCTAAGGCAACCTCTCTCATGCTTATTGCGATTTCCTGATTTACTGAATTCAGACAGGTTTCGTTACCTTCCTGTTACGAAATGTGGGCATTTCACAGTGTGGCTCCCTTATCGTCCTCCCAGCCTCTCACAGGGCTTCATAACTCCTCTCTGATGACCCATGACCTGTCCCCATAATCCACTGAAATGACCTTCTGGCCCCTTCACCCTCAGAGACCGCCCACCCTGTAGTCATGCCCATGGGACTTCGCCCCTGCAAGGCTTCCCCCAATGTCTGATTTAACTAGATTCCAGTGGGATGCTGCGGGTAGGGGCAGAGAACAGGGCTGGTGTGACCTGCCCAGAGCATTGCCTCTTGGGATGGCTCTGCCTTCCCGAGGGGGAGGAGGGAGAGGAGCTCTGCTTCAGGGCCTCCAGGCTCCAGACGACATTTCCCAGAGGCTCTGGATCCCACCTCAGTTCCCCAGAATAGCCCCAAGGCGTCAGGTGGCTCCTGGGTGTGGGGCAGATTGACGGGAAATGTCCCTAGGATTGGGTTCAAGGCAGTCTGCCCTGAGAATGAAGACACTGAAGCCTCAGCTCTGACCGAGAGGCACAAGCATTTTGGAGGGTCGCCAGAGAGTGGCAGGGTGCCTGGCCTTCTTGCCTTACTAAGCAGCTTGAGATGTTATGGGAAGGAAGGACACCCTCCCCCACAGCCAATCAGGGCAAGTATCCCAGCCTCTGGGGAGAAGGCATAGGATCAAGCCCCTTAGGTTGATGTTAAAATTTTCTGGGGCCCGCATATGTGTACTCCTTCCACTGCCAGGACCTCAAATAGGGTGGGATTCTTCCTCCCTCCCCACACCTCACCTCTTGCTCTCCCCCATCCCTCCCAAAAAATGGAAGTCTTTGCAAATCAACCCTAACCAGGGTCTTGAAGGTCCTTAGGGATTAATTAGCTCAAACCCCTTATTTTATAGTTTGTAAAAAGTGAGTCCTAGTGGGGGTGGTTACTTGTTAAGGTCACACAGCAAGTCCTTGGCGGGATTGGGACAAAGACCCAGAGCCTGATCTGGCCAAAGGAATCATGAATTTGCTCCCAAATCCCAGAAGGAAGAAGGAGAGACCATACATTTCTTTAACTTCACCCAGGCAGAGAGAAAATGCGGCCACCTCAAGAGCAAGAGAGAAAAGCAGGCGGAGCATTGACTAAGCACCCACTCTGTGCCGGGCCCTTCGCACACAACATCCCACTGAATCCTTGTAAACACCATGCAAGGCTGCTCTGTGAAGCGCATTTTATAGATGAGGAAGCCAAGGCTCAGGGGGATGATGTGACTTGTCACAAGCTGGCTGGAGGGGACAGAGAAAGATCTTAGGCTTACTTCTGTCTACCCAGAAGCCAAGGCTCTTTCTGCTCAATGTGGACTCAGGATAGGACCAGGGTGAGAGAGATTCAGATACATTTTTGTGCCCAGGGGACAGTCCCAGCCTCTCAAGATATTGGGGTTGGGGGGGGGCTTGCCTCTGAGGCGCTGCCCCTGAGTGATTGATTACTCAGGATGACGGGCTCAAGGGCTCCTGGGGCAGATGCTCGAGAAAAGAGAAAACCTAGAAGGGACAGAGAGAACAGTGGTCCCCAAGGGAAACCAGATTTTCACCAGGGTCTCTGTTGGAACAGGAAACAGAAGTTCAATGGTGTTAGTTTCTTTTTGCAATTGAATGACTGTCTCTTATTCTGTTTTTTGTTTTGTTTTGTGTTATTTTTGAGACAGAGTCTCATTCTGTCGCCGAGGCTGGAGTGCAGTGGCACTGTGTCAGCTCACTGCAACCTCTGTCTCCTGGTTTCAAGCAATTCTCCTGCCTCAGCCTCCTGAGTAGCTGGGATTACAGGCGTCCACCACCATGCCCGGCTAGTTTTTATATTTTTAGTAGAGACAGGGTTTCACCATGTTGGCCAGGCTGGTCTTGAACTCCTGACCTCAGGTGATCCGCCCACCTCGGCCTCCCAAAGTGCTGGGATTACAGGCGTGAGCCACTGTGCCCGGCCATGACTGTCTTTTATTCTGAGATTATGCCTTGCCTATTTTTTAAGAGTTAAAATGATAGTGATAGTTGATAGCAAATTTTTTTTTTTTTTTTTTTGAGACAAAGTCTCGCTCTGTCGCCCAGGCTGGAGGGCAGTGGCACCATCTTGGCTCACTGCAACCTCCACCTCTTGGGTTCAAGCAATTCTCCTGCCTCAGCCTCCTGAGTAGCTGGGACTACAGGTGCGTGCCACCACGCCCAGTTAATTTTTGTATTTTTAGTAGAGATGTGGTTTCGCCACATTGGCCAGGCTGGTCTCAAACTCCTGACCTCATGATCTGCCCACCTTGGCCTCCCAAAGTGTTGGGATTACAGGCGTGAGACACCGCGCCTGGCCACAAATTGTTTTATTGATGTATTTTTTTTTCTTTTTTTTGCCAAGCATCAAAGTTGTTAGTGTTCTCATTTTTTGGGGGGTGGGGGCAGGGGACATTTGATTGGCCCATGGAATCTAAATATCTGGAACTTGTGGCAGTTAAATAAATAATTATTAACAGACCTCGGAAGGATGAACTTGGTCACTTGTCGTGGGCACATGTGGCATCTTTTGGGACTCAGCCATGCCGCCAACTCTGAGCGGGCTTCCTCTAAGCACAGCTTTGTCATCTCCTAGTGAGGAGGAAAAGTCCAGTCCTGCCTCCTTATAGACGCTTATTTTGCCATCTATCCTAAGTCTGTCTTGCTTTGGTGGAAGTCTTGTTAATGGTGCAGTCAGCCTTCTGGGATCATCCTCATTTGACAGGTGTCAGGCCCCTGCCCTTCCTGCCCCCGTCCTCAGGTGTCCCTATCTTGGTGGGATTAGGTTTCCTCAGGGACTGTCATCTGAGACTGCCTGGATGCTGTGTGCATGCAAGGTTCACACACGTGCCAGGGCTCAGTACAACCCAGGAGTCTTTGTTGATCATCTGCCACCCTCACCAAGGTCATCCCGAGGTTCCCTACCCCAGGGCTGGGCACCTCCTTGGGACAGAAAGAGGGACAGGGGGACCAGCAACCAAGCCCATTTGGGAATTAGCCAAGAATGAGAAGGGCCCTGCTGCTAAGCCTGTTTAAGCAGCTGAGAGCACAGGGCTAGAGAGGAAGGGGCTGGCTCGGGAGTTAGTTGTATCTTGGGGAGATTCTGAGACCCCCCCTGAGAATGTGGGATAACTGGAATGATTGGCATCTCACCAACCATTTTCTGGAGATGTAGCTGCAGGCAAGTATTTGTTTTACCTTTTCTGAGCCTTGATTTTCTCATCTATAAAATGAGGATGATAATAATAATATCTATCCTTGGAATAGTTGGAAGAAGAGATTGAAATCGTGACGGTAAAACATTGAGTACTGGAGCCTGGCACACCATAGGTGCTCAATTAATATCAGGTGTTTACCATTCTCCCCCTCCTCCTCCTCATCAAAGTGCCCAGTGCAGCTCTAGACACACAGTAGGCCTGCAATAAGCAGGCCGCATCATTATTTTGAAAGCACTCAGCATGCAGTTGACTCTCAATAACTGGTAGTTCCCTTCCTCTGCCATGCGGCAACTCTGTCAATGTTAAACCAAGGTTGGATGAACAAAATGACCCTCTGAAATGTCCTCTTGGCTTTAACATTCTATGATTAAAAAATGAAATAAAATAGCATAAAAGTAATGCCTCAGTTTCAGGGGGTGGAGTGATGGAAAATTCAGATGATCACAGCCAAGGGTCCTGTAGAGCCAGGCTAGGCTCCACCTCCCTGGCATGCAGGCCTGGCACCCAGCGCAGGGCAGTGTGATGCAATGGAGAGAACCTGAGACAGGGATAATTCTGGGTTCTGGACTCAACTTGCCACCCAGTTGCTGTGTGATGTTGAATAAATTCCCTAACCTCTCTGGGCCTCACCATCCTGTGGATCAAATGAAGGACTTGGACTAGGTGAGTTAAGGACCTGGAGGCTGCATCTCTGCACCCTCGGGGCTGAATCTGGGGAGAACCAGGGGGCAGCTGGGATTGTCAAGAACAGCTGCTAGTTTTATAGACTGTGGCCATTCCCCTCACCATGAGAGGGACACTCTTCTCCAGGCTGCAGGGGAGAGGCAGGGGGAAACACACTTCACCTTTTTCTCTTTTAGGGCCACAGAGCCTGGGAAGGGGACCTTGACACTTGGGGGGGGGTTGCTGATGGATCAGGGAGTGCCTCTTCCTGCAGATAAGCCCCCACCCCAGTATGGAAGGACCGGGGTGGGGCACATGTGACATCCCTCCCCAGGCCTGTGCCATTCAGAAGAAGCTCCAAGTGCCAGGTCAGCCGCACTGAGAACCGCCTAAGTGCCCCAGAGAAGGACAACAGTGCCAGGCCCTGGGTGATGAAGGCACTGAGACGGCAACCATGCCAACTCACCAATGGCTGTGAGGAAGAGCCCCGCCTGGTCGATGGGAATGCTCCCTTCCTCGTCATAGTAGTTGACGGTGACCTTGGTGGGGAGGGGGCACATTGGAGTAGAGAGAAAAGAGAGCAGAGATCACAGATCACAAGCAGGAAAACCTGAAGCAACTGCTGTCCCTCACAGCTTGTCAAGCCAACCCTCTCCAAACATCAGAACCCTCTCCTCCAGGAAGAACTCCTGGGTTGGTGGGCGGTTTCCCTCAGGTAACTGAACTAGACTGTGGACTCCCCTCCTGCTGGCTGAGAGGGCAGTTAGGATGCTGTCTGCCTTCCTGTGCCACTGTGTGCATTCTGCTGCCTGGGGTCCCCCATATCTGCCATGTTGCACGTCTAGTGCCCACTGAGGGGACAGGGCTGAGGCTATTTTCTTTGGACCATGTTCAATGCCATCACTGTGATGGGGCACATGGTAAAGTTCATAATTACGGAACCCAGAAAGGAGACAGTTCTGGTCTCAGCCTCACCACTTAGGCAAATCACCCATGGATGTTCAGCACCCCATTTTACAGATAGACCAAGGACACTTGTGACTGTAAGCTCCAATGATTCTATGGTTCTGAGCCTCTAAACTTTCTATCACTCAGCTGTCTATAATTTTCATCCTTTACGAAGCCATCGTTCCATGGTCTAACCCCACAACATCCACATGGCTACCGAGCACTGGAAATGCGGCTATTCTGAACGGAGGTGTGTTATAAGGTGTAAAACTCACACTAATTTTAAATTTGGTATGGAAAAAGAATATAAACTACCAGCCTGGGCAATATAGTAAGACCTGTCTCTAAAAAAAAAAAAAAAAAAAATTAGCTGGGCACGATGGCAGGTGCCTGGAGTCCCAGCTACTCGGGAGGCTGGGGCAGGAGGACTGCTTGAACCCAGTAGCTTGAGGTTGCAGTGAGCTATGATCGCACCACTGCACTCCAGCCTGGGAGTCAGAGTGAGATCCTGTCTCTTAAAAACAAACAAACAGGCCGGCCGCGGTGGCTCACGCCTGTAATCCCAGCACTTTGGGAGGCCAAGGTGGGCGGATCACAAGGTCAGGAGATCGACAGCATCCTGGCTAACACGGTGAAACCCCATCTCTACTAAAAATACAAAAAAAAAAAAAAATTAGCTAGGCATAGGGCAGGCGTCTGTAGTCCCAGCTACTCTGGAGGCTGAGGCAGGAGAATGGTGTGAACCTGGGAGGTGGAGCTTGCAGTGAGCCGAGATCGCATCACTGCACTCCAGCCTGGGTGACAGAGGGAGACTCCGTCTCAAACAAACAAACAAACAAAAAACAAACAATTTTGTTAATATTTTTTATATTGATAGCATGTCAAAATGATAATATTTTGATAGATAGGGTTAAGTAATAGATATTAAGACAATTAATTTCACCTGTTTCTTTTTGCCTTTTCTTTTTTTTTTTTTTTTTTTTTGAGACGGAGTCTCGCTCTGTCGCCCAGGCTGGAGTGCAGTGGTGCGATCTCGGCTCACTGCAAGCTCCGCCTCCCGGGTTCACGCCATTCTCCTGCCTCAGCCTCCCAAGTAGCTGGGTCTACAGGCACCCGCCCCATGCCTGGCTAATCTTTTGTATTTTTAGTAGAGACAGGGTTTCACCGTGTTAGCCAGGATGGTCTCGATCTCCTGACCTTGTGATCCACCCGCCTCGGCCTCCCAAAGTGCTGGGATTACAGGCTTGAGCTACTGCGCCCGGCCTCTTTTTGCCTTTTCAATGTGGTTACTGCAGAACTGAAAATGACACATGGCCCACGTGCAGTTTCTATGGGACAGGGCTGGTCCACCCTGCCTCTATCCTGGCATGGTCCCGGGCCCGCAGAGGCTGGACTTCCCGCCGTGGTACCTTGTCACTGCTGGCCTCGGTGCTCGCCTGGCTCATGGTGACCCGCAGGGTGGTGCTGGGCGAGAGAAGCCAGCGCTGCTTGCCATTGGTGGCCACCTCCTCAGCCTCCCCATCACGCACCACCTCCACCCACACGTGTTCCGAGTGCTTCAGGCTGAAGGTTTGGGCCCCGGCTGGGGCCGCGCTGTGGGGAGAGATGAGAGAGGGTTAGGGAGAGCCCTGGGGTAGGTGGGATGAGGGGCTTCAAGAGGAGACTCCTGCTTCCAGCACTTTGGGAGGTCAAAGCCCGAGAATCACTTGAGCCCAGGCGTTTGAGACCAGCCTGGACAACAGTGAGACCTTGTCTTTATATACATTAAAAAATTAGCTGGGCATGCTGGTGCACACCTGTGGTCCCAACTACTTAGGAGACTGAGGTGGGAGAATTGCTTAAGCCTGGGAGGTTGAGGCTGCAGTGAGCTATGATTGTGCCACTGCACTCCAGCCTGAGCAACAGAGCAAGACCCTGTCTCTTCTTTTTTGTGTGTGTGTGTGTGAGGCAGAGTTTCACTCTTGTTGCCCAGGCTGGAGTGCAATGGCACAATCTCGGCTCACTGCAACCTCTGCCTCCCAGGTTCAAGCGATTCTCCTGCCTCAGCCTTCTGAATAGCTGGGATACAGGCATGCACCACCACAGCTGGCTAATTTTGTGTTTTTAGTAGAGATGGGGTTTCTCCATGTTGGTCAGGTTGGTTTTGAACTCCCGACCTCAGGTGATCCGCCTGCCTTGGCCTCCCAAAGTGCTGGGATTACAGGTGTGAGCCACCACGCCCGGCTCTTTTTTCAAAAAAGAAGACTTCTGGAGGGGCAAGTCTGCAAGGGCCCCCACAGGTAATCTGATCTGGGAGACCCCAAAGGGGCCAGCTGCATTGCAGTCACCTGGCTGTGAAGAGGACATCTGTTGAACATGAAATCTCTTGGGCCAATCTTGCACCTCCTGAGTGTGAATGTATGAGGGTCGGGCCTGGGGATCTGAATTCTTAACAACCTTCCTAGTGCCTCTGATGGGAGGCCAGTTTTGGGAGCCACAGGGTCCTGTGAAGGTGGAAGATGGAGACCCAGGCAGGAATGAATTTGCTCCACTAGCAGAGCTGGGCCTGGAACCCTGTCTCCCTGCCCAGGGTCGCTGAGTAAAGTGCTGAGTCCTCACAGGGATGGAGCCCAGTGCCTGGGTCCTAACAGGGCAGAGGTGGGGTGTCTCTTGTTACAAAGATCCCTTCCTTCCTGCCACAGCTTTCTTGCCACCTGACATCCCCCACCTTCTGAGTCATTTCTTGGGGTTCAAAAGTGGTTTTCCATTGCAAAGCAAATACTTTTGGAATTCTTGAATTCCGAAATTCAAGAACTCCGAAAGTATTTCAGAGCAGGAGAACAAATGGATGTGATCTGGCTGCTGTGTACTGAATGTTTGTCTCTCCCCAAATTAGCATGCTGAAGCCTTCACCCTCAGTGTCATGGTATTTGGAGATAGAGCTTTTAGGAGGTAATTAAGGTTAGGTGAGGTCATAGGGGCAGGCTTCTTTTTCTTCTTCTTTTTTTTTTTTTTGAGATGGAGTCTCACTGTCTCCCAGGCTGGAGTGCAGTGGTGCAATCTCAGCTCATTGCAACCTCTGCCTCCCGGGTTCAAGCTGTTCTCCTACCTCAGCCTTCTGAGTAGCTGGGATTACAGGTGCACACCACCACACCCAGCTAATTTTTGTATTTTTAGTAGAGATGGGGTTTCGCCATGTTGGCCAGGCTGGGCTCAAACTCCTGACCTCAGGTGATCCACCCACCTCAGCCTCCCAAAGTGCTGGGATTACAGGCGTGAGCCACCCTGGCCAAGGGCAGGCTTCTAATCAAATAGGAGAAGAAAGATGAGAGAGGAGGAGGAGGAGGAGGAGCAGCAAGAGAGGGAGGGATAGGTAGATAGAGATCTCTCTCCATGGACTGAGGAAAGATCTTGTGAGGACGCAGTGACAAGGTGGCCATTTGCAGGCCAGGAAGAAAGCCGTCACCAGAACCCCGACCATGCCACCACCCTGATCTCGGACTTCCAGCCTCCAGAATTGTGAGAAGATGAATTTGTTTTTAAGCCACCCTGTCCATGGTGTTTTGTTGTTGGCTTAAGGAGAGGTGACAGGAAGGACAGGGGACTAAGGGAGGAAGGTGCCTAGGGCTGGCGGCTTTGCTAAATCCAGCCACTGGTCTGGAGGCCCAAGAGGGCTCAGAGGGACTTAGGTGGGATTCTCGTGGGATTTGTGACTAAGACATAGGTGTAAGCCTGTCTCAAAGGCACAGCTGCTATTTTGGGGGCCTGGTGCTCTTGGGTTCCAGGAGTTCTCAACTATGGCAGGCATCAGAATCATCAGGGGTGCTGTTTAAATCTATAGGGTGTTTTTCTTTGAAGGCTGTAGATTTGTAGATCCAGTCTCTGGAGAGGCTGGCTGGCATGGCAGAGGCTGAGGGTGCTGGGGCAGCTGAAGATGGAAACAGTGGCCAGGGTTGAATGACAAGTGTAGGCCAGCGGCTGTCAAAGTGCAGCAGCAGTGTCTGGGGCGGCGGCACCTGGAGGTCTTGTCAAAACAGACTGCGGGGCCCCATCTCAGAGCATCCAATTCAGGAGGTCTGGCATGGGGCCCAAGAATCTGCATTTCTAACATGCTTCCAGGAACTGTTGATGCTGCCGGTCCCAGTACCACACTTTGAGAACCACTGGTCCAGACAATCAGCACTGCGGTCCACTGCTGAGAGCCCTGGGCTGGCCAAGGCCGTGAGCGTGAATCTGTAGAGGCTGCCGGGCAGTGTCTGTCTGACCTGGGCCACAGACTTCAGGGGCTATGGGCAAAGACTACTGGTCTTGGGCTCTGGCAGGAGAATTGGGAAGGACTCGGCAGCCTGTGGCCAGTGCTGGGAGAGGAGCTCAATGAAGACACCCCAAGGTCACTCTGGTTCTTGTCCTGCCCCCTTCCAAACTCCACAGCCTGTCCTGGGATGATGTGAGACTGGACACTTCTTGGTCATGGCTTGCTGTCCCCTCTCCGCATCCATCACTTTTTTTTTTTTTTTTTGAGGAGGAGTCTCTCTCTGTCACTCAGGCTAGAGTGTAGTGGCGTGATCTCAGCTTATTGCAAACTCTGTCTCCTTGGTTCAAGCGATTCTCCTGCCTCAGCCTCTGGAGTAGCTGGGATTACAGGTGCCCGCCACCATGCCCGGCTAATTTTTGTATTTTTAGTAGAGTTGGGGTTTCACCATGTTGGCCAGGCTGGTCTTGAACTCCTGACCTCAGGTGATCCACCCGCCTCGGCCTCCCAAAGTGTTGGGATTACAGGCGTGAGCCACCGTGCCTGGCCACATCCATCATTAAGAGGGGCACAGAGTCTGGACAAAAGCCCTGGACTAAGGGTGCACGTGCAGAGGACCTGGGTTTGAGTCTAGTTTTGCCCCTGACTTGAGGGGGTCTGCACCTTCTGAATGTCCATCTGTTAGTCCCTACGCCTCAGGAGGACTGCCACCCTCCTGCCCATAGCTCTCGTCTCTCACTCCCCCTAGGGCTGGGGCCACGTTTTGCTGAGTGGTGTTGCCACGTGGTACCTGCCCTCCTTTGGGTTATAAGTCCCCTGAGGGCATGGTCCGGCCTCTCCCATCTTCATTCTTCAGAGCCTAGCACAGGGCTTGGCCCATCATACACCCAAGCAAAGAGGGCAGAGGTGAGTCGGACGGAAGGTAAGCCGTTCCCAAGGAGAGGTGTGAGTACACACCCTGGATGCTTTAGGTGGCACAGGGAGGAACAATCTACAAGAAGACTTATGTGTTTATCAAACACAGTATCTTTTTATGGTGACTGATAAAGTCTTGCCATTTATGGTAATGCTATAAAATCTCTGTTTAAAATAAAGTTATTAAGAAAAATGTGAGCTGGGTTAAAGAAAAGTGTTATAGTGAGACAGGTTGAAGATGGTTTTGGCCAAAGCCATGAGAGTCTGGGAAACTATGGCCTCAGGTCTGGGAAGCATTCCTCTCCTGCAAGTCTCAGCTTTGCCCATCAACATGCTGGGTGGCCTTGGGCCAGGGACTTTCCCTCTCTCAGTTTCATCCAGTGTTAGGTGAGAGGATGGAACCAGAGCAGAGGTGGCTGAGTCCAGAGAGTGCAGAGGAGAGGCCCTGGGCAAAGGGGTGAGGAGGAAGGCTCTGGAAAGCTGGGGATGGCTGGGTGCGGTGGCTCACACCTGTAACCCCAGCACTTTGGGAGGCTGAGGTGGGTGGATCACTTGAGGTCAGAAGTTCAAGACCAGCCTGGCCAACATGGCAAAACCCTATCTCTACTAAAAAAAATACAAAAATTAGCCGAGCGTAGTGGCGTGTGCCTGTAGTCCCAGCTACTCGGGAGGCTGAGGCAGGAGAATCACTTGAACCTGGGAGGTGGAGGTTGCAGTGAGTTGAGATTGTGCCACTGAACTCCAGCCTGGGTGACAGAGCGAGACTCTGTCTATTAAAAAAAAAAAAAAAAAAAAAAAAAAAGCTTGGGATATCTCCACTGGATTCCTGCCACTCCCCTCCCCACCTTAACCAGAGCCACTACTACTACTATTGTTTATTTATTTATTTTCTTAAACTGAGAGTCGTGCTCTGTCATCCAGGCTGGAGTGCAGTGGTGCTATCTCTGCTCACTGCAACCTCCGCATCCTAGGTTCAAGTGATTCTCCTGCCTCAGCCTCCCAAGTAGTTGGGACTACAGGCATGCACCACCATGCCTGGCTAAATTTTGTATTTTTAGTAGAGATGGGGTTGCACTGTGTTGGCCTGGCTGGTCTTGAATTTCTGACCTCAAGTGATCCGTTCGCCTTGGCCTCCCAAAGTGCTGGGATTACAGGAGTGAGCCACCATGCCTGACCCAGAGCCACTATTATTTCATCTGGTTTTATATATTGAGCTTCTGCACACAATTCTATTTAGGAAAAAATGTTTTACAAGATGATCTTTTAGGACCCTGACTCAGTTACTGTAAGTGATGCTTCCTGCCCACCTTCATTCCTCTGGACCAGAGAGAAACCAAAGGAGGCCTCAGAGGCTCCAGAGGGTTAACGCCCAGCCCACATCGCAGCTCCAGGGCCCCACACCCTCCTATTCCCCAGCACCAGCCCTGTTCTGAGCTGAGCAAACAGCTATTCTTGGAGTGGCCCTGGGCAAAGCAATAAAGGGGCCCATTGTGCCCCTGCAGATCCTGTTGGCTGCCTTCCTCCTCAGGAAGAACCCTTTAGAATCTCTCTCGCAGAAACCCGAGAGCCAGGGGCTTCAGGCACCTGGATTGTCCCTGGAGGCTGCAGGGAGGGGCCCAGGACAGTATTGAGGGAAAGGGAGGGGGCTTGGGGGTGGTTATGACCTTCTTGCTTATTAGAGAGAGGCTAAGGAGAGCATGGATGGAGGGACAGGCTGCCAATCACTGTGGCCATGTCTCCTGCCTACCATGGAATCCCAGAACCCAGGACATGGATATGCTCAGTGTAGTCTTTGGCAATACATGAATGAATGCACCTGCCCTTCTTGGCTTTCCAAGCTGTATTACACAAGTGATTTAAAAAACAAACGAACAAACAAAAAAAACCCAGAAATCAGGTCATGGGCTTTCTTGAAAATATTCACTGGCTCCTCAGTGCCTACCCATACAAGAATATCCAAACTCTTCATCCTGGTGTTGAACTAGGCACATTTGGCCATTGCAACTCAGCTTGACTCTCTGGTTTCATTTTCTGCGGTTCCTTCCACCACTTCAGCTCCCTGCATTGTTCCATCTACTGTGCATTTTGACATATGTTGTTCCTTTTACCAGCAAGACTTTCCCCTGACTTCTCTGCCTGGCAAATGTCCATCTCTCCTTGAAGACCTAACTCCATCCATTTGCCCCCACAGTTACTGGCCCTTTTGGCAGTTCACTCCTTGAAGGTAGGGATTGGATCTTCTTGTTTGTTTGTTTGTTTGTTTCAGCACCTGGCCTAGTATGGGCACACCGTAAGTATAAATGTTTGCTGCAGGAGGGCTGGAGGAGGCGGGCTTACTTATATGGTCGTTCATTCACTCAACATGTATTTACTGAGCACTTACAATGTGCCAGGCACAGTTCTAGGCATTGAGGGGTAGATTAGTGAAAAAGCAAACACATTCCCTGGGCCCATGGAAAAGACAGACCTTTTTTTTTTTTTTTTTTTTTTTGGGACGGAGTCTTCCTCTGTTGCCCAGGCTGGAGTGCAGTGGCATGATCTTGGCTCACTGCAATCTCTACCTCCTGGGTTCAAGCGATTCTCCTGCCTCAGCCTCCTGAGTAGCCGGGATTATAGGAGCCCACCACCACGCCTGGCTATTTTTAATTTTTGTATTTTTTAGTAGAGACGGGGTTTCACCATGTTGTCCAGGCTGGTTTGGGACTCCTGACTTCAAGTGATCTGCCCGCCTCAGCCTCCCAAAGTGCTGGGATTACAGGTGTGAGCTACTGTGCCTGGACAGAAAAGACAGACTTTCAATGGATTACATGATTACAGCTGTGATAATTACTATAAAGGAGGAGAGGGTGCCATGAGGCCCCAGTCTGGGGTTCAAGGAGGGATTCCCTGAGGAAGTGGCATTTGAACTAAGGTTTAAACTTTATAATCTAAAGGACAGGCAGGAATTAATTACACCATTGCAGTGCTGACTGTAAAAAAAAAAAATTAAACCAGAGATTCTTAAATTTGAGTGTGCATTACCACTACCTACAGGGCCTACTAAAATACAGGTAAATGGGCCCAGCCCCTGAGTTTCTGATCTATCGACTGTGGGGTGGGACCTGAGAAACTGCATTTCTAACAAGCTCCCAGGTAATGTTGATGCTGCTGGTCCCCCACAGTTTGACAACCACTGAGTTGGACAAGGAAGGAGAGGAAGAGGAGCAGAGATTTCCAAGCAACAGGACAGCTTGCGTGATGGCCTGAGGTGGGGGTTAGTCCTGCATGTTCGAGAAGCTGGAAAGAGGGGAGTGTGTCTGGAGTTTGTGAGCAAGGGGGAGGGAGAGTGGTGGGAGCAGGGATTTTAGATAATGGTGAGGAGCTGGCCTTCCTCTGATTGTAGAGGGAAGTCACTGAAGGTTTCTAAGCAGGGGTGGCATGATCAGTTTTGCACTGTAGATAGATCATCCAGGGTGCAGGGTTGCCCAGAATGCAGGGTGGGGGATGGATTTCAGGAAAGCAACAGAGGAAGTGGGGAGGAGGTGGCTGCAGCTGCCCACGTGAGCGATTATGGTGTCTTGGGACCAGATAGTGGCTGTGGAAATGGAGAGAAATGGCCACTAGGTTGGTGTCAAACAAACGACACTTGCCCAGTCCCACAAATGCTTTGTGGTCTCTAGGAGCCATGGTCCTCTCTGGTCTTGGCTCGGTCAGTGGGGAGGGTCACTGGCTTGGCCTTGCAGGGCTGGGGTGGCTCACCAGCCCCAGACTTGAGGGCATGAAGCGCCTGCTCCTTGCTGGCATCTGGCTTTCTTAGCTTGCCCGCCTGGCCTGGGCCTCATTAACACCAGCTGGGGCTCATCCCCAGAGTGACCCCAGCTCCTGGCAGCCTGGGTGTGACATCCTGCTCTTGGGGCTTTAGAGGAGTCTGGGGGGGGGAGTCGTGGGTGCCAGCCTGTCATGCAACCCCATGGCGAGCAAGAGGCAGGCAAGGACCAGCGGGGAGAATGACCTCAGTCCAGACCTCACACCTGGTGCTCGGCATGGTGGTGGCTGGGGCCCTGTGGGTGGGCAGCTGCCCTGAACAGGGATCAGTGGAGGCAAACAATGACGTCTGCCTTCAGCCAGCTTCCCTCACCACCTGGTGCATCCAGCTGTCCCGGGCCTCTCCTTAGGGAAGAAACAATCTGATCTATAGCTACTCCTCTCCTCAGAAACCTTCAGTGACTCCCTGCTACTTACAGAACAAAGTCCAATGTCTGAACGATGTATTCAAAGCCTGGTTAGAGCTCATTGACCCTCCAGCCTTATACTCCAGGCCTCTGAAGCTGTGCCCTTTCTGTCTCTGTGTGCCCCAACTTCCCTGCCAGTTATCTCTGCCCCTGAGTGGCATGTTCTTGGTCTCACTCTGAACCCCAGTCCATCCTTCAAGACCCAGCTCAGTTGCCACCTCTTCCAGGAAGTCATCCCTGATCTCATCAGCCAGAATATATCTCTCCCTCCATTTATTGGTGTCTCAAACAACACTTAATAAATTCAGTTCTAGATTTCTTTCCCATAAGTGCTATGAAGTCTTTGAGGAGAGGGATCAGGTCTCATTATTACTTGTTTTCAAAATAAACTCAATACTAATACATAACAACTTACTGAGTATTTACTATTATTATTATTATTATTATTATTATTATTATTATTTTTCTAACCACTAGACCACCAGGGAACTGAGTATTCATTATGTCTCAGGCACTGTACCAAGCCCATGGCCCACATGACCTCAGCCCATTCTTTCGATAACCCCATGAGGCCCATACCACTGTGATTTCATTTTACAGATGAGCACATTGAGGCCCCTAGAGGGCAAGCACCCGCTTCAAATCTCAGGGACAGTCATGGCCGAGTGTGAGGGGAACTCAGGCTCTCTGAGACCTGGGCCTGGCTGTCCCCTCCCTGGGAGAGAATTCAAAGTCTGGAGTCTTTCCTGAGATCCCCCAGGTAGGTGTGCCTGGTGTGGGGCAGAGGGGAGGATCAGGCCTGGCTCTGAAGAGGACCAAATGAGAGCCCCTTACTTATTTCACAGGTGGGAGTCTGAGACACAGAGAAGGGACACTAAAGACTGGCTTCCTGTCCTGGGCTCTTGGGTCAATGACAGAGAGAAGCAAGCCTGGGCCCATCAAAGCCTCTGGGTGCAAGGTCTGGCGTGGCTGGGCAGGAAAGAGCTGCCTTCAAAAGCTGCCTCCTCCAAAGTGCAGCAGGTATGTCTGGCCAGCTAGGGGTGGGCACTGGGGTGAGCCCCTGCCACTGTGCTCCCATCCCAACTCAGGGCCCTGCAGTCAATGAGGGAAGGTCTCAGGGACCCCAACTATGCAGGGACTGTGAGCCTGGTTCTCCTTAGAACACTCCCAACCCCAGGAAACTAGCCTGAAACCAGAGCCCTGGAGCAATTCCTGGCAAGGCATCCCGTTTGGGGTTGAGGGCTCTGGGTGCTGTTCTAATTTATGGGCCACCTGACCTGGCCTGAATTCCTCCCACCGTCATTCTCTCAGGAGCAAGCGCTGCTCGGGCCAAGCTTGGCCACATGCCCTTGACCTTCCACAGGCCCATCCAACGGTGCCTGTCCCTTGAGGCTGGGGGTGGGGAGCTCAGCCCCATGACAGGCCAGTCCACAGGCATCACAGGCCACATTCATTCATTCATTCGTTCATTCATTCATTCATTCAGGGAGCCCTTCATTGACTCCAGGGAGGATCACAAACAAGGAGGAGGCACGCCTGAAACATAAGTACCAGGAGGGCAGCCTGGCAGAGCAGGCAGGGGCCTGGGCTCTGCACCCCACAGTTTACTGGCTGTGCCATCCTGGACAAACACTCCTTCCTTCAGTTTCCCCAGCTGCGAAAAGGGGACAATAATTGTACCTAACTCATAAAGTTGTTGCAAGGTTTAAATACGTAAATTATTACATGTCCGTGAGATGAGCATGCAAAGTGTTGAGAAGCCTGCACAAAATAAGTGTTCAATAAATGTCAACTAGTAACATTAAGAAACGATGAGAAGTTGTGCAAAGAAAAAAATGTGATGAAACAGAGTTCTCGGGACTCAGGGTAGGGCACCACGACATGGGGTAGTCAAAGAAAGCTTCCTGGAGGAGGTGACATTGGAGCTGAGACTTGACTGATGAAAGTCAGGCTTGTGGGGATCTGGGGGATGGTGTTCCAGGCAGAGGGAACAGCAACTGCAAAGGCCCTGAGGTGGGAATGAGCTTGGCACAGCCAAGGGCTAACAGCATCCACAAAGCCAGCGTGGCCGGAATGGAGTGTGTGCTGAGGAATTGCTAGAAGAGGAGATCAGTGAGGTAGGGCCTGGCACACTATGGGGAGGGGAGCCCATAGCACCCCAGGCCCCCATCATGGAAAACTGGATCTCAGACCCTCCTGGCCTTTGTCCTAATGACACTTTTTAAAAAAGCAAATACATCTCTAGCCTTCACACCAACCAAGAGACAGAAAGTCTGGGAGTGAGTTTGTGCCAAAGTCTAGGAGCGCCTGCCTGATACCTTCTTCCTATCTTCTGCCAGCGAGTTATGGGCAAATTATTACTATTTACTTGATATTACTAGCTGACATTTATCTTCTTTCTGTCTTCTACTGGGACAATGGCTGGTCAGCCTCTGCCTTGGGGAATCCCAGGGAAGGGAATCCTCCCACCTCCACCTCACAGACGCAGCTGGAACCTCTGCACAGGCAAAGGGACAATGTTAAGATCATTCCAGTGTCCTGAAGCTCCTGCAGACCTCAGGATCTGGATCCTGGCTCCTGTACACCAGGGAGGAAAAGAAGAGCCCTGCCTTCTCGAGAACTCTCACTGACAGAGGCATAAGCCGAGGGAGGAACAGAAGAAGCCATTCCCAAGGCCCAGCTTGTGGGCAGAGAGTGACCACCCTGCTACCTACTTTACTCCGAGGCTGCCCTGTCCCTAATAATCCTTCCAGACTCTGGGAGTGTCCATGCCTCCAGGGCTCACAAGAGGTGGGTGGCCAGGATGGAACCAACCTAGGGACTCCCTCTGTGCTCTCTTTCCAACTTCAAGCCCAAATCAGATGGGGACCCAGGCCAGCCCCACTGAAGAAGTGACTGTCGGCTAAAGGGACCACCGGAGGAGATTGTGTGGGCCAGGTGTACCTGTGCCAAGACTAAGATGAGTATATTTGGGAAGAGCAGAAGGAAACAGCGAGTATCTTTAACAACAATCACAAAGTACAATTTCTAACAAACACCCTACTTCCTTCTTTCTATGTATCTATTCATTGCTTGCTGGAGACTAGCAGTCAGAATGAGGCTAGGTCAAGGCATCCATCCCCAGGGGGGCCAGTTTTGCTGGGAGAGCGTGGGTGGCCCAGAGCACCCCTGCCCATGGTGGCCTGGATGACCCCTCATAGGGCAGCATAGTGGTCAATTGTTCATCACTGTGACCCTGAGTGTACATCTTCTATTGAATACAAGATCCTTCCTCCTGTTCTCTGATCGACCCCCATTTGGGTCAGTGGAGACTCAGAGAAGTGAAGCGATTTGCTCAAGGTCACACAGCCCGTGGATGGAAGCTGGTAGGGCAGTGCCTGCCAGGACCACAAGGTCTATTGAGGAATGAGGCTGGGGAGGCCCCTGCTATGTGTCTGGAGGGGATCCTGTGTGCCAGCATCACAGGAAAGGGAGTCCAGAGCCCTTGGGAAAGGGAGTGGGTGCTGAGGCCGTTTCGCTCACCTTTGCGACTCAGAAGGAGTGAGGGTCAGGATGCCACTCCGTAATTAACTGGGCCCAGCACCCCCGGGCCTTGTTCCTTGGGGTCTACTTGGAGGCTCTGGGGGCATCACTTGGGGTCTTGAGCCAGGACCTGTGTCCGGGCAGCAAAGGACTCAGGGAAGAGTGGAGGGCCAAATGGGAGTTGGTGAAGTCTCTGGGGACAGTGGGCTCGTGGCCAGGGTGGAAGAGACACAGGCTGAGAGGGCCGTCCAGTTCAACCCGCTGGTTTTAGGGTCACATAGGACAGAGTGGGGTATAAGAGCATGAGTTCTGAGTCAAACAGACCTGGACCTGAGTCCTGTGTGACTCTGGACAAATGGCTTCATCTCTCTGAGCCTTACCTTCCTCATCTGTAAAATGGGATGATCAATGAACCCTCCAGGGTCTATGGTGAGGAAGAAAGGAGGTGGTGGGTTCAGTTCCTAAGTGCCCACTAATACCTCCTCCTGTTATCAATACTGGCAGTTGCTCTCATTACTACAGGTAACTCGAGTCACAATAGCAGTAACAACTCAAGCTCCTTAGTCCTGGAAGAGGCTTCCTTCCACTGGACCAGTGAGTCTCAGCTGGCTGTGATTTTGCCCCCTGCCAGGGGACTGCTGGCACTGTCTGGCAACATTTTTGGTTGTCACAATTTGGGGGTTGCTACTGGCATCTAGGGGACAGAGGTCAGGGATGCCACTAAACATCCCGCTACAACAAAGAAATATCGAGCCCAAAATGCAATAGTGCGAGATTGAGAAACTCTGCACTAGACCTGTTCTGTCCCGGTGTCACTGGCTCACGGTGGCCAGTGAGCACCTGAGATGCACTCAATCTACGCTGAGATGTGCTGAAGTGTAAAATGTGCACTGGATTACAAAGACTTAGCATGAAAAAAGGAAGGTAAACCATTTCCTTAATAATTTTTATATTGATTGCATGTTGAAATGATAATATTCTAAAATATTGGGTTAAACAAAATATATTATTAAAATTATGCCTGTTGTTTTAACTTTAAAAAAGTGTGGACTACTAGAAGATTTAAAATGCAATTGTGGTTTTGTTGTGGTTCAAACTGGACTTTTCTGGACAGTACTGGTCTAGAGCGCACTGCCCCTCTCTGTGGTGGTGGAGAACCTTAAGTGCCGGTGGGGGTTAGGGTCTTTGTGGTCGTTGAGACAGGACAAGGGGAATCGTCACACTGCTGCCCCCTGCTAGAGGGAGGCTGAGTCCATATCTGCCCCACTCTGTGCCCCTACCCCAGCTGGGCCTCTCTTTGCCAGGATAGAGCGATAGCAGGGCGCCTGAGCAGGAACCCTCCTTTGCTCCCCACCCCCGACTGGGAGGATCATGCCAGCTTTTCAGGCGGCACCAACCATGCCCCAGCAAATAAACAGGTGGGTATGGTGACAGCTGAGGCTTAGAGACCTGAGCACTCTGGCTCCGCGCCCACTCCCTAGCGGTGCCCAGTTCAGGGCTGGGGGTGGGGAAGGCAGGGGAGCTCTTGCACCCCACCAGAGCCTGGACCACCCTCCACTGCTGTGTTCTTGTTCTCAGAGACCACCCAGTCCACCTCTGAGGTTTACATGGGGGACAACTGAAGCCCAGGCCCAGGGGAAGGCAGAGGTTGAGGCCAGGGACAGAGGCATGGAGTGGGTCCCTAGTCCTGGGGCTTGTTGGTATCAGCGTGGCCAGTGCCTCTGCAGCGGTGGCAGGAGACTGGTTGGGCAGGTGGGAGGGCTGCCAGGGCTGTGTGGGGAGACACATGATGGGTTGGTGGGGGCCTGGGAGAGGCAGGGTGCTCCAGGTGTCAGGATGATTTGAGAGCCATAAACCACGATGGTGCCTCCGTGTGAGTTCAGCTTGAGGCAGAGAGGATAGGGGACTCATCCGGTGTCAGCACAGGGTCCCACCTCAGAGTCCTGCATGCTCCCTGCCCCCAGCACTGACCCCTCCAACCCTAGCAATGGGGAGGTTTTAAATGCTTGGAATAGAGGGGGCAGATCAAACCCCAGCATAACCCCACCCTTTCATTCACACCAGCCACACCTTTCCAAGGCCCCGTCCCATTACTCAGGGAGACAGATCATTGGACTTGGCTGCTTTCTGGGATTGCGGGGGGAGTGGTAGGGCCCTACCCTACCTTCAGCTGTCTCGGACATCCCGCACTCTACCAAGTTCTTGGACAGAGAGAAGGGGAGGGAGCAGAACTCTGAATCAGGATCCTTTTCCAACAAAGTACCCCGCTATACACCCCAAGTCCCCGTCGTCAGCTGGGTAGAATATTGTCCCTCTGTGGTCTCAGAATGAAGTCAGGGGAAGGTATCTGGGGACACGGAGCTCAGGGCCAGTGCCTGGGGACAAGCAACCACCAGCAGCCCCCACAGGGCGAAATCGGAGCCTGAGTAACCTCCAGGGCCGGATTCAGCCTCAGGGCAGCTCCCTTCGGGTCCTGCCCCAGTCCCCGGCAAGTCTCCGCGGAAGCTCCGCTGAACTGGGAGTGGGAAGCAGGAGAGGGGCTGGGTTGAGGTGGGTCCGAGGGGAAGTGAGGTGCGGAGGGGAAGTGAAAGGGGAGAGGACGGCAGGGAAGCTGAAGGGGTGTGAGGTCCCCCGGGAGGAGAACTGGAGAGGGCCAGACGGAGGGTTACGGGTGAAAGGGAGGGTCTGTGAGGGAGCTGGGGCTGAGGCTGTGTTAGGGGGTCTGGGAGAGTCTCAGGGTTTCTGGAAGGTGGACACAAGGTTCGGGGGTTGTCAGGTTTCTGGATGAGATTCTTAGGATTTCTGGGCTCGGGGGCTCGGGATGAGGGACAACTCGGGCTGGACAAAGGCTGTCCACGTCCCCGAGTCTGAGCGCGTCTCAGGATTTCTGGGCTCGAGATCTCGGCCCGGGCATCACGGTGGGCCGGCTCACCTGTAGACATCGGTCCAGAGGTAGGTGCCCAGCACGTACACCGCCTCCACGCGGCTCCCGTACTGCAGCCGCACGGTCCGCTCGCGCAGCATCCTCCCCGCCGCAGTGCCCGCGCTCGCTGGTCCGGGGCGGCCGGGAGCACCTGCAGCAGGTGCGCCTTCTCCAGCAGCCTGCGCCCCACGGCCCCGCGCGCAGCCTTATCCAGCGGCCGGTGGGCGGGGCGGCCCGCCCCAGTCCTCTCGCAGTGGGCTGCGGGCCTGTCCGTCAAGCGTGGTCCCGCCCCTAACTCGTCCCGCCCCGCTGAGGTCGTGGCGAAGTCATCAGGGACCAGTTTTGTGCTTTCCATGGTTGGATTGTCATTCTTTCATTCGACAAACCTTCGGTGGGCGCCCAGGTGTTGGAGGGCCCTAGCTCCCCTCCGGACGCCCCAGCCCAGTGGGGCTGAAAATGCAAATGTGGGAACACAAAGAGGGTGCCCTAACCCAGCCTGGGGGCCAGGAAGCCTTCCCAGAGAAGACGATCCTGGAACCTTCTTAAAGGAGGCGTTTGCAAATTAAAGGCGAGGAGAGGGAGCTGCCTGTGCAAAGCCGGGTGCAGCCCGGTACCCCCATCCCCCAACAGTCAGATGAACCTCACCATAGAGAAAACGGGAAGCGGTGGGGATGGGGAACCCGGCAGCTGAGGGAGACCAGGACGCCAAGCCAAGGCATTGGAGGGTGGGAGATGGGAGCCTGGAGTGGTTGTCTCCGCGAGCCGTGGTCGGGTGTGCTCGTGAAATGGGTCATTCTGGGCTGGGGAGGGGCAAGGAAGCCCCTGGCTGTGGCCAGAGCTGGAGAGGTGGGGACTGACCCGGCCACTGCTTAGGGACTGGGATTTTGGTGGCACCTGGTGACTGATAGGATGTGTGGGTGGAGGGAGAGGAGAGGGGTAAGGATTAGGGCCCCGGTTCTGGCCTGGGCCACCAAGGGAAGGGGGGTGCCACCCAGAGGTCATCGTGTGTCTCACAGAGGCTGAGATGTAGGATGACAATCAGTGTGGGCCTCGGCCAGCCCCTCCCATGTCCCAGCCCTTCCCCTGGGACCCAGTGGGAGTGCTGTTCAGACACATACATCAGCCCTGTGTGAGGAAGTGGTCTTTGGTAGGTGAGGACAGAAACTGAGGGGGGGTGGGCAGAGGCCGTGGGAGGGAAGGAGTGGGGCGGAGGGGATGTGTGTTTGGGAAGGAGTTAGAGCTGATGGAAGATGGAGCTCCAGGAACGGGTGCCCCCAGACAAGAGGGGTGAGGCCCACAAGTGCCCAGTGCTGATATACCCAGCCCTTGGACTCCAACCTTCTCCCTGAGGCGGCCCAAATTAGGAGGTGGTGAAGAGCCCAGCTGCTTCTGAGTGGCAGGGATTTGGGAGGAATGTGAGTGGGGAAGAGGGAAGGCCCGAGTTTTAGCCAGGAGGTCATTTGTCCCCCAAAGGCACAGCTCACAGACCCAGGGAGAGGCCAGTAACTGTTTTTTTTTTTTTTTTTTGAGACAGAGTTTTCCTCTTGTTACCCAGGCTGGAGTACAATGGCGCCATCTCAGCTCATTGCAACCTCCGCCTCCCAGGTTTAATTGATTCTCCTGCCTCAGCCTCCCAAGTAGCTGGGATTACAGGCAGGCACCACCACACCCAGCTAATTTTGTATTTTTAGTAGAGACGGGGTTTCTCCATGTTGGCCAGGCTGGTTTTGAACTCCTGATCTCAGGTGATCTACCTGCCTCGGCCTCCCAAAGTGCTAGGATTACAGGCGTGAGCCACAGCGCCCGGCCGAGGCCAGTAACTTCTGATGAACTCCAGGCACCCGGCTGAGCACATCCTCCAATCAGGAGGAATCTCTCGGGTGGCCACCTGCCAAACTGGGACAAAACTTGTGTAGCTTGGAGAGACTTCGAGGCGCCCCCAGAGGTGAGCTCGTGTCTGGGCACCCCTCTGCCACGAGTGACTTTGGAGCCCTTACTGTGTGACAGATAACGGGCACCCACCAGGGTTCTCACCTTCCTGGGGCTCTAACTTTCATTTGACTCATGGGGAGACTGGGGCCAGAGTGGGGGAGGACACTGTACCCCCCACTGACGGAGACCCCGGGCAGCTCATAACAGGACACTGGGCAAGATAGTGATAACATCAGACCGCAATACCCAGGGGAGCTGGAGTAAGAGCGGGCACTTACTGCTTTCTTTCTGTGGGTCAGGCACTGTTCCAAGCGGCTCTTTTCATGTATTAGAGTTAGATCACTGAACCCTCCCAGTAACTCCGCCACTTTACAGATGAAGAAAGTGAGCTGTGAGGAGGTGGGGGAATTGACTCTGGGTTGCAGAGCTCCTAAGAGTGGCAGAGGGAGGAGCTTGCAGGGCCACTGGGGTGGAGGCAGGGGGCAAGGCCGAGTGAGGGCAGGGGCAGAATGCTGTCCATGCTTTGTAGATAAGGAAGTCGCAGTTCTAGGCCCAGCTCTGCTTTTGTGCCGCCTTGGGCCAGGTACCCTGCCATTCGGAGCCCCATTTTCTGCCTCTGTGAAGTAACTGATCCCTCAGCACGGTGTAAGGACGGTATTAAACGAGACAACAAGGTGCAGAAAATACTAGCACAGAGCCTGGCACAAGGCTCAAGAAATGAAGCCCCCTCCCCTTAAAAACCCAATTCAGACCTGGCCACCCACACTCAGGACTCCTGCCCGGGCTCAGGCCATCATGTTGGGCCCAGAGCCTGGTTGATGAGACAGGAGTTTCCTGGTGCCCAGAGGTTTAAAATAGCTGAAGTAGTCACAGCTGTTGGTGGATTCAGGGCCGGAGGTCGCATGCATCACGGCTGCTCCCACCTCTCCCCTGGGATCCGGAAGAGCCACAAAGCATCTCACGGTGTCTTTTGGGGACTTAGCTTAGGCCAGTTCCTGGCACAGACCCGCACCCACCCCTCCAGCAAGCGCCCCTGCCAAGCCTGTGGGCAGGGTGCCTGGGCTAAGAGGGGCTCTTCTGAGCTGTTTTCTGTTAGGTTCCTCCACTGGGTGTGGGGTCTCCGGGCCAGGCCTTGGGGGAACCAGGGAGGCCACTCAAACTTCGACAAGCCTGCTTTGAGGAAACAGACAGCTTACTGAGAGCACTATACATACAATAATTTAAAAAGAAAGAAAAAAATGCACAAGTATTACCTGGTCATTGTGGAAAAGTTAAAAAAAATATGATCACCCATGACCCTAGTACCAGAGATCAGTCTGAATCTATGAGTATGATCTGGCCGGGCTGCCCACAGGCTGCTGTGGGGCAGCACACTTCCTGAGCCCTTGCGCCATGCCAGGAGCTGTTCAGAGCCCATTCACACACACATCTCAGCCTGTTTAATCCTCACGACAGCCCTGTGAGGTGAGAGCTATTATTATCTTCCATCTGCACAGAGGCACCAACCAGCCTGCAGTGAAGAGCATGGACTTTGGTCTTGGTGGACCTGGGGTCAAGTCTGGCTCTGCCCCTCACTAGCTGGGGGCCTCTCTGGGCCTCAGTTTCTTCTTCTATAAAGGAGATACTAGGAATTGTTATAAGGAACAAGGAATAACAAGATGATATCCAGTAAGGTACTGCACATCGTGGCCTGGCACAGACCCAAGTTCCAGTAGACGGTAGTTATTTCCTATGCGTATATAGTTATTTTAAGTTTTTGTAAACATGGGCTTCTGACTACATGCTGTTTGATAACATACTTCAAAGCTTCCACAATGTGAGAGGCTGGGCTGGCTGTGGCCAGGTCACACAGAGCATTGTAAGTCGTGGAAAAGGCTTTGGGGCTTTATCTTTATGGGGTCATGGGGGAAGCCTGGGAAGGACTTTGGAAGGTGTCAACGGCACGATGTACACTTTAGGAAAATCACTCTGGCTGCTGTAGGCAGCTAAATTTGACAGGAATTCTGGCAGGAGACCAGAGAAAGGAAGAGGTCGGGGTCTGGGCCATGGATCCCCAAAGCAATCCTTCTGTGGCCAGGGATCGCCCCAACCCCTGACTCTGCACCATGGGGACCTGCAGTCATACCCTCAAGAGCAGATCCCCATAACCCTGGCCCTGCCTGGCCCCGTCACATTCCCTTTCCCCTGGCAAAGCCCACCCTTTGGTCTCACTCCCTTGAGAAGAGTCTCTGGGATGGGGGCGTTGATTCAGCCTCTGCCTCAGCTCTCGGTCCTGAGAGACATCGTGCTCAGAGGCGGGGAAGGGCTGGGGTGCTCCATTGTTCTAATACTGCGTGAGTTCAGAATGAGGAAGTCATGTCTCTTCTGCGTGCTGCTGTGGCTGTACCCCACTCGGGGGTACATTTATATATGCAGAGAGAGAGATTTATTTTAAGAAATTGGCTCACATGGTTGTGGGGGCTGACAAGCCTGAAATTTGTAGAGCTGGCCAGTCAGAAATGGGAGAAGAATTGATGTTGCGGTCTTGAGTCTGAAATCTACAGGTTGGAAACAGCACGGTTTCTATGTTGCATTCTGGAGGCTGAATTGCCTCCTCTTTGGGAAACCTCAGTCTTTGTTGTTAAGGCCTTCAACTGATTGGATGAGGCCCACCCACATTTTGGAGTGCAATCTACTTTACTCAAAGTCTACTGATTTAAACGTTGATCACATCTGAAAAATATCTTCACAGCAACATCCAGACTGATGTTTGACTGGATGATGGGGTGCCATAGCCTGGCCAAATCGACACAGAAAATTAACCATCACCATGCTGAAAGATGGGCTAAGGCTTTCATTCATTAGGTCACCATTTATGGAGCATTTATTCCCTGCCAGGCACCTGCGCTAAGCACTGTGTGTATGTTATCCCATTGAATCCTTGCTACAACCCCAGAAGTAAGTATTTTTCTTACCCTTATTTTATACATCCAAGGGTAAGATGACTTGTCCGGGCCAGGGTTCTACCCTTAGTCAGTGAAGCAAAGCTAGAAAGGTGAATTCTGGAGAAGATGTAATAAGCCAGTTGTCTGAGGGGCTGCCAGGGGGCCAGAGTAAGCCTGGGAGGTCCTAGACCCATGCTTTCCAACATGTAGCCACTGCCAGACAAGGTTTATGTGGCTAATCTGAACTGACACATGCTGTAGGTGTAAAACAGTGGTCCCCAACCTTTTTGGCACCAGGGACCTGTTTTGTGGAAGACAGGCTTTCCATGGATGGGGGTGGGGATGGTTTCGGGATGATTCAAGCGCATTACATTTCTTGTGCACTTTATTTCTATCATCACATTGTAATACATAAGGAAACAATTTTACAATTCACCGTAATGTAGAATCAGTGGGGGCCCTGAGCTTGTTTTCCTGCAACTAGATGGTCCCATCTGGGGGTGATGGGAGACAGTGACAGGTCATCAGGCATTAGATTCTCATCAGGAGCTCACAGCCTAGATCTCTCACCTGCGCAGTTCACAATAGCATTTGTGCTCCTATGGGAATCTAAAGACAAAACTTCCCTTGCTAGCCCAATGCTCACCTCCTGCGGTGTGCCTGGTTCCCAACAGACCACAGACTGGTAATGGTCCATAGCCTGGGGGTTGGGGACCCCTGGTGTAAAATACAGATTTCAAGGAGTTACAAGGAGAAAAAGATGGTAATTTTAAAAATAATTGACTCCATGTTGGAATGATAATATGGTGAATGTATTTCATTAAATGCAAATGTATTATTAGCTGGATGTGGTGGCTCAAGCCTGTAATCCCAACACTTTGGGAGGCTGAGGAGGGAGGATCACTAACATTCAGGAGTTTGAGATGAGCCTGGGCAACATAGCAAGACCCTGTCTCTACAAAAAAATTTAAAAATTAGCCAGGCATGGTGATGCACCCCCTGTACTCCCAGCTACTTGGGAGGCCAAGGTTGGGGGAATCTCTTGAGCCCACGAGGTTGAGGCTGCAAGTGAGCAGTGACCGTGCCACTGCATGCCAGCTGGGGCGACAGAGCAAGACTCTGTCTCAAACAAACAAACATCAAAAAGCCCAAAGACGTATTGTTAAAGTTAATTGTACCTATTTATTTCAGCTTTTAAAAATGTGGCTACTAGAAAATGTGGTTACCTGTGAGGCACACATTTGTGGTTGCCATCATTTTTATTTTTCTTTCTTCCTTTTTTTTTTTTTTTTTTTTGAGACAGAGTCTTGCCCTGTCACCCAGGCTGGAATGCAGTGGCATGAGCTTTTCTCACTGCAACCTCCGCCTCCTGGGTTTAAGTGATTCTCATGCCTCAGCCTCTGGAGTAGCTGGGACCACAGGCACGCGCCACCATGCCCGGCTGATTTTTGTATTTTTAGTAGAGACAGGGTTTCACCATGTTGGCCAGGCTGGTCTCGAACTCCTGACCTCAAGTAATCTGCCCACCTCGGCCTTCCAAAGTGCTGGGATTACAGGCGTGAGCCACTACGCCCGGCTGGTTTGCATCATTTTTCTATGGGTGGTGCAGATCCAGACGCCTCTAAATGGTTAGGCAGGGACTTGTTCATGATTTTTCTGGGTCGAGCCTGGGTACAGCTGGGCACAGTAGATAAATATTTGGTGAAGAGAGTGGAATTGCTTCAGAGTTCCCAGAGGGCAGCAGTGGGGTTAATAGCAAGAGTTAAAACAGGGAACACGCGAAGGCCGCAAGAGGCGGAGACCACAAGGTGGCGCCAGATCCCCATCTTGGAAGCAGGGAGGCGGCGCTGGCCGGCCTGAGCCCGAGAGATCAGAATGCCTCCGCCTCTGTCCCACCCTGCTCAGCACCTTCCTTTAGCTTTTGGGACCCTCTTTTTCCTGGTGGTTTGGGTCAGAATTCAGGGGCCACCTTTGTGTGAGGTCAGTGGCAGGTCCCTTAGAGTGGGAACTTCTCGCTGGACAAAGGGGCGACTGAAGCTCAGAGAAGGATGAGAGGGGCCCAGAGAGGGGCAGTGACCGGCCGAAGGGCGCAGAGCCAGTTGGTAAAAGAGGGAGGTCTTTTGTGTCTCATCCTTCAGGCCTGTCCTGTTACCTCAGTGCCTTTGTCCTGTGAGCCTGGGTCGTTGATTCGTTTTAAAAATCACTTGATAAACAAATCACAGAGTCAGGTGCTGTGCGGGTGGGAGTGGGGACACAGGTCCATCCTTATGAGCAACCTAGCAGGAGCAAAAAACATGCACGGATGCTCACAAACACATGCACACACACAACATGCACACACGCACATACACGTGCACACACACACGCACGCATGCACACACATGCACACACACACACCCTTGTGTAGGAAGAACATCACGCAGTCATTTACAACCACATTGGAAGAAGGCGCTATAATCATTTCTGCCATACCCCATGATGTGGTCACATTTTCCATCTCGAGAATCAGTCCACCTGGATTGACATCCTAGCCCTTCCTGGCTTAGGAGACCTTGGACAAGTCATCTCACTTGAGTCTCAGTTTTCTCATCTGTGAAATGGGGGTTAATCATGGCACCTCCTTCCCAGGTGGTTGTGAGGTTTAAACAAGATAATGGGCTGGGCGCAGTGGCTCACGCCTGTAATCCCAGCACTTTGGGAGGCCGAGGTGGGCGGATCATGAGGTGAGGAGATCGAGACCATCCTGGCTAACACGGTGAAACCCCGTCTCTACTAAAAATACAAAAAAAAATTAGCTGAGCGTGGTGGCGGGCGCCGGTAGTCCCAGCTACTAGGGAGGCTGAGGCAGGAGAATGGTGTGAACCCGGGAGCCTGCAGTGAGCCAAGATCATGCCACTGCACTCCAGCCTGGGCAACAGAGCGAGACTCTGTCTCAAAAAAAAAAAAAAAAAAGATAGTAGGCTGGGTACGGTGGCTTATGTCTGTAATCTCACTATTTTGGGAGGTCGAGGCGGAGGCAGGCAGATCGCTTGAGCTCAGGAGTTGGAGGCCAGCGTGGGCAATATGGTGAAACCCCGTCTCTACCAAAAATGCAAAAAAATTAACCAGGCGTGTTGGCGTGTGCCTGTGGTCCCAGCTACTCCGGAGGCTGAGGTGGGAAGATTGCTTGAGCCTGGGAGGTAGAGGTTGCAGTGAGCCGAGGTCGGCCACTGCACTCCAGCCTGGGTGACAGAGTGAGACCCTGTCTCAAAAAAAAAAAAAAAAAGGATCTCCTTTGGTTTTCAAAAATTATTATTCCACTTACTGTCATTTCAAATTCAACAATCCCACTTTAGCTTTGAGTTCAAGTTAAAAATCTTCTCTTAAGGACAAATTCCACTTTTTTCTTTTATTTGCTAGAGATGGGGTCTCACTATGTTGCCCAGGCTGGTCTTGAACTCCTAGGCTCAAGCAATCCTCCCACCTCAGCCTCCCAAAGTGCTGGGATTACAGGCATGAGCCACTGTGCCTGGCCTATATGATTCCACTTCAATGAGGTACCTACAATAGTCAGATTCACAGGGACAGAAAGTAGAAAGGAGGTTGCCCTGGGGGCTGAAGAGAGAGGGGAATGGCAAATTGTCGTTTAGTGGGCGTAGAATTCTAGTTTTGCAAGATGAAAAGAGTCTTGGAGATTGGCTGCATTTAACAATGTGAACGTACCTAACACTCTGCTGAACTGAACACTTACAAATAGCTTACATGGCACATTGTATGGTATGTATATTTTACCACGATTAAAAATTTAAGAAAAAATTTAGGAAAAGTATTCTTTTAAAATATAACAACTTTAGTGGGCCAGGCATGGTGGCTCATGCCTGTAATCCCAGCAGTTTGGGAGGCCGAGGCAGGTGGATCACCTGAGGTCAGGAGTTCAAGACCAGCCTGGCCAATATGGTGAAACTCTGTCTCTACTAAAAATACAAAAATTAGCTGGGCATGGTGGCGCATGACTGTAATCCCAGCTACTTGGGAGGCTGAGGCAGGAGAGTCACTTGAATCCGGGAGGCAGAGGTTTCAGTGAGCGGAGATTGCACCACTGCACTCCAGCCTGGGCGACAGAGCGAGACTCTGTCTCAAAAAGAAAAAAAAACTTTAAAAATTATTATAAAATTATTAAAATGATACAACTGAATATTTGGTTCCATTGACAATCTTGGCTAATTAAACATGCATGAAAATATAATTTAAAATCTGTCAGAACCCCCGACACACTTCAGCCTTGAGAGAGCTGTGACTGGGATCTGAGTCATGTGCCTTTTATTCCTCAGATTGTAGATTAACTCACTTTCTTATTTTTCTTATTCTGTACAATGACCAGAGAGAATTAAAGAACAGCAGGGACAAAACCCTCCTGCCTTCTTAATTAATGACCCTGTGACTCATCTACTTCCCCTTTGTTGTCCTGCTCTGCGTAGAACAGATGACAGGAAACGCATAGCTATCATACCCTTCACAAAAAATGTGAAATATGCCCTCCGCCAAAAGAAACACTGCCCATAACCAGTCAAATGGCTGTAACTATGCGCCAGCCTAGTATGAAAAATGTTGTTATCTGGCTAAAAATTCCTCTGTCCCTGCCTCTATAAATGAAAACTTCACTTCCCTACTTCGGAATGCTGAGTTCATTACTTTGGAGTTGAGGTTTCTGGGTGGCCGTTCTCAAATCTTGTGCTTGAATAAACTCTATTTTATTTTACTTTGGTGTATTTTACATTTTTTTTTATTATTATTTTTTGAGACAGGGTCTCGCTCTGTTGCCCAGGCTGGAGTGCAGTGGCACAATCACAGTTCACTGCAGCCTCAACCTTCTGGGCTCAAGTGATCCTCCCACCTCAGCCTCAGTAGCTGGGACTACAGGTGTGGGCCACCACACATGGCTGATTTTTAAAATTTTTTGTAGAGACGGTGTCCCACTACGTTGCCCAGGCTGGTCTCGAAGTCCTGGACTCAAGGGATCCACACAGCTTCCCAAAGTGCTGGAATTATTGGCGTGAGCCACTGTGCCTGGCCTAAACTCTTTTTAAATTAGACTCTGACGCTCCTGGTTATTTCAGGTTGACACACAGTTAAACATTTTTAACTGCATGTATAGATTTAACATATTCAATTTCTTTTAAAAATACTTCAGTTGCCTTAATAACAAACACAACTTTCTCAAGCACTTAAATTATTCTTAGAAATCTGGTAACTTATGCTTATCATGAATTCAAATTTTTATAACTTTTTAACACTTCTGTCAAGCATAGTAAAATTTCAACTTAAAATATCACAAGTCTAAATCAATCAATGATTCATTTGTGCATTTTACTTTATTTTTGAGACGGAGTCTTGCTCTGTCGCCCAGACTGGAGTGCAGTGGCATGATCTCGTCTCATTGCAACCTCCATCTCCCAGATTCAAGCGATTCTCCTTTGTCAGCCTCCCAAGTAGCTGGGATTACAGGCATCCACTACCACGCCTGGCTAATTTTTGTATTTTTAGTAGAGACAGGATTTCACCATGTTGGCCAGGCTGGTCTCCAACTCCTGACTTCAGGCGATACGCCCACCTCGGCCTCCCAAAGTGCTGGGATTATAGGCGTGAGCCACTGTGCCCGGCCTCATTTGTGTATTTAAATTAAAACCTTAAGACTGACTTTTTATTCACACAGACTGGGGTGTGCAATCTTTTGGCTTCCCTGGGCCACGCTGGAAGGAGAAGAATTGTCTTGGGCCACACATAAAATACACTAACACTAATGATAGCTGATGAGCTAAAAAAAAAAAAAAAAAAAAAAAAGAATTGAAAAAAAATCTCTTAATGTTTTAAGAAAGTTTACGAATTTGTGTTGGGCCGCATTTAAAGCTACAGCTGCATTCAAAGCCACTGGCCAAGGGTTGGACAAGCTTAACATAGCCCATATTCTCTTAAATATTAAAAATATTTCAAATTCCAAAGTTGAAATTGTTTGATTCTCTGAAACATTTCTTTGCTCAATTCTTGTCAAGCTTAAAAAATGAGAGCCTACTAAGGCAATGATGTTGTCACACCAAGAAAATTTCGAGCTTAGTTTTCCAACCCATTTTTGGGGTTCCTACCTCCTCTAAGATTCCTTAATGTCCACGGAAACTTCAGGCTTGGATGGAGGTTTTGTCCAAGGTCTTGATAGGACACAAGTCCTATTGTTAGTCATTTAAACAGGATTTCCCATAACCTAAAAAGGGTGGTGGCATAGTCTGTGTCCCCAGGGTTCAGCATATGCATTTCCTATTTCTTAAGTCAGATCTGGGGCTAAGTAATACCCTCCCAGGTAGCTTCACCACTTGTTTGGTTTCAATTGGTGTTTTAGTCCACTTTGCATTATAAGGAATGCCTGAGGCTGGGTAATTGATAAGGAAAAGAGGTTTATTCAGCTCATAGTCCTGCAAGCTGTATAAGAAGCGTAATGCCTGGATGACCCAGCCTTGGCAAAATACTAAAAGCAAGAAAAAAATAAAAATGAAAAGAAGCATTGGCAGGGTGCAGTGGCTCACGCCTGTAGTCCCAGCACTTTGGGAGGCCGAGGTGGGTGGATCACCTGAGGTCGGGAGTTTGAGAGCAGCCTGGCCAACATGGTGAAACCCCATCTCTACTAAAAATACAAAAATTAGCCAGGTGTGGTGGTGGGTGCCTGTAATTCCAGCTACTCAGGAGTCTGAGGCAGGAGAATTGCTTGAACCTGGGAGGTGGAGGTTGCAGTGAGCCGAGATTGTGCCACTGCTCTCCAGCCTGGGTGACAGAGTGAGACTCCGTCTCAAAAAAAAAAAAAAAAGACAAAAAGAAATATGGCGCTGGGATGGAGCCCCAGAAGACAGACTCTACTAAGGCAATGGTGAGGGGAAATGTGGGGTTGGAGCCCCCACAGAGAGTACCCACAAGGGCACTGCCTAGCACAGCTGGGAGAATGGGGCCACTGCCCTCCAGACTCCAGAATGGTAGAGCCACTGGCAGCTTGCACCCTCAGCCTGGAAAAGCTCAACTCCAACCTGTGATAGCAGCTACGTGGGCTGTGCCCACCCAGCAAAGCCATGGGGCTGGGGCTGCCCAAGGCCTTGTGAGCCCACTCCTTGTGGCAGAGTGCCCTGGATGTAGGATATGGAGTCAAGGGGATTATTTTGGAGTTTTAAGATTTAATGTCTGCCTTGCTGGGTTTTGGACTTGTATGTGGCCGTTCCCCTTTCTTTTTTTTTTTTTTTTTGAGATGGAGTTTCGCTCTTTTTGCCCATGCTGGAGTGCAGTGGCACAATCTTGGCTCACTGCAACCTCCACCTCCTGGGTTCAAGCAATTCTCCTACCTCAGCCTCCTGAGCAGCTGGGATTACAGGCATGCGCCACCATGCCCGGCTAATTTTTGAATTTTTTTTTTTTAGTAGAGACGGGGTTTCTCCATGTTGGTCAGGCTGGTCTCGAACTCCTGACCTCAGGTGATCTGCCCGCCTTGGCCTCCCAAAGTGGCCTGTTCCCCTCTGTTTTCGCCACGTTTTGCCTTTTGGAATGGGAATCTTTACCCAATGCAAGTACCACATTGTATCTTAGAAGTAAATAACTTGGTTTTCATTTTATAGGATCATAGGTGGTAGAAACTTGCCTTGTGTCTTAGATGGAACTTTGGACTTTTGAGTTGGCAGTAGAACAAGTTAAGACTTTTGGGAACTATTGGGAAGGGGTGATTGTATTTTGCAATATAAGAAGGACATGAGATTTGGGGTCCAGGGGCACAATGATCCAGTTTGAATATTTGTTCCTTCCAAATCTCATGTGGAAATGCGATCCCCAGTGTTGGAAGTGGGGGCTAGTGGGAGGTGTTTGGGTCATGGGGACAGATCCCTTATGAAGGGATTTGTGCCCTCCTTGTGGTCATGAGTAGTTCTCACTCTATTGCCATGTGACATGCCCGCTCCCATTCGCCTTCTGCCATGATTGGAAGCTTCTTGATTCTGCCATGATTAGAAGTTTCTTGAAGCCCTCACCAGAAGCATGGCGCCAGCAGATGGTTTTACTGCTTGATTCTATTCTGGATTCTGTTCAAAGACTTTTTATCTCTTGGGGACCACTCTGCTACAGGTATTTAAATGACATCCAATGGAATCTCCTCACTTTGGTTCCTGGGGACATTTCTAAGGTTTTTATGGGGACAGTGAGTCACAGCTTAAGCAACCAGGACTCAGCTAAAGAAATTGGGTGGTGCACACCTGTGCTGTAGGCCCACCTACCCTGGAGGCTGAGGCAGGAGGATTGCTTGAGCCCAGGAGATCGACGCTGTAGTGAGTTATGATCACACCACTGCATTCCAGCCTGGGTGACAGAGACCCTGTCTCAAAAAAAAGAAAAAAAAGAAAAGAAGGGCTTGGTGCCCTCCTCGTGGTAATGAGTGAGTTCCACACTCTTTACTGATAATGAGCTGGGGGAGTGGAGGTGGACTCCGGGGTGGGGGCCTCTTTTCCATTCAGGTTTTGGCTTCTCTGGCCACTCCTTCACTCTCTAGCCTCGATTATTTTCCTCAGACTATGTCACCAGCTGAAAATATCTTATGTAGGCAAAGAAAAACATGAGGCACCCAGTTACATCTGAATTTCAGGTAAACACCAAATAATTTTTCCAGGTTCAAAATATTGCATGGGACATTCATCGTTTCTTCAAGATGCACATTTGACTGAGCTCTCTGTTGTTTATCTGGCAACCTTACTTATGTCAATGATTGCCTGTTCCACATTCTCCCCAAATACCCCATAAGCCCACGAGGGTTCAGTCTGTCTCTGTCATGTTCATTGCTATGTTCTTGGTGCCCTGTGAAGGACCCAGCTCATGGTAGGTACTCTGTGAATGAATGAATGATTTCAGAACCTGAGAGAGGTCCCTGTTTAGCAGCTGGTGCAGAGGGAGTGCTACAGGGAGGCAGGTTTAGGCTCTTCCCAAGGTCAGGGATGTGACTGAGAAGCCAGCTGCCTCTGGAGGGCATGTGTCCCCCTGGGGCATTTCTGGCTCAGACTGGTCCTCCCTTTTTGGGGGGGTTGTCCTTGGCGATCTATGAAGACATCAGAGTGAGTCTTTACTGAGTTCAACACTGAATTTTCTTCTTGAGGCTGCCTGGGCTCTGACTGGGTTTTACCCCATAGAGGTACAACCTGGACACATTTGTTGAGTTGGTTTTTCCAGTGTCTTACTGTGTGTGGTTGGGACCAGTGCAGACCCTGGCCCGGGAGGCTCTGCGGTGCCTCTGAGCCCTGACACTCTGTCTGCCCCACCGTCCTGAGGTTGAGATGGCCCCACAGCCAAGTGGAGTGCGTCCCTGAGTCCTGTGGAATCCCAGTGCCCACTCAGGGCATGGCTTCTGGAGGTCCAAGAGAGGACACAAAGGTCACACAGGTGGGCTGCAGAAATGTGTCCTCCCTTGGCATCAGGAGGGCGACCTCCTGCCCTCACAGGCTCTCACGGGCTCCAAGCAGGGGCCCCGGGGTCTCCTGTGGGGCTGAGCTGCATGGAGTCACCTTTTGTTGACTGAAATAAAGAAACTGAGGCAAAATTAATATAGAGAGTTTATTTGGGCCAAGGTTGAGGACAGCAGCCCAGGACACACTTCTTTTTTTTTTTTTTTTTAGATGAAGTCTTGCTCTGTCACCCAGGCTGGAGTGCAGTGGCACGATCTCCGCTCACTGCAAGCTCTGCCTCCTGGGTTCATGCCATTCTCCTGCCTCAGCCTCCCGAGTAGCTGGGACTATAGGCACCCACGACCATGCCCGGCTAATTTTTTTTTGTATTTTTAGTAGAGACGGGGTTTCACCGTGTTAGCCAGGATGGTCTCGATCTCCTGACCTCGCGATACACCCGCCTCAGCCTCCCAAAGTGCTGGGATTACAGGTGTGAGCCACTGCACCCGGCCACCCAGGACACACTTCTAAGATGCCTTGGGGAGTGCTCCGTCCAGCCTTCATTACGAGCAGGTTTTTGAAGCAGATACAGTTGTTTGACAGGCATTCTCACTGGGTTGCAGAGATGACATTGAGCTGTGATTGGCTGTGCATTGTTGAATGATAGGGTATGAAGTATGGTGTCCAGATGGCATTTTATGGCTGCCTGGTGTCAGTCAGTCCACATAGCAAGTGGCTTCAAGAAGTCATTATTTAGCTCAAGGCAGGAGAGAGACATGGCTGCTGTCACATTTCAGTGCCTCTCTGGGCCTGATCGTTTAAAGGGGCTCACATTCCTCAGATACAAAATTTCTCTTTTTTCTCACCTTGCTCCCCAGCCAGGGCTTGCGGTGGATGCCTGGCCTGCAGCTGAGGACTGGCAGCAAGGCCTGGATTCCCAGAGGTCCTGTGAGGGGTCAGAGCCTCAACCTCAGCCTTGATGGAGCTGACTGCGTGCACAGATGTGCCGACACTCTCACCCGGCCCAGACACACATGTATGCATGCACACACACACACACACACCCCTTGGGGGCTACCTACACAACACCTGTGCACACACGCCCACACACCTGTGCACCCCCACATGCACACACACACATCCCTACCTACCCACACACCTGTGCACCCCCGCATGCACACACACATATGCACACACCCCTACCTACCCACACAACACCTGTGCACACACACTTACACACCTCTGTACCCCCCACATGTACACACACTCTCACACATACACACATCCCTACCTACCCACACACCTGTGCACACACACACCCATACACCTGAGCACCCCCGCATGCGCACGCGCACACACACACTCCTATCTACCCACACACCTGTGCACTCACCCACACGCCATGCACCCACATGCACACACAGATGCACACGCACACACACACTCCTACACCTACTCATAGAACATCTCTTTGCACAGCCACACACCTGTGCAGCCCCACCCACATGCACATACACACACACAGCCCCCTACACCTACTCACAGAACACCTGTGCACACACTCACACACCCATGCACCTCCTCCATGCACACACAATCTCTTCCTCCATCCTTCCCAACCCCCCGCCCACCCCCACACAATTCCCACACACAGCATGTCCTGCCTCAAGCCTGTTGAGCTCCAGGAAGTATGAGCTCCTGGTGGCCTCCCTGACATACTCTTTGTGGCCTTTCTCCAGCACCTTGTGCTGGTTCTCAATGGCCTTTAGCTCAAAATAGTCTATGTGCCGAAGAGACATATTTTGGGGTGGCTAGCACCCCTCTAGGAGAGCTTGCCTCCCCTATGGCATGAGCGAGGAAATGATCCTTTTCCTCCACCCACCTTAGGCTTTCTGGCTGGGGCCCCATAAGGGAGACTCGAAAAAGACAGATGAACAAGAGAAAAACAAACCGAAGTTCATTAATAAGTGCATTGTGTATACACATGAGAGCACCCAGCGATCAGTAACCAAAGGGGTGGGTGGGACTGGGGTTTAAATATCAACAAAGGAAAAGGGGTTTTGAGTTTCTGGGCTGGGGAGGGCTGTTCTGGGAAGGGGTCAGGAGGAGATGTAGGTAAATAAGAGTTATCTTGTTCTGCAGAGAAAAGCCTCAGGTGACAGCAGGGCTCCCCAGGAGCAGCTCTCTCCCACGTATGAGACATCTTTACACGTGGAAATTTCCCTTACAAAAGGGTCTATTTGTACAGCTGCTCCATGACTTATGATGGTGCCTTTTCGACTTACAATATTTTCCATTTATGATGGGTTTATTCTGAGTTAACCCATTGTAAGTCCAGGAGTGTACTGAATGCAACATCACAGCCGAAAAACCCCAAATTGGACCATGGTAAGTTGGGGATTGTCTGCACTCAATTTTTAGGCAGTTAGGAGGAGATAAGGAGCTTTTCCTGTGGTGGCTGGTTCTCAACGGCCTTTAGCTCAAAATAATCCATGTGCCAAAGTGGCCTATTTTAGGGTGGCTGGTACCCTTTGCCAGCAAGCTGAAGAGCCAGGGTGCAGACTAGGCTTTCCGCTCCAGAATCTGTGCCCCAGATGTTCCACTAAGCTGCCAGCGGTAGCCCCATACAATCCGCATACAACACCAACACACGCATGAAATATACACGAGAGGGGTGCATCCCCATCAAGGTCCTCATGCACACACAGGCACGCCTATGCACGCATACCTCACTCTCCTCCTCCCAGTCCCCCTGCATCCACCCATCCTCACACAGGTGCATACACCCACACACCTAGTATGCATAGGCACAGATATACGCACACACGCGCACGTGCTCACTCTCCCAGTCTCCCACGCACAGGCAGAGTCACGTTCTTTGTGCCTGGAAAGGAAGCTGAGTCTGTAGAAAAGCTTGTAGCCGGCTCTGACTCTGACCCCAATCTCATGTCATCCTTCCACCACCTGTGGGGATCTTCAGAGTGACCCCTCCATCCTCTCCCAGGGCAACCCAGCACTCACCATTGTCACGTGCCTCTCAGGTGGCTGTGGGTCAGGGCCCTGAAGCAAGGGATCTGGAGGGGAAGGGGGACCCAGCCAATGGTTAATGGAAATAGGGTAACACGAGCCCCAACCCTCAGGATCTGGTAGGCAGCAGGGGAAGGCGGGCCTGAGCTGCACAGACTCGGCACTGTACCCTGCCTGCCCTGCAGAGATGAAGCTCCCCTCCAGAAAGGAGATTGGGGCACTGGGCTTGCATTTAGTCTTTTTTTTTTCTCTTTTTTTGAGATGGAGTCTCACTCTGTTGCCCAGGCTGGAGTGCAGTGGTGTGATCTCGGCTCACTGCAACCTCCTCCTCCCAGATTCAAGCGATTCTCATGCCTCAGCCTCCTGAGTAGCTGGGATTACAGATGAGCGCCTCCACGCCTAGCTAGTTTTTGTATTTTTTTAGTAGAGACGGGGTTTCACTATTTTGGCCAGGCTGGTCAAGTACTCCTGACCTCAAGTGATCCACCCACCTTGGCCTCCCAAAGTGTTGGGATTACAGGCGCGAGCCACAGCGCCCAGTCACATCTGGGTTTGAACCCTTGCTCGGCCGCCTGCCAGCTGGCTGGCCTTGCACAAGTTACCTAACCTCTCTGAGCATCAGTTTTTAAAATCTATTACATGAGGATGAGGACTATAAATAAATAAGAAGAGCTACTGCCTATGGAGCACTTACTATGTGCCAGACACTGAGCTAAGGAGATTAGATGGATTAATTACTGTAATTCTCCCCAAAACTTTCCAGGACAGATCTGTGTGAAACTGCCATTATTATAGGTCCAAAGAGTCAAATGTTGACAAATTTACCTGGTTTAGCCTAATATTATTATCCCTGTTGAGAGGATTCAGAATGTACTACCCCAAAATATGGTGCTTTGGATATTGAATATTTGAAACTGAAAGAATTTGAGAAACGGCGGGTGCAGGAAGGACTCTCCGAGCTTTCCTCTGAAGCAGATCACAAGACCTTCAGGTGAGAGGAGCCCTCCCTGTACCTGGAGGAAAGAAGCATCTTCACCTCTGAAGATAGAGGGACAGGAATGCCGAGAGGAATCCAAACAAGCCACCCTGCTGGGTGTTCCCAGTTCACTGCCCTTAGCTCAAATTCTTCTGTCCTTCACATTTTCCCATGACTCCCCACCCTTCATCCAACCCAGCAAAAAAAGGCTTAGCTCGAACCGCTTCTGTGGGTCTTCATTTTCTTATGAAGTCTCCTGTGTCATGTAAAATTTATATTAAATAAATTTGTGTGCTTTTTCCTTGTTAATCTGTTTTTTATTACAGGGGCTCCAATCAAGAACCTAGAAGGACAGAAGGAAAAGTTTTTTCCTTTGCTACCCTACGTTACAGATGAGGAAACTGAGGCTCAGAGAGGGGAAGCGACCTGCCCAAGGTCACACAGCCAGCACAAGGTAGAGCTGGAATTCGAACCCGGTCTACCTGGCTCTTCTGTTACACTTTCAGTCCCGATGCTAGCTTTGGTGTGAACCAAACCAGAACACGTCAAGTGTTTAGCACAGCACCAGGCAAACAGTAAGTGCTCAACAAATGCATGGTTCTTTTCCTTGTTTTCCTTTCTTGACTTTCAGGACAAAGCTCTTAACCCCTCAATGGGCTCAATGACTGACACTGGCTTGATGATTGACTCCGCCCACCACCATGTGTCTCTTACTCCAGTGCTGGGATGAAATCACGTGCTGACCCCTCCCCACATCTCACCCTCATCTTCCTCCATCATCCAAATAGTTCCTGGCAGAAGCAATCCATCCTCTTTCAGGGATTCGTCCTGGATGGGCACCTCCCTGCCAGGTGCACACTTCCCTTCTTCCTGGGCTGAGGCTCAACAGCTCATTCAGTTGGTTCTGCATTTGCCCATGGATGCCCTGATCTGGTGCAACCAGCCAGGGCTCTGGAGCCAGCATGCCTCCTGAGGTCTTTAGCTCATGTTGGCTGAGCACCTCTCCTGTGTCAGGCCCTGGGCTAAGTATTTTCTGTGTTACCGAATTTCATTCCCACAACAACCCGTTGAGGGGCGTACTTTTCTTCTTCTCATTTGACAGAAGCTGAGACTGAGGCTCTAAGACTTGAAGGGATTTGCAGACATGAGGTGATTTGTAGGCATGAGGATAAAGGAGGGCTGTGACAGCCACTCAGGAACACAGGAGCACATCCCTGTGCAGGTGATGTTTGGGGAGACCCTTGACAAGGGGCTAGCCTCTCAACAGGGAGAGGTGGGGAGGTGAGGAGTGAAGGGAAGGGCAAGCTGGGCAGAGGAGACCACGGGAGCAAGGCAGGAAGACAGGTCTGGCTTCTGGTGTCTTTAAGGAGTGGATGGAGAGGGTGGAAGGAAAATAGGGCTGGGCTGTGAAGCACCTTGGGCAGCAGCCAGTGGCCAGAAGACAAGGTCGCAGCAGCTAGGAAGCTCAGAGCATGCCTGAGCAATAAGACCCTTGGACGGGAATCAGGCAGGGAGAAGAAGGCTGCTGGGGGTCAGAAGGGATTTGTGCCCCAGATAGGACATGTGTTCCTGGCTTCTAGAAGATCCCCTCCACCCAGGACATTCTGATTTTCCATGGTTCTAAGAATCTGCAAGTTTAACACATTCTGGTTAAATAACTCCACCATTTTAATGGTTTTTATATTTTAACAATTTAGCACCCTAAGATTCCCTAATTCTAACATTTTCAGGGCCTAAGTTCCTGCATTTCTTCCATTCTAAACTTATACTAAAAGACTTAGGAGAGCTGGGTGCGGTGGCTCACGCCTGTAATCCCAGCACTTTGGGAGGCTGAGGCGGGTGGATCACTTGAGGCCAGGAGTTCAAGACCAGGCTGGCCAACATAGTGAAAACCCATCTCTACTAAAAAAACAAAAATTAGCCAGGCATGGTGGCACATGGCTGTAGTCCCACCTACTTGGGAGGTTGAGGCATGTGAGTCGTTTGAACCGGGGAGGTGGAGGTTGCAGTGAGCCAAGGTCATGTCACTGCACTCCAGCCTGGGCAACAGAGGGAGTGAGACTCTATCTCAAATAAATAAATAAATAAATAAATAAATAAATAAAAAGGAAAAAAAGAAAAAGAAACAAAAAGCTTAAGAGAACTTAAAAGCTCAGAGCTTGTATAATTCACACCTTCTGCAGAGTCTGAGCACTTCAGATCATGTAATCTGAAGATTCTATGATTAATTTCAGGAAGGTGCTGAGCATGTGGGTGGGGAAGGCAGGGGGACAGGTCTGGGTGCATAAGTATCACCCTGCCTCTCATGTCAACTTCCCAAGGGCTGGGTACAGAAGAGGCATCAGGAAGTATTTACAGAAAGACTGTTTGGGCAAGAAAGGACAGGTGTCTTAGTCTGTTTTCTGTTTCTTATAACAGAATACCTGAATCTGGATAATTTACAAAGAAAGGAATTTATTTCTTACAGTTATGGAGGCTGAGACGTCCATTGCCAAGGGGCTGCATCTGGTGAGGTCCTTCTTGCTGCTGATGACTCTCTGCAGAGTCCCATAGTGGTGCAGGACATCAGCTGGTGAAGAAGCTGAGTGCTCACAGGCTAGCTCAGCCCTCTCTTGCTTTTCTTATAAAGCCACCAGTTCCTCTCCCATGATCACTTAATGGATCAATTGATGGGTTACCTATTAACCCATTAATTCACTAATCCATGACTGGATTAACCCATTCATAAGGGCAGAGCCCTCATGACCCAATCACCTCTTAAGGGCCCCACCTCTCAGTACAGCCACATTGGGGATTAAATTTCAACATGAGTTTTGGAAGAGACAAATATTCAAACCATAGCAACAGGCCTGGCTTGTGGGTGGAGATGGGGGTTAGGGGTGGTTCTGAGTCAGGTTTGAACGGGAAAAGCTGGGAGGAAACAGTCAAGTGCATTTGCAGGGAAGCCCACACAAAGTTTCAGATAAAAGTTTGAGCATTTGAGTTGGTATTTGTTGGCATGCAACTAAGTGGGACTACAGGTCCAGTTCCATGACTGCTATGAAGCCAGGGTAAAACAAGAATTGGGTTGGCCAACTTTTTCTATAAACAGCCAGAGAGTAAATATTTTAGATATTATGGAGCGAGACATGTATTAAAATCTTTTGGCACAGATGCAGTGTCATTGCCTAATAAGCACAATGTCTTGCTATCTAACTGGATAACAAAATAATGCACACTTCGCTGGGCCTTAAAAATGTGACACTCCACCATTGATGGATAAATAGATAAACAAAATGTGGTATATGCATACATAGAATATTATTCAGCCTTAAAAAGGAAGGAATGGCTGGAAGCAGTGGCCAACACTTCAGGAGGCTGAGGCGGGTGGATCACATGAGGCCAGGAGTTTGACACCAGCCTGGCCAACATGGTGAAACCCCATCTCTACTAAAAAAAAAGACAGAAAATTAGCTGGGTGTGGTGTCACACACCTGTAACCCCAGCTACTTCGGAGGCTGAGGCACGAGAATCGTATGAACCTGGCAGGCGGAGGTTGCAGTGAGCCGAGATTGTGTCATTGCACTCCAGCCTGGGGGGCAGAGCGAGACTCTATCTCAAAAAAAAAAAAAAAAGAAAGGAAGGAAGGGAATTCTGACACATGGTATGATGTAGATGAACCTTGAGGACATCATGCTCAATGAAATAAGCCAGTCACCAAAGGATAGATATCATAGAATTCTACTTCTATGAGGTACTTAGACTAGTCAAAATCATAGAGACAGAAAGTAGGGTGAAATAAAATTTACTGGAGGCCATTGTTTTGGACTAAGCTCCTGTACTAGACCCCAGAGTGGAGTCACTCATGTTAGGTGCCACGTAATCAAACTGACCCTTAAAACAGTCAGCTTTAAAAAAAACAAACAGATTTACAGCAACCAGCAGAGAAGGTCCCAGTCAACCTGAGCTGATGTGATAAGGAAGTCCCCTCTGCTTTCATCCTACAAGAAAAGTAACTTTGAAATGCCCAGTCTACTCTTTGTTCCTTGTTTCTGTTCCCCTTCTGCCACTTTGTGCCCCCAAAGACAACCCCCTCTTCTCATTGGGATGTCTTTTTCTATTTCATCAATGGGATGCTGCCTAATTAATGAATCAATAATAAAAGCCAATGAGTCAACTCAATTCATTGAAATGTTATTTTTTGACAGTGGAATGGTAGTTGCCTGGGGCTGGAGGAGAGGGGAGAATGGGGAGTTCTTGTTTAATGGGTAAAGGGTTTCAGTTTTTCAAAATGAAAAGAGTTCTGGAGACGGATGGCATTGATGGTTGCACAATGACGTGAATGTACCGAACGCTGCTGAGCTATCTAGTTAAAAATAGAGAAGATGGTAAATTTTATGTTGCGTGTATTTTGCCACATGATTATCATGTATTTTTAAAAAGTACAACATTGGAAGTCCACTCTTCTTGTTTTGACATGACGTGTATGCACTGGTTATAAAAAAAGAAAATACTGCCCCACAGCGATGTGCATGCTGTCGACTTGGAGCTGTGGCATGTGGTTCGTAGTGTGCTGAGCAGCCACACAAAGAGATGAGAGCAGTGACTCTCGGTGCCTACTACTGAGCTCTGCCATTGTAGCAGGAAAGCAGCCCAGATAAATGTAACACACGGGCCTGGCTGTGTCCCCATAAAACTTTATTTGTGGACACTAAAACTGAATTTCATTTAATTTTCATGAGAATGTCACAAGATTTTCTTCTTTCAGTTTTTTTTCTCCAACCATTAAAAAAAAATGTAAAAACCATTCTTAGTTCATTCACGGTAGTTGCCGACCCCTGGTCTAAAACATCACATTTCTTGATCATTTGGCCAATTTTTTTTTTCTGAGAATTGACTGTAATTCTATTTAGTAGGAAGGCTCTTTGGAAGGGGTGATATTTGAAGGGAGACTCAAAGGAGGAGGAGAAGAAAGCAGCTTGAAAAGCCAAGAAACCAATATTCCAGGCAGAGGGAAGAGTAAGACAAAAGTGTTTATGCCAGAATGAATCTACCAAACTCAAACTCAGGGACATTCTATAAAATAACTTGCCTGGATTCCAAAAATGACAAAGTCATGAAACAGACAACTGAGGAACTGTTCCACATTAAAAGAAACTACAGAGACATAATGATTGGAGGCAATATATGATATTGGATTTACTTTTGCTAAAACGGGCACCATGTTGACAATTGGTGAGATCCCAAGGAGATCTGTGGATTAGATAGTAGTATTGTATCAGTGTTAATTCCTGACTTTGATTCTTGTACTTTGGTTATCTAAGATAATTCCATACTTTTAGGAAATATACACTCAAGTATTTATGGTAAAGAATATCATGCCTGCAATTTGCCACTAAGTGGTTCAGAAAAATATATACATATGTAGTATAAAAGTATAAAACTATTATATATGCACATGTGTGTATATATACACACATATACGTATGTATGCATACATATGTACATATATCCATATGTATGTGTATGTATGTACATATATCCATATGTGTATATATACACACACAGATACATACATGTGTGAGTGTATATATATATATTTTGGGAAGAGAGAGAGAAACAGAGAGAGAGGGAGAGGGAGAATCCTAGTGTAGTAAGATGATATTTGGGGAATCTAGGTGATGTGGATGATGGGTAGGGTATCTGGGAATTCTTTGTATTATTGTTGCAGTTTTTCTGTAAGTCTGAAATTATGTCAATAGAAAAGATTAAAACAAAGTATAGGATTGATCATTCTATTTTATATGTCTCTTGATCAATATTGAGAAAAAGCCTTCTAAAAAAAGATGGTACTACTTATCTTCTCACCAATGGCAAATGAGAGTGTTTGTTTCTCTATATCTATGCCAATACTGAGTATAATTAATCTTTTGAATCTTTGCTATCGTGTTAGATTAAAAGTAGATCTCATTTGTCTTAGTGGGCATTTCTTTGGTTATAATTGGAGCTGAGCACAATTTTCAATGTGTACTGGCCATCCATATTTTTTCTTTCATGTAAATAGGGAAGCGAAGGGGGCTAGGACCAGACCCTAGGCCCCTTCTACACTTAGAGGAGGAGCCGAGACAGTGTGGTGTCATGGAAGCCAAGGAAAGAAGATGCTTCAAGAAGGAGGGAGGACAACTGTGTCCAAAGCTGCCAAGAGGGCCAGTAAGATGGGGACAGAGGAGTGACCATTGGATTTGATGGCCTGGAGGTCTTAGTTGAGTGTTGGGATGAATGCTTTGTTAGAGTGGGTGGAGGAGAGAATGAGAGGTGACATTTTGAAGAGACGGATTGTACCAACTCTTTAAGGAATTTTGCTATGAAAGAGAGTGGAGAAATTGGGCAGGCACTGGAGGGGGAGGTGACACCAAGGAACAGTGACGCTCTATGTTTGCTTATGGGAATGATTCGGAAAAGAGAGAAACTGGTAATGCAAGAGAAAGCAGAGATAACAGGAGAAATGAAGTTTTTCAAAAGAAGAGAGGGGATGGTATATTCTCCTTAGGTGACCTCATTCAGTTCCACAGTGAAAGTCCCATCCAGGCACCAGGGACTCCCAATTGCAGATTCCCTCTTCACCCTGACACTCCCCTGCACCTCAGTGGCATGCACACACCTGCCTGTTGGAGCTCTCTTCATGAATGGTTGTCTTAGTGCGTTTGTGCTGCTGTAGCAAAAATACCTGAGACTGGGTAATATATAAAGAACAGAACTTTACCTCTCACAGTTCTGGAGGCCAAGCAGTCCAAGATCCAGGTGCCAGAAGATTCAGTGTCTGGTGAGGACTGCTGTCTGCTTCCAAGATGGTGCTTTCTTGCTGTGTCCTCACATGACAGAAGAGTTGGAAGGGGCAAATCAACTCCCTCAAGCCCTTTTGTAAAGATGCTAATCCCATCCTGAAGGTCCCGTCTCTTAATACTATCACATTGGGTCTTAGGTTCCAACATGAATTTCAGAGAGACACATTTATACCGTAGCAATGGTCAGTGGGCACTCAAGCCCAACTTGGCCAAAAATAAAGACTCATGACTTTGGATAAGTTAAGTATTCTGGGCCTCAGTTTCCACATCTGTAAAATGGGGATACTATCAGCATGGACTTTATAGAGTGGTTGTGAGGATTACAGAAGAGAATCCATGTAGAGCAGTGTTCTCACCAGGAATGATGAGTGGGCCTTTTGGCAGTGTCTGGAGACATTTTTTGGTTGTCCAACTCTCTCTCTCTCTTTCTCTCTCTCTCTCTCTGTGTGTGTGTGTGTGTGTGTACGCTCACACATGTATACTTGCATGCACACTAATGGTGTCTAGTGGGTAGGGGCCAGAGATGTTGCTTAACACCCCACAATGTATAGGACAACTCCACAGCAAAAAATGATCTCATCTCAAATAGCAACAACGTAGAGATTGAGAACTCCCTGATGTAAAGCAAGCCAGGCACAGAGGAAAAACTTGGTAAATGTGAGCTCTTACTATTATTTTGAAACTTCTCTCCAAACCAGCTCCTGCCCATCTTCTGCCATTTTCCCACCTAAGAAGAAGTACCACCATCTACCCACCAATTTTTCAAGGCAAAAAATATGTATACACAGTTTCCTTGAGACTTAGTTTCCTCTCATCCCCAATTCCAGTCCATGATTAGCAAATCCCATCAATTTCTATCCCTAAAACATCCTGAATGCTTGCACCTCCACCTCCACCCTTTCCACTTTATGCCAAGTGTTTGTCAATTCTCCCTTGGGCTAATTCAGGGGCCTCCTAACTGGATTCCCTGCTTCTGCTCTCATTTTTGTCGACTCTCCACACAGTGGCCAAAGTGATAGTTTGAAAACGTAACCAGATCACACCCTTCTCCTGCTTAAAATCTCCCAGGTCTTCCTGCCTCACTCAAATCTCAACTCTGTCCCCCGCTTACAGTCCCGCACGCTCCAGCCGGTCCCGTACTCTACACTTTCCTCCTTGCCCACTTCTCTCCAGCCACGCTGGCCTCCTCTTAGCTTCTTAAATATTCCTGGCTCACTCCTTCTTGGAGATCTTGCACTATCTTTGCCGGTCCCTCCTCTGGAAGGCTTTCCCCCCTGGCCATTGCATGGCTGCCCATTCTTGGCATTCAGTTATCAGCACCTCCTTGCAAGACCTTTCCTGACCACCCCTTCTAGAGTAGCTGTGTCACCTCTATCAGATCACCCTATTTTACTTTGCTCCATATACCTGCCATAGGAGAGATATATGTTTATTTGCTTGCCTGTTTCGCCTCACTAGGCCATTCCATGAGAACAGGGACCTTGTCTTGTTCATCATGTACCTCCAGTGTCTAGAGCCATGCCTCGTATGCAGTAGTGGCTCAATGAATCATTGTTGAATTGATTTTACATTATGTGGCTTGCCTCTTTGTGACTTTTACCTATTTTCCTACTGAGTTACTACTCATTTATCTATAAGGTTTCCTTGTTTATTAAGAATATTAACACTTTGTCTTTTGATTCTTTCTTTCTTTTCTTTTTCTTTCTTTCTTTCTTTCTTTTTTTTTTTGAGACGGAGTCTCGCTCTATCACCAGGCTGCAGCGCAGTGTCGCGATCTCGGTTCACTGCAACCTCTGCCTCCCGGGTTCAAGCGATTCTCCTGCCTCAACCTCCGGAGTAGCTGGGGCGCCAACATGCCCAACTAATTTTTGTATGTTTAGTAGAGATGGGGTTTCACTATGTTGGCCAGGATGGTCTTGGTCTCCTGACCTCGTGATCCACCTGCCTCGGCCTCCCAAAGTGCTGGGATTACAGGCGTGAGGCACCATCCCTGCCCTTGTCTTTTGATTCGTAAAAGGTGTTTGCTGAAATAAATGGTGCAAACTTTTAACTGTGATCGTGTAAGTTCCTAGCTGTAGCCACCTGGGTGAAGTGTTCCAGCTTTGCAATATAAACAGTGAAAAATCATTAATGGACACTTAGAGTTGGCCATCTCATATGCAGGATCAAAGGGAGGGACCATTTCCCCTCCTTGGAATGCTGAGGAGCTTGGACTCTTAGGTTCTTGCCCTGACTTGGCCAGTGGTATGAGCAGATGACTTTTCGGCATGTCTCTTTGGCTGAGCTGAGTCACTTGCAAATTGGGGATAATGAGGTTTGTCTTTGGCTCATCAGCTTGGTGTGTTTTCAGCTTTTCAGGTGGTAGGGTTTTAATCAACAGGTCCACACATATTTAGTGAGTTCCCTGTCTGTGCCAGGATGGTGAGGATCCTGATAGAATAAGACATGGTTCTGCCTTCAAAGAGTTTACAGTCCAGAGAAGGAGAGAGACAAGTACACAAATCACTATAGTGGCTACAAGAAACAAATGTGTGCACAGGCACAGATGTACCCAAGAAGAAGTGGGTGACCGTCTAGAGGGAGGGCAAGGAAGACTTCCCAGAGGAGATGTCATCTGACTAGGGTTTGAAGAACTGAATAGGAGTTCGTTAGACAAGGCCGGAGAAGGTGGGGGGTGGGGGGCGTGTGTGTGCAGGGGGTACTGTCATAGCAGAGGGAACTGCATATGCAAAGGCTTGGAGATAACAGCATAATGGATATGGGGAAACCACAGTCCTATGGGATTCTTGTCTGGCTGACCCAACACTTCCATTACTTCTTTCCTTTCCCCACTTTGTCTTGAGCCAATGTGGTCCTGGGGAGGTGGCTGCTGTTTGATTGCAGGAGGGCTGAGCCTCCTTAGGAAGGGATAGGAGATAGTGCTGCTAGAAGGCACTGCCTGGGAGGAACAGGTCTTCAGGGGGCTTGTTAAGCATCCTTCCTTTGTACCACAAGGGAAGAGGCAGAAGGAGGCTCTGCCCCATGTCTCTCTGGCTTGTCTCAGTAGTGTCACTCATCATGGGGGAGGATCTTTTCCAGGAGCAGAGAAACCACAGGGCTGGAACCCTGGGAGAATTGGAGAATATTGGGCTGAATGGCAAAGCTAGGGAGAACCTGAGCTACCTTAGTTTGGAGAGGACAAAATATTTCATCTTCCCTAGCACCTCTACCCTTGGTGCTTGGGGACTGCTAGTTTTGTTTTAAGAAACAGTGCCTCACTCTGTCACCCAGGTTGGAGTACAGTGGCTTGATCATGGCTCACTGCAACCTCAAACTCCTGGGCTCAAGTGATCCTCCCACCTCAGCTTCCTAAGTAGCTATCACTACAGATGCGCACCAGTACGCCAGGCTAATTTTTTTACTTTTGTAGAGACGAGGTCTCACTATGTTGCCCAGGCTGGTCTTGAACTCCTGGCTTCAACCAATCCTGGGAGTTAGGTACTTGAGGCTGAAATGTGTTTCAGCAGGAAAGTGTGCCATGATCAATGAGCAATATCTGCCATGAGTGCTGGAAGGGAGCATGCTTGCATGCACATTAATGAAAGGGAGAGAATGGGTCTGCATGCCATCTCTGCCATCTCCAACCTTGTACGCGTGGGGAATCTGAGGGGCAGAGCATGCAAGGTCTTATTTATTGCTCTGTCTCCAGTCCCAGAACAGTATCTGTCACACAATATCAGGAAAGGTCTGTGGAACTGAGTTGCATTACCCAGTTCTCCCAAGTGTCAATTTTGGGACTCTATTAAAATGAGACAAGTGGCTGTTTGGTGCGAAAACTCTTGCACATTTCAGGGGAGATTTTTCTGCAAAAGAACAGACTCCAAAGGAGGCTAGGAAATCAGAGTGGTGCCTTCTCCTGGTAGCTTTGTGATGCCTGGGCACAGAGGCTGGGAACAGACTGAAGAACCATAGCATAGCAGATTTGGCCTTTTTCAAAAAGATCAATTCAAAAATATTAAATATTGCAGCAGAGCCACAGAACCTCGAGTCTGAAAGCTCTAAGCAGACATTTAGTTCAATTCGGCTGAAACAAAACAAAACAAAACAAAACAAAACAAAACAAAACTCTGTGGACTGAGGTTCAAATCTCAGCTCCATCTATTTCTAGCTGCAGGGCCTTGGGCAAGTGACTTAACCCTTCTGATTCCATTTAGTTTCCTCATTTGTAAAACAAGGACAATGTGATCTCTAGCTCACAGGATTAAATGAAATACGTAAGCAAACTGCCAGCCCAGTGCTTCATGTGGAAGTTTCATAGGAGTTTCCATTTTGCAAAGTGATAGCAAAAAATGTTAAAAAGAAAGAAAGAAAAAAGGACTCCAAAGAACACTAGGAGCTGTATTTCCAGCAAATATTCTATAACAGAGGCATATTTTACTGTCTATTCTATACCTTGCAGAATATTTCACCCCTCACTTCTCCACTTGCCTTCAGGCCATAGTCTTGTCCTTTTCACCATTTCAATATGGCGTTCTGGGCTGACTCCAAAGGGCCAGATTCATTCCTTTACAACTCAACACCTACTATGTTCCAGGCCCCGGCCACAGCGCTAGGGCACGAGTTTTGTCCTCAAAAACCTCCTTTATTCCAGAGGGGACAAGGTGATGACAGTCAGGCAGCCGGCTGTTCAGGGCGGCCATAGAGAAGTCCAGCTCTGCTGGCCCTGGGGAAGTTCCTTCCCGCTGGGCCTCGGTTTTCCCATCTGTGACATGGGAACGTGGGCCTGGACCAAGAGAACTCCGGAGGCCCTTCCCGCTCGGGCCCGGGGGTTGGGGAGGGGTGAAGTTCGTAGCGTGAGCAGGGTGAGAAAGGCGCGCCCCGCCGGGCCCTGACCCGTGACAGCCCGGCCCGGCCCGGGAGTGAGCCTGCAGCGAGGGATTAGCGCGGTAATAGCCGGGATTAGCGCAGGCTGCGAGCGCGTTAGTCACTAAACTGCGCGTTCGCATCCCGAGCCACCTCCCCTGGCCCCCGAGCTCCAATCACAAGCCAGGTCTCCACGCGCTGCCCGGGCGCGGGAGAAACTCCGGAGCCCATTGGCTCCGTGACCTGCAGGAGGGACTGGGGACATGCGGTGGCCCCTCCCTATAACCCAAAGGCCCCACCTCCCTCTTCGCGGAGGTCTAGCTCCCCAAAGCGAGCCCGTGTTTGTCGGTGGTCACGGGCATCCTGCACATTTGCGGCAGCTTGGCCTAGAAGTGCGACCATGGGCTTTGGGTTCGAATCCCACCTGAGCCGTTTGCCTGCTCCGTGACTTTGACAAGTTAAGCTCTCCAAGCTCCCAGTTTCCTTATGGGGTCGTGGTAAAACTCATGATTAATAATAACAATAGCGAAGAAAGGGAAGGAGTAAGAAAGAGAGAAGAGGAGGATGCCTAGGAATGGGAGCTATTTCTAGAACTTCTCTTCCCCGTTTTCCAGGTGGAGTAACAGGCTCAGGGAGGTTAGCTGCCTTTCTGCGAATCCCACAGCCAGAAGCAGAAGGCGCCCATGCAGCTGCGCCCTGTAGGGCTCATCCCTCCCCCAACGCTCAGGCTGCACCTGCCTCAGGGTCAGGACCTGGGGCCCTGCCCTTGTTTCTTCCGCTCTCTCCCAAGACTCTCCCTTAATCCTACTGCTTTGGCCCTGGCCAGGGTGAGGCAGCTCAAGGTCAAAGGTCTGAAAGAAGGAATGGGGACGTGCAAGGCCAAGTATTAGGCTGGTGCAAAAGTAATTGCAGTTTTTGCTATTAGAAGTAATGGCAAAACCGCAATTATTTTTGCACCAACCTAAAACTCAGGCTTCCTCGCTGAGGCACGGGGCAGGCTTCCTGTGGCAGGCAGAGGGCGGAGCCCCTTGCCCGGCCTGGCAAGAGAAGAGTGGGGCCCCTCTGTAATCCTATATTTGAACCCAGGACTTCGTGATTTCAGGACCAAGCTCACAGCCTCTAGTTTTCAGATGATTCCATGGAGGTCAGGGCTACACCTCCTATTTACAGAGGAGGGAGACAAGGCTCAGTGTTTGTATTAGTTTTCTTGGATGCTGTAACAAATTAGAGCAAATCTGGTGGCTAAACAATATAAATTGATAAATAACAGAAACTTCTTATTTTCTTTATTTATTTATTTGAGACAGAGTCTCGCTCTGTCCCCCAGGCTGGAGTAGAGTGGCACGATCTCAGCTCACTGCAAGCTCCGCCTTTCAGGTTCACGCCGTTCTCCTGCCTCAGCCTCCTGAGTAGCTGGGGCTATAGGCACCCACCACCACGCCCGGCTAATTTTTTGCATTTTTTTTTTTAAGTAGAGTTGGGGTTTCACCATGTTAGCCAGGATGGTCTTGATCTCCTGACCTCACGATCTGCCCGCCTCGGCCTCCCAAAGTGCTGGAATTACAGGTGTGAGCCACCTTGCCTGGCCAAAACTCTTTATTTTTAATTAAAAAGAAAAAGAAATTTGTGAGACAGGGTGATATGGTTTGGATTTGTGTCACAGCCCAAATCTCATGTGGAATTGTAACTGCCAATGTTGGAGGTGGGGCCTGGTGGGAGGTGACTGGATCATGGGGGCTGTTTCTCATGAATGGTTTAGCACCATTCCCTTCATGCTGTGCTCGTGACAGAGTTAGTTATTGCGAGATCTGGTTGTTTAAAAGTGTGTATCACCTCCCCCCTCACACTCTTCTTGCTCCTGCCCTGGCCATGCAAGATGTGCCTGCATCCCCTTCGAAGACATGCCTGCTTCCCATTTGCCTTCCATCAAGATGGTAAGTTTTCTGAGACTTCCCCAGAAGCCAAGCAGATGCCAGCATCATGCTTCCTGTACAGCCTGCAGAGCCATGAGCCAATTAAACTTCTTTTCTTTATAAGTTACCTAGTCTCATGTATTTCTTTATAGCAATGTGAGAATGGACTAATACAGAAAATTGGTGTCTCATGTGTCCATGTGAAGAGACCACCAAATAGGCTTTGTGTGAGCAACAAGGCTGTTTATTTCACCTGGGTGCAGGCGGGCTGAGTCCGAAAAGAGTCAGCAAAGGGTGATGGGATTATCATTAGTTTTTATAAGTTGTGGGATAGGCAGTGGAGTTAGGAGCAATGTTTTGCAGGCAGGGGTTGGATCTCACAAAGTACATTCTCAAGGGTGGGGAGAATTACAAAGAACCTTCTTAAGGGTGGGGGAGATTACAAAGTACATTGATCAGTTAGGGTGGGGCAGAAACAAATCACAATGGTGGAATGTCATCAGTTAAGGCTATTTTCACTTCTTTTGTGTGTCTTCAGTTGCTTCAGGCCATCTGGATGTACACGTGCAGGTCACAGGGCATATGATAGCTTAGCTTGGACTCAGAGGCCTGACAATTGGTATTAAAGAGGGGGGCATTGCTGTAAAGATACTTGAAAATGTGGAAGCAGCTTCGGAACTGGATAACAGGCAGAGGTTGGAAGAGTGTAGAGGGCTCAGAAGAAGACAGGAAGATGAGAGAAAATTTGGAACTTCCTAGAGACTTGTTGAATTGTTGTGACCAAAGTGTTGATGGTGTTATGGACAATGAAGACCACTCTGAGAAGGTCTCAGGTGGAAATGAGGAACTTATTGGGAACTGGAGTAAAGGTCACTCTTGCTATGCTTTAGCAAATAACCTGGCTGCATTGTGCCCCTGCTTTAGGGATCTGTGGAACTTCGAACTTGAGAGTGATGATTTAGGGTATCTGGTGGAAGAAATTCCTAAGCATCAGTGTTCAGGATGTGACCTGGCTGCTTCTAAATTCCTATGTGCATATGTGTGAGCAAATAAATGACCTGAAACTGGAACTTATATTTTAAAGGGAAGCAGAGTGTAAAAGTTTGGAAAATTTGCAACCTGGCCATGTGGTAGGAAAGAAAAGCCTATTTTCAGGGGAGCAATTCAAGCTGGCTGCAGAAATGTGCATAACTAAAAGGAAAGTAAGTGCTGATAGCTTGGAACACTGTTCCCTGCATCCCTGCTGCTCCAGCTCCAGCTGTGGCTAAAAGGGGCCCAGGTACAGCTTGGGCCACTGTTTCAGAGGGTGCAAGCCATAATTCTTGGTGGCTTCCACGTGGTGTTAAGCCGGTAGGTGCACAGAATGCAAGAGTTGAGGCCTGGAAGATTTCAGAGAATGTATGGAAAAGCCTGGATATCCAAGCAGAAGCCTGCTTCAGGGATGGAGCTCTTACGGAGAACCTCTAATAGGGCAATGCAGAGGAGAAATGTGGGGTTGGAGCCCCCACGAAGAGTCCCTAACTGGGGCACAGCCTAGTGGAGCTGTGAGAAGAGGGCCACCAAACTCCAGACCCTGGAATGGTGGAGCCATGGGCAGCTTGCACTTTGTACCTAGAAAAGCCGCAGGCACTCAATGCCAGCCCTTGAGAGCAGATGCAGGGGCTGAACCCTGCAAAGCCACAGGAGTGGAGCTACCCAAGGCCTTAGGAGCCCACCCCCTGCATCAGGATGCCCTGGATGTGGGACATGGAATAAAAAAAAGATTATTTTTGAGCTTTAAGATTTAGTGACTGCCCTGCTGGGCTTTGGAGTTTCAAGGGGCTTCTAACCACTTTATTTTGGCCAATTTTCCTTTTTGGAATGGGAGTATTTACCCAACACCTATACCCCCCTTATATCTTGGAAGTAACTAACTTGTTTTTGATTTTACAGGCTCATAGGCAGAAGGGACTAGCCTTCTCTCAGAAGAGACTTGGATTTTGGACTTTCAAGTTAATGCTAAAATAAGCTAAGACTGTTGGGAAAGCATAATTGTATTTTGCAATGTAAGAAGGATATGAGATTTGGGAAGGGCTGAGGTGGAATGATATGGTTTGGATCTGTGTCCCTGCCAGTGTTGGAGGTGCGGGCTGGTGGGAGGTGATTGGATTATGGGGGCAGTTTCTCATGAATGGTTTAGCACCATTCCTTTGGTACTGTTCTCATGATAGTGAGTTTTCACAAGATCTGGTTGTTTAATGAATAGCACCCACCACTCACACTCTTCTTGCTCCTGCTTTGGCCATGTAAGATGTACCTGTTTGTCCTTCACCTTCCATCATGATTGTAAGTTTTCTGAGGCTTCCCCAGAAACCAAGCAGATGCCAGCATCATTCTTCCCATACAGCCTGTGGAAATGTGAGCCAATTAAATCTCTTTTCTTTATAAATTACCTAGTCTCAAGTATTTCTTTATAGCAATGTGAGAATGAATTAATACACAGGGTCTTGCTCTGTTGCCCAGGATGGAGTGCAGTGGTTCAATCATAGTTCCCTGCAGCCTTGACCTCCTGAGCTCAAGCAATTCTCCTGCTTCAGCCTCCCAAGTAGCTGGGACCACAGGTGTGCACCACCACACCCAGCTAATTAAAACAATTTTTTTTAAAAAATAGAAACAGGGCCTCACTTTTTGCCCAGGCTGTTCCCTAACTCCTGGCCTCAAGTGATCCTTCTGCCTTGGCCTCCCAAAGTACTGAGATTACAGGTGTTAGCCACCATGCCTGGCTGAAAAGAAACTTTTTATTTGAGGAATGTGAGCTCACTTATTTCTAAAGCCCAGAGAGCACTGACGTGTGACAGCATGTGATGGCAGCCATGTCTCACTCCCACTTTGAGCCAGATAATGACTTCTTGAAACCACTTGCTGTGTGGGGTCTAGACTGACTGATGCCAAGTAGCTATAAAATGCCATATGCTGGACACCATAACTCCTACTCTATCATTCAACAAGGTATTGCCAATCATGGATCAATGTCATCTCTGTAATCCAGTCAGAATGCCTGTCAAACAACTGCGTATCCACTTTAAAAACCTGCTTGTAACAAAGGCTGGATGGAGCACTCCCCCAGACAACTTGGAAGTGTGTCCTGGGCTGCTGTCTTCAACACTGGCCCAAATAAACTCTCTATATTAATTTTGCCTCAGCTTCTTTCTTTAGGTCTACTAAATTTGTTATCTTACATTCTGGAGGTCAGAATCACATCTTGTGTCTCACTGGGCTAAAATCCAAGGTCGGCAGGGCTGCATTCCTTTCAGGAGGCTCTGGGGGAAAAATCCATCTCCTTGCCTTTTTCAATTTCCAGAGACCACCCACCCTCCGGTTCTAGCTTCCTTCCTCCAGCCTCCAAGTCAGCAATGTTGTGTCTCTCTGAACTTTCTTCCATAGTTGTGTCTCCCTGCAACCACAGCTGGGAAATTTCTCTGCTTTTAAGGATTCATATGATTAGATTGGACCCACTTGGATAATCCAGAATCATCACCTCATCTCAAAATCCTTACCCTTAACCACATCTGCAAAGGTCCTCTTGCCACGTTCACAGGTTCCAGGGATTAGGACGTGGATATCCTTAGTGGGCCATCATTCTGCCTTGCACAGAAAGAGTAAGCATTCTGCCCCAAATAACACAGCCCAGAAGTAGCAGAGCCAGAACTTGAAGCCAAGCCCCAAATCCCAGTGACCTCTCCCACCGTGCTTTTCTGCCATTCTGGGTCTAACTTCTATTGATCAGGTGAGGGTTCACTCGAAGCTCACAGGAACTCTCTGAATTAATAAATCACTTTACAAATGAAGATGTCTCAGTAGGTGGTTGATAGATATGATTAGGGAGGACATACCTAAGGACATGCAGAAATGCCAAAGCTAGGAAACTGTCACGGCTGCCCATGGAAAGTCTGTCTTTCTGCCAGGGCTGGCCAAAAGATAGGGATTTGTTTCCCTATCTTTTGTTTAGCTGTGGCTCCTTTCAGTTGGAAGAAAACTGGCTGGTCTTGGCCAGTGTCCTCCACTGTGGGTTCTTTAGCCCTACCTGTATGCTTAGCCAGGAGACTCTGGGGCTTCACTGCAGATTTGCATTTGGGCAGATAACCTTGAGGTGATCAGCTAGCAGAAACTATGGAGAGAGGTGGAAGTATGGATGGAGCTGGAGGATGAGTAACCCCCACTTCCTGCTCTTCTACAATCCACTATAATAACAAGTGTTGTGGGAATCAGGAGGACCAGAGAGACCTTGGGGTGTATACAGGAGGATCTTTATTGAGTGCACTCAGACCCAGCAGACTTAACATCCAAAAACTGGGCCCAGAACAAAGACAGCACTTGACTTCTATACACACTTCAAAAAGGGGGTGGGCTAGCTAGAAGCAGGCTTACAGCGGCACAAAGGCAAGGACACAGAGGCAGAACAAAGACAGTTAATCAAGTTGTGACAGGTTCATAACTCAGGATTACACATGACCATTGCTATGCAGCCCAGATGTCTGTTATCTAGATTTCCTCTAGTGCCTAGCACAGACTTATCCCATAACCTTCACTATGGCAGCCAGGTGGCTGTATCTCAGGCCTGCTCAGATGGTTTATGACCTTCACTCCACTGCTTAGATAAAAGAGAATACTTCAAGTTACTAGTTACAGAGAACAGGAATCTATAAACTCATACCGTAAGATAAAGGAAAATCTGTTTTTCTCCTCCCTATGTTGAGGGAGTGCTGGGAAAATCTCCAGGGCACATTCCTTTGTGTCCTGGCTTCTTAGATAGTATCAAGACTTTTCCTAGGTCTGGGCTGTGCCTGTTGCTGCCTCTGGGGCAAGTCAGCCTAATACAGGAAAGCTTATTTCTCCTTTTTAAATTTTATTTTTCTTTCTTTCTTTAATTTCCCGCCTCACAAGTAGTGAGGCAGGAGAATAGGGTCTGGAGGCAGGGAACCTAAGGCCAATTCACACTAACTTCCTAGAACTAAATCAAAAGGAAAACCCCAACTTTCCACGCCTAAGTAACAAAAAGACCAGAGGCTACTCCCTTTGCAAACCCACACCTTTTCTGCCTGGCAAATGGCAAATTGAAAGTATCTCTGATTGGTTGCTTTCTTCAACCAATCATATGTTTGCATAGGAGTGTAATTTTTGTAACTTCACTTCAACCTCTGATTGGTTGTTGTCTGCAACCAATCAGACTGATTGCTGGCCAAGTCTTCGTGTGCATAGAAGTGCAACTTTGTAACTTCACTTTAACCTCTGATTGGTTGCTTTCCCCTGCTCAGGCTGCTTCCACACTGGAGTGTACTTTCATTTTCAATAAATCTGTACTTTCGTTGCTTTATTCTTTCCTTGCTTTGTTTGTGCATTTTGTCCAGTTCTTCATTCAAAACACCAAGATCCTAGACACCCTCCACTGGTAACAGTAGGGTTATGAGACCTTTATAAAAACAGTCAACTGAATTTCTTATGGGTACATTGTTGAAACTGTTTATATTTGTCAGGATACTGAATTAGGCCATTCTTGCATTGCTATAAAGAAATACCTAAGACTGGGTAATTTATAAAGAAAAGAGGTTCAATTGGCTTAGAGTTCTGCAGTCTTTATAGGAAGCATAGTGGCGTCTGCTTCTGGGGAGGCCCCAGGAAGCTTTCAATCATGGCAGAAGGCAAAGGGGGAGCAGGTGCATCATGTGGCAAGAGTGGGAGCAAGAGGGAGAGAGAGTTAGGTGTCCCACACATTTAAACAACCAGCTCTTGGCTGGGCATGGTGGCTCACGCCTGTAATCCCAGCACTTTGGGAGGCTGAGGTGGGTGGATCACGAGGTCAAGAGATCGAGGTCATCCTGGCTAACATAGTGAAACCCCGTCTCTACCAAAAATACAAAAATTAGCTGGGTGTGCTGGCACATGTCTGTAGTTCCAGCTACTCGGGAAGCTGAGGCAGGAGAATCACTTGAACCCAGGAGGCAGAGGTTGCAGTGAGCTGAGATTGCACCACTGCACTCCAGCCAGGTGACAGAGCAAGATTCCACCTCAAAAAAACAAAAACAAACAAAAACAAAAAAACCAGCCAGCTCTTGCGAGAAGTCACTATTGTGAGGACAGTACAGGGAGATGATGTTAAACTATTCATGAGAAAACCTCCCCCATGATCCAACCACCTCCCACCAGGTCCCATCTCTGATACTGGGGATTACAATTCAATACAAGATTTGGGCTGTATCAGATACTTTTCAGCAGCTACAAGTTGTAGAAAACCCAGTTCAACTAAAAATGGGAATTTATTGGCCCATGGAACTGAAGTCATGGGTAGGTTGGCCTTCAGGTACAGCATGATCCAGCAGCTCATATATGCTCATTTCCATAGCCTCAGTATTAGGTCTATTCTCAGTCATACTCTCCTTTTGTGTTCCAAAGGTGGCTGCAAGAAGTTTCTGGAACTCTATGTTTTTAGATTCATATGTGGTAGAACAGAAAAATGTACCTCTCTGGTGACTTAAAAAAGTTCATACATGGGATCTTGTTGGCTCCAATTGGCCTGCCTTGGGTCATCTGTCCATTTTCCAATCAATAGCTGTGGCCAGAAGCATGGGATATGCTGATTGGCTTAAATCAATTGGTGCCTCCCTCTGAAGCTGAGAGTAGGTCAATTTCTCCCAAAGCTCCAAGTTGGCAAATTGGGAGTCCTTGTTAAAAAGGGAGACCAGAGTCCCTAGCCATTGTTCTTCCATTTATCATCATGTTCCCATTGTGAGAACACACAACTTTGCTCTTTCTGAGCAATGGGTATGTTTGTACCTATGGATCTCATGACTCTTATATGTGTGTATATGTGTGTGTGAGGGGGTGTGGAGTGAGGTGGGGTGGATTCAAATGATAAATAAATTAGGGAGGAGAGAAAATGAAGGTCAAGGAAGATAAAGCTAGGAAGAATTAGCACATAGAAATTAATGTCACAAACTTGTTCTTTGTCCCAGGCTCTCTGAGCCTTAGTTTCCTCATCTATAAAATGAGACTACTAATTCCAACATCATGAAATTAAATGAGAGGAAGTCTGTAAAAGTTTGTGTAAATACAAGCAGTTATAGATTTTTTTGTTCTCCTCCATTCCCACTGCTTTACTTGACTAGCCTAAAAAAAAGTTTGTGTAAATAGAAAGGAGTGGCCACTCTACCATTCAACAATCACTCATGAAAAGTGCCTACTATGTGCCAGGCTCTGTGCTGGGGATCTAATGATGGGTAACACAGACATGATCCCTGGCCCAAAGGGAACAGAACTTTCCAAGTACAAGAAATTATTTTTGTTATTATTAAAAGATGCTAATGCCAGAGGGGGATCTCCAACAAGTCACAGATGGTGCTATAGTTTGGATGTTTGTCCCCCAAAACTCATGTTGAAATTTGATTCCAGTGTTAGAGGTGGGGCCTAATGGGAAGCGTCTGGGTCATGGGAGTGGATTCCTCATGAATAGATGAATGCCCTCCCTTGGAGGTGAGTGAGTTCCTTATCTACTAGCTCCTGTGAGAGCTGGTTGTTAAAAGAGCCTGGTACCTCCTGCTTGCTCTCTTGCTTCCTCTCTTGCCATGTGATCTCTGCACATGCCAACTCCCTTTCACCTTCCTCCATGAGTGGAAGCAGCCTGAGGCCCTCACCAGATGCCTCCTGGACCTTCCAGCCTGCAGAACCATGAGCCAAATAAACCTCTTTTCTTTGTAAATTGCTCAGCCTCAGGTATTCCTTCCTAGCAACACAAAATTGATAAGACAGATGTGCCTTGGGCCACATGGTGGTGGAGCTGGGACTCGAACCCAGAATCTCCTGGCTCTCTCTGCTGCTTCCCTTGGCCTCTCCCTTCCCCCACACAGTAGCTACCCCCTGGTTAATGGGTCAGACTTCCCTCTGGTGCACTTAGGAACTGTGTTTGATGTGCTCTTCCTGGCTTCAGGAGAAGACAGTTCCTTCCCACTGATAATTGGAGTGGAGAATTAATCATGGCTTTGTGGTTGAACTTTCCCTGCCAGTAGCCCTGCACTGCTGCCCAGAGAGGGAGTTGGAATGAGAGCACCAGGTAATGATTTTTGTGTTTTGGGATGAGGCCACTGGGAGGAAGTCAGGGCTGCTCCGCTCTGTGGGTACATATGCCTGAGTGCATATGCACATTTGGGCATGCAGGCTGTGTGTGTGTGTGTGCGTGTTTGTAAGTGTTGGGACTATTGCTGGACAAGGTCGGGTCTCTCCCCAAAGGAGCCCTGGATCTAGACCTTGTTTCACCATTCTCTAGCTGGGTCACTAATGCCAAATCACCCCTCCCCTGTGGGTCTGCATTTTCTTCACTGTAAAATAGGGGTAATCCTTGCCTCATTCCTTGTCTTCCTTATGAGAAGTCTGCGAACATCAAAGAAGACCAGGAGGAAGAAACTGAAAAGGGCAGAACACCCACAGAGGCAGAATGGCCTCATGGTTAGAGTCTAGACAGCCTCTATTCAAGTCCCAGCTCCCCTATTTACTACTAGCTGCATTACCTCGACTTCACCTCTCTAGGCCTCAGTTCCTCATTTGCAAAGTAGGGAGAATATGAGAAGCTACCAAAATTGATCAAATCTAAGATTCCATCAATTATCAGATACCAGTATTTTATGTACCATAAATAAAGAAAAAAAGGCCACTAATTGGCCGTGCCCTGATTTTTCTGACCTGAGATGTGGATGCAGAGCAGCTCAAACTTCCAAGGAAGGTGTATGTGGCACGGTGGGATGATGACAAGCGACACTGGGCCAAGGCAGCTGAGGCCCCACACCTGGGAACTAGGGAGGGATAGAGATTCCTCAAAGGATGGGTCACAAACCACATGCCAGTCTACCTCTGATTCTACCTGCATGCCAGATGGCCCCAGCTCCAGTCAGTGAGACTATGAACTATATTTAAGTCATTAACTAAAACTTAAATCTACTGGAAAAGGAAGAAGGGGTGAGGGTCAGGAAGAAAAAGCCCTACGTTGATGGAATTCACCCTAATTTTCTCAGAGGCACACAAATCCTAATTGACTGAAATTAATCTGAAATGACCAGGGCTGCTCATTGGCTGGTTTAGGTTTCCACCACCAGGGAATGGGGAGCTTGAGACACAGACTACATTTGGTTGCAGAAAAAATAAATTGTGTTTCTCGTGTAAACCAAAAAGTATCTGAGACAAGTCTCAATCAATTTGGAAGTTTATTTTGCCAAGGTTAAGGACATGCCAATGGCACAGCCTAAGGAGGTCCTGATGACATGTGCCCAAGGTGGTTGGGCTACAGCTTGGTTTTATACATTTAAGGGAGACATAAGGCATCAATCAATACATGTAAGATGTGCATTGGTTCAGTCTGGAAAGGAGGGACAACTTGAAGTGGGGAGGGAGTGGTTCCAGGTCACAGGTGGATTCAAAGATTTTCTGATTAGTAATTGGTTGAAAGCGTTTATTTAAATACCTGGACTCAATAGAAGGGAGTGTCTGGGTTAAGATAAGGGGTTGTGGAGACCAAGGTTTTTATTATGCAGATGAAGTCTTCAGCTAGCAGGCTTCAGAGAGAATAGATTGTAAATGTTTCTTATCAGACTTAAAGAGTCTGTTCTGTCTTAAGGTCTCTGCTTTAATGTTAATGCTGGTTAGCTGTGCCTGTATTCCAAAGGGAGAAAGGTATGATGAGACACGTTCAATTACCCGTTCCCATCATGGCCTGAACTAGTGTTTCAGGTTTACTTTAGAATGCCCTTGGCCAAGAGGAGGAGTCCATTCAGTTGGTTGGGGCTTAGAATTTTCTTTCTGGTTTACATTTGCATACCTGAGTTTGTGTACTGGGAAATCCACACCTCCTGTACATTCAAATACACATGCCCCCATAAATAGATGAACATTCATGTATATATTGATATACAATATGTCTAGAAAAAAGAATCAAAGGAGAGATATCAAATGCTAACAGATTCTCTCTTGATGGGGCTACCTTGGTTTGTATCAGTTATCCCACAGATTTGGCTAGTGTCACAAATATCAGAAAAACAGTGGCTTTAATAAGGGAGGAGAGGAAAGGGTGAAATGGATGTGGTCCAGGACTACTGAAGGCGCTGACTGACATGTGGGGACCAGGCTCTTTCTGTCTCATTGCTCCACTCTCTCTAACACTTGTATTCTACCTCATGATCTAGTCTGGCTGCCCAGGCCCCTCCATCACATCTGCATTCCATCTAATGAGAAGGGAGACAAGGGAAAGGGAAGGCAGGTTTCTTTATTGTTTTTTCTTAAGGACACAACTGAAAGTTGCATGTATCACTTCCTCTCACTTGTCTTGGACATATCCTGGTCACGTGGTCACACCAGCTGCAAGGGATACTGGGAAATGAAGTCTTTAGCTGGGTAGTTTTGTGCCTCAGTGAAGCACATCTCTGAATATTCCAGCTCTGGAGCCTCCTGTGGGCTTGGCTGAGATCTCTGTTGGAGTCCACCACAGCCCAGCTGCTCTCTCCACCCAATACATTTCCCTTGGCCTGCCCGCACCCACCCTAGGTGTTGATCCTGAAAGCATCTGGCAATTCAGTGTGCAAGTCTCCTTCCCAGAGCCAGTTTCCCAGAGCACACTGCCTACAATGCACTGTGAAATGGAAGCAATATGGTTGTAAGGATTAGATGTGATATTTTAAAATGAAACACTTCCATTGAGTAGGTGCTGAATAAATAATGAAACTGGCAAACACCAGTTTACAGATAGCACTGCCTCTTTCAGAAGGTGTTCTAAGACCTTTTCATGCGTGACATCATTCACTCTTTGCAGCCAGGCTATGAGGGTGTACTGTCATTCCCATTTTACAGATGAGGAAGCCGGGGCTCAGAGAGGTTAAGTACTGCACTCCAGCTGCCCAGTTTGTAATTACTCTGATGCAGCACAGACACCTGTCAACCAGCGTGTCAGGATTACAAGGCCAGAGCCCGGAGGACGGTGATGTGGGAAAGGAGCCTGGGCCTCGGTTGCCGCTGCTGGGAACCTCCAGCGCTGTCACCTCATGGGCTCTTCGAGGCTCCCATGTGACCGCAGATGGTAGTGCCTTGTAAACTGTAGAGTACTGGGCATCACTGAGGTGTGGTCATCTCTCGTGATTCTTTTAATAACAATGATAATTGGGCCCATTTGTGGGGCACTCACCATGTGCTGGGCCCTACATTAAACACCTGACAAACATTATGTCATTTGCTTCTCACCAACCCCACGAGGCAGGCAGCTGGCACCGTGCTTCACCAGTGAGGACATAGAGGCTCCGGGAGGTCGGGTCAATTGCCTCAGGTCCCAGGGCTGGGGGGGTGGCAATGTAAGACATGAGCCCAGGTTGGAGTGAGGCCGGAGGGCATCCCTCACCTCGGGGCCTGTGGAAGGATGTTGTTCCTACTACACAGCTGCCCTCGAACAGCCACTTCTCAGGTTCCACTGCACTGACTCTAAGGGGATGGGGACTCGTTTTCCAGGACTGGCCAGTCTCCCAGAGGAAGGGGTCCAGGGAGTTCCTAGGGGACGGAGGAGACAGAGATCCACCCTGGGAAGGCCACTGGTTTGAGGGAGAGGTGCAGCTTCCACCCAGGCAGAGCTACTGGTCCAAGGGATACCCATGGGAGAGCTCCTGGTGTGGCGGGAAAGGCACAGGCTCTGCCTCGGAGGAGACCCCTGTCTAACGAGGGAGGCTTAGCCTCTGCCCCTGCTCCCTGCTGACGGGGACTCTGGATGCCAGCAGATGCCCCAGGAAAGAAGAAGCAGGGATGAGAAGGGGCTGAGGAAGGAGGAAACTGGGCAGGGCTCTGGCCAGAGGCCCATCTCTCCTACCTTGCCCTCCCCCATCTGCCCGGGGCCTCTGTACCAAGCCTGTGAGTAACTGCCCAGCGGCGGCACAGCCAGTCATGAGGACGTGATGAGACTCCATGAGGTAGCCATGCAGGTCCCAGTGAGGAGGACCTGGTGACTCAAGTGCTCTCCAGCCGGCTTGTGCCCTGGGCCAGCTCCACTGTCTGCCTGGGCTGCACCTGCCCCTTGTTGTGTAGCCCCAGGCCACTCCTCCTTCGCAGGCCTGTTTTTCCATCTGCGCATGGGGGAATGGCCCTGGACAGCTTCTCTCCCTGTGTGGCTCAGTCACCTCAGGCCACAGACCCACCAGGAACCCTCTATTTGGGAAACCTGGTCCTGAAGACCTCCTGCCTCTGGTTGCTGTCCTGGCTGGCTCTGTTCCTCACACCTTCTCAACCCCATGCCCCGCAGAGAGTCCCTTTAAAGGATGTCTTTGCCACCACAGCTTAAGGACAGTCCTTGCCTGCACAGTGTCTTTGACTTCATGACCTGTGTGTCCCTGGGCTGGATGGCATGCCACAGTCCCGGTTCTCCTCCTGCTGCTCTGTTGCCTCCGCACCCTCCTGCTGTCTGTCACCCCCGCACCCCCACCCCATGTTGGCAGGGTGCATGGGGTGGGGGACACTTAGCAAGAGGGCCCCTCTATAAGAATGACTCCCAGGGCTCATGCCCAGTGGGGCTTTCACATGGGGGTGTCCCCAGTACAACCCGGCAGGATAAATTAGGAAGATGCTCGTCGCAGTTCCCCATGCCCTACTGTGGATGTGCGGAGTGATTTTCCCCTTCTTCATCGTCATTAGTGAGGCCTTTGTATTACCCCACCCAGGGGGGATTTGGTCTGGGACCCAAAGCCAGGCATCCCTCAGATGCTATGCTCTAAAGAGTTGGGACTGTGTATATCTTGCACATTTTTGTAGCCCAGTTCTGTCTTCCAGGTCTGGCACATAGTAGGTGTTCAGCACATATTTGTAGACTCAGTGGGTGATTGGCTGGTGGAAGAAATGCATCACATGTCATCTGCACAAAGAGGTTGCATGGTACTGTCGGAAAGAGAGAGGAGAAAGGCCTGTGAGGTCCCAGCACAGTGCCGGACGCAGTCAGGGCTTGGTGCGGGCCGACAGTGGTTGAGACACCTGGCTACAGTTTGACAGGGCTGAGTGATGTGAGCTTGCACCTGTTGCCCCGGGTTCCTTCGGGCCTTGATTCGGATTCCTGCCCATGGCCTTTTGGATGGGTCCAGGCCAGCATCTGTCAGAGGAGCTCAGAACTTCTGAAATCTCAGCCTCCAGCTCCCGAGGACTTGTGCGGCCGTCCAGACCTTGATGTTGTCGGCCGTGCCTTCAGCAGTAATTGGAAGGGCAGCCAGCAGCCTTTAGAGGACTCCATCTGAAAAAACAAGGCCGAGGCAGGACTTCACATGAGGGTGACTCCTGGGCTGTGCCAGGCTTTGGATCAGTCCCTGAGTTTCTGCTGAACACCTGCTGTGTGCCTTGCCTGGGGAGGGATGGGCTCCAGGAAAACTGTGAGAAGCAGCTCCTGACATGGAGTTTGGTGTCAGGCAGACTTGAAGTCAAACCCAAACTGATGACCATGGAGAAATTCCTTCAACCCTCTCAGCCTCAGTTTCCTCAAGTGGCCAGACGACCAGGAGGCTGCTGGAGCATGGAGCGCAGCCTCGTATGCTGGAGCTTTAAGAAAAACACTTAATTCTAGGATACGGTCTTGACCCTAAGCATCTCTCTCACATTCCAACTGGGGAGATGGAATTGGAGAGAAGAAAACCGGTAGTTCATAAATCCCACCATGGCATGGATCCCATGTGACATGCAACTGGGAAGAGCGGAGACAGAAGCTCTTCTAGGTTAGAGTGATTAGGGAGGGCTTTCTGGAGGAGGTGGCTCCTGAGCCGAGCCCAGGGGAGGAACAGGCTGTGGACAGGTGGATGGGAGAACAGAGGGTGTGTGGGCAGGGGGACAAGGTGTGGGAGCTGTGGTTGTGGGATAGGACTCATACACTGAACCTGGGTACAGTGTTAATGGGAGGCAGTGGGGTGACCTGAAGACTCTCAAGGACAATTTGGGGTGTAACAAGAATGGGGTGAGAGGCAGGGCCCACAGTCGACAGTCTTCTGGTGGAGGTGCAGGTGAAGGTCGCTGAGTTGGCCCGGTTTAAGGGAGGTTTATTTCTTCAGCTCCCAGCAGAGTTGAAAATAGGTCTTGGCAGTTCAGGGGAGAGATGGGGGTGGGGGGCTACAGCCTCATATCGCCTTCAGGATAAAGTCCAAGCCCTCAGCCCTGTCTGCAGGAACCTCTGGGATTGGGGATTGGGCTTCTTCTCACCTCTCCAGCCTGAGCATCCCCACCCCAATCCTCTAGCCCTGCTGAGGCCCACCCTGTTCCCTGAGCATGCCTCTGCGCCACTGCTCCATGGATCCTTCTGCCTGGAATGCCTTCCCTCATACCCACCTAGCAAACCCCTACTAACCCCTTAAGACTTGGGTTAACATGACCTCCTCCATGACATTTGCCTTGATCTGCCCAGCATGATGGTGCAGGACACTCTCCTCTGTATCCCATAGCGCCTGCTATCCACATCCTTCATAGCCAATTCATTTTGCTCTCACGATAACTGGCTGTGTCACGTTGGTCAAGTAAATAAAATTCTCTGTGCCTCAGTTTCCTAATCTGCAAAATAGGGGCAATAATTGTAGCTGCCTTGGTTGGGTTAACACTTGTAAAGACTTTAGAAGAGTGCCTGGTGCTTAATAAATAGTAAATGTTACCCATTATTAAAATAATTATTCTTACCTCATAGGGCTGTTATGAGGATTAGAAGTCAAGTGCTTGTATCATGCTTGTAACATAGTGAGCCCTAACGAATGAGAGCTATCATCTCCACTGTCTTCATTGTCCCCCTCATCCCCACCATGATCCTCACCATCCCCAACACCATCCCCACCATCCTCCCTTCCATCTCCATCATCCCTACCACCATCCCCAACATCCCCACCATCATCCCCATTACAATCCCCACCACTATTTCCACCATTCCCACCACAGTCACCATCACCCCCACCATCTCCATCATCATCCCCACCATTCCCACCATCCTTACCATCAACATCACCATCCCCACCATCCCCAACACCATTCCCACCATCCCTACCATCACCATCACCATCCCCACCAACATCCCCACCACCCACCATGCCCACCACCATCCCCACCATCAGTTTGCCTACTTGCCTCCTCCAGACTGTGAACCCCTACGGCATGGCTGTGCTTTGGCAATCTCTGATCTCAGTGGGATGCTCAGAATCAGGCATGTAGTAGGTGCTTAGTACAATTTTCTTGGGCAAATGAAGGAAGCAGGGCCCTGGCTTGGGGGCTGGTAAGGAAGGGAAAGGTGTGAGTGAGGTTTAGGAGGGAGAGCTGTCAGGACTGGAACCCCATGGTGGGGGTGGGGGTGGTGGGGAGAAGACTCCAGGCTGGCGCTAACCTGGAAACTGCCCGTACTAGGGGACTCCATCCTCTACAAAGCAACTTCAAAACCCTTTGGATCCAGCCTCTATTGGAGCAGGTGGGCATTAAAAAGGATTTGGGAAAAAACAGATCCCCTCTGAAGTCAGGTCTCCCTAAGCCTCTGGTCTCAGGGACTGTCCACAGCCTTGGACTCCACCCTTAGTCGTAGCTGTTGATTCTATTGTGAGGGGGTCTCTGGGTGACAAGGTTGTGCACAGCTCCAGGAGGATCTTCTCAATAGCCTGAGATGTGGATGGGGGAAGGGAGAGCCTGGGTTACCAGCTCAGAGGATGGGAGAATTAGGGAGGGCTCCCTGGAAGAGGTGTTAGGAGCTAGGGTATAAATCTAGAGAAGGGATAGGTGGCACCAGTGGACAGCATAGAGTTGGAGAAGAATGAGCTCTGGGTCCTCAGGAACTCAACCTGTCCACCTCTTGCCACCTGATGCCCCTTCTCTAGTCCCAACTCTCATCAGCCCCATCTAGCCCACTGCATCTCCCTCTTTCCTGCCCTGCCTCCCTGGCATCCACTCCCTGCAGAGCATCCTGGGCTCAGAACCTTGCAGTGACTCCCACCTCGCTTGGAGTCAAAGCCAAAGGGCACAACTGGCAAACAAGGCTCTCATCCCAGCCCCTGCCTGCTGCTTCTGTCTTTGATCCCACCCTCTTCCCTCCCCCCTCCCTCCCTTCCTGGCCACAGAGGTCTTCTTGCAGCTCCCTAAACCCTGGAGGCAATTTTCCAGCCCAGGGTCTTTGCATAAACTCCACCCACACCGCCCCCCCCCCGCCCCAACCTGGAACGCTCTACTCCTGACAGTGTCTGGGGCTTTCTCATCCAAGGTTTCAGCTTAAATGTTGCCTTGCCCAGGAGGCTTTCTCAGACCTCTTTATTTGCTTCCTTTACAGACCTAACCATGATTTATAATTAAGTGTATTGTTTTAAAACTTATTATCTCTTCTCTTCACCAATATGTCAGCTTCATGAGGACAAAGCTCTGTCTGGCTCCTTATTGCTACATCCCTAGAGCTCCAGGCAGTGCCTGACATCTAAATAGGCCTTTAGGTTAAATGGAATTCTGTGCTTTGACATGAGGAAGGGAAATCAAGGAAGGCCCCCTGGAGGAGGTGTTTAGAGATGGGAAGAAAATGCAGAGAGGAAGATGGGTGCTCAACAGTGAGGACAGGGTTGAGGTGCTCAGAGCTAGGTGGAATGGGCCCAGGGGAGCCCCTTTGCCCTCCCTGGAATATTTTTAGTCCTACCTGAGCCCCGAGAACTTCTGTCTAGGTGTGACCTTGCTCCAGGCAAGCTGTCTTGTAAAATTCCAGAGCCAGGTATACCCAATTCTGCAACGTGGTAGCTGCATGACTGTACAAGTCCCTTAACAGCACCGGGCCTCAGTGACATCATCTGTTAAATGGGTTGGTGATGATAATGGTCAGCATTTATGGAGGAGCCCACACGGTGCTAAGTGCTTTACACATATCAGCTAACTGAATCCTCACTGCTGCCAATGAGACAGGTACTATTGAATCAGAGGCCCGGAGAGAGCTCCACGCGGTTGGTCATACTGGTGAAGAGCTTGGTTCAATGCCTGGTGAACTCTCGGCACAGGGGTTACCAGTGAAACTCATGCTGTGGGCATTTGTTTCCCTCCAAGAGGGACAGCCCCAGTGTCCCTGGACGCTGACTAGGACTGAGTCAGACCCATCCTCATTAGAGTCCCAACCTTGAGGCTGCCTGCACAGAGTGACGTCTGCAGATATGTGGGTCTCTCTCTGAGCCCGGTCAGGCTTCACGCCCCTCAGAGCCTGCCCTGATGTTACCCCCAGCAGGGCTGTGAGTTACCTGGTTCCACCTCCCTGGCTGTGAGCCCGGCCAGCTGCTTTTGTGCCTCACATTTTTATGCCAGTTAATTACAGCCATTACTGCCATTACGAAAAAGTTGTGTGATCTCAGGCAGGTCCAGGAGACCCCGAGGCTCCTGGGGGATCTGCCATGCATGGATGTTTGAGAGGAGGCTCTCCCGTGCCTGCCTGTTCTGTCTTCCACTGGACTAGGTCCCTTTGAGGTTAAAGATGGTGTCCCACATTAGGCTGGTGTCCTGGACAAAAATTTTAAAAGAATCTTTTAAAAGGCATGACTGAGTTGGCAAGAATGTAGAGGAAGTGCTCCAAAGCCAAAAAAAAAAAAAAAAAAAGAATGTCTACACAAATCAAGAGGGGGTGAACCCTCGACTGGAGGCTGGCCTAAAAGATTCCTGTAAACTAGAGCTTTGTTGTTTTTAAAGTTGTGGTCAACTTCACGTAGAGTAGAATTCACCCTTTTTAGTATAAAGTTCTTTGAGTGTTGACTAATGCATAGAGTTGTGTACCCGCCATCACAAATCAAGGTATAGAAGTTTAATCTCTCGTCAATGTCCCTGAATCCTTTGGAAGTCAATCCCTGTTCTCACTTCTGCCTCCTGGCAAACACTAATCTGTCTTCTCTTCCTATATTTTTGCCTTTTCCAGGATGTCACAAAAATGGAATCATCCAGCAACACGTTGTCTTTCGAGTCTGACTTTCACTTAGCATAAGGCAATTGAGATTCATCTATGTTGCGTTTCTAAGTGTGTTAGTATTGTGCAGATGTGCCAGTCTGTTGATCCACTCACTTGCTGAAGAATATCTGAGCTGTCTTCAGCTTTTGGTTATTATGTATTTTTTTTATTTATTTATTTAGACAGTCTCTCTCTGTCTCCTAGGCTGGGGTGCAATGGCGTGATCTTGGCTCACTGCAACCTCCACCTCCTAGGTTCCAGGGATTCTGGTGCCTCAGCCTCCCGAGTAGCTGGGATTACAGGTGTGTGCCACCAAACCCAGCTAATTTTTGTATTTTTAGTAGAGACAGGGTTTCACCATTGTTGGCCAAACTGGTCTCAAATTCCTATCCTCAAATGATCCGCCTGCCTCAGCCTCCCAAAGTGCTGGGATTACAGTGTGAGTCACCGGGCCCGGCCTCATTTATTGATTTTTAAGACAAGGTCTTGCTCTGCTGCCCAGGCTGGAGTGCAGTGGTACAATCATGGCACTGCAGCTTCAAACTCCTGAGCTCAAGCAATCCTCCTACCTCAGCCTCCCGAGTAGTGGGGACTACAGGCATGTGCCACCAGGCCCTGCTAATTATTCCTTTATTTTTTGTAGAGACAGGGTCTCACAATGTTGCCAAGGCTGGTCTCAAACTCCTGAACTCAAGCAGTCCTCCCACCTCCGCCTCCCAAAGTGCTGGGATTACAGGTGTGAGCCACTGCACCCGGCCTGCTTTTGGTTATTATGAGTAAAGCTGATACAAACATTCACGCATAGGTTATGGTGTAAATGTAGTTTTTTCACTTCACTTGGGCAAATAGCTGGGAGTGAGATTGCAGGATTGTATGGTAAGGGTTTGTTTGACTTTATAAGAAACTGCCAAACTGTTTTTCAAAGGGTATGTGCCATTTGATACTCCCTCTCCCACTACAATGTAGAGCTTTGCTTTTAACAGATGCAGGGGAGATAGAAGACGTAGCCCAAGGCCTGACCGAGTGGAACTGGGGTCTGAGCTCCCATACGAAGTCAGAGCTTCTGCAGGCAACATCCTTAGTGAAAGGGCAAACTTGAAAAAGATCTACCTTCTAAAAGGATATGGCAAGAAAAGGGTTGGTCTTGGCTTTCACTCAGAATAAAGAGGGAAAGAAACTCTCCCCTGAGCCAGCCCTTATGTGAGATCAGGGCCCAAATTCCCACTTTATTTTATTTTATTTTTATTTTTATTTTTTGTTATACTTTAAATCCTGGGATACATGTGCAGAACATGCAGGTTTGTTACATAGGTATACATGTGCCATGGTGGTTTGCTGCACCCATCAACTCATCATCTAGGTTTTAAACCCCGCATGCATTAGGCTTTTGTCCTAATGCTTTCCCTCCCCTTGCCCCCCAACCCCCAACAGGCCCCCAGTGTGTGATGGTCCCCTCCCTGTGTCCATGTGAAGAAATTTATTTTTAAATTAATTAATTATTTTTGTTTTAAAGAGATGGGGTCTTGCTATGTTGCCCAGGCTGGTCTTGAACTCCTGGCCTCAAGAAATCCTCCTGCCTCACCCCCTAAAGTGCTGGCATTGCTTGTTTGGTCCAGAAACACCAGGCTGAGAACCTAGTTTCAAGGAGTCCCTGGTGAATAGTACTCCCAGGTCTCCAGCAAAAACAAACTAAAATCCTTTCTAGAGAAACACATATCAAACCAGACCTTATAAAGTTCCTACCAGTTAGAATCCTGATGATCATGAGCTCACAATAAAAACATTTAAAAACATGCAAAGAAACCACAAACAGAGGAATCAGACCTGTAAACACTTCAAGGATTGGAATTAGAGTATTCATTTTGGGTAATAAGAGTGCTACATAATTTAAATAAAAGTGTCCTGCTGGGCACAGTAGCTGACGCCTGTAAGCCCAGCACTTTGAGAAAGTCACTTTAGGCCAGGAGTTCAAGACCACCCTGGGCAACATAGTGAGACCCCCGTCTCCACAAAATATTTCTCAAAAATTAGCTGGGTGTGGTGGTGTGTGCCTATAGTCCCAGCTACTTGGGAGGCTGAGGTGAGGATTGCTGGAGTCCAGGAGTTTGAAGCTGCAGTGAGCTGTGATCAAGCCACTGCACTCCAGCCTGGGTAACAGAACGAGACCCTGTCTGTAAAACAAACAAGCAAACAAAACAAAAACAAAAAAAGAAACATAAAACCATAAGCACAGAACAAGAGAGTATTAAAAAGGACCAGACTTGGTTTCTTATAAAAATTCAATGTACATTTAACATATGAGCCAGCAATACCTAAGTATTTGCCAAAGAGAAATGAAAACATGACCATGAGAAGATTTGTATAGGAAAGTTCATAAAAGTTTATAATATCCCAGCACTGAAAACAACATGAATGTTCATCAACAGCGAGCAGATAAACGAATTGCAATTTATAATGGAATATGACTTAGCAATAACAAAGCAATGAACTGCAGATACTTTCTCTTCTTTTTCTTTCTTTCTTTTTTTTTTTGAGATGGAGTCTCGCTCTGTTGCCCAGGCTGGAGTGCAATGGTGCGATCTCGGCTCACTGCAAGCTCCGCCTCCCAGGTTCACGCCATTCTCCTGCCTCAGCCTCCCGAGTAGCTGGGATTACAGGCACCTGCCACCACGCCCGGCTAATTTTTTGTATTTTTAGTAGAGACAGGGTTTCACCGTGTTAGCCAAGATGGTCTCGATCTCCTGATCTTGTGATCCGCCCGCCTCGGCCTCCCAGAGTGCTGGGATTACAGGTGTGAACCACCGCGCCCGGCCTCTTTTTTTTTTTAAGTACACTTGGAAGAGGGCCAAGTGGGTGACTTGTGAGATGAAGTGCCAGATACTTTCAACAACGTGGATTAATCTAAAAAACATTTTGCAGAGAGAAAGAAGCAAGATGCAAAATAATACCAAGTCTATGATTTCATGTGTAATTCTTTGCAGGACAGGCAAAAATCTAGTCTATAGCCACAGAATGCATGTGAGTGGTGGCTTGGGGACAAGGGTTGAGAAAGGGATTGACTGCAAAGGGAAAAGGGACCTTTTGGGGCTAGTGAAAATGTTGTAACTCTTGATTGGGGGTGGTGATTACGTGAGTTTATACATTTGTCAAAACTCATCAAACCATACACTTATTAAAATGGATGCTTTTACTGTATGTAAATTATATACACATGTAAATTATATGTCAATAAAGTTAATTTTATTATTTATTTATTTGAGACAGAGTCTCACTCTGTCACCCAGGCTGGAGTGCAGTGGCACGATCTCAGCTCACTGCAGCCTCTGCCTCCTGGGTTCGAGTAATTCTCCTGCCTCAGCCTCCCAAGTAGCTGGGATTACAGGCGCCCGCCACCACGCCCAGCCAATTTTTGTGTTTTTAGTAGAGACAGGGTTTCACTATGTTGGCCAGGACGGTCTTGAACTCCTGACCTCAAGTGATCCACCCACCTCAGCCTCCCAAAGTGCTGGGATTATACAGGTGTGAGCCAATGCGCCTGGCCCTAAAGTTAATTTTAAAACTAAAAAGGCATTTATCAGGATGGGAGGCCTAGCTGGGATCACTTTTCAGACCTTTTTCTTTCACATGCTGATCATGCTCCTTATCTGTTTATTTATTATTTTTATTTCTTTTAGAAACAGGGTCTTGCTCTGTCATCCAGGCTGGAGTGCAGAGGCATGATCTTGGCTCACTGTAGCCTAGAGCTGTGGTCTCAAGTGATCTTCCCACCTCAACCTCTCAAGTAACTGGGACCACAAGTGTGTGCCACCACACCCAGTTTATAAAGAAAAAAAAGTTTTTAGGGAGGGTTTGTGGCATGGGGTCCCACTATGTTGCTCAGGCTGGTCTTAAACTCTTGACTTCAAACAATCCTCCAGCCACCACACCTGGTGATCATGCTCCCTCTTGAGACCCTCTCTCTTCTGGGACATCCCACTTTCTCTTGGGTTTTCTCCTACCTCCCTGGCTCCTTTGTTCTCCCCAAACTCTAAACATTGGAGGGCCTCAGGGCTCTGTCCTTGGGCCCCATCTCTCTCCTACCCACACTCACTCCCTAGGAGATCTCTGGCTTTGAAATTGTCTGCCCACTCCCACAATCCTATGTCCAGCCCAGACCTCTGGCTTTGGACTCCAGTGAGATTAACCAGTCCCCTCCCCTGTGTTGCCCCTTGGAGGTCTAATAGGCACCTCAACCTCACACCTGCAAAACCATCCTCCTGATGTCCAGCCCTGCAAACTTGCCCCTCCCTGAGACTTCCCCATGCTTCTGGGTGCCTGTGCCAAAACCGTGAAGTCATCCACTCCTGTCTTCCTCTCACACCCCACAGTTTATCCATCAGTGAACCCTGTCGGATCTGCCTCCCAAAAATCATCTCTGACTGTTTATTACCTGCTCCACTACTTCCTCCCTGGTCCAAGACACCATTGCTTCTCGCCAGGATTATGATTGCTTCTCTGACTGGTCTCTCTGCTTTCTACCCTTGCCTCCCTCTAATCTGTGGTCAGCAAAGCAGCCAGAGGGATTCTGCCAAGTTATGCCTCTCCTTTGCTCAAACCCTTCCGGCAACTCCTCATCTCACTTGGAGGAAGCAGACCCTTCCTTTGGCCTATAAGGACAACATGATTCTGCCTTTCATTTCTCTGACTTCATCCCCTAGTACTCTGGTATGGTTTGGCTGTGTCCTCACCCAAATCTCATCTTGAATTGTAGCTCCCATAATTCCCACATGTTGTGGGAGGATCCCAGTGGGAGATAATTGAATTGTGGGGGCGGTTTCCCCCATACTGTTCTTGTGGTAGTGAATAAGTCTCACGAGATCTGATGATTTTATGAAGGGTTTCACCTTTGGCTTGGTTCTCATTCTGTCTCTTGCCTGCCACCATGTAAGATGTGCCGTTTGCCTTCCGCCATGATTGTGAGGCCTCCCCAGCCATGTAGAACAGTGAGTCCATTAAATCTCTTTTTCTGTATAAATTACCCAGTCTCAGATATGTCTTTATGAGCAGTGTGAAAACAGACTAATACATAACGTGTCCCTTCCCCTCCCCTACCCCTGGGCCACACTAGCCTCCCAGTGGTTCTTTGAATGAGTCAACCATGGTCCTGCACTTGCTGCTCCCTCTTCTGGGTCTCAGACTCTCCAGGTGTCCCCATGGCTGTGTCCTTTCATCCTTCAGGTCACTCTTAGTTTGCTTTGCTAGAGAGGCTTCCTGACCCCTGTAGAAATCAGTGCCCTTGCCCCACTCTGTGTGCTAATCATCACCGAGGCGAACATCGATCACCTGGCTGAGGTAGTGTTCATCAGTTTTCACTTGTTATGGGTTGAATTGTGTCCCTGCTACTCACCTAAAATTCACATGCTGAAATCCTAACCCCTAATACCTCAGAATGTGACCTTATCTGGAGACAGGGTCTTTACAGAGGTAATCACGTTAAAATGAAGTTGTTAAGGTGGGCACTAATCCAATGTGACTGGTGTCCTAATAAAAAAGAGTAAATTTGGAAAGACATGCACACAGGGAGACACCGTGTGAACGTGAAGATGGTCATCTATAAGCCAAGGAGAGAAGCCTGGAATAGCTTTGGTATGATTAAGCTTTGTGTCCCCACTCAAATCTCATCTTGAATTGTAATCCCCATAATCCCCATAATCTCTTCATGTCAAGGGAGAGACGAGGTGGAGGTAATTGAATCATGGGGGCAGTTTCTCCCATGCTGTTCTCGTGATAGTGAGTGAGTTCTCATGAGATCTGATGATTTTATAAGGGGCTCTTCCCCCTTCACTTCTCCTTCCTGTCGCCTTGTGAAGAAGGGGCCTTTCTTCCCCTTAGCCTTCCGCCATGATTGTAAGTTTCCTGAGGCCTCCCCAGACACGCTGAACTGTGAGTCAATTAAACCTCTTTCCTTTACAAATTACCCAGTCTTGGGCAGTTCTTTATTGCCGTATGAAAATGGACTAATACAAGCTCCTTCTCTCACAGCCCTCAGAAGGAACCAACCCTACCAACACCTTGATTTTGAACTTTCAGCCTTCAAAATGGTGAGAAATTTGGGAACAAATTTCTGTTGTTTAAGCGACTCAGTTGTGATACCCAGTTATGACAGCCGTAGGACATTGACACAGCACTGTAAAGTTACTCCCCCACCCCACCTGTCCATATTCTCCTCAGTAAATCTACATAAATTATTCTTCTCCATGGACAATATATGTTTTAGTCATATGTTTGTTTGCTTAGCCATTTGTTTATTGTCTATCTCCCCCAACCAGACTCTAATGCCAAGCATGTGTATTTTTGACTCTTTGATTCACTGCCATATTTTAGCACCTAAAACAGAGCCTGGCACACAGTAGCCACTTAAATATTTGGATGAACAAAATTAATGAGCCAGCAATGACAATAATTGGAAATGGACTGGAATAAATTATCTAGCTGAAAAACATATATTGTGAGAGTGGATGAAAAAGCAAAACTTTGTACTAGAGTAAAATATAAAATCAGGCCGAGTGTGGTGGCTCATGCCTGTAATCCCAGCACTTTGGGAGGCTGAGGCAGGTGGATCACTTGAGGTCAGGAGTTTGAGGCCAGCCTGGCCAACATGGTGAAACCCCGTCTCTACTTAAAAAATACAAAAATTAGCTGGGCATGGTGGCACATGCCTGTAATCCCAGCTACTCAGGAGGCTGAAACAGGAGAATCGCTTGAACCTGGGAGGTAGAGGTTGCAGTGAGCCAAGATTGCACCACTGCACTCCAGCCTGGGTGACAGAGTGAAACTGTCTCAAAAAAACTATATATATATATATATATATATATATATATATATATATATATATATACACGCAAATATACAATCATAGGAAGTAGAGAAGCAAAAGAATAGGAAAAGACATACCAAAAAAAAAAAAAAAAAAAGCCAACCCAAAGGAACTAGGTTCAGCTTTAATAAACGTGGATAAGATGGGCTTTAAAGTAAAAACGTTGTGAGGAAACAAGGGAGTTACCATATAATCTTAAAAGGTTCAATACATTGGAATACTGAAACAATTATGAACTTGTATGATCTAATAACATAAGTTCAGAATATATAAAGCTGGGTTTCCTGGGTTTTCTTTTTGCCTCACATATCCCAAATTGGAGAGGCAGCAACCCCAAAACATGAAGGGATGCAGACAAATAAGCCCCAAGAAAAGCTGGCTCTTTCTAGCCAAAGGACCAGGAAGAAGCAGCTGAGAAAGACAAACTTTCAGATGATAACTGCTCTACTCCAGCCAAACACTACAGAAAAAACTGTGACCTTAGCCTTACCTTTCCAGGGAAGGCTGAGTGGAAAACTTTGACTTCCACCTTTTCCAGACTACAAAGAGATGCCTCAACTTTTCAGCTGTGGTGACGTCAGAGAAGGCCGAGGAGCTGGACTTTGATTCTCACTGGGTGATAATGAATACCTTCATACTCTGTAATATCAGTAGACCATGCGGTCTGATGTCCGCATGTAGAGGGGCCTGATCGTCCACCTCTACACTGCAGCAATGAGGGGCTGACTGAGGTGGTAGCAGAGGAGCCCTAGAATTGCATCAGGGCTTTCACTACTGTCCAGTAGTAATGAGGATAACCTCCACTTCCATGTCAACAGTAGAGGCCATATGGGGAGCAGCAACAGGGCACCCCTGTCCCTCTAAGCCTAGTGGGGAGCCTGAGCTCTCACTTTCACTCAACAGTAATCAGAAAGCCCTCCCCACCAGATGTCAACAGAAGCTGAATGGGGAACCTGAACTTCCACTTCCTCCTGGCAGGAATGAGATGGCGCCTCTCTTTTCCCACTAGAGCAGTGTCAGAGAAGGCCTGCTATAACACAGGGTTTCAATAAGATCCAGAGTTTTATAACATAACACCCAAATGTTCAGATTTCAATAGAAAATCATTTGTCATACCAAGAACTAGGAAAATCTCAAGTTGAATGAGAAAAGACAATCAATAGACATCAACACTGAGATGACACAGATGTTAGGATGTTAGAATTATCTGACAAAGGTTTTAAAGCAGCTATCATAAAAATGCTTCAAAGAGCCATTGTAAACACGCTTGAAATAAATGAAAAGGTAGAAAAGCTCGGCAAAGAATAGAAGACACAAAGAACCAAATGGAAATTTTAGAACTTAAAATACAATAACTAAAATTAAAACTTAATGGATAGGCTCAACAACAGAATGAAGACAACACAGGAATTAATCAACAAACTTGAAAATAGAACAATATAATTACTCAATCTGAACAATAGACAAAAAATAGACTGGAAAAAAACTGAACAGAACTTCAGGGACCTGTGGTTAATAATAAAATGACCTCAGGTTTGTTATATAGATAAACTCATGTCAAGGAAAAAAGTAATAATAAAACAATCTAACATTCAGCCACTGGAGTCACAGAAGTAGAGGAGAAAGAGGATGGGGCTGAAAAAGCACTCAAAGAAATAATGGAAAAATTTCCCAAATTTGGCGAAAGACATGAACATACAGATTTAAGAGCTGAGTCACTCCAAACAAGGTAAGCCCAAATAAATTTATTCCAAGACAAATTATAGTCAAACTTCTGAAAAATAAAGCCAAATAAAATCTTGAAAGTAGTAAGGGAGAAATAACATCTTACTTATGGAGAAAACAATTTGATAGACTGAAGATTTGTCATCAGAAACCGTGGAAGACAGAAGAATGTGGCATAACATTTTTCAAATAATGAAAGAAAAGAATCATTAACCTAGAATTCTACCCTCAGCAAAATTATATTTCAGGAATGCAGATACACTCAGATGAGAGAAAATTAGATTTTGTCACCATAAACCTACCCTATCATTTCCTTTAAGCAGAGAGGAAATGATAAAAGAAGAAAATTTGAAACATTAGGAATGGAAGAAAGACAATAGAAAGAGCAAAATTATGATAAACACAATAAACTTTCTTCTCCTAAGCTGTCTAAATTATGTTTGATGGTTGAAGCAAAAATCGTAACACCGTCTGATGTGATTTTGAATGTATGTAGATAAAATATTTAAGACAATTATAAATGGGGAAAAAACAATGTAAAGAGAGACAAGTTTTCCATACTTCACTCAAACTGTTAAGATGATAATACCAGTAGATTATGTTCAGTTATGTATATATAATGTAATACCTAGAGAAACCACTAAAAAAAGTATACAAAGAGATACACTAAAAAACACTATAGATGATTAAAATATTATAAAAAATAGTTCCAGTAACCCACAAGAAGGTAGGAAAAAGAAAACAGAGAAACAAAGCAAAATGGCAGGTCTAAGCTCTAACATACAAATGATTACCTTAAATGTAAATGGTCTATATAAACTAATTAGAAGATGGAAATTGGTAAAGTGGATAAATATTACCACACTAACTATATGCTGTCTACGAGAAACTCACTTCAAACATAATGATATAAGTAAGTTTAACACAAAAGGATGGAAAAAGATATACCATGTCAACATTAATTGAAAAACAGCAGGAGTGGCTGTATTAATATCAGATAACATAGACTTTAGAGCAAATAAATTACCAGGGATAGAGAGAGCCATTACATATGATAAGAGTCAATTCACCAAGAAAATACAGAAATCTTAAATGTGTATGCACCAAACAATGGGGCTACAAAATATATGAAGTAAAAACCGATAAAACTGAGAAGAGAAATAAACACATTTACAATTATAGTTGAAGGCTTTAATACTCTTTCAACAATTGATAGAACAATTAGACAGAAACCAGCAAAGTTACAGAACTCAACAAACACTGTCAACCAACAGTATCTACTCAACATTTTGTATCAGCTCATCCAACCCAAGTAGAACACACATTCTTTTTCAAAAACCTGTGGGACATAAACCAAAATTGACCACATCCTTGGTCATATAACAAATCTCAAAAAATTTAAAAGAATTGACATTGTAGAGGGTGATCTCTGACCCCAATGGAATTAAAATAAAAATCAGTGACAGGAAAATTTCCAAATACTTAAAAACTAAACAGCACACTTCTAAATAATACATAGGTCAAAAAAGAAGTCTCAAGGAAAATAAAAATACAACATATCCAAATTTATGGAACACAGCAAGTTCTGAGAAGGAAATCTAAATCACTAAACAGTTACATTAGAAAAAAGAAAAAGCTTCAAATTGATACTCTAAGCTCCCACCTTAAGTAATTAGAAAAAGAAGAGTAAAAGAAACCAAAAGCAGCCAGAAGGAAGAAAATAATGAAGATAAGAGCAGAAACCCAAGAAAATAAAAATAGAAAAGCAATAGGGAAAAATCAGTGAAACAAAATCTGGTTCTTTGAAAAGATAAATACAATTGACAAATGCCTAGCAAGATCAACAAAGAAAAAAAGAGAGAAGACACAAATTACCAATCTCAGGAATAAAATGGGAATATCAAGACAGACTGTGCAGACATCAAAACAATAATAATGGAATACTTAAAACAACTTAACAAGCATAAATTTGACAACTTAGATAAAACGGACTACATTCTCAAAAAGTACAGCCAAAACTCACCCAATATGAAATAAGTAATTTGAATAGCCATATAGCTATTAAAGAAATTGAACTAGTAATTTTACTTTTTTCATGTTTTCCTCTATTTTATTATTTTTTTTATTTCCGTAGGTTTTTGGGGGAACAGGTGGAGTTTGGTTACATAAATAAGTTCTTTAGTGGTGGTTAGTGAGATTTCGGTGCACCCATCACCTTAGCAGTATGCACTGTACCCAATTTGTAGTCTTTTATCCCTCACCCCACTCCCACCCTCTCCCTTAAGTCCCCAAAGTCCATTGTATCATTCTTATGCCTTTGCATCTTTATAGCTTGGCTCTCACTTATGAGTGAGAACATATATGTTTGGTTTTCCATTCCTGAGTTACTTCGCTTAGAATAATGGTCTCCAATTCCATCCAGGTTGCTGTGAATGCCATTATTTCATTCATCTTTATGGCTGAATAGCATTCCATGGTGTATATATATTTACATATATCACAATTTCTTTATCCACTCATGGATTGATGGGCATTCAGGCTGGGTCCAAATTTTTGCAACTGTAAATTGTGCTGCTATAAACATGAGTGTACAAGTATCTTTTTCTCAGGGAATTAAATCTAAGACCTGAAACCACAAAAATTCCAGAAGATAACATCAGAAAAACCTTTCTAGACACTGACTTAGGCAAAGACTTCATGACCAACAACCCAAAAGCAAATGCAACAAAAACAATGATATACAGGTGAGATTTAATTAAACTAAAAAGTTTCTGCATAGCAAAAGAAACAATCAGCAGAGTAAACAGACAATCCACAGAATGGGAGAAAATCTTCACAATCTATACATCCAACAAAGGACTAATATCCAGAATCTACAATGAACTCAAACAAATTAGCAAGAAAAAAACAAACAATCTCATCAAAAATGGGCTGAGGACATGAATAGATAATTCTTAAAAGAAGATTTACAAATGGCCAACAAACATGTGAAAAAAATCTCAACATCACTAATGATCAGGGAAATGCAAATCAAAACCACAATGTGATATCACCTTACTCCTGAAAGAATGGCCATAAAAAAAAAAAAGATGTTAGTAGAGATGTGGTGAAAAGGGAACACTTTCACACTGCTGGTGGGAATGTAAACTAGTACAACCACTGTGGAAAACAGTGTGGAGATTCCTTAAAGGACTGAAAGTAGAATTACCATTTGATCCAGCAATTCCGATACTGGGTATCTACTCAGATGAATTAGTAATTTAAAAACTCCTGAAAAGAAATCTCCTGGCCCAGATTGTTTCACTAGAGAGTCCTACCAAATGTTTAAAGAATGTACACCAATTCTGCACAATCTTTCCAGAAAACAGAAGAGGAGAGGTCATTTCTCAATTTATTTTATCAAACTAGTAATACCCTGACATCAAAAGATATGAAGCTAAAATTTATTGAACTGCAAGAACTGGACAAATTTACTAATATAGTGGGAGATTTTAACATGTCTCAATAATTGATAAAGCTGACAAAAAAATTAGTAGTCAATAGGAGATCTCATGAACACAAATAAAGCTCCATCCAATCAACGTATAGGTGACCCTGCATGGGCCATGACACATTTTTCTCAAGCACATAAAACATACATGAAAACTGACTTAGGTGGGTATTGGCAAAAGCAAGTCTCAACAAAATTGAAATAAAGTGTATCATCCAGACCACATCCTCTAACTCTAAAGCAATTAACTTAGAACTCAGCAAGGATAATAAGAAAACCCTATTCATCTGGAAATTTTAAAAACCAGTCATTTAAATAACTCATTGATCAAAGGAGACATTGCAATGGCAATTCCGAACTGAGCAGTAGAAAGGTCACATATGAAAACTCATGGACTCAACTAAAATTGTGCTTAGAAAGAAATGTATAGTCTTGAATGTTTACAGTAGGGACGAAGAATGGCAGAAAGTGAATGAACTAAGCGCCAAACTGGAGAATTTAGAAAAATAATGAAATTAACCCCCCAAAAGGAAAGATAAATGTAAAAGTGGGAATTGGTGAAAAAAATAGGACTAAAACAAAAATCCAAAAGTTGGTTCTTGGAAAAGATTAATTAAATGGATGAACTTTTGGCAAGGTTCAATGGGAAAAAGAGAAGTCTTAAATAAAGGAACTTAACAAGACAGGCACACAAGAGCGTAACCTTGTGTTACACTCAGGAAACGGAGAGAAGCCACCACAGGAAACGGAAGAAGCCACCTCTGTTTCTGGAGGAGACTGGTACCATCTCAGACCTACTAGCCCTTGGGGGACCCCAAGAGAGGGGACACCCATCTCCTGCAATATTTTGGGGAGCCAAGCTTGTACCTGCAAACACACAGAGCCCAGGCCTCCAGAAAAGTGTCTGCATCCTCCCTGAAGGAGCCCCAGGCCAGCAGCCCCTTCCTGTCACATTCCCCTCCTCCCCAGAGGTAGAAGGGCTGTCAATCTATCACAGCGCTGCAGCTGCACCGGCGTTTCCCAAAGTGGCTGCACCATTTACATTCCAACCAGCAGTGTATGAGGCTTCCAGCTTCTTCAACTCCTTGTCAACACTTGTTGTGGTCTGCCTTTTTGATTATAGTCATTCTAGTGAGTGTGAGGTAGTATCTCATTGCAGTTTTGATTTTCATTTCCCTACTGACTAATGGTATGGAGTATCTTTCATGGGCTTATTGGCCATTTGTATATCTTCTTTGGAGAACTATCTACCCAAATTCTTTGTCCACTTTGTAATCTTTTCATTGTTGAGTGATAAGCATTCTTTACATATTCTGGACACTAGAGCCTTATTGCATTCACAATTTGCAAATATCTTCTCCCCACTGGGGATGGTCTTTTCGCTTTCTTGATATTGTCCTTTGAAGCATCAAAATTTTAAATTTTATTTATTTATTTATTTATTTTTGAGACGGGGTCTCGCTCTGTTGCCCAGGCTGGAGTGCAGTGGCACGATTTCGGCTCACTGCAAGCTCCGCCTCCCAGGATCATGCCATTCCCCTGCCTCAGCCTCCTGAGTAGCTGGGACTACAGGCACCTGCCACCACTCCCGGCTAATTATTTGTATTTTTAGTAGAGACAGGGTTTCACAGTGTTAGCCGGGATGGTCTCGATCTCCTGACCTCATGATCCTCCTGCCTCAGCCCCACAAAGTGCTGGGATTACAGGCGTGAGCCACCGTGCCTGGCCCAAAGTTTTAAATTTCGATGAAGTCCAATTTATGCGTTTTTCCTTTAGTTGCTAAAATTAAATTTATGAGACTGACATGCTGCCTACTGCACTGAGGAAGCAACTTAAATTTAAATTAAAAGAATGTATATGCCAAGAAATGTGGAAATTTAGATAAAAATGACAAGTTTCTTGGAAAATCTAACTTATCCACACAACCCGTGTGGTGTTCTGATAAATATTTAACAATTGGCTTTCCAAACCAACCAACCTAATGCCGCACACATAAAAGCCCCTTTCGTGTAGTGCTAACCAGTTTCCATGGTGTAAATACTCCCACCATGGCCAGTGTGACATCCCTGAGTGTGGTGTTGGGAAGAGATGTGCATTATCTGCTCTCCAGAGCCAGCCTCCAGTGCGTCACTGAGCTGTAACACAAGAAATGGAGAACCCAAATCATTCTATAACCATAAAACAAGCGGAATCAGTGGCCCAGCCCTCAGTCCTGCACCCATAATCTTCAAGGCTTGCCATGACTTTCTGCAAGAGGGACCACCAGGCCACCCTCCACTCTGGTAGAGTTGCTGATGTGGCAACCAGTGAAGAATGCCATCAGCAAAGTCCCACTGGAGAGGCCCAGCCCAGTAGGTCATACCCAGTCCCGGTCCAGCTCTCTTCCCCTCCTCTGCCCCTCCTGCTGAGCAAAGGTTCTGCCTGAACCTTTGGATCTAACCAGGCACATGTAGACCCACGTATCACAGGATGTCAGTGACCAGCTCCTAGCAATGAAGGCTCAGAAAGGTCCAGCAAGATGCCCAAGGTCACACAGCAGGCCATGGCAGAGTTCAGCTGGAGCCCAAGCCTCAGAACTCCCATCCCAGCCTTGAACTGTGAAACTAGAGTCTGGCCCATGAATCCTCTTTAGCTGAGCCCTTGGGCCCCCCATGCAGGCCTGAGTGGGCCTGGGGATCTCAATGGGCTTGAATGTGTCCCAAGGCCAGGTCTGCCTATGCCTGTCCCATCACTTCTCCCCAGGGAGTTCAGGGAGCCCCACAGCCGGGGCTACAACTGAGGGCACAGCCAGCTCTGAACCATGGACAGAGCCTAGCCCCTGCAAGTCAGGGGTTGAGGTGACAGGATGCTCTGGGCGCTCCCTGGAGGAGGCGGGCATCGCCTGAGGCCCTTCTGGAGGCTGCTAACACAGTGGGGAAATCAAGCGTGCGCTTTGGAAGCAGACCGAGCCAGGCTGGCATCCCAGGTTCCCACGTGGTGCTGCGTGACCTCGGGCAAAGTGTCTCAACATCTGGAATCTCCTTTTTTTCCTCATAAAGATGCCTGGTCTCACAACCGTTAAGACTTGAATGAGGTAATGTTATGTTCAAGTGCTCTGCTCTGGGCTGGCACAGGGTTGGTGGCCCATAAACAGTAAGTTCCACTCCTTCCCTAGTGGGAGCAGCTTAGCTGTCTCAGCAGAGCCCTTTCCCCTGCTTGGGGATCCTGGTGGCTGGTGGGGGTGGGGACAGGGAGGAGGGGTGGTACAAACCTCTACAGAGTGCATACATTTTAAGTGTAGAGCTCTGGGCCAGATGCCATGGCCAGGTCCTGGGTTAGCCTCCTCAAAGGATGCCATAGGGGCGGATACAGAGCCAGGAGGACAGCCCCACAAAGGGCAGCCCCCTAGGCCAGGCACCGTGGCTCACATCTGTAATCCCAGCACTTTGGGAGGCCGAAGCGGACAGATCACCTGAGGTCAGGAGTTCGAGACCAGCCTAGACAACGTGGTGAAATCCCATCTCTACTAACAATACAAAAATTAGCCAGGCGTGGTGGTGGGTGCCTGTAATTCCAGCTACTTGGAAGGCTGAGGCACAAGAATCGCTTGAACCCGGGAGGTGGAGTTTGCAGTGAGCTGAGATCATGCCACTGCACTCCAGCCTGGGAGGCCTTGGGACTTGGTTGGTGACTGGAGCCAGAGACTCCATCTCAAAAAACAAAACAAAACAAAACAAAACAAAAACAAAGGGCAGCCCCCCAGAAACCCGAATACAGAAGACCTATCCGACATCCTGACCTGTCCCCACAAGGACAGCTGGAGGGGAAGTGCTGCTCCACGTGGCTCCAGTGCTGCAGAGAGCCCTGGCCAGGGATTGGGAGCCAGTGTTGGTGACCTTGGGCAGGTCGCCACCCTTCTCTGTTCCTCACCATTCCCATCTGTAAAAGGCAAGGGTTGGACCAATTCATCCCCTGGGTCCCTTCTGGCTCTGACCTTTGGGGATTCCCAGCCTGCTCCCAGCCTTGACTTTCAGAGAAGCTATGGACTGGCCAGGGCTGCCCCTTGGCAAGTGTTTCCTTTGGCTCATGCAGAAGCTGTGCCCCAGGCTCGCTAGTCCAGACCAATAAGCCAGGCTCATAAACGCCTGGCGGGGCAGCCGGTCTCCTTCACATAAAAGTCATTTTCCAAACAGGATTGAGAAAGGCCAGCTCCGGACAGGCCATCTCGGGGGCACTGGAGCAGAGAGTGCCCGATTGCCTGAGCCTTCCTGGCCAGCTCCCCCTGTCATCTGCCTCGTCTTGGTGCCTATCTCCCTCCCGCTTACCCTCTGGAGATAAACTGGGGCATGAGTCCTGCCTCCTATGTGGCCTTGGTCCTGTCACGTCTCCTTCTGGGCCTCAGTTTCCCTATCTGTCAAACAGGGAGGCCCATCCCTGGCTGGCCTCACTCGGCAGTGTGTGACAGTGCCTTGCCAGGAGTGAGCAGCGAGCTGGTGAAGAGTGGCTCTCAGCCCCTGGGTGACCCTCCCCATATCCCCCAGCCCAGACCTCTCATCTCAGCTCTGGCCTCCCACCCTGGCCCAGAACCACATGCCCAGAGGGAGCTCTGCACACATGGGCAGAAGAGGCCTTGTGACTTGGCTGCTGGCTGCATCTGCTGGGTGTGCTGCCTCCCCCATCAGACAAGGAATCAGACCAGAGGCTTCCTGAGGACCAGAGCTGCATCTCATCCATCAGACCAGGACCCCTGAGGACAGCAGCAGCTTCGTCTCCACCCTCAGAAAGAGGTGGGTCTTGAAGGTAGCAGTGAGTCCCTTCCACCTGCAGGAAGAGTGTCCTGAGAGCTCCTCCATCAAAAGACTCCAGGGCAGGGCTGTGTCTCCCCCATTAGATTAGAAGGTTCTCAAAAGAGAGAGGGAGCATTGCCTACTCCTTAATTCTTATACCATGGGAGCTGTGTTTCCCCCATCAGACTAGATGATCTGTGTGTTCAAGGGCTATGCCTCCCCATCAGATTGGAAGCTTCCAAGCGCAGGGGCTGTTCCTCCCCGATCAGCGAGGAGGCCCCTGAAGGACAGGCATTTTGTCTCCATGCTCAGTCTGGGGTCTCACTGAGCATGACCTGAGCCTCCTCTTCAGACTGTGGGCCCCACTGTCTTCCTTCAGAGCCAGCACCTGGGCGGCCTGTGCTGGGTGTCTGGGAGAAAGGAGGATGCACGTGGGCTGAGGGGAAGTGGGGCAGGAAGCGTGTATTAAGGCAAAGAGGTGGCTCAGAACCAGGTGCCCACCGTGCCAGGCTGTGCTGGCACCCCGTGCTCCCAGGGCAGAGGGCCAGGGCAGGCTGGGTGATTCACGCCTAGGTTGGAGCTGGTTGCTTCTCAGACTCCGCCCAACCCTGGCTGGCCTCACTATGGGTTACCTGGGGGGATCTGTAGGGGGACATGGAGGCTGGGGGCACTGGGATGCTGTTTGGGAGAAGGCAGGGGAGAGGCCTCAGGAGATGTAAGCCTCACCTGGTCTCACTGAGTCAGAGCTGGACAGGCCCCTGAGCATCAGCTACCCAAGCCCCTCCTTGCAGAGAGGGCAGAAGGTTGCACAGCCGGTCTCCAGGGTCTTAGGACGGGGACCTAGGGATCCTGAATCCTGGCCCAGTACTGCTTCCAAGCTGGTGACCCAGCTTGTGTTATTAGACAGGCCCCTCCCACATGAGTGGGGAAGAGAGAACCCTCACTTCCACCTAATTGTTAGCACTGAGTCCAGATAACCCAGAGGGCAGGGCAGGGGCCTGTCTGGGAGCCTTCCTAACCACCCCCATCCTTTCTTCCGGCATCATTCCTCCTCCTTGCCTTTTATTATTCTCCTCTGGCTTTGCAAGCCCATTCCTCTGAAAGCCTCATGTAAAGGGTCGCTTTACATGAGACTTTTCAAAACTGACACCTCAGTAAAGGCACAAGTAGATTCATGCAACCAGAGGTTGCAGCTGCACAGGCTGGCTGCAAGCAGAGAATCTCCTTGAAGCTTCCTGCTTAATATCTGTGCACGTGTGAATTGAGTTCCACTCCGCAATACAGGCCTGCTGCGAATGCTTGGGCAGGTTGTTCACTGCATACAGAGGAGGAGTTGGGGCTGACTTCCCATCCGAGCGCCTCTTGCCAAGCTTTGTGCCTGAGTGGGGCTGCATCTATCCCAAAGAAGGGGCATGCTTTTTCTCACTTTGCACAGAGGTGCCTTATGGACCAGCAGGGGCCCTGCCATGACCCGGCCAGATTTGTCTTAACATTTTCAAATACTTTTTTTTTCTCTCAAATTGTTGGGTAAATTGATGCTGCTGCAGGGAGCTGGGCCATGTTTTCTCAGGGGCTTTGTGGATCTAGATCACAGCCTGAGAAGCTCAAATTGACCCCAGATCACAACCTCCTGCCTGGTAAATTAAGACGATGGGTTGGCTTTATCTGTAAATTAAAATTTGGGCTTTTACATATCTTGTAGCAGGCCTCGCCTGGTGGCTCACGCCTGTAATCACAGCGCTTTGGGAGGCTGAGGTAGGTAGATAACTTGAGCTCACGAGTTCAAGACCAGCCCGGGCAACATACAGAAATCCTGTCTCTACTAAAAATACAAAAATTAGCCAGGTGTGGTAGTGCACATCTGTAGTCCCAGCTACTCAGGAGGCTGAGGTTGGAAGGATGGCTTGAGCCTAGGAGGTAGAGGTTGCAGTGAGCCGAGATCGTACCACTGAGCTCCAGCCTGGGCAATAGAGCCAGACCTTATCTCATAAATAACATAAAATATAAAATAAAATAAAAATCTTGTAGTGAATGCTGTTTCTGGAAGGTTTTTGACTCTAAACCCCACCAGTTGTACATGTGGTTACCTGACAATGGCTTTTCTGGTTTCTATCCTGGTTTGGGCGTGTTTTCACTGTACGGAAAAAAATGTTTAATTGCTTATTGAAGTTCCTATACACAAAGTACATAAATTTTAAGTGTATAGCCCAATGTATGTTTACATATAATTACAGCAGTGTAATCACCACTCAGATCAAGATACAGAACATTTCCAACACCCCAGAAGGCTTCTTCATGCCTGCTGCTAGTCAATGCTGCCTCCTCTAAATGTAATTACTTTTCTGATCTCTATCACCACAGGTTAGCTTTGCCTGTTCTTGAACTTCATATAAATGGAATCACGCAGTATTTAGTCTTTTGTGTCTGGATTCTCTTGCACATCAATATGTCTGTGAGGTTTATTCTTGTTGTCACATGGAACTGTGATATGTTCTTTTTCATTGTTGTATAGTATTTCATTTAATGAAGATACTACAATGTATGTATCCCTCTCTCTATTGATGGACATGTGGGTTATTTCCAATTTGTGGTTATTGAAAGTAAAGTTGCTATGAATGTCCTTGTACATATCTTTTGGTGGGAAATGGTCTCATTCTTCTACAGTGTCTAGGAGTGGAATTGCTGGGTCATAGGCGTATTAGTCTGTTTTTGCATTGCTATAAAGAACTACTTGAGACTGGGTAATTTATGAAGGAAAGAGGTTTAATTGACTCACAGTTCTGCATGGCTGTGGAGGTCTCAAGAAACTTGCAATCATGGTGGAAGAAGAAGTCAGCATCTTCTTCACAAGTCAGCAGGAGAGAGAGACAGCACAGGGGAAACTGCCACTTTTAAACCATCAGATCTCATGAGAACTCCCTCACTATCACGAGAACAGCATGGGGGAAACCACCCCCATGATCCAATCACCTCCCACCAGGTTCTTCCCTTGACACGTGGGGATTACAATTTGATGTGAGATTTGGGTGGGGACACATATCACAGGGAAAGTATGTATTGTGCTCCAAGTCTAATAGATACTGCCAACAGTTTTCCAATGTGATCCTACCAATTTCCATTCTCACAGGGAGTGTCTGAGAGTTCTATTTGTTCCACATCCACATCGCCAACACTTGGTATTGTGAGGCTTTTTAACCTTGGCTATCCTGGTGGTGGAGTCTTCTTTTTGTTTTCATTTGCATTTCCCTGGTGACTAAAGAAGTTGAGCATCTTTTCCTCTGTTTATTGGCCTCTTGGTATCTTTTATGTTTTTAAGTGAAGTGCCTGTTCAATTTTTTTTTTCTTTTTTGGGGGAATAGAGTCTCACTTTCTCACCTAGGCTGGGATGCAGTGGCGCAATCTTGACTCACTGCAACCTCTGCCTCCCAGGTTCAAGCAATTCTCCTGCCTCAGCCTGCTGAGTACCTGGGACTATAGGCGTGCACCACCACACCTGGCTAATTGTTTTACTTTTAGTAGAGACGGGGTTTTGCCATGTTGGCCAGGCTAGTCTTGAGTTCCTGACTTCAGGTTATCCACCCACCTTGGCCTCCCAAAGTGCTGAGATTACAGACGTGAGCCACCAAGCCCGGCGAATTTTTTTTGCTCGTTAAAAAAATCAGGAGGTCTGCCTTTTTCATATTTATTTGTAGGTGTTCTTATAAATTCTGGATGCGAGCTCTTTGTCAGATGTAAGGATTGTGAGTTACCTCCTCTATTAGCAAATTTAACTTGCTTATTCATCAACTCATTCCAAGAGCACCAATAAGGAATGGGCCAGGCCCTGTGCTGGGTGCTGGGTTATCAGAATGAGTATGATGTGGCCCTCATTCTTGAAGACAGCTCGACCGTGATGGAGGAGACAGGCATTTAGAATAAGCATGAAATAAAGGTGGCTGTTAAGGGGTCAGCTCCCCTCACCAAAGTCACTTTTGATTTACTTACAAAAGTTTTCTTAAGATTTCTTCAGAACCCAGGTAAGGTGAAAAGCAAGGGTTTCCCTATGCTTATTTTCTGGGCTGGGTTTTTAAATCCTTTGCAGTGAGTACTGCTTTTAGAAGATTCCTTGACTCCATCAGCTGAATGCGTGCTCATCTGCTGATCCCTCCCTTGGTTTCCGCCCTGTTTTGGGGAATGTTAGGCTGGACCCACCAGGATGTGGTCAAATTCTTGGCCCTGGAATCCAGTTCCTGGTGCTCAGTGTGGGTAAGTCAGACCCAGCCAGGAGGGCGGAGGCTTTGGTCGGGAGTGGGGGTGGGGCCAGGCTGGCGAATGCTCTGGAAAGCTGGGTCCAGTTTAGAAATCTTCACCTCTCCTGGGAAAACTTGTCATGTCAGGCACAGCCAGACTTCCCCTCCCACCCCTCAGGCTGCCAGCCCTGATGGGGACTCAGGGGGCTGTGAGTGGCATGGGGACAGAGGCCAACACATTGGAGTGAAGTGGCCATGCTGAGGCCACAGGCGGTGGGCAGGCATGAAAGCCGGGCCCAGGACATGGAAGAAGCCCATGGCCAATCGGTGCATGAATGATGGGGGGCACCTTGGCAGGCTCGGGGGGCATCGTGTCCTGGAGTCTGAAAACAGGCACAAAAGGGCAGTGCACAGGGTGCCGGGCAGGGCATGAGCCCTGCATTCTAGCCTGGGGCCTGTTCCTAGCTCACCCAGTGCCACCCAGCTCCTTTCTCCGTTCTCTGCTCTTGTGGCCCATGTGTCATTAAGGGCCCAACAGCTCTGACATTCTCTGTAGCTTATCTAGGAAGGAGGCACTGTGAACACCTGGGAGCAGGTAGGCAGTGGGGCCTGGCCTTGGGGAGCCGAGTGACCACAGGGAAGCAAGGGGTGTGCTGGACAGAGGGGCCTGACACCCAGTCCCTTCCTCACGCTGCTGCTACACTGTCACCTCCCAGGAAGGCTCCTGACCCCGGATGGACCCAGAGCCCATGGTCCTGGGGGGACCTCTCTATGTTCATCATCTGAGACACCAAAATAGATGCCCCTTTATCAACTAAGATGGACCCCAAGGTTAAGGAAACAAAAGTTACCTACAGGCAGAAGGTTCAAGGCCTGGTTGGCATGGCAACTCTCTAAATTCCCACCACTGCAAGAATAACCACACCTGGCCGGGCACGGTGGCTCATGCCTGTAATCCCAGCACTTTGGGAGATCAAGGTGGGTAGATCACTTGAGGTCAGGAGTTCGAGACCAGCCCAGCCAGTCTTTACTAAAAATATAAAACTTAGCTGGGTGGTGGTGGTGCGTGCCTGTCATCCCAGCTACTCGGGAGGCTGAGGCAGGAGAATCGCTTGAAACTGGGAGCTGGAGTTTGCAGTGAGCCAAGATTGTGCCACTGCACTCCAGCCTGGGCAACAGAGTGAGTGAGACTACTTCTCAAAAATAACCACACCCAGCTGGGCGTGGTGGCTCATGCCTGTTATCCCAGCACTTTGGGAGGCTAAGGCGGGCTGATCACGAGGTCAGGAGATCGGGACCATCTTGGCTAACATGGTGAAACCCCGTCTCTACTAAAAATACAAAAAAAATTAGCTGGGCGCTGTGGCGGGCGCCTGTAGTCCCAGCTACTCAGAAGGCTGAGGCAGGAGAATGGCATGAACCCAGGAGGCGGAGCTTGCAGTGAGCCGAGATCGGGCCACTGCACTGGAGCCTGGGCGATAGTGTGAGACTCTGTCTCGGGAAAAAAAAAAAAATTACCACACCCTTGCTAAACTCTTAATAATAGGAACTGTCAGGCAAATCGTCACATCCTTCATGACTTGGATTTACAACCAAGACCACTACAGCTCTGACTGGATGGAGGAACTGCCTGACAAACATTTTTTCTTCTTCTTCTTCTTCTTTCTCCTCCTCCTCCTCCGTCTTCTTCTTCTTCTTCTTCTTCTTCTTCTTCTTCTTCTTCTTCTTCTTCTTCTTCTTCTTCTTCTTCTTCTTCTTCTTCCTCTTCTTCTTGTTCTTCTTCTTCTTCCTCTTCCTCTTCCTCCTCTTCCTCTTCCTCCTCTTCTTCTTCTTGTCCCTCTTCCTTCTCCTTTTTCTTCTTCTTCTTCTTTTTGAGACAGAGTCTCACTCTGCTGCCCAGGGCTGCTGTGCAGTGGCGTGAACATGGCTCACTGCATCCTCGACCTTCCAGGCTCATGTGATACTTCCACCTCAGCCTCCCGAGTAGCTGGGATTAGGCATGCACCACCATGCCTGGCTAATTTTTTTTATCTCTTGTAGAGACAGGGTTTCACCATGTTATTCAGTCTGGTCTCGAACTCCTGGGCTCAAGCAATCCACCTGCCTTGGCCTCCCAAAGTGCTGGGATTACAGGCATGAGCCACTGCGCCTGGCCTCAAACATTCTCTTCTGATACGCAACTGCAGACCTTAAGCCATTTCAGCAGCTTATAGAGTCTGCAAACAAGCTGTCTTTGTGTCCTGCACCTTTTGCTATAAAGAACGAAATTCCACCTCATTTTAGTACTAGAACCCTAGCCCAAAGTGAAAGTGGGGTCTGCTTTACACTACGTGTGTGAAAGTGGGGCGTGCATTACACTACGTGTGCCTGTGTGCATACACTCCCCTCCCTTCATAAATATGGATAGCCTTTCCCGCAAACCTGCTGAATATGTATGACTCTATTGCGTCATATGGGCTCCATGAGGCACAAAACCCAACCTGCCCTTTTCCTCTCCCAAGAGAGAGCACGTCCAGAACACGCCAGAGACTGTCTCTTCCTGGTTTGCAAACTCATACCACTAGTAAAGCTCCTTTCTGCTATTTAGCTATCCTGGTGGTCTTTTGGGCAACATGCTTATCTGGGAAGAGCTGTCTTGTAATCTCTGTGTCTGCATCAGACTCTGCCAGCCCTAGATTGGGAGCTCTGAGATGACATAGGCTGCGTCCCACCCCAGCAGCAGCATGCAAGGTTGGGGACACATGTGAGGGTGTGTGGTGCAGCCCTGAACAGCCTCAGGCAGACTCCCTGTATTCTTGTTCCCAACCTCCTCCCTCCCTAGGTCAAAAGGCTGTGGCAGGAGGCCAGGCAGATCACAGCGTCCATGCCTAGATGCTCCCTGACCCCCAGGAACCAGAAGTGCTGTCTCCTGAAGGCTCTGGAAACCCGGAATCAGCCTACGAGGCACCAGGGCCACCTTGGAGGGTGGAAATGAGGACCTCAGGCCCCAGAGGGCATGCAGGCGAGGTGAAGTTCAGGAGAGGTAAGCCTAAGGACCCTCAGAGCTATCACACTATGCCCTCCACCCAAATGATGCAGACAGGAAAACTGTGGCCTAGACCGGACCACCACGGCCAAAAAGGATCTTTGTCTTGTCTTGTCCCACAGCCAGGAAGTGTCCCCCTCTTCCCGGCCTGCTGTATCCCAGGACACAGGGCGTAAGTGTGGAGGAGGAAGGGCTGCAGGGTGAGGCAGCCCACACTTTGGCTCAGGACAGGGATGGGACCGGGACATATGGGAAAATAGTCTGGGGGTCCTGGGTAATGGCAGGAGCATGAGCTCAGGGTCGGGTGGCTGTCCTGGATGACCTGTGGGACTCTCTTCCTCTCCAAGCCACGCTTTCCTCAACTGTCCCTTCCTTGTGGGATGCAAGAGGCCACGGCGAGCGAAGGCATGTGCCAAGAGCTGCCACTCAATGTGAGTCAGCGTGCTGGTCCTCCCTCCTTTTCTCCAGGGGGCCTAGGACTTTTGGGGGGAGCCTGAGGACATGCTTCGCTGATGTCACTGTGTGGAGTGTACAAATGGCCACCCTGCTGCTCGTTGGTTCTATATGGGCATCCAGGCTGGAGAGCAGGGGGTGGGGAGATGGAGATGCCACCAGCAGGGGACTGGTTCCTAGAAGAGAGGGCGAGTTTGGGTGGTCCCAGAGGTGTTCTTCCCAGAAAAGAGAGCAGGAGGCAGGAGGTGGGCATGGAGAATGTGGAGGGGGGCATTGACAGTGTTCTCCACCACCCATCAGATAAGACCTGGAGCCTCATTACCAAAGACTTAATGAGATTCGCTTTGTTTTCTTATGAGCCAGGCAAGGTGCCAGGGGAAGCGGCTTCCAGCCCCAGGCTCTGCAGCTGGCTGCTGTGTGACCCAGAGCCAGGCACCACACCTCTCTGGGCCTTAGACTCCTTATCCATGAGCTTCCTGCCTGCACCCTAACATTCAGTGTCATTGGCCGAGTTACCCAATGGCTCCCAGCCTCAGTTTCTTCATCTGCACATTAGGGATAAGTACAGCCATCCACCTGGGAGGTGTCAAGGGGGTGTGGCCGCAGCACCCAGCCCATGCACAAGTTCAGTGATCATTACCTGTCTCCCCCAGCCCTGCCTGAGTGCCAGGATCAGCAGGCTTGGGAAGGGGGAGCCCCCAGGGATGTGGAAAGTGGAGAGGGAGCACATGGGCTCTGGGGCCTCGGGGCTCCTGGGCTCTGTTCTGCCTGTCTGGGAGCTGTCTCCTGCTCTCCCTTGCAGTGTCTCTGTCTCTCTTCGTTCTGTTCCTCCCTCTGTCCTTCAGTTTTTCCCTCTCCATCTCAGTCTCTGGTTGTCTCAGTCTCTCTTTGCACCTCACTGTCTCTGCCTTTCTCTGCATCTCTCTTCCTTTCCTGGGCTCTCTCTCTCTCTTTCATCCCTGTTTTGGGCTTTCTCTGTCTGTGTCTCTCTGTTTTTCAGTCTGCTTCTTTCTGTCTCCGTTCATTTCTCTGTATGTCTTTGTCCCCTGCACTCCCATTCTCCTCCCATGCTGTCCTCTCTGGGGGCTCCTCTGGCTTCACTGGGCCACAGGCCCAGGCTGGGGTGTGAAGAAGCAGGAGCTCCCCCGTCAGATGACGCTAGGTGCCCCAGTCAGGGCAGTGGGGGCCAGACAAAGAGCTCTGCGAGGGGTGGCAAAATCCTCTTCCCAGGGAAGGGAATGTGGGGGCTACTGGCCAGCTGTGGGATGGGTGGCTGAGAACTCTCATACCACTGTAAATTCTAGATGTTTTTCACTTATATCAGCTTCCTGATCCCCCTGAGCCAAAGGCCTAGAAGGTCCCTGTCCCTGTCCTTTTGGAATGTGCAGTCTTACTTACCAGAGTGACAAGGGGAACAGAGTTGAAACAGGTGGTTTCCCAGCACAGGAGCCTGTGGGGGCTGCTTAGAGAACAGCACATTCCCTGGGAGCCAGAGCCATCTGGGAGGGCTTTCTGGAGGAGGCAGATCATGAGGGATCAGGATGGGGACTAATATGTGCTGAGTGCCTGGTGGTGCTTTATAAGTATCAGCAGATTGGGAGATAAGCATAGCCACCCTGTGGAGACACCTGGGAGGTGTCAAGGGGCATGCATTGTAAAGGCCCAGAGTGGTGAAGCATCCACCAGCTGGTAAGTGGTAGCCTCGGGTGGGGCCTGTCGCTGTCCCCATGCTCTGTCCACTACTGGTGTGGCTTGCCCCACTTGTGACCATCGTTTCTTCCCCTCCACCCCCAGTGCCACTTCCTCTCTCCCTCGTTGTAGGGGAAAGAACATGGGCTGTGTGGCCTTGGACCAATTGCTTGCCCTCTCTGGGCCTTCTTATTGGTGACAGACAGACTGGTGACTTTCTGAGAGGATCTATGCAACCTCAGGCTCCTGCACCTGGGTTACAGGGTCTTCTGGAGGGGAAGAGATGAGCAGGTAGGCTTTGACACCTGCCTGCTTTGTCCTGAGTGTCTACTATGTCATCTGCTTTAAATGCGAAGTCCCTGGGACTTGCGAGTTATCTCTAAGCCTTCTCTTTTCCTGACTTTCTGGGAGTGTGTGTACCCCCATTCCCTCACCCCAGCCATCAGGGCCCTTTCTGAGTTGGGCCTCCTTCCTAGCTCTGGGCTAGGCCCCAACCCTGGCCCTTTCCAAGGCCAGCAGGAACTGGAAGGTCCGTACTCATGCCCTGGGAGGCTCCAGGCTCTAAGGGGTGCTGGAGTGATGGAGTTGGGCGGCTGGTGCTCAGAGGACCTTAATGGTGTGGGGACAGCTGGAAACTGGTTGTCTCTTGAACCCTCTTGCCACCAGGCCTCTGTCCAGGAGGGCTGCTGGGGGCCAATGGGCCAGACACCAGACAGTCACACCTTTGGCAGGGCTGAAGTCGGGGGGTGTGTGACACAATGGGAGGGGCTGGGCCTGGCAGTCCCTGCAGCCTATAAGCACCAGCAACCCATGAGGGGACACAGGCACCCTCTGGCCTCATCCTTCTTGGAGCCAGTGGGATGTAGCAACTAAAATACAAGCTCTGAAGTTTCATGGACTGGAGTTGCATCTCTGCTTCCATCCTAATTAGCAAGAGACCTTGGTCACGTTGCTTAAACTCTGACACTAGATTTTCCCCCTCTGCAAAGCAAGGACAATAGCAGTGCTCCCTTCCCGGGTCAGTTGCAAGGATTAAGGATGATGTCTGCAAAGTGCTTAGTCAGAGCCGGCATACGGTAAGTGCTCAATAAATGCTGGCTCCCATTATTAGTATCCCTTCCCTCCACGCCCTCAACACATCCCTTTATCATGATGGAATAACCAATTGCCTGGTAACAACATGTTCACACTTCCACGCTCCCCATCAACCATGCTCACCTATAAGGCAGGCTGCGACCAGCTCCTCTTCATCTATTCATTGCCTGGCCCATGCTAGGGGCCCAAGAAATGTCTGCTGCATCAACGAGTGATTTTGGGAAAGGTGCTGAGCCCTTCTGTCCCATGAAGTTCTTGCGAGACAGTGTCTCACCAGCAACCTGGATCGTGAGAACCACAGCGGGTGGGCCAGATCTAGATGGAGAGTGTCCATTGGGCAGAGCTGCTTCTGTGAAAGGAAAGGAAGTTTTTCAAGAAACCATGAGGGGGGCCCAAGAATCCAAGTTTCTAACTCTGGGATCGGTTTTCTGTCTTTTACCTCGGTTTGCCTCTCCCTAGCTGTGTGGTTTATGGCAAGTCACTCTGTGCCTCTGTCTCCACGTGTTCAAGGAGGCAGCCGGTCCAAGGGGCCTTCATAGAAGGGGCTGCCGAGATGTGAGCCCTGCATTGGGGGGATGCCCCACAGAGGTGCTGTCCCCCATCCCCTTTCCAGGTATGAGTGTCCCCCAGCTCTGAGTGAATCAGTAGGAGGTGCTGGACCTGGGCTGATTCTCACAGTGGGACCTCAACTCTAGCCCCGGGTTGGCTGACATTAGAGGACTTTGGGTCGTTGTTCTGGCAGCTGCAAGGAAGAGCCAATGTCAGGGAGGGAAACCCCACATTCCCTGGCACTATCCAAACAAAGGTTTGGTTAAAACAAAGAATTCTCATGGAGAAGAGTCTGAAGGACCCAAAACACATATTTCTGTAGACATCCCATCCCAAAATAAACCCATGGATCAAGCCAGACCCAAATACAAGGATGCTGTGAACCACATGGTTGAATATTCCACACTTTCCCCATCCATTAAACCCCACCCAGGGTGGGAAGGGGATGGATTTCCCTCAGTTCTCAGGGCCTAGAAGAGCAGGGCTTTTTTCCCTCAACTGGTTGAGTTTTACTTTGTGAGCACCATGATTCCTAAAACCAGTTATATTTTCTTTTTCTCTTGGGCCGCCAGGGAACTCACAGCGAAATCTACCAACCAAAGAGGATGTCCATACCTGTCTTTTTCTTTCTTCCTTCATTTTTTGACTTAATTTCCTCACTTGAAAAAAAAAAATAAAACACCTTATTCAGGGTATACTTTATGGGCAGTCTTAATTTTTTTTATTAGGATGTGGGATGTAAATCCATAAAAGAAGTAGAAGTGCTGAGCCTTCCTGTGGAGTGGGTGCTGGAGGGGAAAAGGTGGAGTTAGGGGAGGGAAGGGGAGGGCAGGAAGGTTGGTGATGGGCAGAGATTCACAGAGACTCCCAGGTCAGGGAGCAATCCCCCAGTCAGGGCAGCAGGAATGCCCAGAGGAATTCTGATCGGGACAGACGTCGGGCACTGAATGAAGAGAGGTCCCTCAGGGGCCTGGTCTCAGGGGCCTTGAATTCCACGCAAAGCGTGTCTTGAGCATCAACTATATGCCAGGCACCTTTTACATATATTATTTCTTACTTCTAAATTATTCCAGATTTTAAGCCGGGTGCAGTGGCTCACGCCTGTAATCTCAGCATTTTGGGAGGCCAAGGCAGATGGATAACCTGAGGTCAGGAGTTCGAGACCAGCCTGGCTAACACGGTGAAACCCCGTCTCTACTAAAAATACAAAAATTGCCTGGGTGTGGTGGTGCATGCCTGTAATCCTAGCTACATGGAAGGCTGAGGCAGGAGGATTGCTTGAACCTGAGTGGCAGAGGTTGCAATGAGCTGAGATTGTGCCACCGAGCTCCAGCCTGGACTACAAAGTGAGACTCCATCTCAAAATAATAAATAAATAAATAAATAAATCTATCAATCCAGATTTTACCAATTAGGAGACTGAGCCTCAGAGAAGTTAAATCACTTGTCCAGAGCCCTGAAATTGGAGAAGCAGCTGCGCTCAGACTGGAACCCTAGATGGTAGGGCCCCTTAGTCCTCCTTTATCTTGGGGGGATCCAGGGAAGGCTTTTCAGCAGGGGAATGATGCAATTGGATACACATGTCAGGGGGAACATGACTGCTTGTGGCAAGGAACGCAGTAAGCCTGGGGTCAGGGAGACCAGGAGCTGCTGAGGTCTCAGCTCAGAGATGGTGGCTGGAACCAGGAGGGTGATGGTGATGGTGGAGGTGAGGGTGGGGGCAAAGAGGAAGGGAAGGATCAAGAGATGTTTGGAAAGTAGAGGTGATACTCAGGAGGGGTGCGGGAGAGGGAGGGAGAGGTTGCCTGGGCTGGCTTGGGCAGCTAGGGTGGAGGTGGCACCATTTGCTGAGATGGGAAAAGCCAGCTGGGGCAGGGAAGGGGCTGATGTGCTTGGAGGCTGCTGAGTTGGCCACCTGTGGGGATGACTCGCCTGGTCACAGCCCCCCGAGGGCAGAGGACACATGCCTGCTCAGCTGGGGCTGTGCCATGTCCCGCCCTGCCCCATGAACGGTATCATTAACACTGCTGATGCTGCCACATGGAGCCTTGGATGTCCCCAGACCCGAGGAGGGAGTTGGTAATTCCTGCAGGTCTGCACAGCCCAGCAGAGCCTGGTCTGGAGTTTGGATGCTGAGGGGATAGCGTGGATTGAGTTGGGTGACTCATGGTCCTCACCACTTCCCGCCATTAGAGCCTCTGGCCTGCCCTCTGGCCCTGTGGGAATCAGTGGGTACCCTATTTTCTCACAATGGCCAAGTCAGAACCCCCAAGGCTTCTCCCCCATTCACCAGGAGGTCCAGGATCCTGCCCTGGGTGCCAGGAGCACAGGAAGGGGTTGGGTCAACATAGGGAGCTGAGCAGACTCAGCAGATGTCAAGGACTCTGACCTCTGGAACGGCACCTATATATAAAAAGTGCCTAATAGATGTTTGTTGAATGAATGAAGACTTTGGATCCAAATCTGGCTTCTTGTGACTTTACTGTGTCACCTTGGGTGAGTCACTGCTTCTCTCGGTGCTGTGGTTTACCCAGCTGGAAAGTGAAGGGGCTGGATTGATAGTTTCGGGGGCCCTTCCAGCTTGAAGTTGGGTGATCCTGGAGAGCAAGTGGAACTGTCCCTGTAGTACCCGGGGGTGCTGGGAGGGGAGAACGGTCTCAGACAGGGGGTTACAAGAACTGGGCTCTGCTGATCCTCCCTACCTTCCTCCATGGGGTTCTAGGTGAGCTCAGGCACAGCAGGCAGCGTGTGTGTGTGTATGTGTGTTAGGGAGAGGTCCCCCGGACCAGAAGAGCCCACAGCTGGTGTCGGCAACACAAGTAGACCCAGAACCTACCCTGATTGGTCCCAAGGCCTGAGGCAGGCAATTTCCATGCCTTGATGGTGGCAAGCCTCACTGGGGCCCACATTGCTTACCCTCAAGGGCATCAAATGACTTCCCCAGCCAGAGTTATTCCCTCCACCCCTCTCCTTACCCACCAACACAAAATAACCAATGCTGGGGGCTCAAACTCATGGCCCAAGAGCTAGGTCTGGTCTACCGATGGGTTTTGTTTGACCTCAGTATTCTGTTTCTGAGAAACACTGACTTAACGCATGAGCCCAGCAGGCTCTGTCCCCTCTGCAGCAGTTACCACCCCTCCCTATTTTCTCCCAGCTGGTAGCGTCACACATATCTATTATCTGCCTGCCCTCCTGAAGGTGCCTGAGTTTGGAAACTCTGATCCAGCTTAACAACCCATTTTGTAAATAGGGAGACTGGGGGGTTGTCGGGGGTGATCCTAGTGTTTCCGGATGAACGAGGTCAGGCTGCTTGCTCTCGTGGTCCAATAAGGAGATGCAGACAGACTGAGAAAGAAGGGAGTTTATTTCTGTAACCGGTTACAGGGAGAAGATCGGAGTAACTCACCAGACCAACTCGAAAGTACAAGTTTTTCCCCCAGTGTTGTCTACATTCTAAGCTGTATGCCTACGTGTGGGAGTATACGTTGCCAGAGAGTAGGTCTGTTTCATTCCATCTTTATCTAATCTTTAGGGTCTAGGGTCTGGGAAGCTTTTTCTAGAGCCTTGGAAAGTTTCTTAATCTTTTTTTTTGAGACAGAGCCTCACTCTGTTGCCCAGGCTAGAGTGCAGTGACACAATCTCAGCTGACTGCTACCTCTGCCCCTGGGTTCCAGCAATTCTCATGCCTCAGCCTCCTGAGTAGCTGGGACTACAGGTGCACACCACCACATCTGGCTAGTTAATTTTTTTTTAGTAGAGATGGGGTTTCGCCACGTTGCCCAGGCTGGTCTGGAACTCCTAGCTTCAAGTGATCCACGCACCTCAGCCTTCCAAAGTGCTGGGATTACAGGCATGAGCCCCTGTGCCCAGCAGAAAGTTTCTTAATCCTAAGTGGGCCCTGGTATGAGGTGTATGTGTAAGAATACTTTCATTATTTCATCAGACTTTCGGGTCTGAGAAAACCCAGGAGCGGTCTTAACAGGTTTGTTTTCACATTCCAGCCCTCATACTCGGGCACCATTTTCTTCAGTTCTCTAATGTTTAACTTATGCATTCATCAGAATGAGAGGAAAGGGCTCTCTCTCTCTGTGTGAGAGAGAGAGTGGCTGCTCCGGCTGTTAATGGAAACCCAGCTTGCCACACTAGGTTCATGGAATCTTAGACCATAGACACCTGTTTTCCTGGGCTCTGTATCCATGGAGTAAACTTAGAACTTGCCTTGGTGCCTTTAGGTGTGATGTACTCTGCAGATCAATAACATTTGCAATAGGAAAGATTATTTCAAAAAGATCTTCAAAATCAAAAGTAACCAAATAAATGTTTATGTCATTATCACTAAGGTCTCATTTCCAGCTCTCTACTCCAATATCATTTCTTCAGATTGGCCTTCTCTGATCACTTGACTCAAAACAGCACACCATCCCCTCCTCTCTTCTATTTTATTTGTCTGAATCACTTCCTGGTATCACAGTTTTTATCCCACCAGCTTTCTACCTGCCTGCTCTCCACGATGTCCCACGAGGGCAGGGGCTTGGTCTATCTTGTTCACTGTGGTATCCCCAGGGCCAGAATAATGTCTGGCACATTTTAGGTGCTCAAAAAAAATTGTTGAAGAACAGGGAAAATGAAGCCCTGGCCATTGTAGCCCCAGCACCAGCCACCTTCCCTATAGTGGTTTCTTGGGTTGTTCCAGGGGCTTCCTGGGGTCGTCTTACAGTCCCCTAGTCACCGGGCAGCTGGCAGGCCTCTACCCTGCATGGGGCCCCGTTTCAGGCTAAGTGGGGCCGGCCTCCCAGCTTTATGTCCTCCTTCAGAGGGGAAGGAGGCAGTGATGTCACAGAGGTCTCCCACCCTCGCTCCTCCCCAGTCTGACCGATCAAGGCTGAAATCCCAAGTTCAAAGAGACCACAGCATGGGTGTGCAGGATGTGTTGTTTGTGGGTTGTAGGTAGGGCAGGGGCCCAGGCAGGTCATGGTGTCTTAAAAGAATGTTCTTTGAGCTGGAAGACTGAAAAAGGGAGGCGGGGAAGGAATAGCAGAGGGTGGGGAGAGAAGCCAAAAGGAGGAAATGCATCTTATTTTTCCTCGAAGAGAGAATAATGAGGGTGGCTTCATTTTTTTTTTTCCAACAGTAAAAATGTTGTTTGCTCATGAAAGTGATTCAAACAACACACAAAAGCATGGGGAAGAAATGACCTGATATTCTGCCTCCCAGGGATCTAGTCAGCAATCAGCCCACCAGGGTCAGATGGCCTGGGGTTGAATCCTGATGGGACCAACTTCCAACCATGGACTTGGGAGGGTCCCCAACTTCTCTGTGCCTCAGTTTCTTTTGCTGTAAAATAGAGATGTGCTTATCCTCCTCTCTTCCTCTCTGCCTCCCTCTGCTCTTCCCTCCTTGCCCCCCTTTCTCTTTCCTCTTTCCTCTATCTCAAAGAACATTCTTTTTTTTTTTTTTTTTTCAAGACAGAGTCTTGCTCTGTTGCCCAGGCTGGAGTGCAGTGGTGCAAGCTTGGCTCACTGTAACCTCCACCTCCCAGGTTCAAGCAATTCTCCTGCCTCAGCCTCCCAAGTAGTTGGAATTACAGGTGCCTGCTACCACATCCCGCTAATTTTTGTATTCTTAGTAAAGACGGGGTTTCACCGTGTTGGCCAGGCTGGTCTTGAACTCTTGACTCGAGATCCGCCCGCCTCGGCCTACCAAAGTGTTGGGATTACAGGCATGAGCCACTGTGCCCAGCCCGAAGAACATTCTTTTAAGACACCATGACCTGCCTGGGCCCTGGCCCTGCCCACAACTGGCCAAGGGCACATCCTACACATCCATGTGGTCTGTTTGAACTTGGCATTCCAGGCTTGATTGATACCTGCCACCCAGTATTATTGTGAGGATTAGGTAAATGAATACATGGAGAGGTCTTAAAACAGTGGCACATGGTGAGGGCCATATATGTGTTTGCATCACCATTATTGTTGTCATCATCACCATCATCACCATCATCATCATCATCATCTTTTTAGACAGCTCTTTATGCACCAGCCTGCCTTTCTTCCTGCCTCCCTTTTTCCTATCGTTCACCTATCCATCTGTCTGTCCATCCATCCATCCACCCACACATCCATCCATCCATCCACCCACACATCCATCCATCCATCCATCCATCCATTTAATCTTCTCTAATGGGAACACACCCATGTGCTCTGCAGGAAACTGCTTGTTCCACTCTGCATTCCATTCCATAAGAAATGGACACGTTTATGTCAATAAATGCTGTTAAACAAAATGACTGAGGTCCTGGTAAATTGAGGTTTGGGGTTTGGGTGATGGAAAACCATCCCTGAACACCTGTTTCCCTGGGTTCTGTATCCATGGGGTAAAATTAGACTTTGTCTTGGTGACTTCAGGTGTAATGAACTTTGCAGATCAATAACATTTGCAATAAGAAAGATGGTTTCAAAAATATCTTCAAAATCAAAAGTAACCAAATAAATGTTTATGCCATTTTACTATTTCCTGCCTCCCTAATCAGGCTGGGGTTCCTGCAGCCAGGGACTGTGTGTCCCCCACATCTTCCATCAGACTGACAACTCCTCAGGCAAGGCTGTTTCTCTCTCTCTCTCTCTCTCTCTTTCTTGCTCTTTGCTGCCCTGCCACCCCAGCCCTGTGGACACTAGAGTTCTGGTTTATGTGCCCCTTTTCCCACTCTGTATAAGAGCCCCCTGGAAGAAGAGGACCACATTACTGAGGATGGGTGTCCTGCGATTCCAGAGCAAACGGCTCTTCTCATCACCCCCAATGCCCGATATGAAGGGAACACGTCACCTGCAATTCACCACCTCTACCCCAAGCTCTAACAGACATCTCATGTCGAACAAGTCCAACAGAGAATGGCCAAGCTCCCTGCCCAGCTTGCCCTCCTGCAGCCTTCCCTATCTCTCTGATGACAACTCCATCCTTCTAGTTGCTCGGGTCCCAAATACTCCAGTGATCGTTGACCACTCTCTCTCACACCCACATCCAACTCATCAGCAAACCTCATCGGCTCTACCTTCAAGATACATTCAGGATCCAACCACTTCCCACCACCTTCCCTGTTACCCTGGGACCAAGCCATGCCATCCCTCGCTTAGATAATGGGAAGAACCTTAATGCACCATCTGATGTCATACACACTTTACTCATTTAACTTCACCTACGGTCTGTCTCCCCCAGAATATAAATGTCGTCAGAGCAGGAATCATGGTCTCTTTTGTTCATAGTTGTATCCCTATCACCTAAATGAGTGCCTGACACATAAAAGATGATTAACAAACACTTGTCAAATTAACAAATGAAGTTCTACAAAGAGCCTCAGAACAGGCTGAAGCTTGCTGTGCTGAGCTGAAAGAAGAGGGATTTTCAGAAATGAGTCCACGCTCCCAGGTCATTGCTCTGAGCTCTTTTTCAAGTTCCCTCCTCTCTGGCTCCCCAAGAATGCTTGCCTGGGGTGGCTTCTGCTGTCTGTGGAGTCTGGGCACAAGGGCCTACCCTCACCTGTTGGGGGGTGGTATTGTGTGGCGAGACGGGTGAACCTGCGTGGAAGTTATAACTCTACCACTTACTAGCAGTGAGACCTGCAGCCATGGTTCTCTTACCTGCAAAATGAGGATAAAAGTCATAATTGTTAGTGTTTTAGTGAACACAGGTGCCAGGAGCTGTGCTAATCTTCTTACACATAACTCATGTCTTTCCCACATCAACACAATGGGACAGGTACTACTGTTACAGCTGCCAACTTACACATGAGGCAGCTGAGTCACAGAGAGGTTAAAAGGTTTGATAAGGATCACAGGTGGTTATAGGCAGAGCCCGCACATAGTCAGCCCACAGAAACACTGACATCATTGTAATAGGGGTTCAGGCACCAGGAGTCTTTGGAGGGGAGGGCAGAGGCTGCTGGGGAGCTCTGGAGGGTCTCCTGTCAGCAGGTGAGTCCTGCTTCGCCCGGGGCCCCCAGTTGAAGCTCCCCTTCCCCATCTCCCAGACAGGCCTTGGGCACCTCCTCCCCTGACCTCCTGGATTGACAGCCCTGAGTGAGGAGGGTGTGGAGCCAGGAGGTGGGGACCAGGCTCAGCCAGGCTAATCAGGTCGCAGGGTGAAATTTAAAGGGAGGAGGAGGCACCAGTCCATCAGAACTCACACTTCTTCCTGGCAAAGAAGTGCCCAGGACGGGAGCTGGGGAGCCAGGGCTGATCTAGGAGGCTGGGAGCCAGGTGACAGGATGGCCCCAAAGAGAGTTGTGCAGCTGTCCCTGAAGATGCCTACCCATGCCGTGTGTGTGGTGGGAGTCGAGGCACATGTGGACATTCACAGGTAAGAGCTGGGAGGCGCTCTCCTGGCTGCAGAGAGCTGGGTTAGAGTGTAAGTCAATGGGGTGGGTGCCTGGTAGACAAGTCAGGCACGTTGGAAAGGATGCTGGCAGGAGATAGCAGAGAAGGTGGAGTTGGCTGTGGAGTCTGGAAGGAAGGAACTAGGGTCTAGTCAGGTCCTCCTTGGGGCCCCAGCTCCTGGGCACTGGGCTCAGGACATTGGCTTCAATCCCCTGGGTAAGAGTCCAGCCTTAGATTTCTAACTCTGAGCCCTGGGGTCAGGCTTTGGGGTCTGGGCCCTGCATTCTGACACCTAGGTAGAACTTGTGTGGAACATCAGATGGCTCAAGATGGGGAAGAGAACTGGTTCCCACCTCCCTCAATTTCTTGCCAAGCCCCCATCTCTTTGAGGTGAAGGGACGTGTGTGGTAGCTTGACCCTTGGAGGTCAGCCAGAGATAACTAGATTGATTCCAATCAGGAGGGAGTGGTTAGGAAATACTCGATGAATTAATATGAAGAGAGAACCTGGAGCAAGACGGCTGGGACTTATGTTTGCTGTGAGATGATGGTGATGACGCTGATTATGGTGATGAACAGTGATGATGGCGATGATGGCGGTGATGGTGGCAATGATGACATCTGAGGGGGCATCAGTAGCATTTGCTTCTCCTGTTGACCCAAATCTTTCCTGTGCTGGCTGTGTCCAGATGGGGACTCGGGGACTCAGCCTTAGTTTCCCTACCTGGCCACTAAGGGAATTGGATTTGGTGATCTCTGGTGGCATTTCCAACTCTGAGAGGCTGTCTATGGATTCCATCCCTGCTGGAGCAGGTGGGGCTGAACCCCTTGCAGATAGGGGGCTCGTGGTGGGAGTCTCCCTCAAAGAGGAGCTGGGTGCTGGGGGTCTGTTACTGGGTGAGATCTGAGCTCCTTTCTCCCTCTTGGGACTCAGCCCCTGTACCTGCTGGTCTGGTTAATGTATGTGGGGCCCAGGGCCAGCTGCCCACCTGGCCTCTGGTGATCCTCTGCTCGAGAAGCCCTTCCTGCTTCTCTGTTGGGCAGTGGTCTGTGACCCCGGTGGCAGGGCTGGGGAGGAAAACCAGGAGCCATGGAAACCAAACCTTGACTCTAAGTTGCTGCTGGGAGCCCCGCTGTGGGGGCTGGTTCTCTCGGGTCTAGGTGGCCAGCAGAGACCCCATTGTCTCTTGCCCTGTTAACATAGGCTTGCCAGATTTAGCAAATAAAAATACAGGATGCCTGGTTAAGTTTGAATTTCAGATAAAAAACAAAAAGCTTTTTTAGTATATTGCATGGGAGATATTTCTACTAAAATAATCTGCTGTTTAGCTGAAGCTGAAGTCTTTTTTTTCTTTTTCTTTTTTTTTTTTTTTTTTTTTGAGATGGAGTCTCGCTCTGTCACCCAGGCTGGAGTGCAGTGGCGAGATCTTTGCTCACTGCAACCTCCACCTCCCGGGTTCAATTCTCTGCCGCAGCCTCCAGAGTAGCTGGGATAACAGGAACCCACCATCACACTCGGCTAATTTTGTATTTTTAGTAGAGACAAGGTTTTGCCATGTTGGTCAGGCTGGTCTCAAACTCCTGACCTCAAGTGATCAACCCACCTCGGCCTCCCAAAGTGCTGGGATTATAGGCGTGAGCCACCGTACCTGGCCACTAAAGCTGAAATCTAACTAGGCATCCCACATTGTATCTGGGAATCTACTTTCACACCAAGAGTAGGAAAAGGGTCCCTTGCAGGCCCCCTTCTTCTTATTTCAGGCTTCTGCTCTCATCTGAGGGCATGGCTGTTTCTAGAAGGTGATTTCAGAACCTCTGGCTCTACACTGTGCTGCTAAGGCCAGAAACATTTCACGGGGAGCCGGGAGACCTGGTCTTAGCTCTGCCACTGACTTCCTGCTGGATGTGGGCCAAGTCACTTGTCCTCTCTGGGTTTCATTTCCTCATCTGAGCCCCCATGAGATGAGCTGAGTCCACTCTGCAGTTCACTGTGGAGGTGAAGTACCCAGACCCTGGAGTTGAACACACTCCATTCTCAGGCTGGCTCCAGGCGTGGCTGGAGCTGCACTTCCGAGCCTCAGTTTCCACATCTGAAAATGAAGAAACAATATAACACCAGTTATAATGGGTTCAGGGGAAGATAAATGAGCCCATGCATGTATAAGACCCCTTGCGCCGTGGGTGCCCTGGCAGTGCGCACAGCTCTGGTAGCTCTGTGAGTCCCCTTTTCTCCAGCATCTGTCCTTTCCCTCACACCTGAGAGGATGGGAGGAGACGAGGACAGCTCAGACTGCAAGTGCTGGGAGCATAGGGTGTCTGTAAAGCTCCTTAGCGTCCTCAAATGCAGGCCCTGGCCCAGCGGAGGGGCAACGGGAAGTTGCCTGGGCTATTCATAGCTGTTGTGCTCTGGTTGGCTCTGGGAGGCAGAGGTTGCTCTGGGATCCTGAGTGAGCACACAGGGCACCTCCATCCAAGAGCCCTTCAGGAACCTTCACCTGGGTGTTGGTGGTGACTATGGTCATAGCTACTGAGAGCCTCCAAACTAGGACACAGAAGTTGATTCTGCAGCATAAGGAAGAGCTTCCTGCTGGCCAGGTCTGCGATGGGCAGGGAAAGAGGGGCATGGAATTGTCAACCTGGGAAGGTTTTTAAGAGGAGCCTGAAGCTCACTCCAGCAGCTGGGCTGGCAGCAGGAGGAAGGGGTTACACTTGATGACAAGTGATGAACTTGGGGCCTCCCCAACCCCTTCACCCAGTGTCTGACTCTAGCTAAGGCCAAGTAAGGGGTTTCTAGTTGGCCTTACTGGTGGGAGGGGGGAAGCCCCCAGAAGAGGAGGTGTTGCCAGTCACCTGAGCTGCTGGGAGTCTGAGCCCTCCAGGAGATGGGTGTGTAGGGATGACATCACAGGAAGTGATTCATTCCCCCAGGGGCTGTGTGAACTGGTTATTTGGAGAAACACTTGTGTTTGGGGTAATTGTGTGCCCCAGGGTGTCCCAGCCTAGGAAACCCTTAGGAATCCTCGACTCAGCATGTGCTGCAGGTCCCATCCCCACACCCCAGTAGGCTAGCCCACCACCCTGTCCACCCCCGACTCCAGTGGGCTAGCTCACCACCCTGTCCACCACCCACCCCAGTGGGCTAGCCCACCACCCTGTCCACCCCTGACTCCAGAGGGCTAGCTAACCACCCTTTCCACCCCCCACCCCAGTAGGCTAGCCCACCACCCTGTCCACCCCCGACTCCAGTGGGCTAGCTCACCACCCTGTCCACCCCCCACACCAGAGGGCTAGCTCACCATCCTGATGACCCACACTCCAGTGGGCTAGCTCACCACACTGACCCCCACACCCCAGTGGGCTAGCTCACCACCCTGATTCCCTGGATCTGGCCAGACTGCCCTGGCTATCCTTGTCCTTGCCTAAGGAGTTCAGGTGGCTCATGCCAATAAAGACAGGGGTGGGAAGTGTGAGGAATCCATCTGCGGTCCTGTGTGGCCCTCCTTGACTGCCCAGAGGCCAGAACCAGAGCCTGAGGCTGGAGACCATAAAGAACCTTTATTCTTTGGGATGCAGAAGGCCGGCCTTGTAGGAGACAGGGACATTCTCCTGCACTTTCCCCCAAGCCTTCCCCACCACTGCAAAAGCAGCAATGCAAGACTGAGTCAGGATCAGACAGCGGTAGAATTGGAGGGGCATAGGGAGAAGGGACTCTGCAGGCCTCTCAGATGCATTTTCTGGAATTCTCTGTATTTCAGAAAATGAAAATGCCAAAACAGAGTTCGAAAACTTGTGGTATGTGTAATGTGTACATCGAGTAAATTAATGCTTTTAACTCGCACAGAAGAACAATGAGGCATAATTGTGCTCCTCAGGGGAAAATTACAGGATTGACACTGACACTAATTTCCAGCGACCGACAGGCTGCCGGCCCCTGGCTGGACACATTCTCTGCTCCGTCCTGTCACTGTGTCACTGCAGCAGGAAGAACACTATTCACCAGAAGAGACATTAAAAGTTCAAGTTTCAGGGTCCCTGGAGAATATGAAGCTGGGGTCCTCCGCAAGTTCCACAGGGCCCTGACAGGCCCGGGGGTTGTAAAAACTGGACTCAGAATGGAAGAGGGTAGCATTCTTGAAACATAAAATATTGACATCACGAAGGGCCTCAGAGGTCAGCCACCCCTTAATTCTGTGGAACTCCCTGCTCCCCTGGGTCCTAGCTGCCACTTGCCATTTTGGGACTGGCTGGGAATCTCTCCCCCTCCCTCTGGCCCCCCAGGCCCTCCGCTTTCCGCCTCCTTACCCCTTCCTGGCATTTCCTGGATCCTAGTCTTGGAATGTCTCCTCACTCTGAGCCTTCTTCTCTTCCCTTCTCAGCTCCCATCCCTTTTACTTCCAGCTGGTCTTTGCAGGCTGTGTGACCTTGGGCCAGTCACTTAGCATCTCTGAGCCTGTTTTCTTCGGAGTGACATCCCTTATTGTTTGTACCTGCGAAGCTGGCACCTTTATTTTTTCCATTTTATTTTATTTTTATTTTTATTTTTGAGATGGAGTCTCACTCTGTTGCCCAGGCTGGAGTGCAGTGACATGATCTCGGCTCACTACAACCTCCATCTCCCAGGTTCAAGTGATTCTCCTGCACTCCTCTGCCCCCCAAGTAGCTGGGATTACAGTTATGCACCACCCCGTATTTTTAATGGAGACAAGGTTTTGCCGTGTTTTCCAGGCTGGTCTCGAACTCCTGACCTCAGGTGATCTGCCCACCTCGGCCTCCCAAAGTGTTGGGATTACAGGTGTGAGCCATCTCACCCTGCCTAAGTTTTTATTTTATTTTATTTTATTTTATTTTTTGAGACAAGGTCTCGTTCTGTCACCCAGGCTAGGGTGCAGTGGTGTGACCATGGCTCAGTGCAACCTCAAACTCTTGGGCTCAAGTGATCCTCTGCCTTAGCCCCCCAAGTAGCTAGGATTACAGGCCTGAGCCACCGCGCCCGGCCAATTTTTTTCCATTTTACCTTGAGGAATTCCACAATCCACAGAATGCGGACATGCTTTGGGGAGAGGATCGGTGACTCACGACTTGGACTCTAAATTCAGGGCCCTATCTCTCAGGGACATTCTGGTCCCCAGCCCCTGTTTATCTCTTCTGGGAAGACCAGTGAGTGAAAGCTGTCCCTCTTCTCCAGCCTCCATTCCTGGCTGGGCAGAGCTCCACTTGGGAGAAAGCTGGTTCAGCCTGCGCCCTCAGCCTGGGCTCTCTGGGCGTGCCCCTCCCCAAGCAATGACAGGGCATAAGGCACCCACTAGTGTGATTTCTGTGAATGAGGGAGAAGACAGGACACAGCCACATCATGTGTGATTCTAGACTCCTGAGAAAATGCCTGAGCCTGCTGAGGGGTCTGGGACATCAGCCATTGCCCTCCCTCAACCTCCAGCAGCCCCAGCCAGCCCCGGGGAGAGGATGCAGGGGAAAGCTAAAGCCAGGGTTGCAGCCAGGGGACTGGGGGTTGGAGCTGCCCCCTCCTACTGTCTGGTGCCCACACCTCCCATCTCAAGGAACCTCCTGTGGTCTTTTCCCCAGGGCCGTCTGCTCCCGGGCACCTGCTCTGTGCTGGGTTCTGGCACTCGGTGATGATACGGCCCATGGCCACATGTGAGGAGCTTCCATCCTAGTTGGAGAGTTAAACAAATTTCAGGATGTGGGTTTCAACAATTGCACACCTGACCCATTTTCTTGGTCAGGGAGGAGAGTGAAGGGAGGTGCCAGGGTCCTATTAACGACAGGGCCCTGTGTCCTCTTTTGTCCGGGTCTGCCCACTCCTCCATGCCTTTCAGATGCCCTCTGTGACTGTAATGATCATGATGGCAGCCCTGGTTTTTTGTTTTTGTTTTTGTTTTTTTTTGAGACGGAGTCTTGCTCTGTCACCCAGGCTGGAGTGCAGTGGCACGATCTTGGCTCACTGCAACCTCCGCCTCCCAGGTTGAAGCAATTCCTCTCCCTCCACCATGCCCAGCTAGTTTTTTGTATTTTTAATAGAGATGGGGTTTTACTATGTAGGCCAGGCTGGTCTTGAACTCCTGACCTCAGCCTCCCAAAGTGCTCGGATTACAGGCATGAGCCACCATGCCCAGCCGGCAGCCCTGTTTTAAGTGCTCACTGCACCATCTCAGTTAAACCTCACAACAAGCCTGTGAGATGGGGACTACTATAATCCCCATTTGCAGACACGCGGAGACACAGAGAGGTTAAGAGACTTTTCTGAAGTCACACAGCCCACAAATGCCAGAGCTGGGATTTGGACCCAGGTCCACCTGGTTCTAAATTCTGTGAGCCTAACCCTGTGACTGCCCAGGCTCTGAGACTCTTCTATGTTGCTGGGTAAGTGAGGGGTGAAGTGAAGGCAGGGCAGCAGATGAGCTTTGGAATCAGACCCAGGCAGGGGCCAAGCACGGCTGTGCCCCATCACCCTCTGTGTGACCTCTCTGTATTTCAGCTCATTTTCTGTAAAATGGGGAGAAGAATAATCACTCCCCTATTAGCAGGCAGGGGCCATGGGGATGGAATCAGAGAATGGAGTAAAAACCCTCCGTAGACTCTGTGGACCCCACAAGGGCAAAGCCAAGGATGATTTGTCTCTGCTTTCCTGGTGCCCAGCATGGGACCTGATGTACAGTAGCTACCCAGGAAGGTACGTTGAGGCAGAGCCACTGGCAGCACTAATGGGAGCCCTGTGTGCCCCAGGGAAGCTGCTGGCCTTTAGCTGGAGCTCACGGGGTGGCGGCCAGTACCCCGGGACTATCAGCCTCCAGGCAGATCCCTGGCTCCAGGCAGAATCACCCACGGAGCTGGTCACCCCAGGAGATTTGCTGGGCCCTGCTGCCTGACCCTACGGCATTTCTTGTGGCTTCATTCCAGGACACCTAGCGGCTGGCACCTGTGGGGCTCCTGGCAGGCCAGATCCTGGCCAGGCGTGCAGGGGAGCCACAGGCTCAGCCAGCAGTGCCTGCTCTTCAGCCTTTTCGTCCGATTCTGCCTGATTCTCCCCCTCCTGCCCCCACCACTCATCCAGCACAGTGCCCCAGACGACCCCCAAGAGCACATTGGCCCCCACCCCCACCCACTCAGTTTCTGCCCCCAGGATCTGGCCATGTCCAAAGTGCAGGATAGGACAGTTGGCAGGGAAGCATTCCTCTGTGACTGCTGTATTTCTCTTCTCCCTAGAGACCAGGTGGTACATTTCTGAGCTGTTGACCTAAGATTTGGCCGGTGGAGCCCCAGTGGGCCGAGGCTTCTGGGAAGCAAGTTGCAGCCACGCAAAAGGAAAAGCTTTCTAATTACCTGAACTGTCAAAGCAGAGAGGGGTGTGAGGTAGTGAGCTGTCAGTCTTTGGGAGTGGGCAGGGGGCTGGCCGGGATGACCTCCAAGGCCCGTCTCTGACCCAAGGCCTATGCTATGCAAGATGCTCCCTGGTCTCTTCTGTCATTTTAGGGCAGACAAGGACAAGAAGATCACAGGCACCACCCCCCTCGCCTTGCCGCTGTAAGATGTGGGTGTGTGGTGGGGCCAGGGGGCTGTGGCTTTCCTGCCTTGGTGCCGCCACCCTCCCTAGGCCTCCCTGGCCTGCTGCCAAAGAGCCATGCAGAGGAGCTCGAATTGCACACTCTCTCAACACATTCCTGTTTCCTTCCGACATCCCTGATCGTCTCCTCCTTCCAGTCCCCGACAAGGGCATGCTCAGGGCACACACGCACTCATTTTAATACCAGCCAGGACAGCTTCTCACTTTGCTATCTGGGTGACCTGAGTAAAGTTACTTAACTTCTCCGAGATTTCTTCATCTGTGAAGTGGGGACGTAATCTCCTACCAGGCTGGTAGGAGCAGGGAAAAGTAAAAAAAGAAAAGAAAGCTGATCAGCTCCAAGCCTGCCTTTCTTCATGGTCCAGGACGCATTGCCCTCCTATGCAAGTAACTCACAATCTTCCTGCACCCAGCTTTCACCAGACCCCTGCAACTGAGCTCCCCGCGGCCTGGGCATAATCAGTACTGCACAAAGCCCTCTTCAACAGACAGATAAACATCGTCCTATAAAATCCCCAGCAAGTCTTTGTTTCTTTGCAGTCGGCTTCACCCCAGAGAGAGGCTTCTTTCTTGAAGGCTGACTTTTGTGTCTCTGGCGATGTATTTTCCTACTTTCTGTAATCAATCTGCTTTCCTTTACACACAGCTGTCCTGGTAAATTCTTTTACTCCTGCATTACCGGCCGTCATTACCCTGTGACAAGTAACACCTACCTTGGTCGGGGAGCAGGAGTTGGAGTGAAGTCTAGATGAGATCATGGATAGCAAAAGCTAAGCACGTGCCTGGCACACGGCAGGTGCTTGAAAATGCAGGCTCTTTCCCTGCCCCACTAGAACCCATGGAACATGCTGCCTTATGCCATAACCAGTGGGTGAACCTGCACCTTACCACAGGAGGCGGGCAGGGGTGGAGAGTAGTTGGTTTTACACTCCTCATCCCGCCCTCCGCGTCTCCTTTTGTGAGATTCTCTAAGAATTCACCCCATTCTGCCCATAACCTCTCTATTGAACCTGATGCAACTGGCCCTGCTGTGGGCATGAGGTTGGTGGGCATTGCAGGGTGAGTAGGAGGACGCTGCTCTGGGCGGCGCAGACGAGATGTGAAGTGGCCCCCAGGAAGGTCTGAACCAGGGCCATGGGGGCACAGAGGAAGCACATAAGGTTTCTGGCTGGAGTGAGTTGGGCTGTCTGGGGATTCTGAGAAGAGTAATTGTAACCATGGTGACAGCATCTAACGCTGAGAAGTCATCATCTCAGGGAATCCCTCCAACAGTCTAGGAAGTAGCTCTTGGGATTGTGTCCATTTTACAGCGGAGGAAAATCGAGGCAGTTGAGTGACCCAGTTGGAGGCCATGCTCCACACAGAACCCACACTTCACTCCATGGAAGAGGTGGCATTTGAAGTGGGTCTTGAAGAATGCAAAAGACCCCCCTGCCCCCCGCCCCATGACTTGGCCCAGCAGAGATGGGGGAGCAGCCTGGTGAGGGGCAGGCTCATCAGCATAACAGTGGAAACCATGATGATATAACAGTGATTACCAAGACACCTGACAGGGTGACTCCTGTAGTGGTAATGATTTGGCCTTTTTTATTTGGAGGGGTGCTTTCAAATCTGTGACCTCACCTGACTGTGCATTTGGGGACATGCCAGTACTGCATATCTGGGGGTTGGTTAGGTCTGGGGGCTACATCATGAGACATCACCAAAGAGAAGCATCTTGGAGAGGATTATTAGATTTGGAGGAAGCCGGGAGCAGCTCCAGAAAGCTGGCGCAATACAGCCCACTGCAGGGTGGCCTGGGGCTCCCCACAAGCTCCCACTCCTGCCTGTCACACCTCCCAAGGGCAGCCCTTCATCCATGACCAGGCCCACAGATCTGGGCACCTGAGAGATAAGGAAAGGCAGTATAAGCCCCGTCTCCCAGCCCCGGGGCAAGGGTTGGGGTAGGATGCCAAGGGAATGAGAATCAAAGGCAGCGCAGGGCTCACCCGGCATAACCTGCCTTGCTTGGGTGCCAGAGAGAATAAGCAGACCCCTCCTCCTGCCTCTTCCTGGTGGTTTTCAAAGCTCCTGCTGGGGTACCTGCCGCTCTTCTGTAGCTGAAGCTGACCTGGATGGGGGTGATGGGAACCAAGTCTTGAAGGCAGTGGGGCTGGGAACTAGAATAGGCCCCTCCCCATGCCTGTGGGAGTGGCCCTGGGCCTCAGACCTGCATAGCAGGTGTCTCCTGCAGGAAGCCACATTTCCCCCAAGGCCTGACCCCTCTAGGCACTGCCCACTCATCTGTTACTCACAGGGGAGGGAGACACTGAGACCAGGAGCCCAGCACCCCAGAGAGAGGTGAACAGAGGTGTGAGCTATTGAGCAAGTTTGGGGTGGGGAGGGAGCAGATCTAGACTACAGGAAGCTAGGCTGGGCTTGGAGGGTCTTGATAGCCCCAGAGAAATTGTACCTGTCATTTCTTCCCCCTTCTTTCATCATCATCATCATCGTCATCATCATCATCATCATCATTTTCTACCAAGACTCCAAATAGGGGGCTGTGACTTAGAGATGTCAACTTTTGCCCAAAGCTAGGGATTGGCTCCACAGAGTCCTGCTTCCCTTGAAAGGGCTGTGTCTGGCACCGGTGGTCCCTGAGTGGGGTGGAGCAGGAGTCACCCATGAGCTAGAAACCCTTCTGCTGCCAGCTGGGTGCCCTGGGCTTGTGGCTACTTGCTCTTGGAACTCATGGGCCAGGCCGACTGGATTCAATCATGACTCAGCCACCTCCCCGCTGGGCAGTCCTGAGAAAGCCACTCCACCATCCTGAGTCGCTGTGTCCTTGTCCAGAACGCGTTGATTGTGCCCCTGGTTCATGCCAGGCACTAAGCTGGATGCAGAGATGACAGCAGCGATGCAGACAGCATAAAACAGAAAAAAAATCTCTGCATTTTAGAGGGAGAGACTGCAATGAGCAGATATGTGCTCTGTCAGGTGGCTGGGAGGTGGCCGGTGCCATGGGCTGGAATGAAGCTGGGGTTGGGGAACCAGACTCATGGTGTCATTTGTGTCACGCCATTTGCAACAGGCAAGAAGGGTACATCAGAAAGGCCTCGTATGCTACCCTGAGAGAAGGAAGTGAGGGGCTGGGCGGACCGCAGGGATTGGTGACAGGAACATTCCGGACAGACAGAGCTGCAGCCCTGGCATGCTTGAAGAACGGCAGGAACAAGCAAGAGGGCGTGGGGAGGGAAAGCAATGGGTCAGGAAAGCCTGGGAGGCCACACAGGCTCTGGTGACAGCCTCTGAGCAGGAGGGATGCAACGGGACTTCTATTTTAAAAGGTCCCTCTGGCTGCTATGTTGAAGCTGGACTGTGGGGAGAGAGGGGAAGCAGGTCACTGGCCTATGATAAAAATCCACATGGAAGCAACTGGTGGCTTGGACAGGATGTGAGCTGTGGCAGAGGTGAGAGCGGTCAGGGTCTGCAGTTGCTATGAAGGTGGAGCTGATGGGATTTGCTGAGGGGCTGGCTGTGCGAGTGAGGGAACAAGAGGAGGTGAGGCTGAATTGGAAGGTGGAGCTGCTATGGACAGACTTGCGGTGGGTTGGGCAGGAGCAGGTTTGAAAGGAGTGGGGAAGGAGTGGGCATGGGGAAGCAGGAGTTTGGCTTTGGATGTGTGAAATTTAAAATGCTTGGTAGGGCTGGGCGCAGTGGCTCACGCCTGTAATCCCAGCACTGTGGGAGGCCGAGGTTGGCAGATCACTTGAGGTCGGGAGTTCAAGACCAGCCTGGCCAACATGGCGAAACCCCATCTCTACTAAAAATACAAAAATTAGCTGGCGTGGTGGTGAGCTCCTGTAATCCCAGCTACTTGGGAGGCTGAGGCAGGAGAATCGCTTGAACCCAGGAGGCAGAGGTTGCAGTGAGCTGAGATCATGCCTTTGCACTCCAGCCTGGGTGACAGAGCACGACGTTGTCTCAAAAAATAAAAAATAAATAAAATAAAATGCCTGGTAGACACCCAGGGAGAAACTCAGAAAGCAAGAAGTCTGAGAGTTCTAACCATATTGATGTGGCAGGTGGAGAAAACCAAGGGAGTGGGTGTAGACAGAAGAAAGGAGGAGAGGAGAGGGGAGGGAGGGGAGGAGAGGAGGAGAGGGGAGGGAGGGGAGGAGAGGAGGAGAGGGGAGGCTGAGCCCTAAGCCAGGTGCGCTGGGGCCAGCCGCACTCTGAAGAGTACCAGTGTAGGGATTCTGCCCGTTGCCGATGGTGCCTATTCCAATTACACATTTCAGAACTTGTTGGGGTGGGGCGGAACCACACATGGGCTCAGGGGCTACTGGACCCACTGTAAGATGAACCTGAGCTGAAACTCCATGGATCACCTGGCCTCCATGAGCCCCTGCTCTGCCAGGTGGGCCGCAGTGTTGTTTAGGGTCTCCTAGACCAGTTCAGGGCCGGTGTGCAGGAGAACTAGAAATGTACGATTATTTCCTTTTCCCCAGTGACAGTCACCCTGGTAAAAAGTTGTGTGTCCTCTCGGGGAAGGCTGGGAGAAAGTTGAACAGTGTGTTTGTGGCAATGTACCAGGGTCCTTCCTCAAGGAGATCTGATTGTTTAATTTTTAAGAAGGTTATGAACCCCTTGTTAAACACAGCCACTATTTAAAATTAAATATACACACAATTAAGCAAATTATATTAAAAACAAAGGCAGTAGTACTGAAAACTCATCACTGCTTAATTATTTTACTGCATTTTACCATTGTCCAGATATAGTGGAAATAGTGATGTCACGAGGTGCTATTATGCAGCTCTTTGAAACTCTGAGTCCAATGATGTTGGGCTGGTAACTTGAAACTGGCTAGAGTGGGAGTGTTTACACCACAGACATTGGTCAAGGCTACAAATCAGGGCTTCATTCATCGTTTTATCAAATGCCTAGAGTTCAGAAAGTGATGGAGACAGGTTAACAATGTCAACTCAATTTAAAAGTGTATTGCGTCTATAGCCATGACATTGTGGTTAGTACCAAAAATTGATGAAATGTTCCTCCAGGATTATCTGATTCAGCAAAGAGGTTGCTCATATCCTAGATGAATGAATGAAGGGTGACATGCATCTTCATTGTTTCCCCTTTCATCTTATTCGTGAATGCCAACAAAAATATCAACCAACGTTTACGTCACATATCAGATTTAGTGACAATAAACTTATGGAGGAAAGAATGAGCAGATTGGGATGCAATTGCATTGGTCAAATCATGGTCAAATTGCAACCACAGGTTGGCTACAGTTGCAAGAGAGGGCATCTGGAGGAATCAATGTACTATATAGAATTTACAACACATTTTACAATAAAGAATTATATGTATTATACTATTATTTTTACATTATGTGCTACACACTATTTACATCAGTAAAATTTATAATAAATTTATATATACATATATATGCATAAGAACCCCCCCACTCCAGAGAGCTGGTTGTTAAACATTTGCCAGCACACCACTGCCTGGAGTTAGGGGGTAAGGGGGAGTGACACAGCAAAGGCATTAGAGGAAAGGCCACGGAGTCAGAGGAGAGCAAGCAGAGCCCGTGTCCCAGCTGCCAAGTGGGAAAGTGTTTCAAAGACAGGTGATCATCTGGGCCAAGTGCCTCTGACAGGTCAATGAGGGGAAGAAGAGAAAAGACCCACTGGGTTTGGCAACAGTGGAGTTTCCTTGGTGTGGTGGGAGGAAAGGCTGATTAGAGGCAGGTTGCAGACGCAAAGAGAAGAAATAATTGGAGGTGTCAAGGGAGCAGAAGAAATGAGGAGGTCAAAGGAGAATGAGTTTGGGGATGGGTGATATTCACGTCTGTGTGCTGGGTGCAAGGGAGGGGAGAAGGGGCAAGGCCAGTGATGCCCTTGAGTAGGGGATGTGCCCCAGGAGGGCTGGTCTTGGGCAAGAGCCCAGACAGCACACCCCTCTTCCCAGGAGGGCAGGCATGGTCGTGGACTCAAAGGCAGGAGGGCTGGGAGATGAGGTGGTGGGAGGAGGGAGGTTGAAGGCTCTGAGTGACAAGGGGGAAGAGTGGGGAGGCTTCTGGAGATAGGAGAAGATAGGACATAGTCCTCTAGGACACTGAAAGAGAAAAGAGCCTGGAGCAATGCTGTAGGAGCACGAGCATGTCACGCATCCATTGAGGTCAGCAGTCATGAGTCCAAGTGAACCATGGTCAGCCGCGTGGTGCAGGTGCAGAGGGGGTGGAGAGTTGGATCTGATTGTATAGCTGGAGCTCTGCCAGGCAGCTCAAGGGAGGGAAGGATGAGCAAAAGATTAGGGAGTGGAGCAAGGGGGTGGCCGCAGCGGGGGACTATGGGATCTATGGGACTATCCTGGGGAAGGGAAGAGGGAACATGAGGGATGAGGGACAGCAGTGGGGGGCGAGTAGAGAGGACTCAGCCTTCAAAGGTCAAGCGTCCCAGTGGGCTGAAGGTTTGGTTGCACTGGTGTGTTAGGAGTGAGCTGGAATATTGGGAAGCGGTGTCCGAGTGGGTTGCTAACAGGGGAGCTTGTAGTGGGTGCAGTTTTTTGATAATAACATTCTATAGCACCTGCCCCGTGAAGGAGGGGATGAGGCCAGGTGGAGGACAGGAGCATTGGATGAGAGGTCAAGGGACTGAGGGACCAGGGTGCAGCACACCATCTACATCGCCATTGAAGTATAAACTGGTGACGGCAGCCGGCTGAGGAACATGGCAGGAGCTGGCACCCTCGAGATGAGGACAGAGCGATGGTGTGCAAAGGTGTCCCTGTAGATGGGTGGTGTAGTCTGGAAATGTCAATGCAAAGCTGGGGGTTTACGGAGTGAAGAAAGATGATGATCTGGAAGGGACATTGAGGAGCATGAAGGACCCTTGCCCACCTCCAGGCCCAGGGGCTGGAGGGAGTAAGGGGGAAGCAGTCACCAGGGAGATGGCTGAAGGGGAGGCCATGCCTGCTATTGGGGGCAGGCTTCTTTTACAGTACAAGATCAAGGAAACTGTCCAGGGTGGGACTGAGGATATCGTGCAGATGATGGTGGCTGGGATTGAAAGGGAGTTGGGGAGGATGAGGAAGGGGGTCAGATGAGAGGATGATAGTCCAGGAGACTTGGGGTTTCCATGGCAACTGATGTAAACGATGAGGAAGAGCAGGTAAGGTGCGAGGACCCCCAAAAGTGCTGTGGAATGTGGTGATTGTAAGGCCAGGAGTGGGGGATGGGGGAGGTGGGTCTTGCCAGCAGCCTGCAGGGGCTCCTGGGGCCCCTGCACACTCCTGCCTCTTCTGTAAAATGGGGATTATAATCTTTGCTTTGGGGGGTTGTGATGAGCATTAGGGAGCGCCAAGTAGGACTCGTGATTGTTGGAATTAGGACTGTTGTCACCGCAGTCAATGGAGACAGTTTTTTGATGGGGCCAAGTGATCATGGCAGAGGTTGTGGAGGGGGTCTGGTTTCTCCAGAGGGCTGAATATTTGGGTGGTTTTTTAGGGGTCCAGGAAAGGATGAAGGCGGGAGAATATGCAGAAGGACCCCTTTTGCAGAGTGGCAGAAAGTGAGAATCCAACCATTTATTAACAAGTGTTTATTGAGCACCTACTATGGGCCAGACACTGTTACAGGTGTTGGGGATGCAGCTGTGAGCAAAACAGACAAAATTCCTCCAGCAGCATCTTTGTAGTCAGGTGGATGTCTGTAAGTGGACTTGACCTTGGGTGGTGTCCTGGTGGCTGATGGCTCTGCCGTGGGGGATGATGTTGGAGAGCCCTGACTTACAAAGGAAGAACAAGCACCAATGTGTAGTTCTCTCATTCAACCTCCTCTCCAGAGTGTGAGCGCCACAGGCTCAAGAGCCTCCTGGAACTCTGGGGATTAGTGCAGTGCCTGGCACAGAGAGGCCATAGTTCACGCTTATGCAGGGGATGAAGAAGAATGAGATGCCACCCACAGAGGCCCTGTTGGTTTTGCTCTGCGTGCCCTGTAGCCTGAGTTTGCAGTGCATCCCCCTCTGATGCTGTGGGCCAGGAAGGCTGGCCCCAACCAGCTGTGGCTGGGAGCAGCTGGTGGTGTGAGGGGTAGGGTGGGGGCCCGGCAGATGAGTGCCCCAGGCTGGGGCCAAGGCAGATGGGAGGCTTCTCAACACCCATTTCTTGATCCCAGAGCTCTGATGTATCAGGTGAATGCGGTGTATTGGGTGATGGAAAGAAGTTGCACGGGGTGCTGGCATTAGTCAAGTTCTAGATCTCCACTCAAGTGCAGATGGGCTTGAATCCCCCTGCAGAGTGGCAGAAAGTGAGAATGCATCCATTCATTCACACGTGTTTATTGGGCACCTACACCTACCATGTGCCAGACACTGTTATAGGTGCTGGGGATGCAGCTGTGAACAAAACAGATAAAATTCCTGCCCTTGTGGAGCTGACCTTCTAGCAAGAGAGATGGACAGTTGACTGGCATTGAGGTGGGAGAATCGCTTGAACCTGGGAGGCGGAGGTTGCAGTGAGCAGAGACTGCACCACTGCACTCCAACCTGGGTGAGAGAGTGAGACTCTGTCTCAAGAAAAAAAAAAAAAAAGAATCAGAGCAGGGGAAGGGAGATGGGGGATCAGTCGGGGGGAAAGGTGGGCAAGGTGCAGCATTAAATGGAGTGATTGGGTGGGGGCAGGAGCTTGCTGAGAAGGTGACATTTAGGCAGAGCCTTGAAGAGGGTGAGGGAAGGAGACTTGTGGACATCTTGGGGAGGAGCAGTCCATGCAGCAGGAGCGGGCAGTGCCAGGACAGCCTTGCCATCTTCATGGCACAACAGGAAGGCCAGCGTGGCTGGAGCTAAGTGAGCGAGGGAAAGCGTAGTAGGGAGGAGGCAGTCAGCAAGGTGGCAGGGGCGCATCAGAAGGGCCTCTTATGCTACTCAAGAGGATTCTGCCTTTTACTGAGTTTGATGGAAACCACTGCTTTCCAGCAAAGGAACAACACGCTCTGCTGTGTGCAAAACAGACTGGAGGGGCCTGGGTGGGACCACGGACCCATGAGAAAGCTGCTCGGTGATCCAGGCGAGGGGTGATGGTGGCTTGGGCCGCAGTGATGTCAGTGGAGGTGGTGAGAGGTGGTGGGTTAGTGGATCTCTGTTGAGCTGGAGAGTTTGGAAGTGTCAGATCTGGAAAGGACTTGGGTGTGGGCTGGGGGTGTCCAAGGGTTTACCATCTATGCCCTGGCTTCCAGATGCTCCTGGCCAGTGGCACTGCCCTGTGCCTCCCCAGCCTGACTGTTGAGGGGTGCCATTTGAACGGCCTGGCAGCCCCAAGCCCCCACCCCACTGTGGCCACTCCCCTGAAGAGAGATGGGAAGACTGGTTCTCTTCCCATCTCTCTTCTCTGCCAGTGATGTGCCCAAGGGTGCCAACAGCTTCAGGGTCTCTGGAAGCTCCGGGGTGGAGGTCTTCATGGTCTACAACCGCACACGTGTGAAAGAGCCCATAGGCAAGGCCCGTTGGCCGCTAGACACTGATGCAGACATGGTCGTATCTGTGGGCACAGCCAGTAAGGAATTAAAGGACTTCAAGGTAAGAGGCCACTTTCTCATAGAAAAGGGTTGGATCTCTCCACCCCCATCCAAGGTAAGAGCCCCACATTGGCAATTCCCATTCCAAAGCTCCCCACTTAACCAAACCTCACAAAGCTTATCACAGTACATACACAAAACGTATCCTGATACAATGCCACTGACGCCCAAAACACGCAAACCTCCACCACCACTCCAGTATCACACATGTACACGTGAGTACTCCCACAAAACACAAGCTCTCCTAGTCACCCCCTCAGATTCACAGACAACTTCACATTAATCCCTGTATTCAGCCCACACACGGACCCAGCAAGATGCCCCAGTGCTCTCGTGTGGGCAGGACCGCACAACAACAACCCGTGCAGGTGCACACACACACGTCCACATCTTTGTGTGCACGGATCTCCCACACCTAAGCCAACCTTCTCTCTCATCGCCTGCCCGAAGCTCAGACGAGTCCCTCCTCACTCGCCCCAGCCCCCAGCACCCAAATCCTAGACATGGCCCTTTCTCCCCGACAGGGAAAAGGCAGGGATAAAGCAGCTGTTGAGGGAGGGGCTCAGGAGCCCACTGTGGGCTCAGACCCCACCTCCTCTGCTTGCTAGCTGAGGGACTGCTGGACTGCAGGCAGGGTCCGGACAGTCTCCTGTCGACTGGGGCCATCCCAGGGGCTCACTGGGATGACCCGGCTGGAGGGCTTGGCACGGATTCTGGACCACGCTAAAAGCTCCAGGACCACTGACTGGGGTGATGGAGTGGGGGTTCTCATTCCCATCTTATTGAGGAACTACCCGAGGCTTAGAGGAGCTGAGAGACTTGCCTAAGTCGATGGAGCCGGCTGCTCCTCCCTCATCTGCCAGCTGCTCCTGCTGGGAGCTGCCCCACCTTTCCCATCCCTCCACCTTTCCCCCACCCTCCTTGCTCCTCACACCTGCTCTGGGAACCAAGGTGGGCTCCACAGCCACTTGCTGGAGAAGGTAGCTCTGAATCCCAGCCGGGAGCCCTTGAGTCTTGGGACTTCAGAGACTGGGGGGGTCTCCAGGCCTCCTGTGCCTCTAAGTAGGGCTGTCAGGATGTGTCCCTCATCACCTCTGCCTCCGCCATCTCTGAAGGTGATGGCCGTGCAGGCTTAGGGCTATGTTCTGCAGGTGAGGGTCTCCTACTTTGGGGAGCAGGAAGACCAAGCTCTGGGCCGCAGCGTGCTTTACCTCACTGGCGTCGGTAAGTAGCAGCTCCCTGGCTGCCCATCTATCCCTTTGCCCCTCCAGGTTGACTGTTTGAGGGTCTTAGTGGATTCCTTGGAGTGGAAGACCCATGGCCAGCTTCCTCCATCACTGAGGGGCTTGGATTCCTCGGGACCTTCTGTCCACTCTGGAACCACAGGGATTGAGACCCAGCAGTCCTTAGGACCACAAGGATCTAGAAACTTCACTGCCCAGTGAACAACGGCTAGACCCACAATAAGCCTCCTTCATCCAGAGTCCCACGTATACCCTCATTAGACCTCCAAGACCCAGCACGGAACGTGCCCCCTTCAGCCAGGGCCAGGGTCAATGTAACGGCAGAACCCAGCCCCTGCAACCTCAGGCCATGTCCCCAGTTCTCAGAGTTTGGGGTCACCAGCATATGATTTGGAACCCCAAAGCCACCAAGAGCTAGCAGGTGGACATGCACAGGCAAGCAAGTGATTCAAGAGCCAAAGGCTTGGGTCCCTCCAACTCCCAGAACCACAGGGCAAGCCACAGAGGTCTCCCAAGTGTGGGGTCTGACCCCCAGACAGGGCTTCCAGTCCTCACGGGCTTGGGGAGGGGTCAGAGTTTGCCCAACCTGGACTTTAGGGGTGTGAAGATGGGGCTGGATGAGCCCCTGGCAGCCCCTCTCCATCTCTTTGCAGATATTTCCCTTGAGGTTGACACAGGCCGCACAGGCAAGGTGAAGAGGAGCCAAGGGGACAAGGTGAGACCCTTCCGGGCACCCCAAGGCTGCGGGGTTGAAAGGCAAACTTGGGGTGGTCCCGGGTGGATTGTGCCCTCCCTCCAGAAGAATGATGGATCCCCAGGGTCTGTAGTATCCAACCATGTAGGGAACCCATCTGGGACAGCAAAATTGGCATGAGTGGACATTAACCTACACCCTGTAACCGACATGCTGTGTGACTGCTGGAAAACAGCTTACCCTCTCTGGGTCTCTCTTGTGCCACTTTGAAATTGGGATTGGTTCTTTTGTTGCTGCCTTTTTTATTTTGAGGGCTATATTTGGACCCCTACACATGTGGGAGTGCTTCCTAAAAGATTGTTGAGTGACAGAAGGCAAGGAGAAGACAAGCCTTGGGGTAGAGGAGGCTATGGTGGTCAGCCCCAGGTAACACCTGAAGAGTAAGGAGGAGGACAGAGTGGGCTCAAGGCGTCACCCCACAGGAACTATCTGGAAGCTGTCCTGGGAGGGGTAGAAGGTACAATTTAAAGGGAAAGACTCCAGAGAGGCAGCCTGGATCACAAAGCTTTGAGGACAAGGTGGGCAGGGCTGCCATGGATGGCTGCGTGGGTTGTTCACTGCACAAGACTGCTTGGGCATGGTGGCAACTATGATACAAATCATGTCTAGGGCCCTGCTGCAGAGTGGCATCTACCCAGAGGGTGGGCAAGAGTGCCATAAAGGCTAACAGTGGCCCTGTGCAATCCCAAGAACCTGGGTTTAAAGGCCAGCTATGCGGCTTGGGACTCACCTCTCAGAACCTCCCCGCACCCTTCTGTGAAATGGGGAAAGTAAGCCCTGCCTTGTGGGTCTGGTGGGGAGGTGTGTTGGGGACAGCAGCAACCACAGAGGCAGGGAGAGCTCCAGCCATGTTTCCCGACTTGGCTCAGACCTCAGCTTGCAGAGCCTGCAGGACTGCATGCGGATGCCAGAGATATCTATGGGACAGGTTCCAGGAGAGTGCTGGGATGGGAAGGGTCTCCCAAAGATTCTCCAGATCCCGACCCTCATCAAGGTCATGGCAGGCAGCCTCTGCCCACCCCCGCCCCACAGGCAGAGCTAAAGCTTAGCCAGCTTTTGAGGGCCATTTCTTGGTGTGGTAATGACACCTTTGCTTCTCCAGTGTGATGGCTGGGTAGAGCCATTGTGTATGGTTGTGCAGGTTGCTCACTGCACAAGGATGAGGTGGGTCTAGAGCCTTATCTGGAACTCCATTCCCCAAATAATCCTTTTTAAAATCTTTAAGCAAACTAAAAATATGAAAATCTATAATCTAATAAAGCAGCCCGCCCTGGCCATGTCTAGAACCCCTTCCTGGAGCCTCCTGGGTCCCACTGATCCCAAGGCATCTTATTTTGCCACAGAAAACCTGGCGCTGGGGCCCTGAGGGCTATGGGGCTATCTTGCTGGTGAACTGTGACCGGGACAATCACAGGTCCGCAGAGCCTGACCTCACCCACAGCTGGCTGATGTCGCTGGCTGGTGAGTGACACAAGGTGTTGTCTGGGGAGTGGGGAAGGGGGATGGAAGTGGATCCTGTTGGTGGGGTGGAGAAAGGGCGATCTCAAGAGGGCCACTCTCTCCAGACCTGCAGGACATGTCCCCAATGCTGCTGAGCTGCAATGGCCCCGACAAGCTCTTCGACAGCCACAAGCTTGTCTTGAACGTGCCCTTTTCTGATTCCAAAAGAGTGAGGGTCTTCTGTGCCAGGGGTGAGTGGCCTGATGGGGCCTTTTCCTCCCAGCTCCATCCATATCTATCCTCTCCTCCCCCATCTCTCTCTCTTTTTTTCCATCACCTTTTTGTAACTCTCATTACAGCTTACAAACAACCACTCCATCAGTACCAAATATAGTCCTCAAGGAGGAGGTTCAACAACAACGAGTTCCATTTTATGGAGAGGAAAACCGAGGCTCAGATGCAGGAATTCACTATGGCACAACCATCTGGGGTGGAGCAGGCATTCCAACCCAGGTGTCTTGGGTGCACCAAAGCTCCTCCTTTTACCATTGCCCCACACCCGTTCCCTCCTCTGGTCAATCAGCGTGGACTGAACTGCATGCCAAGCACTGTCCAGGCAGGGAGGGCGTGAGAACCAGTGAGGCTGAGGCCCGGGCCCTGCCTCTGGCCCCAGAACCTGTCTTTCTCATCAGAGTTTTTATTAATCAGCCTGTGGCTTAAAAAAATATGGCCAAGGCTGGGCGCAATGACTCACATCTGTAATCCCAGTACTTTGGGAGGCGGATCACCTGAGGTCAGGAGTTTGAGAGCAGCCTGGCCAACACAGTGAAACCCTGTCTCTATTAAAAATACAAAAATTAGGCCGGGCACGGTGGCTCACACCTGTAATCCTAGCACTTTGAGAGGCCGAGGAGGGTGGATCACAAGGTCAGGAGATCGAGAACATCCTGGCTAACATGGAGAAAACCCGTTTCCACTAAAAAATACAAAAAAATTAGCCAGGTGTGGCGGCAGGTGCCTGTAGTCCCAGCTGCTCCGGAGGTTAAGGCAAGAGGTGGAGCTTGCAGTGAGCTGAGATCACGCCACTGCACTCCAGCCTGGGCGACAGAGTGAGACTCTGTCTAAAAAAAAAAAAAAAAATTAGCTGGGTGTGGAGACTCATGCCTGTAGTCCCAGCTACTCGGGAGGTTGAGGCAGGAGAATCACTCAAACCCAGGAGGCAGAGGTTGCAGTGAACCAAGATCATGCCACTGCACTCCAGCCTGGGTGAGTGAACCAAGATCATGCCACTGCACTCCAGCCTGGGTGACAGTGCAAGACTTCATCTCAAAAAAAAAAAAAAAGAAAAAGAAAAAATTGGCCGGGCCCAGTGGCTCATGCCTATAATTCCAGCACTTTGGGAGGCCAAGGCGGGAGGATCACTTGAGCCCAGGAGTTTGAGACCAGCCTGGGCAACATGGCAAAACCTTGTCTCTACAAAACATACAAAAAAATTAGCCTGTAGTCCCAGCTACTCTGAAGGCTGAAGTGGGAGGATCACTTGAGCCCAGGAAGTCAAGGCTGCAGGGAGCCGTGTTCATGCCACTGCACTCCAGCCTGGGAGACAGAGTGAGACCCTGTCTCAAATAAATAAATAAATAAATAAATAAATAAATAAATAAATAAATAAATAAATTACCACTCCTTAACCCCGGACTGCTCTTACTTGTTTTTACAAACAGCAACAGGCTTCTACCCCTTCCCGATTCCCCTTCACCCTTCGCTGTTCAAACTGACCCAGAGCTTGTTGTTCCAGCTAAATGAGCCTGGCAGGAGCCAGAATGTTCCCTCCCATGCACCAGTGGTGGATGTTTAGGCAGAGGACTCAGCTTAAAAGTACTTAGTGTGACACCAGGGCGTAAGCAAAGTCTCGACAAGTGAATGGATAGCCTCTCTTGCCGTGTGCAGCCACCAATGTGCTCTCTGTATCTCTGAAATTCCCTATCTGGATATTTCATATAAATGGAACCATACAATAGGCTTCTTTTAGTTAGCATAATGTCTTCAAGGTTCATCCATGGTGTAGCATGAATCAGTGCTTCATTACTTTTCTTATGTTTTAGAGACAGGGTCTCACTCTGTTGTCCAGGCTGGCGTGCAGTGATGCTATCACGGCTCACTGCAGCCTTGAACTCCCGGGCTCAAGCGATACTCCCACCTCAGCCTCCCGAGTAGCTGGGACTACAGACATGTGCCACCACGCCTGGCTATTTTAAAAAATTTTTTGTAGAGATGGGGTCTCCCTATGTTACCCAGGCTGGTCTCAAGTGATCCTCCCGCCTTGGCCTCCCAAAGTGCTGGGATTATAGACATGAGCCACCATACCTGTCTGGTCATTACTTTTTACGAATTAATAATATTCCATCTTATGAATATATTACATTTTGCATATCTATTTATCCATGGGTAATTTTCACCTTTTGTGCCAGGTGCTTCTATCTCTTTATTTAGTTTAAAGTTTATATTGGCCTCATGAGAAAATGTTAGCCATTTTACAGATAAGAAACTGAGGCTTAGAGAGGTTGAGTCATTGAGCTAAGGCCATGCAGCTTGCACGTGGCAGAGCCAGAGAGGAACCCAAGCTGCTCTAACCACAAAGGGGGCTCTGTCCTGGATTCCTGGGCTTGCAGCCCCTCACCCCTGTCTCCTCGCTAGCCCCTGACTCTTGTTCTTCCTAGGTGGGAATTCTCTCTCGGACTACAAACAGGTGCTGGGGCCCCAGTGTCTGTCCTATGAAGTTGAGCGACAGCCAGGGGAGCAGGAGATCAAGTTCTATGTGGAGGGGCTGACCTTCCCCGATGCCGATTTCCTAGGGCTGGTTTCCCTCAGTGTCAGCCTGGTGGACCCGGGGGTGTGTACAGCACTGGGGGGTGGCCAAGGAGGCTGAGGGGTTTGGGGGCCCAGTTTGCAGGCTCCAGGGCTGGGCAGGCTGGGGGCTGGGGGGGCTTGAGGCAGGCTAGGGGTCCCTGCAGGGCCCACCAAGTCCTCATTTTCCCCTCAGACCCTGCCCGAGGTGACCCTCTTCACAGACACTGTGGGCTTCCGCATGGCCCCCTGGATCATGACGCCCAACACTCAGCCTCCTGAGGAGCTGTATGTGTGCAGGTGAGGCTCCCTCCCTCCAGCCCTCCCCCAAGTCTGGAGTGCAGAGGTAGGGACAGAAGCTGCCTCAGGGCTGCGCCCCTCACTCACACCGACGGATTCATTGCGGGCACCCATTCAGGCAGAGCTGGTGGCAGGACAGCAGCAGGTGGGCTGGGGCCCCACCCTGCCCAACCCTGACCCACCCTGCCCTGTGCAGCTAAGGCCTCTCCCAGGTCACTGGCTCAAGCTCTGGCTTTCCTGCCCATCCTGTCCTGTGGCTGCAGCCCCAGAACATCTCAGATTTAGTCTGGGCAGTGGAGCCAGGCCCTGCACAGGCTGCTGGTGGCCATCGGAGACCTACCCTCACTGTAACATGGGTACGATCCCTTGCCTGCTATGGACATGGGAACCCAGTCTCTGCAAGCCCGATCTCACCCAGCTTGCTGGTCCTTCTGCCGTCTCTCAGAATCCTCATCATGCCCTTGAGGGAAGGATCAGCCTCGATTGGCAAAGCCCTGCCAGGCCTCTGTGCCAGAGGTCAGACCACTGGAAAAAGCCACAGTTGAGCTGGTCATAAGTTAAAAGGCTGGGAAGGGTGTGGCCAAACAGGTTTGCTCTGCTTCCCCGGGTCTAGGTGTGTGTAGGTGTTAAAAAGAGACTGTTCTCCTGCTTGCTAACCCCACCCTGACCCCTTTGCTTAGGCCAATTGTGTGGAACAGGAGTAGATGGGGCTACCTGCCCCTCACTGCTATTTTAACCCAAAAGATTCAGCCTCAGGTCACCTCTGTGGCGACTTCCCTGACTCCCTGTGCTGGGTTAGGTGCCCTGCCTCTGGGCACCACTGCCCGCGCTTATGCCTCACCTTGCACCTGTCACCTGATGTGATCTGGAGACTTTATCCATCTTCCCCATGCGCCTATGAGCCTCTCAAGGTCATGAACTGGAACCCCTGTACCCCAGAGGCTGCACAGGGCCCAGCACAAACTGAAGGCCACTCACACCTCAGCCACAGTCAGAGGCCATTAGCATGCTCCCCTCTCCCTACCTTTTACAGAGTGATGGACACTCATGGCTCCAATGAGAAATTCCTGGAGGACATGTCTTATCTGACATTGAAAGCCAACTGCAAGCTGACCATCTGCCCTCAAGTTGAAAATCGAAATGACCGCTGGATCCAGGTGGGAGCTGGGGGCAGCTCGGGAAGCCTGCAGCCTGGCTTGGGGAAAGGGAAGCCGCACAGGTGCCTGATGGACCCAGTGTCGCTAGAGAAGCCACGGCAGCCTGGGCCAGGCCTCTGGGGCGAGGGCTTTTCCGCTGCCTGCATCAGCCCCAGCCTCCACTGCTTCCCTCCAAACGCTCTGGTCCCAGATGAAAGTCCTCTCCTGGCTGGGGTCCTAAGAGGCCTCACTTCTACCTCTGCCCCTCACCAGGTCTTAGGGAAGACCCGCTGCCCTGCCCTGCCCCAGGCCTGGTGGGGACCACCCTGTTCTGTAAACCACCCGAAAAAGGTCACTGTGGCTTTTTCATCTCTCCCCTCCCAGGACGAGATGGAGTTTGGCTACATCGAGGCCCCTCACAAATCCTTCCCCGTGGTCTTTGACTCCCCCAGGAACAGGGGCCTGAAAGATTTCCCCTATAAGAGGATCCTGGTACGTAGCGACAGGTAGAGTGCAGAAACCCTGGTTGGGTCCTCCTGGAGGCGCACCAGTGAAGTCTCATCTGGACCTAGTCCTATAGGGCTCAGAGAACAGGAAGAGGGGGCAGAAGGATACAGGAGGTGGGATGTCAGCAAACTGGGGAGCCAGTGCGGAGTTTGGGCAAGAGAGGAAATGATATGCAAATCACATGCAAATAGGCAGCAGCCTGATTGTTCCTGTGTTGGGAGGGGCAGGTCAGCAGCCCTCTTCTGGATAAGGCGGCTGGTCACCAAGGGGGAATTGGCAGTGTGGTCAGCTCTGGGGAGACCAAACTGCCTTTTGGAGAGAATGCACCCTTAGTGAGCCTGCACGGCTCTTGTTCTTAAGAGCTAGGGCCTCTCTTTAGGTGCCAAATGTTTTCTGAACACCTACTACGTGCCAGGCACTGTGCTACCTCCTGTGCACAAGATGGCAACAGCAGCACCCACCGTTACTTATTGAGTTCCAGGCACTGTCTCCTAGCTTTCCATGGCTTACCTTATGTATTCCATGGGGTACTCCTACAGATAAGTGCTATCATTATTTCCTCTTTATGGATGAGGAAATCAAGGCTCAGGGAGGTTAAGTAACTTGCCCCAGGCCATGCAGCAAGTTAATAGTGGCACCAAGATGCAAAACTAGGGGGGCTGTCCCCACAGCCCTGCACTCAGCCTCGAGGCTGCACTACCCCTCGAGGTGAGTCCACAGTCTCTGCCTGTTTCCCGGCTCCCACTCTTCCACTGCTGGGACGGTGATGGTCCAGGTAGGAGCTGTGATGGGATGCAGTCTGTGGGCACACAGAGCAGGGACATTCAACCCAGCCTGGAGGGATCAGGTGACAATGAACCCTGTAGGTGAGTGCACCCGCCAGGGCCAGCGTGCTGGAGGGGGACCCACCTGACCTGCCCCGGGCTTGGCCTGTAGGAGCCAGGGGATTTTTTCACTGATTTCTGCTCTCATCTTTATCATTTTCATTTTCTACTTTCTTTGTGTTTAGTTTGCTGTTCTTTTTCTGGCTTGAAATGGAAACTAAGATGTTTCAGCCTTTTCTTTTTATTTTATTTATATGTATATATATATTTTTTATTATACTTTAAGTTCTAGGGTACATGTGCCATGTTGGTGTGCTGCACCCATTAACTCGGCATTTACATTAGTTATATCTTGTAATGCTATCCCTCCCCCATCCCCTCACCCCACATCAGCCTTTTCTCTTCCTAAAAAAAACACGTGTTTGTTTGTTTGTTTTTGAGAAGGAGTCTCACACTGTTGCCTGGGCTGGAGTGCAATGGCGCGATCTTGGCTCACTGCAACCTCTGCCTTCCGGGTTCAAGCGATTCTCCTGCCTCAGCCTCCCGAGTAGCTGGGATTACAGGTGTCCCCCACCCTACCACCACGCCTGGCTAATTTTTTGTATTTTTAGTAGAGATGGGGTTTCACCATGTTGTCCAGGCTGGTCTCAAACTCCTGACCTCGTGATCCACCCACCTCGGTCTCCCAAAGTGCTGGGATTACAGGTGTGAGCCACCACGCCTGGCCTACTTTATTTTATGAAACAGGGTCTTGCTCTGTCACCCAGACTAGAGTGCAGTGGTGCAATCCTAGCTCACTGCAGTCTCCACCTCCTGGGCTCAAGCCATCCTCCCACTTCACCCCCTGAGGAGCTGGGAGCACAGGCTTGCCCCACCACGCTCAGTTTAAATACACATGTCTAGAGCTCTGACAACTCCCTAGCAGTGCTGCCTCGTCAACATCTCATGAGTTTTAATGTGCTATCAAAAGACAGCAGATTTTTATGAATTTCACTTCAAAATCTTGTCTAATTTCCACTTTGATTTCTTCTTTGATCCATGGATTCTTTAGATGTATACTGCTTAATTTCCAAACATTTGGGGGAGTTTTTAGTTATCTTTGGTTATTGATTTGTCTTTAATCGCATGGTTCGCAGAGCCCAGGGGGGATTTGTAAAAAGTGGACAGAGATCGTTTTTCAGGTACTAAGAGCCATGGAGTGGGAGACCCCCAGCAACTCCCCTCTACTCCAAGAACTGCCTCGTCCTGTCCTCACTGACCTCTCCTTCTTGGGGTGGGGGTCTCGCTGGTTCTTCCATAGGGTCCTGACTTTGGATATGTTACCCGGGAGATCCCGCTCCCTGGTCCCTCCAGCCTTGACTCCTTCGGCAACCTGGACGTCAGCCCGCCCGTCACGGTGGGCGGCACGGAATACCCCCTGGGCCGGATCCTCATCGGGAGCAGCTTCCCCAAGTGAGGGGCTGGGGCGGGAGGTGGGGAGGCACAAGGGAATGACTGCAGCATCCACCCTCCCTGTGCCCCCATCACAAACACAATTCCCCAGTCTGAGAAGTGATCTTAACTTCCTGCGTGGAATCCTGGAATCAAAGACTCGGCAACCTAGGATCTCAGATTTAAAAGATCAGAGAATCTTAGGAGAAAAGTCACACGCTTGTGGCCTGCGATCTTTTGGCCTACCTCATTTTATGAGCTTAATGAGTCACCAACATAAACAGATATCGGGAGGGCCTCCCATAAAAAGGCAGGTTTCTGGCTTCTCATGAAAAATTGGAGAAGCTGGGGAGGTGAGATACAGTCTGGCACAGAGACAGAGGAATAGACTCATTGACTTCTCCCATTAGGAAGTCAGAATAGCTTCTGTCCTAACCATGGCTTAAAAGGGTCCTGAGGTCATGAAGTTCCCAGGGCAGGTGGCTGCAGGTAAGCAAGTGATTGGCCAGGATACCCTGATGACAGAGGTGAGTCAGTGGATCTCACCCTGGACAGATGTGATGGAGCAGGAAACAAGGTATTTAGGTTTTAACGCTCAAACAGGTGGCGATGTCTGTTAGGTCCTGCTGAGTGGGTGCACACCCTCCCTGCAGGTAACCAAAGAATGACGTGTGCAGTTCAGGGTCCTGGTGGGTCCCCCTGTTTCCTCCCTGGAGATGACACCCACTGTAAGCCCTGGAGATCACCTTCCTGTTTGTGGGGTTTTTGCATAGCAGGGGTGCCCCCACTTACCCCCCAAGCCCTGGCTGACCATCTGGTCTCCAGCCCAGAGGAGTCAGGCAGTGCTGAGAAGGTCACAGCCTCACCTGGTGAATCTGGCAGCCTCAGAGCTCTGGATCGGATGAGGCGAGGCTTCCTGGCACCTACCCAGGCACGTAACTGGGTGCCCAGACAGGATGCCTGGGGCTGAGACTGGCCAGGCGAGAGGCATGTGCTCACCCTGTTGGTGACTCATGCCCAGACACTACTGTGTGGGCTGTTCTACCCACACCCTTGGGGGCAGACGGTCCTTGAGGCCTCAGGACAGTCTTTCTCTAACTCAGGGAGGAACCCGTGAGGAAGGAGCACAGGCTTTGGAATCAGATGGACTTGGGTTTGAGTCCTGGCCCTGCCACTTGCCAGCTACATGATTTGGGATGAGTCCCCCAAACCAGTGTATACCACAGTGCCTGGCACACAATAGGTACTCAATTAATTCACTTAAAAATATTTATTGTATGCCAGGCACAGTTAAAGGTACTGGGGATACATCAGTGAACAAAACAGATGCATTTTAAATGAGCAAATTATTTTGTACTCCATGCCTCAGTTTCCTTATCTTTAAAACGGGCCTGATGAAAATCCCAGTCCTAGCTACAGAATCAGCATTACTGGGGATAAAGAATTCGTGTCAACCACCTCTTGAATGCTTAGGTATTTTTCATTTGGCCCCAGTAGTGGGGCTGCTTCAAAGCAGGTTGGAACTAACTGGAAAAATGTATTGACCAGCTACTACCTACTACATGTCACACCCATAGTGCTTTCCCCAGGCTACCTCATTTAATTTCTACAACAACCCTGTGAGACTGAGACCATCATTATCCCCACTTTACAGATAAGGAAGCTGAGGCTTGGAAAAGTTAAGTTACGTGCATTCTTTCATACATTCATTTACCAGTTCAGTAAATATTTATGGAGACTTCCTATAGGCCAAGCCCAAAGTCTAATGCTGGGGATACAGAAATGGCTGAGGAGCTTGCCCTTGAGATTTAGAGTCTAATGAGGGAGACAGGCAAGCAATGGATCAGAGAGGGGATCACATATCATCCCACGTGCGTTGTCCTAGAAGGCTTCCTAGGGGCAGCCAACGATATTGACGCTTCTTTGCGAGGCCAAGGTGGGTGGATCACCTGAGGCCAGGAGTTTGGGACCAGCCTGGCCAACATGGTGAAACCTCGTCTCTGCTAAAAATACTAAAATTAGCTGGGCCTGATGGTGCACGCCCATGGTCCCAGCTACTTGGGAGGCTGAGGTAGGAGAATTGCTTGAATCCAGGAGGCAGAGGTTGCGCTGAGCTAAGATCAAGCCACTGCACTCCAGCCTAGGTGACAGAGCAATACTCCGTCTAAACAAACAAATAAATGAAGGAAAGAAGGAAGGGAGGGAGGGAGGGAGGAAGGGAAGGAAGGAAGGAAGGAAAGAAGGAAGGAAGGGAGGGAGGGAGGAAGGGAAGGAAGGAAGGGAGGGAGGGAGGGAGAGTGGGAGGGAGGAAGGGAAGGAAGGAAGGAAGGAAGGAAGGAAGGAGGGAAGGAAGGAAGGAGGCAAAGTAGTGTGGAGTGGACCATGTTGCAGGCAGAGGGAAGCGCTCAGGCAGAAGCCTGGAAGCCAGAGAAGGTACAGCTCAAAGGAAAAGTCGAAAAAACTCGGTATGGGTGGCATGTAGATGGGCAGGGATGGACCGGTAGGACCTCAGGCAGGAGGGGGCTCTGCGGGTCCAGCTGGGGACAGAGTTCAGGGAGAAACCATTCTGTTCAGATGCCTCATGGGGCAGTTCTCTCCTCCAGGATCCTTGGGACCTGGGCTCAGGAGCAGAGAGCTCAGAGGATGCAGGCTCAGGGGCGGAGAGCCGGAGGATGTAGGCTCAGGGGCAGAGAGCTCGGAGGATGCAGGCTCAGGGGCAGAGAGCTCAGAGGATGCAGACTCAGGAAGGGGAGGGGCTCCTTGGTGTTCTCCAAGGACTTTGCTCCCTTCTCTGTCCCAGGCTCCTGCCCCAGTCTCTATATCACACTGCAACACATGGACATCCTTACCTGTCTGCTCCCACAAGCCTCACGAGCCAGTGAGCCAAGCCAGGAACCTTCTCTCAAGGGTGCAGGGGTCTGCTCTGGGAACTCCCAGGCACAGAGCAAGGACCCCACATGGGAAAGTGAGGGGTCTCCTGTGTGGACGTGTCCCCATTCCATTGGCTGTTGGACTGAAAACCAGGAATGAGGCCTTTGGTGGATAGATAGGACCTGAGGTTTGAAAAGGGTTGGCTACGTATTAGGACCACATAGCAAGTTAGCAGTACGGTCAGAACCCAGGTCTCCTTCTACCTGGGCTCCAAACTCAAATTTAGCACCTCAGGCTGCTGTCCAGTGACCCTGCCTTGGTTTCTGACCTTAGCAATGGACAAACCAGACAACCAAACATTCCAGCAGAGAGAAACAGACAATAAGTGAACAAAACAAATAAGTACCTCCAATCATATGTATGAATATAGTATGAATGCATGAACAAATGCATATAACTTTAATTTTCTGGGACTCAACTCCCTCACCTGTAAAATGGGGACAGTAATAGTCCCAACCCCACAGGGCTGTCATAAGGATTAAATGAGGTAGCCTGGGTAAAGCATGTGTGTGGCACATGTCAATAAATGTTTGTCTCAGCTTTGCTGAGAGTCTGCTGTTTAAACAAAGCCTTGAAGGAAAAGAGGCAGTTAGGCCAAGCACAGTGGCCCTCACTTGTAGTCCCAGTGCTGTGGGAGGCCGAGGTGGGGGGGTCGCTTGAATCCAGGAGTTTAAGACTAGCCTGGGTGGCATGGCGAAACCCACCTCTACAAAAATTACAAAAATTAGCCGTGCGTGGTGGCACATACCTGTTGTCCAAGCTACTCAGGAGGCTGAGGTGGGAGGATCACTTGAGCACGGGAGGTTGAGGCTGCAGTGAGCCATGCACTCCAGCCTCTAGGCTGGGCAACAGAGTGAGTGAGACCTTGTCTCAAAAAAAAATTAAAAAAGAGAGAGAGAAAGAAAGAAAAAAAGAAAGGAAGGAAGGAAGAGGAAGAAAGAGAAAAGAAGGAAAGAAAGAAGAGGCAGTTAAAGATGTGGCTACTTAGGAGAATATTCCAGGGTGTAGAAACAGCTGTGCAAAGGCCCTGAGGCAAGAGCAGGCTGGAGACAGCAGATCAGCAGGGAGGCTGGTGGGCCTGGAGCCAAGTGAGCAAGGAGGGGCGCAGTGGGGAGTGAGGCCAGAGAGCTTGGCCGAGCACGCTTCAGATGTAACTTGGAGCTGGTATTTCTATGTATATCATAGGGTCATCAGGAGGCTTAAACAAGACACTTACTGCGAGGACCCTAAGGACAGCACACAGTAGGTGCTCAAATGCACACACAAATGCACAGTCCATTCTCTGCTGTCTTGGCTTCTCCACGCTCTACGCCCCACGTTTAAAGCGTTCTTTGAGCAATTCCGCCCCCTGGTGGCAGATCTGATGATGACTCAGGCAAGGCCTGATGCCTCTCAGGCACAAGGTGACTGCCCGCCCTCTCCCTCCTGGCCAGGTCCGGTGGGCGGCAGATGGCCAGGGCAGTGCGGAACTTCCTGAAGGCACAGCAGGTGCAGGCACCCGTGGAGCTCTACTCGGACTGGCTCTCTGTGGGCCATGTGGACGAGTTTCTGACCTTTGTGCCTACCTCTGACCAAAAGGTGCGTCCCCTCCTTCCCTGCCTGAGCCACCTCTGCCCTTGTCTGACCTGATGGGATGAGTCAGGGCAAAGCCATCTGGAACCAGCTCAACCCTGTGCCCCGAGTAAGCTCTGGATTGGGACATTTTCTGGGTCAGGGCACCCTGACACGCTCATCCTCACACTTCCAGGGTATTTGTGCTTGGACCCAAATCCCTTATCCAATAGTCAGGAATGATATTGATAATAATTGGTAATATTTATTGAGCACCTACTATGTGCCAGATACTCACATGTTTTAATTCATTTAATCCTCCAACAAGCCCGTCAAGTGGGTGCAATTATTATTGTCCCATTTTACAAGCGAGGAAATTGAGGCTCAGAAGGGCAATTAACCCATCCAAGCTCACCCAGCCTGCAGGTGTCAGGATAGGATTCAAATCCGGGTTCTGGGCCTCTACAGTAAGCCTTGCAGAGGTGGCTTGGGAAGGCATGGCCAGGGAGCCAGCAGCCTGGGAGAGGAGGCTTCCCAGTGACCAGTGGTTACAGCTCTGCTAGGGACAGCTCTGACAGTGAAGGAGGAGACATCTGAATTGGGTATTTTGTTTGTTTTTTGTTTGTTTGTTTTTCGAGACAGAATCTTGCTCTGTTGCCCAGGCTGGAGTGCAATAGCGCGATCTTGGCTCACTACAACCTTCACCTGCTGGGTTCAAGCGATTCTCCTGCCTCAGCCTCCCAAGTAGCTGGGATTACACCACCATGCCCAGCTAATTTTTTGTATTTTAAGTAGAGACAGGGTTTCACCATGTTGGCCAGGCTGGTCTCAAACTCCTGACTGCAGGTGATCTGCCCACCTTGGCCTCCCAAAGTGCTGGGATTACAGGCGTGAGCCACGACACCCAGCCCTGAATTGGGCCTTGAAGGAAGAAATCAGAATGCCCTGGTGGGCAAAATGCGAAGGGCGTCCAGGGAGGGAGAACAGCACAGACAAAGTTCTGGAGGTGGGAACCTGCTTGGAGGACTGGGAGAGTTGCAGACAGTGCTTTGTGGCTGGGGTGTAGACCGAGTGGGAGAGGGGAGTCCCAAGAACTGTCAGGCCCCTCCTGAGTCCTGAGTCTGGGGTCTCCTGTGTCTAAGGGGACCCTGTCCACTGAGCCATTCTCCCTCCCTCCGTGCCAGGGCTTCCGGCTGCTCCTGGCTAGCCCCAGCGCTTGCCTCAAACTCTTCCAAGAGAAGAAAGAAGAGGGTTATGGGGAGGCAGCCCAGTTTGATGGTGAGTGCCAATGACCCGGTCACCCCTGGGGGACCCTGCCCTTTCATCACCATCCTTGGGTACAGCCCCTGCACCTGCAGATCTCTCAGCTGGACTCAGAACCCAACACCCACTCTCTGTTTCTTGGGTCCCCAGGTCCTCTGATGGGTGGGGGAGTTCCTGGGCCACACCCCAGGAGAGGAAAGGCACAGGAAGTCATGAGTGCCCCAGGTGCCGGTCAATGCCAGGCATGTTCTTGTTCTCACTCCCCTTTGATCTCTCTCCCCTCTTCCTTATCCCTGTTCACAGAAGTGGAAACTGAGGCTCAGAAAGGTGAATTGGCTTGGACAGGGCTATGCAGCCAGGGAGCAGCAGGGCTGGGGCCTTGAGAGAGGAAGGAGGAGAAGCCAGGCTTGGTCAGGGCCCCTCTGCAGAGCTTCCTGCAGGAGCTAACAGACCCTCCAAGGGCTTGGTTGGCCCATCTCCCCTCCTTATCACAGCCTCAGTGTTCTCATCTGGGGAATACCTGGGGAATAGAGCATTGGAATGGATGTGGTGCAGACATCCACAAGGATAGCCCTGAGTTCAAATCCTGATCTTGGCATTTGCTGGCTGTGGTATCAAGGGTGTGTTCTGAACCTCTCAGTGCCTCAGTTTCCTCTTCTCTGAGTTGTAGATGATAATTAATCCCTCCTATAGTTGCTTTAAATATTAATAATACATTAAGTAGGATGCCCAGAGCATGGCAGACATTCAATAATGGTAGCTGTGCCATAATTATTAGGCTCCAAGTCCAGAGTCACTTCCTGAGGGGTTCCTTATCCATCACCAGGTTTTCCTTGCAGCCATGGCTTGGTCCCTTCAGGGGTTCTCAGTCTCTGGCTTTCTCTGTCCTGGCTTCTGACCCTGGCACTGAGGTAGGAGGGAAATCCTGGCCTGGATTATGTAGCCCCAGGCTGAAGACGGCCTCCAGGCAGTGCTCCCTGAGCTATGTACTGTCTTTCTCTTCTTGCAGGGTTAAAACACCAGGCAAAAAGAAGCATTAATGAGATGCTGGCAGACAGACACCTCCAGAGAGACAATCTTCATGCACAGGTGAGAGGCAGGACCACCAGCTGCTCTAAGGGGTCCTTTCCCTTCCAGGGAGAAGAAGCCCCAGGAACTGGGTTGGGTCAGAGATTCAGCGCTGGAGCTCTCATGGTCCTGGGGGCTGCTGGGGCCTGCAGGTGGGATAGAGCCTCTGCCTTCAGGAACCCACAGTCTGATGGAAGAGACAGAGCCATGCCCTCAGAGAGCTCCCAGCCTAATGAGGGAGACCCGGCCCCACGCTGGGGCAATGACCTATTTTCACAGAAGCAAATCTGAGCCTCTCATCTGAGAAGTCTGGTGAAATGCGAGAGACACGGTGGGGAAATAGGACCTTGAGGGGCCCAGAGGTGGGGTGGGTAAGATTCAGGGGGATCCTGTGGGAACAGGTGAAGCAAGGTGTCAGGAAGGGGCAGGGCTCACCCCAAGGATAAAAAATGCCTGCCCCATGCAAGGCGAAGGGGCTAGCACAGAGTCGGTGCTCAGTTAATGGCAGGAGGGCCCTTACCCCTTCCCGGTAGTGCCCAGCGCTTTCTCCTAAGCTGCTGAGAAGGGACAGGAGCATCAGCCATGCTGTGGCTGGGGCTGGGACAGTGTGTTGTGCTGACAAGAACATTTGCATCCAGAAACTGCCTGGGTTCGAACCCCAGCTTTGGCACATCCTAGCCTTGTGCACTTGAGCAGGTTGCCTGAGCCTCAGTTTCCCCCGGACAGCAATGGTTTCTATTGCACAAAGCTGTTGTGAGGCTTGAAGGAGCTAGCGGGCCCAGAGGGCTCCACACGGGCCCAGCGCACAGTAGGTGCTTGGCCAGTGTTATGCTCTTCCTAGTCCTGGGCTGCCCAGCTGCCTCCTTCCCCAGAAATGCATTGACTGGAACCGTAATGTGCTGAAGCGGGAGCTGGGCCTGGCAGAGAGTGACATCGTGGACATTCCCCAGCTCTTCTTCCTGAAAAACTTCTACGCGGAAGCCTTCTTCCCAGACATGGTGAGAGCCCTTGTGCAGGGTCCTGCTGGGGGGTCTGCGGGGCTCTGAGAAGAAGCACTCCCTGGCCCAGGGCAGGCTGGTGCAGAGGCTGGAGGGCCCTGCGGACCTCTCCAGTGTCTGTTTTTGTGAATATAGAGAACATTCCCATCAGTGGCTCTCAACCAGGGCAATTTTGCCCCCAGGGGATTTTTGTTGCCGCAGTGAGGTGCATGCCCCTGGCATCTGGTGGGTAGAAGCCAGGGATTTCACTAAACATCCTACAGAGCATAGGATGCCCCGCCACAAAGCACTTTTTTTTTTCTCACCCAGATGGAAAAAGAAAGCGTGGTTTGGTTCCAAGTGTTTCAGGCTTCTGTCTCTGGGTCTCAGCTGCCTGCTGTGTTCCCCACCACAGCCCCTCGCTTGCTGCTCCCCAGTGGGGGTCCTGTGTCAGGCGGTGCAGGTGGGGTGGGCGGTGGCCTCGCTGACTCTCATTAACAGGGCAGCTGACAAGGAGATGAGCAGATGTGATCTCAACTGGGAAGGGCCTGAGCGATGCTATCGGGGTGGGCCTGGCCCAAGTGCCCATTAACCTCTTGGGAAAGGATGTTGGGGTGTTGGCAGCTGGCAGGGATGGTCCCCCGGGATGGGGATAGACCCTCTTTCTTCAGACTGCGGTCTTTAGCTTGAATCCCTCTCTTGGGACAAGCCGAGGGTTGGAAGTGAATGTCGGAATCGGGATGGAATCAGGGTTGGAAGTGAAAGTCGGAATCGGGATGGAATCAGGGTTGGAAGTGAATGTCAGAATCGGGATGGAATCAGGGTTGGAAGTGAATGTCGGAATCGGGATGGAATCAGGGTTGGAAGTGAATGTCGGAATCGGGATGGAATCAGGGTTGGAAGTGAATGTCGGAATCGGGATGGAATCAGGGTTGGAAGTGAATGTCGGAATCGGGATGGAATCAGGGTTGGAAGTGAAAGTCGGAATCGGGATGGAATCAGGGTTGGAAGTGAATGTCGGAATCGGGATGGAATCAGGGTTGGAAGTGAATGTCGGAATCGGGATGGAATCAGGGTTGGAAGTGAATGTCGGAATCGGGATGGAATCAGGGTTGGAAGTGAATGTCGGAATCGGGATGGAATCAGGGTTGCAAGTGAATGTCGGAATCGGCATGGAATCAGGGTTGGAAGTGAATGTCGGAATCGGCATGGAATCAGGGTTGGAAGTGAATGTCGGAATCAGGATGCAGGTTGCAGGAGGTGGGGAGGGTCAGTGTGCTTTCCTGACTCCTCATGGGGAGATTCCAGCCTCTAGGTCCTGGCAGAGACCCCCAAGCAGGATTTCTCGACTCTGTAGCTCTACTTCTGTTTTAGGCTGGATAAGCCTTTGTTGTAGATGCTGTACAGTGCCTCGCAGGATGCTTAGCGGCCTCCCTGGTCTCTACCCACTAGATGCCAATAGCACTCTCCCAGATGTGACAACCAAAAATGCCCTAGTGGACAAAATGGACCCTGATTGAGAACCACGGCTTGAAGGCAGTGTTGTCTGTTAGAACATTCTGTGCTGATGAAAATGTTCCATATCGGTACAATACAGTCCAGTAGCCACTCAGCTACCACCTGAAATGTGGCTAGTGTCAATGAAGAACAGAAATTGTAACTTTATGTAAGTTTAATTTTAATTTAAACAACTGCATGTGGCCAGTGGCTACTGTGGTGGACAGCAAAGCTCTAAGGGACTGCTGAGCTCTGGTTCTGGCTGAAGGTGGCGGGGAGGGCCTAGGCTGGAGCGTGTGTGTCTGTGGTCTGGCCTCCATCTGCCGGAAGCCCCTGACTGTGGGTCATCCTGTGGGGATTCCCTAGCTTCGTTCCAGGCTCTGCTGAAGGATCCCAGCTTGTCTTCACTGGAGGGTCCCATAGGGAACACCCAGTTAACCCCTTGGTTTGTCATATGGGGAAACTGAGGCTTAGAAGGAGAGTGGGTCATGTGTCTGAGGTCACACAGTGAGCGAGTGGCGGAGTTGGGACCAGCCCCCAATCCCATGACTCCTCCTTTAGGAGGAAGCAGAGGCCTGGCTGGCTCTGGCCCTGGTCCTGGTCCTGGTCCTGGCTCTTTTCTCCTCTTTCTGCCCTTTGCCCCCTGCATGCCCCACCCCCACTCCCACCCCAGCATGTTCTGGCCCATTAGTGGGCAAAGAGGTAGTTCAGGGCCAAGGCCAGGGGACTGACCTCACGGGACCCTCCAGCTTTATGTTGGTCCCTGCCATGGATGAGGGTGGGGCAGACTTGAGGGTGGGGGGCAGAGCACGGAGAGTTTGAGGGCAGAGTCCAGGACAGGCTCACCTCAAACTCAAGACAGCCCAGAGCCGCCCTCTAGAGAGAAGGTCCGGAGTCCCCTTTGAACACCAAGGGTCACCCCTTATGACCTCTTGCCATCAACCTGGGCTGAGATTTCCTCTAAGAAACCCCCATAGCACAGCATGGGGGAGAATTCCCATCCCCAGATTAGGGCCCCAAGCCAGGTCCGCAACCAAGGGAAGGAGAGGTGCCCCCAGAGTTAAACTCAAGTGTCCCCAAAGGCTTTTTCAGCCCTTTCCCCCAACTCCTCAGTCCCACAGGTGGCCAGATAAAAAGCATGGATTTTGGCACCAGCCAGATCCAAGTCCAAATGTCAGTCTCATCATTCTCTGGCTGTATGATTATGTGACTTAACCTGTCTGAGCCACAGCTTCAGAGGGAGGCTGTGGCATTTAGTGATGATATATCTGGCACATAAAAGATGCTCAATAAATGCTAACAATGATCAGGGCTGCCAAAGACAGTTAAGCAAGCTGTGCACAGCAAAAGCACACCACACTTTGGAAGACATCCACACCACAGACCTTGTAGGTGTGTATATTTGTTGTACAAGTTTCTGGCAGATGACACGAAAATCTCTTGTTCTAACAAAGTTGCTATAATATGACAATTTTCTCATAGATGAAAGAAAGAGTGGGAGAAGTTTTTTTTTGTTTTTTGTTTTTGTTTTTTAATGTACAAAATTCCTGGTAGTCCTGGCTGTTATTCAACCTCATTTCCAACCCTGAATCTTTTTCTCCTCTGCTTTCATAGGCCCTAACTCTTGAGCAAACTCCAGTCCTAGAGCCCTTTCTAGGCTGTGGCTATGGCCAACCCATTCCCCAGGGCCTGTCTCATTCTGGCAAGGAAGGGGTGCCAGAAGCACAGCACTTATAGCCAGACAGCCTCCCTCTTGCCTTTTCTCTTTTGCAGGTTAACATGGTGGTCTTAGGCAAGTACCTGGGCATCCCCAAGCCCTACGGGCCCATCATCAATGGCCGCTGCTGCCTGGAGGAGAAGGTGCAGTCCCTGCTGGAGCCTCTGGGCCTGCACTGCATCTTCATTGATGACTACTTGTCCTACCACGAGCTGCAGGGGGAGATCCACTGTGGCACCAACGTGCGCAGGAAGCCCTTTCCCTTCAAATGGTGGAACATGGTGCCCTGAGCCTGCCCCCACCCGCCATCCTCTCTGCCCTCTTGCTAGGGAACCCTGCCAGGGTGAAGGCAAGGAACAACCACCTGGCCTCCATTCTCTTGGGGGAGTCTTGGCACTTTGCAAACATCCTGGCCACCATGGGCACCAGGACACAGGGATGGATACCACCTACCCTCGCCTCTGGAATGGCCTACCCAACCCGAGAAGAATGCACCTCATTCTTCCCTGGCCTCTTTCCCACCCACAGCCCCCAGAGGCTCTAGATCAACAATGTTAGCATGTTCCAGAATGGCTGTGGGAGGCCTAGGGAGATGGGCCCCACTTAGAATTGCTCCCCCTTCATTCTGATGCCTCCCTGGGGAACAAGGATAATGACTTTGCATCTGCACCTGGAACGGGGCCTGGGGGACCTGGGGTCTGGTGTGCCAGGCACCAGGCTGCCTCTGCTCTTGGAAAACTAGGAAAGGGGATCAGAAACATCCTCTCCCCGCTCTAGGTTTCTTCTCCCAAAGGGGACCCAAGGCTGTGACACTTACCTCCACCCCCATCCAGCACCCTTCAGCTGTGTGTGGACAAACAAGGACAGAAAAACCCAGTGTCCAAGGGCCAATTTAAATAGAAAAAAAGACAACAAAATTTTAATAGCTGACTCCGACCTCAGAAGAGTGATTGCTACCTTTCTGGAAAGACTTTAATTACCAGAGCTGGCTTCTCCCAGCTCAGAAATGCTGAGAAGCCAACGTGAGGCCTGAGGACACACAAAGGATGACGGGGCAGGAGGGGATGAGGTCAGGGTAGCAGAGTGTGTGACGACGGATTTGGGGGCCTAGAGGTGTCCGTGGTTCCTGGGCTGGGATTTTGGACTCTGGATTTGAAGGGAGCTGGAGCTTCCAGATGTAGCAGGGGTAGGGGGCCAGATGTTAGAAGAGGGTGTGTGTGTTGGGAGGAAATTAGGTTATCTCTGAAGGTGGAGTTTAATTTCCTTTAATAGTCTTTAATTATTCCCCTTCATTCTGCAGGCAGTGGGAGGGGAAGGCTTGCCCGGTCTCTCTCAGCAACCCAGGGACCCTGCACATAGCTTAGGTTTCATCCCTGAATAAACCGCTGTGCAGGCCCATGTCCCCTCCCACAGTAGGGAAGACAGCTGCCACGGGAGGTTAATAGCCCGGAGTGAGGTCACTGAGACATGCACAGGCAGGCTGGTTCAGCTGGGCTGCAGGGCACGGGCAGGAGGAAGCCAGCCTACCCTCTTCCCCCACTGCCAGTGAGGCCATTGTAGGGCAGTTGGCCCTAGGGCTTCGGTCCATCTAGGTTTTCAGTGGCCCCTGCTGAGACCTCACACTGAGCCAACTACTGTCACTGTTTTAACCAACAAAAGCTAGCCTGGAACTGCTATGGTTAAAGTGGGTGAGCGGGAACCTGAAAATCCCCTTCTGGAAGGTTCTACAGAACTCTATTTGCAAGCTCCTGCTTTAACCTGAGCGTCCTCTGCTCAGGATCATACCCCAGCCTGCACTGAGTCAAGAAGGAGAAGGAGGCTCTGAAGGGGCCGGGGGTGTGAGCTGGGGTTGGGACTCCCCTGAGAAAGAGCTGTGGGTAGGAAGGGAGTGAGCATTGCAGAGATAGGGCTGGGGGTCGGGGCCACACTGAGTGTGGGAAGCTCTGGAGTTGCTGCTGGGCCATCGAGGGGCCCTGGTGTTGGCTCTGAGAATGTTCTGGGTGACCAGTCACCTACTTTCTGATCAATAAAAATGTCGACATGCATTTCTTACAGGGCTGTCTACCCAGCCTGTTTGTTGGGTTGGGGAGGAGGGGAGGAAAGCGGAGAAGACTGCTTCCAGTTCCATCCACTATGAAGCTGCTTGGCTCAATTTCTGCTGCCACAGGCGGCCCCTGCTCAGCTAGGAGAGCCTCACAGTGCCACGGCCAGTGCCACGGCCAGTGCCAGGCAGGCTGATTCAGCAGGATGGCTGGCACATTGCCTCTTGCTCTGGGGCTGATGGCCCTGCTAAGATGGAGATCAGATCAGGGGAGGGATGGGTCCTGCCTCTTCATCTCTTCTCTCTTCCTTCAGCATCCCCTCCATCTCTCAGGGACAACAGGTCGGGGAGGCAGCCCGGGCCCTATTAACAGAGGTGAGAGTTCCCCAGCAGGGCTGGTTCCCAGGGCCACAGGCCACTACAGTTCCCTTTCTGGTTTTCGTTTTGTTTTGTTTTCTTTTCTTTTGTTTGAGACCGAGTCTTGCTCTGTCACCCAAGCTGGAGTGCAGTGGTGCTATCACAGCTCATTATAGCCTTGAATTCTTGTGCTCAAGCGATCCTCCCACCTCAGCCTCCTGAGTAGCTAGGAATACAGGCACAGGCCACCATGCCCAGCTAATTGCTAATTTATTTTTTACGGAGCTGGGGTTTTGCTATGTTACCCAGGCTGGTCTCAAACTCCTGGGCTCAAGCGATCCTCCCATCTTGGCCTCCCAAAGTGCTGGGATTACAGGTGTGAGCTACTGTGCCTGGCCCAATTCCCTTCCATTTTTGTGTCTGAAGCTTCTAAGTTACCTGGCTTCAGTGGTCTGATTTTGGATGCCTGAAATCATCACCCTCTCATCCTACACATTTGCTGCTGCCTCAAATTACACCGTTTGATACTCACTCACTTTATTTTAGCTTTTGTTGTGGAGTAAGAGGGCAAAAAGTTGCTGCCTATTAGTCATTGACACTTTAGTCTGAATTAACCACAAACCTGTTTCTAAAAGTTGGTATTAACAGAGGAGAAGTGAAGGCATGAGTCTCCTTCCAAAGACATATACAGTTCTCCGAGAAAGAGGCAGGTAGTGGGCCAGCACCCCAGGGAAAGCCCCTACTTTCTGCATCTATTCCCCATCTGTGCTCACAAGAAGGCTAGGGAGACTAAGGCTTCCTCCTGAGCTCGAACTCTTACCCAGGGCTCCCAAGGCTGACTCAGCCATCAAGCCATTCCACAGCTGAAAAAAGTGAAGCTGTCCCTTGACCCAGAAGCCCAGCAGTTCTCCTTGAAAAGAACATCTTTCCCAAAAACTGAGACATGGGAATGACAATCTCAGGGTCCTGTTGAGGCCCTTGAACTGGTGCAGATGTCCCAGCTGGAGATGCTGGGGAGCGGGTCCTGGTCCCCATCCTGTCTCAGGCTGTCAGCACTGCCAGGGAGAAGGGAGGAAACCTCTATTCAGCACCTCCTGAGCCTCCGCCAGGCAGGGTGCGTCTTCACTATTATCTCCGCCAGGGCCAGTGATTAGCTGCATTTTCTACAGATGAGGAAACCGAGTCTCCAAGAGGGGGGACACTGACACCCAAGGCCCTATAGTGGGTGCACGGTGGAGCCTGCCTCTGAACCCAAGACTTCTCTCCCCAGAGCCCTTGCTCCTGCTCTTCCAGGAGCCTGAATGCCCCTCTGACTTCGGTTTCCCACCTGACGACTGAGCTTTCCTACTCTGACATGCCAAGCTCCCCCTGGCTGGAGAGAGTTCTCACCCTCATCATTTACCGCTTTCAGAGGTTTTTGGGACCTAATAACAGCAACAATAGTAATACAATAACGCCAAGCTCCATACCAGAGCTCTACCAACGCTGGCCCCTGAGGCCTCACAGCAACCATTTTTCAGACGAGAAAAGTGAGGCACGAACAATTAAGAAAGTTGCCCGGCCGGGCATGGTGGCTCACGCCTGTAATCCCAGTACTTTGGGAGGCCAAGTCGGGTGGATCAAGAGGTCAGGAGATCGAGACCATCCTGACTAACACGGTGAAACCCCGCCTCTATTAAAAATACAAAAAATTAGCCGGGAGCCGTGGCAGGCGCCTGTAGTCCCAGCTACTCGGGAGGCTGAGGCAGGAGAATGGCGTGAACCCGGGAAGTGGAGCTTGCAGTGAGCCGAGATCACGCCACTGCACTCTAGCCTGGGTGACAGAGCGAAACTCTGTCTCAAAAAAAAAAAAAAAAAGAAACTTGCCCAAGGTCGCCCATCCAGGAAGCAGCTGAGGCAGGGCTGAAACCCAGGTCTGGCTCTAAAATCCATTAAAAAAAAAAAGTTGGTGTTTCTCAAAGGGCACCAAAATGCTTTGGGGGTGCTTATTAAAAAATCCAGAGGGCCGGGTGCTGTGGCTCATGCCTGTAATCCCAGCACTTTGGGAGGCCGAGGTAGGTGGATCACCTGAGGTCTGGAGTTCAAGACCAGCCTGACCAACATGGAAAAACCCCGTCTCTACTAAAAATACAAAATTAGCCGGAAGTGGTGGCACACGCCTATAATCCCAGCTACTCGGGAGGCTGAGGCAGGAGAATTGCTTGAACCTGGGAGGCGAAGGTTGCGGTGAGCCGAGATCGCACCATTGCATTCCAGCCTGGGCAACAAGAGTGAAACTCCGTCTCAAAAAAAAAAAAAAAAATCCAGAGGCCAGGCTGCACCCCTAACCTGCTGGATCAGAGTGGACAACAGACCTGGGAATCCGCATTTTCACCAGCTTCCCCAGCAGAGTAAGAAAGCTCCCCATTATAGTCTCTGAAAATGCAGAAAATGGAGGTGAGGAAGCAAGAAGCGTCCGAGATCAATATCATATATCTCTGCACCCCCTCAACAGCACCTGCCCCCAACAGTTCCTGGTGCCTAGCCAGGTACCTGTGGGGACTTGCTTCCCAAGAAATTAACTTCCTGGGTGCCGGGGTCGGGACAACAGGTTCGTATACAAATACTGGGTCCCTTCCAGCCAATCCTGAGCTCTCAGCTCTGGGAAGGGGCTGGGCTTTCATGACTGGAGCCAATGAATTGGCACCCTGGGCTGGAGGGGTGGGGCCAGGGGCTTTTAAACCTCATCCTAAGGGGCCTCAGGGGCAGTGTTGGGGTTGGCGGCCACAGCTAAGTCCAACACCAGCATGTCGCTGCAGAGAATCGTGCGTGTGTCCCTGGAGCATCCCACCAGCGCGGTGTGTGTGGCTGGCGTGGAGACCCTCGTGGACATTTATGGGTAAGAGTCAGAGGCCTAGTGGTTTGCAGGCCCTTGGTGCTGATGCCCTTGGACCTTCCTCCCTGCAGGCTGGGCAGGGCTTCTTCAGGGCCCACTCCCCAGCCTTGGCCTCGGAACAGCAGCCAATCAGGGAAGCTTGGGTCCTCCTCTTGCTCTACTGAGTTTCCTGAAGACCTTAGCCAGGGAATTTGAAGTTTGGGAGGCTGAGCCAGGTAGAAGAGGCTTCAGTGACTGAGCTCCAGACCGGGGGCTTGGAGGGGGCTGGTGCCGCGAAGAGATGGCACTTTTCTATGTCCAAGGGATGCTGCAGGTTGGGCTGAGGATCTGTCTGGGGCACACAAGAATAGGAACAGGCAGATATCCCCAGCCCCATCCTGAGCCTATGAGCCTAGAAACAGAGCATGAATCATTTTTAAAAAATAAGTTAATACATAGCACTTACCATGTGCCAGGCACTATTCTAAGAGCTTCACAAGTCTCTTGAGTTAAGTTTTGAACTTTAATCTTGAATTTAACCCTTACAACAACCCTGTGAGCTAGGCTTATTATTAGCATCATCTCATCAGACAAATGAGAAAACCGAGGCAGAGAGGGCAAGCCATTTGCTCAAGTCACACAGTTACTAAGTGGCAAAGCCAGGGTTTAAACCCGCTTGTGGTCTTACTCAGGAGTCTTATGGTTTTAGCTGCTCTGATACTTGGAAAATAAAGATTTCCAACCTGGTTTCCTCTAGACACTCAATGCCCATGCATTATGCTCCTACTGTGTGCCAGGTCATGCCTTTGAGGCCCATGGTAGAGGGAGGTAAGGCCTTATCTTCTCTCTCTTAGGAAGAAAAGAGGGTTAGGGTAGGGTTTTAAGAGCTGGGCTCTGGGGACCACCAGGGAGCTGGCTTCTTAGGCTTTTGGGGAGAATCCAGGGTCCTGGCTTGGAGGTAATCAGGATACTGGGAGGGGAGGGTGCAGAACTGTGGGACAGCTCTCACCTCTCAAGTCTCCCAGCCCTCTCCTCAGGCCAGGTTTCTCAACCTCAGCACTGCTGTCACGATACCTCTTTGTCATGGGGGCCACCCTGTGCACTGTAGGATGGAGAGCAGCATTCTGGGCCTCTCTTTGCTAGATACCAGCAGCACACTCCCGAGTTGTGACAACCAAAAATGTCCCCAGACATTGCCAAATGTGCCCTGGGGTGGGAAGAAAATAGCCCACCCATTGAGAACGAGTCTCCAAGACTAAGACTCGAAAAATCAGGGCGAACTTAGTCGGGAGCAGCGATGGGGTTGATCCAGGGCATTGGATGAGAGGGGGTGAGGAGCTGGTCATGGGAGGGAACCAAGTCGGGAGCAGAGCCAGCCCAGGAAATAAATCCTGGTATTGGTGGGTGGGCAGTAGGAGGAGGAAGGGGATTCAGTGGTTCTTGAAGGAAGGGGCAGCCACGGAGGCTGTGCCAAGGAGGTAATGAGGAAGGAGGGGTATCTGCCACTTGGCACCACTGCCTGCCTGCCATGGGGTGACTGGGCTGCGTGCCATGGGGTGACTCACCTGCCCCTGCTGCCTCGTGCCCGTTGGGCAGATGTGTCTCCGGTTTGACCTGTCCCAGGAAGCCTGGGCCTGGCTCCTCCCCCGCAGAGCTTCCTTAGAGGATAGAGGATGGATTGGGGCAATAAGAGATAAAGGCCATAGCTTCCTGGAGTCACCTGAGCCACACTGGAGGTTTGCAGAGAAGGCCATCGGTGGGACAGCCACAGGGTGGGGGATGGAAGCTCTGATACCTTCAAATGAGGGATTCTTGGGCCCTGGTGGCCAAACCCCCCAGGGGTGGGAGTGGAGAGCTCCTAGTTCGTTCATTCACATATTCTTCAAGTATTTCTTTTGGGTCTAGTGTGTGTACCATTCAGAGCCTTGAAGGATGAGCACAGGCTCTGGGGACACATACAGGGGAGAACAAGCAGCTCCTCCTCTCTGAGAAGCCAGCAGAGGCTGGACAACCTTCTTACAAGGGTGCCACAGAAAGGACTCCTTTCTGGGAAGGGGAGCAGGACTGAGTTAGTTCTGAGGTCCCTCCCGGCTTGGAGGTGCCATGATGTAACAATCCTGGGTCCTCAGCCTGCGGGCCAACAAGAGAAAGGGCAGTAGGTGTTGTGGCTCAGTCCTGGCTCTGCAACTTCCCAGCTCTCTGACCGTGGGAAACTCCTTTAACTTCTCTGAGTCTCTGTTTCCTCACCTGTTGCCTGGGGATGATAATAATATCAGCAATGGCACTGAATGCCACTCCCCAGCAGTGCCTGTAAGCGCTTTCCATATGTTAACTAATTCTCACAAAATTCTCAAGTGGGCACTGTCATCATCGTCATTTTATAGATAAGAAAACAAAGGCACAGAGAGGTTAAACAACTTGTCCAAGGTCACATGGCCAGTGAGTGGCAGAGCCAGGATGTAACCCAGTTTGGCCTTACTTCAAAGGGCAGTTAGGGGCATTGAATGAGATTGTGTGTGCAAAGCATGTAACTAATACTGATTTGTGGTGAACATTCAGTTATGTTAACTGTCACCATTATCATCATCATCAGTTTAAGGCTTTGTCCTGGGCCTGTGGACAGCCTCAAGCATCCCCAAACCTGCCATATGCAGGATGTCTGGGGAACAGTCTCTGGACCGTATTGGGAGAAGGAGTTGAGAAAAGAGAAATTTACATCTGACTCATGGCTGAGTCAGGGCAGTCTTCCTGGAGGAGGGGCACCAATCAGACCCTTGAAGGATGAGGACAAGCAAGTCTGTTGGGCCTCTCTATCTGTGGCAGTGGATTCAACTTTATCTTCTTGCCTTTCCATGAATTGGAGATGACCCAGGCATGGTATGGGGGCTTTTCTTTCTTGAGCAGTGAGTCTTAGGATGGGGAAAGGGAAGGAAGGGTACCCTGGTGCACTGAGCCATGCACTGGGCGTCTGGTGGCTGATTAACTCCTCCCTGCAACTGGAGGCAGGCTCAGCGGGATGGTGGTCTGACAAGTGCTATCCCACAGGGCTATAGGGCTTGAACCCAGATCCCATCAAGTTCCACAGCCCAGGTGGTTTGCTTGGTTCCACACAGCTCTTTCTCAAGGCTCAGGCATCAGCACAAACCTTAGCACAAAGTCTTGGTGCAGGAAGAAAGCTGCTTTCTTTTCTTCTTCTTTTTTTTTTTTTTTTGTTGAAGACAGGGTCTCACTCTGTTGCCCAGGCTGGAATACAGTGGTGCAATCTTGGCTTACTGCAGCCTGGACCTCCCCAGGATCAAGCTATCCTCCCGCCTCAGCCTCCCGAGTAGCTGGGACTACAGGCGTGCACCACCATCCCCGACTAAGTTTTGCATGTTTTGTAGAGATGGGGTTTTGCCATGTTGCCCGGGCTGGTCTTGAACTCCTGGGCTCAAGTGATCTGCCTGCCTGAGCCTCCCAAAGTGTTGGGATTACAGGTGAGAGCCACCGTGTCTGGCCCAGTTTCATTCTTAATGGGCAAAATCAAAATCCCAGGATGACCTCTGGTGGGGAGGGCCATCCTCAGGGCCTCTGTCATTGGCCCAGTGGTAAGAACAGACTGGACCCATTCCCACTGGGCTTTCCCATAACATGTGGAGATGCTTCCTGGAGTCTGTTGGGTTGTGGCTGCTCATGTGGCTGAGGGGCCCGCGAAGCTGGTCACCTTTGGGATTCATCACAGGTGGGCTTGGAGAGCAGTCCCCAGGCTGGTTCAGTGAGACATCTCTGGGGTCTTACACGCCACTTCATTTTTTAGTTGGGGAAACTGAGGCCTGGAGTGTGAAATGACTTGCTCAGGGTTACATAGTGAGTTAGGGACAGAGCTAAAACTAGAAACTAGGTCTTCCAATTCAAACGAAGGATCTCTGACTATTGGTGAAGAAGAAACTGAGTCACAGAGGTGCTGAGACTCGCCTGGATTGGAGGTCCTGGTGGGGCTTGTGGCGCCTCTGTGCTGGCAGACTTGGCTCTAAGGGCCCCAGAGCTCCAGGTGTTCTCAGATGCACGGCTGTGTAAGCCCTGCAGTCAGAAGGTCCTGGAAGGGTCAGGTCCCATCTGCATGGCTGCAGAGGGGCCCAGCGCACACAGCAGCCTAGAGGGCAGCTGAGTCTGTTCTCTAAGACACCTCGAAGAGGGGGCAACCTTGACCTGAGCGGGTGCACAGCTCTCGCACCTCAGAATGACCTCAAGTAACAGCACATGGAAAAGACAGAAGGCAGGGAGCCCATCACTAAGGTATCCCGGGCAGGTGTCTCCTAAGAGACCACACCTGGCAATGAGCCATGAAGCTCCTCTTTTCTCCAGCTCAGAGGTTCTCAACCCTGGAAGTGTGTTTCAATCACCTGGGGATCCATAAAAAAATTGATGCCCAGGCCCCACCTTGGGAAACCTGATTCAACTCATCTGTGAAAGGCCCCAGCACCCTAGGTTTTCAGGATCCGCTGGGGATGAATGTGCAGCTGGGGCTAAGAACCGCTGCCCTCACTGGGAAGACAAACAACTCATGTCACCCCTTTCTCTGCAGAGGCTGCCTAATGGAGCCAGGACTCCAAGTTTTGGTCCTAGTTCTGTGGTCACTCACTATGTCATCTTGAGCAACTTTCTACTCAACCCTGGGCCTCAGTTTCCCCATATGGACCCTGAAGGGGTTGGCATAGAACAGTGGGTTTCAATTTCCACTCATGGAGGCCTCTGAGTCCCCTCCCTGATTTGACAAAGCAGCTTCCATTCTGTCAACATCGGATTTTGTTTGATGCGAGAGCTCTGACCTGCCTGTGCAGAGAGCTGGGCCCTTGGGGGGATTGGTGCATTTCTGCTCTTTTAAATACGGGGGATTTGGAAAAAGGGTATACGGGGCTGCCACTTTCCAGTGGTGGGGTGGGGCAGGGCCACCCAGATTACAGTGGGACCATGATTTCCTGAACCTGATTCTATTGATGAGGCTGGCAGCGTCGGCGGATCTGGGATCCTCGCTGACTGGGGAGGGGCAGCTGGAACTGCCACCCAGAAACCCAGCTGCCTGGGTCTTGGTCTCCTCTGCCCCCACATCCCAGCTCGGTGGAGACCTCGTTGGTCATCTTGTCAACCTTTCGGTGTTCAGCCATGGGGAACTTTCCCATCAGTTTCTCAGCTCCTAAAATGTCTGATTTTGTTCTCCCAGAAGTCCAGGCCCTGAGTCCATGAAGGGAGAAGATGGGTTTGGGTTTGCAGGCGAGTGGGGACAGAGCTGGCCATGAGTCCTGGCTCTGTCACTTGCTAGCTGTGTGACTTTGGGCAAATCACCTGCCGTCTCCAAGGCTCAGTATTCTCATCTGTAAAGTGGGGATAATAGCACACAAGTTATGTGGCTGTGGGGGATACCTTCCTCACCAATGCCCCGTCTTCCTCCTCACCATTGAAGGGGGTGATACACGAGGGGGATGGGCTCACACTGAGTCAACTCTACACGGGCTGGAGGGACCAGGCTCCAGCATTTTTTTTTTTTTTTTTGAGATGGAGTTTTGCTCTTGTTGCCCAGGCTGGAGTGCAATGGGGCTATCTTGGCTCACTGCAACCTCCGCCTCCCAGGTTCAAGCAATTCCCTGCCTCAGCCTCCCTAGTAGCCGGGATTACAGGCATATGCCACCACGCCCGGCTAGTTTTGTATTTTTAGTGGAGACGTGGTTTCTCCATGTTGGTCAGGCTGGTCTCGAACTCCTGACCTCAGGTGATCCACCCTCCTCGGCCTCCCAAAGTGCTGGGATTATAGGCGTGAGCCACTGCGCCTGGCCCACCAGGCTCCAGCATTTCTAAGACAACCTACTCTAAGCCGTGATTCTCAGATGTCAGCAAATATCAGAATGGCTTAAAATGCGGTTCCAAGGCCCCACCTGGAGCACTTCTAAGAATCTGCATTTTCAATAAGGTGGGTCTGAGGTTGGCTACTTTTAGGGAGGCCAACTGTTCCTGTTTGTCTGGGACCTTGCAGGTTTTAGCACAGCAAATTCTGTATCCAGGAACAGCCTTAGTCCCAGCAAACTGATGCTGTTGGCCACCCTACCACATTTTACCCCCAACTCACCATCTTAGGCTGGCTGTGCCAGAGGAGCAGTTGAGTTCTCCGGCTGGCTTGGGGGGTGTGGGGCTGGGAGAGCCCTGGACAGGCCTGTGCATGGAAGCCTCAGCGGCGAGGGTCCAAGGCCCTGAGCCCAGGACTGGACCAGAAGCACTGCCTAGAAAGCCCAGAAGCCAGCATGTGACAGCTCAGCCATGCTGGCAGCTCGAGGTGGCCTGGAGAGGAAGGACTTTGTCCAGGTGAGGCTCCAGGTACTTCCCCTGTTCTCTAGGAAATGGGAAGCTAGATCCTCCCGTACCTGATGCAGGTTCTCCTCCCAGCAGCTGCCCCTCTCATTCTCCTAACACACAGCTTTCATGACAGGCATGAGCACTGGACTGGAAGTCAGCAGCCCTACCTTCTAGTCACTTATCTTCTGGGCCTCAGTTTCCCCATCAGTGAAATGAGGGCATGACTTTTGCTCATCCTGAGTGCTTTACCCACACTGGTTCCTTTCATCTTCTCCTCATCCCCACCAGATAGATGTCGATGCTGCGGCTGAGGGAGGCAGTCACTCGCTCAAAGTCACACACCTAATGAGTGGTGGGACTGGGATTTGAACCCAGTTGTCTGGCCCCAGGGACCACAGGCTCAAGTACCTTGCCACGGCTCCATCATGTTGCCCCTCCTGATCAAGAACCAGCGCTGGCTCCCCATTACATAGGGATGAAATGAAAACAAGCTCATTATAGCCTGAGTCTAAACTAGACCTCTTAAGGTTCCACGGTGAAAACACCTTCCCCTCACTTGTGTCTCCTCTTGGTGCCTTCCCTGGGGAACCTGCCCCAGCCACCCAGCCCACTGTCTCATCCTGCCTCCAGACCCGTTTCCTGCACCCTCATTTACTTTAATAACTCCTTCCCTGTCCTGGGCCAATGGTGTTGCAAGCCTTTCCTGTCTATTATCACACTTGAGTTTCATGATTGCCCATGAGGTTGGCCAAGTAGGTGTCATTATCCCACTTTAAGGTGAGGTTAATGGGCCCAGAGAGACTAAGTGATTTAGTCAAGCTCAGCTGGCCGATGTGTGACCCAGCCTGGTCTAAAACCTAATTCTTGACTCTGGTCCCAGCACCACCTGAGCCCTCGGCTTGCAGCCCCTCCCTTCCCCAACCTCAGATGTAGCTTGTTCACCTGTGCTAAGCCCTTGTTCAGACCGTGGTCCTGGGGACCCTCCTGGGCAGGGGTGCTTCAGTCTTCACTGGGGATCCCCCAGCATCTCACACAGAGCCTGGCACATGGAGAGGCAGGGGCGCTGGGCTGAAACACCCTACACCCAGGGGCTGGAGCCTGGGGACTGAGTGGGGTTTTCATACCAGAAGGACCATCAAGGGCGCTCAGCCCTTGCCCATGGACACTGGAGGCCCAAGGAACAGCTTTGGGGTTGAGGGAGTTCCATAAAAAGTGTACAGGCTTCAGCCAGGCGCGGTGGCTCGCGCCTGTAATCCCAGCTGGGAGGCTGAGGCAGGCGGATCACTTGAGGTCAGGAGTTCAAGACCAGTCTGGCCAATATGGTGAAACCCTGTTTCTACTGAAAATACAAAAATTAGCCGGACACGGTGGTGGGCTGTGTTGTCCCAGCTGCTTGGGAGGCTGAGGCATGAGAATTGCTTGAACCCGGGAGGTGGAGGTTGCAGTGAGCCAAGATTGCACCACTGCACTCCAGCCTGGGCGACAGAGCAAGACTCTGTCTCAAAAAAAAAAAAAAAAAAAAAAAAAAAAGGCTTCCTTGGGAGATGGAAGGCGAGTGCCTCAGGAGCGTGGCTGAGGGTGTTCCCGAGGGTATGAGAGGCTGCTCTTCCTACCTGGGTTTGTCTTCCTGTGTCTCTTTCCGACTCCCTGTCTCTGACTCTCCATCTCGCTGGGTCTCTCCAAGTCTCTCTGTCCCTATCTCTCTGTCTCTGTGTCTTCATGCCTCTCTCCCTGGTTCTGCCATTTCCCCTGTGGGGGGCTGCCCAGGGCCAAACAGGCCAGAGGGCTCCACCAGCCCTGGAAATTACAGGCTTTGGGAGTAGGGTTGCCAGATAAAATAAAAGATGCCTAGTTAAAATTGAATTTCAGGTAAATAATTAATAATTTTTTTAGTATAAGTGTATCCCAAATACTTCACGGGAGTACCAAACAATGATTGACTGTTCACTTGAAATTCAAGTCCAACTGAGCTTTCTGTATTTTTATTTGCTAAGTCTGGCAGCCCTGCTTAGGAGGAGAAACAGGTGTGTCTGTCCCTCCCAACTGGTGAGGACACCTGACAGGGGCCCAGACACCAGAGTGGGACCTGCCTGATGGAGAGAAGCTTGGGCTTGGTTTATTTCCCTTTTCATAAAAAAGCTGCTTTGAGATGTAAGAGAATCATGTTGGTGGAAGAGTGAAGAGGTTGTTTTGGGGGAGGTCTGCCTTACTCTGAGGGAAGATGGGAAGCGGGGGGAGTGGCCAGCTGTGGAAATTTGGGGTAGTCCCCTACGTATCCTGTGCCTCAGTTTCCCCATGTGTAAACAGGAGTAATTATCTCATCCTGGGGCTGCAGTGAGGATCAGATGAGCTAATGTACAAAAAGGCTTAGGCAGGCCTGCCGTGATAAGAGTGCAGAGGCTGGGGGCTTTTTATGTTATGGTATTGTTGTTATTATTACTCCTGGGGAGGTGGTGGGCAAGAGTGTGGACTGAGGAGCCACATGGCTGGGTTTGGATCCCAGCCCGGCCACAGACCTTGGGCAAGTTACTTAACCTCGGCTTTCTCATCTGTATAATGGGAGACAATAATAGATAGTGCCTCCCTTCTAGGGTTATTGAGAGGATTGCATGATGGGCTGGCACACAGCATGAGCTCAGTAAGTGTCAGTCACTGTTATCCCCCAGGGGCATGCATGCCGCTGCCTCCAGGAGGCCCTCCAACTCGCAGTGGCCTCTCCCTACATGGGTTCCCACTGAGCTGTGATCCTGTGGCCTTGAGCCCCATCTGGCTGCCCTGGACAATGTTGGTCCTCAGCTCCCCAGCGGGATCAACAGTGGGGAGAGCAGTGGGTGGATCTGCCCGCCAGGCAGTACCTGAGTGCACAGTGGGCACCCCACAGTCAAAGGATGCATAGTCTGGTTTCCAAGGAGGAACCCCAGGCTAGGTGGAATGAGGGAAATGCAATCTCAGGGCCAGATAACATCACAGATACTTTAAACCTGCAATTAATTTCTGGTTGTTTGACCAAATCCGGCCAAGTTTCCCGGGTGACACTGCAGAGCTGTGGAACAGCATGGGCTTGGAGTCAGACCTGTTGCACATCTGGCTCTGCCATGTGATGCAACCTCAGGCTTGTCACGAGGCCTCCTTGAGCCTCAGTTGCTAATATGCCAAATGGGGATGATATTGCTCACCTTACAGCTTGTAAGAGTGGAGGGAGCTGCGTGCGCCAGGTGCCTGGCATGCAGCGGGCACTCAACCAGATTGAATTCCCTTCCCAGGGAAGAATTCAAGGATATCTTCCCACCCACTAAGGAGACATGTGATGGGATCTGGGGTGAGAATTGCTCTTTTTAAAGCTCTCAGAACTGTAAGGGGCTCCACCCACCAATGGCTGGTGTTCACTGAGCTCTTCGTGCCCAGACCTGCACTGGGGATTTATCGAGCACATGGCTGGCTTCTGACTTCCGAAGAGCTCGCCATTCTGGTGAGTGGTAAAGAAACTCACAAGGGAAATGTTAATGAACACAGGGGCTTAGAACATCAGACTGTGTGTATGTTTTTTTGTTTTGTTTTGAAACAGGGTCTTGCTCTGTCGCCCAGGCTGGAGTGCAGTGGTGCAATCTTGGCTCACTGCAACCTCTGCCTCCTGGGTTCAAGCGATTCTCCTGCCTCAGCCTCCCCAGTAGCTGGGATTACAGGCATATGCTACCACGCCTGGCTATTTTCTTGTATTTTTAGTAGAGACAGGGTTTCACCATGTTGGCCAGGCTCGACCTCAAGTGATCCGCCCGCCTCGGCTTCCCAAAGTGCCTGACCTCAAGTGATCCATCCGCCTCGGCTTCCCAAAGTGCTGGGATTAAAGGAGTGAGTCACCACGCCCGGCCGACTGTGTATATGTTTGTGTGGGGTCCAGGCTTGACTCGCAGGAGCTTACTGTGAGGATCTGAGGGGACTGGGTGGCCAAGGAAAGCTTCCTGGAGGAAGCAGGGCTTGAGCCAAAGCTCAAACATCTGAGCAAAATATATCTCCTTCGGCACCGACCATGGCTCTCTGCCCTGCCCAGGTCAGTGCCTGAGGGCACAGAAATGTTTGAGGTCTATGGGACGCCTGGCGTGGACATCTACATCTCTCCCAACATGGAGAGGGGCCGGGAGCGTGCAGACACCAGGCGGTGGCGCTTTGACGCGACTTTGGAGATCATCGTGGTCATGAACTCCCCCAGCAATGACCTCAACGACAGCCATGTGAGCTGGTCCCTGGTGGGGTGGGGAGAGGTTTCGAGGGAGGCAGCTGTCTAGCTCTAGGAGGGCCCAACATTCTCTTTCTCCAGAGCGCAGGGCAACACAGTGGGTAAGTGCCTGGCCTTGGAGCCATACTGCTGATTTTGAATCCCAGCTCTGCAAGTTACAGACACATACCATGTGTCCTTGGAAAGCCTTATCATCCCCTTGGGGCCTCTGTCTGCCATCTGTAAAATGGGATAATCATAACCCCTGTCTCCTATCATTGCTGTGGAGTGCCATAGGAGCCAGTGTTGCTCCTTCTCTTGCTTCCCAAGACCCCCTGGAGAAGGAGTTGTCCCAGTTCTGCTGAGTTGGGTCTCAGTTTCCCCACATGTAGGCTGAGGGTTGACTAGGGGATCTCTGCCACTTTGAATGAAAGAGAGAAAGCAGGGACAGGGGAGGGACACCGGTGCCTGGGAAGACCCCCTTCCTAGGTGACAGCATTTCCCCAAGGCGCTTTGCTGTCCGTAATCCACTCTCTTCCTGACCCTATTTGCAGGGTAGGGGACATTTAACACATGGGAGAAATGGGTGGCCTTTAAGCTTGGCACAGGTGATGTTTGCTTCGAGGGCTGATAGGGACCAGGACTTGGAGTGTGGGAGTAGTGGGATCCACTCCATGTCAGGAGCGATGTTTCAGAAACTGGCCCTTTAAGGAGCACTGACCACGTGCCAGGTACTGGGCAGCCATGACCTCATCCAGCCCTCACAGCAGCCCAGAGAGGTGGGGGACTGATGCCCATTTCGCAGATGGGGCAACTGAGGTTCAGAGTAACTGTCCCGGGACCGCACACTAATGGTCAGGAGAGCTAGAATTCAGTGCAGACCCCTGGGGGCAGTCTCCCTCCATCACCCCCACCTCTGTTCCCAGCCATGCATCCATGAGGCACTTGGGGCAGGACCCAATGAACCCATTTAATAGGCAAGAAAACTAAGAAGGAGAAGGGGTGGCTTTCCTGAAGTCACATGATCTAGCGAGCGGCAGAGCTGGTGAGAGTCAGGACAGAGTCCCAGGGGTAGTGCAAGAGGACTGGCCAGCCTGTGAGGGGCCCCACCTTGGTGCCGGTTGAAGTGGCGATGGTGTGGGTACCCCCACCTTGAATTCCTTGGCCATGATGGCTGGTGGGATGGAGGAAGTTCAGAGTCTCTCCCACTCTTTCCCTCACCCGCCATATACCCCTGCTCCCTATCCTGCCTTTGGCCAGGATCCCAGTAATTGTATGTTTGAGGCAAGCATCACTGCTGGTGATTGACACATGGAGGTCAGTAATTGCAGGATTTAGGGGCTCCCAGGACTACAGAGGTGAGTGGCCCCTGCAAGATCCTCCCCTCTGGCTGAGATTCGGACATGAGAAGCAGAGAGTTGAGACACCCATGTCAGGAGGGAATACCCCAAGGGGAGGGTCATGCTTTAAAGGGAACTTGGATGCCTTGGATTCATCTGCCTCCAACTAAATATCATCCACGCCATCTTCATCCTCACCCTGTAACAGTTCTTGAGTGCTCGCTGTGGGCCGGGCACCGAGCTGCATGTGCCCCATACATGACTCCTTTCATCTTCACAGCCTCTAATTAGTCCTAAGGGGTAGGAACTATTATTATCCCCACTTTACAGTTGAGGAAATTGAGGCCCAGAGAAGATCAGTAACTTTTCCTGGGATATTCAAAAGTGGGGGATTCAGAATCTGGGCCCAGGCCATCTGACCTCAGAGCCCTGCATTTAACCAGCCCCCACCCCACAAGATGCCACCTGCCCACTGATAACAGTAGCTAGTATTTCTTGGGCACTTCCTATGGGCTCAGTCTTTTACATGTATTGTTTCCAAGCTGCATTACAAGCCTCTGAGGTAGAGACCTATAGAGGTAGAGGCCTTTTCCCATTTTGCAGAGGAGAAAACTGAGGTGGCTCAGGTAGGTGAGAGGCCTTGGCCAAGGTCATAGAGTACCCAGAGGTGCCGGGCTCAAGCCCGGGCCTGTCTGAGTCCCACAGACAAGAATGTTGGCTTGGAGAGTGTCCCCAAACCCTGCCCAGCCCAAACCCTTTATTTTACAAATGGCAAAACTGAGACCCAAAGGGGAGCAAGAGCTTGTCAAAAATCACAGAGTAGGTTATTGGAGGGACTGGGACCCAAGTCTCTTGAGAAGCTCTCACAAATAGCTCCCATTTTACAGATATGCCAACCAAGACACAGAAAAATAAATGGCACAGAGGAGGTTAAAGAAAGAGCAAGGTTCCTTGGGCCCCCTCCCCTCCTTACCAGATCCCCGAGAGCTATCTTTTGGGGCGGGAGCTCTTGGCTTCTGCTGGTATTACTCTGCGCCCAACTCTCCACAGGTTCAGATTTCCTACCACTCCAGCCATGAGCCTCTGCCCCTGGCCTATGCGGTGCTCTACCTCACCTGTGTTGGTAAGTTGGGGGCCATGTTGATGGTGTGGCCAAGGGCACATTTGAAAAATTCAAGCAGTACAAAAGAGTATACGTTGAAAATTAAACCTCCTTCCCTCCAACTCAAGACTTCTAGTTCCCCAAACCCAGCATTTTTCTAGAGATACGCTGTGCTTATATATGAAAGCACATACATACCTGTATATCCCCCCTCTTTTGTAAGCAAATTGAAGCATACTATAGACATGGAACTGGACCTTGCTTTTGCCAGCTTAAAGTTTTTCTGCTAAGCCTCCACAAATGGATACATAAACTCCGTGCAAGATGGCTCAGATGTTGGAGCTATCAGACAGGGCATGCAAAGTAATAGTGATTAATATGTTAAGGGTTCTAGTGGAAAAGGTAGACAATATGTATGAACAGATGGGGAATTTCAACAGAGAAGAAAATCAATAAGAAAGAGTCAAATGGAAATGCTAGACATAAAAACCATAGTAATAAGAGATTTTAAAAATGCTTTTGAAGGTTTCACCAGTAGACTTGACACAGCTGAGGAAAGAATCAGTGAACTTGAAGATAAGTGAATAAAAGTTACCCAAACTGAAACCCAAAGAGAAAAAAGAATAAAACAAACAAATGAAAAAACATAACAGATCTAAGAGCTCTGTGACAGTATCAAACAGTCTAAATTCAATGAAATTCCTATAGAAATTCCAACGTGGCTTTTTTGTTTGTTTGTTTGTTTGTTTTAAGGAGTTTTGCTCTTGTTGCCCAGGCTGGAGTGCAATGGCACAATCTCAGCTCACCGCAACCTCCGCCTCCTGGGTTCAAACGATTCTCCTACCTCAGCCTCCTGAGTAGCTGCAATTACAGACACATGCCTCCACGCCCAGCTACTTTTGTATTTTTAGTAGAGACAGGGTTTCTCCATGTTGGCCAGGCTGGTCTTGAACTCCTGACCTCAGATGATCTGCCTGCCTCGGCATCCCAAAGTGCTGGGATTACAGGCATGAGCCACTGTGCCCAGCCCCAACATGGCTTTTTAATATAACTTTACAGAGCTGATCCTAAAATTTGTATGGAAAAGCAAAGGTCAAGAATAGCTAAGACAATTTTGATGAAGAATAAGGTTGAGGGATTCACAATTCCAAATATCAAGACTTTTTTTTCAAGCTATAGTACTTGAGGCATTGTGAAATTGGTATAGAGCAATAGAGCAAATAGAGAACCCATAGACAGACCCATGCTTGTGTGGTTATCATGTGGCAATAAATGAACTTGGAGCCCTACCTCACACCATACTCAAAAATAAACTTCAAGTCAGTTAAAAATCTTAAGGTGAAAATCAAAATTGTAAAGCTTTTAGAAAAGAATATCTTTGTACCCTCAAAATAGTAAAGATTTTCTTTAACAAGGCAAAACAAAAGTGCAAAGACCATAAGGGGAAAGATTGCTAAATTAGACTGTATTAAAATTAAAAATTTATATGCAACAGACAACAAGTAAAAAGTCAAACTGTGAACTAGGAGAAGAAATCTGCAATGCATACGGCTGACTTGGTGCATATAGAATATGAAGAACTCCAATCAATAAGAAAAGGACAAAAATAATAGAAATGGGCAAAAACATGAATAAACAATTCACAGAAGAGAAAGTCCCAGTGATCAAAACCCAAATTAAAAGATGCCTAAATGAGCATTGCCAAGGTTGTGGAGCTGGGAAACTCCTTACAAAGGAGTGGGTGGGAGTTTGCTTTGGCTCACACACTTGAGAAGCAATTAGCAAAGAAGTTGAAAATGCTTTATCTGTAGGAGGCATTTTTTAGAAGCAGAACTTCTAGGTTATAGAGAATCTATATTTTTTAACTTGATAGATATTGCCAAACTGCTCTCCAAAAACACTGTATCAGTATACATGTCTGCCAACTGCATATATGCTTTGCCAACACTGCATTAGCAACTTTTTCCCTTTTTGCCAATCAGTTGGCATTGCACTGTGGTTTTACTTTGCCTTTCTTTAGTTAGGAGTGAGGTTGGGCATTCCCCATCTGCAGCCCAAATACATACACACATGATCATTGGAAAATAACATAGACAGAAAAGTACATAAAGCTTTATTTTACATACATATGTGCATAAAGCATATGTACACACACACACACACACACACACACACACACGAATAATTACAAAGCAAATCAAAGAATAGCTCAGAAAATAAACCCAAGAGTAGCCCAAGAAATGAAACACTACCAGAACCCCAAAGTCCCCCTCAATGTCCGTCTCTGATCATAACTCCCTCCTTCTCCTACAGGTAACCACTATCTTGTGATAAGTATTTTCTTGCTTCTCCTCATGGTTTTATCTCTTGAACGCAATACCCAAATAACATGGTCTCATTTTATCATCTGATTTTCTGTGGATGCAGTCATATCATGTATGTTCTTTTGCGTTGGGCGTCTTTTGCCCTATGCTATGTTTGTGAGATTTATCCACTTGTTGCATGGTGGTTGAGTATCTTTTCACATGTTTAAAAATCATTTCAGGCCACGCGTGGTGGCTCATGCTTGTAATCCCAGCACTTTGGGAGGCTGGGGTGGGTGGATCACTTGAGCCCAGTAGTTCAAGACCAGCCTAGGCAACATGGTGAAATCCTGCCTCTATGAAAGATACAAAAATTAGTTGGGCATGGTGGCATGCACCAGTAGTCCCAGCCTCAGGAGGCTGAAGTGGGAGGATTACTTGAGCCCAGGAGGCAGAGGTTGCAGTGAGCCATGATCATGCCACTGCACTCCAGCCTGGGCGACAGAGACCCTGTCTTGTCTCAAAAAAAAAAAAAAATCCTATCTAATGTATTCTTTCTTCTCTCCCTCCCTGCCCCTCACTGCTTCTTCTTTAAGAACTAAGAAGACTGCTTTTTTTTCAGAGCAGAAAGATTGATTCTGACCTCCTGAATGCTCCATTTGCATTATGAAATCTCACCCAGTGTCTAGGGCTAAATGTTAAGAAGGTGGGATGGGGGTGGGATTTGGGGACTGCGAGTAGCTCAGAAAGGACACACAGCCAGGAGGCGGCAGAACCTGGGTTTGTGTTCACATCTGTTTGACACCAAAGTCCAGGCTTGCTACCCCATTCCAAGGAGATGAGGCAGCTTTATATAGACAAGAATGTTCCTGGAGACCTGGGCTCAGTTCAGGGCATGCCTGGGACTGCAAGGGCTGCAGGGATGCAGATAGGAAGTGGTCAGGGAAGTCTCCCTAGAGGGGGCAGCATTTGTCCTGGGCCTTTGCTGTGACCCTGCTTCTTGCCTCAGGCCTCTTTCCCCAGCCCAGAGGGTGCAGATGCCCTCACCTCTTGGATGGTGTCTCCTTAGAAATGACTTGCCTTTGCTCAGCCCCAGACAAGCCCTGAGATCAAGGCCTGCCCTGGGCTCCTGGGAACCTTGTAGTGACTTACCCTCTGCCTCCTCTTGCAGACATCTCTCTGGATTGCGACCTGAACTGTGAGGGAAGGCAGGACAGGAACTTTGTAGACAAGGTAAGCATCTCTGCCTGGGCCCAGGAAGCAGGAGTGCAGTTGGAGCTTGCTCTAGGTTGGGTTAAGAAGGATGAGGCCATTACAGATATCCCCCTGCCTCCCAGCTGATGCCGAGACCAAGGGCCAAAAACAGAAACCAGGCATGGCTGGGGATCTTCTTTCACCAGGAGAAAAATCATCGCCAGGAATTATCAGGCATGGAGGTACCCAGCCCTGAGCTAGGCCTTGGTTTGTGGGATCAAGACCTTCTGGACTCATAAACTAGGTCAGGAGTGGGCAAACTTTTTCCGTGAAAAGTCACATAGCAAGTATTTTAGGCTTTGTGGGACATATGGTCTCAATTCTGCCACTATAGTGTGAAAGCAGCCACAGTTAATACAGAAATGGATGGATGTGACTGTGTGCTAATAAAACTTTATTTATACAAACAGGCAGTAGGCCAGATTTGGCCCACAGTTCATAATGTGCTGATCCTGACCTAGGCGAGAAGAGAAACCAAATATGAAACTGTTGAAGAACTTGGGACTGAATTATGTTGGAACTTGGTGCCCTGGGAGTTAAGAGGAGAAGGTCGAGGTGGGCTGGGTGGGTGAGGAAGGCTTCCTGGAGGGACGTACCCTTGAGCTGAGCTCTGAAGGGGTGCAGGAGGGAGGACGTTCCAGGTGCAGGGAATGGCAGGAGCAAAACCAAGGAGGGTTTAATGGAGGAATGAGCACAGAGTGAGGCGTGTGGTCCTATAATCAGGTTGCCTATTGAGAAAGAGGATGTTGGCTGAAGGCCCATCACAGATAGCCATGAAAGACAGCTCTGTGCTTTGGACTGGATGGTGTGGGCAACAGAGAGCCATTGCCATTGACATGTCTTGAGAAGGAGGTGCTTCGAGAACGTGGACCTAGCCTCACAGGGTTGGGTGGTTACAGGCCAGGCTCGGGTTCCTGGGTAGGGAGGCACAGGTCTCATCTGAGCCCTCATCACTGGCTATGTTTTGTCATTGGCAGCGGCAGTGGGTCTGGGGGCCCAGTGGGTATGGCGGCATCTTGCTGGTGAACTGTGACCGTGATGATCCGAGCTGTGATGTCCAGGACAATTGTGACCAGCACGTGCACTGCCTGCAAGGTGAGGCCGGGGCAGCCTGAGTCCCTGGGTGTCCAGGGTCACTGCTCAGTTACCCCATGGGAGTTCCAACCCACAGGCGAGACTCTGAGGCCAGAGTCCAGGGGAGAGCGCCAGCCTCCAGACACACCTCGATGCTCCTCAAAACCCATCTCAGGCTGGCAGCTGCCCCTCCCTAGTGTCTCTAGGGCCAGTGAGCACTCACATGCCAGGGCAGAAGCTCTGGAAATGAGCCACCTCGCCATTCTCTTCCTCCAGGGGAGCAGAGGATGCTAGCATTATTTGAGCACCTACTGTGTGCCAGGCCTTTTCCCCAAATTCTCATTGAATCATCCAAGTGGGACAATATCATCACCCCAATTTAGAGATGAGGATGCTGAGACTCAGAAGCCAGGAGACTCCCTGAAGACTGTGTCTGATCTGGGGCCTCCCCTCTCAACCCCAAATCTGGGCCTCCTCCTTCAGCACCTCTGGCCTACATTTCTGTGACTCCCCCACCTCTTGCTAAGTCCATCTGTCCTGAATTCCAGCCCCATGGAGAATGAGCTGCAATATTCCAGGGTATGCTAGGTGCTGTCCACGGGAGATGCCCACGGTTGCCTTCTGAAGTGGGCACCATTGGACATGGGGATGCTGGGGCTCCAGAAGGGAGGGGCTTGTCCAGGGTCACAGGGAGTGATGCTGGGATGGAGGCCAGAACCCTTACCTGCACGACGCCCACATGGCCTTACCCTCCTTGCTTCTCTGGAGCACCTGTTGTGTGTCAGACACCAGCTGGCTATGCCACACTTCATGTTTCTCTGGGCAATTGAGGAAACATGAGTCCAGGAGAGCATAGATGTCTTCATGGTTTGTTCTTGATGGCTTCCAGGGTTTTCACAAAGCTAGGGCTGGGAGACCCAGGTCTTGATACCCACTGACCTGGGGAGGGAGCTGGGCAGCAGAGGAAGGGGCCAGGGGCCAGGACTCCCTTGAGTCACTACCACTCTGTCTGGCTTCACAGACCTGGAAGACATGTCTGTCATGGTCCTGCGGACGCAGGGCCCTGCAGCCCTCTTTGATGACCACAAACTTGTCCTCCATACCTCCAGCTATGATGCCAAACGGGCACAGGTCTTCCACATCTGCGGTGAGTTTGTGCCACTGCCCCTTGCCATCTGTGCCCTGTTGCCAGGTTGCCTACCAGGGAACCTCCTGTTCCTGCCTTGGGCCATGGGCAGGTCCTGCTTACACTCCGGGAGATGCCCTGGTGGGTGGCGGGTCGCAGTAAGAACAGTCAGAAGTGGGGGCTTTGGAACTGATGAACTGGTGCCCCCAGCACAACACCTGGCCTGAGGTCATTTTATTTGATGAATGACCTTTTCAAATACATTTTAAGCATGTGTAGAAATTCTTATCAAAAATTTCAAACATACACAAAAAGCAGTGCTGTGAATCCCCATGTGCCTGTCACTCAGATTAAACAATTATCACTGTTTTGTCTGTCTCGCTGAAGTTTTGTAAAACCAACCCCAAACACCATAGATTTCACCCAATTAATTCAGTTTGTATTCCCCCCAAATATAGATGGCTGTTGTTTTACATAGTCTGCCAAAATCACAAGAAATACAAGTAAAAATCTAAATGCCTTTGAGAAACTAAAAATGTATACAAGTAATAAGATGCTTTTTTTTTTTTTTTTTTTTTTTTTTTGAGACAGAGTCTCGCTCTGTTGCTCAGGCTGGAGTACAGTGGCGTGACCTCGGGTCACTGCAACCTCCACCTCCTGGGTTCTGGCGATTCTCCTGCCTCAGCCTCCCAAGTAGCTGTGACTGCAGGCATGTGCCACCACACCCAGCTAATTTTTTGTATTTTTAGTAGAGACAGGGTTTCATTGTCTTAGCCAGGATGGTCTCAATCTCCTGACCTTGTGATCTGCCCGCCTCGGCCTCCCAAAGTGCTGGGATTATAGGCGTGAGCCACCGTGCCTGGCCGCTTATTTTTTAAATAATCAGACAATATGGAAGTATAGAAAATGAAACCTGAGAGTTCTCTACCCGTCTCTAAATCTGACTTTTTTTTTTTTTTTTTGAGTCAAGGTCTTGCTCTGTTGCCCGGGCTGGAGTGCAGTGGCATGATCTCAGCTCACTGCAGCCTCCACCTTTCAGGCTCAAGCAATCCTTCCACCTTAGCCTCACGAGTAGCTGGGACTACAGGCATGTACCACCACACCCTGCTAATTTTTTTTTTTTTGTAAAGACAGGGTTTCACCATGCTGCCCAGGCTGGTCGTGAACTCCTGGGCTCAAGCAATCCACCCGCTTTGGCCTCTCAAAGTACTAGGATTATAGGCGTGAGACGCCGCACCTGGCCTGAATCTGATTGTCACTGTTAACGAGTTGGGATGTGTGCTTCCCAACTTTATTCTACATGTTCTCCAGCGTGTGTCCATATGCTGCTTTCCAACCGGCTTCTTTCATTAAGTAATAATCCCACACACCTTTTCTGGTATTTATTGAGCTCTACTTCATTCTTTTCCACTGCTGTATAATATTCCTAAGCATAGAGGTGCTGTGACTTACACAGTTCTCTGAACATCATAGTGGTTTGCAGTGTTTTGATTTTATAACAATGCAGGTTGCTTGAGGTCAGGGGCTTTGTTCAAGTCCAGAACCGTGCCCCATGGGTGCACTGTAGTTGCACAGTAAATATTTGATGAATTAATGAATATCGAGCACTCTTGTACAGAAATATTATGTGACTTTGTACCTATTATTGTTTGTTTGTTGTTGTTGTTTTGTTTTTTGTTGGTTTTGGTTTTTTTTGAGATGGATTCTCGCTCCATGCCCAGGCTGGAGTGCAGTGGTGTGATCTTGGCTCACTGCAACCTCCGCCTCCTGGGTTCAAGCAATCCTCCTGCCTAAGCCTCCTGAGTAGCTGGGATTATAGGTGTGCACCACCACCGCCCGGCTAATTTTTGTATTTTTAGTAGAGACAGGGTTTCACTATGTTAGCCAGGCTGGTCTTGAACTCCTAACTTCAGGTGATCCACCGCCTTCGGTCTCCCAAAGTGCTGTGATTACAGACATGAGCCACCGTGCCCAGCCTGTAGATGTATTTTTGTAGGAAAGATACCTAGCAGTGGAATTGCTGGGCTTGGGGTAAACATTACTTTGTTGGATGCTGCCAAATTGTGCTCCAAAAAGGTATGAGCGCCAGTCTTAGAAAGGAAGACCCTTTCCCCCAGCCGTGGCCCCCACTGTGTATTACCTGTCCTCTCCTTTGCCAGTGGAGGTGAAAGGAGGGAGTTGTTGGAGGACTTGGAATTTTTGGTGAGGCTGCAGACCTCTTCCTGTGTCCCTCATACTCATGCTCCCTGGGCCCACAGGGAGTCACAGCCACCCCGTCCCTCCCCTTCCAGGTCCTGAGGATGTGTGTGAGGCCTATAGGCATGTGCTGGGCCAAGATAAGGTGTCCTATGAGGTACCCCGCTTGCATGGGGATGAGGAGCGCTTCTTCGTGGAAGGCCTGTCCTTCCCTGATGCCGGCTTCACAGGACTCATCTCCTTCCATGTCACTCTGCTGGACGACTCCAACGAGGTAGGGACAGAGGGGGTTCAAGAGGAGCTCCACTCGGGACCAGCCTGGGCAACATGGTGAAACCCCATCTCTACAAAAAAAAAAAAAATAGCGAGGTATAGTGGTGTACACCTATAGTCCCAGTTACTTGGGAGGCTGAGGTGGGAGGATCACCTGAACCCCAGGGAGGTTGAGGTTGCAGTGAGCCATGATCACCCCACTGCACTCCACAGCCTGGGCAACAAAGTAAGACCCTGTCTCCAAAAAATAATAATAATAAAGGGCAGTGGGGAGGACTCCATTCCTGGTAAGTCTACCAGGCACCACTGGTGTGAAAGACCCCAGACTTCTTGACCACCCCTCTGGTTCATTTCCATCTTGCAGAGAAGCAAGGGGTTTTCTTATGGACCACAGTGGTGGAATCAGAGTCCCCCCAGGCCTCTGGACTCCAAGTCCAGTGCTCTTTCTCCCCTGGTCTGCCCCTGCAGGATTTCTCGGCATCCCCTATCTTCACTGACACTGTGGTGTTCCGAGTGGCACCCTGGATCATGACGCCCAGCACTCTGCCACCCCTAGAGGTGTATGTGTGCCGGTGAGTCTTGGGGCAGTGGGTGGTCCCTCTGGCCCCCAGGCCCCGGCTCCATCCTGAGCCCCTCTTCCCTGGGCTTGTCCGTAGTGTGAGGAACAACACGTGTTTTGTGGATGCGGTGGCAGAGCTGGCCAGGAAGGCCGGCTGCAAGCTGACCATCTGCCCACAGGCCGAGAACCGCAACGACCGCTGGATCCAGGTAACCACAGCCACTGGGCAGGGCCCAGCAAGGACGCCATCCTGGAGAGAGAGGCCTTCATTTGGGGGCCACCGAGAAACATCCAGGAGGACCTGGGTGCTCCCCAGGGAACTTGCTGCCGTTTCTAATGTGAGACCTAGAGGCTTCTCTCCAGAACCTTCTGGAGACCCACGCTGATCCTGGATTCAACACCCATTCACCCACCGGATCTGGGCTAGGCACTAGGCTAGGCCCACAGGGGTGGCACAGGTGTGAGACACACACTCCCTGCCCTCAACAGCTGAGACCAGTGGTTCTCATCAAGAGGCGATGTGTCCCCAGGAGACGTTTTGCAGTATCTGCAGACAGTGCGCAGGACAAGCCCCCACAATAACATATCATCCAGTCCCACGCCTCAGTAGTGTCGAGGCTGAGAAACCTTGATGTGCAGAATGATTGCTACAAAAATACCTACTCCTACTATCTAGTGTGTAGCTGGGGCAACATGGTGAAACCCTGTCTCTGCAAAAAAGTTAAAAAATTAGCAGGGCATGGTGGCGTGTGTCTGTAGTCCCAGCTACTCTGGAGGCTGAGGTCAGAGGATCACCTGAGTTTAGGAAGGTCAAGGCTGCAGAGAGCTGTGATTGTGCCACTGCACTCCAGCCTCAGCAACAACAACAAAAAAAAAAAAAAAAAAAGAGAGAGAGAGAGAGAGAAAAAGAAATATCTAGGGTGCAGAGGCTATACCAGCAAAGCACCAGTAGGGTTTGGGGGATGCAGCATCACCTCTGCCCAGGGAATCAGTGAAGACCTCCAGGAGGGAGAGCATCTGAGCTGGACCAGATTTGGCAGATGAGGGCACATGACTTCTGCCATTTATGCCCCATTTTCTGCAGGCCAGGCATAGCATCATTTCATCTTCTTGATAACCCCCTGTAAGTCCCCCATAATTCAGGAGCTCTTAGGGGAGCATGACTGGGCCACAGAGCTGGTAAAGGCAGTGCTAGGACTCAGGCTGCCAAGCACCAGGCTGTACAGGTTGGTGGTCCTGGCAGAGACCGAGCATGCGCAAAGGCCCGGGGGTGGGAGGCAGGAGAGAGAACCTTGTGTGTTCTCCTCTGTCAGGGCACTGGTTCTGAGAAAGGCAAGGGTTGAGGTCGGAGACCTTGAATTCCAAGTTAAGGAGCTTTCCTCTTGGCCGGAGGTCAGTCCAGTGAGAGGGTTTGGGGCAGGACTCTGGGGCACGATGGGCTGGGTTTAGAGCCTGGCTGTGCCACCAACTAACTAGCTGTGAGCTTTGGGACAAATATTTTTTAATTTTTATTTATTTTTTTAAATTAATATATTTTGAATTTATTTTTCTTTTTGGAGACAGTGTCTCTCTGTCACCCTGGTTGGAGTGCCATGGCATGATCACAGCTCACTGGCAGCCTGGAACTCCTGGGTTCAAGTGATCCTTCTGCCTCAGTCTCCCGAGTAGCTGAGACCACAGGTGCAGCCACCAGGCTCAGCTAATTTTTTGTAGAGATGGGGTCTTGCCATGTTGCCCAGGGTTGTCTCAAACTCCTGGCCTCAAGCAATCCTCCCGCCTCACCCTCCCAAAGTGCTGGGATTATAGGTGTGAGCCACCGTGCCCGGACTGGATAAATAATTAGACCTCTTAGTTCCTCATTTTCCTCATCTGTCACATGGGATAATTATGGTGCCCACGCCCAGGCATGTCATGAGGATGAATGGAGTTAATGTTTATAAAGAGTTTAGGGCAGGACCTGGATGTGAAGTTCATTCACACTGGGCCATCTTTTCCTCCAGAACCAGAGGGGTCAGGACTGACCTGGGCACATTTATGGATCCAACTCAGGCCACTGTGAGTGCTTCTCTGTGTCCACCTGCCTTGGCCCAGTACTCACAGGGACACCCCCAAGGTCATGTCCATGTTCTCGTTCACCTCCGGCCTCTGTCTTGCTGTGTGACCTTAGACAAGTGCACCCCCTCCTTGAGCCTCCAGCCCCTCCTCCAGTCAGCAGGCACCCTGACCTCGGTCCTGTCCGCCTCCAAGCACAAAACATGCTTGGGCCAGGGGACTTGGTGAGCAGTCTGCCCCACAGGGCTCAGAGCCGAGCCAGCAGGGGCAGCTGTTGACTGTCACAGCTGTGCGTCTCTCGCCTCTCCTCACTTGCAGGATGAGATGGAGCTGGGCTACGTTCAGGCGCCGCACAAGACCCTCCCGGTGGTCTTTGACTCCCCAAGGAATGGGGAACTGCAGGATTTCCCTTACAAAAGAATCCTGGTGAGTGGTCCCGGCCGCAGCCCACCCCTGAGAGCTGAGAGGCCTTACCCCAGGGGCCACACCGGGGTGTGGGGTACAGAGGGCAGCAGTGGGAACCGTGCTCTTTAGGGATGAGGGTAGGGTTGCCAGATAAAATGCAGGGATGCCCAGTCAAATGTGAATTTCAGACAAGCAACAGGTTAACTTTTTGGTGTAAGTACGTCCCAAATATTGCATGGGATATACTTACACTAAAAAAGTTGTCGTTTATCTAAAATTCAAAGTTAATTGGGCATCCTGTATTTTTATTTACTGAATCTGGCAGCCCTAAATAGGGGAGGCAGGATGGTGCACCTGTTCAGAGCACAAGCTTTAGGGTCAGACCAACCCTGTTCCGTTACTTACATGCTGTGTGATGTTGCGTGAGTTACTACCGCTCTCTGAGCCTCAGTTTCCTCATCAGTAAAAATGACATTTTGGCCCTGGCCTCACAGGGGTTTGTGAAGCATCTCATCATCACAGTACCTGCATGGAGGGAGTGTGTGTGCGCGCACCACTATTAGCTAGTATCATTATTTTAAGAAAAAGGATAACAGGGAAGGTGATGATTGCTAACGAGGACCTCTTGAGAAAACAAGAGTGACTTGCCTGGTGCCGTAAAGAACAAGAGACCCCTCCAACCCCCTCACTGATCACACAGATGCTAGGAGCTCTCTCTCCTGACCCTTGATGTTGTCGAAGTTGCTTCTGAGAGATAGCCCTGGGGAGGTCTCCCCTTCTCTAGAGTTCAAAGACAGAGGCCCAGAGGGCCATCAGCAGCCTCTTGGTTCCCACAATTGGCCACTTGAGCTGCTACTTGCCCTTGGGCTGAACTTGCAGGAAGGCTGTGTAGGTAAGGGGATGGAGTGGCCATGGCCTCAGGCTCCATGTCCGATGGGGAGTGCAGGAGCAACCGGAGCGCCCCCTGCTGTCTTGCCGTGATAAGGCAGCAGGGCCAGAGAGTCCGAGCACTTCCCGACTTTGCCTGCTATGCGTGCATGAAATATTGACTGGGTCAGATCCCCCACCCACCGCCAATGACTCTGTATTTCCACCTGAAGAATGGATGGCCTTTCCCACCCTGTCTTGAAGGAGCTCAAAGCCCAGCAAGTTGGTTCAGGCCCTTCCTGGTACCCTCCACCCCCGCCTGACTTGGTTTCCCTCTCCAGGGTCCAGATTTTGGTTACGTGACTCGGGAACCACGCGACAGGTCTGTGAGTGGCCTGGACTCCTTTGGGAACCTGGAGGTCAGCCCTCCAGTGGTGGCCAATGGGAAAGAGTACCCCCTGGGGAGGATCCTCATTGGGGGCAACCTGCCTGGGTGAGAGAGAGACAGGGAATGGAGTTCCTGGGGTGGAGGCTGAGGGTTGGGGGTGGTGATGATGGTGGAGCAGGGGCCATTGCACTCCTTGAAGAGAGCCAGAAGCAAGGAATGATGAAATTATACTCCCGGATGTGCTGGGGTTGGTGGGTGTTCACCAGACACAGTCCACACTTACCTCGGGGACTCTGAAACCAGAGAGAGCAGAGACCTAAGAGATCATTCAGTCCAACACTTTCATTTTACAAGTGGGCCCAGAGAGGGTAAGTGAGTCACATAGAAAGCAAAGTTATAACTAGACTCAAGTTTTCTGATTCTGAAAATAAATAGATGATACTAGTAACAGTCAATTAATAGTAACAGAAGAAGAGTGGGCATGGTGGTTCATGCCGTAATCCCAGCACTTTGGGAGGCCAAGGCAGGCGGATCATGAGATCAGGAGATCGAGACCATCCTGGCTAACATGGTGAAACTCCGTCTCTACTAAAAAAAAAAAAAAAATTAGCCAGGCGTGGTGGCAGGCGCCTGTAGTCCCAGCTACTCAGGAGGCTGAGGCAGGAGAATGGCATGAACCCAGGAGGTGGAGCTTGCAGTGAGCTGAGATCATGCCACTGCACTCCAGCCTGGGCGACAGAGCGAGACTCCGTCTCAAAAAAAAAAAAAAAAAAAAAAAGTAACAAAGAAAAAGTTTCCATTCCCAACAGTCCTGGGAGAAAATGCATTTAGGTCAAAGCTTGTTCATACTACCATGTAAATGACTAATATAAGATCTTTTCCTGAGAGCAAGAGAAGTGAGGTACAAGACATGCTAAGTGAAATGACAATAACATACAGAGAGAGTAACAAATGATGTGTTGTTCAGTAGTGACACAGGGGTGCTGATGGAAAAGGAATCCTATCATATTGGTTACTTGCTGTGGACTAGACCAAGACATTGAGCTAACCAAATGCAACAAAGCTGTTAGAACAGACTTGGGATCAAATAATGAATGAATCCAGAGTCAAGCTTTGGAAGGGACTACTGCCCTCAAATACATAATCCCATTGAAAGAGGAAGCTGGACCATGCCCTTAGATACATTTTCGTAAAAATTGAACATGGGGGTGAAATCTGTCTCTTGGAGAATAAGAACCTGGTGTGAGGGTGGTTCTGAAGATTTTCCTGGATGGTGGGACCTGGTAGGTCATTGCCCTGGTGTGACTGACCTGTCCTGAGTCTGCCTCATGCAGAACTCACCCTAAGTGGAATTTTAAAATATACGTATCTGGCTGGGTGCAGTGGCTCATCCCTGTAATCCCAGCACTTTGTGAGGCTGAGGCGGGCAGATCACTTGAGGTCAGGAGTTCGAGACCAGCCTGGCCAACATGGTGAAACCCCATCTCTAGTAAAAATACAGAAAAATTAGCCTGGCCTGGTGGTGCACGCCTGTAATCCCAGTTGCTTGGGAGGCTGAGGCAGGAGAATCCCTTGAACCTGGGAGGCGGAAGTTGCAATGAGGCGAGATCACGCCACTGCACTCCAGCCTGAGTGACAGAGTGAGATTCCATCTCAAAAATAAATAAATAAATAAAATGAAATATACATATTTATTACTTTCCTGTTTATAAAAGTAATGCATGTTTTTTTGTTTTTTAAAAATCAGATATTGCAGGAATGCTAAACTCTTGTCATTTTATTTCTGCATGGAGTCTTTTTAGTTAAGCAACTTTTTTTTTAACCTCGTGGGTCCCAGGTCAAGTGGCCGCAGGGTCACCCAGGTGGTGCGGGACTTCCTCCATGCCCAGAAGGTGCAGCCCCCCGTGGAGCTCTTTGTGGACTGGTTGGCCGTGGGCCATGTGGATGAGTTTCTGAGCTTTGTCCCTGCCCCCGATGGGAAGGTAAGAACTTCGTGCATGACGTGTCTTTCCCTGGCATCTGGGGCAAGAACTGAGCTCCAGGGCGCCATGCCAAGGCAGGAGGCTCAGCTGAATCTGTTCTCTGCACGCAGGGCTTCCGGATGCTCCTGGCCAGCCCTGGGGCCTGCTTCAAGCTCTTCCAGGAAAAGCAGAAGTGTGGCCACGGGAGGGCCCTCCTGTTCCAGGGGGTTGTTGGTGGGTAACAGTGCCGTGTCCCTCCTTGCGGCTTGCCTGCCCCTTACCCAAATTAAGACACATCATGGCTTGAGAGGGGGAGGGCAAGTTTTAAAGCAGGGGTGTGTCCCCAAATTCAGGGCTTCTCACTCCTGCCCCTGCACACCTTGCTTCACCAGACACCACTGCCCACAGCTGGGGCCGAGCTGAGGTGGGAAGCGGGGTGATAGAAGGTGGACATGGACTGAGCGGGGACATAGTGGCTTCCCAGGCAGGTGACCAGTGCAGTCACGGCGTGGAGCTTTAATGTTCTGCAGTCACTATCCTGAAATCTCCCTTTTTTTTTTTTCCTTTTTGAGACGGAGTTTCACTCTTGTTGCCCAGGCTGGAGTGCAATGGCGTGATCTCCACTCACCGCAACCTCCGCCTCCCAAGTTCAAGCGATTCTCCTGCCTCAGCCTCCTGAGTAGCTGGGATTACAGGCATGCGCCACCACGCCCGGCTAATTTTGTGTTTTTAGTAGAGACGGGGGTTTCTCCATGTTGGTCAGGCTGGTCTCGAACTCCTGACCTCAGGTGATCAGCCCGCCTCGGCCTCTCAAAGTGCTGGGATTACAGGCGTGAGCCACCACACCTGGCTGCCCTGAAATCTTAATTCTGTTTTGTGAGGTCTGATGGATCAGTGGAGCATCTACGGGGCTTGGAGCCTCTGCTCAGGCACAGTCCTGTCTCCCAGCCTCCCTGCCTCCCTGGCACAGATTCTCTGCTGCCTACTTCTGTGCTCCCTGGAGCCTCAGTGCAAGGCCTCCCCCATCTCTGTCACTGTCCTGAGATGCTGCAGCACTCTGCCCCCAGCAGGAGCCTGGGCATGGGGAGGGCTGGGGTTGGGCACATGTGCCACTCAGCATCTTCATGGCATCAGTCGTCCCTGCCCTGCAAGGGCATTTGGTGGGCAACTTGGGAGGGGTAAGTGTCTCACCCAGGCTTGCTCAGGTACCCAGCACATACCCAGAGGCCACAATACTCTGGAGGTCGCCCATTTGCCTTGGCTTGGGGTGGCAGTCCTGTGGGAATGAGAGATGCCAAACTGGACCTGCCAGCCCCGTTCCAGGGCACAGCATGTGGGTCTCATAGCAGAGGCATGCCCAAGCACAGCCCCCTGGGAGCTAGGCCTCCGCTGTGAGGCCCACAGGGTGGGCCCTGACACCAGCAAGGGACTGTCCAGCCCCATGCAAGTCCCCGGCAAAGCGCAATGTGAAATAGCAAATAAAAACCACCCTGACAAGTCAGGAGAGAGACTCGGGGACAAAGAAACAACTTTATACTGTAGCACTTTTAATGGTACTCTTTTGTCTGCTCTTTAAACAAGGAGCTGGCATTTTCTTTTCTTCTTTTTTGAGACAGGGTCTATCAGCCAGGCTGGAGTGCAGTGACATGATCTCAGCTCACTGCAGCCTCGACCTCCCAGACTTAAGCGAGTCTCCCACCGCAGCCTTGCGAGTAGCTAGGACCACAGGCATGCACCACCACGCCTGGCTAATTTTTTGTATTTTTTGTAGAGATGGAGTCTCACCGTGTTGCCCAGGCTGGTCTTGAACTCCTGAGCTCAAGTGATCTGTCTGTCTTGGCCTCCCAAAGTATGGGATTACAGGTGTGAACTACTGTGTCTGGCCAGGGCCCACTTTTTTTTGTTTTGTTTTTTGTTTTGCACTGGAAGAATTTTGAGAGAGAGAGAGCTGGCTGGACTGGAGTCATCTGGCAAGCTTGCTGGAAGCGTTCTCAAATTCACTCCCTTTCCAGCCCCACTGAGACTGCATGAATCCCAGAGGATCCTCCCTTTCTCAGTGACCCCAGAGGTCCCAGGGCAAAGACCCTTTGACACGCAGGATCATAGATTTTCTTGGTCCCATGGCCTCAGGGAAGGCAGATAGCATCCTAGACCAAACACAGCTCAGAGAGAAAAAAAGCTCCTGTAGAACTTAGACGCCCCCAAGTATAATAATTTCCAAAGTCCCCTTGCTCTCTGTTTGCTAGCGTTAACTTCTTCCAACACAACCCTGGAGCCTTAGCAATAAAATGGAAGAGAAATAGTCTTTCTTGACCCTGTTGCTCCCAAACGCACCCTAACTAGACTCCGGTGAACCTAGAGTAAGTCTTAGAAATCCTTAAATCCAAATTATGTACCAGGCAGGGAGAAATGCCACCTTCATCTTTCCTGGGAGAACTTATGGTGAGCAAGACCCAGGAATGGGTTGAGCAGAGTTATTCCAACCTGCCCAGCTGGGAGGGAGCGTGGGAGAATTCACAGATGGCAGGCCACAAGCAGCCACCCCACCCTCGAGGGCTGACACTCAGGCAGTGACTGTGGCGATTAATTACATAGACACAGAGGCCAGACACAGAGGCCAGAGCACTGATTAGACACCTCAGTGCGCCAGGCCTCACGCTGTGTGCATCACACGTGTTATCTCATTTGATCTCACGAGAGATCAAATGGGATGACTCTCACCCACCTTTATTCCCAAGAATGTGAGGCTCAGAGAGGGGATGTCACTGGCCCAGAGGCCTCAGCAAGATTGCAGTGGAGCTGGGACTGGACCCCAGCTTCCTGCCTTAAACTGGGGTGAAGCGGGCGTTAGACCTGCAGATGGGTCAGGGGAGCCCTCTCCTTTCCCTTGGTCAAGGCTTGAGGCCCTGTGCGAGCCCTGGGCTTGGGTTTGAATCACAAGCCCCCACATATCCTACCTGTGTGACCTTTGGCAAGTCTTCTGACCTCTCTGAGCCTCAGTTTTCTCATCTGTAAAGTGGGGATCATAATGCATACCTTGTGGGGGTCACCGTGAGGGTTAAATGAGATGCTGAACCTGGGCACTCCCCTCGGGGCCTGCTCATGGTAAGCGCTTACTAAGTAGCAGCCATGAGGATTGTGTGCCATTGACTCTAGCCTCCGCTTCCCTGTCCAGTCTCATCTGCATGGGCACACCATCAGGCTGAGAAAATCTGGACCCCTGGGAGGTCCCCATTTCACGCAGTCACCCCCTGAAGGGCAGGATTGGGGCTGGATGGTGTCTGAATCCCAGGACTGGCTGGTTCGCTGCTCAGTGAACCTATAAAACCTGACTGATGGTGGGTGGGTGGGCAGCAACTGACCCAGCTCCCCGCTAAGCCAAAGCAAGAGGATTCCTCATCCAGTGCCCTCGGGCAGTTGTACATTTCCAGTGACAGGCGTTACCACTTCCAGTGAACTCAAATAAAGGTCTCAGTTCATTCCACTGTGGCAACCAGACCCTCCCACTCCTTATACCCCAAGATGTGCACAGTGGCCAAGGCAAGCTCAGACAGGTGGAACCCACCCAAGGCCTGGGAAAGTCAGAGGCTGCTGACTCGGCAAGACCATTAGCTGTGAACTTGGCTCCTGCCTGTCTGCTTCCCTAAGCAGGTGGTCCTCACGTTGGTGCTGTCCCTGTCCTTCTCTTTCATCTCTCTCCTTCACAGATGATGAGCAGGTCAAGACCATCTCCATCAACCAGGTGCTCTCCAATAAAGACCTCATCAACTACAATAAGTTTGTGCAGGTACAAGGGCTGTGGTGTACCTGTGGGCTGTGATTTGGGAGTAGGCGGGGCTGGAGGCAAGGATGGGATACAGACATCTGAGGCTAACTGTTCATGAAAGCTCAGGTTAGAACAGGCCCAGACAGAGGGGTCCCAACACCCTCTTTTGACCCAGAAGAAGTGAGGGGAGCGACAGGATGCCTTGGTGCCCCCAAAACACACTGGCAAGGTGTCCCCAACTCTGGCCCTCCCCTGCCCCCAGAGCTGCATCGACTGGAACCGTGAGGTGCTGAAGCGGGAGCTGGGCCTGGCAGAGTGTGACATCATTGACATCCCACAGCTCTTCAAGACCGAGAGGAAAAAAGCAACGGCCTTCTTCCCTGACTTGGTGAGGGCACTACCCATGACTCCTTTGCCAAATCAGGCTGCAAACCTCTAAGCTCGAGAGAGGAAAAATGTCTGGTCACAGTCATATTTAGGATTGTGGTGGCCAGTGGGGGTGGCAGGGAGAATCAGGGGTCCTATGGTGCTCCTCAGAAGGGCTTCTAGCTGGCTGACCACCATGGTCCCTGTGGAATGCTTGCTGGCCAAGCCCTGGCCCAAGGGGCATCAGGGAAGGGGTCCACTTGACATTTGTGGAGTGAATGAATGATTGCATGAGGTCACGTGTGCAAAGCACATGGCATCAGCTGGGAACCCAGATGCTCATTCTGCTCTCTTCCTCCCAGCTTGTGGCTCTTCATCCATCCCACATGTATTTAGGGTGTCCTGTGGCAGATGCAGAGATGATTAAGAATGCCCCCTGCTCTCAAGGGACTTTCAGTCTAATCGGTTGAGAGGGAAACTCTTCCCTTCTCTGAGGACATGTCCCAGTGATCTATTTTGTAGGATAAGGCGATGTGGCAGTTTGGAGGTGAGACAAAGCACTTCCAGCCTAAGAGGTAGAACTGGAGATCCAGGAAGTCTTCATGGAAGAAGTGGCTTTTGACTGAGCCTTGAGGGCTTTGCCTCTGATGCTTGTAAATCTTTTTTTCTTTTTTTCTTTTTTTTTTTTTGAGACGGAGTCTCACTCTGTTGCCCAGGCTGGAGGGCAGTGGCACAATCTCACTCACTGCAACCTCAGCCTCCAGGGTTCAAGCGATTCTCCTGCCTCAGCCTCCTGAGTAGCTGGGATTGTGGGATTGCAGGCGTGCACCACCACGCCCGGCTAATTTCTGTATTTTTAGTAGAGATGGAGTTTTGCCATGTTGGCCAGGCTGGTCTTGAGCTCCTGACCTCCGGTGATCCACCAGCCTCGGCCTCCCAAAGTGCTGGGATTACAGGCGGAAGCCACCGTGCTTGGCCTGCTTCTAAATCTTGAGCTTGCCTTTGAAACACCTGGACAGGTGGGGCCCCACCCCAGCGGTCCTGATTCAGCAGGTCTAAAGCACGGCCCGAGGCACTGCTGCCGCGCTAACAAACACCCAGGTGGTGCTGATGCTGCCTTTTAGAGGAACACAGTTTGAGTAGCACTGCTATAGGTCACCCAGCTCCCCTCTCCACTCCTCCCCACCTCATCCCCTAAAAGAACTCAATTTGCCCATTGTCAGAGCCTTGTGGGGAACCTGTCCACACCACCATTGCTTCATGCCCCGCTTTTTCCTTCCTCTTTTCAGGCAACATTTTGCCCTCCGCTTGCAAAGCCTCTTTTCACTCCCCTTCCTTCCTGTTCGAGGCTATCTTGTAATTATATATGTGCCCCAAGAAGTTTGTGCAATGATTCAGGTTCTTGTGTTCGCAAGAGACAGAGTCCTACTGAAGCCAGCTTCAGCCAGAGGGAGTCTTAATATAAGGACACCAGAAACCTGAGGGCAGGATAGCTGCAGCAGAGCCTGGAACCCTCTCTGTTTCTGTGTCTACATCATTCATTCTCTCTCTTTCTCTCACCCTCTCCACCTCCTACTTCTTCTCCCTCTTCTTCCAGCTTGGCTTCCTTTGCTTCTCTGTTCCTGGGGACAAAGATGAGTATGGCCATGCACAGAGACACTGACACGGGCAGAGACCAACTAGACGCTCCCATTGTCAGTTTCAAATTCCTGGGAGAGGGACTCTGATTGGTCCATCTTGGACCAGCTGTTCTCCCTGGCCCAATCAGTTATGGCCTAGAAGGTTGGGATTCTGCAGCACAAACATGGCAGCTGCCACAATCCACAATTCCAAATTCACATTAGGGCAGTTTCCAGAGCACGTTGCCAGAGTGAGTTCTGCGGATGCTCCCAAAGGCACCTGGCTAACCGGTTCTTCCCAGCCCCTTTAGCCAGTTACCTTCTCATTGCACAGGAAAGGGTGAGTAGCTATTGACAAGGCTGTCTAAAACACAAACCTAGGTCCTGCAGGTAGAGTAGAGGTGTGGGGTGGGAGCCCAGTGATGAAGTGCTGCTTCCCCTTTGGACTGCAGGTGAACATGCTGGTGCTGGGGAAGCACCTGGGCATCCCCAAGCCCTTTGGGCCCATCATCAATGGCTGCTGCTGCCTGGAGGAGAAGGTGCGGTCCCTGCTGGAGCCGCTGGGCCTCCACTGCACCTTCATTGATGACTTCACTCCATACCACATGCTGCATGGGGAGGTGCACTGTGGCACCAATGTGTGCAGAAAGCCCTTCTCTTTCAAGTGGTGGAACATGGTGCCCTGAGACAGCTCCCACCCACCATCCTGTCCCCCTGGGGCGGGCATTGGCCCAGGTGGTGGAGACAGAGACAGGCCCCTGAACGATAAGCACCAAGAGACCCCAAGGCTCCAGATGGAACACTGAGGGTGACCGTCCCTCTCAGAAGCCTTTTCCCTGGAAGTGTCCATGCCTCACCTGCAACCCATGTGGTTCTCAGACTTGAATCTTCTCGGCCCCCCAAAAAGAAGGACCTCATTTCTTATAGCCTCTCCTGTGATTCAACACAACCCATGGAGATGTCCCCTTCTCACTCTGAAATCATCCATTTGGGGACAAATCCACATTGGGGTCTAGAAACATCCACGTATCTCATCAGCCATCTTGTCCTGTGCATCCTAACAGAGGAAGGATCCATGATTCTGCTTTGGTCCAATTGCTTCCTCTCTGCAGAGGAACAACCCTAAAACCAGACCACTCCACGCAGGACAGGCAGGAGAGATTCTTCCTAAAGCCTCCCCCATAAAAAGGGAGCTGTGGATCCACTTAGATCAGGGCGGAACCATCTTTCACCCGGCCAAGCTCCTGCCCAGATGTTGACCCTCACCCAGCGTGAGCTGTCACATAGTAGGAGCTTCTAGATGCATGTGGAAGCAATGAGAGTTGTCCCTTAGCCTTATAAACTCCCCATGATCTGACATGCAGAAATCCAGCCTTGTCCAGAATCCTCCTGGAATTTCTTGGAGACGAAAGTATCTGGGGGATTGTTGGGTACTAGGGAGACTGGGTACAAGGGTGAAAAGTAGTTCCCATAATACACATGGTTGACTATGGTGATCCACCTTGTGATGGTTAATATTAGGTGTCTGGAGAAGGTTGCTTCATTGGCCCTGGGACTTCTCTCTGCAGGAGGAGAGAACGCTGCCTCTCCTCTGGATTGGTCTCAGGCTCTCTGTTGGCCTTTGGTCAGCGTTTCCACATCCTGCTCTGCTGCAGGAGAGGGGGCTAAGGGGCTGGATCCACCAAGGCAGCTCACAGCGGGAAAACTCTGGGAATGAACCACTGAATTCAGGGGATGGGGGTGGGGGGGCGGTTCTCGAGGTGTGTGCCAGCTACACGTGTGTTCTGTATGGGTCCAGCTGCGTTTCCATCACTCGCTAATAAATCAACAGAAACACAAATGGCTTGGCTCTCATGTTGACCCTTCTTTGAGCTTAGAATGAGACAGCAAAGAGAGAGGACTTTCTTGCAGCTGAAGCATTTGCTTTCTTGACCCCCAAGAATTTGGGGCTGACATCCCAAATTTTGATAAGACTGAGATTGCCTTGTCTTGGCCAGAGGATGGGTTAGGACTGCCATGGACACCTGTAATGATATGGACACATAAAAGCAAGCCTGGGGGTAAAATGCCAGGCTACCAGGACAAGTGAGCATGGCAAGGCTAGGGGCCGGGCTGTGGCTGGAGGTTGCACTGTGGAAGGATGGGCAATGGGGAGCATGTGGAGGCCTTTTGTGTGTCCTTAGCAGCATCCTCCTTCCGCCTGCAAGAGGCTGCGGGAAGCCTTACTTCAGAGCACTCGGGCACTGTCCCTCTGCCCTCCACCCTCCCAACCCCTTTATTTTCCCTCAAGGCGCAAAACACAGAAACACACTCAAGCTCACCCCGGGCTGGGTGGCTAGAGCTGTGTAGGTTTCTCCAGTGCTGCCTCCTTGCCGTGGCTTACTTAGGTTCTCTGAACAGATTCCCGGTGTCCCCTCACATACCCATATTTTGACAAAATAAGCTCCCTCCCTCATTTCTCCCAGCAGGGGAAGCTGAGACAGATGAAGACGCTGAGAACATCCTATTTTCTGAAAGGGTTTGGGGAGGGAAATGTGACTCTCTAGAAGGCAAGTGCCTAAAATTCGGAGAACAGGGATGAGTTTCCAACAGGCTTTTCTCACCCCCAAGACTGGCCACAGGGCTCTGGGTGGACCCAGCATAAAGCCCTGGAAACAGAATGCCTCTCAAAGTTGCTCCCTGTGCTCTAGGTTGGTGTGGGTGGGGCAACTGAGCAGTGAAAAACCTAACCCCAAGGCGGACGAGAAGCAAAACACAGTTGAACACGGCATCCACCTGTCCACACAGCAAAGGACAGGGTCAGTGCATTACTTTTTGAAGGCTACTATAACAAATTACCATAAACGAAGTGGCTTAAAACAACACAAATGTATTATCTTATGGTTCTGGAGGTCAGAAGTCTGACATGGTGTCATGCTGGACCTCTACTGACTTCAGTAGTAGCTGGGCATGGTGGTACAGGCCTGTAGTCCTAGCTATTCGGGAGGCTGAGGCAGGAAAATTGCTTGAGACTAGGAGTTTGAGGTTACAGTGAGCAAAGATCACACCACTGCACTCCAACCTGGGTGACAGAGTGAGACCCTGTCTCAAAAAAAAGGATAGGGATGGCACCATGTTTGAGAGACCAAAGAAGAGACCAGGAGCCAGTGACCGAGACATAAGGTTTATTGAGGGGACTCATATACGGGGCAGTGCAGTGGTGGTGGGCTGGACAGGGGAACCACCTCTGCTCGTAAAAAGCATGCAGTTAGCCAGGTGCAGTGGCTCACGCCTGTAATGCCAGCACTTTGGGAGGCCAAGGCGGGTGGATCACAAGGTCAGGAATTCGACACCAGCCTGGCCAAGATGGTGAAACCCCGTCTCTACTAAAAATACAAAAATTATCCAGGCGCAGTGACGGGCACCTGTAATCCCAGCTACCCGGGAGGCTGAGGCAGGAGAATTGCTTGAACCCGGGAGGCAGATGTTGCAGTGAGCCAAGATGATGCCACTGCACTCCAGCCTGGGCAACAGAGCAAGACTCCGTCTCAAAAAAAAAAAAAAAAAAAAAGCATGCAGTTTATATAGCATTTTGACTTAGCACTCTCACCCTAATAACCTCCTCCTGGCAATCTTCATTTCACCCATAACAAAGGGCCTCAATCCCCTGTACAGCCTGCATTCTACGAGATAAGTGGTGGGTCCCAATGTTCCTCATAGATAAGAAATGAATCTCCGGGTTGGCACTTTCCATAGCTGGGAATCCCAAATGCACATTCATCAGAGACTGTAAGGTCATTCTCAGGGTATGCTCCAGTTTAGCTATTGCTGGCGGTGCGTCTGCCACACACATGGGTCTCACTGAGCTAAAGTCAACATCTTGGAAGGGCTGGTTCCTTCTGGGCTCTAGGGAAGAATCCTTTTTCTTGCCTTTGCCAGCTCCTAGAGGCTGCCTACACCCCTTGGCTTCTGGGCTTTTCCTCCATCTTCAAGGCCAGCAGCATAGTAACATTTTTGTATCTTCCTCTGATGGATTCTTCTGCTTCCTTCTTCCACTTGTAAGGACCCTTGCGATGACACTGGGCTCATCTGGATAAGCAAGGCTCACCCACCCTCTCTAGGTCAGCTGATGAGTGAACTTCATTCAATCTGCAACCTTCATTCCCTTTTACTAAGAAGGTCATATACTCACGAGTTCTGCAGACTCGAACGTGGAAATCTTTGGAGGACCATTTTTCTGCTGACTACAAGCAACCAGGCCCTGACTGCCGTTTCTGGCCTCCAAGAGTGAGACCATACCCGGTCCCCTCTGAAATCCACAGAGGCAGCAGCAGAAAGATGCAGTCAATGAACCCTCACTCTGGGACTGGTGTTCAGTTCTGGACCCTCCGCTGGGCTGAGATCTGGGATCCCATGGATGCAGGCTGGGTGGCTCCAAAAAGCACTGGAAGCTGCCTCCATCAGGCCTGGGGTCAGGGGTCACCTCCGCTGGCCACTGCCTTCCCAGACAGCTGCCCATGCCACACTGCCTGGTCCCTTCCGGGGCCTGGCTCTCAGGCCTGGAAAGCCCAGGGAGACTAGGATGAGGCTTGGGTTCTCGTAGGGAAATTTCCCTTCACCCTATTGTGGTTCCCCTAACACAGTGGGCAACCTTGACCAGGCCTGAGGATAAGGGAAGATACCCAACCGACTCACCTACTCCCAGCTGGCTGCCTGAAACCCCTCGGAGTTGGACCATCAGATGCTGAACTCGTACTCTCTAGCTGAGCACATAACTTGGGTGAGCCTCAGTTTCCCCCTCCATAAAATGGGCAAAATAACTGCCGCTTCATAGAGCTTGCATGGGGATGAAGTAGGGTAACTCACAAGATATACTTAGTGTCAATAGCACAGTGCATGGTGCATAGTAAGTGCTCAGTAAATGATGACTGCTGTTACATAACATCCCCCAGCCCTTCCTCAAGCATCTGCTGTGTAGAACACTCCTAATCTCCGCGCTTTAATAGATGACAAAGACCCTTTGAGACCCAGAGGTGAAATGAGGGAGGTAGGGACAGGACAGCTGTCTTGGCTACTCTCAGATCATACCCTGCTTGTCTCAGCTGTGTAGGACTGGCCCAGGTGGAGGCTCCTGCCTGGACAAGAAGCTGACAAGAAAGCCTGTCTTTTTTGTGGGGATTTGCAGCTCTGGGTGGCCCTGACTCATGCTTTATTCAGAATTTGGAATAAGTAGCTGCAGGGCTTCCGCAGGCATTGCCCAACTCTGTGGCCTCCTGCGGCTTCCAGCAGCCCAGGAAGGAGGGCCCTGGGTGAGGATGGCTGGAAAGGAATTCTGGATGGCTGGACAGAGTCCATGGGACCTATCACTTCCTACAAAGTCACTGTCATCCCAAGTCCCCTCCAGCATAATGACGGCAAGTGCAAGCATTGTGCCAGCAGGTACTGAATGCTTCCTGAGCACCATCTGATATAGCCCTCACAGCATGCCAGCAGGCAGCTATTACTATTGTTCTCACTTTATAGACAGGGAAACTGAGGCACAGCCACATGAAAGCGCTTGCCCTGGTCACAGAGCTATTAAGTGGGGGAAACAAATTTGAGCCTAGACACGTGACCTCTGTACCCAGTCACACCAGTGGTTCTCAACCCATCTACACATTAGAATCACCTGGAAGGCTCTCATGAAAACCTAGCAGGGCCAGGCCCCCACCATCAGAGATTCTGTCTGGACATTGGGATGTTACACAAAGCAACTCGGTGACTCAGGTGTGTAGCCAGGACACAGCAACACTTTGGAAGGCCAGGCGGGCAGACCACCTGAGGTCAGGAGTTCAAGACCAGCCTGGCCAACATGCTGAAACCCCGTCTTTACTAAAAATACAAAAATTTGGCTGGGCGTGGTGGCTCACGCCTGTAATCCCAGCACTTTGGGAGGCCGAGGTGGGCGGATCACGAGATCAGGAGATCAACACCATCCTGGCTAACATGGTGAAACCCCATCTCTACTAAAAATACAAAAAATTAGCTGGGCGTGGTTGCACGTGCCTGTGGTCCCAGCTACTCTGGAGGCTGAGGCAGGAGAATTGCTTGAACCTGGGAGGCAGAGGTTGCAGTGAGCTGAGATCGTGCCACTGCACTCCAGCCTGGTGATGAAGCGAGATTCCGTCTCAAAAAAAAAAATTAGCTGGGTGTGGTGGCTCGCACCTGTAATCCCAGCTAGTTGGGAGACTGAAGCAGGAGAATCTCTTGAACCAGGGAGGCAGAGGTTGCAGTGAGCCGAGATCGCACCACTGTACTCCAGCTTGGGTGAGACAGAGCAAGATTCCATCTCAAAATAATAATAATAAAGAAAGCTCTGCATGGGGAAAAGCTTAGCATGAAATTTTGGGGTGAGGGATGGGAGCAGGGAGACAAGTCAGAAGGTGGCAGCTAGTTCAGCCGAAGAGAAGCCACCACATTCAATTCACTCTTTGTGGGGAAACCGGAAGGGACGGGCTTACTGGACAGGACGTGGGGAACAGGGAAAAGGCAGGGACAAGAGTCCCTCCCAGAGTTTGAGATTTATTTACTCATTGATTTATTATGAAGTAAATCATTAATACAAGACAAGTTTTTTATAATGTTTCTGAATGACTAAAAGAATAATTATGGAATGAAAACCTGTATACTCTGGCTGGGCGTGGTGGCTCACACCTGTAATCCCAGCACTTTGGGAGGCCAAGGCGGGTGGATCACAAGGTCAGGAGATCGAGATCATCCTGGCTAACGCGGTGAAATCCCATTTCTACTAAAAACACAAAAAATTAGTCGGGCGTGGTGGCTCATGCCTGTAGTCCCAGCTACTCAGGAGGCTGAGGCAGGAGAATGGTGTGAACCCAGGAGGCGGAGCTTGCAGCGAGCTGAGATCGCGCCACTGCACTCCAGCCTGGGTGACAGAGTGAGACTCCATCTAAAAAAACAAAACCAAACAAAAGCCTGGCTACAGCAAAGCTTTGGTAACAAAGCAGGTACGTGTATCCCCCATTTGCCCACCATGATGGGCCAGTGGCCACTCCCCCAGGACTCACAGATGAGTCAAAGCAGTGGGCAAGTTTTTTCGAGGCTTCGGGCAAGAAAAGGGCTGGGATCCCTCTTCCCCCAAGTGCTTCCCCCCAGTTCTGGGCCCCACGCCTGGGTCTCCTGGTTCACAGCATTTTATTGTTATGTTGGTGGTGAGGATTTGAGATGGTTCCTGATAGGATGTCAGGGGGCAAGGGTCTCCTTCCGAGTTCCTGGAAAGGAATGCACACTCAGAAACCCAGGCTGAACGTTGCCGGTGTGGGTGCTTGGTGGATGTGTCTGTCCTGGACCAGCAGATGGAAACTAACTACCGCTCAGCTGGCTCTCTGAAGCAATGCTGTCTTTCAAGAGCTGGAAGCCAGCACCAAAGCTAGCTCCATAGTTTCTTTTTTGAACTCTTCTTGGGTCTTTAAATAAGTCTTGGCATTCTGAGAAACTGCATCTCAATGCCAATTATCTTAACTCAAAACATCTCAATCACAGAAATTATAGCTGCCTTGGGCAGTTTCCAGTGCTCCAGCAAGCAGGGACCTGAGCAGGGCTGGGCAGGGCATCATTCAGAAGTGTTTATGTGACTAACGCTCCCCAGGAGTCTACTGGACAGCTCAATCAGCACATTTACTTACTGGTGTTTTTTTTTTTTTTAATTCCTTTGCCAAATTCCTCTAGGGATTTGAGGCAACATATATTAAGAGTACATTCAACAAACTGATGATTTAAAAAAATTTTTTACATTAAGACACCAAGGCCAGACACGGTGGCTCATGCCTGTAAGCCCAGCACCTTGGGAGGCTAAGGCAGGTGGATCAGTTAAGGTCAGGAGTTTGAGACGGGCCTGGCAAACATGGTGAAACCCCATTCTACTAAAAATACAAAAATTAGCCGGGTGTGGTGGCGGGCGCCTGTAATCCCAGCTATTCAGGAGGCTGAGGCAGGAGAATCGCTGAAACCCAGGATAGGTTATCTTGAAATAATAATAATAATAATAATAATACACCAAAACAGAAAAAAAAATCCAGAAAATAAAACCCATGGAAAAGGACAAACAAATATATGACCATGAGAACCAAACTATCATTAGGATTGGAGCTTCCCAGTAGCCCTTGCAAGAAGGGAACCAGAGTCAACCACCTAATTCTCATTATCAGAAGGAAGGCAGCATGCCAAAATGATTCCCGTCATACATGGACCTTTATAAAGGGACGTGGAGTGGTCAGTGTGCTCAACCACCTTGCAAGAGCAAATTCTACATTTGCTCTTAGCCAAAAGGCCAAGAAGCAGTTGCAAGACCAAATTTAATGGGAGATTTCCTATGGTTGAGCCTCCATTTGCTCATCTGTAAAATGGGAATAATGCTTACCTTCACGGGTTGTTTGAGGACTACAGCAGTACCTGGCAGACAGCAAGAACCTAACAAGTGTTTATTTCTTCATTTTCTATCCCCAGCAAGCTTAGGGCCTTCTTCATCCTCTCCAGGGTAGCTACTTAATCCTCACACCTATTTTACATGGGCACAATTTTCCCTACTATGTGTCCAGCTCAGCAGCAGATTCTGGGGATACAGCAGTGGGTGAGCAGATATGGAATCTGCCTTTAGGAAGCTCATAGGTTAGTAGAGAAGCAGGGCAAACGGAGAGTAGCAACAATGTATGGTAAGTACAATTGTAAAGCCATAATAATAACTGTAAGAGCTTCTGTTTTGTAGCACGTAACCTGAGTTTGCTAGCTGTGCTTGACAAGAACAGAATGAGAAAGAAAACCTACGAACATAACAATAAACCCATAAATGCAAAAATTCTAAACAAAACTATTAGCAAACTCAATTCAAAAATGATACAATATCAGATTATACAATATCAGATCAGAATAAATTGATCCCAGGAATGCATGTTTCATCTTAGAAAATCAATTCAACAGGTTAATAGATCAAAGAAAAAATTTACATGATCATCTCAATAAATCAGAAAAAAGTTAATAAAATCATCATTTATGATTTTTAAGCAAAACTTAAGAATAAAAAGAAACTTCTTTAACCCCATAAAGAATAGCTATAGGCTGGGTGTGGTAGCTCACTCCTGTAATCCCAGCAATTTGGGAGGCTGAGGTGGGTGGATCGTTTGAGGTCAGGAGTTTAAGACCAGCCTGGGCAACATGGTGAAACCTTGTCTCTACTAAAAATACAAAAATCAGTGGGGCATGATGGCACGTGCCTGCAATCCCAGCTACTCAGGAGGCTGAGACAGGAGGATTGCTTGAACTCAAGAGGCGGAGGTTGCAGTGAGCCAAGATCACGCCACTGCACTGCAGCCTGGGTGACAGAGCAAGATTCTGTCTCAGAAAAAAAAAGGTACAATAGTGATTCTCAAAGTGTGGTCCCCAGACCAGCATTAGCATTATCAGCATTACCAGGGAGCGTGTCCAAAATGGAAGTCCTCAGGCCCACCCACACCTTCTGAATCAGAAACTCTGGAGGCTGGGGGAGCAGCAGTCTGTGTTTCAATAAGCCCTTCAGGTAATTCTAGTGCCACTGAAGTTTGAGAACTACTGATCTATAAGAAACTCACATCAAAAATTATTCTTAATGATAAAGTATTGAAACCATTCCTTCTAGGATCAGAATAAGAATACCCATTATCATAACTGTTAATCAGCATTGAACAGAAGGTTCTTGCCATTGAGGTATAAGATTAGAAAGGAATTATTATATATACAGAAAATCCAAAAGAATCTACAAAGTAAAAGAATTCATAAGAGGGTTTAGCGAGGCTGTCACTATAAAACCAATATACAAAAATCAATTGTATTTTTTTTTCTTGTGGGACAGGGTCTTGCTCTGTCACCTAGGCTGGAATGTAATGGCTCAGTCACAATGTACTGTAGCCTCGACCTCCTGGGCTCGAGTGATTCCCCCACCTAAGTCTCCCAAGTAGCTGGGACTACAGGTGTGTGCCACCATGCCTGGCTATTTTTTTTTTTTTTTTTTTTTTTTTTGTAGAGACAGGATATCGCATGTTGCCCCAGCTGATTGCAAACTCCTGGCCTCAAGCAATCCTCCCGCCTTGGTCTCCCAGAGTGCTGGGATTACAGGTATGAGTCACCACACCTGGCCCAACTACATTTCTATATACTAAAAAGAAATAGAAAATGGCAAATTTGAAATGTGCCATTTATAAGAGCATCAAAAAGTAAAAAACAAAGCATATCTAACAAAAGATGTGCAAAAACCTTATGGAGCATACTATACAACTGTATTGAAAAAACATTAGAGGAGATCTAATTAATGGAGAGATACGCCATATTCATAGATTGAAAGGCTCAATATTAAAAAGATTTCAGTTCTCTGCAAGACCTACGAATCAGTGTAAATCCAGTCAGAATCTCCACAGGGTGCGTGTATGTGTGTGTGCACATGTGAGAGCATGCACTTGAGAGGGGAGGGGAGGGGAGGGAAATGTGGGAGGGGAGGGAGGGGAATGGGGAAGGGGAGGGAAGGGAAGGGAAGGGAAGGACATTTATAAGGTGATTCTAAAATTTATATAGAAGTGCAAAGAGCCAAGAATAGCTAAGTCACCCTTGAAGATGAAAGATAAGAGAACTTGCTCTACCAGATATCAAGACTTATTATAAAGCCACAGTAATTAAGACAATATAGAACTTATGCAGAGACAAATAGACCAACTACACAAAACAGAAGGCAAGACATTTTATTATTGAATGATAGAAGTTATTTATTAATCCTATATACTGATCATTCGTCGTTTGCATGTGTTACAAACATATTTTCTCCCAGTTTGTGGTTTATATTTCTACTCTGTTAACCACAGTTATTTCTACTCTTTTAAAAACCAGAAGCTCTTACTTTTAATATATTAATTATATTACATATATTTAATATATTAAAATAGTTACATTTATCATTCTTTCCTTTTTATCATTTTGTTCTTTGTGAACCAGTATCTAAGATGTACAAATAACTCCTACCATTCAATAAACATAAGAAAAAGAAGTAGATAAACAATCCAACAGAAAAGGTATTCAACCTAATTAGTTATCGGGGAAATTCAAATTAAAACCTCAGTGGTATACTATTACATGCTCACCACTTAGGAAAAAAATAAATATACAAAATAGAACCGGGAGCAAGGATGTGGAAGAGCTAGACCCCTCACAATTGCTGATGGGAAGGAAATTGGCATTAGCCCTGAAAAACAGTTTGTGCTATTCAGTGAAGTTGAAAATGCCTATACCCAATGCTAGAAATTCGACTCCTAGGTAATACCTAGAGAAACCCTTGCAGTTCTGCCCCAGGAGACATGAATATCCATAGCAACATTGGTCATGTTATCCAAAAACTAGAAACAGTGCCCATCACCAGTAGAACAAATAACTAAATTGTTGTCTATTCATACAATGGAATATTAGAGAGTGATGAACAATTTATGACTCACACATCTGTGGCTGACCGCCACTGCTACTGCTTGAGACCATCACTACAGCAGCTACTACTGTTACTGCTTGAGACCGTCATTACGAGACTGAACGAAGGGATGAACGTAGAAATGAAAACCTAAGACAAAAGAAACTATTATAAAGGAAGGGGAACCAGGGAAGAAGAAGAGAGCTCCCTGCTTCTCGTGAGCAAAGGCAATCCCCGAGCTTCCACAGCCCTTCTCATTTATTGGGTAGAAAGAGCAGGGAGGAGGAGGCAACGACTGGTCAGCTGCTTAATTGATCACAGGTTCACATCATTACTAGCAGGCTTCAATTACACCTAATCACAGGAAACACTTGTGCCTGGGTTGTGACCGCCCTTGGCGGTCCTTCTGGGTGACAGACGCAGTTTGTCAGTTTGCCAGCATCCTGCTTTCATGAGCACAGCTTGCTGTTTACTCACACAGCCTCCAGTGGTATACTGAGTTGATCACGACCCTCACTCCTTTGGCCTCCAACATACATCAACATGGATAAATTTCACAAACACAATGGTGAGCGAAAGAAGCAAGTCACAAAGGAATAAAGTGTGCTTTCGTTCACATAAAGACAAAAACAGGCAAAACTAAACAGTAACCACTGCACTTGACCCTTAATCTCAGCGCTTTGGGAGGCCAACGTGGGAGGATCACTTGAAGCCGGGAGTTTGAGGCCAGAGTGGGCAACATAGTGGGACCCTGTCTCTACAAAGAATAAAATAAAATAAATTAGCGATCATGATAGTGTGTGCCTGTACTCCCAGCTACTCAGGAGGCTGAGTTGGGAGGATGAGTCCAGGAGTGCAAGGCTGGAGTGAGCTGTGATTGCACTACTACTGCCCTCCAGCCTGGGCGACAGAGCAAGACCCTGTCTCTAAAACAACAACAACAACAATAAAGTACAAACCATAAATGCAAGGGAATGATGATCACAAAAGTTCGCGTAACTGTTAGTCCTGGGGGCGGGGGGATGTAGTCAGGGAGATGTCCCCAAAGGTGGCTCACGCCTGTAATCCCAGCACTTTGGGAGGCCCAGGCGGGTGGATCACGAGGTCAGGAGATCGAGACCATCCTGGCTAACACGGTGAAATCCCATCTCTACTAAGAAATACAAAAAAATTAGCCGGGTGTGGTGGTGGGAGCCTGTAGTCCCAGCTACGCAGGAGGCTGAGGCAGAAGAATGGTGTGAACCTGGGAGGCAGAGCTTGCAGTGAGCCGAGATCGTGCCACTGCACTCCAGCCTGGGCGATAGAGCAAGACTCCGTCTCAAAAAAAAAAAAAAAAAAAAAAGAGTACTAAAGACTTTCTATTTCTTAACCTGGGTGGTGTTTACACGGTATTTAGTATTATCCCATATATGCACGTATGTTTACACACTCCTCCAGATGTGTATTTTGCAATTTTAAAAGATGCACACTTTTAAAAGATACAAAGGCAATCATGAATGCATATGTATGTGAATTAATCCAGTTACTCCACACTGTTCACACTGACAGGACAAAGAGGAGGTCTGGCCTCCAGTGGGCAGATTGCAGAGGACTGAGCAACCCACGGTGGGGGCGCTGCGGGTGGGTTGGCAGGGGGCCAGCTGCTGGAAGCTTGGGGAAGAGCAGGTTGTTGCACAGTGGGGACCACACCAGGATGCCATCACTGAGCCGCCTCTCTCTGGAAAAGTCCCTGGGCACATGTGGGTGGGTGGCAGCTGTGTCAATGAAGTCTTGCCCATTTCCCAGGGAGCACAGGTGCATGGGCATGGGGGAAAGAGGAAGGACCAGTCACCAGAGGAAGATTCAAGCCAAGAATCTTAAACTTGGGTCCCCAGGTGGGGTCCAGGGGTCCATAAATCCATCCAACTGTACACAGAAAATTCCATGTGCATGTTTCAGGCGATTGTGTTCCCAGCTGTCTTCTGCTTCTTGAAGGAGTGTTAAGCCTCCCCTAGCCTGTAGAAGATGCCATGTGTGCCCACCCACTCCTCCTACAATCCCTCCTTCAGCTCAAAGAGACCCGGCCTCCAAGTGCCGGCACCTGTACTGTTTGCCTGAGGCCTTCTCTGACCACCAGAGCCTGCTGACCAAATGGCCAGGGAACTAATACCACCCAGAGCAGCCCTCAGCAAATGACAAAAGGAAGTGGGAGTATAAATGCCCCAGTTCCCTTGCTCCTTGGGCTAACTCTGAGGCATGGGCTTCACACTACTTTCTAGCACTCCTCAGGGGGGTGATCTTCAGTTACTCACAGGTGGTAACTAGGTCATTCACAGACCCTTTACTCGCTTCTTTCCTTCCCTGACTCACTTTCCCACTGTCTACCAGTGTATCCTGCACCTCCCAAATAAACCTCTTGCACACAAATCCTTGTCTCAGAGTTGCCTTCTGGGGTTGCCCAAACTAAGAAATTCCCAGAAGATGAAGAACGCTAACCGAAGTCAGAAGAGGAAGTCCCTGCCTTCGTTCTGCATCCACTTGCCTGTAGCTTTAGGAAAGTTACAGCTTCTACCCGAGCCTCATTTTCCCCACATGCAAGAAAAGAAAAGCTAAGGGCATCTTGATTGCTTCCTTTAAATGTTCAAAAGACTAAATGACCCCATAGGATTAGGAACCCTGCCTTAAACTATGTGTTTGGTGCTGGTTAATTTTTTTGTGTCAACTTGGCCAGGCCACCAGTTCCCAGATATTTGGTCAAACACCCGTCTGGATGTTGCTGTGAAGGTGTGTTTTAGTTGAGATTTACATTTAAATCAATAGACTTCTAGTAAAGCAGATGACTTCCGTATTGTGGTGGGCCTCATCCAACTGGCTGAAAGCCTCCAGAGAAAAAAGACTGACACCCCCGCAAGGAAGAGGGAGTTGGAGTTCTACGCCTGTTGTCTTGAGCTGCAGTATCAGCTCTTCCCTGGTCTCCAGCCTGCTGGCCTACTTAACAGATTTTGGATTTGCCAGCCTCCACAATCATGTGAGCTGAGCCAATTCCTTGAATTCTGTCTCTCCCTCACTCCATATATATGAACATATATAGATGTAGATATCTATCTATCTATCTATCTATCTATCTATCTATCTATCTATACATCTATATGTTCTATTGGTTCTGTTTCTGTGTGTCCCTGATGCCTAGGACAGAGGGGTGCTCAGCAGAGGGGTGCTCAGCAGGTGTCTGTTGAATGAATCTAAATCAGAAGATCAGAGGGTCTGGGATCTTTTATCTCCCCCTGTATTTGGCCAGCAAAACCTTGTGGTTAACGCTTTGCAATCAGCTAAATCTGGGTTCAAGTCCTGATTTATTTTACTAACAGTTGTGTGATCTTGGTTGAGTCATTCCACTTCTCTGAGCCTATTTCCTTGCCTACAAAATGGGGTCAATAATGCCTTCCTCATGGGGTTGAGATAAGAATTATGTGAGGCCAGGTGCGGTGGCTCATGCCTGTAATCCCAGCACTCTGGGAGGCCAAGGCGGGCGGATCACCTGAGGTCAGGAGTTCGAGACCAGCTGGCCAACATGATGAAACCCCATCTTTACTAAAAATACAAAAGTTAGCCAGGTGTGGTGGCACGTGCCTGTAATCCTAGCTACCCAGGAGGCTGAGGCAGAAGAATCGCTGGAACCCAGGAGGCGGAGGCTGCAGTGAGCCGAGATCGTGCCACTGCACTCCAGCTTGGGTGACAGAGCGAGACTCCGTCTCTTAAAAAAGAAAAAGTAATTACGTGAGGTGGTACATGTCAGCAGCTCAGCCTGGAGCCTGCAGAGGGCTCAGCACACCATAGTCAATGTCACTGGCTGGGAACACGAACATCAGGACCTACCATTCTCTGCACGAAGGTACCTGAGGAAATATTATTTGGGGGCAGCATATTTGAAATCAGAACATTCCAGAAAAATTGAGGCCTGAATTTCTTGAGACCTGGAAAGAGGCCCTGACACATGAGCGTTGAAGAAATTGAATGGAGGTGGGGTGCACAAATAGTATGTTACAGCCATTTGAGGCCCTGATTAGTGAAAAATAGGATGAGAGCACTGAAGTAAGAGGAGATATAGCATCCCCATGCCTAACTCTTCTCCATCATGGCTTCTGGGCCCCGGAGTATAGGGCCAAAAGACACGTTCATTCTAAACCCACAGGCAGCTGAAGACGCCTGGGCAACCCTGCTTAGCAAGAAGGAAAGCTTGGGGAAGTCCAAGGCACCTGGGAAGAGAAGAACCAACCACCAACCGAACAGGCAGCTCTGCCAACACCCTTGGGACAGCATGATCCAGCCCCGCCTCATGACTTCTGCTGGGTGTGAATCACGGAACAAATAAATTTTGGAAAAGAGAATCACTCAAGCCTGACAGAGGAGAATGTGAGGTGTCAGAGTTATTTTAAACCAACCTGAGGTACAAGTTTTATGGCAGTGTTACATGAACATAGCTCCAGGTTCAACCTTCAATTTGCGGTTGGAAGGACGCAATCACAGTCCTAACCAGAAAAAGTAAAGTGATGAATCTGTGAGGTTGCAAACTGCCTGCAGTTTGCAAAGCTCCAGTTTCCCGGCTTTGGCACTAACCGTCTCCCACTTCTAGCCCCTCACCTCTACCCCAGCCCTGCCAACATCTCTCCTGACCAATATTGCTCTAACATAATAACAAGAACAATTACAACATCAACAACTTGATGACAAATACCGGGAACATTTGTTAATCTCATTAGGCACTAAATGAACATAAAATGCCACCATCAAAATAGCAGAAACAGAAACAAAAAAGAAAGTTTCTGGACAGGCCAGGGTGAAGTGAACAGCCTCGTGTGTTAAATACAGAGGTGGGTTTTGATATCATCCTTTGGAAAACAGTTTCAAATATCAGGAGTTCAATCTCTAGGAAAATAAACAAAGAAGTAACTCTAATCAGACACAAATCTTTATTAGGGATTCATAATAGCAAAAAATCAGAATCAAGCTGGTCAAAATGTTAGAAACCTATGGGAATGAGTAGGATGCTCATATATTGCTCCATTTGATGCAATATATGAAACCTCTGAGGTCTTTATGGTAATGCGACAGATACCTTTCATGTTAAGTGAAAAAATATGGCTACAGAAGAAAATGATCCATGAAATGACAAAGAGCTAAACAAGAAAGTAGAAGTGGTCTAAGTGATGGTGGTTGTAGTAATCATTACCTATGGAACAATTTCCATAGGTAATTAGGAATGATTTGCTTAAATTAGGCATGATTTGCTTTGACTGCATCTTTTAAGTTTTTAAAGTATGGAAAAAGAGGGAAGATCAGGTGTGGTGGCTCATGCCTGTAATCCCAGCACTTTGGGAGGCCCAAGCAAGCAGATCACTTGAGGTTAGGATTTCGAGACCATCCTGGCCAACATAGTGAAACCCCATCTCTACTAAAAATACAAAAATTAGACAGGTGTGGAGGTGGAGGTTGCAGTGAGCCGAGATCTCACCATTGCACTCCAGCCAGGGCGACAGTGTGAGACCCCATCTCAAAAAACAACAACAACAACAAAAACAAACAAACAAACAAAAAACAGTAGCCAAGACATGGAAATAACCTAAGTGTCCATCAACAGATGATTGGATAAAGAAAATGTGATACACACACACACGACACACACACACACAGAGGAATATTATTCAACCTTTGAAAACAGGAGAAAACCCTGCCATTTGAGACAACATGGATGAACCTGGAAGGACATTATCCAGGTGAAATAAACTAGGCACATAAAAACAAATGCTGCATATTCTCACTTATAACTGGCATCTTTAAAAAGTTGAACTCACAGCAACAGAGACAAGAATGGTGGTTACCGGGGATGGGGGTAGGAGAAGATGGGAGATGTTGGTCAAAAGGTAAAACTGTCCATTGCAAGATGAATAAATTCTGGAAAGCTAATGTACAGCATGGTGACTATGGTTAATAATAATATATCTTATACTTGAAATTTGTTAAGAGATTAGATCTCAGGTGTTCACATACACACACACTCACACACATAACTGTGTGAGGTGATGGATATGTCAGCTCGATTGTAATAACTGTGTGTGTATAACAAAACATACACTTTTTTTTATTTATTCATTTTTTCTGAGGTGGAGTCTCACTCTGTCTCCCAGGCTGGAGTGCAGTGGTGTGATCTCTGCTCACTGCAACCTCTGCTTCCCAGGTTCCAGCAATTCTCCTGCCTCAGCCTCCTGAGTAGCTGGGATTACAAGTGCGTGCCACCACACTGGGCTAATTTTTGTATTTTTAGTAGAGATGGGGTTTCACTATGTTGGCTAGGCTGGTCTCAAACTCCTGATCTCAGTTGATCCACCCACTTCAGCCTCCCAAAGTGCTGAGACTACAGGTATGAGCCACCTTGTACGGCCTCATACTCTTTAAATGTATATAATTTTTATTTGTCAATGATACCTCAAGAAAGCTGGAAAAAATAAATCAGTATTGCTACTATTAATAATAGTTTTGAAACAGTAATTGGAAAAAGTTAAAACAAAAACTATATAAAAGGCTGGGCGTGGTGGCTTGCACCTGTAATCCCAACACTTTGGGAGGCCAAGGTGGGTGGATCACCTTAGGTCAGGAGTTCGAGACCAGCCTGGCCGATGTGGTAAAGCCCCATCTCTACTAAAAATACAAAAATTAGCCAGGCGTGGTGATGGGTGCCTGTAATCCCAGCTACTTGGGAGGCTGAGGCAGTAGAATAGCTTGAACCCAAGAGGCAGAGGTTGCAGTGAGCCGAGATCATGCCACTGCACTCCAGCCTGGGCGACAGAGCAATACTCCGTCTCCAAAAAAAAAAATAAATAAATAAAAAACCTGTAAGATATGAAATCTAAAATTCTGTTAAAAATGGGAGGAAATAAAATTGTGTGCTGGAAATGACTATCTGATTGAAACCAGGTGATATTTTTATTTTGTATTTCCTTCAACTCATATCCCCCTCCACCACCATTTTTCTTATGATCCACTTATAGTAAGGAGGGGGAAATGGTTTCTAAACTTTTTAAAAGGAAACTGTGGAACTCACTAATTCTACCATGCAAAATATGAGGTCTCCTTTGTGGAGTTTCCATCACCAGAAAGCAAAGTTCCAAAACTGGTGGCATTTTGAGTCTCCTCCAGTGGGTAGGGTAAGAACTTTGAACATTGTCAGGGAGAGGTGTCTTCTTCAAACTCCCAAATAATGAGCTGGTTGTTTCCCCCCAAAATAGAAGAAATTTATCTTTTGACTTAGTCTCTGCCAAGCTGGGGAAGCCTCCTTTCCCCAGGGAGGAAAGCAGATTCTGAGCCTATTCTCCACTGGCTGGGCCAGATACCAGTTGTCACCAGCACCAAGAAAGCCTCTCTCACATGGTTGCTATGGGCCCTTCACATCCAACTGTCCAGTGGTGGAGGAAAAGTCTTGGACATTGAGCCAGCTTGGGTCTAAATTCCTATTAAAATCCCTGGTGGCCAACATGGTGAAACCCCGTCTCTACTAAAAATACAAAAATCAGCCATGCATGGTGGCAGGTGTCTATAGTCCCAGCTACTTGGGAGGCTAAGGCAGGAGAATCGCTTGAACCCGGGAGGTGGAGGTTGCAGTGAGCCGAGATCGTGCCATTGCAATCCAGCCTGGGCAACAAGAGTGAAACTCCGTCTCAAAAAAAAAAAAATTAGCTGGGCGTGGTGGCAAGCGCCTATAATCCCAGCTACTCAGGAGGCTGAGGCAGGAGAATCGCTTGAACCCGGGAGGCAGAGGTTGCAGTGAGCCGAGATCATGCCACTGCACTCCAGCCTGGGAGTGCCCCCCCAAAAAAGAGAAGGGGGGCATGTTGGGAGAAAAGCTGAGTGTTGGGAGAGAAGCTGAGGCAGGGCTTGCATGTCTGCTAGACTTGCTGGCTGCTTGCTTCTAGCACTCCCATTATCTCAAGCAGCCATATGTTTTTCATTCACTTGATACACTGTTTCCTTTCAACCCCCACATCCTCACCACCTGTTTGTTTGCATCCTCACCACCTGTTAGTTTGTTTGAGCACCAATAAACAGTGTGGGCTCCCAGAGCTCAGGGCCTTCTCAGTCTTCACACTCGCAATGGCCCCCTGGTCCCACTTGCTCTCTCAAAAGGTCTTTTTCTCATTCCTTTGACTCTGCCAGACTTTGTCGCCCCCACGACCTGGTTTTGGGTCTGATCACCCCAACATATGGTTTGGTGCTGTCTTTGTGATAGCGAGTGAGTTCTTGTGAGATCTGGTCATTTAAAAGTGTGTGGCACTTCCCCAGGCTCGCTCTCTCTCTTGCTCCTGCTTTCGTCCTGTGAAGTGTCTGCATTCTGCTTCACCTTCCACCATGACTGAAAGCTCCCTGACGCTTCACTAGAAGCCAAGAGGATGCCAGCACCATGCTTCCTGTAAAGCCTGCATGAGCCAATGAAACCTCTTTCCTTTATAAATTACCCAGTCTCAGGTATTTCTTTATAGCAAGGCAGGAAGAGCCTAATATACTACCCAATTTTAAGATTTATCATATAGCTACAGTAATCAAAATTGTGTTGTATTATTGGAGGAACAGACACAGATCAATGGAACTGAATATAGAACCTGGAAATAGCCCCACACATGTATGCCCAACATGTACAATTTTTGACAAAGATGCAAAAGCAATTCAATTTCAATTTGTTGAAAGAGAGTCTTTTCAACAGACGATGCTAGAGGAAGGAATGTATCTTAAAATAAATAGTGTCATAAATTCAGTAAAATACAGTATTTCTTGTGCACCTACTCTGTGCTAGGCCCTGTCCTAAGCACTAGGGAGATAACAGTGAGCAAAGCAAAGTCCATGCTTTCATGTCACTCACATTCTCATGGTCTTGGTCCCCAGGAGAAATCCTGGGTGCCAGAGAAGAAATGTAAGCACCTGGTGTCAAGGGTTGGGTAGGAGCCAGTTCCAGAAAGGGAATGCAGAGACATTTGCCTTCATCTGACTGGTCCCCTTCCTTTTCTCAAAGGTGGCAGAGGGGAAGGTTGCAGGCTTTTGATGCAGATAGATTTGGGCTCCATCTCCTGTCTCTGCCCCTAATGTGCTACTCATCTGTCAATGACTGACATTCACTGGGTTAGTGTATTGTTCACATGAATGGGCTCCAGTGCAGGGCAGAGCCTGGCACATGTTAGAGTCATGATTATGCCCTTGTGTGCCCATGAATCCTTCCAAAACCTAGAAGGATTCTGCAAGGGAGAGAAAGGAGAGATGCTGGGGGCAGGGAAGAGCTGTGTGAACAGAGAGGAGAAAAGACTGCCCCTGCAATACACACAGCAGGCAGGGGGCTCCGGGATGAACACTTTGCAGGAGGAAGGATTTTCTTTTTTTTCTTTTTTTTTTTTTTTTTGAGACGGAGTCTTGCTCTGTCACCCAGGCTGGAGTGCAATGGCATGATCTCGGCTCACTGCAACTTCTGCCTCCTGGGCTCAAGTGATTCTTCTGCCTCAGCCTCCCGAGTAGCTGGGATTACAGGTGCCTGCCACCACGCCCAGCTAATGTTTATGTTTTTAATAGAGACAGGGTTTCACCATGTTGGTCAGGCTGATCTTGATCTCCTGACCTCAGATGATCCACAGGAGGAGGGATTTTCTAGTTTCAGCCAGCCTGGATGATCTAGACATGCTCCAGTGTTCTGCTAGAAGTCATGAATTCAGAGAGGCTGAGAGACCAGGGTTCTTTGTGCTGGAAGGGTCTTCAGAATTCATTGGCCAAGTGACCTGGCCTGGGGGCAGCTGCATAGCCCTAGAGTGGACGAGGATGCAGGGGCTTGGGAGTTAGACCACGCAAAATTAAACGTAAGTGTCACCACTTCCTTCTGCGTAACCTTGAGTGGTTACCTAACTCCTCTGAGACTCGGTTTCCTCACCTGGAAAACGGGGAGAGATGTTAAGGTTGCTGTGAGGATTAGAGATGATGCATGTTAGGACCTGGCATAGGTCAGGGCTACACCAGGGCATGGCATGTTGGATGAAGCCAAATTTGAAACCCCCCTAGAGGCCGTGTGACCTTGAGCCTGGTGCTTCACTCTTCTGTAGAAATGAGATTGTACCTGTTGCCCCACTTAATGGTGAGAATTAGAAATAATAGAGCCCAAGGACCTAGTGACAGGTAAACACATAGCAGGCGTTAATAGATGGTGGTCTCTATTATCACCCTGGGTGCTTCTACATTTATGTTAAACAAAGCCTAGGTTAGCTTCTAAGCGAGGGCCAGGCACTTAGGAGGCATTCGGTGAATATTTGTTGAATGAACAGCTCAGTGTTGGGAATGAACTGTACTTATGCATGAATAATGCTGAAGCAAGAGCTAGGCTATCTGCTGTAAGAACAGCACTGCACTATACCCAGACACAGAGCCACTGGGAGAGTCCTCTGACCCTAATTCCTTTCCCCCAAATGATGTCATTGCAATCAACTGGAGCAGGCTAGCCAGCCAGTCTCTGGGACAGGAGCTCAGGTGGCCTCAGCCCTCTGGGCCCCAAATGCCTAGAGGGTATTTGGCAACACCCAGAACACCCTTGCTTCCTCTGCGTGAGCTGGGCTGGTGATTCTGCCTTTCAGCAGGAAGAGAGGCCTCTTCCTCCAGGGTTTCTGGCCTGGATCCTGAGCCGCTCACCATGTATAAGAGAGTTCACTCCCCAACCCCAAAGGTCCCCTTTGGGCTCTGAAAGGGTTAATGCCATCAGCAAAAGAAACAGCCAGGCCGGGTTCTCAGGGATCTTCACAGGATCCTGTCTGGGTCAAGTACTGGGCTGGGTGCTGGGAACACAAACAGCCACGGCGTTAAGCCACCAGTGTTGAGTGACAAGTCTAGGCACTGGCCTTGCTCTCAGGCTAGCTGGGGGATGGGCATTTAAACACAAGGTGTGGCAAATCTCAGGAAAAGAATGAAGCGCTCTGCCAAAAAACTAAAGAGGGGCAAAGATGAATCTACAACATACCTGCAAATAACCACAGACACGGGCACAAGTGATGCATCGCTGCATGGTTTATGACACTGAAAACTTGCAGACAGCCCCCATGTCCAACAGTAGGGGAGCAGCCATGTCAGGATGCAGCTGGAGCTGCAGGCACAGGTGGGGCACGCGCCAGCCCCAAGTCTGTTGGCCTCTCATTCCACTGCCCTTGGCTCCTGCCCTCAGCCCTGCCCATCACAGAGCCCGTGGCCCTTGTTCCACTGTGAGTGACCAAGTGTGTTTCTACAAAGAGGCTTTGCTTCCAAAGTGCAGCCGTTTTCCCTCAGTGTGAGTGAGTGTGTGTGTGTGTGTGTGTGTGTTACAAACCTAGTTTTGCATTGCTCCCTGTGTAATTGCAAATAGCATGCATTCTCTTTTGCATCTCCTCTCCCTCATCACTCCCCTGGGTCTCTGGTGGAGGACCCCAGGGCTCATCCCTCGGCCTTCTCTCTTCCCTATCCTCACTCATTCCCTAGGGGAGCTGGAGATGTTGACATCTCACTGTTTTATCCTTTTCAGCCTGGTCCTGTCTCTTAAGCTCCGGAATCATGTGTTCAAACGTCCTACAGGGCATCATCACACCAAATGACACTTGGCAAAGCCAGGACCAAACTCCTGATCTCCACCATGCCCACCCCCCGCCCTTCCCTCAGCCTTCCCTGCCCAGCTGCGGGCAGCCCCATCCCTCCAGGGCCTCAGGCTCCAAACTGCGGTGTCCTCCTCCATCCCTCTGTCTTTCTTAACACCCCTCATCCAGTCCCTCTGCAACTCCTATTGGCTGTATTGCATCACAAAATGTCCAGAACCTGACCCATCCTCCCCTCCTCCACTGCCACCACGCTAGCCTGAGCCCCACCGTCTGTCACCAGCCTGTGTGCAGCGGCCACCTCACAGGTCTTCTGGCCTCCTCCCGGGTCCCCTACAGTCTGTTCTCACATCACAGCCAGAGTGATCACGTTCAAGCAAGTTGGTTCGCGGTCCTTCTCTGCTCAAAATGACTCCAGGCTCCCCACGTTACTTGGAGCAGAGGCCAAAGCTCTTAGGATGCCCGAAAGGCCCTATATGATCGCACCCCGCCCTGGGCTGCTCTCCCCCTCCCTCACTGCATTTCAGCCACACTGGCCTCTTTGCTCTTTCTTGAACCCGCCAGGCATGTCCCTGCCTCAGGGCCTTTGTACCGATTGCACTGGCTGTTCTCTTGACTTGGAACCTTCTCCCTGTGTTCCTGGTAGCCTTTACCCTGTCCTTTTTCCTTTTTCTACCCCACTAACATACGATAGAATCCACTTACTGCATTTATTGCTTACTGGCTGTCTCTCTCCCAACAAAAACAAACAAACAAAAAGGCTCTATGAAGGCAGGATTTTTGTCCACTTTGTTCACAGCGTATCCACGGTGCCTGGAACAGTGCCTGGCCATCAATAGGCACTCAGTCAGTATTTGTTGAATTAACAAAACTGCTTTGGGGCTCGTCCTCTTTGTGGCTCGTTCACAGCAAATTTAAACCCCAAACTGCTGAAGAAAATAAGAAAGAAAAGAAGGAACAGAAGAAAACAACCTCAAGAGACCTAAGACTTGGGGTAGAGGCCAGCCCTCCCTCTGATTTGCTGTGTGACCGTGGGCAGGTCCCACTCCCTTTCTGTGCTTCAGTCTCCCCTTCTGCAAAACGAGGACTGGATTGGGTGTTCTCTAAGGGCCCTCCCAACTCTAACAATGGACAGCTCCCTCCTGCCACTTCCCAGTAGAAGCTCAAACTAGTTCTAATCATGCGGTCAGCCAGAGAAATTGGGTTTATTAACACTGTGTGCAGGCAGTCATGTAGATGCGTCAGAACGTCGGACCTGGCCACATCATCATCTGCTGGTACAGAAGATAAATTTTGAGCCCAGAGAAGGTGGTCTGAATCCAGATCCCCACTGTAGGGCTTATGAGACCTTGGGGGTCTCACTCAATCTCTCTAAGTCTTTGTGGTCTCATCTACACATGGGCATCCTGATAGGACGCACTCCATAGGGATGTTGAGATGAGGCAGGATTTGAACTAAAGCCTGTTTGATCCCACAGCCTGACTCTGAATTAATGAGGCAAATTCTTTGCTTCAAAGCCAAAGCAAGCAAACAAAAAACAAACGCAAGATATCCAACCCACGAAACGCTCTATGTTCACGCCAGACTCCCATGCATGCACCCTTTGAGTGCTCCTTGTTGGGACCCATCCACCACCCCCCAGTTGCCTCATTAAAGGCAGAGCCTGGCACCAATGGCCCAGGTGCAACCACAGCTCTGAGGCCACATGGGCATCCCCCTGGCAGGCGTGGCCCACACCTGCACTGTCTGGTCTGACACCCAGAGGCCCTGGCAAGAGGCAGGTATCCTGGAGCATGCAGAGAACATCAACTTCCATGCCAGGAAGCTCATCTTCTCTTCCCAGCTCTGCCGCATTCTAGCTCTGGCACCTTGGGCAAGAGCTAGTCACTTTTACTCTCTGAGCCTCAATTTTCCTTCTGTAAAATGGGTTGTAATAATAAGCCCATATACACCTTGTATTGTAGCGAGATGTAGCTGTGATACAGTCTGGAAAGCACGTGTCATATAGACAGGCAGCTAATGAATCTCACACTCTGGAACTGGACACCTTTGGTTCCAATTCTGGCCCTACCACTCTCGAGCTGTGGAAGAACTGCACCTCTGTTTTCTCCTCTGTAAAATGGGTATAATAATGGCACCAACCTCAGAGGGCTGCTGTGAGGGTGAAATAAGGGGATAATGGTATGATCTAGTTCACGGGTTTGTCGTAATGAGCTATTCTATGTGAAGTGCAGGAAAACGTGCCTGGCATAGAGAATGTGAGCTGTCATGTGGGTGGCCCAGGTGGAGAGACTTGTCCCAAGCCTGGTTGGTCTTTGAACGTGTAGCCTGGCCTGTGACTGCTTACCTAAAATCTCCCCGCTTTTCCCACCTTCTCCTCTCTGATATGCCTGTTTGACATAGGTGAGATTGGATAGATCAAGGTGTTCAGGGCCTCTAGGCAGGGATGGGACTGTGGGCATGAGGACCAGGACCCAACCCCTCAGCCCCACTCTCCACCCCAGGCTTTCTGAGCCATCCATCCTTCCCAAGAAACTGACAGAGCCACCCTGCCACTGGTACCAGCATTGACACCCATCTAGAGGTCCGAGGGGCAGCCCCAGGGCAGAGGAGATTTTGAGAGCCCACACCCCTGACCTGAGTGGGGAGGGGTTGAGCCTCTGGGCCACAGACCGCAGGTGCTGACTCATGGCCTCTGCTGGGCGATATAAAGGAACCAGCCCAGGGGCTTCCTACAGCCAGAGGGACGAGCTAGCCCGACGATGGCCCAGGGGACATTGATCCGTGTGACCCCAGAGCAGCCCACCCATGCCGTGTGTGTGCTGGGCACCTTGACTCAGCTTGACATCTGCAGGTAAGAGGGGGGCCTTCTGGGGTTTTGGAGGCAGGTCAGGAGATGCTGGATGACCCAGTTCTACTGACACAGGAGCATGTGTTTGGCCCAGGCTCTAGGCTCCAGCCTCTGCAGCCACTGCCAGGGGAGTAGCTGGAGAGAGAAGACCCCAGCAGCCCTGGGAAGTGCCAGTCTCATGGCTGTGGGTTCTTTGCCATGTACAAGTGCAAATTCCCCAGGAACACACGACAGATAAATTATTATGGGGCAAACCAGGCCATCCATCTCCCTGTCTTCATCGAGGCAACAGAAGCTTACAGAGAGTCTGTGACTTGCTCAAGGTCACACAGCACGTGTGCCCTGGAAGTAAGGTTAGCCCCTGGGCCTCCTGGTTCACAGCACAGTTTGTTACCCCACATCTCTTAGCTAAGCCTCCCTCAGTGGGTGCATAATAGCGTGGGTGGGGATGGCGAAACGGGGCTCTGTGGCGGCAGAGACTGAGGTAGGAAGCCTGGACCTGCTGCTGGCTAGCAAGGAGGCCTTGGGCAACTGAGCCTCAGTTGCCTCATCTGTGAAATGGGGATAATACTCACATCATGGGCTGGTTATAGGAATTCAATGTGAAAAAATGTGCAGATGTTGGCTGAGTACTTAGCACAGTGGTGGGCCCATCCTTGGTAGTTTTTATTTACTCATTTAACAAATGCTGAGTGCCATGCTCTGTGGCAGGGTCTGGGTTAAACAAGAGAGTTGAGGAATGCTCTCGGGGAGTGTGCAGGGTCATTGTTGTTATTGTAGAACAGGAATTAAAAGAAATTTTAAAACGTGTAAGCAAAAACTCAGTTCTATGTTAAAAAAAAAAAAAACAATTTTCCCTGGAAAAAAAAAAAAAAAAGAGCTGGAGTCCCTTAAAAATTAACTGCCTGTTTTTTTGTGGCTAGTGAGCCTTATTGCTCCTCTTTTTCCAGGCATTGTAAAGACCCTGTTTCTCCAGCTGTGCAGCTGCAAGGTCACTAGACAGATAAACTCAAGCTGTAAAAATTTTTTTCCTTAAAAAGTAAAAAATAATATAATGCATGTCTCAATTAAATAACTGTCTTTGTTTCTTGCCTCTATAATATGCTTCCCCCTGCACAGATCTACCCCCGCCCCATGAAATGCTTAAAAGATAACTTAACTCTTTGTTCAGGGCTCAGTCTTTTGAAATGTTAGCCTGACTGAGCCAGTGAATCTAAATAATAAATCCTCCTCAACCCCTCGGTCTCTCTGATTCCTAAATTATCCTGCAACAATTGCTGTTGTCAGGAATAGGAGTGGTTGCCCCTGGCTTCCCCATCCCAGTCTGGGCATCGGTGGCCCTAGAATGGTGCCCACAGGAGTGCCGGGGACATTTCTTTGCTACTGCCTGAGCCCCAGCAGCCAGAGAACAGCAGGAAATGTCGGGATGGTCTCCCAGGGCCACATGGTGGAGGCAGGAGACCAAGAAGTTGGGGAGAAAAGGAAAAAGAAAATCACCTGACATCATCTGAGGCGCCCCCAACTCCTCTGAGAATGGGTGTGAAGGAAATGACAGGAGCTGAAGCTAGCCCAGGGCCTCTCCCAGCATGCCCAGGCTAGCCCTCTACCCAGCGTCCATGAGTAGTAATCAAGATCACAAGTGCTTCCTCTGGCCCTAGAGAGGTGGGTGGACAGCTGGTCAGTGTTGGGCAGAGAGGAAGGCACTGCCCATTTCTCCCAGAAAGGATGGGGACTCCGGAGTTCACAGGGGCCTCTAAATCCTTCTTTTCTCCTCCTTCAGCCACACGTTGAGCCTGTCACTCTATCCCCTGAACATCTCACGTAACAATGGCTAATATTTACATCACACTTCCTACATTCAACTCATTCAATGGCCTTGGGAGGCAGGTAATGTTGTTATTCCCATTTTACAAAAGAGGAAACAGAGGCTCCAAGAAGTTAAGTAACCCACCTCAAGCCACACAGCTAATAAGTAGGGGAGCCAGGACTCAACCCAGGCAGCCTGACTCTAGGACCCTCCATTCTCCCCATGGGTCTCCGTTCCAGACCTTCCTGTCACTTCTTATCTGTTCTTAACATAGCCCCAGACAGCGCCTCCCTCCCATCTCCTGAGCAGCCATCGGCCTCTTCCTGAACCACACAGGTGGGAGGGCCACTCCCTCCTCACCTCCGCCCCTCATATTCATGCCTCCATAACTTTGCTCAAGCCATTCTCTCTGTCCCCAAAGTCAGGAACCCGGGAGGCAGAGGTTGCAGTGAGCCAAGATTGGGCTAGTGCACTCCAGCCTGGGTGACAGAGTAAGACTCTGTCTCAAAAAAAAAGAGGCAAAAACACCTAACCGAGGGTCACATAAATTAAAGGTGGCAAGCTGGGCACGGTGGCTTATGCCTGTAATCCCAGCACTTTGAGAGGCCAAGATGGGCAAATCACTTGTGGTCAGAATTTCGAGACCAGCCTGGCCAACATGGGGAAACCCCGTCTCTACTAAAAATACAAAAAAATTAGACGGGGCGCAATGGCTCACATCTGTAATCCCAGCACTTTGGGAGGCCGAGGCAGGCGGATCACAAGGTCAGGAGATCGAGACCATCCTGGCTAACATGGTGAAACGCCGTCTCTACTAAAAATACAAAAATTAGCCGGGCGTGGTAGCACGCAGCTATAGTCCCAGCTACTTGGGAGGCTGAGGCAGGAGAATCGCTTGAACCCAGGAGGCGGACGCTGCAGTGAACCGAGATTGTGCCACTGAACTCCAGCCTGGGCAACACAGTGAGTCTCCGTCTCAAAAAAAAAAAAAAAAATTAGATGGGAGTAGTGGCACATGCCTGTAATCTCAACTACTCAGGAGGCTGAGGCACAAGAGTTGCTTGAACCTGGGAGGTGGAGGTTGCAGTGAGGCAAGATTGCACCACTGCACTCCAGCAAGGGCAACAGAGTGAGACTCTGTCTCAAAAAAAAAAAAGTTAAAGGTGGCAAAGCCAGGACTGTCTGACCCTAAACCCACCCTGCTTCGCAGCCCACCCTGCCTCCAAATGCTGGGGAGTGGACTCCCCTGGGCACTGCTCCCTGTGGGCAGAGCTCATTCAACTTCCAAAGGATTTGGTAAAGGCCTAGAAGGGGTGGGGGTCCAGGAGGTGCCAACTGCAAAGGGCAGTGTGCATTCAGAAGCTGCCATCTATGGTCTCTCTTCTTCCTCCCAAAGTCTCCTTCTTCTTTTTTTTTTTTTTAAAAACGGAGTCTCGCTCTGTCCAGCCCAGGCTGGAGTGCAGTGGCAAGATCTTGGCTCACCGCAAGCTCCACCTCCCGGGTTCACGCAATTCTCCTGCCTCAGCCTCCCCAGTAGCTGGGACTACAGGCGCCTGCCACCATGCCTGGCTAATTTTTTTGTATTTTCAGTAGAGACGGTGTTTCACCGTGTTAGCCAGGATGGTCTCGATCTCCTGACCTCGTGATCCACCCGCCTCGGCCTCCCAAAGTGCTGGGATTACAGGCTTGAGCCACCGCGCCCAGCCGGGTTTCCTTCTGAATAGACCAGTTGGCATGACAGTGGGGAGCCTGGACAAGTCTGTTTGTCTCTCTGAGCCTCGGTTTACCCATCTGTAAAATGGGAAAATTAACACCCCTTCCTGGGTTACGGCGAAGATTGAATTATATAATGCACACAAAGTGTCTGGCAGAGGGGTCCCCTTTCCAATGCAAATCAAAGAAAATGACTAAAGTGAGTGTCAATCATTTTCAGAGGTTTATTTCCAAGGTTAAGGACGTGCCCAGGAAAAGAATACAGAAACAGGAAAAATCTGTAGTCCGTGCTTTTTCCTAAATGGGTCTGGGACTTCAATATTTAAAGGGAAAAGAGTGGGAATTGGGCCGGATGTGGTGGCTCACGCCTGTAATCCCAGCACTTTAGGAGACCAAGGAGGGTGGATCACCTGAGGTCAGGAGTTCGAAACCAGCCTGGACAACATGGTGAAACCCCATCTCTACTAAAAATACAAAAATTAGCCGGGCGTGGTGGCAGACGCTTGTAATCCCAGCTACTCAGGAAGCTGAGGCAAGAGAATCACTTGAACCCAGGAGGCGGAGGTTGCAGTGAGCTGAGATTGCACCATTGCACTCCAACCTGGGCAATAAGAGTGAAACTCCGCCTCAAAAAAAAAAAAAAAAAAGTGGGTATTGGGGCAAAGAGGAAGAAAGAAAAAAAAGATGGGTAGATAAGAGGTAAGTGGTTGCATTGAGTCTTTGATCAGCTTTCACTGAATACATTTTCCGTGTGAGGTGGGGAGAGGAATAGTCACTTATGCCTTGAGCTCAGGGAATCTATATTGTCACAAATGATAAACATAGAGCAAGGGAAGAAATCAGATATGCATTTGTTGCAGGTAAGCAGAGGGATAACTTTGATTTCTGTCCTTTGTTCCATGCCTGTGAAGATAAGCTATTAACTTACATTGTCAGGGTGAAATTCAACAGAACTGGTTCACGGGAAAGATCTTAGGGCTCACAAGGAATTTCCTTGTCGGCAAATTGTGAGGGAGATATGTAGCTTTTTTTTTTTTTTTTTTAATCTTTGTAGCTATCTTATTTAGAAACAAAATGGGGCTGGGCATGGTGGCTCACGCCTGTAATCCCAACACTTTAGGAGGCTGAGGCGGGCAGATCATGAGGTCAAGGGATGGAGACCATCCTGGCCAACATGGTGAAACCCTGTCTCTACTAAAAATACAAAAATTAGCTGAGCATGGTGGCGTGCGCCTGTAGTCCCAGCTACTCGCGAGGGTGAGGCAAGAGAATCGCTTGAACCTGGGAGGCGGAGGTTGCAGTGAGCAGAGATGGCACCACTGCCCTCCAGCCTAGGCGACAGAGCGAGACTCTGCCTCAAAAAAAATAGAAAGAAAGAAACAATGGGGCCAGGCGTGGTAGCTCATGCCTGTAATCCCAACACTTTGGGAGGCTGAAGTGGGCAGATCACTTGAGGTTAGGAGTTCAAGACCAGCCTAGCCAACATGGTGAAACCCCATCTCTACTAAAAATACAAAAACTTAGCCAGGCGTGGTGGTGCATGCCTGTAATCCCAGCTACTCGGGAGGCTGAGGCACGAGAATTGCTTGAACCTGGGAGGCGGAGGCTGCAGTGAGCCAAGATCATGCCACGGTACTCCAGCCTGGGCGACAGTGCAAGACCTTGTCAAAAAAAAAAAAAAAAAAAAAAAGGAAAGGAAGGAAAGAAGGAAAGAAGGAAAGAAAGAAAGAAAATGGGAGGCAGATTTGCATGACCCAGTTCCTAGCTTGACTTTCCCTTTGGCTTAGTGAGTTTGGGGTCCTGAGATTTATTTTCCTTTGACAGCAGCGAGGACTGCATGAGCCTCTGTGTGTGAGAGTGGCAGACACTGAATGCCACCCTCATGGGGGTGGTTGATCAGGAGATGGCGGATGCTGGAGTTGGAGGAATGATGTCACTGTCTGGGGCTCAAGCTCCCAGTGCTGGCTGTATGGAGGGTGTTGGAAGTTACAAGAAGATTCAGCTCTGGATGGTCTTATGATAACACATGTGGGTCACACGCTTGAGGGCATGCACACACCTGGTGTGAACCCCCAGATGTTTATGAAAGTTCCTTGTTTAGGAGCTGAGAACATCTGGAACACAGCCAGAGGAAGCACACTCATCTTAGAATCGAATCCCAGTGGCCCAGTTCCCAGCTGGCCCTTACCTCTCTGAGCCTCAGTTTCCCCATCTAGCAGAGAGAGTGGCTATAAAGGTGCCAGACCCACCCGTTTGTGCCCTTCTCCCTTCCCCTCTTGAGGAAGCCACATGGGACAGAGGGGGCTGAGGCGGACCTAGCCCCTCGGTCCACCTGCTGTGTGCCCCTCGGCCTCCATTGTCTTTTGAGCCCCTTATTCATCTTCTTGGTGGACCAGACACAGGGCGTGTCCCTCTCCTGTCCCCATCCTCTGACCACAGTGCCCAGGCAGTTGGAAGGCCTGGCTTATCACTGAGGCTTTGAGAGAATGAAGGAAAACAACAGCACACAGAACCAAGAGAATGAGCCTCCAGGCTTTGGCAGAGAAACAAGAGCCTTGGTTAAGTTTTGGTTCGGCCAGGTAGGTGTATCATAAATGGAGGCACCTGAGCAGAAATGCACCAGAGCCACTGGGGCATCTCCTGGCCGGGAACTGCCCCCTGGGCTGAGCTGTCTGCTGCTTCATTTATTGTTATTATTAGTAGCCGTCCCATACTGAGCAGTTACCACATGCCGGGCCCTCCAAACCTTGCAACCACCCAGGAAGCAGGTCGACGTGATTCCCATTTTACAGAGAAGGAAGCTGAGGCCCAGGAGAGGTCAGTGGCTAGGCCAAGGTCACAGAGCCTGTCAGAAGCAGCCCAAGGTCATTGCCTCTCTCACTCCCTTCGAGGCTGCCTGCTGCTCCTGGCCTGGCCTGGGAGACGTTTCCCCGGGGCAGCTGAACCACTCCACCCCAGCTGGTCTGCAGGAGAGTATCTGATCCCAAACTGCTCCAACCAGCTGGTGATGGCTGAGTGCAAAACCACAAGCACATGCTGTGCCCTGGCTGGCTGGTGTAGACAGACTGGCCTGCTGTGGTATGTGGTGTGTTGGGAATTCGTATGTTCCATTCACACTGACCCTGGCAATCTCCCCGAGGCCCAGGTCAGTGCCACCCGGGGTGATGACAACCCAGCCATCCTGCTCCCCACCCCCGTCAGCATGGGAACCAGGCTGGGAGCAGGTGGGAAAGCCACCACCTGAGCTGAGGGGACAGGCAGGGACAGCCATGGCTTGAGTTTAGCAGATGTAGAATGACGTCCTTGTCAAGGAGGACTGGGGGGAGTCCACAAGGGAACCCCAGATTTTCCACCTTGTCCCATCCACCTTTGTCCTCAGCACAAGGTCTGGTACACAGTGAGGGGTGAGTGAGTGTGTGGTGATTGATTGATTGATTGAATGAACGAATGAAGGAATGAGTGTGTGTTTTAAGGGAAACTATGCCTGTCACACAGGAGGTGCTATTTAAGTGTTTGTTGAGTGAATGAAAGAAAGTTGAGAGCAGGAAGGGTGTCATTCCTCTTTGCATCCCCTATAATGTGTGGGACGTACTTGGCACTCAGCTATCATGAAATCTTTTTGCAACAAGAGCAGGCGGAGGATAAAAGGGAAAGAGAGAAAAATTGAGAGGGATATGGAGAGAAAGAGAACATACTCAAAAACATTCCACCATCCTGACATCAGCCACCACCATCCCTTACAGCGCAGGAGCCCCTACATCCCAGGCCACTGGGACATGGTTTTTTGCTTCCATGGCCCTTCGGGAAGGACCCCCAACACTGGCTCCTTTGGTCAAAGACTGCAGTGTGAGTTCAACAGGAGAGAGAGAAGGGGAGGAGCAAGTAAAAGAAAACTTTCTAAAAATCGGTGCCTGCTGTGACCCACACCCTTTTCTCATACCTTCCCTTGTAGCCCTGGGAAAGAGGAATTCTTCCTTTCCATTTTTGGAGAAAATTCTGGGATCCTACACTGGGTTCCCATTCAGGGGCTGCTCTCTCAACCCCCAGTCCCCACCCACGGTGACCTCACAGCCCCCAGGGCTACACCTGTCACTTGAACCTGGCTGCCTCCCTGATGACCCACAGCTCTGCCCTGACCCCTCCTCTCTCGGCCCCTATCCACAGGGTGCCTCCACCCAGATGGCCCGGCAAAAACAAAACCAGCCTGGCTCCCTGCCTTTTCCTCCTCCTGATGAGGAGGCTGCCACCCCCATCTTCCCATTTATGTCGATAACACTCCTGGCTGGATGCAGTGGCTCACGCCTATAATCCCAACACTTTGGGAGGCCAAGGTGGGCTGATCACATGAGGCCAGAAGTTTGAGACCAGCCTGGTCAACATGGCGAAACCCCGTCTCTACTAAAAATACAAAAATTAGCTGGGCATGGTGGTGCACGTCTGTAGTCTCAGCTACTAAGGAGGCTGAGGCGGGAGAATCATTTGAACCTGTGAGGTGGAGGTTGCTGTGAGCCGAGATCACACCACTGCACTCCAGCCTGGGTGACAGAGCAAGACTCTGTCTCAAAAATAAATAAATAGCCAGGCGCGGTGGCTCACGCCTGTAATCCCAGCACTTTGGGAGGCTGAGGTGGGCAGATCACGAGGTCAGGAGATCGAGACCATCCTGGCTAACACAGTGAAACCCCGTCTCTACTAAAAATACAAAAAAATTAGCCAGGCCTGGTGGCGGGCGCCTGTAGTCCCAGCTACTTGGGAGGCTGAGGCAGGAGAATGGCATGAACCTGGGAGGTGGAGCTTGCAGTGAGCCAAGATCGCACCACTGCACTCGAGCCTGGGAGACAGAGTGAGACTCCGTCTCAAAATAAATAAATAAATAAATTAATTAATTAATTAATTAATTAAAATAAATAAATAAATAAAATAACACCCCTGCCCAAAAACAACCCCCCCACCCGTCTCCCCTGCCCCGCGCCCAGCTTCTATCTGTAGCTGCATTTCAGCCGGGCATTCAGTAGAAGCTGTGGGACTGCATGACTGGGGCAGAGCCTCAGTGTGCTCATCTGTAAAATGGGAAGAGGGATGCCTGCCTCACAGTAGCAAGACCTCATAGTGCTGCCGTGAATGTTCAGCCGATGAGACAGTGTGTGTAGAACGCCAGGCTCACAGTAGCTCTCAACAGATACCAGTGTATGCATTCTCTCCAGCCTCAGTTTCTTCATTTGTAGAAGGGGAACTCCAATAGTACGTATGTCGCAGAGTTGTCATGGAGATGCCTGTAGAGATGGGGTTTAGCCATGTTGCCCAGGCTGGTCTCAAACTTATGGACTCAAGCAATCCACTTGCCTCAGCTTCCCAAAGTGCTAGGGTTACAGGCATGAGCCACCATGCCTGGCTGTGTGTATGGCTTTTCTGCATAAGAAAATAGCAATAACAATGCACGCCACAGACATAATGCCGACGGAGTCTCGCTCTTGTCGCCTAGGCTGGAGTGCAATGGTGAGATCTTGGCTCACTGCAATCTCCACCTCCCAGGTTCAAGCAATTCTCCTGCCTCAGCCTCCTGAGTAGCTGGGATTACAGACACCCACCACCACACCTGGCTAATTTTTTTGTATTTTTAGTACAGACGGGGATTCACCATGTTGGCCAGGCTGGTCTCGAACTCCTGACCTCGTGATCCGCCCGTCTCGGCCTCCCAAAGTGCTGGGATTACAGGCTTGAGCCACCATGCCTGGCCATCATAATGCTTTATTTATTCTGTCCTGTGCATCATGGCATGGTTCCCTCAGATTCCACTCAAAAATCAGGGTAATTCAGCAAACTCGTATTAGCATCTTCTTTGGCAGTGGTTCTCACACTTGAGTGTGTATCAAAAGCATCTGGAGAGCGTGTTAAAACACAGATTGCTGCCGGGCACTGTGGCTTGCGCCTGTAATCCCAGCACTTTGGGAGGCCAAGGCAGGAGGATCACTTGAGGCCAGGAGTTCGAGACCAGCCTGGGAAACATACTGAGACTCTCATCTCTATAAAAATGTTTTTTAAATTAGCTGGATGTGGTAGTGTGTGCCTGTAGTCCCAGCTACTCAGGAGGCTGAGGCCGGAGGATTGCTTGAGCCCAGGAGTTCAAGTCTGCCGTGAGCCATGATTGTGCCTCTGCATTCCAGCAAGACCTCCTCTCAGAAAAACCAAAACAAACAAAAAACACACACTTCTGGGCCCCACTCCTAGAGTTTCCAACTCAGTAAGTCTGAGTGGAGCCCCAGAATCTGCATTTTTAACAAATTCCCCAGTGAGGCAGATGCTGCTGTTCCGAAGACCACACTTTGGGAAGCATTGGTCTTTAGGAAGTGCTGGATGCTGGGCACAGCAGAGTGGCACCAATGCAGAGAAGGAGGTAGTCGTGATGTGGCAGGAATGGCACCAGGCTGGGCTGCAAGAGGACCCAGACCTGCCATTATCAGCCAGCACCCAGAAACGTCACTTTGCCTCTCTGAACCTGTTTTCTCATCTGTAAAAGAATAACAATGGCTCACTCATAGGATGATTGTGAAAACAAAGGTTAATGGCCACACAGAGAAAGGTGACTAGCTTGTCATCTGCTGCAGGCATGTGAACACCAACTCAGGCAACAGTGTCAGGACGGGAGAAGGTGCCAAGACCGAAATGTCACTGAGGATGACAGAAATTCTAAATGTCAAACTCCCAAACGGAGGCGGGAAGAATAACCTGACTGCTGAGTGTGTCTTAATGTCTTGATCAGACTTCCTGTGACTTTGAGCTCTGAATAAACATTTTTATATTTTCACCTTTTGCCGTTCATATGCACACAAGGCGAAAATTGGCATGCTGATTTTTTTTCTTTTTTTTTTTTTGAGATGGAGTCTCGCTCTATCACCCAGGCTGGAGTGCAGTGGCGCGATCTTGGCTCACTGCAAACTCCGCCTCCCGGGTTCATGCCATTCTCTTGCCTCAGCCTCCCGAGTAGCTGGGACTACAGGCACCCGCCACAACTCCCGGCTAATTTTTTTTTGTATTTTTAATAGAGATGGGGTTTCACCATGTTAGCCAGGATGGTCTCGATCTCCTGACCTTGTGATCCACCCGCCTCGGCCTCCCAAAGTGCTGGGATTACAGGCGGGAGCCACTGCGCCCAGCCTTTTTTTTTCCTTTTTGTGGAGACAGGGTCTAGCTATTTTGCCCAGGCTGGTAGAAAGCAGTCCTCCCACCTCAGCCTCCCAAAATGCTGGGATTACAGGCGGGAGCCATCGTGCCTGGCCAGTATACTAACTTTTAAAAAAATCTACTACCACATGCCCCTTGCTTCTTCCTTTTTCTTAGGAAGATGCTGATTTTGGTTCAAGTGTTTTTTTGATTGTCTGCCACTTTTCCAGACCTCGGCCATCATATCACTCAAGAGTACAGGGTTTTACCTAGGATCAAGAGAGAGACAGAGGCATGGCGTGGTGGCTCATGTCTGTAATCCCAGCACTTTGGAAGGCCAAGATGGGAGGATCCCTTGAGCCCAGGAGTTCAAGACCAGTCTGGAGATAAGGAGACTCCATCTCTACAAACAATAATTATTTTAAAATTAGCCAGGGGTGATGGCATGTACCTGTGGTCCCAGCTACTCAGGAGGCTGAGGTGGAAGGGTCACTTCAGCCTGGGAGGTTGAGTTGCAGTGCACTGTGCTTAAAAAAAGAGAGAGAGAGACATTCAAAGACAGAGGGTGTATTAGTTTCCTATTTGTTAAAAGAAACACAAGACAAATTAAATTTAATAGCTTAGTGGAGCAAAGAACCATTAGTGAATCAGGCAGCCCCTTTTACCCAAACCAGAATAGGTTCAGAAAGACTCAGGAGCTGCCACATGGTTGAACAATATTTACGGACAGAAAAACGAAAGTGACCCACAGAGCACGGAAGCGAGGCTCAGAAACAGCTGGATTGACTACAGCTCGGCATCGGCCTCATTTGAACATGGTTTGAACAGTTGGCTGCCTGAGATCAGCCAAAACAGTGCTTGGTATAAAAGTAGGTCACGGGCTGTTTACACCTCCAGTTAGGTTACAGTTTACTATGTACGAAAAAACCTTTCAGCCGAACTTAAAATACCTAAGGAGGCAGCTGTGGGGTAAACTTAATATAACACATTGCTGCTGTAACAAATCACTACAAACTTAGTGACTTCAAACAGCACAAACTTATTACTTACCAGTTTGCAAGATCAGAAGTCCAAAATATGAATCTTACTTGGCTAAAATCAAGGTGTCGGCAAGGCTGTATTCCTTCTGGAAGCTCCAGGGGCAAACCCATTCCTTGCAGCTTCTAGAGGTGCCCGCATTCCTTGGCTTGTGGCCCCTTCCAGCAACAGCATCACTCTGATCTCTGCTGCCATCACCACAGTTTCCCTGACTCAGACCCTCCTGCCTCCCTCTTATAAAGACCTTTGTATTACTGGAAAGTGGTCCCAATCCAGACCCCAAAAGAGGGTTCTTGAATTTTGCCTGAGAAAGAATTCAAGGTGAATCCATAAAGTGAAAGCAAGTTTATTAAGAACGCAAAGGAATAAAAGAATGGCTACTCCATAGACAGAGCAGTCCCAAAGGCTGCTGGTTGCCCATTTTTATGGTTATTTCTTGATTATATGCTAAACAAGGGGTGGATTATTCATGAGTTTTCAGGGTAAAGGGTGGGCAATTCCCTGAACTGAGGGTTCCTCCACTTTTTAGACCATATAGGGTAACTTCCAAGCGTTGCCATAGTATCCGTAAACTGTCATGACGCTGGTGGGAGTGTCTTTTAGCATGCTAATGTATTATAATTAGTGTATAACGAGCAGTGAGGACGACCAGAAGTCACTCTCGTCATCGTCTTGGTTTTGGTGGGGTTTGGCCAGCTTCTTTACTGTCACCTGTTTTATCAGCAAGGTCTTTATGACCTGTGTCTTGTGCTGACCTCCTATCTCATCCTGTGACTTAGAATGCCTAACTTACTGGGAATGCAGCCCAGCAGATCTCAGCCTTATTTTATGCAACCCCTATTCAAGATGGAGTTGCTCTGGTTCAAATGCCTCTGACACTTGTGGTTACATTGGGCCCATCTGGCTAATCTAGGATAATCTCCCCATCTCAAGATCGTTAACTTAATCACATTTGCAAGTTTCCTTTTCTGTGTAAGGTAACATCTTCACAGGTTTGGGGGACTAGGGTGTGGTCATCTTTGGGAGACCATTGTTCTGCCTACCACAGAGGGCTGATCTCATTTTGAGGAAGAAATCCCTTTTGGTTGGAGTGATAAAGGGAGGATTCGATGGCAGAGAACCCACTGAGATGGGCCTTTGGGGCTGGATTGGATTCTGCAAGAAGGATGTGGGAAGGGAGAGCCCTCCAGATGAGGGGCAGGTGAGAAGCAAAGCCCGGGAGATGGGAAAGTGGGGGGCAGGTGCAGGGAACTGTGGGCCATTCAGTCTGACCATAGCACAGGGAGAGCAGCACGGGGGACCACTGGGGGCCAGGCCAGGGCCCACCCTCACTCTCTTTATGAAGCAGAGATCCAATATACCTAACTCTTGAGTTTGGGAAAGTGACTTCACCTCTCTGTGCCTCAGTTTACTCATCTGTAAAATGAACAGTACCCGCCTTACAGGCTAGTGGTGAGAACCGAATTAATTAACGTGTGGAAAGAATGTGAACAGTGCCTGGAGCAGAGTAAATTGCCTGTAAGTAATTGCTGTCATTTAAGAATGTGAAATTGACTTCGTGAGGGTAGAATGAGAGCCCAAGCCAGGGTGGGCAGGAGATGGAATGAAATCTCCTCTTCTGTCTACTTCAGACCTCTTAGGTTCTTCAAAGGCTATGTCAAATTCCATCTCCTGAAGGATCAACATCAGAATGTTAGTGATTGTCTTGTAAATCAATGAAAATGACCAAGATGAGTGTCAATCATTTTAGAAGGTTTATTTGCCAAAGTTAAGGACCCGTGTCTGGGAGGCAGGTCCATGCCCTTCTCTGAAGATGATTTTGAGGCCTTGGATATTTAAAGGAGAAAGGGCGGATAATGGAAGAAGATGAAGAAATTTTTTTAATGTGTGGGTGGATAAGAGACAAACAGTTGCATCCTTTTGAGTCTTTGATCAGCCTTTTACTGAAAACACCATTTTCGTGTGAGGCAAGGTAGAGGAGTAGTCACTTATGCATTCATCTAGCTCAGTGAATCTGCATTTTTACATGAGATTACATAAATATAGCGGAGAGGAAGCAATTACATATGCATTTGTCTCAGGGGAGCAGAGGGATGACTTTGAGTTCTGTCCTTTGTCCTGTACCTGTAAAGATAAGCTCTGTCCTTTGCCCTGTACCTGTAAAGATAAGCTATCAGCTGGGCGTGGTGGCTCATGCCTGTAATCCCAACACTTTGGGAGGCCAAGGCGGGTGGATCACCTGAGGTCAGGAGTTTGAGACCAGCCTGACCAATATGGTGAAACCCTATCTCTACTAAAAATACAAAAAATTAGCCGGGAGTGGTGGCATGCACCTGTAGTCCCAGCTACTTGGGAGGCTGAGACAGGAGAATTGCTTGAACCTGGGAGGCGGAGGCTGCGGTGAGCTGAGATTGCACCACTGCACTCTAGCCTGGGTGACAGAGTGAGACTCCATCCCCCCCCAAAAAAAAAGATAAGCTATAAATGTACAATTGCTAGGGAGAAATTCAACAGAACTGTTTTAGGGTAAAGATCTTTGGGGCCCACAGGGAATTTCCTTGTGGGCCAATTGTGAGGGAAGTATGTAGCTTTTTATCTTTATAGTTATTTTATTTATGAACCATGAGAGGCAGGTTTGAGGGACCCAGTTCCCAGGACTCTTCCCTTTGGCTTAGTGAGTTTGGGGTCCCAAGATGTATTTTCCTTTCACAGTCTGTAAGTGGTAAGATTCATTTTCTTCTAGGCAATTTATGTCTTCTTCCCTCCCTTCCTTCTTTCTTTCCTTCTTCTTTCTCTTTTTCTCTCTTTCTCCCCTTCTCCCCCTCCCACTTCTTCTTTCTTCTGGTATACTGTATTAGCTATCTATACTGTGTAACAAATTGTCCCAAAACTTAGTGGCTCAAAATGATAACATTTATTGTATCATAATTTCTATAGGTTAGCAATCCAGTATGGTTTAGCTGGGTTCTCTACTTCAAGGTTTCTCATAATCAAGGTATTGGTAGAGCCGTAGTCATGCTAAGGCTCCACCAGGGAAGGTGACACTTCCAAGCCCACTCATATGGCTGTTGGTAGGATTCAGGGCCTTGCAGGGTGTTGGAACCTCAGTTCCTCCCTGGCTGTTGGCTGGAAGCCTCCCTCAGTTTCCTGCCACATTGGCCTCTCCATAGCTCACAAAATGGCAGCTTGCTTCATCAAGGTGAGCAAGGCAAGAGACAGGCAGAGAGAGAGGCAGAGAGAGAGACAGAGAGAGAATTCTATTGTAACCTTATGACAGAAGTGATATTCCAGCACTTTTACTTCCTTGGTTAGAAGGAAGTCAGTAGGTCCAGCCCATACTCAAGGGGAGAGAATTACACAAGGGCATGAACAGCAGAGACGGGAATTACTGGGGACCATCTTAGAAGTCTGTCCACCATATACTTTTCCTGTAGTTTCCTAATTCTTTATAATGAATACATATAACTCTTAATATAGAGACAAATATTCAATACAAAGATAAAAATAGAAAATGTAATCCTAAGCCAGGTACTGTGATTCATGCCTGTAATCCCAGCACTTTGGGAGGCCAAGGCAGCAGATCACTTAAGTCTAGGGGTTCAAGACTAGCCTGCATGACATGGCAAAACCCCATCTCTACAAAAATACAAAAATCAGCTGGGTGTGATGGTGCACACCTGTAGTCCTGGCTACTTGGGAGGCTGAGATGAGAGGCTAGCTTAAGCCCAGGAGGCAGAGGTTGCAGTGAGCTGAGATCACACCACTACACTCCAGCCTGGGCAACAGAGATCTCACCTCAAAAAACAAGCAAACAAACAACAACAACAACAAAAAAAACACAAACAAACAAAAAACACATGTAATCCTAAGTGTTTCTGTGACCTTATGTGGACGGAGTTCTGCCTCTCTAGGGATTGTCCACTGTGAATCCACTATAATTTATTAGCTATTCTTTTGTGGGTATTTAGACCATGTTTCATTGTTCACATTACAGAAAGGGCTGCTCTGAACTTTCTTGAACATGTCTCCTAGTGAACACATGAAAGAGATTCTCCAGAGTATCTGCCTAGAAGTCAAATTGCTGGGTTTGGGGCTGGCTAATAACACCAAGTTGGGTTTTTTTTGTTTTTTTTTTTTTGCAAAATGGTTAATTTCACACTCCAGTAAGCAGTGTGTTAGAGTTTCTGTTGAATCGTGTCATTTATAGTGTTATTTTTCACCAATTGAGTGGGTATAAAACCCTATTTCTTTATGGTGTTAACCTTTTCATTCTCTTACTTGTTAGTAAGGTGGAGTGCCTCTTCATGTTTTCATGTTGATTTGCCTAAGTTCTTTAAATAGTCTGCATGCTAAGCCTTTGTTGGTTTTATGTTGTGAATATATTCTCCTTACATTGTGCTTGTCTTTTTACTTTATATTGTCTTTTGATTAACAGAATTTATTTTCTTTTTTAATTTTTAAATTGATGTTAATTTTTTAAAAAATAGAAACAGGGTCTCACTATGTTGCCCTGGCTGGCCTTGAACTCCTGGCTCAAGTGATCTTCCCACCTTGGCCTCCCAAAGCACTGGGATTAAAGGTGTGAGCCACTGCACCTGGCCTATTTATTTACATCTAGTTGAATTTTTTGATCTTTTCCTTCAGGTTTACTGGTTTTGAGTCTTGTTTCAGAGAAAGCATAAATATGTTATCCTGTATCCTCTTCTAGAGATTCAAAGTTCTGACTTTCACATTTAAGTCTTTATCTCCCTCCAGCTGATTTTTGTGTATGGTGTGAGGCTGGGATCAATTTAATTATTTTTCCAATTTAGTATTTTCTATATGAATGAGCAATTGCTCCAGCAACATTTATGATATAGTCTCTACTACCTCCAGCCATCTGCAAGCCTATTTCTGTCATAGATCAAGTTGTATGTCCTTTAAGTTTTATCCTTCCTTTGTCTTGGCCTGAGCCATTAAAACCCCATCTTAAGTTCCATGGCTTTATAGGAAGTCTTATACCTGGTTGAGAAAGTGCCTCACCTTTTACTACTTTCCTTTACAAGTACCTTGACCAACTTAGTTCCTGGATTTCTCGTGTAGATTTAAAAATCAACTTGTCAAGTTCCATAAGAAACCCTAAAATTCCATTGAATATATAAATCCATTGGAGAGAATTCATACCTTTACGGCAACAAGGCTTCCTAACCATATACATAGTATTTCTATTTATTTGGATCTTCTCTAATGGCTTTCAATAAAGTTTGAATATTTTCTTCATAAAAATCTTACACATTTTGCTAGATTTATCCTAGGTACTTTACAGTATTTTTTCCTTTTGTAAATTACATCAGTTTTTTAAAAATTGTTTTCTTCTTAAAGAAATGGTTTGCTAGAAAAAAAGAAAAATATTTGTTTCCTATTTATTGCTGATGTATAGAAATGTAATTTATTTTTTCCTCTTTACTTTATTAGTCACCTTATTAAACTTTTGTCTTTTTATTTATTTTTAATTTTTAAAAAAGTTTAATTCACTCTTTTGGAGTTTGCAGACAACTGTATTTTCTGTCAATATTGGCAGTTTTTTTCTTACTTTTCACTCTTTATATCTTTTACTTTATGTCTTTTTTTCTCTTGCTGCAGTGCTTAGAATCATCCACACAATGTTAAAAAGATGTGACTTTTTGATCCTACCACGTTCCTGATTTTTTTTTTTTTAAACAGAGTCTCACTCTGTTACCCAGGCTGGAGTGCAATGGCACAATCTTGACTCACTGCAACCTCTGCCTCCCAGGTTCAAACGATTCTCATGCCTCAGCCTCCCCAGTAGCTGAGATTACAGACGTGCACTACCCAGTTAATTTTTGTATTTTTAGTAGAGACAGGGTTTTGCCACGTTGGCCAGGCTGGTCTCCAACTCCCGACCTCATGGGATCTGCCCACCTCAGCTTCCCAAAGTTCTAGGATTACAGGCATGAGCCACTGCACCCAGCCCCATGTTTCTGACTTTAAAGGGAAGGTTTTCACATTTTCCCTGTCAAACAGGACGTTCTCTGTGGGTCTTTTGTTAACCTTTTATCAACTATCTACAGAAAAAAAAAAATCTGCTTTATCTTCAGTAATATTTCTTTTGCTTTCCTAATATTTTTTCTCTTGATCAATGTTGCCAGAGATTTGTCAGTTTTATTGGTCTATTCTAAGAACCAACTTTTGGCTTTATTGATTTGTTTTATTATTTCACAGATTTCTTCCAACTTTATTTTATTTTGGGATTTTACATTACATTTTCTTTTTCTATTAATTTTCAGCTTTTACTTTCTTTTTAAAAATATAAACATTTAAGGCATAAAGTATCACTTTTACATCTCCCCAAAAGTTTTGAAAATAGTATTTTAGTTATTGCTCAGTCCTAAGTATTATTACTTAATTTCCATTATTAATTGTCCTTTGACTTGTAAGTAATTGAGATGTCTGGTTTTAAATTTCCAAATGTATGGTGCTTTTAAAAACATACTTTATACTAGTGACTTCTAACTTAGTTACATTATGATCAGAGACTCTGCTACCCATATATTACCTATGCTTTAATGTTTGTCACACTGTCATTGACTTGCTTTATGGCCAATTACATAGTCACTTTTTTAAATGACCCATGACCCGTGTGTGCTTTGCTTGGGAAAATGTATATTTGCTACTTGTGGGATACACAATTCTATATATATCGACTAAATCAACTTTGTTAATTATGTTAGCAAAATCTGTATCATTACTTAATTTTTATCTGCTTAATCTATTGTTGATTGAGAAAGAAGAGTTGAAATCTTCAACTCTGATGGTGGTTTTGTCAACTTCTTTTCCCTATGAATGTATTTCTATTAATGTTTGCCTTATATGCTTTTTTTTTTTTTTTTGAGACACAGTCTCACCCTCTCACTCTGTCACCCAGGCTGGGGTACAGTGGTGCAATATTGGCTCACTGCAACCTCTGCCTCCCAGGCTCAAGTGATCTTCCCACCTCTGCCTCCTGAGTAGCTAGGACTACACGTGCATGCCACAGTGCCTGGCTAATTATTTTGTATTTTTTGTAGAGATGGGGTTTTACCATATTGCTCAGGCTGGTCTTAAACTCCTGGGCTCAGGCGATCTGCCCACCTTGGCCTCCCAATGTGTTGGTATGAGCCACCATGCCCAGCCTTGCTTTATATATGTTGAGGCTCTTATTAGATGCATACAAGTTTAGAATATCTTCTAGGTAAGTTAAACCGTATATCATTAGGTTGTAATCCTCTCTATTGATACCAATGTGTTTTGTCTAATAATTCATTCTTTTGATATTAATATATCCATCCCAGCTCTCTTTGAGTTAGCATTTGCTTAATGTATCTTTTATCCTTTTTAAAAATTTTTCAACTTTTCTGGATCGTTATATTTTAGATGTGTTTCTTATAATCAGTATATTACTGGATTTTGTTTATTTAATGAAAACTCTCTTTTAACTGGCAATATTAATCCTGTTATATTTATTTTGATTATTTACTTTTTTTTTTTTTGAGATGGAGTCTCGCTTTGTCACCCAGGCTGGAGTACAGTGGCGTGATCTCAGGTTACTGCAACCTCTGCCTCTCGGGTTCAAGCAATTCTCCTGCCTCAGCCTCCCAAGTGGCTGAGATTACAGGCACGTACAACCATGCCCAGCTAATTTTTGTATTTTTTTTTAGTAGAGACTGGCTTTTGCCACGTTGGCCAGGCCGGTCTCAAACTCCTAACCTCAAGTGATCCTCTCACCTCAGCCTCCCAAAGTTCTGGGATTACAAGCAATTATTTACATATTTGGATTTGTTCTCACCAATCTTTTATTTTTATTTGTCCAATTTCTCCCTATGTGGCCTTTTCTCTTTCCTTGCTTTTTTGGAAGGCAGTTCTCCTATTCATTTTCTTATTATTGCATTTTTTCCATGTGTAGAAATTTATAAATGCTATTTCTATTATTTTGGTGAATATCTTTATTTATTTTGTTTCTTAAAGACAGGTTCTCACTCTGTTGCCCAGGATGGAGTGCAGATGTTGTGGAGTGCAGAATCATGGCTCACTGCATCCTTGACCTCCTGGACTCAAGTGATCCTCTTTCCTCAGCATTTTGAGTATCCATGACTACAGGCACAAGCCACCATACCCAGCTAATTGTTTTATTTTTTGTACAGACAGGATCTTCCTATGTTGCCCAGGCTGGTCTCAAACTCCTGGGTGCAAACAATCCTCCTGCCTTTGCCTCCCAAAGCGCTGGGATTATAGGCATGAGCCACCGTGCTCGGCCAAAGACCTTTAAAAGTATAGGCCAGGCGCATAAAAGTTTAGGCCAGGCACAGTGGCTCATGCCTGTAATCCCAACACTTTGGAAGACCAAGGCAGAAGGATTGCTTGAGGCCAGGAGTTTGAGACCAGCCTGGGTAACATAGCGAGACTCTGTCTCTACAAAAAATTTTAAAAATTAGCTGGGTGTGGTGGCATGCACCTGTAGTCCCTGCTACTTGGGAGGCTGAGACATGAGGATCACTTGAGCATAGGAGGTCAAGGCTGCAGTGAATTGTGATCACGTCACTGTCCTCTACCCTGGGTGACAAAGGGAGACCCTGTCTCTAAAAAAAAAAAATAAGTTTAACTCTAAAAAATCTAGAGTTAAACAATATCTTAATTCCCATTTTAATCAAGGACCTCAAAATACTTCAACTCTCTCATCCTCCTGCCAAATTATATTCTGCCTTTTTTATCCCACAGTTTTTATGACTTTTTTGTATACAATGTTGGTTTAGATTTACCAAAATATTTACCATTTTATTTGTTCACGATTCTTTGTTGCACTTCAGACCATTCTTATGACATCAGATACCTCCATCCTAAACTACGCCTTCAGAAATTGCCTTGGTGAAAATCTGATTTTAAAATATCGGTTTTTGTTCATCCAAAAATATCTATATTAAGATATTTTTATTATGATATTTATTAAGATATCTTAATATAATAAATTATATTAAGATATAATTTATTAATAAAATATTAATATTAATATTTTATTAGTATCTTAATAAATATCTTTATTAAGATATTTTTTGTACGAGTGCACGATTCTAGGTTAACAGTTACAACTGACCCTTGAATAACATTGTGGATAGGACTGCTGACCCCCAATGTAGTTGAAAATCTGTGTATACAGGAGGCTGAGGGAGGAGAATGGCGTGAACCCAGGAGGCAGAGCTTGCAGTGAGCCAAGATCACGCCACTGCACTCCAGCCTGGGCGACAGTGAGACTCTGTCTCAAAAAAAAAAAAAAAATAGTAAATCTTGTATAACTTTGACTCTCCAAAACTTAACTACTAATAGACTACTGTTGATGGGAGGCTTACCAGTAACATAAACAGTTGATTAACAGATATTTTGTATGTTACATGTATTATATACTGTGGTCTTACAACAAAGTAAGCTAAAGAAAAGAAAATCATAAGGAAGAGAAAATATATTTACTGTTCATTAAGTGGAAGTGGATCATCATAAGGGTCTTCAGCCTCGTCTTCATGTTGAGTAGGCTGAGGAGGAAGGGGGGTTGGTCTTGCTGTCTCAGGGGTGGCAGAGGAGGAAGGAAATCAGAGTAGAAGTGGACTCACGCAGTTCAAACCTGTGCTGTTCAAGGGTCAACTATTTTCCCGAAATACTATAAAGAGATGACACAACTGTTTTTTGGATGTCACTGTTGTTGACAAGTCTGCTTCCAATCGAATTGTTATTTCCTCCTAGATAATCCGACTTTCCTTTCTGAATGCCTTTAAGATCCTCTCTTTGTCTTTGATGTTCTTCACTTTGACCACTGTGTATGTGCATGTGTGTGTATGTTTGTGTGCACATGAAGAAGGCTAATTCTGGGAGATGTACCTTATTTCTCATGAGTTCAGCAATACTTTAAAAAGTATATTTTATCCATGATCCAGTTGTTTCTTAAGAGGAAGGTCCTTCAGAGTACCTGGTCTGCCACAATTCCAGAAGCAGAAGTCTATGATGCTTTGTACATGCACAATCCTGCGTGTGCACAGTGGCGTGGTGGAAACCTCTGGGTGGACACACCCCTCCATGCCTACATCTGTGTGTGTGGGAGCCTTTAGTGTGCCCATCCCTCTGCTATTTTTCTAGTTCAAATGCAAACCCTTCAGGTCAGGGGATTCGCTTTCTGTCAGTCTCATTCCCTCCTGACAACCTTACAGTACTTACTCCCCACGGTCAGAGTAAGCACTGGCTGCTGTTTGGTTTTTACACCTGTTGGGAAAAGGAGTATATTAGTCAGGGTTCTCCAGAGGGACAGAATAATAGGGTGTGTGTGTGTGAGAGAGAGTTTATTAGGGAGAACTGGCTCACACGATCACAAGGCAAAGTCCCACGATCTGCAAGCTGGGGAAGAGAGAAGCTGGCAGTGGCTCAGTCTGAATTTGAAAGCCTCAAACCAAGGAAGCCAACAATGCAGCCTTCAGTCTGTGGCCAAAGGCCCAAGAGCCCCTAGCAAGCCACTGGAGCAAGTCCCAGAGTCGAAAAGCCAATGAACCTGGAGTCTAGTGTCTAAGGGCAGGAGGAGCGGAAGGAAGCATCCAGCATTGGAGAAAGAAGGCAGCCAGAAGCCCCAGTGAGCAAGGTGATCCCACCTCTTCCACCTGTTTTTGTTGTAGCCTTGCTGGCAGCCGACTGGATGGTGCCCACCCATACTGAGGGTGGGTCTTCCTCTCCCAGTCCACTGACTCAAATGCCAACCTCCTCTGGCAACACCCTCACAGATACACCCAGAAAAAATACTTCGCATCTTTCAGTCCAAACAAGCTGACACCTAATATTAACCATCACAAGGAGAAATGCTGGGAGAGCCATGGCTGGCCCAGCCCCTCCTCACTGCATCCTCTGCTTTCCCATGTGTCTTGTCCACAGCTCTGCCCCTGAGGACTGCACGTCCTTCAGCATCAACGCCTCCCCAGGGGTGGTCGTGGATATTGCCCACGGCCCTCCAGCCAAGAAGAAATCCACAGGTTCCTCCACATGGCCCCTGGACCCTGGGGTAGAGGTGACCCTGACGATGAAAGTGGCCAGTGGTAGCACAGGCGACCAGAAGGTGAGTGTCATAGCTGTGGGGTGGCAGTGTGGATGGGCTTCAGCAGGGCAGCCACACACACTCTGTCCTGCCGTGATCCACAGCACCAGCCTGGCAGAGCCTCTTGCCCTGTGGAAGAGCTCGTGATGGCTTCTTCCAGCCATAGTGTCCTTGGGGACAATAATATACGGCTACCAGGGGTTCATGGAGGTCAGGGTTTAGATTAAACTCTATTCAGCAAATCTTTAGTCAGTACCTAACACATGCCAGACACTGCTAGACACTGCCAGGCACTGGGAATCCAGAAATGAATAAGACAGCTGAGGGTGCAGCCCTCATGGGGCTTACAACCTATGAATGGTAGCATCAGAGAATCTACTGGTAAACAAACAATTGCAAATGATACTGAGTTCTATGGAGGCCACAAACTGGTAGCCCCAAGGGATGCTGGTCCATGCTCCTGGATCGGTTTCCTGTGTCTGGTATAGAAAATCACCATGGTGGCCTGGCCGGGCACAGTGGCTCACACCTGTAATCCCAGCACTTTGGGAGGCCGAGGCGGGTGGATCACCTGAGGTCAGGAGTTTGAGACCAGCCTGGCCAACACGGTGAAACCCCATCTCTATTAAAAATACAAAAATTAGCTGGGCGTAGTGGCGAGCGCCTGTAATCCCAGCTACTCAGGAGGCTGAGGCAGGAGAATCTCTTGAACCCGGGAGGGGGAGGTTTCAGTGAGCCAAGATTGCGCCACTTCACTCCAGCCTGGGTGAAAGAGCAAAACTCCGTCTCAAAAAAACAAAAGAAAGAAAATCTCCATGGTTTGCTTAAAACAACAGAAGTGTATCCTCTCACTGTTCTGGGGTTCAGAAGTCTGAGGTCAAGGTGCCAGCAGGGCCAGATTTTTCTGGAGGCTCCAGGGGAGAATAATTATTTGCCTCCTCCAGCTTCTGGGGGCTGTCAGCAGTCTGATCTGTGGCTGTCTCACTCCAGTCTGCTTCCATGGTCGCACTGCCTCTGCCCCTTCTCTGTGGAATCCCCCTCTGCCTCTCTCATAAGGGTACTTGCCATGGGATGTGGGGCCCAGCTGGATGGTCCAGGGTGATCTCCTCATCTCAAGATCCTTTTTTATTTTTTTGAGACAAGAGTCTCGCTCTGTCGCCCAGGCTGGACTGCAGTGGTGCAATCTCGGCTCACTGCAACCTCCGCCTCCTGGGTTCAAACGATTCTCCTACCTCAGCCTCCCAAGTAGCTGGGAGTACAGGCACTCGCCACCATGCCCAGCTAATTTTTGTATTTTTTTTAGTAGAGATGGGATTTCACCATGTTGGTCAGGCTGGTCTCAAACTCCTGACCTCAAGTGATCCACTCACCTCGGCCTCCCAAAGTGCTGGGATTACAGGCATGAGCCACCGCATCTGGTCTCAAGATCCTCAACTTAGATCTGCAAAGACTTTTTTTCCAAATGAAATCACATCGACAAGTTCCAGGGATTAGGATATGGATGTATCTTTTTGGGGACCACCATTCCACCTACTACACCCCCTTTGCCTGTAGATGGGCTCAACAGGACCCTCTGGGGTTCCCACAGATCTCTGGGCCAACAGCCACTTATTCCCAGCAGAACCAGCCAAGCAGGCTTCTCCCTGGGGGAACACAGAGCTTGACTATCCAGGCAGGCTGGGGAGGGGGTGGTCGGGGAAGGCTTCCTGAAAGAAGTAGCAAGCTGAAGGGTGACACGAACTACCCACCTAAGAGCAGGAGAGAGGAGAGAGTTTGACACAGAGGGGCAGGCTGTGTGCACTCTCTGGATGAGAAAAGGGTGAGACACGTGTTGGGGAAACTGAGGAAGTTCTGTATGGCAAGAAAGGTAGATGGAACAGGAGGTGAAGGAGTCAGTTTGAAGAGTTTGGTATCAGGGACCTCATTTTCTGCAAACAACAGGAAGCCAACAAAAAGTTTTCAGCCAGCGAATAACAAGACAGCATTTGTACTTTAGAAGGATCCCAATGGCTGTGGCCTAGCAAGTAGATAGGATCTAGGGAGTGGGTGGGAGGCAGGGAGACCAGACAGAAGGCTGACACCATGGTCCAGGCAGAGGCAGTGATGGCCGTGGCGTTTTCCTGGATTTCCACTGTCTACAGGGCAGGTCCGAGCACCTCCGCGTGGCCCCTCAGGAGCTCCTCTTCCTCTGGTGGCAGCTCTTTGGCTCTGCTTTGGAAACTCCCCACCGCCATTTTGCTTGGATGTGTCAACCCAGATGCTCCACCCTCCTCTGGCCAATCCGAGGTGTTCTCCTAGGATTTCTGAACCTTGGGCACAGTGGATTGGTGTTTTCTCATCTCTTCCTGAAGAAACCTCCATCCACTCAAAGCTCCTGCTCCCCAGATCCCCCAGGACCCGGCCTTTCCAGGGTCTGGTTCTTCAGGTCTTTCCTTGATCCCTTCTGCTTGCCAGAGTCAGTTCTGTGGCTTATGATCAGCTCTCTCTAGCGCCTCTTCTGCCCCATCTCCAGCTGCTGGGCCCCTACTCCCTTTCCCAGATCTACCTCAAAGCACACTCCTTCACAAACGACCCTGCCAGGCAGAGTGTCTCCATTGCTGGGCCCCCATAGGATGCTCTTCTGTAGCACCAGTCATTCAAGCTTTTTGCTTTCCCTCCATTCCCATCGGATGGGGCCACTCCTTACAGGCTAGGACCAGTTCTTGCCCAACTTTGTCTCCCCAGTGCCCTACCCTGAGCCGGCACATAGGAGGGGGTCCAGTGGGTGTTTGTTGAATGACTAAGAGAAGTCATTAGTGATCTGCTCTCCCATAGGTTCAGATTTCATACTACGGACCCAAGACTCCACCAGTCAAAGCTCTACTCTACCTCACCGGGGTGGGTAAGTGACAACCAGGATCCTAGAGTGCCGTCTCATCCCCTGCCCACCTCCTAATCCCTGCAGGATGTCTCTGTAGGAGAAACTACACCTGGAGCTTACTTTAGACTGAGTAGAGAAAAAGCATGGTTTCTAGCCAGTCAGACATCTGGGAGTTCGAAATATTCCATCCTTAGTCAGTGAACCACAAAGAAATACAATGTGGCAGTGGTGGTGCGGGGAATTTTAATTATATCTTAACATTTTGCTTCTCAAGTTAGGAAGTAGGAACTTGGATTTTCAATATATGCATCTCCATTAATTTTTTTTTTTTTGAGATGGAGTCTCACCCTGTCACCCAGGCTGGAGTGCAATGGCATGATCTCGGCTCACTGCAACCTGCGTCTCCCAGGTTCAAGCGATCCTCCTGCTTCAGCGTCCCTAGTAGCTGGGACTACAGGCGCTTGCCACCACGCCTGGCTAATTTTTGTATTTTTAGTAGAGATGGAGTTTCACCATGTTGGCCAGGCTGGTCTCGAACTTCTGACCTCAGGTGATCTGCCTGCCTCAGGCTCCCAAAGTGCTCGGATTACTGGCATGAACCACTGCGCCAGGCCCTCTATTCCTTTTTGATACCTCAAATATCTATAACAAAAAGTAGATAATGACACTGTCTTATACAAGAATATAGATAGTGTTCCTCAAATTCCATTATTTATATCTCATCTTCACCATTTCTGCCATATCAATGATCCACCTATACTCATATTTATGTAATGTTCTTCTTTAAATAAAATCCATTCTTAAACTTGACCTCATTTTGAACAATAATATCATGATTAGTATCATTATGTGTATTAAACATATAAGTAGCAGCCAGACATGGTGGCTCACACCTGCAATCCCAGCGCTTTGGAAGGCGGAGGCAGGAGGATCGCTTGAGCCCAGGAGTTTGAGACCAGCCTGGGCAACATAGTGAGATCCTGTCTCTACAAAAAATAAAAAAAAACAGCTGAGCATGGTGGCATGTGCCTGTAGTCCCAGCTACTCAAGAGGCTGATGTGGGAGGATTGCTCGAGCCCAGAAGGTCAAGACTACATGATTGTGCCACTGCACTCCAGCCTGGGTGACAGAGTGAGACCCAGTCTCAAAAACTAAAAAATATATATATACACACACATATATATATAATATGTAGCATATAGAATCTTCAGGTTTCATTTCATTAATGCATTTCATTCATTAATGCATATTTAAGTAATAATACTACAGCACTTACTCAATTGCCAGGCACTGTGCTAAGACTTTACATTTAATCCTTACAACAATCCAGTGAAATTGGTATTATTATTATCATCCCATTTTACAGGTGAGGAAACTGAGGCACAAGAGCTAAACAGACTTGTCCAAGGTCATGCAATTGGTTAGTGAAGGAGTCAGGAAGTCCAGGCCACGAAAGGACAATGCTTCCCCGGCCCTAACTAAGACGTGGCTATGAATATGTTTAGAAGGTCATCTGGGTCAGTCTCATGTGGGACAAGGGTCACCATATCATGCTGTGGGGCACACGGATCTATTTTATTGGAATGACCTTGCAGTCATATATTCGGATGAGGGAGGAAGGATTTACAAACAAATGTTTGCTTTCTCAGCCAAGCCATTTGGACAGAGTGGGGGCATGTTCAGGGTTGCAATTTGTCCCCAGATACAGTCACAACACATGTCATGAAGAGCCCGTGGGGCTGGTGTCACCGCTGGGTCCCCCACCCCAAGGTCACTGAGGGCTGGGGCCAGAGTCTTTCGAGAGGCTGGCAGGGTGTGCCTGCAGAGGCTTCACATCGAACCTCTCATTGTGGTGGTTGGGAATTCCTTCCAAAATCCCTGGGGGTGGCCAGACGTGCAGGGTCTGGTGGACATCACAGTTGTGGCCCCGCTGAAGGGGAACAGGTGTGGTCAGAGGCCCCAGCTCTGCTGTCCGAACTGTAGCCAGACTTCCTGGGGGCCGTGGAGGAGGGATGTCTTGAACCTGTGTCTCCTCTGAAGGACGGGAAGAGGGGCTCACACTATGGGTGCACACAGTCCCCTGGGGAAACGACCTGCCCATTCAGGGCCAGGCTGGGTGCCCCAACCCCGGACCCTCACCAACCTCTCCTCTTACTTGATGGGATTTCAGAAATCTCCTTGTGCGCAGACATCACCCGCACCGGCAAAGTGAAGCCAACCAGAGCTGTGAAAGATCAGGTACCACTCACCCAAACGCTCCTTTCCTACTTCTACTGGATTCTCCCCGGGCGCCCCCTTGTGGTGATGGGGCAAATGCTGGCCTGTCCCACGTATTCCGTGTTAACTGTTAAAAAAAGAAAGAAAATTAGCATCACCATTAATATTTTGGCTTATGTATTTCCCATCTATTTTACAAAATCAGAATTTCACCAATTGTGGGTTCAGATGTGTTATCCTACAAACTGGAAACCCTACTGAGTCACCCAGTTAATACACAGCAGAGAGGAAATTCGTGGGCAGGTCTCGACTCTGGCTCAAAAACTCCCTACTCCATGCTCTACAGCTGATATGGGAGAGATTTCTGCAGAGCTGTCTACATGGGGGAATAACAGAGAAAGGAAGAAATGGCAGGGGGAGAGGCGGGAAGGAGCCAGGTGGGGAGAGGGAGGGTGTGTTGTGGAAAGACAGGATGATGGGATGTGCAGAAAGGGCAGGTGAACGCTGTCTTAAACCAGAGTCTGCAGGTAAACCTGAAACCCCAGAGCTGCCTGCACCATTTTATGCTGGTGTGCACTGGGGGCTGTGCCCTGTAAAAAGATGAAGATCCTTTGTGGGGTCAGCAAAAGTGGGAAGACAAATTACAACTCTAGGAGTAGAATCTGTCCCTGTATCCCTCCCGAAATGCAGTCATTTCCCAGGGGCAAACGCTCTCCCGCGAAGGGAGGCGCCATCACTATTAGATCCCTACAGGGTGGGGCTGCTTAATGTGCTTTAATCTCTAGGCAGATATTAACTGGCTGCTAAGAATAGTACCACACTTTGCTGAATGAGTAATTAAGAGTTCACATAATAGTAACTATTTAGATTAGAATATTGACATACATATTTAGCTGCATTTGGTTTGTCAAGCTCAACATTTTATTTATTTATTTATGTATTTATGTATTTATTTATTTATTTATTGAGATGGAGTCATGCTCTGTCTCCCAGGCTGGAGTGCAGGGGCGGTTCACCGCAACCTCCGCCTCCCAGGTTCAAGTGATTCTCCTACCTCAGCCTCCTGAGTAGCTGCAATTACAGGTGCATGCCTCCACGCCCAGCTAATTTTTGTATTTTTAGTAGAGACAGCGTTTCGCCATGTTGGCCAGGCTGGTCTTGAACTCCTGACCTCAGGTGATCTGCCTGCCTCAGCCTCCCAAAGTGCTGGGATTACAGGTGTGAGCCACTGCGCCCAGCCAACATTTCTTAAAAGCTGTTAAAATCCATGTGACTGTCTTGGGCTCCTTTTTTTAAATGGATGAATTGTGTTTTGGGTGAATTTGGTTGTGACTTTTGGAGTAAAAGGCAAAAATCCACTCCTGAGATCAAATAATTAATTGATGTGGAAGCAAGATGTGTAAACTGCACTGGGTTAAAGAAGTGATGGGGGCCGGGCGTGGTGGCTCATGCCTGTAATCCCAGCACTTTGGGAGGCCGAGGAGGATGGATCATGAGGTCAAGAGATTGAGCCATCCTGGCCAACATGGTGAAATCCCATCTCTACTAAAAATACAAAAATTAGCCAGGTGTGGTGGCATGCGCCTATAGTACCAGCTACTCAGGAGGCTGAGGCAGGAGAATCACTTCAACCTGGGGGGTGGAGGTTGCAGTGAGCCAAGATCACGCCACTGCACTCCAGCCTGGCAGCAGAGGGAGACTCCGTCTCAAAAAAATAATAAATAAATAAATAAATTTTAAAAAAGAGGTGATGGGGAGTTGCTATGCCTCTTGCAAGAGTTGGAGGGCTCTATGCTAGTTTCTGAGCATGACTCTTCCCTGCTGGTGTCCAGAGGACCTGGACCTGGGGCCCTTGTGGACAGGGTGCCATCCTGCTGGTGAACTGTGACAGAGACAATCTCGAATCTTCTGCCATGGACTGCGAGGATGATGAAGTGCTTGACAGCGAAGGTAAAGAGCATTTGCTAGCTAACGGGAAGGGCTTTTTATAAAGCCCTTTTGCCCACATAGCCTGAACCTGGTGACGGCCCTCTGAAATAAGGGTTATTGAAAGCATCTTCTTGTTGGCAAATCTGTTTTATAGGTGAAGCAATGGGCAAAGGCCCTCGGGGGTCAAGTGACCTCCCCAAGCTCACGCAGCGGTCAGGGAAGAGCTGAGGCCAGTGCTGTCTCCTGATGCCTCCTACAGGCCCTGGTTTCCATGCCTCACCCTGCTGCCCAACCTAAACGCTCTTAGGTCAAACCTGGAGCCTGAAATCCTTCGAAATGAAAGCTTTTCATTCCCAAACTCATATCAGAGCAGGCCCTGAGACCTCTGCCATAGGCCGGGCACGACTCTGACCACTTTGGAATGATTAACTCATCTGATCTTCCAACACAAACCTTTATAGGTAGGAAAACCAAGGCACGGGGAACTTAAGCAATTTGCCCAAGGTCACAGCACTGACACGTAGCAGACTCGGGGTTTGAACCCCGGACGTCCCAACACCGGAGCAGGTTTAGAGGCATGAGGATGGTGGGGAATGCAGGATCTCTGCAGGCAAACCTCTGGGCTGCTAAGGGGGTGGCTCCGGGGTTGAAGTGAGGAAACATTATCCACCTGCGCTGGAGGAAGGTGCTAAGGGGCTCTGGCTGGCAGGCCTTCCTGGGGAGCTCTTAGAATAACATAGAAATGGATGTATTTTCAAGTTGCATGTAGTTGGCCTGGCCCGATGCCAGGGGACAGCCTCTGTACAGTGCCTGACATGCGGTAATAATCACAACAGCTGTCCTTTGTGGGCACTCCCGGGGTGCCAAGAGCTGGTATAAGCACTGTGTATCACCTGACTTTATCTTCACAACCATTCTACGGTGGGTACAACTCTTGCCCCTGTCTTAGTGATGAGGAAACAGAGGCAGAGAAAGCTGAAATCCGTTTCCTAAGCCCACCCAGATCCCAGATTCAAACCAAATTGACCGCAAAGCCTTTAAGCCCTTGGCTATCAGTCAGTCCCTTGGGAACCATCTCTTCACTCTCCCCACCCTCTACCCCTTCTTGGCTATTGTTCAAGTTGGTTCACAAACCCCACTTCTTGCTCAGGACCAGCACAGAAACCTTTCACTCGTTCATTGCACAAATCTCAGCCGAGCGCCTGCCGCCTGCTGGTCATTGTTCTAGGGAGTTCTCGGCTTTCTAGGTTCAAGATTCAGGGAACGTTGCAAGGAGCAAAATATTAATAAATGTGGTCCCCGCTTTGCTGAGGTTACATCCCCAGCTCATCCTAGTGGGAGGAGACCAAAACCTTAATGAGCTCTCATTCCAAAATGAAAACCATCATTTAAATACTCAAAATAGCATAAAGAAAAGAAAACCAGGCAACATGGTAAAGGGAGGTCTCAGGGGAGCGGTGGGGTGTGAGGCTCCACCAGGAGGTGAGGTGGCTATGGGAAACCAGCAGCGGTCTCAGGGCCCTGTGACTCAGGCAATGCCCTTCTCATCCCAGACCTGCAGGACATGTCGCTGATGACCCTGAGCACGAAGACCCCCAAGGACTTCTTCACAAACCATACACTGGTGCTCCACGTGGCCAGGTCTGAGATGGACAAAGTGAGGGTGTTTCAGGCCACACGTAAGTCATCCCCATCTTTGTTCCCCTCCTGCCCTGGCCAACGGGGCACAATCCTGTCACACAGCTGTGTGGCAGATAAATCCTGAGCACCTACTATGTGCCAAGTTCTAAGAACAGCAGACGCAGCAGTGGGCAAGACAGACGACATCTCGTCTACTACCTTCCAGTTGGAGGACACAGACAAAATGACTCGTTATTGCTCCCTGCTTTTCTTTCTCTCTCTCTCACACACGCGCGCGCACACACACACACACACACACACACACCTCCTGGTTATAGACTTTGAGTGCAAGCTGACAGCATGTGGCATGTAATCATTTGTTCTGCAACATCCTGCTAATCAGAGACATCAGGAACTTCTCAGTGACCCACGAGCACCTGCAACTAAGTAGGTGCCAGGTTGATCCCAGGCACGGGGCACAGAGCCATGACTGTGACCGAGTCCCTGCCCTCGTGTTGCTTTCATCTTAGTGGCTGGGAGAACTATAGGTAAAATAATTACATAAAACACCTAGTGTGTCCAACGCTGTGACATGCTATGTAGAAGAATGCGGCAGGGAAGGGGATGTGGAGTGAGGAGTGGAGTTCGGGTTGTGTGGAGAGAGGGTGGCCAGGGAAGGTGTCCCCCATGAGGTGCCATGTGAGCAGAGGGAGGTATAGGAACAGCCAGACAGACACCTAGGGGAAGGGCGTTCCAGGCAGAGGGAACGGCAAGTGCGTGGGCCCTGAGGTGAGATCATGCCTGTGGTTTGGAGGAATGCAGGGAGGCTAGTGCAGCTGGGGCGGAATGTGCAAGGGTTAAAGTGGGGGATGAGGGTGGAAGAGACAGGGCAGAGGGGAAGGGGGAGGTCAGGTAGGCGTATATTGACTTTGGCTTCTGGATGGAAGGAGATGGAGAGCGCCATGGGAGGGTTTTTTTTTTGCATGGGCCTGACAATCATTCTGATCCTGATCATTCTGCCTGGTCTATTCCAAGCTTTTTTTTTTTTTTTTTAATTTTTTTTTTTGAGAGAGTCTCACTCTGTTGCCCCGGCTGGAGTGCAGTGGTGCCATCTTGGCTCACTGCAGCCTCCACCTCCTGGGTTCCAGAGATTCTCCTGTCTCAGCCTCCCCAGTAGCTGAGGTTACAAGCATGTGCCACCACATCCAGCTAATTTTTGTATTTTTAGTAGAGATGGGATTTCACCAGGTTGGCCAGACAGGTCTCGAACTCCTGACCTCAAATGATCCACTTGCCTCAGCCTCCCCAAGCACTAGGATTACAGACACCATGCCCAGCCTCTGTTTCTTTTTTTTTTTTTTTTGAGATGGAGTCTCTCTCTGTCGCCAGGCTGGAGTGCAGTGGCGCAATCTCAACTCACTGCAACCTCCACCTCCTGGGTTCAAGCAATTCTCCTGCCTCAGCCTCCCGAGTAGCTGTGATTATAGGCATCCACCACAATGCCTGGCTAATTTTTTTGTGTTTTTAGTAGAGATGGGCTTTCACCATGTTGGCCAGGCTGGTCTGGATCTCCTGACCTTGTGATCCTCCTGCCTCGGCCTCCCAAAGTGCTGGGATTACAGGCGTAAGCCACCACACCCGGCCTGTTTCATTCTTAAAGTGATTAAACTGACACTGATTTGGTGACAGGTCAACTTATTGCCTCCACCCAGGCATCACCTCCTCCAGGAAGTTCTCAGGGATTCCCTCTATCACAGCTGTCTGCTATTTTCATGATCTCTGCTTCTCCCTACTCACCCGTAAGACTGTGCACTCTCTGGGGGTGAGGATAGGAGGACAGTGACTCTGTCTCCCTGGTCCCCTGCTGTGCCCCTGTCCCCCGCTGACATCTGGCTAGAGCAGATGCTCAGGAATGAGTGAAGGAATGGTGTATACTGGACTTCCTATAAAGTTTGGAATAGCTCAGGCACCCCTGCCACACCCTTCTGGGACTTCAGCCGGGGAGCAGCGTCCCAGCTAGAACTTCAGTCCTTTTCTCCTAAGGGGACTGGCCAGATTTGGCTGCAAGGGGTTCTCTGATGGTGCCATGTGGTGACCCTGGGAAAGGCTTCTGGGGAGCACTAAGGAGAGGAGGAAAAGTCTTCAGAAGTGGGGACGCAGACCTGAGTCTCCCCTGCCTCTCTCCTAGGGGGCAAACTGTCCTCCAAGTGCAGCGTAGTCTTGGGTCCCAAGTGGCCCTCTCACTACCTGATGGTCCCCGGTGGAAAGCACAACATGGACTTCTACGTGGAGGCCCTCGCTTTCCCGGACACCGACTTCCCGGGGCTCATTACCCTCACCATCTCCCTGCTGGACACGTCCAACCTGGTAGGCCGAGAAGGCAGCCCTGCATCGGGGGCCTGGGCTTCCAGGCAGTGGCCTGGCTAGGGAAAGGGGTACAGAGCCCAGCTGGGCAGGGGGACTCCAAACAGCTGCAGGAAGTGGTAGGTGCTGGGCCCTGGCAGCGGTGACAGCCCCTCCTTCCCCTTACCCCCTCCCCTGCAGGAGCTCCCCGAGGCTGTGGTGTTCCAAGACAGCGTGGTCTTCCGCGTGGCGCCCTGGATCATGACCCCCAACACCCAGCCCCCGCAGGAGGTGTACGCGTGCAGGTGAGAGGTCCTGGGGTGCTGGGGTGGGTCCAGACAACAAAGAGCCTGAGTTCCATCCGCAGCACTCACTGTGTGATGGGAAAAACAGTCACCCCTCCCCTGCCCACTGAGAGCTTGCTGCTTGTTGGGGGCTCTAAAAAGGCAGGGAAGTTCCCTACTGTTGTTGTCATTGCCTCTGTCCTGCCCTGATGCAGCTGAGGCTACGTTAACTCCCAGGGGCCTGTAGAGTGTGTCCCATGGACCTTGTGCACCAGAAACTCCTGGGAACTCATTTAAAATGCACCTTTCTGGGCTGGGCACGGTGGCTCACGCCTGTAATCCTAGCACTTTGGGAGGCTGAGGCAGGTGGATCACTTAAGGTCAGAAGTTTGAGATCAGCCCAGCCAACATGGTGAAACCCTGTCTCTACTAAAAAATACAAAAATTGGCCGGGCGTGGTGGCGCATGCCTGTAATCCAGCTACTCAGGAGGCCGAGGCACGAGAATTGCTTGAACCCTGGAGGCGGAGGTTGCAGTGAGCTGAGATTGCGCCACTGCGCTCCAGCCTGGGCAACACAGTGAGACTCCATCTCAAAAATAAAATAACCAGCCTGGCCAACATGGTGAAACCCCGTCTCTACTAAAAATACAAAAAATTAGCCAGGTGTTGTGGCATGTGCCTGTAATCCCAGCTACTCGGGAGGCTGAGGCAGGAGAATCACTTGAACCCAGGAGGCCAAGGTTGCAGTGAGCCGAGATTGCACCATTGCACTCTAGCCTGGGCGACAGAGCAAGACTCCGTCTTGAGAAAATTAAAAATAATAAAAATTAAAAATTAAATTAAATTAAATTAAATTTAAATTAAATAAAATGCACCTTTCTGGCTGCCTGTGAGCTGCTGGGTCTTATCCCTGAGGACGGGGCCCATCTGCATTTTGGGGAGGCCCAGGCAATCTTCCTGCAGTCTGAGAGCCGCTGACAAGTGTGCTGGGGTCTCAGGAGACCCTCTCCTCCCCTCTTCTGATAGCTTCAGGGGCAGAAGAGTAAGAGGGTAATGTGGTCAGGACGCAGGCTGGAATCCAGTGAGGACTGTATTCCGGTCCCAGCACTGTTCCAGGTGGTGTGACCTTGAACAGTGAACTCATATTCTGTCTTCTCCCAAGTTGATATGGTTTGGCTCTGTGTCTCCACCCAAATCTTATCTTGAATTGTACTCCCACAATTCCCACGTGTTCTGGGAGGGACCTGGTGGGAGATAATTTGAATCATGGAGGTGGTTTGCCCCATACCATTCTCATGGTAGTGAATAAGTCTCATGAGATCTGATGGTTTTATCAGGGGTTTCCACTTTTGCATCTTGCTCATTTTCTCTTGCCGCCGCCATGTAAGAAGTGCCTTTTGCCTCCCACCATGGTGTCCCCAGCCATGTGGGAGTGTAAGTCCAATTAAACCTCTTTTCCTTCCTAGTCTCAGGTATGTTTTTATCAGCAGCGTGAAAATGGACTAATACAGTAAATTGATACCAGTAGAGGGGGGCGTTGCTGAAAAGATACCCAAAATGTGGAAGCAACTTTGGAACTGGGTAACAGACAGAGGTTGGAACGGTTTGGAGGGCTCAGAGGAAGACAGGAAAATGTGGGAAAGTTTGGAACTTTCTAGAGACTTGTTGAATGGCTTTGACAAAAATACTGATAATGATATGAACAATGAAATCCAGACTGAGATGGTCTCAGATGGAGATGAGGAACTTGTTGGGAACCGGAGCAAAGGTGACTCTTGTTATGTTTTAGCAAAGAGACTGGTGGCATTTTGTACCTGCCCTAGAGATTTGTGGAACTTTGAACTTGAGAGAGATGATTTAGGGTATCTGGCAGAAGAAATTTCTAAGCAGCAAGGCATTCAAGAGGTGACTTGGGTGCTGTTAAAGGCATCCAGTTTTAAAAGGGAAGCAGAGCATAAAAGTTCAGAAAAGTTGCAGCCTGACAATGCAATCGAAAAGAAAATCTCATTTTCTGAGGAGAAATTCAAGCCAGCTGCAGAAATTTGCATAAGTAACAAGGAGATTAATGTTAAGCCACAAGGCAATGAGGAAAATGTCTCCAGGGCATGTCAGAGGTCTTCATGGCAGCCCCTCCCGTCACAGGCCCAGAGGCCTAGGAGAAAATGGTTTCGTAGGCCAGGCCCAGGGTCCCCATGCTATGTGCAGCCTAGGGACTTGGTGCCCTGCATCCCAGCTGCTCCAGCCATGGCTAAAAGGGGCCAGTGTAGAGCTCAGGCTGTGGCTTCAGAGGGTGGAAGCCCCAAGCCTTGGCAGCTTCCACATGGTGTTGAGCCTGCAAGTGCACAGAAGTCAAGAATTGGGGTTTGGGAACCTCTGCCTTGATTTCCAAAGATGTGTGGAAACGCCTAGATGCCCAGGCAGAAGTTTGCTGCAGGGGTGGTGTTCTCATGGAAAACCTCTGCTACAGCAGTGCAGAGGGGAAATGTTGGTTTGGAGCCCCCACACAGAGTCCCTACTGGGACACCACGTAGTGGAGTTGTGAGAAGAGGGCCACTGTCCTCCAGACTCCAGAAGGGTAGATCCACTGACAGCTTGCACCGTGTGCCTGGAAAAGCCACAGACACTCAACACCAGCCTGTGAAACTGGCCTACCAGGAGGGAGGCTATACCCTGCAAAGCCACAGGGGCAGAGCTGCCTAAGACCATGGGAACCCACCTCTTGTGTCAGCATGACCTGGATGTGAGACCTGGAGTCAAAGATCATTTTGGAGCTTTAAAATTTGACTGCCCTGCTGGATTTTGGACTTGCATGGGCCCTGTAACCCCCTTGTTTTGGCCAATTTCTCCCATTTGGAATGGTTGTATTTACCCAACACCTGTACCCCCATTGTATCTAGGAAGTAACTAGCTTGCTTTTGATTTTACAGGCTCATAGGAGGAAGGGACTTGCCCTGTCTCAGATGAGATTTTGGATTGTGAACTTTTGGGTTAATGCTGAAATGAGTTAAGACTTTGGGGGACTGTTGGGAAGGCATGATTGGTTTTGAAATGTGAGGATATAGGATTTGGAGGGGCCAGGGGCAGGATGATATGCTTTGGTTCTGTGTCCCCACCCAAATCTCATCTTGACATGTACTCCCATAATTCCCAAGTGTTGTGGGAGGGACCCAGTGGGAGATAATTTGAATCATGGTGGCAGTTTCTCCCATACTGTTCTCATGATAGTGAATAAGTCTCATGAGATCTGATGGTTTTATCAGGTTTTTCTCCTTTTTCTTCTTCCTCATTTTCTCTTGCCACCGCCATGTAAGAAGTGCCTTTTGCCTCCCACCATGGCCTCCCCAGCCATGTGGAACTGTAAGTCCAATTAAACCTCTTTTTCTTCCCAGTCTCAAGTATGTCTTTATCAGCAGCGTGAAAACGGACTAATACACGGGTGGAAGGGGTACCCACTAGTTCCTGCCTCATAACTTGTTAGATGGATTCCATGAGCTAATGCCTGCTAAGAGCAGATGGACCGGACGTGCCAGGAGCCTCTGTTCAGGCCACAGGTGACCCCTGAGCCACCTGTGTGTCCCTCCCAATCCTTCCAGGCTGAGCTTCAAATTCCAGAGCACTAAGGAGCTGCTTTTCTGCTCTCTCTAGTATTTTTGAAAATGAGGACTTCCTGAAGTCAGTGACTACTCTGGCCATGAAAGCCAAGTGCAAGCTGACCATCTGCCCTGAGGAGGAGAACATGGATGACCAGTGGATGCAGGTATGTGCCCTGCGGGGCAGGCAGGGTGACTGTCCCTGAGGGCCAAGAGACACTTGGGGGACCCGGGCTCCTGGGGTTCAGCCTGGTGCCTCACCGGCCACTCTTCCTTAGATGGACAGGGAGATAGGAACCTGAGAGATCCTTGGGCCGGGAGGCTCAAGCAAGTGATTCATCTGACGTTTGCTGTGGGCCACTGCAGGCCCACTGCAGTCACCAAGATGAAGCCACCTTCCTGCTTGAAAACACTCAGGTGGCCTCAGGAAATGATGTGAAGCTCAGGAGATTGGTGCTCAACCAGCCCCTCAAGTGGTCCTCCCTCCAGGCTGTCCATCTTGGGCCCAGCCACCAAAGCAGGTCACACCCCAGCTCCAGCACTTTCCATGGCTCCCATCTCCTCCTGCTTAGTCTGTTTCCAGGCCCTCTCAGCCTGCCTGGTTCCCTTCCCTGGGGCCAGCCTGCCACTGTGCCTGGAAACACATGATTACCAGTCTCTGTTTCCGTGCCACTCCCCCATCATGCCAGGAGTGCCCCAAGGACTGAGACTGGGCCTCATCCAGCCTAGCACCCTGACCCTCCCCACCACTGCCTTGCTTTGCCTCGGGACCCTGTCCTTCCATGCCGCACCCCTGCGGTGCTGTCTCTTGGACCCATCTCCCCATTCCCATCCCCCATCTCCAATCCATACCGGTGAATCCCAGCACAAATGCTCCTCGTCCATAAATTTCCCCCATCACCCCCAGCAGGAATTCATCCCTCTTTCTTTTCACCCCCACACAACATCCTTTCTTCCTTTCTTGCCATTCCATCTTTTCTTTTCTTTTTTTTTTCACTCTTGTTGCCCAGGCTGGAGTGCAATGGCTCGATCTCGGCTCATCACAACCTCTGCCTCCCGGGTTCAAATGATTCTCCTGCCTCAGCCTCCTGAGTAGCTGTAATTACAGGCATGTGCCACCACGCCTGGCTAATTTTGTATTTTTAGTAGAGATGGGGTTTCTCCGTGTTGGTCAGGCTGGTCTCGAACTCCTGACCTCAGGTGATCCACCCACCTCAGCCTCCCAAAGTGCTGGGCTTACAGGCATGAGTTACTGCACCTGGCCGCCATTCCATTTTTTTGATACCAAGTTGACCTGTGTGAAATTGCTGATATGTGCCATTTTTGATTTGCAAGAGTGGAACTTTCATCTGGTTCATCCTAATAGTAACTTATAGTAGTGATTATGTCCAACATCACACCTGCCTGCTAGAATACAAGCCTGCGGAGGCGGAATTTTCAGCAGATTCATTTCTGAAACCTCCCCGTGCTCCTCCTGCTGCTCCAGTGGCCCAGGCTGGGTCTTATCTGCCCTCCTTTGGGGAGGAGGCCGCGAGCTCTGGCGCCAACAGGTCTTCTCTGGCCCATCCTAGCTGCATCAGGAGCCCCTCCTCTGTGTCCCCACAGACCCCTCAACCCCTCACCCCCCATCACCTCCTAACCCTGGTGCCCACTGCCTGGCTCCCTTGTTTTCTCACCTTGAGGAGGGGTCTCAGTTTTGCTCACCAGGGGTCCCCAGCACTGGCCCAGGCACCACCAGGAGTAGGAGGGAAGGGCACTCCTGCAGGCTCATGGCCTCTCGTGCACTGGGCAAACAGGGGGCAATAAGCTCCGCTTCTGAGCCCCTTCTCTGAGATCAAACATCCCATAGGAATGTGCCCTTGACTGCAAGGGTGAGAGTGAGTGGATGGTTTCATGCCCCCATCCTGGCGTCGGGCACCAAGACCCAGGCAGCACGCGCAACAGCCTCCTCTCCACTCACTCCCACAGGATGAAATGGAGATCGGCTACATCCAAGCCCCACACAAAACGCTGCCCGTGGTCTTCGACTCTCCAAGGAACAGAGGCCTGAAGGAGTTTCCCATCAAACGCGTGATGGTACCTGCATGGGGTGGGGAGGGGGCACAGCTGCCGAAACCCTCTTGTCTTGAGACTCCCTCCTTTTAGCCTGCCTTCCCCGCCCGCGCCTGTAGCTGAGTAGCCCAGTGCAAGGAGGTGGAATTCCTACCAAAGTGGGAGCATGTAGGTGGGGCTTGTTATTTTTTTATTACCAAGATAAGATCTGGCTCTTCATTTCCCAAAACCCTTGTCACCCGTGAGCTCAGCTTGATCTCCAGGTAACCCTGCCGAGGAGGTGGCTCAGGCTTGGACCTCCCTGTGCTCTTGAAGAAGCTCTTGCTGCAAGGTGGAGGTGGGGCCGGGGCTGGAATCTTTCCCAATGCCCAGCTGGAGGCTCTGTCTTATGGGTGGTGTTTGGTCTTCAGGGGCTCCATCTGGGATATGGGGGATTTTGGGATCAGTGGATCAGTGGTCATTTCCTGGGTGTGACTTTATCAGCCACAGGCTGTCCATGTGGAGGTGGGAAGTGACGTATTGCTGACTCATGCTTGACTAGCCTGGCAGGTTGATGCAAACTCAGCACAGAACAATAATAATAATAGTTGCATTTATTGAGAATGAGTTGTGTGTTAGCCAGTGCTGCATTCTTTACCTGCACTGACTCATTTAATTTGATAAACTGTTATGGAGATTCTATCAATAGGCCCATTTTATAGAAGAAGAAACTGAGGCTCAGAGTGGAGAAGTTGGAATTCAAACCCGGCCAGTCCGGCTTGGTGAGCATGCTTTTCCCCGCCCTGCCTCCCTCTCCCTGCTTTCCCAGGAAGACCCCAGGCCTGCGCTCTGAGTCCTGGCAGCCCCTTGGCTCAAGGTGCCCAGGGAAAACGACGGAAGGAGTGTGGGGTCCAAGGTTTGCTAGGACAAATGGCTTTCCGACAAGCATCTGTACTGTGCCCCAAGGGAGGGGAGAGTGGCCCTGCCCACACAGAAGGCTTCAGAATGAAACTTCAGTTAAACTCAACAACTTGTCCCGAGTCTCGCTTCCTCCTGGCCAAGCTGTGCGCTGAGCAGTGGAGATGCAGAGATGCTGTTGGATTCACAGTGTGTACTCAGCCATGGGGTCGAGTTCATCCTGTTTCAGCAGCGTTGGGGCGAACCAGCCAGCTGCTACCGTGACTTTGCCCTCTTTCTGCTGCTTTCAGTCCTGCCTGGTTCAGTGGCTGTGTCTACTTTGATGCTCCAAGTATAACAAAGGCCAGATTTTCTGATGCCACAAGTCCTGCTGGACAGACAGACGGACACCTCGGCACCATTGTTGTCCCCTTTCCCACAGACAACTTTGGATGAAGGCAGGCAGCACTGGTCCCTCAGCTAAGCACATCTGTGTATTCCAACTCAAATCACTCAGAATGAGGCCAGGTGTGGTGGCTGACACCTGTAATCCCAGCAGTTTGGGAGGCCAAGGAGGATGGATCACCTGAGGTCAGAAGTTCGAGACCAGCCTGGCCAGCATGGCGAAATCCCGTCTCTACTAAAAATACAAAAATTAGCTGGGCATGGTGGTGTGTGCCTGTAATCCTATCTTCTCAAGAGTTTGAGGCAGGAGAATCCCTTGAACCCAGGAGGCAGAGGTTGCAGTGAGCCGAGATTGCACCACTGCACTCCAGCCTGGGTGACAGAGCAAGACTGTATCAAAAAAAAAAAAAAAGAAAGAAAAAGAAAAAACAACAACAAAAAACACCCAAATCACTCAGAATGAAGAGAATTGGAGAAAAAGTCACACTCAGCACCAGGCTTTGGCCCCACCTGCCTCTCCAGCACCATTGTAGGCCACTCTCGCTGTCCCTTACCCAGCCCCACCTCCACTGGCCTCCTTCCTGTTCTTCAAACTTGCCTAACGTTTCCCCACCTCACGGTCTTTGCATATGCCGTTCCCTCTGCTTGCAGTGCTGTTCCCTGTTCACGGGGCTGGCTGCTTCTCAGCCTTCAGGTTTCAGCTTCTATTTCCTACTCAGTGAGGCCTTCCCTGATGCTAAAAGAGGGATCCCTACTCCCACCCCAACTCCTAGCCTTCTCCACTACAGCCCCCTGTTGACTTCTTCAGTGTATTTTGTTAAAATCATGGACTCGTTCATCTACTTTTCGTTGCCTGCGCTGCTGGGCCTGAGGCTGTTATGCCTTACGCTGTCCATCGGGCAGCTGGCACAAAGCTTCACACACAGTGGTTGTTCTTCCTGTAAGCATCGTCAGTAAATTTTCTATCACCACCATCAATGGGAAACCAGCAGCACTTCCTGCAGATAGAAGGCAACTGTGAAGTTAAACAGAATGAAACAAGATCCTGCTACCAAAGCCAGCTCGTTACAAGTGACTGCAGCATCTCTGAGCTCGAGGTCAGCTCTCTGCTGGTTAAAATGAGGGATTAGCAGGTGTCAAGGATGTGTTTGCATCACTGAAACTTGAATTTTTGAGGAACCAGAAAAGACTGGAGGAAAATGAGAAGGGCAACAGCTTTCCAACGTTGTGCCTCAGGCCGCATCACCTGGCATCCATGAGCGTCCCCCACACAGCCCACTCTTGGGGGGCCACTTCTGCAGACTATGGATATGCCTTCATTTGCCTGCAGAAATCCAAGGCTGAAGGCTGTATAACTGACCCCCTCTCACAACAACAGCCAGGGCAGTGATGTGGCTGAATTTACATTCATTCATCAAACACTGTTTGAACACATACTCAGCGGGGCCTTGTTCTAGGCACTTGAGATATGACAGGGAGCAACGCCAAGGTCCCTGACCTCACGGAGGGGACGTTCTGGCCCAGAGAGACAGACAGCAGACAATGAATAGAACAAAGCAGTTATATGGTTCCTTAGAAGGGGATGTCAAGAGCTACAGGTGCCAGGTGTGGTGGCTCATACCTGTAATCCTAGCACTTTGGAAGGCCAAGGTGGGAGAATTGTTTGAACCCAGGAGTTTGAGACCAGACTGGGCAACATAATGAGACCTTGTCCCTACAAAAAAAAAAAAAAAATTGTTTCAATTAACTAGGCATGGTAACACATGCCTGTAGTCCCAACTACTAGAGAGGCTGAGGTGGGAGGATCGCTTGAGCCCAGGAGGTCAAGGCTGCAGCGAGTCATGATTGCACTTCTGCACTCCAGTCTGGGTGACAGATGAGACCTTGTCCCAGAGGAAAAAAAAAAAAAAAAAAAGAGCTACAGGGAAAGACAGAGTAGAGCGGAATGGAGGGGCTCATAGGTGCCAGCGTGGTAGGGAAGGTGGATTAGGTTACATTCTTAAAGCCGAGTCTGGTGGCTCATTCCAGTAATCCCAGCACTTCGGGAGGCCAAGGCTGGTGGATTACTTGAGCCCAGGAGTTCGAGACCAGCCTAGGCACCATAGTCAAACCCTGTCTCTACAAAAAAAAAAAAAATTAAAAATAAAAATAAAAATAAGCCAGGCATGGTGGTGCATGCCTATAGTTCCAGCTACTTAGGAGGCTGAGGTGGCAGGACCCTTGAACCCTGAAGGGTGAGGCTGCAGTGAGCCATGATCACACCACTGCATTCTGGCATGGGCAATAGGAGTAAGACCTGGTCTCAAAAAAAAAAAAAAAAAAAAAAAGATTGCGTTCTTAAATAGGATGGTCAGGGTGGGCTTCACGGAGAAGCTGACCTTGCAGCAGATGCTTGAGGGAGGTGAGCGAGTTGGCCATGTGAGTGGGTGTCTGGGTGAAGAGTGTTGTAGGCAGTGAAACAGCCAGTGCAAAGGCCCTGGGGCAGGAGCATGCCTTGAGTGTTCCAGAACAGCAAGAGGGCCTGGAGGGGTAGAGCAGAGCAACCAGGAGGAGAGGCAGTCAGAGAGGAGATAGGAGGTGGTAGAAAAGGCAGTCAGGGAGCTGATGGGAGGCAGTAGGAGAGGCGGTCAGGGAGGTGATGGGAGGTGGGAGGAGAGGCGGCCAGGGAGGTGATGGGAGGAGAGGCAGTCAGGGAGGTGATGGGAGGAGAGGCGGCCAGGGAGGTGATGGGAGGAGAGGCAGTCAGGGAGGTGATGGGAGGTGGGAAGAGAGGCAGTCAGGGAGGTGATGGGAGGTGGTAGGAGAGACTGTGGTCAGAGAGGTGATGGGAGGCAGTAGGAGAGGCAATCAGGGAGGTGATGAGAGGTGGTAGGAGAGGCGGTCAGGGAGGAGATGGGAGGTGGTAAGAGGGGTGGTCAGGGAAGAGATGGGAGGTGGTAGCAGAGGTGGTCAAGGAGGTGATGGGAGGAGATGGGGGGCAGTAGAAGAGGCTGTGGTCAGAGGTGATGGGGAAGGGACGGGATGACCGGATGGGGTTGGGCTTGTTGGCTACTGTTAAGGCTGCTTGTTTAGAAACTGAGAATCATCACAGGGTCTTAAACAGAGGAGGATTATGATCTGGTTTGTTAGAAAAGGGAACAAGCCCTGCTATGTGTTGTTGAGTAAAGAGAACAGAGGCAAGGGGCAAGGGAGTGGGCAGGTGAGGGATGCTGGGAGTGCAGGCAGGGTGTGGCCAGAGGAGGTGAGAAGCCATGAGATTCCGGCTATGTCTGGAAGGCAGAGCCAGCAGGGCATTCTGACCCCCGCTATGAGAGAGGCAAGCCAAAGCTGACAGCAAGGCTGTGACCTCTGTGGGTGGCAGGCACCATCCCCTGGGAGGGGAGGACTGTGGGAGGAGGAACAGATTGATGGAGAATGAGGGGGTGGGAAGAGGGGACCCAAAGTTCTGTTTAGGGCAAGTGGGAGACAATTGGTCAACATCCAAATGGGAAGTCAAGTGAGCGTGGATACACATGTGATGTTTGGGAGGGAAGGGATGCCCAGAGATGCGAACATGAGGGTTGTCGGCTCGGGAACGGAATTCCATGAGACTTGGCAGGACGACTGAAGGGGCAAGTGAGGTTGGAGGTGAACCAGGATCCCCCGGTGTCCTGAAAGCCAAGTGCAGAAAGTGTGCGGAGAACACAGGTGTGACCGCCTGATTCAGGGGCTTCTGAGGGGAAGGCGAGGCCCGCGCATTGCACTTGGGATATGGCCATGTGTTCATGGAGACCTGGACAAGGAAAGCTTTGATGGGCGGGAGAAGCGGGTTGGTCTGGGTTTTAGAGAGAAGTGGAGAGAGGAACTGGAAGTGTGATTGTTAAATCTGTGGAATCAGGCCAGGCGCAGTAGCTCACACCTATAATCCCAACACTCTAGGAGCCGAGGCAGGAAGATTGAGCCCAGGAGTTTGAGACCAGCCTGGGCAACATAGTGAGACCCCATCTCTACAGGAAAGAACAACTTTAAAAATTAGCCAGGTTGTGATAGCATGCACCTGTGGTCCCAGCTACTCGGGCGGCTGAGACGGGACCGTGATCCTTTGAGCCCAGGAGGTCAAAACTGCAGTGAAGAAGTAAATTTGAAGATCACAGACCTCCTTAAGACCCACTCATCTTCCCAGAAACTCACACCTGGGCACATAATTTGGCGTCTACTCTCAGGGAGTTCATGGCCCCCATGAAGCCTCAGGGAATGGACCATCTATGTGTAGAAGGCTAGATGTACCCTCTCCTGGGAGGCAGGGGAGATGGGCGGTGGACTGAATAATGGCCCCTCTACATCCTAGTCCCCCCGAACCTGATGTTTCCTTATATGGTAAAAGGGACTTTGCTGAATGTAATTATATTAGGGATCTTGTGATGGGGTGATTATCCTGGTTTATCCTGGAATGCGGGAGGGCCTGTGATGATGGAAGCAGAGACTGGAGATCTTTGAAGGTGGAAGAAGGGGCTGCCAGCCAAGGCGGCTATTAGAAGCTGAAAAAGACACGGAAATATAATAGATTCTTTCCTCAGGGCCTCCAGGAGGAACCAGCTCTGCCATCCCTGGACTTAAGCCCAGTGGAACTGATTTCACACTTCTGGCCTCCAGAATTTTAAGAGAATAAATGTGGCTGGGCGTGGGGGCTCATGCCTGTAATCCCAGCACTTTGGGAGGTCGAGGCAGATGGATCACTTGAGGTCAGGAATCCGAGACTAGACTGGCCAACATGGTGAAACCCCATCTCTACTAAAAAAAAAAAAAAATACAAAAATTAGCTGGGCGTGGTGGGGCGTGCCTGTAGTCCCAGCTACTCAGGAGGCTGAGGAGTATTCCTTGAACCAGGGGCGGAGGTTGCAGTGGCTGAGATCATGCCACGGCCCTCCAACCTGGGCAACAGAGTGGGACTCTGTCTTAAGGGGAAAAAAAATGATGTTTTACAGATTTGTTTTATGCCCAAGTTAAGGTTTACCAAGCAGCTGGCACGCTTTAGGGACCCAACAAATGCTAGTCCCTTTTCTTGTCCATTGAATGAACTCAACATTCCTTTAACCTTCCACATGTGATAACAGCACCTGCTATGTGCCAGCTGTAGACGGTACTGAGTTACTTCCTGTGCCCAAGTTCATCTCTAAACTTGGACCCCCCGACCCTTCACCAGGGACCTCATTCCTCTAACTCTTGGCACTCCCTTCTCCTATCTCAGGGTCCAGATTTTGGCTATGTAACTCGAGGGCCCCAAACAGGGGGTATCAGTGGACTGGACTCCTTTGGGAACCTGGAAGTGAGCCCCCCAGTCACAGTCAGGGGCAAGGAATACCCGCTGGGCAGGATTCTCTTCGGGGACAGCTGTTATCCCAGGTAAGGAGGGGAGTAACAGGAAGGGGTGGCCAGGACCCAGGTATGCCGTAGAAAAGCAGAGGCCAGAGTGGAAGCCTTGCCTTCCTGCTTCCGATTCTAGACAGCCCAACAGACTTGAGGGAGTGTGAGAGGAATCCAAGCGCAGGGTGAGGAATGCGGGCTTTGGAGCCCATAGACCCAAGTTCAATTCCAGCCCTGCCACTTACCCTCTTTCAGTCAGTGAATATTTACTGAGCATCCAAAATGTTCTGGGAGCTGGGAATGCAGCCGTGGACAAGAAAGACAAGTCCTTACCACTACTCTAGTAGGGAAACAGATGATAGAAAAGTAGACAAGATAACTTCAAATGACAAAAACAAAAGAGAGGGGCACGGGAGGAATAGGAACTGTTAGGGTGACCAGGGAGGTCCTCTCTGGGGAAGGGGCTTTTGAACTGAGGCCTAATGACAGAAGGGACAGGGCCACCTGGAGATCTGGGACAGAGAGTTCCTGGCAAATGAAAGTGCATGTGCAAAGGCCCTGAGGCAGGAATGAGCTCCTGCGTGCAAGGCCAGGATGGCTAGAACCTATTGAACAAGAAGAGGCTGGGCACAGTGGCTCACACCTGTAATCCCAGCACTTTGGGAGGCCAAGGCAGGTGGATTACCTGAGGTCAGGAGTTCGAGACCAGCCTGACTAACATGGCGAAACCCCGTCTCTACTAATGCAAAAATTAGCTGGGCCTGGTGATGCATGCCTGTAATCCCAGCTACTCGGGAGGCCGAGGCAAGAGAATCGCTTGATCCCGGGAGGCGGAGGTTGTAGTGAGCCGAGATTGTGCCAGCCTGGGCAACAGAGCAAGACTCTGTCTCAAAAAAAAAAAAAAAAGTGAGGAAGAACAAGGCACTGCAACACTAATTTTTTTTTTTAGGAGAAAACTGAGGCTCAAACAGGTGAAGGAATGTCCCCAAGGCCACATGGCTAACAAGAGATCACCGACTTAGGTCAGACTGGCTCTAAGCCCCATGTGTACCCAGAATACCAGCATCTCATCTAACTCAAGAGGCAGTGCTTTCTGAGGCTAAGCTCTGTTCTACTTACCTTAGTGACTCTGTGCCTCAGTTTCCCCCAATAAAACTAGAATGACAATTCCTTGATTTCTCAAATGTTAGGGGATAAAATAAAGGCATTCTAGACTCCTGCATCCCTTTCTCAGCTGAAGGAGAACCCTGACCTTTTTGCCAAGCCCCTTGTCCTTCAGGGACTTCCCTGTAGCCCTTGCTGCCGATAACACCCCTTTAACCCTGCCATGACAGCAATGACAGCCGGCAGATGCACCAGGCCCTGCAGGACTTCCTCAGTGCCCAGCAGGTGCAGGCCCCTGTGAAGCTCTATTCTGACTGGCTGTCCGTGGGCCACGTGGACGAGTTCCTGAGCTTTGTGCCAGCACCCGACAGGAAGGTACAGTCTTGGGGGCTGCCTCAGGAAGCCATGCCTCCTTCCTGGGTAGACCCTCTGCCTGGGGTGGGAGCAACTTTACTTGTCTATTTCTCCTTCACCCTTAGGATGGCAGTAGAGGAGGTGGCCAGCTTGGGTCCAAGTCCACACTACTCCCACCCTCAGCAGATCCACCCTCGTTGGGAGCTCCAGGGGCAAAGCTGACTTCTAACCCCAGTGTTTCTGCCTCCAGGGCTTCCGGCTGCTCCTGGCCAGCCCCAGGTCCTGCTACAAACTGTTCCAGGAGCAGCAGAATGAGGGCCACGGGGAGGCCCTGCTGTTCGAAGGGATCAAGAGTAAGTCGGCCCTGCCTTGTTCTCCTGTCTGTGCACCTTCCTGCTTCCCATAGTCCGCTGTTGCCTGGAGGGAATCATCCAGGCAATAGGGTAGCATCTGAGCACCTACTGTGCGCCAGGCACTGTGCCAAGTGCTAGGGAGACTGCATGAACAGGGCAGAACAGCTTGCTGCCCTGTGGGCTCACAGGCCAGGGGGAAGTGAGTCAAAAGAACAGCTCCAACACAGGGGCTTTGAGGGGTGTCTGAGTGGATGGAGCTCAGGGAAGGCTTCTTGGAGGAGGCAGAGGCCAAGCAGTAGCATGCAAGTAGGGGTTGGCTGGGCAAACGGGGCAGGGAAATGAGAGGAAGAGAGATACCACAGGCAGAGGGACGGGGGTGGGGCGGCTCAGAGGCAGGAGAAAGCACGATGTGTGTGAGGACCTCGGGGAGGTTCGGTATAGCTGGAGCACAGATGAAATATTACTCTCTCAGCAGAGCTCACAGACATGGGCCAGGCCCCGGGCTGAGATGCCTCTGTGGCTGAGAGCTCCACCTCAGATCTGAGTATGTTGTGTGGCATCAGGAGAGGGCTGACCTGTTTCTTCCTCTCTCGATGGGATCTCTTTGGAGATAAGATAATTTAGCGTTAATGCAAGGCAAAATGTTCCAGTGAACAAGTTTCATGGTTCAACTTTATAATAATTATAAGTAAACCTGTTAAATTTTTCTGGACATTCTTTTCTTTTGAAACGAAGTTTTCCTCTATTGCCCAGGCTGGAGTGCAATGGCGCGATCTCGACTCTCTGCAGCCTCTGCATCCCGGGTTCAAGTGATTCTCCTGCCCCAGCCTTCCGAGTAGCTGGGATTACAGGTGTGCACCACCACACCTGGCTAATGTTTTGTATTTTTAGTAGAGATGGGGTTTTGCCATGCTGGCCAGGCTGGTCTCGAACTCCTGACCTGGTGATCCACCCACCTCGGCCTCCCAAAGTGCTGGGGTTACAGGCATGAGCCACCACGCCTGGCTTAAAACAAGGACATTTCTTATTGACAGCAACTAAATGGTACTTGTAGCATTTTTATCACACAGTAGATTCCATCCATTCACTATACTTTTCTGAGCTGTCTGTCCTGCATGCAAGTAGATATTTTTAATGTTGTCTGTTTTCTGTGCTGTTCCTGTAAGTGTGCTATTAAAATACACTAAACTAGGCTGGGCGCGATGGTTCATGCCTGTAATCCTAGCACTTTGGGAGGACGAGGCGGGTGGATCACGAGTTCAGGAGTTCAAGGCCAGCTAGGCCAAGATGGTGAAACCCCGTCTCTACTAAAAATACAAAAATTAGCCGGGCGTGGTGGCGGGTGCCTGTAATCCCAGCTACTTGGGAGGCTGAGGCAGGAGAATCACTCGAACCCGGGAGGTGGAGGTTGCAGTGAGCCAAGAATGTGCCACTGCACTCTAGCCTGGGTGACAGAGCAAGACTCAGTCTCAAAAAAAAAAAAAAAAACAAGAAAATATTAAACTAGGCCAAGTGTGGTGGCTCACACCTGTAATCCTAGCACTTTGGGAGGCTGAGGCGGGTGGATCACCTGAGGTCAAGAGTTTGAGACCAGCCTGGCCAACGTGATGAAACCCCGACTTTACTAAAAGTACAAAAATTAGCTGGGCGCAGTGGTGCGCACCTGTAATCCCAGCTACTGGGGAGGCTGAGGCAGGAGAATCGCTTGAACTCGGGAGGTGGAGGTTGCAGTGAGTCAAGATCGCACTACTGCACTCCAGCCTGGGCGACAGAGCAAGGCTCTGTCTCAAAACAAAAAAAAAATTACACTATAAAAATATATTTTAGGCCGGGCGCGGTGGCTCACGCCTGTAATCCCAGCACTTTGGGAGGCCGAGGCGGGCGGATCACGAGGTCAGGAGATCGAGACCATCCTGGGTAACACGGTGAAACCCCGTCTCTACTAAAAATACAAAAAATTAGCCGGGCGAGGTGGCGGGCGCCTGTAGTCCCAGCTACTCCGGAGGCTGAGGCAGGAGAATGGCGTGAACTCCAGGGGGCGGAGCCTGCAGTGAGCCGAGATTGCGCCACTGCACTCCAGCCTGGACGACAGCGAGACTCCGTCTCAAAAAAAAAAAAAAATAATAATAAAAATAAAAATATATTTTAAAAAGAATTTAAATGAGGTGAGAACAACATTTTTAATGAGAACTTATACTGCTAAAATATTGTATTAAAGATATTTGACTTGCAGATGCTCACAGCAAACCTGTATGGTAAGAATTATTACTGACTCCATTTTATAGATGGGAACACTGAGTCCCCCCCCGGCACTGGCTGGGAAGAGGGAAATCGACCTCTAAGTTCATTTGCCTTTTTTTTCTTTTTCTCCATGACAGAAAAAAAACAGCAGAAAATAAAGAACATTCTGTCAAACAAGACATTGAGAGAACATAATTCATTTGTGGAGGTAGGAGCCTGGGTGCCTACACCCCAGCAGACCTGACGCCCTGTCCCCGGCTCAGCCACTTTCCCAGTGATTAGAGGCACACAGAGGCTCAGGGTCTCAGGATGCGCTGGAAGACAGAGACACAGAAGCAAGGGCAGAAGCAAAGACTGGGAGAGGCTGAGGGAGCAGAGGGAATGGGAGGCCCCAGGGTCCCCCGAGAGCACTGGCCAGAGGCCCCTCTGTGCAGTGAGGCCTGGCAGCCACCTTCACTGCCTTCCTGACACTGTCCCAGGTCCTACCCTCCGGCAGGGGGCCTCAGCCCCACACTGTCCCCCACCCCCACCCCCGACTGCCATCAGTCCCCCACTCACTGCCCCTGCCCCTTCCCCAAGAGATGCATCGACTGGAACCGCGAGCTGCTGAAGCGGGAGCTGGGCCTGGCCGAGAGTGACATCATTGACATCCCGCAGCTCTTCAAGCTCAAAGAGTTCTCTAAGGCGGAAGCTTTTTTCCCCAACATGGTGAGGAGGTGGCGGCTTTAAAACCCCAGGGTGTGGCATGGAGGTAGCTCAGCCCGAGAGGCCAGTGGGGCACCCGGGCGGTCCCAGAGGGCTTGGCTCCTCTCTGTAACCGTTTGTAGCTTTGTCCTGAGTGGTACAAGGTCAGACGTGACCAGGTCCATGCACGTTGGTGTCTTTCCACAAGGTCAGGCTTCTACTGATGCTATTTCCATCATAAAATCCACAAGCCACACGGAGTTCCCCAGGGGCAGTCCTCAGGTGGGCAGAGCCCTGGGCACACAGGCTCAAGCCACTCCACAAGTCAGTCAGTCCTGCAAACCATACATAGTAGTGTACTTAATCAACACAGAAATGTTACAGATGAAACATTCTTACCAAACAAAGCAATATTTAACATCAAGAGAGAAGGGGATAGGAAAAGGGGTCAGTGAACCAGTCCAAGGAGAGTGATGTGGACAAGGAGAGGGTCCTGGGCTGATCTAAATGGACATCAACGTCTTGCAAGGAAGAGTGTAATTTTGGCAGAGCCTTCAACAGCGGGTGCCAGGTGCTAATCACTAGTGACAGCAAGACAGTGTCTGTTAAGACAGTCATCTTGAGGCCGGGTGCGGTGGCTCACGCCTGTAATCCTAGCACCTTAGTAGGCCAGAGCGGGTGGATCACTTGAGGTCAGGAGTTCGACACCAGCCTGGCTAACATGGTGACACCCCCATCTCTACTAAAAATACGAAAATTAGACAGGTGTCCTGGCAGGAGCCTGTAATCCCAACTACTTGAGAGGCGGAAGCAGGAGAATCACTTGAACCTGGGAGACGGAGGTTGCAGTGAGCCAAGATCATGCTATTGCACTCCAGCCTGGGTAACAGAGTGAGACTTTGTCTCGGGAAAAAAAAAAAAAAAGACAGTCATCTTGAGCTAGTGAAGACCTGCTCTTTTTATAGCCAGAGTCCTCTGGTGAGGACTGATAGTAATAGAGTATGCCTGCTTATGTCCCTATCTGGTTGGGTGCAGTCTCTGTTGATTAGGCAAACATCTGGTTCCTGTTAGCATGGTGCCTTTTGAAATGTAAGATGGAGTCTTTTTCTAAGATGGAGTCACTTATGCCAAGGGTGCTCTATACAGGCTTGCATGGCCCTGTACCACTTCCAGAGCACCTTCTGGTATCTCACAACAATTCCAGAAGTCAGAGTCTATCGTCGCTTCTGCCAGGGCTCTGGCTTCAAACCCCATGCCGTAACTACCATGCTGCCTTCCCACGTAGCACCTTCCCTGGGGCTCCGGGGTGATGCAGGGGATGGAGGGATGGATAGGGAATCAACCAACAAACACGACACCCTCAAGTCACCTTATGCACCATAACAGGGACACACGTGGGGGCACCACCTCAGACTGGAGGGTCCGGGAAGGCCTCTGTGAGGAGGTGGGGCTGGCACTGCCTAGGCTGAGTGGGATTCACCTTCTGGAGGCTGCACTTGTGGGTGGTCCCACCTTTGTCTTGAGCGTTCACCGTGGCCCCTAAGTGCTGTCTTGATATCATCCATTGTGTTTTTGCCATTCCTTGGCCCCATTCCTCCCTCTCTTCAGAGCATACCCGAGACCGAGGCAGAGACTTCACCCGGTCCTACTGGGGAACCCCAGCCACCCCCTTCTTCTGGAGCTGGGGGTTACAGTTCAGGGAGGAGCCAGCAGGCCCTACCACCGTGGTTTTCAAACTGGGTTCCCACTCAGCCTAGGCAGTGCCAGCCCCACCTGGGGCTCCGGGGTGGTGCCTCAAATCCAGTGGTTCAGATTTTCTGTTTCTGCATTGACATTCTGCAAAAGATTGTGTGTAGAATAAAGGGTTCCTTGGCCAAAAGGAATTAAAGTATTGACCCCAAGCGTTTTGTTTCCCTCCAGTTTGGCCAAGCCAGGCTTCCCAGTGCGGGAATGAAAGTGGACGCCCGCGGCTATGGTAGTCAGCAACGCTGAGGGCTGACTGTGTGCCTTCACTGTTCAAGGTCCCCAGAGGGAGTCTGAGCATGAGACCAGACTCTCTCCCAGGAGCTGGCTGTGGGAGGCGGGGAAGAGGGAGTGATGAACAGTACGAGGCACTTAGCACGCATGGGCTGTGTCTAGGCGGTGGCCCCCTTGAGGACTCATGACCCATGGAAAATGGCTGTGCATCTACTGTGTGCCAGCACAGTGCTGTGCCTACATGTTCTTACCTAATTGTCATTGCAACGGAGATATGTGTTGGGCTCATTTTGCTGATGAGGCTCAGAGGGGTGATATGACTTGCCTAAGGCCACACAGCTATTGAATAGCAGAGTTAGGATTCAAACCCACATAGGCCTACAGCCAAAATCCCACCTTCCCACCTCACCAGGCCACCTGCCAATCTAATGGAGGAAGCAGAGTCATTTACATACATTATTTACATATGGAAAGTGCCATAACAGAGGCAGTCATTTATCTGTCTAGTCAACAGATGTTTATTGAGTGCCTACGACGTGCAAGGCGCAGTGCTGGGAGTTATGGGAACACAGAGCAGGAGTGACTGCCAGAGCTCAGGGATTCATGGGCAGTTTCACAGAGGGGCTGCCATCTGAGCTGGGCCCTGAGTAATAGAAAGAGTTTACCAGAAGGTGACAGGTAGGGGAGGAGAACGTAGTGTTAAGAGCATGGGCAGCATCAGAAAGAACGAAATCAGCCAGGAGGGGTGGCTCATACCTGTAATCCCAGCACTTTGGGAGGCTTAGGTGGGAGGATTGCTTGAGTCCAGGAGTTCAAGACCAGCCTGAGCAACATGGAGAAACTCTGTCTCTACAAAAAACACAAAAATTAGCCAGGCGTGGTGGCATCTGCTGAGGCAGGATGATTGCTTGAGCCCAGGAGGTGGACACTGCAGTGAGCTGAGATGGCACCACTGAACTCTAGCCTGGGTGAAGAGTAAGACCCTGTCTCAAAAAAAAAAAAAAAAAAAAAAATTAAATAATGTCCTTTGCAGCAACCTGATGGAGCTGGAGGCATTATCCTAAGTGAACTAAAACAGAAAATCAAATACTGCATGTTCTCACGTATAGGTAGAAGCTAAACAGTGGATACACATAGACACAGAGATGGAAATAATAGGCACTGAGGACCCCCAAAATGGAGAGAATGAGAGCGAGGTGAGGGCTGGAAAATTACCTATCGGGTACGATGTTCATTGTTTGGGTAATGGATACACTAGAAGCCCAGTGCCCACCAGTAATCAATATACCCATGTAATAAATATGCATATGTACCCCCAAATCTAAATTTTTAAATTTAAAATAAATAAGAGTATGGAACTTGGAGTCTAATAGCTGTAGTCCAAGTATAGCTGGGTGGCCTTAGGCAAACAATTTTCCACGTCTGGGTCTCAGTTTTCTCATTTGTAAAGTGGGGCTATTATTTTTATTTTGTTTTAATTTTTGAGACAGAGTCTCGCTCTGTCACCCAGGCTGGAGTGTATTGGAATGATCTCGGCTCACTGAAACCTCCACTTCCTGGGTTCAAGCAATTCTCCTGCCTCAGCCTCCCAAGTAGCTGGGATTACAGGCACACCTGGCTCATTCTTGTATTTTTAGTAGAGACGGGGTTTCCCCATGTTGGCCAAGCTGGTCTCGAGCTCCTGACCTCAGGTGATCCACTCGCCTAGGCCTCCCAAAGTGCTGGGATTACAGGCATGAGCCACCACACCCAGCAATTTTTATTTTTGAGGTAGAGTCTCGCTCTGTCGCCCAAGCTGCCAGGCTGGAGTGCAGTGGCACAATCACAGCTCACTGCAGCCTTGACCTCCTGGGCTCAAGTGATCCTCCTCCCTCAGCCTCCAAAGTAGCTGGGACCACAGGCACGCACCACCATGCCAAGCTAATTTTTAAAAATACTTTTTTTAGAGATGGGGTCTCACCATGTTGCCCAGGCTGGTCTCAAACTCTTGGGCTCAAGCGATCCTCCTGCCTCAGCCTCCCAAAGTGCTGGGACTACAGGTCTGAGCCACCACCCCTGGAGGGGCTATTATTTCCAAAGGTCAGAGAAGGGTGGGGCCGCTCAGATTGCGCTGCAGGCTGCCCGCTGCTGCCTGTGACCTGAACCCTCACTTCCCTGCAGGTGAACATGCTGGTGCTAGGGAAGCACCTGGGCATCCCCAAGCCCTTCGGGCCCGTCATCAACGGCCGCTGCTGCCTGGAGGAGAAGGTGTGTTCCCTGCTGGAGCCACTGGGCCTCCAGTGCACCTTCATCAACGACTTCTTCACCTACCACATCAGGCATGGGGAGGTGCACTGCGGCACCAACGTGCGCAGAAAGCCCTTCTCCTTCAAGTGGTGGAACATGGTGCCCTGAGCCCATCTTCCCTGGCGTCCTCTCCCTCCTGGCCAGATGTCGCTGGGTCCTCTGCAGTGTGGCAAGCAAGAGCTCTTGTGAATATTGTGGCTCCCTGGGGGCGGCCAGCCCTCCCAGCAGTGGCTTGCTTTCTTCTCCTGTGATGTCCCAGTTTCCCACTCTGAAGATCCCAACATGGTCCTAGCACTGCACACTCAGTTCTGCTCTAAGAAGCTGCAATAAAGTTTTTTTAAGTCACTTTGTACATGAGGTCAAGATGTTGTTGGTATCATTCATTCATTCACTCATTTGTCATGGTTGAATTGACTATCACAAAACAAACTGAAAAGTGTTAACAGGCTGCACTGAAGGCCACGTTATTGTGTGTGTCTTTTGCTCCCAGACATGTATTTGGGCTATAAAATTTTGCATGATCCTAGTTCGTTCTGAGTTTCCCACGGGACCTTTCCAAGAAGAGGAGGAGGAGGGAGCAGGGGAGGGGTAAGCCCCGCTGAGAATCTGGGCATATCCCTCTTTAAACTCACCTACAACTGGGCATTCACCTACGTACTGATAGCGATGGATTTTTGTGGAATGAAGTAATTCATCTCCTCGGTGTTCTTTTTTATATTGCCTTTTATGGCTTCGACATAAAGACTCAGATTCCTCTGTAGAAAATAAAACTTGATGGCTTGAGATCATTAAAATTGAGACCAGATATTGGCTCAAAAGGGTCCAAGATATTCAGAGAACACCCAGGGATCCTGTTATTTTCATGTAGGTCATGGAGAATATATGATGGCGGAAAAGATGAATATCAAAAGCCTCTGCCTTCACACTTCCTGATTTCAAAACATACTACAAGCTACAGTCATCAAAACAGTGTGGCATGCTCATAAAGACAAATAGACCTATGGAATAGAATAGAAAGCCTGGAAGTAAACCCTCGAGTATAACATTTCTCCAAAGATGATATACAAATGGCCAACAAGCACATGAAGAGATGCTTACCATCACTAACCATCAGAGAAATGCAAATCAAAGCCACAGTGACCTCACACCCATTAGAATGGTTACTATAAAAAAAAAGTGTTGGTGAGGATGTTGAGAAATTGGAACCCTTGTGCACTATTGGTGGGATTGTAAAATGAAATGATACAACTGCTATGGAAAAAAGTATAGAGGTTCCTAAAAATAATTAGAAATACAACTGATATATGATCCTGCAATCCCACTTCTGGGTAAATATCTGAAAGCAAGATCTCCTTTTTTTTTTTTTAAGAGGGGGTGTTTTACCATGTTGCCCAGGCTGATCTCAAACTCTTAGGCTCAAGCAATCTGTCCACCCTGGCTATGGAATATTATTCAGCCTTAAAAAGGAAGGAAGGAAGGCCAGGCACGGTGGCTCACACCTGTAACCCCAGCATTTGGGGAGGCCAAAGTGGGCAAATCGCTTGAGCCCACCAATTTGAGACCAGCCTGGACAACACAGCAAAGCCTTATCTCTACAAAAATAAATAAATAAATAAATAAAATAAAAAAAAAAAGAGTTGGGCATGGTGGTGCACACCTATAGTCCTACCTACTTGGGAGACAGACGTGGGAGGATCACCTGAGCCTAGGGAGGTCAAAGCTGCAGTGAGCCATGATTGTGCCACTGCACTCCAGCCTGGGTGACAGAGTGAGTGACCCAGTCTCAAAAATAAGGAAGGAAATCTTGTCACATGTTACAACATGAATATGCTTTGAGCACGTTACGCTATGGGAAATAAGCCAGTTACAAAAAGAGAAATCCTGTATGATTCCACTTACATGAGTTACCTAGAAAAATTCACAGGAACAGAAAGTAGAGGCTGGGCCAGGTGACTCACACCTGTAATCCCAGCACTTTGGGAATCTGAGGCAAGTGGATCACTTGAGGTCAGGAGTTTGAGACCAGCTTTGTCAAGATAGTGAAACCCCATCTCTACTAAAAATATGAAAAATTAGCCAGGTGTGGGGTGCACATGCCTGTAATCTCAGCTACTCAGGAGGCTGAGGCACATGAATCACTTGAGCCTGGGAGGTGGAGGTTGCAGTGAGCCAAGATCGCCCCACTACACTCCAGCCTGGGCAACAGAGCAAGACTCTGTCTCAAAAAAAAAAAAAAAGTAGAATGGTGGTTGCCAGGTACTGGAGGAGCAAGAAGAAGGGAGTTGTTGAATGGGTGTAGAGTTTCAGATTTGCAAGATGTAAAAGCTGGAGATCTGTTTCACAACAATGTAAATATACTTAACACTGTTGAACTGTACACTTAAAAATGGTTAAGATGGGCCAGGTACAGTGGCTCACGCCTGTAATCCCAGCACTTTGGGAGGCCAAGGCAGGCAGATCACCAGAGGTTAGGAGTTTGAGACCAGCCTGGCCAACATGGTGAAACCCCGTCTCTACTAAAAGTACAAAAATTAGCTGGGCGTGGTGGCGTTTGCCTGTAGTCCCAGCTACTCGGGAGGCTGAGGCACGAGAATCGCTTGAACCCAGGAGGCGGAGGTTGCAGTGAGCCAATATTGTACCACTGCACTCCAGCCTGGGCATAGAGTGAGACTCTGTCTCTAAATAAATAAATAAAAACTGTATTTTTTTTTGAAAAGCCTCTGCCCTGCCCCACTAAGGAGAAGTGGATCCATAAAACCTGGGTCAAAATACACTGCTCTGAAGACAATCGGCTGCTCCCCCAGCCCCAAATGTACTGAAGCAAAGGATGTGAGTGTTTCTGTGGACCAGAAGGGGACCAGGGACAGAGGAAGCTGGTATGAGTTGAGCCCCAAACCTGGCAGATAGGGCTGCCTCGAGCAGCGAACAGGACTTAGCAGATAAAACTGAAGATTTTGCTGGATTCCTAGGGCTGGGGAAGGACTCAGAGACAAGCTGGTGGATAAGGCACCCCTGGCATCAGGGGACATGCAGATGCGCAGATGTTACCCCAGCCACGTATGGGTTGCAGGTGGGAGGTGTCTCTGGAGAAGTCAGGGAAGCCCACGGGAGAGAAAGTGCTACCATCCCTCTAGAGCACAGAGCCATCCCCTGATCATGCCCATCAAACAAAAACTTCCCTGTTCCTTTCGCCTTGCTCCCACCTCTCCCTTCCCCAGAGACCACATAGGAGTTTCCTGAAGCTGCTGTTACAAATCATCACGAACTAAAAGGCTTAAAACAATAGAGATGGACCCTCTCTCAGTTCCAGAGACCAGGAGATCAAAATCAGTCTCACTGGGCTGAAATTCAGGTATCAGCAGGGCCATCCCAGCTCCAAAGGCTTTAGGAGGGGAGTTTCTCTTCTAGCTTCTGCCAGCTTTCCTCAGCTAGTGGCTGCCTCATGCCAATCTCTGCCTCCCTGGTCACATGGCTTTCTCTTCTGTGTGTGTCAAATCTCCCTCTGCCTCCCCCTTATAAGGACACTTGTGATGATATTTGGAGCCCATCGGATAGTCCAGGACAATCTCCCCATCCCAAGATCTTCATTCACCTCTGCAAACAGACTCTTTCTTTGTTTCTATATGAGACAACCTACAGGTTCCGAAGATTAGGACCTGATCTCTCTTGGGTGCCATTATTCCACCTACTGTAGGTTGGAAATCACCACGTGCCAGCTGCAGCCAGCAGAATAGGAAAGAAATAAGCCAGGCACCTCCTTTCCTTTCCGCAGCTCTAAGCCTTGCACCTGCATCAAGCCCTCATAGGAAAGGGTGAACATTCCCCTTTACAAATCTGAGTCCTGAATTGAGAGTGTTTTATGTCTGGTTCCTGGAAACAGATTCTTAGATGGAGATTTGCCTGCAGGAGGTTTATGGGGGGTGCCGGGGGAGGGTGTTTCCGGAAGCGCACCTGGGAGGGAGTGTGGGGCTCAGAGGGGGACACTGAACTGGGATGCAGTTGCCTCAAGGCTTCAGGCAATGCACGGGGTATCTTGGGGGCTGGGGAAGGGCCTCAGAGTTGTCCTGCATTCAGACAAGGCAACCTGGCCTTTGTCCCCCCACATTGGATGTGGCTGTCCCCAGATGGGGACACAACCAGGTACTAGGCCGCTCCTAGGCACAGAAGGCAATTCCAGAAGAGAGACTTGCGGCACTCGCAGCAGCTGGGGGCGTGAGTGCCTCCCCCTAAAGGGGGGCGCGGTGGCACACCACAGCGCCCACCACAGTGACCTCAAGTGACCATGGGACTTCTGATGAGCAAACCTGAGTTGAGCATGATGAGCAAACCTGAGTTGCCGAGAGAGAACTTCTGCATGGAATAAGCATGTGAGGAGTGCGGGAGTCAATACAAAGTTACTTTATGATCATGTAACCCAAGCAGGTCCAGCCAATGCCAGTTGGAGAGCTCGAGCCCAAAAACAAGAGCAAAATGTGGTAGAAGGTGACTTTATTTACCAAAACTAGCAATGGGGGAGTGGTTGGATTCACATCAAAAGCAACCGCTTCGCCTTTCTGGGTTGAAGGCAAGAGTTTTAAAAGGGAAACTCTGGCTGGGCGCGGTGGCTCACACCTGTAATCCCAGCACTTTGAGAGGCCGAGGTGGGCGGATCACCTGAGGTCAGGAGTTTGAGACCAGCCTGACCAACATGGTGAAACCCCATCTCTACTAAAAATACAAAAATTAGCTGGGCGTGGTGGTGGACGCCTGTAATCCCAGCTACTTGGGAGGTTGAGGCAGGAGAATCGCTTGAACCTGGAAGACAGAGGTTGCGGTGAGCCGAGATGGTGCCATTGCACTCCATCCTAGGCAACAGAGCGAGACTCTGTCTCAAAAAAAAAAAAAAAAAAAAAAAAAGGAAATTTGGTACAGGAGGTGTGCAGGAGTTGTGAGGAGTACAAGGTCTGTGTCTTGTTTCCATGGCTAACTCGGGTCTCAGTCCCCCTAAAGCACGGGCTGACGTCATTTCAGCAATGTGCTGAGTTGTTGGCTAGCTGCCTGGAGGTAATCTCTTGAATTCTGCAGCTGGGTCTCCAGGCTCGGTCTGTCTCAAGATTAGCCCCTGGAACTTCTTTTATCATCATCATCATCATCATTTAGAGACAGGGTTTCGTTATGTTGCCCAGGCTGGTCTCAAACTCCTGGGCTCAAGGAATCCTTCCGTCTCAGCCTCCCAAAGCTCTGGGATTACAGGCGTGAGCCATCACACCTGGCCTGGAACTTGTAAGCAAGCATATAATTAGATACTAGCATACAGTTAGATAAATGTGAAGGGGCTTTATGGTGGGAAAGGGAGGGACATGGAGTCTATTTTAGGGTTAAGGGAAAAGGCTTCTGCAGTTTGCTTTAAGGTTACTTCTTGAGACTGAAGAGAAAGGGAAAAAAAGTTGTAAAATGCATTTGAAGTTAAGCTGCTCAGTTACAATCACTAACCCCTCGGTTCAGTGGAGACACCCCTGGAAGCCCATTGGGTTATTATCTTTATTTTATTCATTTATTTTTTTTTGAGATAGAATCTTGCTCTGTCGGCCAGGCTGGAGTACAGTGGCATTATCTCGGCTCGCTGCAAACTCCATCTCCCCAGCTCAAGCGATTCTCCTGCCTCAGCCTCCTGAGTAGCTGGGATTACAGGCGTGAGCCACCACACCTGGCTAATTTTTGTATTTTTAGTAGACGGGTTTCACCATGTTGACCAGGCTGATCTCAAACTCCGGACCTCAGGTGATCCACCTGCCTTGGCCTCCCAAAGTGCTGGGATTACAGGCCTGAGCCACCGTGCCCGGCTGGGTTATTATCTTCTTAGGGGGAGGACAAGGAGGTGATTTAGTCATTTGCTCCACAATAACTTGTTGAGTACCTACTATGTCTGGAGCTGTTTTGCAGGTGCTGGGGATTCAGTGGTGAATAAGAAGCCCCTGGAGGCGAGCAGGACGTGCTCTGGGTCTGAGTCACTTTCATCTCTGTCCACGAGGCTGGGTGAGGAGCCTTCCTCACTGTGCTCTGTAGAGCCCTGGCACAAGGCAGGGCTGCCCCAGGGTGGGGAACGTCAGAGCTTCCAGGCTGCCTTCCTCCAGACCCCAGAGCCTGGACTGGGCCTCAGCGACCCCTCCCCAGTCAACCCGTCTTCTCCCTCCAGCTGCCTCTGGCCGCTTGTGCGTGAGGGTGGGTGAGCCCTTTGGGATGAGTCTCATCAGAGCCTCTGCACGCTGAGTGCTTCCTGCCTGCTTAATTTTGCCACTTTCAATCCAACCAGAGGGGCATTTTGGGTCTTGCTGACCAACCCCCTGCCTCCAAGAGCAACTAAAACAGAGACATCCTTGAGAGTTGTGTTGAGTGCTTAAAACCTCCAGGGAGGGAATTTTTTACTGCAACTTGCAAATTTAGCCAGCCTGGCTGACCGAACAGGCTTCACTCAGTACCTCATCTCCACCTCCTATGCTGGGTACACCTGGGTGCATATTAGAGCAAAGGCTGAAAACAAATGTTTATATTACAGTACAACCCTATGTAAAATACACAGCTGTACAAAGGGGTAAGGCTGCTTTTTACGTACTGATACAAAGAACTTCTCTCCAGTATAACTATGAAGTGAAAGAGGCAAGGTATGGAATACTGGGTGGCACATACTACCGTTTATATAAGAAGACAGTAGTAGGAGGAGAGAAGAAAAGAGCAAAAGCGCCCCGGACATAGTAGGTGTTCAGCAATTCTAGTGGAGCAAATGACTAAATGACCTCCTTGTCCTTCCTCAAAAAAGATAACCCAATGGGCTTCCAGGGGCATCTCCACTGAACTGAAAAGTTTGTAATTGTAACCAAGCAGCTTAACTTTGAGCACATTTTACAACTTTTCTCTTTAGTCTCGAGATGTAACCTCGAAGGAACCTGCAGAAGCCTTTTTCCCTTAACCTTAAAATAGACTCCACGTCCTTCCCTTTCTCACCATAAAGCCCCTTCAAATTTATCTAACTGTATGCTAGTATTGGAGGAGGAAGAGAAGAAGAAAAGGATACACACACATATTTACTTGGTCATGCATAACATTTATTTGGAAAGACATATAAGAAACGGGTAACACTGTCACTACCTCCACCTGCAGGTGGGTAAGGCACAGGGCAGGAGGGAGACTCTGAACTTGGAATCATGTGACTGTGGTACCTATTCAGGAGTAAGCATGACCCAGCCTGGGCAACATAACAAGACCCCATCTCTGCGGAAAAATGTAAAACCATTAGCTGGGCATGGTGGTGCACATCTGTAGTCCCAGCTGCTCAGGAGGCTGAGGTGGGAAGACCACTTGAGCCTGGGAGGTCAAGGCTGTGAACCATGATCACGCCACTTCACTCCAGCCTGGGTAACGGAGTGAGACCCTGTCTCAAAAACAACAACAAAAAAAAACTCAACCCAAGCTTAAGACATGAAATGAACACAATTTTAAAGTCAGTTATGTAAGTTCCTTGTGCCAGAGAAGGGTTCCTATTTCTTTGCTCTGTGGGCTCCGCTGAGATGAGTAGCAGCTGATGACCCTGGCTTGATGTATTCATTCCACTAACACTTGCTGTGCCCCCACCCCCACCGACACAGCTGTAAGCAAAGAGCTCACCTTAATCACTGGGGGTTGGGATGCAGGTTCCTGGACCACACCCTAGACCTTCTGGGCCCAGGAATTTGCAATGTTAACAAGCACCCTTGATAATTTTTGAAACCACCAGAGGGTTAATAACCACCTAGTCTAGGCAGGCGCTGTGGCTCACGCCTGTAATCCCAGCACTTTGGCAGGTCGAGATAGGAGGATTTCTGGGATCAAGAAGTTCGAGACTAGCCTGGGCAACATGGCAAAACCCGGTCTCTACAAAAAATACAAAAATCAGCTGGACATGGTGGTGCACACCTGTAGTCCCAGCTACTTGGGAGGCTGAGATGGATCACTGGAGCCAGGTAGGTTGAGGCTGCAGTGAGCTATGATTGCGCCACTGCACTCTAGCATGGGTAGAGACCCTGTCTCAAAAACAAAACCAAACCACCAGTCCAGCACTTTGCCGAGCTCCTTCGTCAATTTCCAGGAGACACACACCCTAGAACTGAGACCCCAGAGCCTGGGCATGCTGCCACACATTGCCATCCTGACTGCTACCATCAACTCCTCCCAACTGCCCTCTGCAGGTATTTGCCCCGACAGCTTCCAGCTGAGTCCTCCAGCAACATGGCCAAGTTGATCACTCCAAGGCACCGACTTCCCAGAGCCCCTCCTCTTCCCAGCTGAAGGCCACAGATGCCTAAGCAACCGGCCTCAGACTCCCCTGGCCTGCAGCTCTGCAGGCACGAGGTGCCTGATAAATTGGTGATGAAGGGGTTCTGATGCCACCTGCTCCCCAGACTATCAGCCACCAGGAAGCTCTTAGAGGGAAAATCAGTGACACCTGGGCAGCTGCTGACCCCTCCCCTTCTTAACAAGGGGGTGGCCTGCACAGGCCTGGACTGTATAACAGGGAAGGGCAGGGTGAGCCCTGGGGCGTCTGAGGCTGCTGTGCTGAGTGAGGGCTGCGGTGCAGGCCTGAGGATGGTCAGCGTGGAGGGCCGAGCCATGTCCTTCCAGAGTATCATCCACCTGTCCCTGGACAGCCCTGTCCATGCCGTTTGTGTGTTGGGCACAGAAATCTGCTTGGATCTCAGCGGGTGAGATGCTGGGAGCTCTGCCAGAGGTGGCAGGCAGACAGGCAGGCAGGCCTGGGACCCAGTCCCCTTGATCTGGGAGTTGGGGGTTACTTCTCTAGCCTCACTATCCTGCCCCATCTTGGGAAGCCTTGGGTCTCTAGTGGGGGGCCTCCCAGTTCCAACCACGCAGAATTCTGACTTAAATCCTGCCTCTGCCCTGTAGCAGCTGCCATGGACTCTTAGTGAGGCAAGGGCCTTGGCCTCTCTGTTCCCCTATCTGTGAAACCATGGGGACGCTGGCCTCGGGGGGCTGTGAGGAGCAGGCCAGGGAGACTGCTAGATGCTGGAGCCTGCAGGTGGAGGTGACTCAGCAGGGTCACAGTACAACTTCCTGAGTCGCTTGCCCTGATCTTTTTCTTTATGGGGATCCTTTGTGGCTCCCCCCTTCTTGGGAATTGGGTGCTTATTACTAAGATGTAGCTGTGGTAACTTCTGCAGTGTCGGTAGCGGGATGGGGTTTGGGCTGGAGCCCGTCGGAGAGCAAACACAGGGGTCCTTTGGGAGGGGGTGGGTAGGAATAAGGACCCCAGACCACTCTGCCTCAACACCCTAAGGAGAATGAGGATTCGGGAGCCGTCCCCTCCCCCATGCCAGTCATCTCCTAGGCTGAGAAGGTGTTTGTGCCCTGACGCGTGTCTCTTACCGGGCAAACCAGGTGTGCCCCCCAGAAGTGCCAGTGCTTCACCATCCATGGCTCTGGGAGGGTCTTGATCGATGTGGCCAACACGGTGATTTCTGAGAAGGAGGACGCCACCATCTGGTGGCCCCTGTCTGATCCCACGTACGCCACAGTGAAGATGACATCGCCCAGCCCTTCCGTGGATGCGGATAAGGTAAGCCTCAGGGGAAGAGGTGAGGGGCATCTCCCGGGGTGGGACCTAGCACAGCCACTGGGGCTTCCTCCTGGCTGCAGACGTGACTCGAGCCTGGGAAACACGTTGTTTTGCACGTCTGATCTCATCCAGTGTCTGCAACAGACCAGTGGTGTGGGCACTCCATGACCCCATTTTACAAAGAAACAGAGGCACCTAGCGAAGGTGCCCTGCCAAGTCAGCAACCAGCAGGACTGGGATTTATTTTTTATTTTCATTTATTTATTATTATTTTTTTTTTTGAGTCTCACGCTCATTGCCCAGACTGGGGTGCAATGGCACAATCTCAGCTCACTGCAACCTCCACTTCCCGGGTTCAAGCAATTCTCCTGCCTCAGCTTCCCGAGTAGCTGGGACTACAGGCACCCACCACCATGCCCGGCTAATTTTGTATTTTTAGTATGAGACAGGGTTTCACTATGTTGGCCAGGCTGGTCTCAAACTCCTGACTTCAAGTGATCTACCTGCCTCCACCTCCCAAAGTGCTGGGATTACAGGCATGAGCCACCACACCTGGCCTACCATCACTTTACATATGAGGAAACTAAGGCACAGAGTGCTGTGTCTAAACCTAAGTAGCCTACCTAGAGTGGGATAGACCCAGGATTTGAGCTTGAGCCCAAGGGTGTATTCTCCCCTGGGTAAGCTGTCTCCCTAATGGGGTGCCTATGTTGGGGAGGTTCTCCTGTGGTAGAAGCAGGTGGCTCATTCAGGGCAGGAGTGTTCAACCTTGGTTGCAGGTGAGAACCACTGGGGAGCTAATAACATCAATACCCAGGCCACACCCCCTCTACCAATTAAACCTGAGGTACCAATGGAACCTCAGGGCTAGGATCCTGGCCGCTGGTTTAAAGCTCTCCAGGTGCACCCAGTGCGGGGCTGGGGGTGAGAACCATGATGGAGCAGTTCAGGACTGGGAGAGCTCTCCCTCCCTCCCCCCACACCCTACAGGACCTACTGGAGATGTCTGCTGCAGAGGGGTAGGTACACACACCCACCTGCGCTGTGTGCCCAGGGCAGGCAACTCCCTGAGAGGCAAGTAGTGGACTTAGGTAGGAACTGAGTGTCTCTGGCCAGGTGTGGTGGCTCATGCCTGTAATCCCAGCACTTTGGAAGGCTGAGATGGGCAGATCACCTGAGGTCGGGAGTTTGAGACCAGCCTGGCCAACATGGTGAAACGCTGTCTCTACTAAAAATACAAAAATTAGCCAGGTGTGGTGGCAGGTGCCTGTAATCTCAGGTTCTCAGGAGGCTGAGGCTGGAGAATCGCTTGAACCCAGGAGGTGGAGGTTGTAGTAAGCTGAGATTGTCCCACTGCATTACAGCCTGGGCAACAAGAACAAAACTCCATCGCAAAAAAAGGTATCTCAGATAAGAATGGAGGCCACGGTGGGTGCCAGTGGAACTCCAGACTACCTGAGAACCATTCTCTGCCCAGGGCTCGGCCTCCAGGACCCTCAGGAGTGGCCAACAAAGAACCTTGAACTTAGAGGACTAAAGCTTCTATTTAAGGATGGGGTGGATCTGTCACATGCTCTGGCCAATGGTTGGGTCTCTGGTTCATGACCAAGACCTTGTGGTCAGGGTCAGTGGCTGGAGGGCAGGTCTCTTTCTAAAAGCATAAAGTAGAGGCTGGTGTGGGACACAGTCCCACAGTTGGGACTGAGTCCCAACGCTGCTTCTTCACCTGGGTGTCCTTCTTAGTGAGCAGCTTAAGCCACCAGAGGCCTGTTTCCCCACCGTGCACCTTATGGAGTAGGACATGGGACCCCAGGAGAGTGGGTTTAGCAGGGAGGATGTATAGTGTGGTTTCAAGCTTGGGCTCTAGAGCCAGGCAGCCTGTTTCTTAAATCCCTTTGGGATAAGTCCCTTGATCACCCCGCCATCAGGGATACAGCTCTCACGTGGACAGGTGGTTTCAAGCCTGGCTCTCGACAAGGTTAGGGTTGGGGGTCATGGCAGGTTCTAAGTCCTTAGGGGACTGACTCAGCCCTAAGCGCAGGGCTGTGGCCCCATACCAGCTCATAGGTGAGACTTCAGAAGCCATAACACAAGACCAAGATCCCACGCCTAGACTCGGCACATGGCCTGGGGCTCTGTTCCTGGCACCTCCCGTCCAACACTGCCTATGGTTTCGGGATGCTGTCTCCACAGGTCTCGGTCACATACTATGGGCCCAACGAGGATGCCCCCGTGGGCACAGCTGTGCTGTACCTCACTGGCATTGGTGAGTGTTGCTCCAACTGGGAGCCTGGGGCCCAACTCACCGCTGGGGTTGGGGAAGGGGTGGGATTGTAGGAGGAGCCAAAAAAGATTCTCCAGGTAACAAGATGCCTCCTGTGGGCCCCAGGAACTCCTGAACAAACTCCTAAATGGATTCATTTGAGATACCCACTCACACACTCCCTCCTCGACGCTCAGTCACTTCTCCATCTTCGTGCACTGCCAACCTAATTCTGAGAATAGAAACAGCCAGAACTTCCGTGTCGCTGCCATCTACCCACCTACGCCTGTCTAGTGCCTACCTTCTTCCTTTGTTACTAATTGACGCATCTGGTCCAAAGTTAGTCTTTCTTGTCTCACTAGATCCTTTCTTATTCAAGAACATTCCTTTGTCAATTCTTACCAATGTAAGAAGCCGCCACCCTTCCCCGCCCTCTAGATCACCCCCATCAGCTCAGGAACAAGCTCTATAACATCTACTTTTTTTTTCTTTTTTTTCTGAGATGAGTCTTACTGTCACTCAGGCTGGAGTACAGTGGCATGATCTCGGCTCACTGTAACCTCTGCCTCCCAGGTTCAAGTGATTCTCCTACCTCAGCCTCCAGATTAGCTGGGACTATAGGTGTGTGCCACCATGCCTGGCTAATTTTTATATTTTTAGTAGAGACAGGTTTTCACCATGTTGGCCAGGCTGGTCTCGAACTCCTGACCTCGCGATCCACCTGCCTCGGCCTCCCCAAGTGCTGGGATTACAAGCGTGAGCCACTGTGCCTGGCCATATCATCTCTCTTAAACCTGATTCTAGGGTGTTTGTTTTTGTTTGAGATGGAGTCTTGCTCTGTTGCCCAGGCTGGAGTGCAGTGGCGCGATCTTGGCTCACTGCCCATTCCACCTCCCAGGTTCACACCATTCTCCTGCCTCAGCCTCCCGAGTAGCTGGGACTATAGGTACCCGCCACCATGCCCGGCTAATTTTTTTTTATTTTTAGTGGGCTAATTTTTTTTATTTTTAGTGGGCTAATTTTTTTTATTTTTAGTGGGCTATTTTTTTTGTATTTTTAGTGGGCTAATTTTTTTGTATTTTTAGTGGAGACGGGATTTCACTGTGTTGGCCAGGCTGGTCTCAATCTCCTGACCTCGTGATCCGCCCACCTCAGCCTCCCAGAGTGTTGGGATTACAGGCGTGAGCCACTGTGCTGGGCCTAGGTTGTCTTTTAAAGTCTATTCTCCCACCTCTCTTCCTGAGGAGCCATCTGTGTCCTCAATTTCTCTAGAATCTTCTCAAATTAGACACCTACCACCAACGGAGTTCTTTTAGAACTCTAACATCTACAACACTAAGTTTTTGGTTTGTGTGGGTTCTTTTGTGTTTTTGTTTTGTTTTGTTTTGTCTTGTTTTTTGTTTTTGAGACAGTCTCACTCTGTAGCCTAAGCTGAACTGGAGTGAAGAGACACGATCATGGCTCATTGCAGCCTCAAACGATCCTCTCACCTCAGCCTCTCCAGTAGCTTGGACCATAGGTGTTATACCACCATACTTGGTTAATTTTTTATACAGACATAGGTATCCCTATGTTGCCCAGGCTCCTCCCACCTCAATCTCCAGAGTGGCTGGGACTACAGGCACGCACCACCATGCCCAGCTGACTTTATTTTTTTATTTTATTTTTTCCCCCATAGAGAGGGTTTTACCATATTGCCCAGCCTGGTCTCAAACTCCTGGCCTCAAGTGATCCTCCCGCCTCAGCCTCCCAAAGTGCTGGAGTTACAGGCATGAGCCACGTACCTGCTGGTCAATCCCCTCTTAACACACTTGAACGCTTCAGGGATGTTCAACTTATTTTTCCTCCTGCCTGTTCCTTCTCAGAACCCTTTGGAGCTCAGAGGAGCTCTTCTCAGTCCTTTGTCCCGCTGCTTCCAGTCAGTGAAGTGTCTCAGGCTCAGGAGGCAGGTCACGTGACTCTAATGTCACCTATGGGCAGGCTGCTCCCACAAACCCGACTTGGATATTGCCTACCCAGCATGATCGCTTCGGTGTCTGACAGATGTCTGAAATGCAAATGGATTCTCTCTACTCCTGAAAACCTGTTTTTCTAGTAGTCCCTCCATCACAGTAGGCGGTAGCTCCATCCTTCTAGTGTAAACCTTGGCATCACCTGATTCTTCTTACCCCACAGCAGTCTGAATCTTGTGTTACCTGACGTTTCGCCAGAATCCAGCAACTCGCACTCCCAGTGTGTTCACTCCGGCTCGAGCCCCCATCCTCTCACCTGGGTCACAGCCCAGACCTCCCAGTGGGGTTCATGCTGGCACTCTTGCCCTTCTGACTAAGACCTCTAGCCTTGATCCAGCAGCCAGAGTGGTACATCTTTAAGTGGAATATTGGAATAACGCCTTCCAACTGCTTCCACGTTGCTTGGATTAAAGCCAAAGTCGCTGCCCACGAAACTACACGAGTAACCCTGCACTGCCTCTGTCTTTACCGCTTGTGAATCTTCCCCCTGGGTCATCCTGCTGCTTCTGCTGTGGGTCCTGTTGGCCACTCTAACCCTTGGCCTTGCTGCCTTGGGCTTCCTATTTCCCCTAATGGCTCTTACCCTAGATGTTAACCCAGATTTTCTTGCCTCCTTTAGGTCTCTTTTCAAATGTAAACTTGGGCTCCCTTGATCATCTAAAACTGAAATACCCTCGCTCCATTCCTTCTCCCATATCCCTCAGTGCTTATTGCTATCAAACATGATGTACCTGCTTGCCCCACCCCTGGTGTACACATATGTGCTCATGTAAGCTCTAAGGAGATGAGGTCTCCGTCTTGCACGCTGCTAGATCCCTAGGACCTGGGGCAGCCCAGTTCGCAGTGGGCATCTGGTCCCTGAGCATCTGCTGGTCAGGTGCTGATGATGTAACAGCAAACAAGTCCTGCGTTCGTGGCCCTGATATTCCAGTTGGGAATCAGCATGTCAAATAATGAGCTGTGAACAAAAGACCACACTGGAGCGACGTGGTTGTCCCTTGTGTGGTGGAAGGGATGGGAGGTGGTATGCTAAGGAGGCGGGACAGTCCCTATGACAGTACCTGGGCAAAAGCCTAGATCCTTAAGTGTGTTTTTTTGTTTGTTTTTGTTTTTTGAGATGGAGCATTACTCTGTCACCCAGGCTGGAGTGGAGTGGTGCGATCTCTGCTCACTGCAATCTCCACCTCCTGGGTTCAAGTGATTCTCCTGCCTTAGCCTCCTGAGTAGCTGGAACTACAAGCACCTGCCACCACACCGGGCTAATTTTTGTATTTTTCATAGAGACAAGGTTTTGCCATGTTGCTCAGTCTGGTCTTGAACTCCTGACCTCAGGTGATCTGCCTGCCTCAGCCTCCCAAAGTGCTGGGGTTACAGGCATGAGCCACCATGCCCAGCTAATCCTTAAGTTTTAAAGGGGCTTAGAATTGTCATGTATTGAATTTTTTTTGGGGGGGGGGACAGAATCTTGCTCTGTCACCCAGGCTAGAGTGCAGTGGTCTGATCTCAGCTCACTGCAACCTCCACCTTCCCAGCTCAAGTGACACTCCTGCCTTGGCTTCCCAAGAGGCTGGGACTACAGGTACCCTCCACCATGCCCAGTTAATTTTTTTTTTTTTTTTTTTTTAAGACGGAGTCTCGCTGTCGCCCAGGCTGGAGTGCAGTGGCGCAATCTCGGCTCACTGCAGGCTCCGCCCCCTGGGGTTCACGCCATTCTCCTGCCTCAGCCTCCCGAGAAGCTGGGACTACAGGCGCCCGCCACCTCGCCCGGCTAATTTTTTTGTATTTTTAGTAGAGACGGGGTTTCACCGTGTTAGCCAGGATGGTCTCGATCTCCTGACCTCGTGATCCGCCCGCCTCGGCCTCCCAAAGTGCTGGGATTACAGGCGTGAGCCATCGCGCCCGGCCGCCCAGTTAATTTTTGTATCTTTAGTAGAGATGCGATTTCACCATGTTGCCCAGGCTAGTCTCCAACTCCTGACCTTAAGTGATCCATCCACCTCAGTCTCCCAGTGTTGGGATTATAGGAGTGAGCCACTGTGCCCGGCCATATTAAGCCTTTCCTATGTCTTGGAGCATAAAGCTTTCCAGAAGACTAGAGAGGTAGACTTTGCAAGTAAGAATCACTTGGGTAGAGGCTGAAAGGCATGAGATGGCATGAGAGGACCATGATGGGCTTGTTTTGTGAGTTCCTGGGAGGTTTGGGGTAGACATTTGACTACTTGGGCCTCTCCAGGCTTGCTGATATGAAGCTGTCACCTTTGAGAATGGTTTCTGCTTCTAAGCTGATAGCATGCCAGAAAGGCTAGATGCCCTGATGCCAGCCTTGGGCAGCCCCACAGGAGATAACCTATAACTTTGAGGTTCCATCTGGCAGGTCAAGGTGGCTGGGACACCCTTTTCTTCTGTTTCAGAGGTCTCTCTAGAGGTAGACATCTACCGCAATGGGCAAGTTGAGATGTCAAGTGACAAACAGGCTAAGGTGAGTCTGCCAGCAAAAGGGGGCAGGGAAGGGGCCCTATAAGCCAAATCTGCCCACAGGCTCACTTGATCTGACCTTCCTCGTGTCTAGCCCAATTGCTGTGACATTGCTGAAGGATTAGATACGTGGAGGGGAGGGGTAAACCAAACTGTCACGGTACAAGTCAGAGCTGATTAAATTCCTTTTCTTTTGTGGGGTATTTTTTTGTTTTTTTTTGTTTGTTTGTTTTTGATGTTGTTTTTGATGGAGTTTCCCTCTGTTACCCAGGCTGGAGTGCAGTGGCATGATCTTAGCTCACTGTAATCTCCACCTCCCAGGTTCAAGTAATTCTCCTGCCTCAGCCTCCTGAGCAGCTGGGGTTACAAGCGTGTGCCACCACACCTGGCTAATTTTTTTTTGAGACGGAGTCTCGCTCTGTTGCCCAGGCTGGAGTGCAGTGGCACGATCTCAGCTCACTGCAAGCTCCATCTCCCAGGTTCACGCCATTCTCCTGCCTCAGCCTGCCGAGTAGCTGGGACTCTAGGTGCCTGCCACCATGCCTGGCTAGTTTTTTTTGTATTTTTAGTAGAGACGAGGTTTCACTGTGTTAGCCAGGATGGTCTCGAAATCCTGATCTCCAGTGGTCCACCTGCCTCGGCCTCCCGAAGTACTGGGATCAGAACTGATTAAATTTCTAGCTCACTAAAAAAAAAACCAGAATGTCTGGCAACTCTAGGCTCATGTCCTACCCTGGTTGTGGAGTCTCCTAGATGAGAGGATTAGCCGCTGCTGCCAGGTGGCACGTCTCTTTTCCAATTTGCCTCGGTCCCTGATTCTCTGACTCTGAAATATGAGGTAAGTAACTGGTAACCCCGAACCTAGCTTCTTTCCCTTCCTCTTAGCCTCCTTACCTGACATGACCTTCCTGTGCCTACAGATTCTTGACCTCACCAGTCCTGTTCCATGGGTCCCTGTACCCTGGAGAAAGGCTTGGCTGGGCCCCTCTGCTATGAGGTGCATCCGAGAAACAGAAGATTTATTTGGCTCCTTCCTGAGCCAATGTTCCCATCTCATTTGCAGAAAAAATGGATCTGGGGTCCCAGCGGTTGGGGTGCCATCCTGCTTGTGAATTGCAACCCTGCTGATGTGGGCCAGCAACTTGAGGACAAGAAAACCAAGAAAGTGATCTTTTCAGAGGGTAGGACCTCAGACTGTCTCTGCCTTTCCTTCTTGGTCTCTTTGCTGCCCTGCTTCTCAGCAAATGGATTCCAGACTAATTTTCTCCACCCCACCCCCGACACCCTCTTCCCCAGTCCCCATGCCTGGGCTGATCAAACCTTTTGTCCTGAGTTGTAGATGTATAATTGGGTAAGAGAAGTCACATAGCCCCATGCAAAGAGCATGGGTGGTTACTTGTTTCCTAGCTGTGAACTTGAGCACACTAACTTCCCTGATCTTGTTTCCCTATTTGTAAAATGGGGATGATGCAGTTGGCCTCCCAACTATATCAGTTGGTTGACAAGACTAAATGAAGACAATAGGGGTATATGCGCTGCTTTCTAAAAAGCCTCTCATAGTCTGGGCCAGGAACCTTGGACTGTCTTGGGTAAAATTCGCCTTGGATCCTGACTTGCGGTTGGGACCAGGGTTCTGGGTCTTAGCAGTAGAATGGAATGTCTTGTTTCCTACTGAGACTGGAAACAAGACTGGAAACAAGGTGAACCTTCACTGAACTGATCGAGGTAGGCCCTGTTCTGTTTGTGGGGGACCATGGGATAAATCCCATCCTCCCTCAAAAGGAGGCCCTGAGGTTTGCAGCTTGCCTGTAGCCACCTAGAACAAGCAGTGAAATGGTAATTCTTCGGGCCTGGGCCCTAGCAAAAGGCAGGGGGTCCTTGGTGCTCTGTTCAAACTCCCGGCCCCTCTCTACTGCTCTTCCCTCCACCCCCAGAGTGCTGGCCTCCAGACATTCCTTAACCTTTGCTTTGTCTTTTGCCCAGAAATAACGAATCTGTCCCAGATGACTCTGAATGTCCAAGGCCCCAGCTGTATCTTAAAGAAATATCGGCTAGTCCTCCATACCTCCAAGGAAGAGTCGAAGAAGGCGAGAGTCTACTGGCCCCAAAGTGAGTGTTCTTGTGCCAGCTCCAGCTTTGCCTGCTCTCGACGTGCCAGGCAAGTTGTGCCCACACCTCCTCCCAGCAAGGTCCCCAGCAGAAGCCTGCTGGAGACCTAGAGCTGCAGATGAGAGGCTGTTGTGGCTGTACTTGTGTTTCCAGGATTCTCTGGCTGCCACCTTCCCCATAGGCTAAATCTGTACACATGGGTGAGTTATTGCACCTCTAAGCCACTTTCTCCACTTGTAAAATGGGGGTAGCTGTGCCTTCCCTGCAGGCTAGAAGAGAAGAGAGACATATCCACTGAAACAGTAGCTATTGCCTTACACAGAGTAGATCACATCTCCCAGTGACTCCTCTCAGGAGAATCCATCTTCACTCTAAACCAATGATCCACTATGTTAAATTTCCAGAAATCTGAGGCCAAAACCTCTAGAGCGGCAGCCACGGTAGCACCTGCATCCCAGCCACCACGCCATCCACCACCCATCTTCAGCCCTCCTCTCCTGGGAGGCAGGTAGCATACTCTATTCTATAGATGGAGGGCTGGTTAGGAGGTACACATGCCCAACTCCAGCAAAACAGCCTTGCACATCTTTTGACTTCCCTGAACTGGCTCAGGACTTGGCGTACCTCTAAATCTCTCATTGAGAGCTAGCTCTGCTTCTGGACGGACATGCCAGCATGCTTTCTTTGGGTTTTGTTTTGTTTTTCCCCTTTGAGTCAAGGTCTAGCTCTGTCACCCAGGCTGGAGTGCAGTAGTGTGATCACAGCTCACTGTAGACTAGACTCAGCTTCCTGGACTCAAGCAGTCCTCCTACCTCACACTCCCAAGGAGCTGGTATGACAGGTGTGTGCCACAACTGGCTAATTTGCTTTTCTTGTAGAGACGGGGTCTCACTTTGCCCAGACTGGTTTCAAACTCCCGGATGCAAACAATCCTCCTGCCTTGGCTTCCCAAAGTGCTGGGATTACAGGTGTGAGCTACTGCACCCGGCCCAACCTGCCACCTTGTCTTGTAAACCATGCTTAGCTTCAGCTACGCAACGCAGGGAGCTCTGTGGTCTATACTGTGCCTCTTCTCAGAGGGCACCATCTTTGTTGCCAGCATTGGAGAGTGTGCCCCTGCCACTTCCTGGTCTACACTCTGGGGCCTTGGCTCAGTCTCCTACTCCATCTCTTCTGCAGACCATAGATCTCAGCTGGATTTCAAAGTAGCCTGGGATTAGCCAGAAAAGGTAGCCCAGCTTGGACGTGGCCATCTTACACATGAGCTAGAGTGAGCCGAAGAAACCCAGGGGTCTAGGTCTGGTTCAGGCCACAAGGGCTACTCTGGCCCTGGGAGGCTACCAGTGCTGAAGTAGGTGGATTAGGCCAGGCAGGCCTTGGAGTCCGCCGGTTCATGTAGCTTGCTAAGGATGCCATACTTCATCATGTGGATCATAGCGAACTACCGGTTTCTTTATTGAAAAAGCTTATTCAGGCTGGGCGTGGTGGCTCATGCCTCTAATCCCAACATTTTGGGAGGCTGAGGCAGATGGATCACCTGAGGTCAGGAGTTCGAGAACAGCCTGGCCAACATGGCGAAACCCTGTCTCTACTAAAAATACAAAAATTGGCATGGTGGCGGGCATGCCCGCCAGCTACTCAGGAGGCTGAGGCAGGAGAATTGCTTGAACCCGAAAGGCAGAGGTTGCAGTGAGCCGAGATCATGCCACTGTACTCCAGCCTGAGTGAGACTCAAAAAAATAATTTTTTTAAAAAAACTTATTCAACAATCTAGGGGCTGAGCACGGGGCTTATGCCTATAATCCCAACACTTCGGGAGGCCAAGGCAGGCGGATCACCTGAGGTCAGGAGTTCGAGACCAGCCCGGCCAACATGGCAAAACCACATCTCTACTAAAAAATACAAAAGCTAGCTGGGCTTTGTGGCATATACCTATAATCCCAACTACTCAGGAGACCAAGGCAGGAGTGAACCTGGGAGGCAGAGGCTGCAGTGAGCCGACGTTGCACCACTGCACTCCAGCCTAGGTGACAGAGTGGGACTCTGTCTCAAAAAAAAAAACTTAAAAATCAGGGTAGGGCAACACAGCATGTTATGTTTTAACAAGCCTTCCAGGTGACTCTGAAACATGCTAAAGCTTGAACCACAAAAAGATACAGCAAAAGAGTCTGAAAAGTTTACAGAGGAATAGAAAGCCAGAATACAGGGTTCTAGAAACAGGCTGGGTGTGTTGGCTCACACCTGTAATCCCAGCACTTTGGGAGGCCAAGGCAGGAGGCTTACTTGGGCACAGGAGTTCAAGACCAGCCTTGGCAACACAGTGAGACCTTGACTCTGAGATAAGATTATTTTTATAAAGAAGCCTGGCCAGGCGTGGTGGTTCATGCCTTAATCCCAGCACTTTGAGTAGACCAAGACTGGTGGATCACTTTTGAGGTCAGGAGTTTGAGACCAGCCTGGCCAACATGGTTAAAACCATCTGCTAAAAATACCAAAATTAGCTAGGTGTGGTGGCTTTAGCTTGTAATCCTAGCTACTCAGGAGACTGAGGCGGGAGGATCATGTGAACCCGGGAGGCAGAGGCTGCAGTGAGCCGACATTGCACCACTGCACTCCAGTCTGGGCAAAGTAAGGCAGTGGCCAACCCTGGCAAATGCTGTGGGATAGACTAAGATGCCCAAGCCCATAGTAAAGTCACAATCCTCAGAATGGCAGTCATCAGTGACCCTGATAATAACAGTGAAAAGCCAGGTTGAAATGGGGAGGCACAGTAAATCTAGGCCACAGAAAGAATTCTCTCTCCGTAAAGGGAGATGTGTGGTGGTAATTACAGGGGCCAGCACGCAGTCGAGCGTGTCTGAAGCTGGTAGTACACGGGCAGATGTATAGATGGAACTGATCCAACAGGGGTGGGGAAATGGATCCTAGAGGAAGATCTGAGAAGTTTGCAGAGGAATAGAAAGCCAGAAGACAAGGTTCTAAACAGGCTGGGCGTGGTGGCTCACACCTGTAATCCCAGCACTTTGGGAGGCCAAGGCAGGAGGATCACCTTTAGGACTATGGAATACAGGTGAGTCTGTGGACAGGAATGAGACGATAGTGTTTGAGTAGTGTTGGTGGCTTGCTCTGAGGTCTGGTCGTAGCCTGAAATGAGGCCTTTTGGTGTGATGGTTTTCTCCAGCATCTCAGGTGCAAGAGTGAGCTTTAAAGACCTGGTGTGACCAGAATGGAGGTTTTCCAGGAAAGCAAACTAGAAAAAGGTGTGGGAGTGGACAGTGTGTATAAGAGAGGATGTAGTGATGGGTTTTTGGGCTCTGAGAAGGGTCAAAGGGAAGTGTGAGGATGGAGGGTGGGGATCGGTAGGAGGATCTGGGACTGAGGTTGGGGACTCGCTGGGGTGGGAGCATAGGTGAGCGAAACAGATCGGAAGGCATTGTCTGCCTTGGAGGTGGCATCTAGTCTGGGTTATGATCATTGTAATGGATGTCTAAGGTGGTATAGAACCCAGGTTCATTGAAATAAGGTCGTCGAAGAGAGATCAAAATGTCTAGATGTTCTAGTCTATTGTCAGATACCAGTGACACAACAGCAGTGGAGGGCAAGTATGCTAGAACAATCCACGAAGGATGGAGAGGATGACATCGTCGTCCCCAAAAGAAAGGGGTAGCTGGCATTATCTGATGGCCAGCACTTCACAGGAACTGGGATTCTTGAGGAATAGAGAAATGGCCGAGAAGTGCCAGTGAAGAACCAAGAAGGGTACCCACCTTCCTGTAAGTCCAGCAGTACATGGCAGGTAGGAAAAAGCTCAGCTCAAATCATCAGTATTTGCTCTGTGCCCTGAGGATCCAGCTCTGGAAGAATAAACCATGTTACCTGCTCTCAGAGCCTGCTACGACAGATGGACAGACAGTCGAGGACCCAGCAGAGGCTGGAGGGAGCCCTTTAATATGCCCCCAGGGTGGGTAGGGAGAGTTTGAGGTAGCTAAGGCCTCCTGGGCAGCTCTGTGAGGACTGAGGGCAGGGAGGGCCTTCCAGGTAGAGGCAGCTATTGTGTGTACTTGGGTCGCAGGGCTTCTGGCCTCCCCCATGCTTCTGTTTAATGGGGACAACAAATGCCTGCTTCAAAGGGTCCTGAGGATGTGAGCCCATGAGCCTGAAACACCTACCACAGCTCCTAGCAAAGATAGCCCACAGTGAAATGTTAGCTATGCTTCACAACAAACTATCTGTGAGAGGGGCCCCCAGAAGGTCAACCACAGGAGAGCCAGCCAGTAGGGGATTGTGGCAAACAGACTGTGACCCTCTCGCCCTCACTGCCTGGTGGTGAATCACCCTTGGGTGGAATGGCCACAGGGAGCCCAGGTCCCCAGAACAGGAGCAGGCCCTAGGTGTGTGGCACCTCTTGGGCTGCATGCCGTGGGCCTGCTGATGCTATCGCAGGTCAAGAGGGCTGTGTCTGCACTGGGAAGTTGCAGGGGTTCCTGGGGGAAGACTGCCTTGTCTGGTCTTGCCCCATGAGGCCTGGCTCAGGGCTGGTGAAGCATCTAGGTAGATGAGAAGCAGGAACTAGCACAGGAGTGGTCCCGGTGGGCCCAGTTCCCTCACAGCCAGCAGCAGGACTGAGGCTGGGCCTGTAACCAGCATCCCCAGGGCCTCCAAGGAGGGGCTGCTGCAGAACTGCAGAGTCCATCGGGAGGGCTGCTGGGGCTCTAACCCAGAGCAAGAGGCCGAGGACCCAGGGCAGTGCCTAACCAGGGGCAGCCACGGCCGCAGCTGCAGCCATCTGCTGGCACGTTGGAGGAGCTGGAGATGGAGGCAGCTGGCAGTGCCGTGCAGAAGGTCTGAGGATGCTACAGTTCCTGGATCTCTTGGGGTTCTAGTGGCCAAGGTAAATCTAGCTTAGGATCCCCTGAAATAAGTCACCTGGAATCTTGAGCAGGAACAGCCATCAGGCCTACAGCTGCCACATCGGGCACAGATAGAGGACAGGCCAGGAAAGAGGAAGTTCGAGTGACCCAGGTGGGAGAAGTCAGGGTCATTTCTGACCTAGAAAATGAATGGACTTGGGCTGGGCACAGTGGCTCACGACTGTAATCCTAGCACTTTGGGAGGCTGAGGCAGATGGATTGCCTGAGCTCAGGAGTTGGAGACTGGCCTGGGCAATGTGGTAAAACCCCATCTCTACTAAAAATACAAAAAACTAGCCGGGCATGGTGGTGCACACCTATAGTCCTAGCTACTCAGGAAGCTGAGGTACAAGAATTGCTTGAACCCAGGAGATGGAGGTTGAAGTGAGCCGAGATAGTGCCGCTACACTCTAGCCTGCTCAACAGAGCAGGACTCCACCTCAAAAAAGAAAAGGAGGGGGGGGGGCCAGGCGTGGTAGCTCACACCTGTAATCCCAGCACTTTGGGAGGTCCGAGGTAGGCAGATCACGAGGTCAGGAGATCAAGACCATCCTGTCTAACGAGACGGTGAAATCCCGTCTCTACTAAAAATACAAAAAATTAGCCAGGCGTGTGGTGGTAGGTGCCTGCAGTTCCAGCTACTCAGGAAGCTGAGGCAGAATGGCCAGAATCCAGGAGGCAAAGCTTACAGTGAGCTGAGATCACGCCACTACACTCCAGCCTGGGCGACAGAGCAAGACTCCCTCTCAAAAACACCTTTAGGATCTAATTAGCAAACGGACAACCACCACGTGTGGTCAACTTCCTTCTGATCTCTTCTGTGCATGGTTTTGTATTTAATGACCTAAAACTAGGAGACAGGCTTAACATGTATAATCATAAGAACACTTGGTTTCTTCAGAAAACTTGATGGAGGCATAATCCATCCAATAAATGGTTCTCACTGACCTTTCTAGCATCAGTAAGTGATTTTTTTCAGATGAGGCTGCTGAGCCCAGCCTGGGACAGTTTCTCACCTTTAGGACTCTGATATTATCGCAGGAGTTGGATTCATGGGCCAAAATGTAGAACCACCTACCCTGAGGCTTCACACCAGTCAGGAGCCTTGAAGGCATCATCACCTGAGCTCCAACTCCTGGCATGTAATAGGTCTTCAAGGAATACTGGTGAATAACTGGCCATTGCTTGTGTATGAACATCTGGTTGTCTACCAAGACCTGAATGCTAGAAACGGGGATGGCTGAGCCATTTCAGCTCCAGCCCTCCTGGAACTCACAGCCTTGCATCTGATATGAGGAATGAGCTGGTACCTTGACCATCAAATGTGACCGGCACCAGGTTACTTCAGTGGCTGGTCCATCCCTTCTTTCTCTCCTAGAAGACAACTCCAGTACCTTTGAGTTGGTGCTGGGGCCCGACCAGCACGCCTATACCTTGGCCCTCCTCGGGAACCACTTGAAGGAGACTTTCTACGTTGAAGCTATAGCATTCCCATCTGCCGAATTCTCAGGCCTCATCTCCTACTCTGTGTCCCTGGTGGAGGAGTCTCAAGACCCGGTATGTCCCCATAATAGATGGGTCCTCAGACTAGGATGCTCCGGTGGGGGAAAAGCCATCTCCCACAGTTGGGCAGAGCTTGAGGTTTGCTGGGGGAGAGCTGCAGAAGGCAAGTGGGGCCCAGCTGGGGGCCGGACTGAACGGCCGGAACCCTGGGGTAAGAGGGGAGCGAGTAAATGTGGAAGCAGGTTGCTAACAGGACCTTGTCTTGTTGCAGTCAATTCCAGAGACTGTGCTGTACAAAGACACGGTGGTGTTCCGGGTGGCTCCCTGTGTCTTCATTCCCTGTACCCAGGTGCCTCTGGAGGTTTACCTGTGCAGGTGAGAGACCATCAGGCTGACTGTGCCAGGCGGTTCTCATAACTGGCACCCTCTTCTTTCTATATGCAGGGCAGGGTGGGTGAAGATGACTAGGACCTCTCACCAGGAGAGTTGAAACCCTTCTGTCTGAGCTGTCTGGACCTGCCCCAAGACAGTCCAATACATGCCTGAATATTCCCAAAGATGGGCATGGAACAGTGAATGAGACAGTCCCCCCATTATGTGAGGGCCAAACGGCATGGTTTTAAACAGTACCAAGTGCTCTAAAGCAGGGTGAAGATGGAGAGGTCAGGATGAGAACCTGTCCCAGGGACGATGAAGCTCCTACGGAGCCAGAGAACAGGTGTGAGCCCAGGAAGGGGCGGTGTGGGGATGGGTGAAAAGAGCAGAGCCCTGTGGGCCCTGGGTGTTACGGTGAGGTAGCTGGGGCCATACCTACTCTAAATACAGTGGTGAAAGCTTTCTGTCACCTGGATGCCTGCAGGAAGATGGTACTGCTCGCCCACTGCCACTTAGGGGCCCTGGTTCCTTTCAGTCTTGTTATGCTTTCCCCTGGGGTGGCTGCCTCCTCTCTGGAGGCTGAGTGCACACATCCTAGGTCCAGGCCCGGGCCCCAGGAGGGAGAAAGAGCCAAGATTTGGACACTGCAACCTATGGTTGCTGCTAGTGGTCTGGAAGTCTCCTGAACCACTTCTCACATGCCAAAATCCTGAACACGCACGGGGCCACGTCCGGCTTCAGGGAATCCAGGAGCAGTCTCTAGCTATGTAGCCACATGCCTAGGGAGAAAAGGAGATAGGATCCTGAAGGCAGAACCAGTGGGAAGCCAAGGGTTCTGTCTGCATGATCACTCTGGCCACATGGAAAGTCAGGTACAGATAAAAGGTGGAAGACCAGTCTAGACACAGCATGGCTCAAGCCAGGGTGGCAGGAGCAGCCTTTAGTTGGGATTGGTCCGCAGGTAGGACACCCCCGCCCCACTCGCTCCACACCGGCCGCCTCCAGATTACTACCACCACGTTGCCCTTTATTGCAAATTCCTTAGGTGAAGGCTTTTTTGTTTTTTTAAGGTAGGAGGCAAAGGATAATGCTGATGGAATGCTCTAGCAGGGATGGGAAACACTAATAGGAAAAGGTGGCCAGTGTGGTGGCTCACACCTATAATCCCAGCACTTTGGGAGGCCGAGGCAGGAGGATCACCTGAGGGTCGGAAGTTCGAGACCAGCCTGGCCAACATGGTAAAACCCCGTCTCCACTAAAAATACAAAAATTAGCCAGATGTGGTAGTGCATGCCTGTAGTCCCAGCTACTCAGTGAAGCTGAGGCAGGAGAATCACTTGAACCCAGGAGACAGAGGTTGCAGTGAGCTGAAATAGCCCCACTGCACTGCAGCCTGGGAAACAAGAGCGAAACTGTCTCAAAAACAAAAAATAAAATTGCTGGGTGTGGTGGCTCATGCCTGTAATCCCAGCACTTTGGGAGGCTGAGGCGGGCGGATCACCTGAGGTCAGGAGTTCAAGACCAGCCTGGCCAACATGGTAAAACCCCGTCTCTACTAAAAATACAAAAAACAATTAGCCAGGCATGGTGGTGCACCCCAGTAATCCCAGCTACTCGGGAGGCTGAGGCAGGAGAATCTCTTGAACCCAGAAGGCGGAGGTTGCAGTGAGCCAAGATTGCACCACTGTACTCCAGCCTGGGTGACAGATAAGATTCCATCTCAAAAAAAAAAAAAGACTTCTACCCCTCTTCCAGGCTCCGTGGGTGTAGAAGCCAGACAGCTTTTCCAGGGCAGGGCTCCTGGGGAGTGTGGTCCTCAGAGGAATAGCAGGCTTCAGGATGAGAAGGTAAAATCTCAGAAAGTCTGATGGGATTCTGCTGATGGCAGATACAAAAGACATAAAGCAGAGAGATGTGGTATCTCGAGTATTTGAAGACGGGTTTCTCACTCACAGGAGGCATCTACTTGTTCTTCAAAGAAACCCAAGTCTTCCATACAGTGTGATATTCAGGCATGGTTTGACCCCATATAGCTGCATATGACCTGCAAGACTGAGCCGACACACCCTTCCCCCAGTAAGCGTCAGACTGTTCTAGACCTTGTCAGGCTGGTAGCTCCCTGTGGCTTTGCATAGACCCAAGAAATAGGTTCTTTGGAGCAGTAGCATAGATACTATGAATGTGCTATGCCAGTAGTTACATTGCTGTATTCTATTAGTAGCAACATGAGCTTTGGACCTGAAGCCGGACTACAGTCCCAATTTCAATATCTCCCAATATTAGGGCCTTGCTGACCTCCAACTTTTGAGGACCTGTTTGTTCCGTTTGTTTAAGATAATTTATTATTTTTTCTTTTTGAGATGGAGTCTCGCTCCGTTGCCCAGACTGGAGTGTAGTGGTGTGATCTTGGCTCACTGCAGCCTCCACCTCCAGGGTTCCAGCAATTCTCCTGCCTCAGCCTCCCGAGAAGCTGGGATTACAGGCATGTACTGCCACGCCCAGCTAATTTCTGTATTTCTAGTAGAGATGGGGTTTCACCATGTTGGCCAGGATGGTCTCAAACTCCCAGTCTTAGGTGATCCGCCCGCCTCAGCCTCCCAAAGTGCTGGGATTACAGGCGTGCGCCACTGCGTCCGGCCAGATGAGTGGTCTTAACATCAGCCTCACACACTGCTGTTTCCCTTCAAGGAAGGGATGGCCACTGTAGATCTGTGAGCCTGATGCTGTGCACAACGGCTTGAAGACCCCAGGGCTCAAGACCCACCCAACGCCACACATATAAAAATGACAACCATGCATGGTGGCAGGCGTATAGTCCCAGCTACTGTGGGGGGCCGAGGCAGGAGACTCACTTGAACCCAGGAGGTGGAGGTTGCGGTGAGTCAGATCATGCCACTGCACTCCAGCCTGGGTGACAGAACGAAAGGAAGGGTACTTGCAGAATGTGACCGAAGGGTATAAACAGAGCAGGCCTTGGCTACCAGGGAAGGGGCCGCCACTGGCACTTCCCAACCTGGCTCTGCCATGGGCAAAGCTGAGTAGTGTCAGACAAGATGGGCTCTGAGCTTCTGGCTTGTGCCGAGGTCAGGGATGGTTGCTCTGTCGACCTCACGGGCAGGGATGTAACCTCTCCTGGTGAGAAGGATGTGTTCTTCCTCTCTTGGCACAAGGAGGTCATAACCAGTAAGGGACCTTCGAAAGCCTTCCCAGAACTGGCTTCTCTCCCATGGCAGGGAGCTGCAGCTGCAGGGTTTTGTGGACACAGTGACGAAGCTGAGTGAGAAGAGCAACAGCCAGGTGGCATCTGTCTATGAGGACCCCAACCGCCTGGGCAGGTGGCTCCAGGTAACACCCCACCTGGGAACCCACCTGTCGGGGAGGGGTGGGGAGACTCAGCATGTGCCACCTAAGAGGAACTTCACAGGCTTCTGGTTAACCTTAAAGACCGAAGCCTTGATAGGGGCGGCCCTGTTCTTAGGACTTCAGTGGAGGCTCAGATGAGGATTTGCCTGAGTCATGGCCACTAAGGAATAGTTAGAGTCCAGCCTCCTTCCCATTCCAGAATGGACACGTGTTCAAGACCACAGAACCCTAACCCCCAGGCCCCGGAAGGCTCTGATACCTTTGGCTAAGGCTGTGAGAGCTGGGCCACTGCCCTGGGGTCCCGCCTGACTCTGGCACAGCACCAAGTCTAGAGCCCCGGTCAGCCTTCGGTTCTAGAGCTCTGTCCTCTGCAGATGAGTGATCATCACATGCTAGGCACGCCATCCTGAGCACCAGAGATAAACTGGAACATATGCTGTCCCATGTTAGCAAGGATAGAACTTTTAAGTGCTATGAAATTTAGACAATGAGATGATACAGTGATTCATTAGACCAAATGAGGCAGTTTAAGAATAGTTGGGAAAATCTGCAAATGAAACTTAAGGAAACAAGGAGCTGGCCATGCAGAGATTTGGGGCAGGGGTGGCCAGGATTAAAAGGAGTTCCTGGCCGGGTGCAGTGGCTCAAGCCTGTAATCCCAACACATTGGGAGGCTGATCACTTGAGGTCAGGAGTTTTAAAACAGCCTGGAAAACATGGCAAAATACTGTCTCTACTAAAAAAATACAAAAATCAGCCGGGCATGGTGGCGCGCGCCTGTAGTCCCACCTACTCTGGTCACTGAGGCAGAAGAATCGCTTGAACCCAGGAGGCGGAGGTTGCAGTGCACCTAGATCACGCCACTACACTCCAGCCTGGATGACAGAGCGAGACTGTCTCAAAAGAAAAAAAAAAATCTGGGGTTGTGCTTGGAGGTCTTGAAGAAGGCTGATGCAGACAGATCACAGTGAACAAAGGTGAAAGGCAGGGCTACCTCCTGGTTAAGGTACCTTTTAAGCTAAGGACAAACAAGAGACACTCAAAGCATGAATCGGGAATGAAAGGTTATAGTTCAGGTTTTCAAAAGACCCCTCTGGCTAAGATGTAGGGAACAGATCTTAAGAGTAGGCAAGAATAGAAGCGAAACTGGAAGGCATCACAGTGGCATAGGGTGGAGACACGGTGGCTTCCTGAGTGGCACCAGCGCAGAGCTGACTCAGAATGTAAGCCAGTAAGGCTTGTTAATGGATTCTTTACGAAAGAAGAAAGGAAGAATCTGGATGCTCAAGTCTTTTTCGCCCAGACTGGAGTGCAGTGGCGCGATCTCAGCTCCACTGCAGCCTCTGCCTCCTCCTGAGTAGCTGGGATTACAGGCATGAGCCACCATGCCTGGCTAACTTTTTGGTTTTGTTTTAAGTAGACTGTCTCACCATGTTTCCCAGGCTGGTCTTGAATTCCTAGGCTCAAGTGATCCACCCACCTTGGCCACCCAAAGTGCTGGGATTGCAGGCGTGAGCCACCACACCTGGCCATGGATGCTCAAGTCTTAAACCTGAAGAGTAGGGGAGAGAGGGATCGGAGAGCCTTCAAGAAGGGGTGATATCTGAGCTGGGTGTTGAGGGTTGAGCAGGAGTTGGCAGGAAGGAAGGGGGTTCTTACCGTACCTTTTCCGTAAATGGGGTCCGGGGAGATGTGTGACTGGCAAACAATCTGTCTTCCTCTCCATTCCAGGATGAGATGGCCTTCTGCTACACCCAGGCTCCCCACAAGACAACGTCCTTGATCCTCGACACACCTCAGGCCGCCGATCTCGATGAGTTCCCCATGAAGTACTCACTGGTGTGGAACTTGGTTTGGCTAATCTGAGCTCAGTCCAATCTCTCAGGCCTGGGGCCTGCCTAGAAATAATGGGGCACCAAGTGGGGAGAGGGCCCAGGTGGCCTCTGAGGGGGGAGGGGACGTGGAAGTCTACCTGAGAGCCTGGATTTAGGGATAAGACTGGGGCCTAAAGCCATCCCCTACTAACACCCCTTCCCTGGCTCGGTCTCTCCCCCAGAGCCCTGGTATTGGCTACATGATCCAGGACACTGAGGACCATAAAGTGGCCAGCATGGATTCCATTGGGAACCTGATGGTGTCCCCACCTGTCAAGGTCCAAGGGAAAGAGTACCCGCTGGGCAGAGTCCTCATTGGCAGCAGCTTTTACCCCAGGTGAGCCACAAAGCCAGACGCCTCCAAATGAAAGGAAGGGACCATGGTCGTTCCCCTGGCCCCGCCTGCTTCCCATAGCACCTCAGCAGGTCACACACACTGGACCATTTCTTAAACTGAAGACATTTGAGCTTTTGATTCACGTGGGAGACTAAAGATGAGAATAAACCATTTATTCTTTGATTCCAGGGTTTAAACTGAAACAAGTGAAATTTGGTCCACCAGGATGTCATTTCCAAGAGATATGTGGTTGGATTTCTTGGTGGCCATAAATCCAAAATGATACTTGTGCCCGGGCTTGTCTGTCTAGAAACACTAGGCTCTGTTCTGAGTGGGGTCAGAGTAAGGGATTCGTAACCAACACATCCGCTATGGACCGGCCTCTTTCACACAACGGTCAGAGGCCAGCTCCCTGGAGGCAGCATGACACCAAGTGGCGGGTGACCAGCCCTGGGCCACACTGGCTCAAGAGCTGTTCTTTCCATCTTCCTTCTAGCGCAGAGGGCCGGGCCATGAGTAAGACCCTCCGAGACTTCCTCTATGCCCAGCAGGTCCAAGCGCCGGTGGAGCTCTACTCAGATTGGCTAATGACTGGCCACGTGGATGAGTTCATGTGCTTCATCCCCACAGATGACAAGAATGAGGGCAAAAAGGTCTGCTTTGGGGTCTGGAGAAGGGACATCTGACCCTTGCCTTCTGTTGGGGAATCTTGGAAGATTCTGGAGAGAAAACTGGCTTTTTCTTGTTTTTTTTTTTTTTTGTTTGTTTTTTGAGAGTCTTGCTCTGTCACCCAGGCTGGAGTGCAGTGGCGTGATCTCCGCTCACTGCAACCACTGCCTCCCGGACTCAAGCAATTCTCCTGCCTCAGCCTCCTGAGTAGCTGGAATTACAGAAACATGCCACCACACCTGGCTCATTTTTGTATTTTTAGTAGAGATGGAATTTCACCATGTTGGCCAGGCTGGTCTCGAACTTCTGACCTCAGAGGATCTGCCTGCCTCGGCCTCCAAAGTGCTGGGATTACAGATATGAGCCACCATGTCCAGCTGAGAAAGCTGGCTTCTGACCCAAGTTCTGTTTCCCAGGGCTTCCTGCTGCTCCTGGCCAGCCCCAGTGCCTGCTATAAACTGTTCCGAGAGAAACAGAAGGAAGGCTATGGCGACGCTCTTCTGTTTGATGAGCTTAGAGCAGATCAGCTCCTGTCTAATGGTAAGGGAACTCCCTTTCCACAGAACAGAACTGGGGTCTTCCTTTTTCCAGGGGTCCTTTCTACATAGCCATTCTGTCACGCTTGGCGTAAAGGATGCCAGGGAAGCACAGAAGCTGTTGGAATTGCCATATTAGAACGTCTTATTTCTGGGCTGCTCTAGTGGTACTACAACACAAGTAGACCAGATGTTCTGGGATGGCCTGGAGGCTGTTTGGATGTATTTGAAGGGGGACTCACTTAGTACATAGGTGGCCCCAAGTGGGGGGAAAACGGGTGTTAACAATGCTAGTGCCTGGATTTATTCAGGGCATGTTGGATTAAGTATCTAGGGACTGGGACTTTGTGGGTCTCCTGGTTACATTAAGGAAACACACAGGTGGACAAGCAGAGGTGGTGTGGCTGGTGCCATTGCACTTCTGATCTAAAGGCTGTGGGAGTGGGCTGGGCATGGTGGCTCACACCTGTAACCCCAGCACTTTGGGAGGCTGAGGCGGGCAGATCACCTGAGGCCAAAAGTTCGAGGCCAGCCTGGCCAACATGACGAAAGCCCATCTCTACTAAAGATACGAAAATTAGCCGGGCATGGTGGTGCATGCCTGTAATCTCAGCTACTCGGGAGGCTGAGGCAGGGGAATCGCTTTAACCTGGGAGGTGGAGGTTGCGGTGAGCTAAGATCGTGCCATTGCACTCCAGCCTGGGCCACAGAGCAAGACTCCATCTCAAAAAATAATAAAGGCTGTAGGAACCCAGAAAGGGGCTGGGGGTATTAGGTTTTTCTAGACCCTCAATACTCAAAGTGTTATCTGAGGGCCAGCGCACCTGGGAGCTTGTTAAAAATGTAGAATTTCCACCCTGCTCCACACCTCCTGGATACTCAGCCTTTGGGGTTGGGGCCCGGGAACTCCTGGTCATAGAAGCACCATGGAAGGTGACATCTGCTGAGCATGAACCACATGACAAAGACTATCACCTCAGAGCTGGCAAATAAATTGGGCATCCCTGTCCCAAAGATCAGGCAATTGAGGAACAAAGGTAATGTAACCTGGAGAGGGTCACAGGCAGAAAGTGCCAGGTTGTATTGGCATAAGGGGAGTAGGGGCTGAAGTCATCCTAACAAGCTCTAGGCTGTGTCCCTCAGCCTGGCACAGGCTATTCCCCCTCATGCTGGGGACAGAGTGGCCAGTGGCAGTAAGTCCTGCCTGGGAGTTCTGGTGTAGACCCTGGTCAGTCCCCAGAAGGAAGATATTGGACCTGAGGGTGTGATCCCTGGAGATAGGCCAGTCCTCTCGCCATGGTCACTGGCCCAGGAATGCACCCAGGTGGCTGGGCCTGGCCCGAGTGTGCCCAGCTCTGGGCAGTGCTGCCATTCCCTGACCAGCAGGCCTGCTGCCCGCTTCTTCCTACAGGAAGGGAAGCCAAAACCATCGACCAACTTCTGGCTGATGAAAGCCTGAAGAAGCAGAATGAATACGTGGAGGTAGGACCAGTGTGAAGGGGGCCATCCCCAAGAAAGAGCTGGTGCCGCAGGTCTTGCAGGAAGGTTTCCACCCACCCCTCCTGAGGGGTGAAGTGTTGGGCGGCGGGGGGCAGCTGCCTGCCACCCTTTCTTCCAGGTCTTGATACAGGCCCAGGTCTGGGGCTAGAGCTGGCCATATGCCAATGTAGGGAGACTAGAGGAGTAAGGAGTTAGGTCTCTGGAGTCAAACACAGCACGATGTACCTTTATGCTTGGAAGAGGGCTGGAAGTGGGTAACACAGCTTTCTATGGTGTCAGATGGCTGAGGACCCAGGGTGGGACAGGGGCAGGGAGGAGCGCCATGGCATGTCGGGACCGTTGACAGATATTACTTGCAGATACTGTCAGAGGGAGTTTACTTTGCTATGACTATGCAGCTGGATCTTTTCCCCCAAGCTGGGAAAGCCCTGATTATCCAGGTTCCTAGCTGAGAGCCAATGATGGCCCAAGCATTTTGCGAGATACCTCACTACAAACCCTGCAGATAGCCCTATAAAACTACAAACCCTGCAGATAGCCCTATAAAGTAAAACACCTCTTACATATGAGGGTAGTGAGGCACACAGTAAAACCGCTAGCCCAGGACAATCATTTGGGAAAATGAGTCTGAACTCCCAAGTTCATGTGTTGCTCATTATACTCAAGCTGCCTGGGGTCCATTTCCCGGAAAATGACATAGCTCCGCAGCCTCCTTGAAGAAGCCGGCTCCTCACTTCCGAGAAGCTGAGTATCAGACTCAAATAGACGAGGGACTACTCAATGCTTTCTGGATGAAGTGGCCCATCACAGCAGTCCCGAGGATGGTGTTCAGGGTCACCAAACTTCAGAGATCTTAGAAGTGAATCATTGGCTATAAGAAGCAGAGTCTCCCCAACTTGTAGAAGGAGAAGCTTAGGCCCAGAGAAGGGTAATTTCTTGGCTGAGGTTGCATGGTCAGCAAAACTGCTTCTCTCACTGGGTCCTTAACATTCCCAGGAATGTTCCCAAGGAATGTTCTATGCCCCGCACAGTGCATGGGTACCCTGTTTTGCAAGAACAGCCCCCCTGGCATAGCAGGGTGGGTGCCAGCCAGGCATGGGGCTGAGACAGCATCTCCCAGCCCCTGGCGACAGCTTAGGTGTGTTGGGTATGTGTCTGAAGCCTATTTCAAGACCTAGGGAGACAGGTGTGTTGGGTTATGTCTGAAGCCTATTTCAAGACCTAGGGAGATGCCTGGGTATTGGGCTCAGCTGGTCTGGGTTGAGAAGTGCCAGACGCTGTCTAGCCATGGGATCCTGGACTAAAGACTAGGCCATTCCTGAGCCCCTACTTCCCCATGTGAAAAGGGAACTGCCTATTTCGTAAGGCTGGTATGAAGTGTGAGGCTCCTGGCACACAGCAAGTGATGGGGATGGTAGTGGTGTCAGGCCATCACCTACCTTCAGTATGGAAGGAAACTGGTTTTAATTCCTGATGAGCTCTCCTTGCTCCCCCGCCCCCCCCCCCACCCACCCACCCACCCACAGAAGTGCATTCACCTGAACCGTGACATCCTGAAGACGGAGCTGGGCCTGGTGGAACAGGACATCATCGAGATTCCCCAGCTGTTCTGCTTGGAGAAGCTGACTAACATCCCCTCTGACCAGCAGCCCAAGAGGTCCTTTGCGAGGCCATACTTCCCTGACCTGGTGAGGGGCGACTGCGCATCCCTGGGTGGGGGAGGGCCTGTCCAGGCAACACTGGCTGCCACCTCACTGTGCTGGACTGCAGATATGGTGGACAGCAGATAACGGTACCTATGAGGAAATGGGAGGGAGACCCCTTCTCCCCCATCTCGGTTAGGGACGCCCCACCCAGAGAGCAAGTGTACAGGGCCTGAAGGCTTGGAGGTTCCCCAGGCAGTTACTATGGGCCAGGCCCTGGGCCAGGTGCTTTAGGAGCCTCAGTGAGCTGCGCCCCCAGTCTAAAAGGGTGAACCTGTGAGGCCCACTTCGGATGGGGTGCTATGCAACCCAGAGTCGAGGTTGCCGCGCATCTGCCAGCAGCGAGGCCTTGAGCAACCTACCTCAGGGTGGGTCTTCCTGTCCGCTATCTCCAGGGTCCAGGGCAGCAGTGTCTGATACATAGAGGTACATCAGCCCTTAAAATAACATTCTAGGCCAGGCGCAGTGGCTCATGCCTGTAATCCCAACACTTTGGGAGGCCGAGGCAGGTGGATCACCTGAGGTCAGGAGTTTGAGACCAGCCTGACCAACATGAAGAAACCCTGTCTCTAAAAATACAAAATTAGTTGGGTGTGGTAGCACATGCCTGTAATCCCAGCTACTCAGGAGGCAGAGACAGGAGAATTGCTTGAACCCCGGAGACAGAGGTTGCATTGAGCCTAGATCACTCCATTGCACTCCAGCCTGGGCAACAAGACTGAAACTCCGTCTCTAATATTTATTCTGCTTGGCTGGTCGTGGTGGCTCACCTGTAGTTCTAGTACGTTGGGAGGCTGAGGTGGGAAGATCACTTGAACTCAGGAGTTGGAGAGCAGCTAGGGCAACATAGTGAGACCCTGCAACTTTAAAAAAAAGAAAAAAAAAATGCTGGGGCCAGGGTGCAGTGGCTCATGCCCGTAATCTCAGCACTTTGGGAGGCTGAGGTGGGTGGATCACTTGAAGTCTGAAGTTCGAGATCAGCCCTGCAAACATGGTTGAAACTCTCTAGTAAGAATACAAAAAACTAGCTGGGTGTGGTGGTGCATGCCTATAATCCCAGCTAATCAGAGGCTGAAGCAGGAGGATCCCTTGAACCCAGGAGGCAGAGGTTGCAGTGAGCCAAGATTGCACCACTGGACTCCAGCCTGGGCAACAGCAAGACTGTCTCCCAAAAAAACAAACAAAACAAAACAAAAAATGCTGGGTGTGGTGCCACATGCCTGTAGTCTCAGCCACTCAGGAGGCTGAGGCAGGACAATTTCTTGAGCCCCGGAGGTGGAGGCTACAATGAGCCACTGCACTCTAGCCTGGGTAACAAACCAAGACCTTGTCTGATAAACCAAACCAAAAAAAAAAAAAAACATTCTGGGGCTGGGCGTGGTGTCTTACACCTGTAATCCCAGCACTTTGGGAGGCCCAGGCAGGCAGATCACTTGAGGTCAGGACTGCGAGACCAGCCTTACATGGAGAAACTGTCTTTACCAAAAATACAAAATTAGCCAGGTGTAGTGGTGCATGCCTGTCATCCCAGCTACTCAGGAGGCTGAGGCAGGAGAATCGCTTGAACCTGGGAGGTGGAGGTTGCAGTGAGCGGAGATCACCCTGTTGCACTCCAGCCTGGGCAACAAGAGCAAAACTGTTTTGTTTTTTTGTTTGTTTGTTTTTGTTTTTTAAATTCTGTTCCTACTTATTCTAAACCAGAAGTTATAGTCAAGAGTGGGGCTGTGAGTACAAGAGGTCCTGGCTTCACCAAGCCTATGCCGACTGTGGCTCACATCTGAACTTTCTCATGTAACAACTGACCCCTTATATAGGTGTGTAAAATGAACTGAGGCATTTGAGTGCCCCAATTCTCTAAACACCTGCTGACCTCTTCCCTGGGTCCTAGGGACACAGGCCCTGCATGCTCCAATTGTACATGGGTGTCTTCTAACTTGATCAGCTCAGTGTGGTCCGGCAGGGGTGAGTAACGGTAAGAAGCTGCTTTGAGGAGGAGTTGAGATACAAAAGATGCGCAGCAGTCAACTGACAAAGCGGGGGTGGGGAGAGTGTTTCAGTGGAGGCAGCAGCCATGTGTTGTATCCAGGTGACAAGAGGCCAGAATAATCGAAACGTAGAAACTAGAGAAGTTGACAATCCCAGACCTTGGCCAGGCAGGATTTTATCTGGCTGTTGAGAAACAGCCATTGTAGGGCTAAGCAAAAGTGAGCTGGGTTTCACTGACCTGGAGGAGGCGGCTGCCTGCCTGCTACGCCTGGTCTGACCGCAGAGAGGCAGGTGGGCGGCTGGCTTTCAGGCCTCTGATCCCTGTCCAGGCCTCACCCACCCTGTCTTTCTAACAGTTGCGGATGATTGTGATGGGCAAGAACCTGGGGATCCCCAAGCCTTTTGGGCCCCAAATCAAGGGGACCTGCTGCCTGGAAGAAAAGATTTGCTGCTTGCTGGAGCCCCTGGGCTTCAAGTGCACCTTCATCAATGACTTTGACTGTTACCTGACAGAGGTCGGAGACATCTGTGCCTGTGCCAACATCCGCCGGGTGCCCTTTGCCTTCAAATGGTGGAAGATGGTACCTTAGACCCAGGCCCTGGAGCTGCCAGCTCTGCCCCAGCGTGGATGGCCCACTGTCACCATGCAACAGCATGATTCTTTGCCCAGTAGAGGAGGCTGGAGAGTCCAGGCAACAGAACCCTTTCTTCCCTGTCTGCCCCGACCGACCCTCGGACCCAGTAGGATGGCAAATGCCGCCAGCTTGAACCCCTATGGGGAAAAGATGCAAAAGTGTTCAGCCAAGTGACGTTTACTAAATAGCCAATAAAGGGCTGGTGGGTGTGAATGCATCTTGGCAGTGACCTCCTTGTTTGGGGAGGGGATAAGTGACAACTGAGGACAAGGCTGAGCTGAGATACCTATGGCCATGCTGGCCTGCTTGTGTGGGGGGAGAGACTTGGCTACATCAGTTGCTGTCCTTCCCCTCATCTCTAAATTATGTCGTGGCAGGAAGTGGTTGGACTTATCCAAATGGACTTAGATTATCCAAATGGATTTAAGATTATCCAAATGCTGCTCTGGTTTAAGCAACTGGGACAAGCTGGGTCTAGAGTCCAGGGCCCAGGCTAGAGGAAGGTCGAGGGCCTCCCCCTTGGGACTGGTAGGACCTGGAGGGGGCAGGCCCACGGTGGGGGTGGTGCCATGCACGGCAGGCAGCTGGCCTCAGCAAGTGGAGGCTCTGGTCTCCTTGGGTCTGTAGGTGTGGCCTCTTTGAGAAGGCACAGCAGGGGTGGACCTGGGCTGACCCTCAGCCTGAAATGTCCCCTCCAGGGCCCAAAGCCACATATTCCCATCTGACCACCCCTGTGTTAATGGTACAGGGATGCTGTTAAGCTTTAACTGGCGCTGTGGCTCCCACCCTGCTCCTCCTGGATGATGATGACTCTAGGACACTCTAATCCTCAGGGTAGAACCTGAGAAGGGAGCCCTGTGTCCATGTCCCACAGGGAGTTGAAGGCAGAGCTGGGCCTCAAACTAGCCCCCTTCCTAACACCTGGGGCTCTGTGGGCAGCAGGCAGGACCTGGCCAGCCTCTGCCAGCTGCTGGGGCAGTGGAGGAGGGTCATCCTAAGGAAGCGAGGCAGAAGCCAGGGTTGGGGCAGCAGGGCTGGTCTCTGGATCAGATGTGGGTTTTTATCCAAGAGCTGTGCCCTGGTGTGCCAGCTACCCCAGGACATCTTACGACATCTCGTTAACCTGCCCATGGTGGTGCAGAGTTTATGGACTACACTAGAGACCTCTTGTTGTATTCATGGCTCTGACCCCTATACCAGCCTGGGACTGACACAGACCAGGCCTTCAAATATGGGGAGGGATGGATGAGCTCATCTGCATTTTCAGATAGTCTAGAAAAGCCAAAAGAAATAGAGGACTCTGGACCCCAAGGGCTTGGGGCTCCATCTCTAGGGAAAAAGGGGAGAGGAAAGCCCTAGGGCCAGAAGGGGGACAAAAGGTTCACTCTTCCACCCCCATGGGCTTTTCCCAGGGAACTTGCCCACCTCTACCAAGGGCTGCCTTAGGGTGGATGAATTGGTCCCTCCTCTGACCCTAACTAGACCCTCACCCAGAGCTTTTCAGGTCAGCCCTGGGCCCCTCCCGCCCCACCTGCCTAAGGGTCCTGCAGGAAATCTTGGCAGCTTGACACCCTTCTCTCCTGTTACCTCCCAGGCAGCACCATCCTGATAGCACCTGGAGAAGCACCCCCCCAGCCCTGGCTGTTAGCAGACACCTGCAGCAGAGAGCTGGGTGTACTTGGCTTGCACAGTGTTATAAACGTCTCTAAGTTAGGCACTGACAATTTACTCAAAGTCTGGATTTCCAGCTCCTGCTGCCAAGTCTTTAGACCTGACCACACTGGGCCCGAGGCTGAAGACTCACTGGCCACACCCTCTAGACAAAGATGTGCTCCAACAGGCCCCAGTCCCCATCCCTCCCCACTGTGTTCCCCTGCAAAGGTCAGTGGTCATTTGGCGCCATGCTTGCACTACTGCTGTAGGGAAGGAGAGGAAATGCTCCCTGTACTGGCCAAAGGCAAGAAAACAAGGTAAGTGGGCTCTGTGCCTCAGTTTCCTCACCAGCGCAAGTGGGTAAGAGTTGTGCCTGTCTCGAGGTTGTTCTGAGGACTGGAGTTATTTACATAAAGCCCTAGAAAGACACGTGGCACCTCTCATTCCTGAAGGCTGGGAGACCACATCTCTGTAGAAGTAAACAAAACCCTCCATTGCCTGCATAGCAGACACGGGGCCAGGCGCAGTGGCTCATGCCTGCAATCCCAGCACTTTGGGAGGCTGAGGCAGGTGGATCATTTGAGGCCAGGGCTTCAAGGCCAGCCAGGCCAACATGGGGAAACCCCGTCTCTACTAAAAATGCAAAAATTAGTCGGGGCATTGTGGCATGCACCTGTAATCCCAGCTACTTGGGAGGCTGAGTGGCTGAGTTGAGAGAATCACTTGAACCCAGGAGGCAGAGGCTCCAAGATCATGCCACCGCACTCCAGCCTGGGCAACAGAGTGAGACTTCGTCTCAAAAAAAAAAAGAACAAAAATCACAGGAAATGCTGGCGGGGTGGGGGGTGGGTGGGAGAGTGCTGGGGACCCAGTGTGGGGGCAGCTGAGGGTTTTGGAGATTCCAGCCCTCCCATGTGCCTCCCAACCTGCAACAGGCCATCTTTTAGTTCTCTAGAGGCACCGAGTCCTCTCCCCTCCAGGCTGCTTCAGTGCCCAGAATGCTTTTAGCAGGGGGCGACCCCCATTTCCCTTCCAAAGCCTTGAAGGGGCTGTTCCTGTCTCCCCTTCCCTCCTCCCTGCATCCCTGCCTACTGAGTCCTCCCAGTCTGGAGAGTGGGCTCCATTGCTATTGTCTGGTGTGAACACCAGCTAAGCTGGATCCTGAGACCCTCCAGCTTGACCATCCCGCGTGGCGCTTCCGCAGGTCCCCGCCCTTCAATGTGGGGCTGGGGCAGGTGTTCGGGGCAAAGCAGGGCTGGGTAGGAACCGGCAAGTCCCCTTCCCCATTCGCCATCCTTCCAGCCCTTTTCACTCTTCCCTGGGAGCTTAAGGAGCCGCTTAGTGTGGAGGACATTGGCCAGAAAGGCTGCTGGCTTGACGGGGCAGGACAATAGCAGGAGGCAGCAGCTTTGCAGGTGAGAAAACCCCAGAGCCAAAGGCCGGGCACGGTGGCTCATGCCTGTAATCCTAGCACTTCGGGAGGCTGAGGTAGTGGGAGGAATCACCTGAGTTCAAGAGTTCAAGACCAGTCTGGTCAACATGGTGAAACCTCATCTCTACTAAAAATACAAAGAAATTAGCCGGGTGTGGTGGCCTGTGCCTGTAATCTTAGCTATTCAGGAGGCTGAGGCAGGAGAATTACTTGAACCTGGGAGGAGGAGGTTGCGGGGAGCCAAGATTGTGACACTGCACTCCAGCCTGGGGGACATTAAAAAAAAAAAACCTCCAGAGCCGCCCGTGGGGAGCCTGCCTTCTCTGCCCCCCCGACTTCAGGAGGCTTCTCCCATCCCCCAGCCACAGGCCTGGCAGGCCCCGGCTGCTCTGTATTGGCCACCTACACTGCCCCTGGAAGGGCAGGTGAAGGTCTCCTGGATGTTCTCGAAGCTCTCAAGACAGCCCCTCCAGGGTGGCCACAGGTCACATGGGCTCCCTGTCCTCAGCCAGGGGCAGGCTGGGGGAGCAGGGGAGGCCATCTTTGTTACTAGGATCTTTGTGGTTCCAGGCACAGGTCTTCCTACCCGCCCCACTGTGTCCCTCAGCCAAAGCCATTTTCTCTCTGCACCCCACTTCCCTCTATAACACAGGAATAAAAAACAAACAGCCTTCCCTTCAAGACTGCCTGTGTGGCCGGGCGTGGTGGCTCACGCCTGTAATCCTAGCACTTTGGGAGGCTGAAGCGGGCAGATCACTTGAGGTCAGTTTGAGACCAGCCTGGCCAACATGGTGAAACCCCGTCTCTACTAAAAATACAAAAATTAGCAGGGCGTGGTGGCACTTGCCTGTAATCCCAGCTACTCAGGAGGCCGAGGCAGAATTGCTTGAACCCAGGAGGCAGAGGTTGCAGTAAGCAGAGATCACACCACTGCACTCCAGCCTGGGCGACAGAGCAAAGCTCCATCTCAAAAATACAAGACCGAGCGCGGTGGCTCATGCCTGTAATCCCAGCACTTTGGGAGGCGGCCAAGGTGGGAGGATCACGAGGTCAGGAGTTCGGGACCAGCCTGGACAACATGGTGAAACCCCATCTCTACTAAAAATACAAAAATTAGCCAGGCATGTGGTGGACACCTGTAATCCCAGCTACTCAGGAGGCTGAGGCAGGAGAATCGCTTGAACCCAGGAGGCAGAGGTTGCAGTGAGCTGCGATTATGCCACTGCACTCCAGCCTGGGTGAAAGAAACTCAGTCTCCAAAAAGACTGTCGGAGTGGACTGCAGGAGTCAGGGGCGAGACACACGACACTCAATTTGCAGCATGTGCCCAATACACAACAGCCAGTGTGTCAGCAGGGACGCTGCCCCCAGCAGTGGCTTCCCTGCCCACGGGGGCTCTTCCAGGGCAGGAGCATCTGATGGGAAGCTCCAAGCTGCCAAGGGGGGAGATGGGGAAACACCGTGTTTTACATTTGGACTGTCCTGCAACAGTGCACATGCTCCTTCTGCAGCTAACAGGCCATGGGAGACCGTTTCCTCCTCTCCCAAACTGGGCCAATGCCTGCCAGGAGGGGCTGGTCTGGACACTATTCAGCCAGTCAACACAAGGTGGCCTGCACTCGAGGTTCCAGGGATCCCAGGCATCTTTGCGGCTGCAGGGAGCCGGTGTCCTGTGCAAGGGTCTGGTCTAGGACTCTGCCCGGTATAGACTCAGCAGCAGCCTAGAAGGGAGAGTGTCCGTGATCTCTGAACCTACGACCAGCCTCCTGGTGCCCTCTGGTGGGCAGTTGGCCACAATGCCTGCACAGAGCAGCACTGGCCTGAAGCCACAGCCGGGGCCTGACCAGAGCCCCCTGCTGAAGTCTGGGGAGTGGGTGCACATGCAGTCACCGCGCTGGATGCCTCCCATGACTTATTTTTTTCCTCTCAAAGCCCCAGTGAAAATGCAAAGAACTCCACTTCTGAATTGGACAACTGAGGTACTGACTCTGTCCCACTCCCCTAGCATTTCATGGGGCAGAGTTGGGGGATCCACTCACTTCAACCAGTGCAGTTTAAACCTGGAAGCTCCCCTGGGGCCACATGTCTCCTGGCACCACCTTCTGTGGGTGCCAGGGCTTAGGAGGTACACATATAAGGAGTTAAGAAAAACAGAGCTCCGTTCCAACCGAAAAAGAAATGCAAAATCCAAGACAGTAGACAATGTTGTTGTTTATTTAAAATGTTTACTCCAAGAAATATATATATAAAAAAAATAATAAGACAATTACAGCACTAAACCAGGCACCTTCGACCAAATCACAACCTCCTCTTTGATTCCCCTTCACGCTAAGCCTCTTTCAAATTCTTTTTCCTGAGCTGGAAGACCAGTCAGATGCCCGCAGGGTCAGCGCCAAGCACATTCCCAACCGGGCAACTGTGTACCTTTCTCTAGGAGTGCACGACACCCTTCCCCCACAACTCCTTGTTTTAAAGGATTTAACCCATTAGGAAGCCCATTTTTCAATCTAAGCCAGAAGGAGCTGCGGGACAAGGCAGTCTTCACTTTGAAGGTCCCTTTCCTGCTCCAGTCCCTGGGCTAGGGTTCTAGAAGAGGCTGGCTGCCACGTTTACATGAGGCCACCGAAGATCTAAGTCCAGCTAAGCCCAGGGAGGCTCCTGCAAAGGCTGGGACCTCGGGTGCTGCGTCCTCAACCCTCTCGGTGACCACGGCTCAAAGGAGAGACCTCAAGGGTGCCAGGAGCACAGGTGCCTGGGCTGCATTCCAGGAAAGAGACCTGTCCAGGGAAACGGATCAGGCTGTCGCATGGAAGCTTACGTCAGAGATGGTGGTTTTGGGGTGATTTGGACAAATTAGGTTAGTTTAGCAAAGCTCTGAAGTAGCAGAAGCTTCTCCCCTGGACTACTGATTGAACACAGAACAAGAGATGCGCGTGGCGTCAGACTAAGTCTTAGAGAGATGCAGGCCAGTCTCCTCCCACAGGGCCTTGGGACTGGCAGGACAGACACTGCTACATGCCCTCCAAGGGCAGGAGTCACGGTAAGGAGCGACTGGGGTGGAAAATAGGGAAAAAAGCAACAACAACTACATCATTTTTGGCATTTTAACATGGAGACAGTGACAAGTGGTAACAAAGCAAAAGAAAAAAAAAACTTGAAGAGACCAATATTTAACTTTCCCATCCACCCAAGTCTCACACTTAAGTTCTAGTCCCATCTCCCCCATAAGCACCACTGAACTAAATATCTATTTTAAAGCACCCAAACCAGTCCAGACCCTCTGGAAACCAAGAGCCCCAGCCACAGCTGTCGCCTCTCTTGGGTCCAGGCGAGAGGAGGGTTCCGGGAAAGGCACCTCATAACTCACTCAGCGCAGCACACACGGCGGCGAGCTCGGGCACTTGACGAGGACGCAGGTGGCAGTCACAGCATCCGTGCTGACACGCAAGGAAGGGGACTCTTCGGTAATCCCAACTATTTGGTACCAGAGCCAAGCAAACGTGACTAAAGGGAGCTGGGTCAGCAGAACGGTACCCCGAGTCTCAGCAACAGGACGGCCCGCGCGAGGCAGGATCCAGGCGGGGGGGAGAAAAAGAGACCAAAGCACAAGGCGATCGAGGCTGGCACAGAAAGGGCTGATCCTTCTTGCAAGGACTGGAGAATGCACTTGACTGCTGGCTGGTCCATCTCTTAATTGGCGAGTGCGCGTGACAAGGCTCAGCCCTGGCTCCACAGGGAGCCACCAAGCTGACTCAACTGATACAAATGTTCCCACCTCTGCCCCACCCCCAAGTCCCCATGGTTCCACAATCACCTGATTTTCATTTGGACCTCTTTAACAGCTAAAGTAGATATAAATGGCTAAACACAGATCCCCAATCCCCCACCAGGGGGGACACGGCCGATTCTATAATGTCGCAGCCAGAAGGCTGTGGGCGTACAGGCAGCCAAGGGGAGAAACAGAACCGACACCGGCCTAGGCCCATCTGCAAGAAAAAGCGGAGAAGGAGTGACCCGGATGCTTCCGAAGCACGCGAGCGTGATTTTGGATGGAGGCGGGCCGGTGACTGCCTAGCTGCTGCCGGTTCCTGTAAGGGACATTTTTTCTGAGTAAATGGCGATTCCTCTTCCATGTGGCATCTGCTTGGATCACGATGCTAATTGTAACTGGAAAGGGGTGTTTTGGGGAGTGTATTCAGGAGAGGAAGAAAGAAAAAACTTAAAAAAAAAAAAAACCTAGATTGCTCAAAGTTTCTGCCTCTTTTGTAGGAATGGTAAATCAACTATGAGCAAGTATTTTAATTCAACATTAAGGGAAAAAAAAGGACTTTGGAAAGCATACAGAAAAAAAGGTAGTTAACGTTGGATCATGTGTAAAACGGAACCTCAGGGAGTCTAAACAAAAATGCACCTTCGGTCAACTTTTGCTTTTTTAAATTCCTCGTTTGACTTCCCGTCCCAGTGCACATGGAAATGACAGCTGCCGCGAGAGGTGTGGAGTCGGAGGAGTCTCCGGGAGCATCAGAGGGTTCGGGGGTTGTATTCTGGCAGTTTCTTGATCTTCTCTTTCTCAGTCTCACTTTCATCTCTTGCTATCACCAAGGAGTGTGAGTAGCCCATGGCGACCTGGGGGGACAAATCAGCGTTGGGTGTGCCTGAGGCGCCTGGACTAATCAATGCGTTGAAGAGACTCTGGAAACTGGGCTGCTAAAGCGGGTCAGCATGGAGAAAAACAGAGTGCCCTTGAAAACTGCAAAAAGCCCCTCTGCCCAAGACAGCTAGTTTCCATGTGACTGCCACCAACGCTCTGCCAATCAGAGCCTTCCAGGCTGCCCTGGGAGACCCAGCTGGAAGGAAGCCCACTGGGCCACCTCTTATCAGCAGGGACAGGTGGGGACATGGCTCCAGCTCCACTTCCATCCCCCCCCTCTCTGGCTCACAATCCTGCCTGGGTGAGGTGCACCACCCCTCTCTGTGTCTTGGCAGACAGGGCCAGCAGGCTGGCTGACTGAGCCGCAGGGGCCTCACCCCGCCATCTGACTCCTGCAGCCACGCAGCCTCTACTCTGTGGACCTGCGGACCTGCCTCCAGCCCAGTGGATCTGAGTCCTGGGTGTGATGGAGACGCGAGCGATGTGCTCGCCCGAGAGTGGATCTGCTGCGGCCAGTTGGTGCCATCTGTCATCAAGGGTGAGGACAGCCACCCAGCCTGGCCAGCAACCCTGTGCACTCTCTCCTGCAGAATGATTGTTACCTCTCAAACAAATCTTAGCGTGAGACACCAGGAAAGCCAGCTGAGATGGTAAACAAGACAACCCAAACAGACTGCGATGATCAAAATCATGAGGAGTGACATACCACTGGGTACGGACACGTCCCCGAGCTGGCACAGCTGCCCCCACTCACCTGCTCTGAGAAAATGCCATCCAGAGTCTTTACCTCCTGGGCTGCAGTGGAAGACTTGGGCTTGTGGTCCCCGTAGCCCTGGCGAAGCAAACAAGATGTTCGCAATCGAGGATCCATGTGGCTCAGTCCACAAGTGGGGAATCACGGCAACATTTCCTGGCCCCCACTAACCAGAAGCCAGTGATGATGCCCTCTGGCCCATGACAAGCCCGGCCACCCTTGCACACAAGGGCCAGGTGGAATCATCCAAGTTTATCCACAAAAGGTGCCACCAGCAGGCGACTAGCGCTTAACCTAAGGAAGACCAAGGTGCCCAACTCTAGCCTGCAGGACTTCTGTGTGCACAAGTCCCTTCTGGGGAGTATGGCACTGGTGACAAGAGATGACACCACGAGTGCAGGAAGAATGGCAACTGCGGCCCTTCAGGACCAAAGCGACCAAGAACACGGGCTGACCAAATGCCCTTGATGCCTCCACCATCCAGAGTGGAATAATCACCATCCAAAACAAAACAAAATAAAAGGGCTTAAGCGTGACAGGGAGACTATTAGCAATGGCACCAGAGAACCAGTTTCCCTCCCAGAGGTAGAAGGAACTGGATGAATTGGCGCAGCTAAGGGGGAGTCTTGTGCAAAGGTGTGGAGCTGGGCAATTGAAAGACTGAAGGCCCTGGCTCAGGTGAAACAGAGGGTCCCACAGGGCGGGAGAGGAGGACCCTCCCTCCCCAGCCCAGGCCTGCCCACATGTCCCTGGTTTCATCTCCTGCCAGGCCCCACCTCGGGCCTTCCCACACAGTAGATGTTCCCTCCAAGGTGCCAGGCCAACTTCTCACCCTTGAGAAGCTCCCCAAAAAGTCTCCCTTGCTCCCCTCTAGTTTCAAAATTTATATTTAGAAGGTCAAAGTCTATTTCTGATAGGCCCCAGAAAACATCCTTCCTCCTCTAAGAACTATCTGTAGAAACTGGGCCAGGCTCTGTCTCTTTCCTGTCAATGTTTCAAATCGGGCCACCAGAGCATCTGAGCCAGACTCCAAGGGTGTGCAGAGCCCCGAGAAAAAGGTGCATTCACCATCCATCCCAGCCACAGCTCAAGGGACCAAGGAACGCCCTTCCTTCCCCTCCTCTCCATCAACCACAAGAGTACCTTGCAACCACAAGAGTGCAGGAGAGGGAGACAGACTGTGCTTCTAACAAGAAATAAGGGACTAAAACTAAGACCACCAAGAGTTAAGCGGAGAATCAAACCATGACTAGTGTAGGCAGATCAGGATGCACTCCACAGCCAAGCTAGTCTTCCTAACAAAAACTCAAAGACCCGCCTTGGCCAGGTGCAGTGGCTCACGCCTGTAATCCCAGCACTTTGGGAGGTTGAGGCGGGTGGATCACCTAAGGTCAGGAGTTCAAGACAGCCTGGCCAACATGGTGAAACCCCATCTCTACCAAAAATACAAAAATTAGCTGGGCGTGGTGGCAAACGCCTAGAGTCCCAGCTACTCAGGAGGCTGAAGCAGGAGAACTGAGAATCATTTGAACCTGGGAGACAGAGGGTGCAGTGAGCCAAGATCGCGCCACTGCACTCCAGCCTGGGTGACAGAGAAACTCCATCTCAAAAAAAAAAAAAAAAAAGACTCACCTAGCACCAGGATCTAAGAATGAAAGACATTTGTTTGCGGAAGGCCACGTGTGTGAAATTGAGGGTCATGAGTTCTAACCTCATCACTCAAGTAACTGGTATTAACAACAGAAACACAGGTTTAAACTCAATTTGGAAAAATGAAGAATGTCCTCAAATCACCCACAACTGTGAGTTTCCCACTGACTTAGGCCTCCAGGGGAGAGGGAACAAACAGGCCCTTTTCCTACCATAACCCAACTGTGGTTTACAAAATGTGAGGGGAAACCGGATCTGAAAAGTCCCAATTTTCAGAGTTTACAAATGTGCAGAGATGACTCAGAATTATCTGACTAGCACAGAATTGTCCTTGAAAACTCATGGGACTCAATCGTGTTGCAAACCTTAATACAATAAGGGGGGAATCCCAAATGTTTTTCTTCTGTGTGTTTTGGGAGACAGGTGGAGAGAACCCAAAGGCCATGAGCCACCCTGACTGGCTTCCACTTCCCCTGACCCGCACAGGTGACAGCTTACCAGTTCCCCAAAGGTCGGTGACGGACCCCAGCTGATGGTGCTCTCATCGGCGGCCACAATGATGCTGCTCTTCCTGCAAACAGGCAGGCTGTCACTGCAGGGCCAGCAGCCCCAGACCTGCACCCACGCAGCTATGGCTCAAGGGCATGAGTGTGAGCTGCCACTTTTCCCTTGGCGTACTCATTCCAAGTAGCAAACACAATAACAGGGCCAACAGGTTTCTCCTCAATCCTAAGATTGTTCCGTGCAGGCCACTCAACGCTTCAACAAAACAACAAAGCCCTTAGACAGGCCTAGGGGCCAAAGGCAGGGGACCTTGCTGTGCATCCTGCACAGCTCTCTCTCAGTGGGAGGTCGCTTTGGGAAGAGGAGACCAGATCAGGATAAAGTGAAAGCCTGTTCCAGAGGGAGCAGCCTTCATGCATAATGATTTGGGCAGGGCTAGAGCCTTCAACAGATTAAAGCCACGCCGACAGAGGCCCCTCATACTGTTCCACCCACACCTGCCAGCTGATAAATCCAACTCCTCAGCAAGAAGTGCTAGCTAACTCAACAGGTGTCCTGAAATGAACTACAAACCACTGCTGCCAAGACAATGTCGTCTTCCCAGTGTCACAGCAACTCAAGTCCTGCTACGTTTCCAACTACGTATAATTTTCAACCTGCAGCGTAGGAATACATCAAGCTCTGCTTGTTTATTTCTTTGAACAGAAACCTTCAAAATGACTTTCTTCCCACAAGACAGGGAACAGCCATCTGTTCTAGCAGCAAATGGGCCCTCTCCCCTCCTGTACCCCCGGACTCTGGGATTCAGTGTGTCAGATGGCCTGCTGAGGACAGCCCAACAGGCAGCAGAAACAGAGCCCCATCAGGGAGGGGCACCCCATGGGTGTGTCTGACACCCCCATGAAAGGAAGAGACCTCATACCCACAGGAGATGCTGCCACCTACCCACAAGCCAGGCTCCGGATTCTCCAGCCGCAGAGGTCCTGCACTGCTTTTGGGTACATGGTAGATTCACGGGAGGTGTTGGTGGCCCCCCAGAAAAACAGACCACCTAAGGGAAGACAAAACATGTTCCCAGCGTGACCAGACATCGAGAGCTGAGTCTCATCTTCAGTATTATCAGGGTGAAAAGAGGACGGGATGGCAAACAAGTGTTCTGTCTAAAAGATAACTGGAGCCAGGCGTGGTGGCGTGCCTGTGCAGTCCTAGCTACTCAGGACGCTGTGGTGGTAGGACTGCTTGAGCCCAGGAGTTCGACACCGGCCTGGACAACACAACGAGTTCCTGTCTCAAAAAAATAAAGAACACTGGGAGGTAAAGAGAATTGGGGTTCGTGGTCTAGGGACAGGACAATGGCTACACGGTTCCGCACCAGAGCACTGATAAGCCAGGGGGCAGAAATCACTAACCCACTTCACTGACAGCAAAGGAGCAGGTGTAACCAGCATAGATCTGGGAAGCCCCACGCCCAGGGAAGTCAAACAGCTTCACCAGGCGGGGGACCATCTCATCCTTCTGCTCTGCGTGGCCCAGCCGGCCATAGCCACCAAAGCCCCAGGAGAAGACTCGCTTCTGGGAGTCCAGGACCAGCTGCAAGGAAAGAAAACACAGGGTTGGAACAAACAGACTTCCAACAGGCAACAAGAGGGGTCATCGTTTCTGTGCAGACAACCTGGTGCAAATGCTAAGGGCAAAGGAACAGCAACATTCAAGATCCCCTACCAGCCGGGCACGGTGGTTCACATCTAATCCCAACACTTTGGGAGGCCAAGGTGGGTGGATCACTTGAGGTCAGGAGTTTGAGACCAGCCTGGCCAACATGGTGAAACCCTGTCTCCAAAAACCAAAGAAATATCCTTTGCCTGCCTCCAGCAGAAAGATCCTCTACCTCCCGCCTCCAGCAGTGGGGGAGGAGGCAACAGGAGCAAGTGTAGCAAAATGGCATGCATTCAATAAGCCCAGTTTGCTATTTTCTCTGCCAGGGACTCCATTTTCCAATCCTTTTTTGTTCTGTTTATTTATTTAAGTTACAAGTCTTAACCCTTTCCTTAATCAGAAGCAACAGGGCTATGTCTCCTGAGAGTTGGGCAATCATTTGATTCCCACTACAACAGAGATTCGGCCAGATGCAGTGGCTCATGCCTGTAATCCTAGCACGTTGGGAGGCTGAGGCAGGTGGATTGCCTGAACTCAGGAATTCAAGACCAGCCTGGGCAACATGGTGAAACCCATCTCTACTAAAATACAAAAAAATTAGCTGGGCACAGTGGTGTGCACCTGTAATCCCAGCTACTCAGGAGGCTGAGACAGGAGAATCTCTTGAACCTGGGAGGCGGAGGCTGCAGTGAGCCGAGATAGCGTCACTGCACTCCAGCCTGGGTGACGGAATGAGACTCCATCTCAAAAAAAAAAAACAAAACGAAACAAAAAAAAAAACACAACAAAAAAAAAACAGATTCAATTGCAGAAAGAACAGAAAAGGCCTACCTGTTCCTGGATTTTTCGTTTCTTTTCCCCCCCTCGAGAGGGTCTCGTGCTCTGTTACCTAGGCTGGAATGCAATGGCACGATCACGGCTCACCACAACCTCCACCTCCTGGGCTCAAGCGATTCTCCTACCTCAGCCTCCCAAGTCGCTAGGACTTGGGTGTGCACCACCATGCCCAGCTGATTTTTGTGGTTTTTTTGTAGAGATGGGGGTCTCACCATGTTGCTCAGGCTGGTCTCAAATGATCTGCCCACCTTGGCCTCCCAAAGTCCTCTGATTACAAACATGAACCACTGCGCCCGGCCTGGATTTTTCTTTAGACTTCCCTCACCCACAGGTACAGAGGTAACCTGTACCTGGTCACTGATGAAATGAACTCAGAGACACTTCAAGTGTTTAAGATTTATCTTCTTCAGTCTCGTTTTCCCATCTTCTGACATGCCAATTCAGTTCTTTGATGTTTCATGTCTAAACCATGGGAATCTACAACTTACTAAAAAACTTGGCCTATAAGGCCCTAAACAAGAGCCAACTTTATTTCCCCTGACTACATCAGACAAAACAAATCAGTTTTTGGACTTGCACAAACTGAAATCTCCTACCCTAGTCCTAGCCCAATTCCCTGGGCATTCTTCATCGGCAAGAAGATTCCAAGGGAAGGAGGTGGTGAGCTGAGACCACTCAGTGGGGAGGACCAACTTGATCTCTGGAATCCTAGCCCAGGCTTTTTCAACAAAGCATAGAACAAAGAGACTCCTAGGCATTCTCAGACAGAAGAACCACAGGAAGGCCATTAAAATTAAAAGATACACTAACAGCCGGGCGCGGTGGCTCACACCTATAATCCCAGCACTTTGGGAGGCCGAGGCAGGTGGATCACGAGGTCAGGAGTTTGAGACCAGCCTGGCCAACATGGTGAAACCCCATCTCTACTAAAAATACAAAATTAGCCAGGAATGGTGGCAGGTGCCTCTAATCCCAGCTACTCAGGAGGCTGAGGCAGGAGAATAGCTTGAAACAGGAAGACAGAGGTTGCAGTGAGTTGAGATCCCACCACTGCATTCCAGCCTGGGTGAAAAAGTGAAACTCCGCCTCAAATAAAAAAAAAAAAGATACACAAACAAAAGATTGCACTGCAGTTTATCTAAAGTGACCTTTAAAGAAACAACCTAGGCCAGGCGTGGTGGCTCACACCTGTAATCCCAGCACTTTGAGAGGCCGAGGTGGGCAGATCACCTGAGGTCAGGAGTTTGAGACCAGCCTGACCAACATGGAGAAACCCTGTCTCTACTGAAAATACAAAACTAGCCGGGGCATGGTGGCGCATGCCTGTAATCCCAGCTACTCGGGAGGCTGAGGCAGGAGAATTGCTTGAACCTGGGAGGTGGAAGCTGTGGTGAGCCGAGATCACGCCATTGCACTCCAGCCTGGGCAACAAGAGTGAAACTGTCTCCAAAAAAAAAAGGGGGGGGGGGCGGGGGGGACAACCTACTGATTAAAAACGACTCACATCCCCAGTATGGGGCACCATCTACTGACCTGGAAAGATGTCTGTGATGTTATGTTAGATAAAAGCCAAAAGCAGAAAGTGCTTACCTTAAGGTGCAGGTGAGGGCGGCAAAACATCTACGTGTTTAAGATGTGTCTATTTAAATCACGGGAGAAGTTAACATAGGAGGCAGTGACAGGGAACCCTGCCCTGGGACCAAGGACCCTTTGGCCAAGGTGCAAAGCCCTCTTGAAGAAGCAAGCAGATGTCTACCTGGGATCAGTTCCTAGCCAAAGCCAAGCGTCAGGAAACTTGAGCATAAACACCCCTTCCATCCTGGTGCGACTCTCAGGAAGTGAGAAAAGCCGAGCCTCACCGTGTGGTTAGCGCCACAGGCCACGTCTCGTACAACCACGTTTGGTACAGGCAGAATCTGTCCATCTTTCGTCTTCTCAATGAAGATGGCCACTCGCCGGGGAACTAGTTCACAGTCGTACTCTATCCGCTGTGCCCGGGCGATGAACTTCCCATCTGAGTTGTGTCCTGTAGAGACCACAGAGCCGGCCATCAGCAGCAGCACAAGCACAAGGGACGTGTCAGTGTGCTCACACGGACTCTGTAGTGAGCCCCGGCAGCACCCCAATCTGGCCCTTCTGGGCCTTAGACCAGCACACGTTGGTCAACAAAGGCAGCATTTCCAATCTTAGGCACAGCACAGTGAGTGGGTCAGTGAAATCAATTTTGTGAGCTAAGACCAGTTATTTTTTAAAAACGAATAGAACAGAATGACAAAGAATACTCTACACATAATAATGGCACCATGTTACAACAATTCCAGGTAAGGTATTATACGTTCAGATTGGGTTGCAAAAGAAAACTTATTTCTTACAATGGGTTGCAGTCAAAAAAGTTGAAGCTGCTGATCAAGGAATGGTCTATCAAGTAAGATCTCTACCCCACTGGAGGGACCACAAGGAGCCCCTAAAAGACCAAGAATAGACAGAAAAGCTCCATACACAATCCCAGGCCTCTGTTTTTATGAATTACCAGTAACCTAAACGTATGGTTACGGGTGGCTAAAGCCTGCAATTCCCACACTCCGAATGACCCAGGGACTGGTTCGCAAAGACCCAGCTCAGCACACCACACACCAGAAGCCCGGCTGCTCCAGTCCTGAGAACACGCCAGACACCCAAGCTCCTGCAGCCACCTGCAGCAGCAGGGCTGCTAAGTAGTTTATAGTTTTAAACTGCTCCTGTTCCCACACTGTGATCATCAGTTTGGTTGGGCACGGTGGGCCACGCCTGGAATCCCAGCACGTTGGGAGGCCGAAGTGGGTGGATCACCTGAAGTGAGGTGTTTGAGACCAGCCTGGCCAACACAGTGAAGGCCTGTCTCTACTTTAAAAAACAAAAACAAACAAACAAAGATTAGCTGGGCGTGGTGGTGGGTGCCTATAGTCCAGCTACTTGGGAAGGCTGAGGCAGAAGAATCGCTTGAACCTGGGAGGTGGAGGTTGCAGTGAGCAGAGATCATGCCACTGCACTCCAGCCTGGGCGACAGAACAAGTTTCTGTCTCCAAAAAAAAACAAACAAAAAAACTTGTTGTTATCAGTTTGTAAACTAGCCCCCGGCTTGTGGCTAATCCCCCTCCATACGGCACGCTGGTGTGCACCTCAGCCCTTATTGGTATGTGTGTTTTTGAGCACTGTGCTATTTAAATACAGTCAGCCCTCCATGGCCACAGGTTCAACCAACAGTGGTCCAAAAATATCTGGGGGGAGGAGGAAACAAGGAAAAAAAAAAGATAATACAAACAATACAAGTAAGACCATACAGTAGAACTACTTACATAACATTTACATCACATTAGGTACTGAAGTAATCTAGAGATGATTTTAAGTGTACAGGTTACATGCAAATACTATGCCATTTTATATAAGGTACTTGAGCATCTTAAGATCTTGGTATCCACAGGGGGTACTGGAAGCAATCCCCCAGGTTACCAAGGAGCAACTGCACCCTGGAATCACAACTACGCTACACACAATAAAACTCCTGGGCTTGTTTACAGGGCGCCTTATAACACTCATCTCATAAGCAGGTTCTATTTTTTTTTTTTTTTTTTTGAGACAGAGTCTCGCTCTGTCGCCCAGGCTGGAGTGCGGTGGCATGATCTCTGCTCACTATCACTGTCTTATGACAGCAGTTCTCTACTGTTGACATAATCCCTTCCAGTGGAACATCTGTCCGTTTAAAAGTCTGAGGGTCTTGGCCGGGCGCGGTGGCTCGCGCCTGTAATCCCAGCACTTTGGGAGGCTGAGGTCGGCGGATCACGAGGTCAAGAGATTGAGACCATCCTGGCCAACATGGTGAAACCCCGTCTCTACCAAAAATACAAAAATTAGCCAGGTGTGGTGGCGCACGCCTGTAGTCCCAGCTACTCAGGAGGCTGAGGCAGGAGAATCGCTTGAACCCGGGAGGCGGAGGGTGCAGTGACCCGAGATCGCGCCACTGCACTCCAGCCTGGTGACAGAGCAAGACTCCGTATCAAAAAAAACAATAAAAGTCTGAGGGTCCCCACTAAGAAATTCCCCCACCTTCTAGGCTACGATGAATGTAAGAGCATCACAGTAAATAGAATGCATTTCCGGATATGTCGCTACTTTTCTCACAAAAATGGTATTTTTAAACACTTGCACTCTTCCGGACAAGGTTTCAGCAAGGCAGTCAACAAATGATTAGAGTCCTTTTATTTGCTATCGACACAGTGGATACTGAACAGACACAACTCCCAGACAGGAGAGGAGGCACATTTGGTGACTGCTTTTTCCACCTCCTTTAAAGAGCTGCACACATCTGCTTTCTCCAGAAGTACAGGACAGAAGCTACTCCAGAAAACATCGAACAGCGGGCTTCCCTGTCCCTCTAGAGGGGTGACAGCTCTTTAAAATAAAGTTAAATGGCATGGCTGGGCACGGTGGCTCATGCCTGTAATCCCAACACTTTGGGAGGCCGAGGCGGGTAGATCACTTGAGATCAAGCGTTTGAGACCAGCCTGGTCAACATGGTGAAACCCCGTCTCTACTAAAAATACAAAAAAAAGTTAGCTGGGTGTGGCAGCGGGCGCCTGTAGTCCCAACTACTTGGGAGACCGAGGCAGGAGAATTGCTTGAACCAAGGAGGTGGAGGTTGCAGTGAACTGAGATCACACCACTGCACTCCATCCCGGGTGACAGAGGGAGACTCCGTCTTTCTTATCTTGGCGTTGCCCAGCCCAGTTCAGTGCACTGCAAAAAAGGGGGCACAAGGCATGAGTGTGTGTGGATGAGACACGGCCATAGTCGGATTTAGGTTCATTCTAAAAGTGATCTATCTGGATTTGGACAACGAAACAAACACCTGCCTTAAAGCAAGTAATACGCTGAGAATAAGCGATTCTGTAGCTACAAATCAAGCCGATTTCCAAACTACCTGCAAGTTGAGTGTAACTGAGCACCTGCGAATTTGTACAAAGTGCTTACATGGTGCCTGGCACACACAGTCACTGCTCCATGAAAGTGAGCCGTTTTTATCACCAACAGCATGTCATGCTTCCTGACGGAAAATCGACTTGCCGGGGTGCAGAGGGGAGGCCAAGGCAGCAGGAGCGCGCACGTGGCAGGAAGCGGACCGCTGCTGGGCACCGCAGCAGGGCTGTGGCCATGGAAACCGCTCTCCAACTGTCTCGGGCTCCACCACGGCAACCAACGCGAAATGTGAAATGTGCGTAAGGGGCTGTTCTCTCTTATTCACTTCTGACTTGAAGTATATTTAGTTTCACAAAGTCACTGTTCCCCGAGGCTAAGGCCAGCGGGCTCGGCGCTATTTTTACCTTTTCCATCTGCCAGGCGCTGCGGCTGCAGGAGCGCGCGCGGCCAGCAGAGGGCGCCCGCGCCACACCTCGCGGAGGCCTCCCCAGAGGGGCTGGAGTGGAGGCAGAGCCACAACCGGGAAGCGCACTTCAGGGAACCGCACTTAGGGTCCGATGGGAAGGAGAATGGAGACCATCAGGTCGGAAGACACTCCCCCCACTAACTGAGAACTGATGCCTGAATTCTCCTTTTCCACCAATGAGATCGAAGAAACAAGTTTCTGGACAACTAGATTCTGGCTAGGGATGACGCACGGGGAGGGGGTCCACCAGGGCTCCTCACGTGGCAACCCGAAATAATCGCCCAGGCCAGGGTTTCCAGAACAACGTTCATTTTCCGTAATTTTCTCATTTTCAATAAAGGCATAATCTTTAAATGTGAAATTGAATGAAGGTGGTCTGATTTTTTTTTAACTTTGAAATCCCTTTATATAAATGAATTCCCAAATCAGAAAAAAAGAAATCTTTTGTAGGACTCCAGTCCCAACTTTTCCATTGAGGCAGTGTTGCAATACTCCATAATCCTGTGAATGAGGACGCGCTGTTCTGCTGAACGTGAGATCCACTTAACGGACAAAGGCTATTATCTGAGATCAATTACCCACATTTCTAACACGTGTGTGCAGCCCCACACTGATCTCTAGTTCTGAATATATACAGTTAGATTACAGAGCTTTTAAAAAATGTACTTCCATACCCAGCTGACCATATTCAGGGCACCCAAAGGAATAGAGGTTTCCTTTGCAGTCCATTATCATACTGAATTCAGCCCCACAGGCCATTTTGGTAATTGGCTGGCCGTTGTACATTATCTGAAAAGACAAGAAAGGAGACTTTCATTTTTTTTAAAGACTGATAAAAAGCCTCTACCTCTCTGCATGTTGGTGGGAAACAATTACTAGGTTACAAACGGAAGTTTAATAAACTCAGTAATTCTGAAGGCAAAAGCTGAAGGCATTTCTAGAACACAAAGCTTAGAAGATATGTAAAGAAGCACCCTCAGACCCCCACCCTCCCAGCACAGAGCAGTTCAAAGCCTAGCCACTGTCTCTTTAAGATCAATAAAACCAAGTCCCTCCCTTCCTTCATCACCTAGACCACTAATTAGGCACTTAGCATTCTTCTGCCTTTAGTAGTAGTTTGTTTTTAAGGTATAAATCTCACCCCTCCAACTCAAGTTTCTTAGAAAAAAAAAGACTGCCTATCTCCTGGGCGCGGTGGCTCACACCCAGCACTTTGGGAGGCCGAGGCAGGCAGATCAGGAAGTCAAGAGATGGAGACCATCCTGGCCAACATGGTGAAACCCCATCTCTACTAAAAATACAAAAATTAGCCAGGCGTGGTGGAGCATGCCTGTAGTCCCAGCTACTCGGGAGGCTGAGGCAGGAGAATCGCTTGAATCCGGGAGGCAGAGGTTGCAGTGAGCTGAGATCGCGCCACTGCACTCTAGCCTGGCAACAGAGCGAGACTCTGTCTCCCCTCCAAAAAAAAAAGACTGCCTATCTCGTATTTGTATTCTAAGCATCTGGCTGGTGACTTTATACAAGGTCAAAACAAAGTATTTGGGGGAAGTACAATTACATCCATATAACATCACTCACTTTCTTTGGAACAGAACAGGCTTACGACAAGGCATTTCTAACAGATTTCTCCATTTGGAAACAAAATGTTTTCAGGATGGTTTTCAACCCGACCACAAACTAAGCCTGTTTTAAAAACTATAGCAAGGCTGTGTGCAGTGGCTCACACCTGTAATCCCAGTACTTTGGGAGGCCGAGGTGGGTGGATCACCTGAGGTCAGGAGTTCCAGACCAGCCTGACCAACATGGAGAAACCCCGTCTCTACTAAAAATACAAAATTAGCCAGGTGTGGTGGCACATGCCTGTAATCCCAGCTACTCCAGAGGCTGAGGCCGGGGAATCACTTGAACCCGGGAGGCGGAGGTTGCAGTGAGCCGAGATTGCGCCATTGCACTCCAGCCTGGGCAAAAAGAGTGAAACTCCGTTCTCAAAAAAAAACAAAAAACAAAAAAACAAACAAAAAAACTCTACAGCATGTAACTAAACATCCAGACCCTGTTTTTACAAGGGGTAAATTAACTCAAACGGAGACCCCACCTTAGAAAATCAAACACAAAAGTAAAGAGAAACAAAAAGCCATGGAGCCGGAGCTGAGGAGGGGTCACCTGCGCGGGGCTGGGAACAGCGTCTGTCTGGTTGCCAAGGCCCAGCTGCCCCATCTTGTTTTCCCCAAACGCAAACACGGAGCCCGTTTCTGGAAGAAAGGAAAAATATCACAAAAGGGAAGATAATGGTGAATGTTTTGAACTAGATTTAGAATCAAAGGCATCAAAATAATAAAAACAGCTCATTTGCCAGGCAGAAGGCAAGTGAGACTGCCCAAAAGCTGGCAGTGCAGACGCTTCACAGCAAAGCCATTTCACATCAGAAACTGGGTGTGCAGAGAAACAGAGGGCAGCGTCTCCTACTCCCAGATGGGCCTCCTATGGCCACTGGGGAGGCTCCCAATGCCCTCAAGAAGCCACTCCATGCCAAGGTTCTCAGGGCCTCTTTCTGATCCTGACCAAGAGTCACAAGGGGAACTCCACCACCCCACGCCCCATCCCCAAGGCAGACCACCTGGCCTCTTGCCAAACTGAGAGGAGACACCAGCAGCCACCTCCTTACCCGTCAAGGCCAAGGTGTGGTTCCGCCCACATGCTGCAGACACAATCACTTCGTGGCTAAGACCCTCGATGAGTCTAGGGGCTTCTACTCTCTTGGTGTCACCATGTCCCAGCTGCCCCTTCTCATTTCGACCTGCAGATCACATGAGAGAAAGTAGAAAAGAGAGAGGGTGGTCCAGGCGGCACCACCAGGAGAAGGCGAGTACAAACACACTCTCAAATGATGCCCATCTGTCTCTGGAAGGTACCCTCCAAATTCCCAACAGCCAAGATCCAGAGCAAAGAACGCCCCGGCCCTCTGCCCGCTGGAATGGCGCCTGCTGCAGCTCCCCGGACCTCCTTCCCTGGGGCAGCAGCGGGACCACCCGTGCACACCTCCCACGTCTCTGCTACAAAGGGAAATGAGAGGCTCAGTGTGGTAGGGACACCATGCACAGGCGGGCATGCTCGCAGAAACACGCCGTTCCCACTTAGAGTGCCTGCAAGACAACCACCCCGTCCCTACCCTCTGAGATGTATTTTAAGACAGCACCCCATTTTGACACCTGGCTCACCAGAGTTTAATCACTTTGGTGCTCTGGGCATCCACTGAGGACCATTTGGTGTCTGCCCAATATTTCTCTTCCTTTTTCTACCCTGTAAATGGTGCTCACATAACAGTGCCAATCCCACCCCTAGGGATCGCCCCTCAAGGACTCTCAGCCACAGGAACCCTGGTGACAAAGCACAGATCCACCCTCAACACAACACGCCCAGCCCCACCTCCAGGACTGCTGCAGGTGCGACCAAGGCCCTGTATCTGTGAATTCCAGCGGAAGGCAGGCCTGAGGGCCAACCCCTACCCCCAAGTCCTCTGCAGAACCAAATTCAACTCCAAACAGACGTGGAAGTTGGGTGGGCCAAAAGGAGGGCTGGGAGCCCCTACACCGCATCTAGGTTTCAACACAAACTACCAAGTTCCAAAACAAAAATTCAACCGGCCACTCTCGGATCCCTCCCGATAAGAGAAAAACCACACATGTAACCTGACGTGGGGAAACTGACGGAGATCTTACAGTGGTGAGAAGTCAGGGCAATTCTAGGGGGTTTTGCAACCTTCTCCAGCAATGAACTTTTCACCCTTAGGTTGTGATAAAGGCAGACAGCAGAGCCATTAAGATGAGTTCCAGCTGTCCTGGAGAAGGCTTGCAGGAGCAGCCTCTGACTACAGAAGGAATTGCGACGAAGGGAAACCAGCCTCTGACTCGCTCTAATTAAAGAACGGCGGGCTGAAGGGCCAGCACTGGCACTCGAGCAGGAGAGGCAGATACACCAGCTTCCAATGGGAGCTGCCCAAGTTCATGTGAAAGGCATGTGAATACAGAGCAACAAGTGCAAGTCTCAGTGGACTGAGATGCGGCAGGACAGGGTGAGCGGGCCACAGATGGAGACCCCACATGAGCAATGCGTCAGCCACCCTCCCGTGGTACTCTACTCACACCAGACGCCGCCCCCTGCCTTCTAGAGTGGCGAGCAGTGGGCCTGTGACACCTTCCAACCCTGTCCTCACCAACTGCACTGTCTGCTCGGGGATCACACGTCTTGATGGCGGGACATACATTGTCCCTGCCCACAGGGTCAGAACTGAGGGCGCTTTCAGAGCCACCACGCAAGTGAAGCTCAGCGAGAGATCAGAACTGAGGTATTTTAAGTTTGGAACACTGACATAAAAGGCTGTGTTCAGTGTTGGAACACAAAGTAGGAGGGGTGCTCTGGGGGAAGGGACACACATCTATGCCAACCGGGAGAAAACAAAAACTGTGGCAATGTCAGCATGTCATCAAGAGACTATAAAGTATAAATTTGGGCCAGACACACTTTAGCTTTTTTCAACAGAATTACAAAATTAGCCATGTGCAGGGAAGACAACAGATGTTAATATATTTGGACTTTGGTACAGCAGCTCATGAAATCACAAAAAACGGTTCAAACAGCCCAAAATAAAAATGCAGTCATATGGACTAAAAGCTAGCCAGAGGACCAGCGACAAAGGGTGGGGACAAACGCCAATATGCCCCGCTGGAGGCAGAGGCCGGGAGTCACCAAAAGGGCTGGGGATAAAATGAGCCTTAGCCCATACCCTATGATTGGAATGATCTGGAAGAGGACACGGGCAGGAATGGGCCGGCCGGCTGCAGAGGACAGTGCCGTGGACAGAGGCTAACAGAAGAACTGGAACCCATCCCGAGTGCCCAGGTGAGGAAAAACAGAAGGGAAAGCCGAACAACTCCAAAAAAGCAAACTGAAGTATCTGGGGAAATATCCTAAGAAGCAGACAACACGGACAGTGAGCTGCCAAGCCTGCAGACCAGACTTGGGCAGACCTCAGACACGAGGGCCATGGCGGCAGGGACGCAGCATCCTATGACATGAGGCGGGAGGTAGAAAAGCCAGTGGCATTTCAAGTGGCAGCAACAGAGGTCTCATGTCATATCGTGCCTCAAAGAGGAAGGAAACTGTCTGCTGGAAGGACAGCCTGCCTAACACACTCACACACCTCAGTATCAGAAAAGATCAAGCTTCGGGCAGAAGATTCAGGAAAATGTTCCTTGTGTAAACACAAGGAATCAAAGAAGTAGGGGCTGCGTATGGGCAAAAAATGTCAGGGGGGAAGGGGATCTGCATGTAGCGTGTAGACAAGAGACGAGCTGGGAATTAGGAAAAAAGACATGGGCTGTGAACGAAGGAGCCCAGCCTTATAAGACGCGAGTCTCTTTTCCAGGCAAACAGAAGAACGTGCTGTGTGGGGACAGCTGGTGACAGTGGTCCCCAGTGCCCAGCACCCGCACGGTACTCACCCCAGCTCCACAGCTTCCCTTCCGTGGTGATGAGGAGGCTGTGTGCAGCACACGAGCCCGAGACCACTGTCCGCACCCGGACCCCCGCCAGGCACCCATATCTGTGGGGCCCCCACAAATTCTGACCGAGATTGCGGTAAGCAGCTGCAGAGAGAATGAGAATGCAGATCAGACACCTGGGGTGGTGGGGTGACCTCCAAAATGTCACTGGCCACCAAGCAGCCACTTCCCGAGGGTACCAGGGACAGGTGTTCCTCGGGTGCCACCCTGCCTTGGCTGTTGGGAGGCTGCACAAGGATCGGGTTTTCACTTCGAATCTCTGCGATGCCTCTGAAGGCCCAAAAATCAAAATACCCAGAAGCTGGCACAGGCCTGGCGTCACCTGCCACCTTTACACCCATTCGGCCCCAGCCCCCTCTCTGGGTCCCACCTCTCACAGGGCTCAGCCCCACGTGTTCTGCCATTGAGCACGCCCACCCGCAAGTGCCCGGGACCTGGTGCGAGGTCTGTCCAGGAGGCAGGAGTGCTGGCTTTCCACAGCCGTCAGCTGAGGAAGAGGCTGACCCAGGAAACCCCGCTCACCCTGACAGTAACCTACCCCTCCTCCTCACTCCCTGCCGCCTGCCCCTCCTTTCCCAGGCTCTCCTGCCCTCCATCTCCGGCCTTCACCCTGGGCCAGAAGGCTCTTTCTGAGGGGTGACCCGAGTGTCCTGTCTTCATGTTCCCAGCAGCTCCATCAGGCCCCTTGAGGAGGGGCACTGCTCACACAGTATCACCCCACCTCCTGCTCCCTTCTCACCCGTCCAGTGTGACAGCCACTTCATGACTCCCCTGACACCCACCCATATATTCGCTTCCCCTAGAATGTCCTTCCCACCTCCTACTTCTTCCTGAAAGCTCAAGTCAAGCACCAGTTCGCCTCCTTGGGGAAGCCCTCCAGGGCAACATCCACTGAGAAATCTCCTTCCCCCAGGGCTCCCCTGCCCCAGCTCTGCTCAGCCCTGCTCAGCCCACCACAGCTCTCTTCCTGAGCCCCCCAGCCCTCCCACTCCATGAGAAGCCACCCAGGGCTAAAGCTGTAGGCTCCCTCCAGCCTAGACCCTCACAAATGCCTGGCACGCAGCGAGCACTCAATGGGAAAGAAAACCACAGCATCTTCCTCACAAACCCCCCTTCACACCCTATTAGAGGATGGGGCAGGGCCAATTTCTTACTTTTCTTTTTTTTTTTTTTTTTTTTTTTTTGAGACAGTTTCACTGTTGCCCAGGCTGGAGAGCAGTGGCACAATCTCGGTTCACTGCAACCTCTGCCTCCCAGGTTCAATTGATTCTCCTGCCTCAGCCTCACGAGTAACTGGGATTACAGGCGTGTGCCATCACACCCAGCTAATTTTTGTATATTTAGTAGAGAGGGTTTCACCATATTGGCCAGGCTGGTCTTTAACTCCTGAGCTCAAGTGATCCACTCGACTCAGCCTTCCAAACTGCTGGGATTACAGGCGTGAGCCACCATGCCCAGCAATCTTAATTTTTGAAATTGAGATGCTCAAGAGTATTTCCAGGATTGTGGTGATTATCCTGAAATGCTAGCCACTGCCAAATCGAGTGTGTAAGACTGATCCAATGTAGGAACTGATAAAAAGGCTACAATGTCTCTATCAAGCGCCTGGCTGCCTAGAAAGTATCTGTGAAGTACGTTCCAGCCCCACCCTCCGCCCTCAGCAGAGGGCACCACATGCTCCCTCATTCAGGTGTGGGGGCAAGTGGGCAAGACTCCTGGCCGCAGGCGGGCAGGGGCCAGCCGATCCCGCATGGCACCTGAAGCAGCACACCTGCAGACACCTCCCCTGAAAGGAGGAAGAGGAACATCAACAATTTCCTGGGGAAAGAGCAAACCAAAAATAAAAGCCTCATGGTCTATATTAAAACTTAAGAAAAACTCAAGGAGGTGGCACCTAAATTAAGATTCAGGAACTGTATTAAACAAAACTCGGAAGGGATAAAGAGAAACCCAAGGTCTCTTTGCCATGAAGACAAAATGATGGCATGATTGACGAGTATCATCACGACCCTGTGCCGCAACACAGGAGGCCACGGGACGCCAGGCAAGGGTGCGGTGCCACACTTGAACTTGCTTGGCCAAGGGGAGTCTCAGGTGGTCAGATGCTCCTGGACTTACCAAAGCATCTTTCCCTGCAGTGCCCAGGATGCCACTGGCTCCTGAGGAGCCGGGTTGGGTTTCTTCCGGCCTCCCAAGGAAGGGCTGGAGGGACTGGAGGGACCGGGCAGGGGTGGGGGAGGGGGAGCAAGTCAAATTAAACGCCCTGCAGCAGTCCCAGGCTCTGCGGTCAGACTGAGAAGTCAATTCCCACGGCCTCCGGATCCCTGGGGTCTGGTCCCAATCACAGAGCTACTGTGTGGCTTGCTGTGGTGCTATCTTGCAAAAACCAAGACATCCAGGCTGCTGGTTTTCACCAGATCTACAGCAACATACATGCGCGGGAGGCAACAGAGTTAACTAGAGAGTGGGACTCCAACCCTGGCCCTGCCACTCGCTTCCTTTGGTATTTACTGCCCTTCCCTGGGCTTCTGTATCTTCAATGTCAACTGGGCTGCTCAGTTGAAGAACGGCTTTGAGAAATGATGCAACACGGGCACAGGACTGGCAACAAGGCGCCATCAGCACCTGGGCTTACGTTACTGTAGACCAGGAGGTGCTTCCCTGGGACAAAAGCCACCATGTGGACGTGGCCCCCTCTGGCTTGGGCCTGAAGGCTGGGCATTTTCCAAACAACGCGCTGCTGCTACCTGCAACTTAAACCCATTTCTAATTCAGCTGGCCCCCAGGTGTTTTCATGGAACAAGGTGATTTCCAACGCCCCTGTTTTAAGGTGCCAAGACGAGCCAGCGTGCAAATATTTGTTCATGGGGCAAAGCAATGCTGGAAAGCACTTTGGGAGTCTTTCCAGATGAAATCAAGAAGCCATAAAAGTTGGCTACATGCCAGCCTTCCTTCTCCTGGATGGGCCTTTTCCCTTAAGACACCAGTTTTCCAAAGGTAACTGGGGACAAAACATTACTTCTTAAGGACCTCTCTGCTTTCCCCCGCTCCAGACTGTTCTGTCAAACCAGTTCCTGCAACAATTTGGCAGCTTGCAAAGAAACGTGGACTCTTCTGCAATGCCTGAAATTTTGACACCTGACATTTGACAAATGTCTAGGACATTCTGACACCATCTCACAGACCTGGTCTCTTCATTTTAATGAAAACAAGTGAGGTGAGAGGGAAGATGGAAAAGGTGGCAATGTTCATTTGAGGATACTACTTGTATTTTCCTGATTAATCTTAACGGAATTAGTGAGTCACTTCAAAATTGTGCCTTTAAAAGACTAAGATTAGGGTTCAAATCCAGCTCATCACTACAGTGGCTGTGTGGCCTCAGGCAAGTCACTTGGCCTCTGTGAAAATGCATTTGTAAATGAAGGGAATACCTACCAGGCAGGTGGTCAACAGAACCTAGCACTTAAGAAGCACTCAATGGGTTTTTGAGGCACCATTCTCATACCTTGCTGTTTAGGCACTTCTTTTCGACCAATCAAGTCCCAGTTGGTTGCCCCAAAAATCAAAAGCTGCCCTTTGCACTTTGACCCTTCAAGTTTCTGCAGAGACAGAGAAAGGAAAAAAGAATTAGTGTGTAAGTCTGCACCTAGCTTTCCAAGGCTGTCCAATGACAGCACGAAACGAAAGAAAATCATTCAGTTAGCCCTTATGTCACCTGTGACCTCCACACGAACAGAGTCTCCCCACACTCCCCTCCCTCATCGGCAAGTGGCAATGCGGGCAACCCCAAACCTGCCCACAGCCGCTCACTTGCTAAGCCCAGGCTCATTTTTATCCTTTGACTTCCCTTTAAAATAGCTTTTGCAAAACACTAAAAAAAAAACCCAAATACATGCCTCCTTCGCAAACTGATGTACAGAGGTATTTGCAGGAAGCCTGCCGGACACTCAGGGGCGTTAAATCCAGCTCATCCTAGGGCCAAGTCTCTATTTCACATGGCAAGCACGGCCTGCGACCTCAAACCTTAGGAGCCTCACATCACTTCTGCTGCCCACTCTGCCGAGAGCCTTTCCATGGGGACTCAGGAAGAAAACAGTAGAGAACAAGGTTCGATTTCTCCACTGAAGGGAGACCAGGCAGAACACAGCTTTGGTGGGTATGCAGGGGTCTGAATCAGGCGGCCTTTGATGGCACCCTCATGCCGCTGTCCATGAGCCCGGGAGCCAATGGTGAGTGAAACAGGACCTCCCAGGGGCCCGGCTCTCAAGGAACAAGCTGTCACAGCAGCCAGCATACTTCAGTGTTCATCCTCAGTCTCTCAACACAAAGTCATCAGGGCCACCAACTCTCATACTGTCAACGAAAATCTACGCCATTTAAAAAGGCCATTGTTCAATTCTGGGTGGCACTCATAATATTCTCAGCACTTTGCTTCCTTAAATGTCAAAATATACTTTTTCAAGTAGGTTGTTAGTGGAAGACTCAATTCTGAACTCCTCACTCAGTCCACACTGGCAAGGGAAGCATTCACTGCTATCACTTTCCGCTCTTACACATCTTTCCTGGACGTGAAAAGGAAAGGGGTTTCCTTCAGTTTACAGAATTGTTCTTGGAAGGCTTCAGGAAAAAAGTCTGGCAAGGCGCAATGGCTCACGCCTGTAATCCCAGCACTTTGGAAGGCCGAGGCGGGCAGATTGCTTGAGCTTGGAGACCAGGCTGGGCAACATGGCAAAACCTTGTCTCTACAGAAAATAGAAAAATGAGCCTGTGGTCCCAGTTACTTGGGAGGCTGAGGTGGGAGGATTGCTTGAGCTGAGGAGCTGGAGACTGCAGTGAGCCAAGATCACACCTGCTCTCCAGCTTAGGTGACATAGCCAGGCCTTGTCTCAAAAAAAAAAAAAAGGGGGCCAGGCACAGTGGCTCACGCCTGTAATCCCAGCACTTTGGGAGGCTGAGGCGGGTGAATCACGAGGTCAGGAGTTCAAGACCAGCCTGGCCAATATGGTAAAACCCCGTCTCTACTAAAAATACAAAAAAATTAGCCAGGCGTGGTGGCATCCGCCTGTCGTCCCAGCTACTCCAGAGGCTGAGGTAGAAGAATCCCTTGAACCCGGGAGGCGGAGGTTGCAGTAAGCTGAGATTGCACCATTGCACTCCCAGTGTTGCTGCCCAGGCTGGAGTGCAGTGGCGTGATCTCGGCTTGCTGCAACCTCTGCCTCCCGGGTTCAAACGATTCTCTTGCCTCAGCCTCCCAAGTAGCTGGGATTACAGACACTCAGCTAATTTTGTGTGTTTTTAGTAGAGACAGGGTTTCACTATGTTGGCCAGGCTGGTCTCAAATTCCTGACCGCAGGTGATCCACCCACCTTGGCCTCCCAAAGTGCCGATAAAATGCCAATAAAATAACGCCGATGAAAGTTCCCAACCATGCCAATAAAAATGTATTTGTTGGCCAGGCGCGGTGGCTCACACCTGTAATCCCAGCACTTTGGGACGCTGAGGCAAGCAGATCACGAGGTCAGGAGATAGAGACCATCCTGGCTAGCACGGTGAAACCCCATCTCTACTAAAAATACAAAAAAAATTAGCCGGGCATGGTGACCGGCACCTGTAGTCCCAGCTACTCGGGAGGCTGAGGCAGGAGATTGGTGTGAACCCAGGAGGCGGAGCTTGCAGTGAGCCAAGATCGCACCACTGCACTCCAGCCTGGGCGACTGAGCAAGACTCCATCTCAAAAAAAAAAAAAAAAAAAAAAAAAAATATATATATATATATATATATGTGGGCTGGGTGTGGTGGCTCACGCCTGTCATCTCAGCACTTTGGGAGGCTGAAGCAGGCGGATCACCTGAGGTCAGGAGTTCAAGACCAACCATGGTGACAAAGCCAGCCCTGTCTCAAAAAAAAAAAAAAAAAAAAAAGAAAGAAAGAAAAAGAAAAAAGGGCAGCTCCAGGCCCAATCATTCTAACCTCTACAGTGTGATCACCCCATGGGTATGCTTTGGCAGTACGGCTCACGCATTTCTAAGATTACACATCTTCATGACGGATGATTTCCACTTCAATAGGAACCTTTACACGACCCAAACCTGATTAGGGCGTCCCCCAAGATATAGGTTCCGTCACGCTTGCCCACTCCACCACATTATGTAACAGGAAAAAGATGGTCAATCTACAGGAATGCATCCTGCAGTCCTCATGAAAAGGGGAAGTGAGGCCAGCCGCGGTAGCTCATGGCCCGTCATCCCAGCACTTTGGGAGGCCAAAGTGGGTGGATCACCTGCGGTCAGGAGTTTGAGACCAGCCTGGCCAACATGGTGAAACCCTGTCTCTACTAAAAATACAAAAAATTAGCCGGGTGTCTGTAATCCCAGCTACTTGGGAAGCTGAGGCAAGAGAATCGCTTGAACCCAGGAGGCAGAGGTTGCAGCGAGCCGAGATCACACCATTGCACTCCAGCCTGGGCAACAAGAGCGAAACTCTGTCTCAAAAAGAGAAAAAAAAAGTTGGGGGGAGGGAAGTGAAACAACACGGAAAGGGAGAACAACTTTGGTTCATTTAAATTATTTAGAAAATGACCTTAATCAGAGGGTGGCCCAGCCCCTGCAGCACCCACAACTCAGGTTACTTGAATTGGAGCCTAGCTTCCCCTGGTTATCTGCCCTTCTTTGTTTAACTGGCAGGCCTGGCTGGAATATGCTACAGGTCTATATTCAATGGCTTCTGTTGAAGTCCCTGTGGAAGGAGAGGCCTCTGGGTCCTCTGCCCAAGCCTACCAAGTTGGCATGGAGGGGGCAGTAGAGACCCAGGAAGGGTGCTAAGGCACTGGAGACCAAGCTCCCAGGCCAGAGGGCAAGCCTAGAAAAGAGCCCTGGAATGCCAGCAACTGCAGACCAGGCAGGCGGAGGTTCATGGGCACCTGTGCTCAGTATGAACCATTGAAGTCAAACCACCCTACACTGAGATGCAACCACTGCAGCAAAACTTCACAGTGCTGAGGCCACACCAGAAGCCTCAGCTCCATCAGGCCAGAGGGCATGGTTCAGGGGCAAGTTCAGACAGCCAGAGCTTAACCGCAGTGGCCTTGGCCTTGGGGAGGGAGTTTCCTGGGTGACCTGGACATTTGGTCAAGGGCTCATGAAGACTGATCCATCAAGCTAGCTAAGCATTTATAGGCAAACCCAACCACGCCAATAAAAATGTATTTGTGGGCCGGGCATGGTGGCTCACGCCTGTAGTCCCGGCTACTCGGGAGGCTGAGACAGGAGAAGGGCATGAACCCGGGAGGCGGGGCTTGCAGTGAGCCGAGATCGCGCCACTGCACTCCAGACTGGGCGAAAGAGCGAGACTCCATCTTAAAAAAAGAAAAAGAAAAAGAAAAAGAAAAAAATATATATATACACTCACACACACATATATATACACACACACACACATATACATACGTGTGTATACATATACATATATACGTGTGTATGTGTGAAAAACCCCGGTAAACTGAGTCTACTCCAGTGACGGTGGTCAGATTCCTATGAAGGACATTAACTGTTATTCAAGTTTTTACGTCATGGATCCTATTTCCTCACACATTAGATGGAGGTTAGTGTATTTCGTTATTATTTACATAATTGTTTGCTCTAAGCTGCTTTCTTTTATTTCTCTATAACTTCTTTCCTCTGCCTTATGTGGAATTAACATTTAAATAGAGTAACAGAGAACTCCCAGCACCCCTTCTCACTTAAGGGGTGCTCCTCTTCCTCAGAGACCAGAAACAGCCAATCGTGGGAGAGACTCCCGCGCTTGCGGGCTCCACCCGGGGCGGCGGGGCAGGGCGGGGGTGCCAGTGGGTGTGTGGGTGTCTGAAGCTCAGTGTGCCCTCCCAGGCGGAATCCAGCCTTCCCTGATGGGCCTACGGATTGTTTTTTTGGACGAACTCAGTGTCTGCGACCCTGCTTGTGTATAAAGGCCACGCAGCAGACAGCCTGGCAAACAGTCTGCCCAATGAGATGAGTGATTTTCATGTCATTTCACCTGGCTGCCTCCAGCAACTTGGTCACATAACCTGGGCAGAGACACACAGAAATGGACAGAAAAGGCACTGAGCTTCTTCAATCAACAAAATGGGATTTCTAGTCTAAAGCAATTTTTGAATTATGATCCAAATGCAAGGTGCGCGTTTACGGGGCCCAGAGTCAACCTTTTAACATAGGTCCATGTAGAAGACCGCTGCTCCGGGGAGGTAAGACCCCCGGGAACAATGCCGGCATCGACCAATTACCTAAGGGCCATCAACTGAAACAGACTTCCGGGTTGGCTTTCAGTTTTATTTATTTGCTCCTTTCAGATTCAACACATCTGTCTCAGGGTCCACAAAACCTTGGCAACCCAAGACTGGAAAAACTACAAAGACCTGGGCAGCTTGCAACACTCACCTGTTTTGTAGGATCTGGCCAAGGCTGCTGCCTTTACTTGCTTTAGGAGGTTATGAAGTGCGCAAAGAATTAGGACTGAATCTACCCTAGTGTGACACTGCCATCAATATTTGGAGTTCCTGGCATGCAACTTCCCAAATCCTTGGAATCTCCAAAGCAATGTCTTTTTGTATGCTAATGACTGACACTGGCAGCCCCCAGGCAGCTTCCGGATGGGGCAGTGGGAGCCTAGGGACTTTCAGCCCCATCCTCCAACCTCAGGAGGGAGATGACTGAAGGTTAAAGTGATGATCAATGGCTTAATCTACCATGCCTACATAATGAAGCCTCCGTTAAAAACCTGTAAGGACCAGGTCACAGAGCTTGTGGAGAGCTGAACATGTACCAGGTGGGTGGTCTGCAGAGGGCACGGAAACACAGTGCCCCTTCTGCCACATCTAGCCTTACAGGTCTCTTTATCCATAGCCTTTGTAATATCCTTTATAATAAACTGGTGTTTCCCTGAGTTCTGTGAGCCATTCCAATAAATTAATCGACCCCAAAGAGGGGGTCATGAGAACCCCAACTAGAGGCTAGTTGGTCAGAAGCTACCAGGGACTGGACTTGCAACTGGTGTCTGGGGTGGAAGGACAGTCTTGGGGACTGAGCCCTCAAGATGAGGAAATCTACCTCCAGGTGGATAGTGTCAAGAGATGAACTGGAGGACACCCAGCCGGTGTGTGCTGCAGAACTGATTGCTTGCTTGATAGCAGGGGGAGACCTCCCTTTACGTCTAGTCACAGAAGTCTTGTGTTGGGAGGCGGGGCGTGGTGGCTCACGCCTGTAATCGCAGCACTTTGGGAGGCGGGCAAATCACGAGGTCAGGAGTTCAAGACAGCCTGGCCAACATGGTGAAACCCCATCTCTACTGAAAATACAAAAATTACCGAGCACAGTGACAGGTGCCTGTCATCTCAGCTACTCAGGAGGCTGAGGCAGGAGAGTTGCTTGAACCCAGGAGGTGGAGGCTGCAGTGAGCTGAGATCACACCACTGCACTCCAGCCTGGGAGACAGAGCAAGACTCCATCTGGGGTGGGGGGTGCGGAAGAAGTCTGGTGTTGGTTGTTGAGTGTGGCCGTGAGAGCGGAGGAAAAAAGAATTTGAATTTTTTCTTAACACCTAGGCAATGACAACGCTCATCTGCCATAAGAATGTTCTATAAAATGCACATCTTTTACTCAAGGCAATTCTGCCCCTCAACAATGTAAGTATTTGGCTCATCTTCTACAAGCCCGACACCTGCAGCTTTGGGGTCACTGAAGGCAATATGGTTTTGGACATTTCCTGGGCGGCTGCTTTCACACAGACCTCCTCCTAGCAACCCTGAGCGGGGCAAGGCATGCAAAATGCTCAGTAAAAAAGGTTCTTTCTGCAACAAGGACTGCTGTCTGCCTGTGGCAGCACACAGGGTCCCTAGGACTGCTCAACAGAGAAACAGAGACCAGAAACCTGGGGCCAGGGAGACTGGGCAGGAGGCCAACCCAGGACAAGGGGCAGAGGGCTGCCCTAGGCCTATGGAAAGGCAATGGGGCTGCATGGACCCAGCCCCGAACATGGACCAAACTCAGTAGATGCTAACAAAACTTAAACGTGGGGCACTTTGGGAGGCCAAGGTGGGTGGACCACCTGAGATCAGGAGTTCGAGACCAGCCTGGCCAACGTGGTGAAACCCCGTCTCTACTAAAAATACAAAAAATTAGCCAGGTGTGGTGGTGGGCGTCTATAATCCCAGCTACTCGGGAGGCTGAGGCAGAAGAATTGCTTGAACCCGGGAGGCGGAGATTGCAGTGAGCTGAGATCGCAACATTGCACTCCAACCTGGGCAACAACAGCTAAACTCCAGCTCAAAAAAAAAAAAAAAAAAGCAAAACTTAAATGTAGGGTGTGCACTTTCCATGAGGCATAAAGGGGCATCATATGCTGAACCCTCAGCCTCCCAGGTGCTCTGATTCTAGAACAGCACCGACAGCCCAAAGGATGGGCATCATGGGCCCCTGTTGGTTTTAAGTGGATAGAGAAAGGAAGATGTAGCTTTTAGAGTCCTGCTTATACACATATGTAAAATAATAACGTATTTATGTGTATAAACAGGAACTTAAAAGCTGCAATGGACTGCTGTTTACTCACATTAAGACTTACAAACATGCAACCCAACACAGGGCTCGCGCCTGTCATCCCAGCACTTTGGAAGGAGGCTGAGGCAGGCAGATCACTTGAGGCCAGCAGTTTGAGACCAGCCTGGCCAACATGGTAAAACCCAGCCTCTACAAAAAGTACAAAAATTATTCGGGTGTGGTGGAACACACTTGTAATCCCAGCTGCTCGAGAGGCTGATCAGCACACAAAAATCACTTGAACCTGAGAGGCGGAGGTTGCAGTGAGCTGAGATCGTGCCACTGCACTCCAGCCTGGCCATAGAGGGAGACTCTGCCTCAAAAAAAAAAGACTAACAAATGTGCCATTTCCATTGACAAAGCAGCTTCAAGCAGCACAGCTGGAGACAGAGGTGGGCCAGGGAGAGCCAGTGTCCCTCACACACTCCCTGTCTCTACCTCCTTGGGTCAATCTCAGCATGGGGTAAGGATCTTTTGCTCTGATGGCAAAATTCAGCGTTCCAACAGTCTGGAGCTGTACAGCTGATAACTGCAGTCTTGGATGTCTAAACACAATCTTGCTTTTGGAAACTCACTCAAAATAGGATACAGGAGACGCGGAAGCTCACCTGGCCTTTCTTTTTAGTTTCATCCTAACATACTGTGTTCGGAGGGCAAATGTCTGGAGTCTGGCACAGCAGACTAGACGTCAAAGGAAAACAGTTCCTGTGTTCCAGTTTCTCAATACTTTGGCCATTGTCTAGTCTAGCCTGATCCAAGACCCCGGGCAAGACCTTTTGACAGCTTTTGACGGGCTCTCCTCCACTGCCTAACATGTTAACCCTTTCACCCAGAAGGCACTTTTACAAAGCATATTCCCATGTGCAATTTGCAGGGACATCAGGAGTTACAGCATTTGGAGATCCAGTTCCATCCATGACTTTGGACAAGGCCCTCGAATTCTGTGCCCCAGTTTCCCTATCTATAAAACGGACGTAGAAAATGTGTTATTAGACACTGCCTGCGCTTCTCTGGAGGAAAGCACTCTGCTGTTAACCCTTAAACACCCTTAGGAGATGGGCACTTATGGAAGGAAAAAAACCTCTCCGGGTGTCAGGCTCTACACCCCAGGTGGAAGTTCTTGCTCTCTGGGGGTTATCTGAGAATCTGGTGAAAACTTAGACCCTCTTCTGAAAAACATATCCCACACCACACCAAACTTAAAGAAAGTTCTGTGGGGGTGGGGAGATGCTGTGGCGGCAGATGCCGGGTTCAGATCTCCGGCTCTGCAGGCTTTTTCGGGAACGTTAACTTGAGTCAGCCACGACCTTAATTAAGATTTGAGAAAACAGAAGCCCGCCCAGGACCCTAGGAGATGCTTCTTCACTTGGGGGGGCTACAACAGAGCCCTCGCGAGCATCCTGCAGCTTCGGACCACCGGCGGCAAACAAAGCCCGAGCACCGCTCAGCCGGGGGGCTTCCCCGACCTCGGGGGAGGGCTCTGCGGAGCATGCGCGGCGGCCGTCAGGCCCCGCCCCCCCCGGGCGCCGGAGCCGAGGCGGCGGGAACCTCAAAGCCCCGGCGCAAACGGCCGCTCCCCGCAGAGCGCCGGCCGCCCCCTCCCCGCGGCGCCCGGGCGCAGCGGCGGCCACGGACGTGTGGGGCCCGCTGGCCGCCCCCTCTTCCAGGCCGGGCGAACTTACCGAGGTCCCCTTTCCCGGGGCGGGGGGGGAGGGGCGCAGAGGGAGCTGTGGGGGCGGGGCCATGACCCCCTCGTGCGGGCTTCGGCCGCCCCTCCCCCGCCGCGGGCCCGGGCGCGCGCCCCAACCGCCAACCGCCCGCGCGGTGCCCGGGGTCGGGTAGGCCGCGGGCCGCGCGCCCCGTACCGAGCCCTTTTGTTGCGCGGAGGCGGAGGCAATGATTCAGCCCGCGGCCTGCGCCGGCCCGGCCGCCGGGAGGGAGCGTGACGCGAGGCGGCCCCCGGCTGGAACGCGCGCCGTGCCGCGTCGCTGAGCCCGCCGGCCCCGGCCCTGCGCCCACCCGTCTACCCTGACCCTCACTCACGACGCGCTCCTTGGTGTGCTCGGGTTCGGTGATGACCACGGCCGCGCCGCCCGCCTTGCCTGCTGTCGCCGGCCGCGCCGCGCGCTTGCCCCCGCCGGGGGCCCCGTCGAGCTCCAGGCCGTCCTCGTCGCCGCTGCTGCCGCCGCCGCTGCTGCTACTGCAGCGCTCGGGCCGCTCGCGCTTCCTGCCCGCCGGGCCGCCGCGTTTCCTGGGCCCGGCGCGGGCAGTGCCGTTGCCCGAGCTCGGCTCCTCCCAGGCCGCCGCCGCCGCCTTCTTCCTGGGCATGGTCGCGGCTGGAGGGAGACACGGGGCAGCGGCGCACAATGGACGGGTTATAAACTGCGCGGGGGGAGGGGAGCGGAGACGAGCCACCCGGCCTCCACTTCCTCCTCTGCCCTCCCCAAAGTGGCGGCCGCAGGGTGGGCGGAGAGGGGGCGAGTTGGGAGAGGAAATCGCGCCCCTCCCTGGCCCCGGCGCGGCTCCTTCGGGGAATCCCGCAGGGCAGCCGGGAGCCCCAGAGGCAATCCCCTGGAGGGAGAATTGAGACCCCCGGCCTATCCGTAAGTTAGGTTTGCCCACAAAGCATCACAGTTGCAACCTCGCCCCCCAAAAGTAAAGGGAAAGTAAAACCAGCCTCCAGTCCCCTAGATTTTCATTAAAGAAGGCTTCGGGACACTTCCAGGATTCCCCCTTGGCACCTGGGTGGTAAGGGAGCCCCTGCTCCCCGGCTACCCCACCTGCTGCTTTTGTCTCCGCAGTCTCCCCCCAAACCCACTCATGGCATTTAATGCAACGCTCTCCCCCACCCCGCATCAGCCCTGGACCCCCGTTCGGCCCCAGCTCAGGGGTGCCGACCTCGGGCTCTAGTTAGCCGAATCCCTACGGCGGACTGCCCCCGGCGACGGGGGAAGAGCCCGAAGAAAGCTGGACCCCAGCCCCAAACACCTGCTCGCACAGACACGAAAAATAAAAACTTTAATGGTGCCCAACTCTCTCCCAGCCCCCTTGCCGGCCGTGCGGCCCGGCCGGTCTCCGATTCGACTGCAAAGTGTCCAGGGCCGCCGCCAGCTCCCCGGCGTCCCTGCGCTCTCCCCTGTCTGCTTTTTTTTTTTTTTTTAATTGATTTTGAACAATGGGATCTCTGTCTGTCTCCGATTAAACCACGTGGATCCGCCTTCCTTCCTCTTTTTATTCCTTCAATCACCCAGCCCCCCTCCCCCAGGTTTTTTTTTAACCTTTTCTCTTTAAAAAAAGGAAAAAAAAAAAAACTTTCCCAGACCCCACAAACTGATCACTGTCGATTTTCAGACCCTACCTGGTTGGAGTGATGAGAAACCGGAGAGAAAAAAGGAAGAGAAGCAACTAAAAGACGGATCGGAGGGCTTTTTTTTTTCCGGCCCAGACGAGGGCTCCAGCCCACTCACCAGATACACTTAAAATGTAAATACGAGCTTCCAGAACAAATGCTACAACACAAAACAGAAACACATGTGCGGCCGCGCGGCAAGCGAGCGCGCGGCGGGGCGGGAGGCGCGGGGCGCGGGGCGCGCGCGCCCCCTGCCGGCCGGCGGACCCGTTGCCGGCGCCCCCGCCCCGCCCGGCCTGGCCCTGCCCTGCCCACCCGAGCCTGCGCCGCGCGCCGCGCGCCTCGCCGCCCGCCTCGGCTCCGCTGCTCCTGCGCCTTTCGCGGGCCCGCGAGCGCGCTTTGGGCCTTCCACGCAGTGCGGCCTGCGCGTCAGGGACTTCTTTGCGGCTTAGGAGGATGTTGGATTGTTTTTCCTGGGCACGTCTAGACAGGTCACATGAGGACACTCGCTGGAAAATAGTTACTTCGCTCACGCAGCAGCCAACAAGGGACGTGCCCTAATTGAGTGATTGGAATGAAAGATGAATACAATTTGAATAATTTTTTCCTGTGCAGAGAGAAGCTGAGTTTTATTTGCCTGTGGATGTGTCCTCAGTATGTAACAAGGTGCTGTGACACGGAAGAATCACATAAAGGTTTGCTGTATTAGTGAATTAATTCATAATTAATTTGAGGGCCGTGGAGGCACTGGAAGCTGGCTTTGAGGGGAACTTTTTCATTTTTTGCCAAATATTTACTGAGCCCCCGGTACATGCAAGACCCACAGTGCCCGGGGCTGCAGAGCCAGTGAACAAGGTTTCCACCCCAGTGGAACGCACAGCCTAACGGAAAGACAGATCAGTAAACAAGTAATTACAACAGTGGTAAGCTTTACAAAGTGATGCCTGTGTAGGAACATTATGGCGAGGGGATTTATCCTAGTCCAGGGCCAGGGAAGGCATTCAGGTGGAAAGTTATGCTGAACAACTTAAAGGATGAATAAGACCCGATGAAAGGGGGCAGGAAAAGTATTCCAGGCCAGGTGGAGTGAACGGGACGCTCCACATTTCGAGATCTTGAGAGACACCTCCTGGGAGGGAAGCTGTCTGGTGGGGCTGGGGTGAGAAGAGCCAAGAGGCTGGGTTCTGAGGAGGTAGGCAGGGGTGCGAGGGCCTGCATAGACCCTAGTGAACCGCAGTGAGGCTTGATCTCGTTCGCGTGTCCTGGGACGGGTGAAAAAAGCCTTGCTTGCTTCCTACCGGTCTCCACCCTCCACCTCTCCACCCCACTTCCATTACGATCTCACCGTCACTTGCTCTCCTCTCAAAGCTTTTCTCCTGCTTCTTTTTTCCTGAGGCGTACCGCACAAGGAAGTTCCTTCTTCAGGCAACTTCTTGAAAACGCATAAAGTTCTAGGATTTTTGTGATTCATTCATTCATTGTTAGTGCAAGAAACAGGACTGGGAAGCATCAAGTGTCCTGTAAAGGAAGACAGAGAAACCAAGAGGCCCAAATCTAAGGTATTTGATCAAAGTCAAAAGTCTGTGTGTCAAGAGAGCTGAGAGTGCTTATGTAAAAGAACTTTGGAAATGAGAAATCAACTGGTACGTTTCAGAGATTTTCAGAAAAGTCAAGATGGAATAGAAGCACCCTTTGAAAGCCTATTCTTAATAGACCTGCATTTAAAAAGATTTTTTAGAGGTTAAACTTTGACGCTTTGATATAAAGCATAAGTAGAACCAACCAGAAAAGAATTTCGCCTAAATATGCCATCAAGTCCCCTTCAGGAAATGGCATGCTGATGCTTGTCAGCCGAGGCGGGTGGCTGGGTGTTTATCCTCTAAACACCCTGTGTGGCCAATTAGGAACACCACTGACAGTACCTTTAGATTTCAGTCTGCAAGTCTTTTCCTTTTTTCTCCTGCCCCTTTATAATGCTTTTTGCCAGCTTAAAAGACTCATGCCTCAGACACACTGATGCAATGAGACGCTAATATCATATTGCATCATCTGATCCTAGGTGTGGTGCTCCTGAAACTGGTTTTTCTTGAGGTTATGCTGCAGTAGAAAAGCACTTTGGGTATAACACCCTGGAACTGGCCCTACTTGTCAGAAGACAAAAGTAATTTTTGCAACTCCATGCCTCAATTCCACACCACTATTCTCCCAGGGAAAGCCTGCGTGACTCTCCCGGCTGGAATTGGGTGTGCAACAGACATTCATCAGTTAGGCGTGTCATGCTGCCACTTATGTAACAAATGTTACATAGTGAGGTGCACCTACAGGCAAGCTGAAAATGACACTTCCTCCTTCAAACTGTGCTTGGAATTTCACCTCGCTTCTAATTGAGCAAATTCTCCAGGGACAGGATGGTTTGGTGCAAAACCGGGAGAGGGGAAGGGAAAGAAGGTGGCTGAGATTTCTCTGACACTTTGAGGCACAGGTGTCTGGCACTGTGCTGAGCATTTTACACCCAGAATTTTGGAAATGTGGCTGCAAGTGCCAGCCTGCCGTCACTCTTTAACCTCATCTTCAGCAAAATCATATTGCAAGTTAGATTCAGCTACGCTTAAGTTCTTTTCCAGGGGTGAGGTGTGATTTTTTCTTTCTTTTTTTTTTTTTTTTTTTTATTTTTTTAGATAGAATCTTGCTCCTCCAGCACCCAGGCTGAAGGGTGATGGTATGATCCCAGCTTACTGCAGCCTCTACCTTCCTTGCTCAAGCGATCCTCTCGCTTCAGCCTCCCAAGTAGCTGAGACCACAGGCATGGACAGCTACACTTGGCTAAATTTTTTTTCTTTTTTAATGTTTTGTAGAGACAAGGTCTCTCTCTGTTGCCCAGGCTGGTCTCGAGTGGTCCTCCCACCTCAGCCTCCCAAAGTTGCGGGATTATAGGGGTGAGCCACTGTGCACAGCCTCAGAAGTATAATTCATTTTTTTTTTTCTTTTGAGGTGGGGTCTCGCACTGTCACCCGGGCTGGAGTGCAGTGGTGGCAACCTCCACCTCCCAGGTTCAAGCAGTCTCCTGCCTCAGCCTCCCAAGTAGCTGGGATTACAGGCGCATACCACCACGCCTAGCTAATTTTGTATTTTTAGTAGAGACGGGGTTTCACCATGTTGGCCAGGCTGGTCTTGAACTTCTGACCTCGTGATTTGCCCGCCTTCGCCTCCCAAAGTGCTAGGATTACAGGCGTGAGCCACTGTGCCCAGCCTCAGAAGTGTAATTCTATTCAACTTGGCTACAGAAAGCTACACCTGTACTTGAAAGATTAATTTTCTGATCCAGTGTCTATAAAAATGAAACCAGTGATCCTGGGAGTGATGCGCTAACCAATGGAAACGATTCTTTCTCTTTTTTTTTTTTTGGAAACTGGGTCTCACTCTGTCACCTAGGCTGGACTGTAGTGGCGCCATCTTGGCTCACTACAGCCTCGACCTCCTGGGGTCAAACAGTTCTCCTGCCTCAGCCACCCTAGTAGCTGAGACTGTAGACGTGCACCTCCACGCCCAGCTAATTTTTAAAATTTTTTTGTGGAGACAAGGTCTCACTATGTTCCCCAGGCTGGTCTCAAACTCCTGACCTCAAGCAATCCTTTTGCCTTGGCCTCCCACAGTGCTAGGATTATAGGCATGTGTCACTGTGCCTGGCTTCTTTTTACTCTTTTCAATGTGACTACCACAAAATTTAATATTACATATTAAGTTTTTTGTAGCTCATATGTTATTCCTGTTGGACATCACAGCCTTCGAAAGCATAGCTGGAAAACCAGTAATTTCCTCCAGACCCCACTCTTTCTGCATCTGTTCTCTAGTTTCTCCTCTCTGTAAAATGGCAAGATAGAGTTTGGGCTAAATTTCTCTTGAGGTTACTTCTGGATTTCGTATTCCCTGATTCTGAGGACAGTAGTCAGCGGGGAATCCCTGTCATAGTGTTTGGAGAGATGTTTTCTGGGAGATGCAGATCCGGTCGTCCTATTTCTGCCAATGAGTCATGAAATTTTCAAACGCAGAGTCTTTAAATATTGTAGTTGGACCTTTAAGTTCTCTGTCTGTGAGGCATGCCTGGGCTTGGCTTGTGGCTTCTTCATCTTTGTTTTTCTAGCAAGCACCCAGAGCAGCCCGGCGTGTAGTAAGCTGTCAATATATGTTTGTTCATCTAAATAATATCCAGCGGAAGAACTGAAGCCCAGGGAGATGCTGAGGCCTCCTGAGGCCACACAGCTGGCAGATAGGATAGCCAGGAAGTGTACAGGCATCTGCATCAGTAGGAGGATTGTCAGAAACACAGAATCTGGCCAGGCGTGGTGGTACACGCCTGTAATCCCAGCACTTTGGGAGGCTGAGGCAGGACGATTGCTTGAGCCCAGGAGTTGGAGACCAGCCTGGACAACATGGTGAGACCCCATCTCTACAAAAATTAGAAAAAAATTAGCCAGCCGCGGCCAGGCGCAGTGGCTCACGCCTGTAATCCCAGCACTTTGGGAGGCCGAGGCGGGCAGATCACTTGAGGTCAGGAGTTCGAAACCAGCCTGGCCAACATGGTGAAACTCCCGTCTCTGCTAAAATATACAAAAATTAGCCGGGCGTGGTGGCAGGCAACTTAATCCCAGTTACTTGGGAGGCAGAGGCAGGAGAATCGTTTGAACCCGGGAGGCGGAGGTTGCAGTGAGCCAAGATCGAGCCATTGCACTCAAACCTGGGGGATAAGAGTGAGACTTCTCTCAAATAAAAGAAAAGAAAAGAAAAAAATTAGTCAGGTGTGGTGACGCAAACCTGTAGTCCCAGCTACTTTGGAGGCTGAGGTGGGAAAATCGCCAGAGCCTGGGAAGTCCAGGCTGCTGTGAGCCATGATCATGCCATTGCACTCCAGCTTAGGTGACAGAGTGAGACCCTGTCTCAAAAAAATAAAAATAAACACTGAATCTCAGGTTCAGCCCCCAGACCTACTGAATCAGAATGTGTTTTTTTTTTTTTTTTTTTTTTTTGAGTTGGAGTTTCCCTCTTGTTGCCCAGGCTGGAGTGCAGTAGCGCAATTTGGGCTCACTGCAACCTCCACCTCCCAGTTCAAGCGATTCTCCTGCCTCATCCTCACAAATAGCTGGGATTACAGGCACCTGCCACCACACCCAGCTAATTTTTTGTATTTTTAGTAGAGACGGGGTTTTGCCATGTTGGCCAGGCTGGTCTCGAACTCCTGACCTCAGGTGATCCACCCACCTCGACCTCCCAAAGTGCTGGAATTACAGGCGTGAGCCATCACACCCGGCCCAGAATGTGCATTTTTAACAGGTGATTTTTATGCATCTTAAAGTATGAGAGGTGCAGCCAGGCATGGTAGCTCACACCTATAATCCCAGCACTTTGGGAGGCTGAGGCGGGCAGATCACCTGAGGTCAGGAGTTCGAGACCAGCCTGACCAACATGGAGAAACCCCGTCTCTACTAAAAATTAGCCGGGCGTGGTGAGCGGAGATTGCGCCATTGCACTCCAGCCTGGGCAACAAGAGCGAAACTCCATCTCAAAAAAAAAAAAAGTATGAGAAGTGCTACTGAAATCATACCACTTTTCCATACCCTGTGGAAGCCATTCAAAAGGTGGTTTCTCATACTTTAAGATGCATCTAGCTGGGCGCAGTGGCTCACGCCTGTAATCCCAACATTTTGGGAGGCCGAGGAGGGTGGATCACGAGGTCAAGAGATCGAGACCATCCTGGCTAACACGGTGAAACCCCGTCTCTACTAAAAATACAAAAAATTAGCCAGGCATGGTGGCGGGTGCCTGTAGTCCCAGCTACTCGGGAGGCTGAGGCAGGAGAATGGCATGAACCCGGGAGGTGGAGCTTGCAGTGAGCAGAGATCGCGCCGCTGCACTCCAGCCTGGGCGACAGAGCAAGACTCCGTCTCAAAAAAAAAAAAAAAAAAAAAGATGCATCTAGTCCAGGGTGAGGAGGTCCAGGATGCAGAATACCAAGACTCACCAAGCTGGCTGATGTGGTTAGGCTTTGTGTCCCCACCCAAATGTCATGTTTTTATTTATTTATTAATTTATTTATTATTTATTTTTTTATTTTTTGAGACGGAGCCTTGCTCTGTTGCCCAGGCTGGAGTGCAGTGGCGCGATCTTGGCTCACTGCAGGCTACGTCCCCTGGGTTCACGCCATTCTCCTGCCTCAGCCTCCCGAGTACCTGGGACTACAGGCGCCCACCACTTCGCGTGGCTGATTTTTTGTATTTTTAGTAGAGACGGGGTTTCACCGTGTTAGCCAGGATGGTCTCGATCTCCTGACCTCGTGATCAGCCCACCTCAGCCTCCCAAAGTGCTGGGATTACAGGCGTGAGCCACTGCGCCCAGCTATTTATTTATTTATTTTTATTTTATTTTATTTTTTTGAGATGGAGTCTCACTCTGTTGCCCAGGCTGGAGTGCAGTGATCTTGGCTCACTGCAGCCTCTGCCTCCTGGTTCAAGCAATTCTCCTGTCTCAGCCTCCCAAGTAGCTAGGATTACAGGCACACACCAGCACACCTGGCTAATTTTTGTGTTTTTAGTAGAGATGGGGTTTCACCATGTTGGCCAGGCTGGTCTCAAATTCCTGACCTCAAGTGAGCCACCACGCCCGGCCTCCTGCTGCCTTTTGAAGAAGGTGCCTGCTTGCCCTTCTGCCATGATTGTAAGTTTCCTGAAGCCTCCCCAGCCATGCTGAACTGTGAGTCAATTAAACCTCCCTTGTTTATAAATTACCCAGTCTTGGGTAGTATTTTTATAGCAGTGTGAAATCGGACTAATACACTGGCCTAATGAAGACTTAAGGAAATTCAACAGATATTTACTGACCCTCTACACTGCCCCGGGCCTGGCAGCTGGTGCACCCACTTCTCTTCCTGAGGGTTGGAGGAGCTCACGCTTTTGCAGCCCCTGTTGCCTGCATCTGAAGGAGTAAGCAACCACTTCACAGTTTTGCCATCAGCTGGGCCTGCTCTTCCTCCTTTAGTACAGGAGAAATTTGAAATGAAAATGAGCACACCTTGGGAGTTAAATCTAATTTTTCAGGAAAAACAGGATCGAAATCACTTTCATCAATGTCTGCCTGTTAGTTTGTAACCACCGGCGCTCCCAATCTGCAGGAGTGTTTGCATTCATGTTGTGTTCCTGGCTTGAGATAGAGCCACAATTTGTAAAGCTGGTCTGTAATCAATAGCTCTCCAGTCGGCCGGGCGCGGTGGCTCACGCCTGTAATCCCAGCACTTCAGGAGGTCAAGATGGGTGGATCATGAGGTCGGGAGACTGAGACCATCCTGGCCAACATGGTGAAACCCCATCTCTACTAAAATACAAAAAATTAGCTGGGCGTGGTGGCACGTGCCTGTAGTCCCAGCTACTCAGGAGGCTGAGGCAGGGGAATCGCTTGAACTCGGGAGGCAGAGATTGCAGTGAGCCAAGAGTACCACTGCATTCCAGCCTGGGTGACAGAGCGAGACTGAGTCTCAAAAAAATAAATAAATAAAGGCTCTCCAGTCATTTTCTAAGACTATCCCTCACCTAAGCTTGCAAATAAAAGCTAACTTCTGCAGAGATTCCATCTTCCCCTGCCAGTGGGCAATATGGATGTATAGTCATGAGATTAGAAAAAGAGAGGCTGGCCAGGCACGATGGCTCACGCCTATAATCCCAGCACTTTGGTAGGCTGAGGCAGGCAGATCACCTGAGGTCAGGAGTTAGAGACCAGCCTGACCAACATGGGGAAACCCCGTCTCTACTAAAACTATAGAAATTAACCAGGCGTGGTGGCAGGCACCTGTAATCCCAGCTACTCCGGAGGCTGAGGCAAGAGTATCGCTTGAACCTGGGAGGTGGAGGTTGCAGTGAGCCAAGATCATGCCACTGCACTCCAGCCTGGGTGACAGAGTGAGACTCTGTCTCAAAAAGAAAAAGAGACAGAGGCACAAACAAAGTGCAGGTCCTACAGCTGTTCATCCAGCATCGATTGCGAAATGAAGCCTAGCGGGTGGGCGACTTTTGGGTGAGGTCAAGAACCATGAGAGTTGGAATGGACGAGAAAAACCAAGGCTTTGGGCCCAGCTGCAGAACTGTGTCATTTGCCGGGAAGGTTAATGACAAGGCCAGAAGGAGTGCCGCCTGTTTAATGTATCAGGTGGCCCTGGTGGCTGGGAATCATTGCATTTCAGGCCACGTCATGTCATGCAAAAGCATAATAACCTTTTGAAAAATGAAGAAATCGATCCCGTGGGGAGTCCCTGCAGTGCCAAATATCTGGACTGTCTGATTTTCACATTCACTAAGTGGCCTGAGTCAGCTAGATGAAGCAGAGGAGTTCTTAAATAGAACCAAGATGCTCTCTCTGGTGTGCACTGAGCTCTTACCTTGCGCCAGACATTGGGCCAGGCACTCCCCGTAAAAAGCTGGTTTCATCTTCATAACATCCATGCAACACGGATACTTTTGTGGGTCCCCGTATTAGTTTGCTAGGGCTGCCATAACAAAGTACCACAGACAGGGTGGCTTAAAATCAGAACCTTATTTTCTCACAGCTCTGGAGGCTGTAAGTCTAAGACCAAGGGGTCAGCAGGGTTGGTTTCTTCTGTGGCCTCTCTCCATAGCTTGTAAATGCCACCTTCTCTCTTGTCTTCACGTGATCTTCCCTCTGAGTGTGTCTGTGTCCTCATCTTTTCTTACAAGGATACCGGTCACATTGCATTAGGGCCAGTGTAATGACCTCTTTTTAACTTTATTACCTCTTTTGAGACCCTATTTCCAAATACAGTACAGCCACATTCTGAGATACTGGTGGTTTGCACTTCAGCATATGGACTCGGGGGGACGTATTCATCCCCTAACAGTCCATTTTATAGATCTGGAAGCCAAGACATAAGTTAAGAAACTTGTTCACGGTCTCACAGGTGGAAGTGGTGAAGTCAGAATCTGAAAACCCATTCTTTCTTTTTCTTTTCTTTTCTTTTTTTTTTTTTAGAGATGGTGTCTCACTCTGTCTGTCAGGCTGGACTGCAGCCTCAGTCTCCTGGGCTCAAGCAATTCTCCAGCCTCAACCTCCGGAGTAGGTGGGACTATATGCGTGTGCTACCGTGCCCGGCTAATTTTTTCATTTTTAGTAAGAGATGAGGGCTTGCTGTGTTGCCCAGGCTGATCTTGAACTCCTGAACTTAAGTGATCCTCCCACCTCGGCCTCCCAAAGTACTGGAATTACAAGCATGAGCCACCTTGTCTATTTTCTTTTTGTTGTTGTTAATTTGTGTGTGTGTGTGTGTGTGAGATGGGAGTCTCACTCTGTCGCTGAGGCTGGAGTGCAATGGCGTGATCTCAGCTCACCACAACCTCCGCCTCTCGGGTTCAAGCGATTCTCCTGCCTCAGCCTCCCGAGCAGCAGGGACCACAGGCATGCGCCACCACGCTAGGCTAATTTTGTATTTTTAGTAGAGATGGGGGTCTCTCCATGTTGGTCAGGCTGGTCTTGAACTCCCAACCTCAGGTGATCCGCCCACCTTGGCCTCCCAAAGTGCTTGGATTACAGGCGTAAGCCACCATGCCTGGCCCACCTCATCTATTTTCAGAGGCTGAGATTTATTGCCGCTAACTTCAGGGTTCCACCCAAGCCATTCCTACACTTATTCCACTGTCCCCACTGGCCTCTCCTTAAACACCCCCTCCTGTTAGGACTCCTGCTTGCTCCTTATCTTGCTATCTCTACAGAGGTCTTGGTTCTGAGGCTGGAAACAGAAGGGCCTCTGGAGTGAATAACACATGGTTCTGTGGGCTTTGAGTGTCACGCAGAGGCATCATCTTAAAAGACAATCTCGGCCAGGCGAGGTGGCTCATACCTGTAATCCCAGCACTTTGGGAGGCCGAGGTGGGTGGATAACCTTAGGTCAGGAATTCGAGACCAGCCTGGCCAACATGGTGAAACCCCGTCTCTACTAAAAATACAAAAATTAGCTGGGTGTGGTGGTGCATGCCTGTAATCTCAGCTACTGGGGAGGCTGAGGCAGGAGAGTCGCTTGAACCTGGGAGGTGGAGGTTGCAGTGAGCTGAGAACGCACCACTGCATTCCAGCCTGGGCGACAGAGTGAGACTCCATCTCAAAAATAATAAATAAATAAATAAATAAATAAATAAATAAATAAATAAATAAATAAAATAAGTGTTTGGATCATGAACACTTATGTGGTTCATAAAAGTGATTGAGTTTTCATGTTCATGTGTTGAATGTGCCTCCCTCAAACCTTGTTAAGTCATCAGCACATTACCCATTTGATGTGAACTTAGAAAAAAATAAAAGAGGGCCAGATAACAGTGGCTCACACCTGTAATCCCAGCACTTTGGGAGGCCAAGGTGGGTGGATCACTTAAGGTCAGGAGTTTGAGACCAGCCTGGCCAACATGATGAAACTCCGTCTCTACTAAATAAACAAAAATTAGCTGGGCATGGTGGTACATGCCTGTAATCCCAGCTACTCAGGAGGCTGAGGCAGGAGAATCACTTGAATCCAGGAGGTGGAAGTTACAGTGAGCTGAGTTGTCACCGCTGCAATCCAGCCTGGATGACAGAGTGAGACTCTGTCTCAACAAAAAAAAAAAAAAAAAGAAAATGTTTTTATTTAAAGAAAGACATTTACTCAGGTGTTGCATAGCTCTAGCAAAAATGAGGAAGATGGTTCCACAAACCACCTTGGCTTGAGGAATAGGATTTGATGCTTCTGGCTCCTCCCAACTCTGATGTTCTCCAGTCTACGATGGACCATGGCGTCTGACTGTCTAGAAAAATCCATGATGAAGGAAAGTTGGGTAGTGTACAAGAAAGCAAGCCTGCTTGAAGGCATGCATTGAATTACACAGGTTGGGTCCCAATCCACAGAAAGCCTTTTGCCTTTGAAAGTGTTACCAGGCGGAGCACTGGGGCTCACGCCTGTAATCCCAATACTTTGGGAGACCAAGGTGGGAGGATTGCTTGAGTCTGGGAGTTTGAGACCAGCCTGGGCAGCGTAGGGAGATCCTGTCTCTACATAAAATTTAAAAATTAGCTGGGCAGGCTGGGCGCGGTAGCTCACGCCTGTAATCCCAGCACTTTGGGAGGCCGAGGTGGGCGGATCACCTGAGGTCAGGAGTTTGAGACCAGCCTGGCCAACATGGTGAAACCCCGTCTCTACTAAAAATACAAAAATTAGCTGGGCATGGTGGCAGGTGCCTGTAATCCCAGCTACTCAGGAGGCTGAGGCAGGAGAATTGCTTGAACCTGGGAGGCGGAGGTTGCAGTGAGCCGAGATCACACCATTGCACTCCAGCCTGGGCTACAGAGCAAGACTCAGTCTCAAAAAAAAAAAAAAAAAAAAAAAAAAAAAAAAAAAAAAAATTAGCTGGGCATAATGGTGTGCATCTGCAGCCCCAGCTACTAAAGAGATTGAGGCAGGGGGCTCACTGGAGCCCAGAAGGTGGAATGAGTTATGCTCGCGCCACTGCACTCCAGCCTGAGCGGCAGAATGAGACCCTGTCTCAAAAAAATTTAAAAAAAGTAGAAAAAGTGTTGCCAAGTGTGCGACCTCGTCATCAGACAGTGGCAGGATTATGGGGCTCAGGAAGCAGGAAGTCAGCACCAAAGGAGGATGTACCTCGCTGGTGGGAGCCTGATCTTGGCCTATATGTAGGAAAGAGTCTTTTTTTTGAGATGGAGTCTCGCTCTGTCGCCCAAGCTGGAGTGCAGTGGCGTGATCTCGGTCCACTGCAACCTCCACCTTCCAGATTCAAGCAGTTCTTTGCCTCAGCCTCCCGAGTAGGTGGGACTACAGGTGCCCACCACCACACCTGGCTAATTTTTGTATTTTTAGTAGAGATGGGGTTTCACTATCTTGGCCAGACTGGTCTTGAACTCCTGACCTCGTGATCCACCGGCCTCGGCCTTCCAAAGTGCTGGGATTACAGGTGTGAGCCACTGCATGGGGCCAAGACAGTCATTTCTGTGTCCACTAGTTGCCCTGCAAAGTATCATTTTTAGCTGGAATCCAATCCTTCCTTTGAGGAATGAGAAAACTAAGACCCAGGGAAGCTGAGCTGTCTCCAAGTCTGAATCGAATGGAGGGGAACCATGTGTCCACGCCCTCGAGGCTGTGGCTTAGTCCCTGCCACTCTGACAACGAAACCACTCATTATTTTTCATCTTCTCGGCGGTTTAAATCACTGTTATTATGCACGCATTTTTCAAAAGAGTGCATTCCTTACCAAACCTCATTAAATTTCTCGAGACTTGAGCTGGTTCCCCTTCCTTGCTTCAGAGGGAAGGAGGGAATTTGGCTGACACAGAAGCATTTTCGTCCCATACCATCACCACCTGATGCTGTCTGTCCAAAACAGGGTGTTCGGGATGTCTGGGCAACCTGTCTGATACAGAGGGGGTTTCAAGATGACTCACAGAGCAGGGATGGGCACAGGTGACCCCACAGTCTCAAGCAGGGCCCTTCTGGGGCAGCTGAAAAGTGTGGACTAGAGCAAGAGATAGCTCTGGAACTGTTTGGGTTCAATTCCCAGCTCTAGCTGGTTGTGGGGGCTCATGCCTGTAATCCCAGCACTTTGGGAAGCCGAAGCAGGACAATCACTTCAGGTCAGGAATTTGAGACCATCCTGGTCAACATGGTGAAACCCTGTCTCTACTAAAAAATACCAAAACTAGCTGGGCATGGTGGCTTGTGCCTGTAGTCCCAGCTACTCGGGAGGCTGAAGCTGGAGAATCGCTTCAACCTAGGAGGCAGAGACTGCAGTGAGCTGAGATGGCGCCATTGCACCCCAGCCTGGGCGACAGAGACTCTGTCTCAAAAAAAAAAAAAAAAAAATCGGCCGGGCTCAGTAGCTCACGCCTGTAATCAAGCACTTTGGGAAGCTGAGGTGGGTGGATCACGAGGTCAGGAGTTCAAGACCACCTAGGCCAAGATGATGAAACCCCGTCTCTACTAAAAATACAAAAATTAACTGGGCATGGTTGCGGATGCCTGTAATCCCAGCTACTCCAGAGGCTGAGGCAGAGAATTGCTTGAACCTGGGAGGCGGAGGTTGCAGTGAACCAAGATCGCACCACTGCACTAAAGCCTGGGCGACAGAGCGAGACTCCGTCTCAGAAAAAAAAATCTTGTTTTAGACCAGAAAAAGCAGCTAAAAATAATACATGAGGAAGGTCCCGGCTCACATCAGTAAGATGCTTTCAAGTTTACAAAGCACATTCATCTTCCCTCTTGGGTCTCATGACCAGTTGGTGAGGACATGGGTCACAGATTATTATGCCCATTTTATAGTATGGGAAACTGAGACTCAGAAAGGTCAAGGGTCTTACCTTTTAACTTTTCTCTCTCTCTTTATTAGACTTGAAGCTTTGAGAGGGAGGGCTCAGACTTACCTTGTTTCCTGCTGTGTCCACAGGCTCAAGCACAGCTTCCAGAACATAGTATTTGTTCAGCAAATATTCTGCAGATGAGTGTAGTAATGAAGCTGTTCTCATAAGTTAATAAGAAATCATGGCAGAAAGAATGTTATAATTAAGCATTAATCAGGCTTCACTTTGACCCACTTCCTTATAACCAAAAGTCACCTAGCATTAGATATTGACTATTTGTATCCCCGTTATTCCTATAGATAGGAATTTTTTTTTTTTTTTGGATGGAGTCTCTGTTGCCCAGGCTGGAGTGCAGTGGCATGATCTCAGCTCACTGCAACCTCTGCCTTCCGGGTTCTAGCAACCCTCGTGCCTCAGCCTCCTGAGTAGTTGGGATTATACGCACATGCCACCACACCTGGCTAATTTTTCTATTTTCAGTAGAGATGGGAGTTTTGCCATGTTGCTCAGGCTGGTGTCGAACTTCTGACCTCAGGTGATCCGCCCACCTCGGCATCCCAAAGTGCTGGGATTAGAGGCATGGGCCACCACACCTGACCTCTATAGATAGCATTTCTGACATTAGAATCATAAGGATTTTGTTTAAATATTGTTTACAGCCAGGGGGACACAGTGGGTCATTCTTGTAATCCCAAAACCTGGGAAGGCCAAGGCAGGAGCATCTCTTGAAAACGGGAGTTTGAGACCACCCTAGGCAACACAGCGAGACCCTGTCTGTACACAAAATTTAAAAATACAAAATGAGGTCAGGCGCGGTGGGTCACACCTGTAATCCCAGCACTTTGGGAGGCCGAGGCAGGCGGATCATGAAGGTCAGGAGATCGAGACCATCCTGGCTAACATGGTGAAACCCCGTCTCTACTAAAAATACAAAAAAAAAATTAGCCAGGCGTGGTGGCAGGTGCCTGTAGTCCCAGCTACTCGGGAGGCTGAGGCAGGAGAATGGCGTCAACCTGGGAGGCGGAGCTTGCAGTAAGCCAAGATCACACCACTGCACTCCAGCCTGGGCGACAGAGACTTCGTCTCTAAATAAATAAATAAATAAATAGGCCGGGCGCTGTGGCTCATGCCTGTAATCCCAGCACTTTGGGAGGCCAAGGTGGGCGGATCACAAGGTCAGGAGTTCGAGACCAGACTGACCAACATGCTGAATCCCTGTCTCTACTAAAAATACAACAATTAGCCGGGGGTGGTCATGGGCACCTGTAATTCCAGCTACTCAGGAGGCTGAGGCAGGAGAATCACTTGACCCCGGGAGGTGGAGGTTGCAATGAGCCAAGATAGTGCCACTGCACTCCAGCCTGGACGACAGAGCAAGACTCTGTCTCAAAAAAAAAAAAAAAAAAAAGAGAAAAGGCTGGGCTCGGTGGCTCATGCCTGTAATCCTAGCACTTTAGGAGGGTGAGGCGGGTCGATCGAGGTCAGGAGATCGAGACTATCCTGGCTAACACAGTGAAACCCTGTCTCTACGAAAAACACAAAAAATTAGCTGGGCGTGGTGGCGGGCGCCTACAGTCCCAGCTACTCGGGAGGCAGAGGCAGGAAATTCACTTGAATCGAGGAGGCAGAAGTTGCAGTGAGCAGAGATTTTACCACTGCACTGCACTCCAGCCTGGGCAACAGAGCAAGACTCGCTCTCAAAAAAAAAATTAGCCGGGCGTGGTGGCGGGTGCCTGTAGTCCCAGCTACTTGGAAGGCTGAGGCAGGAGAATCACTTGAACCCGGGAGGCGGGGGTTTCAGTGAGCTGAGATTGCGCCACTGCACTCCAGCCTGGGTGACAGAAGGCTTCGTCTCAAAAATAAATAGGCCAGGCACAGTGGCTTGCCAGCATTTTGGGAGGCCGAGGCAGGTGGATCACCTGAGGTCGGGAGTGAGCGACCAGCCTGACCAACATGGAGAAACCGCGTCTCTATTAAAAATACAAAATTACCCTGGCGTGGTGGCGCATGCCTGTAATCCCAGCTACTCGGGAGGCTGAGGCAGGAGAATTGCTTAAACTCGGGAGGCGGAGGCTGCGATGAGCCGAGAACACGGTGAGCCGAGATTGCGTCGAGCCGAGATTGCACCATTGTACTCCAGCCTGGGCAACAAGATCGAAACTCCATCTCAAAAACGAAAGGTCGGGCGAGGTGGCTCACGCCTGTAATCCCAGCACTTTGAGAGACTGAGGCGGGTGGATCACAAGGTCAGGAGTTCGAGACCAGCCTGGCCAAATGCTGAAACCCCGTCTCTCCTAAAAATACAAAAATTAGCCTGGCACGGTGGCGGATGCCTGTAATCCCAGCTACTCGGGAGGCTGAGGCAGGAGAATCGCTTGAACCCAGAAGGCGGAGGTTGCAGTGAGCCAAGATCAGGCCCTGCACTCCAGCCTGGGTGACAGAGCGAGACTCTGTCTCAAAAAAAAAAAAAAAAAAAAAAAAAAAAACCCTAGCTCCAAACTCCTCAAGGAGATGGATTTGAGATTTCCTCCCATCTCCTCCTTCAGCAGCCCTATGATTGAACCTCTTTGTCTGCTGCAACCTGGTGTCTCAGTGTTTTAACTTGCCACGCACTGGACGAAGGACCCGTTATGGCTACAGTGATCCCCAAGATGATAAAACTAACCTGTAGCACAGTTTGGGTGAACATCCCTGGCACTTCTTTTCTTGGAACAAGATCTAGCAAATACCAACAAATGATAGGAGGGAATTTGTGATAAATGCTCTGAGAACTTCAGGAAAAGGAGAGGCCAAATTCAACCTTCGAGTTAAGAATGGTTTTTACATTTGAACCTCAGTTAAGCAAAATGTTATCTCCCAACCATTCAAATTTCATTCTGCTCATCAGTGGACAGATGATACAAAAATCCTACTCAATTACTACTATTATTTTAGAATTCGTTATAAAACAATAAAGCATTTGTGCCAGGTGTGGTGGCTCATGTTTATAACCCCAACACTTTGGGAGGCCGAGGAGGGTGGATCACTTGAGCCCAGGAGTTCAAGACCAGCCTGGCCAACGTGGTGAAACCCTGTCTTTACTAGAAATACAAAAATTGGCCAGGTGGTTGTGCGCACCTATAGTCCCAGTTACTTGGGAGGCTAAGGTGGGAAGATCACACTTGAACCCAAGAAGCGGAGGTTCCAATGAGCAGAGATCGCACAATTGCACTCCAGCCTGGGCAGCATGGCAAAACCCCATCTCTAAAAAAATACGAAAAAATGCCAGGCGTGGTGGCTCACGCCTGTAATCCCAGCACTTTGGGAGGCCGAGACGGGTGGATCACAAGGTCAGGAGATCGAGACCATCCTGGCTAACACAGTGAAACCCCGTCTCTACTAAAAATATGAAAAAATTAGCCGGGTGTGGTGGCGGGCGCCTGTAGTCCCAGCTACTTGGGAGGCTGAGGCAGAAGAATGTCGTGAACCCGGGAGGCGGAGGTTGCAGTGAGCTGAGATCGCACCACTGCACTCCAGCCTGGGCGACTGAGCGAGACTCCATCTCAAAAAAAAAAGAAAAAATTAGAAAAAGCAAAAAACAATAAAGCACTTGTGAAAAATTTGTTTTCTCTCATTATATGAGTACCCACATACAGCCATGTCCTTGGGCTTGACTCTTGGCTCACAAAGGCTAAAATATTTCCTTTCTAGGCCTTTACAGAAAAAGCCTGCCAAGCCACTCTTTTTTTTTTTTTTTTTTTTTTTTTAAGGTAGGGTCTCACTCTGTCACCCAGCCTGTAGTGCAGTGGCGTGATCAGGGCTCACGGCAGTCTTGAAATCCTGTGCTCAAGAGATCCTCGTGCCACAGCCTCCTGGGTAGCTGAGACCACAGGCATGCACCACCATGCCCCACAAATTTTTATTTATTTATTTAAGAGATGGAGTCTCACTCTATCGCCCAGGCTAGAGTGCAGTGCCGCGATCTCAGCTCACTGCAACCTCTGCCTCCCGGGTTCGAGGGATTCTCCTGCCTCAGGAATAGCTGGGATTACAGGCACGCGCCACCATGCCCAGCAAATTTTTGTATTTTTAGTAGAGACAGGGTTTTGCATGTTGACCAGACTGGTCTCAAACTCCTGACCTCAAGTGATCTGCCTGCTTTGGCCTCCCGAAGTGCTGGGATTACAGGCATGAGCCACTAAGCCTGGCTGCCCAGCTAATTTTTAAATTTTTTTATAGAGACAGGATCTCACTGTATTGCCCAGTCTGTGTTTTGTTTCTTGATCTGGGCGCTGGTTACATGGGGTATTAAATTTGTGAAAATTTATTCTGCTGTACACGTATGATATGTGGGCTTTATCTATCTATCTATCTATCTATCTATCTATCTATCTATCTACCTACCTATCTATCCATCCATCCATATATTATACCTCAGTGAAAAGTTTAACACAGGCCAGGTTCAGTGGTGTGTGCCTGTAATCCTAGCATTTTGGGAGGCTTAGGTGGGTGGATTGCTTGAAGCCAAGAGTTCGAGACCAGCCTGGGCAACATGGCAAAACCCCATCTCTACTGAAAATACAAAAATTAGCCAGGCATGGTGGTGCATGCCTGTAATTGCAGCTACTCAGGAGGCTGAGGTGGGAGAATCCCTTGAACCCAGGAGGCGGACGTTGCAATGAGCTGAGATCACACCGCTACACTCCAGGCTGGGCGACAGAGTGAGACTCTATCTAAAAAAAAAAAAAAAAAAAAAAAAAAAGAGGCTGGGTGCGGTGGCTCATGCCTGTATTCCCGGCACTTTGGGAGGCTGAGGCAGGCAGATCACCTGAGATCGGGAGTTCAAGACCAGCCTGACCAACATGGAGAAACCCCGTCTCTACTAAAAATACAAAATTAGCCGGGTGTGGTGGTGCATACCTGTAATCTCAGCTACTCGGGAAGCTGAGGCAGGAGAATCACTTGAACCTGGGAGGCGGAGGTTGCTGTGAACTGAGATGGCGCCATTGCACTCCAGCCTGGGCAACAAGAGCAAAAATACATTTAAAAAAAAAAAAGAGAATCTGCCTTCTGCTGGCTGGGCGCGGTGGCTCATACCTGTAATCCCAGCACTTTGGGAGGCTGAGGTCGGCGGATCACCTGAGGTCAGGAGTTCAAGACCAGCCTGGCCAACATGGTGAAACCCCGTCTCTACTAAAAATACAAAAATTAGCTGGGCATGGTGGCAGGTGCCTGTAATCCCAGCTACTTGGGAGGCTGAGGCAGGAGAATCGCTTGAACCCGGGAGGCGGAGGTTGCAGTGAGCCGAGATTGTGCCATTGCATTCCAGCCTGGGGGACAAGAGCAAGACTTCGTCTTTTTTTTTTTTTTTTTTTAGACAGAGTTTTTGCTCTTGTTGCCCAGGCTGGAGTGCAATGGCGCAATCTCGGCTCACTGCAACCTCCGCCTCCCGGGTTCAAGCGATTCTCCTGCCTCAGCCTCCCAAGTAGCTGGGACTACAGGCATGCACCACCATGCCTGGCTAATTTTTTGTATGTAGTAGAGATGGGGTTCCACCATGTTGGTCAGGCTCGTCTCGAACTCCTGACCTCAGGTGATCCACCCCCCTTGGCCTCCCAAAGTGCTGGGATTACAAGCGTGAGCTACCGCGCCCGGCCGAGACTTCGTCTGTTTTTTTTGTTTGTTTTTTTTTTTTTACTTTAAGTTTTAGGGTACATGTGCACAACGTGCAGGTTTGTTACATATGTATACATGTGCCATGATGGTGTGCTGCACCCATTAACTCATCATTTAGCATTAGGTATATCTCCTAATGCTATCCCTCCCCCTTCTCCCCAAGAGACTTCATCTTAAAAAAAAAAAAAAGAATCTGCCCTCTGCCCTTAAGGGGCTTTCATTCCAGTGGGCAGTGTCTATTACTTCAGACCCTCCACAAGACCTTTCACCATGTTCCTACCACCCAGCCATCCACCTTAGGATCCAGGCACTCCTGAATGTTAACTTTCCCCACACCAACCAAACATACACCCCAGAAAGAATGCCATCCCACGGCAAGGCTTCATGTCTAGAACCTATGCTCACCATCTGTCAGACTCCTATTCACCCTTCAAAGCCCTTTCCAAGGCTTCCCAGAAGCCTTCCCTGACTTACCAATAATGAGGATAGGGATGATGATATAGAGCAGGGATTATTGTTACAAACCTCAGTTCACAGAATGGAAAACTGAGGCCCAGAGAGGTAAAGTATCTAGTCCAAGGTTGAACTACTTTTTTTTTTTTTTTTTTTAAGAACAGAGGTAATGTAGGGTTTGAATGCAGGTCCTCCTGATATCAGAGTCAGCGATCTCAACCACACACACTACTGCTTCCATAACAGAAGAATATTTTCACACATCTGTGTTCCAAGTTTTGAATCTGGCCGGGCACAGTGGCTCATGTCTGTAATCCCAGCGCTTTGGGAGGCTGGGGCTGGCAGGTCAACTGAGGTCAGGAGTTCGAGAGCAGCCTGGACAACATGGTGAAACGCGGTCCCTGCTAAAAATACAACAATTAGCCTGGAGTGGTGGCTTGTGCCTGTATTCCCAGCTATTCGGGAGGCTGAGGTAGGAGAATCACTTGAATCCGAGAGGAAGAGATTGCAGTGAGCTGAGATCACGCCGCTGCACTCTAGCCTGGGCAACTGAGCAAGACTCCATCTCAGAAAGAAAAAAAAAAGTTTTGATTCCCTATCACATGCTTCATAAATTACAATGTCATGAAATCTTCATAACAGCCAAGTCTGGGTAATGGGTATAATACCTTGGGGCAGGTATTATTATTGTTATCATAGCTTTTTTTTTTTTTTTTGAGGTGGAGTTTCACTCTTGTCTCCCAGGCTGGAGGCTGGAGTGCAATGGCGTAATCTCGGCTCACGGCAACCTCTGCCTCCCGGGTTCACACTATTCTCCTGCCTCAGCCTCCCAAGTTGCTGGGATTACAGGCGTGGGTCACCATGCCTGGCTAATTTTTATTTTTCCGAGACAGTCTCGCTCTGTCGCCCAGGCTGGAGTGCAATGGTGCGATCTCAGCTCACTGCAACCTCCACCTCCCAGGTTCAAGAGATTCTCCTGCCTCAGCCTCCCCAGTAGCTGGGACCACAGGTGTGCGCCACCACGCCCAGCTACTTTTTGTATTTTTAGTAGAGATGGGGTTTCACCATGTTGACCAGGCTGGTCTTGAACTCCTGACCTCAGGTGATCCACCCGCCTCGGCCTCCCAAAGTGCTGGGCTGATAGGTGTGAGCCACTCTGCCCGGCCTGTTTTTACCATTGCTATTTTATACGTGCTCAGAGAGATGACCTAAGTTCCCAGAAGTGACACACGGGAAAGCGGCAGAGCTGGATTCAACCCAGGCTTGTGGAATCCCAGAGCCTATGCCCTTCCCTTCGCTGTGTCACATCTTCCTCTAAGGACCCAGTGAAACCCAAGTTCTCTGGGTGTGATTCACTCCCTGGAGTCCTCCGCCATCCAGAGGGTGGGTTCCGGAGTTGCCTCCTTCTCTGCATCCCAATTGGATTCCTCAGAGCCACCGCCTTCCTCCTGCCCAGCTCAGTGCAGGGTGCTCCGGCGCCTGGCATCTGAAGGATGTGCAGGCAGTGGCGTGATAGTGAGTGGGAGGAGGAGCCTCTGATCATCCACCAAGTTCAAACCTGCTTTTCCTGGCATGACCCTCAGCTAGGCAGCCCGGACTCTCCAGATGCCAGCCTGGCCATGCCAGGGGCCAAGGAGGATGCTTCAGGCAAAATCCCCACATGCAAGATGCTGGCTTCCCAGGGCTCCTCCAGGGTGGCAGGTGACAGGCATGTACGCTAGGGAGGGGACATCGGAGCTCTTCAGCCAAGCAACTCTGTTCGGAGAAAAAAGAAAAACCTTCAAGTCCTCGGGAGTGCCTCAAAGCAGAAACCTCAACCTGAAATACAGACCTCATTCAACCTGGCCGTGAATCCTTGCCACACCTTGCATTAGAGAAAGGCTCCTTTCCAAACCATTTCATGTGTGTGTTAAAAACCATTTCTGGGCGGGGCGCGGTGGCTCACGCCGGATCGCCTGAGGTCGGGAGTTCCAGACCAGCCTGGTCAGCATGGTGAAACCCCGTCTCTACTAAAAATACAAAAATTAGCTGGGCGTGGTGGCAGGTGCCTATAATCCCAGCTACTCAGGAAGCTGAGGCAGGAGAGTCGCTTGAACCCTGGAGGTGGAGATTGCAGTGAGCCGAGATCGCGCCACTGCACTCCAGCCTGGGTGACAACAGAGTGAGACTCCATCTCAAAAAAAAAAAAAAAAAAAAGAAAGAAAGAAAGAGAAAGAAGGCCAGGCGCAGTGGCTCATGCCTGTAATCCGAGCACTTTGGGAGGCTGAGGCGGGTGGATCACGAGGTCGGGAGATTGAGACCATCCTGGCTAACACGGTGAAACCCCGTCTCCACTAAAAATACAAAAAATTCTCCAGGCATGGTGGCGGGCGCCTGTAGTCCCAGCTACCCCGGAGGCTGAGGCAGGAGAATGGCGTGAGCCTGGGAGATGGAGCTTGCAGCAAGCCAAGATCGTGCCACTGCACTCCAGCCTGGGCGACAGAGTGAGACTCCATCTCAAAAAAAAAAAAAAAATGAAAGAAAGAAAAGTCTGAATCGATGACTAAACAAATCACAGGACTTTTCAGTAGTTAGTATTTTTTTTTTCAGGCTAGATTCCCCAAAGTAGAATTTCTGGGGTAAAGGGCGTGACTTTTTAAATTTTATTTATTTATTTATTTTAAGATGGCGTCTTGCCCTGTCGCCCAGCCTGGAGTTCAGTGGCACCATCTCGGCTCACTGCAACCTCCACCTCCCAAGTTCAAGCGATTCTCCTGCCTCAGCCTCCGGAGTAGCTGGGATTACAGGCGCACACCACCACGCTCGGCTAATTTTTTGTATCTTTGGTAGAGATGGGGTTTCACCATATTGGCCAGGCTGGTCTCGAACTCCTGACCTCGTGATCAGCCCACCTCGGCCTCCCAAAGTGGTGGGATTACAGGTGTGAGCCACTACGCTCGGCCACGGACATGACTATTTTTAAGACTCTTGATGCAAATTGCACACCCAAAGAGCAGGTGGTGCTTCCTACCTGTCTAAAGCAGTGCACAGCAGGACCCTCTCAGGTCCTGACATCAGTGTTGCATTTAAAATTCCTAACACCTGTCCAGGTGCGGTGGTTCATGCTTTTAATTCCAGCACTTTGGGAGGCCGAGGCAGCAGATCACTTGAGGTCACGAGTTCGAGAGCAGTCTGGCCAACATGGTGAGAGCCCATCTCTACTAAAAATACAAAAATTAGCCAGGCGTGGGCCGGGGGCAGTGGCTCACGCCTGTAATCACAGCACTTTGGGAGGCCGAGGTGGGCGGATCACGAGGTCAGGAGATCGAGACCATCCTGGCTAACACGGTGAAACCCTGACTCTACTAAAAATACCAAAAATTAGCTGGGTGTGGTGGCGGGTGCCTGTAGTCCCAGCTACTCGGGAGGCTGAGGCAGGAGAATGGCGTGAACCCGGGAGGCGGAGGTTGCAGTGAGCCAAGATCGCGCCACTGCACTCTAGCCTGGGCAACAGAGCGACACTCTGTCTCAAAAAAAAAAAAAAAATTAGCCAGGCGTGGTAGCGGGCGCCTACAACTCCAACTACCCAGGAGGCTAAGGTGGGAGAATCACTTGAACCCAGAAGGCAGAGGTTGCAATGAGCCGAGATTGCACCACTGCACTCCAGCCTGGGCTACAGAGTGAGGCTCTAAATAAATAAATAAATAAATAAAATTTCTAACACAAACCACCCTGTAGATAAGTACACTCAGCATATCTTTATTGAACGCATGAAAGGAAGAAGGGTTTGTTGTGATTTTTCTTTTGAGACAGCGTCTCCTTCTGTCACCCAGGCTGGAGTACAGTGTTGCAATCATGGCTTACTGCAGCCTTGACCTCCTGGCCTCCTGGCTCAGTAGTTGGAATCACAGGCACACGCCACCACACCTAATTTTTACACATTTTTGTAGAGACGAGGTTTCACCTTGTTGCCCAGGTTGGTCTTGAACTCCTGGGCTCAAGCAATTCTCGCACCTTGGCTTCCCAAAGTGCTAGGAATACAGATGTCAGCCCCATGCCAGGCCCCCTTTTGCATATCTTAACTTTAACTTTGTTTGTTTGTTTGTTTTGAGATGGAGTTTCATTCTGTCACCCAGGCTGGAGTACAGTGGTGTGATCTAGGCTCACTGGCAACCTCTGCCTCCTGGGTTCAAGCCAGTCTCCTCTCTCAGCCTCCGAGTAGCTGGGATTACGGGTACGTGGCACCACACCTGGCTAATTTTTGTATTCTTAGTAGAGATAGGGTTTCACCATGTTGGCCAGGCTGGTCTCAAACTCCTGACCTCAGGTGATCTACCCACCTCGGCCTTTCAAAGTGCTGGGATTACAGGCGTGAGCCACAGCGCCCGACAAACTTCTTTATATATGCATGCCAACAAAGAGTCAGACCCTGTAAAATATTTGAAGAGATTTATTCTGAGCCAAATATGAGTGACCATGGCCCGTGACAAAAGCCCTCAGGAGGTCCTGAGATGTGTGCCCAAGGTGGCTGGAGTGCAAGTTGTTTTTATACATTTTTGAGAGACATGAGACACCAATTAAATACACTTAAGAACTACATTGGCTTGGTCTAGAAAGTTAGGACAACTCGAAGCAGGGCGGGGTTGCTTCCAGGCTATAGGTGAATTTAAACACTTTCTGGTTGACAATTGGTTGAATTTGTCCAAAGACCTGGGATTCATAGAAAGGGAATGTTCAGGATAAGATAAATACTGTGAGCCCAGGCACAGTGGCCCAATCCCAGCACTTTGGGAGGCCAAGGCAGGCAGATCACCTGAGGTCAGGAGTTTGAGACCAGCCTGGCCAACATGGAGAAACCCTGTCTCTATAAAAATACAAAATTAGCCGGGTGTGGTGTTACATGCCTGTAATCCCAGCTACTCGGGAGGCTGAGGCAGGAGAATCGCTTGAACTCGGGAGGTGGAGGTTGCGGTGAGCCGAGATGATGCCATTGCACTCCAGCCTGGGCAGCAAGAGCAAACCTCCATCTCAGGAAAAAAAAAAAAAAAGATAAATATTGTGGACACCAAAGTTCTTTTGAAGTCTTATAGTGGCTGCTTTTAGAGACAATAAATGGCAAATGTTTCCTATTCAGATCTTAGTTAATCTCTATAGGATTGTGAGGTTCTGGAAGAAAAAGATCTAGCTATGTTAATAGAGATTCTTTACAGATGCAAATTTTCCCTAGCAAGGAACAGCTTTGTAGGGACATTTCAAAATATGACAAAGAAACATGTTTTGGGGTAAAATATTTTGATGTTCTTCCTTGTCTCATAATGTTATGCCAGAGTCAGTCAGGTTGGAAAGTCAGTCACAATACCTAGGGTTAAATAAAACCCATCTGAAGAGAATTTATGATTTGTAGGGCATGGCTCCCCAGACCCCTTAGATAGGAATTTGGGCAAGATAAAAATCAGAGTTTAGGCCGGGCGCGGTGGCTCACGCCTGTAATCCCAGCACTTTGGGAGGCCGAGGCAAGCAGATCACGAGGTCAGGAGATCGAGACCATCCTGGCTAACATGGTGAAACCCCGTCTCTACTAAAAATACAAAAAATTAGCCGGGCGTGGTGGCGGGCACCTGTAATCCCAGCTACTCGGGAGGCTGAAGCAGGAGAATGGTGTGAACCCAGGAGGTGGAGCTTGCAGTGAGCTGAGATTGTGCCACTGCACTCCAGCCTGGGCGACAGAGCCAGACAACGTCTCAAAAAAAACAAAAACAAAAAATCAGAGTTTAGTCCTCATGCCTCACATATGTGCCCAGGAAGTGGGTACTCCTGAAATCCCCGTTTCACAGATGAGGAAACTATGGTGGAGTATGAGAGGCTTGGCCAGGGACAGTATAAGAACAGGCACAGGCCAGGTGCGGTGGCTCACGCCTGTCATCCCAGCACTTTGGGAAGCCAAGGTGGGTGGATCACCCGAGGTCAGGAGTTCAAGACCAGCTTGGCCAACATGGTGAAACCCTGTCTCTACTAAAAATACAAAAATTAGCTGGGGATGGTGGTGTGCACCTGTAATCCCAGCTACTTGGGAGGCTGAGGCAGGAGAATCGCTTGAACCTGGGAGGTGGAGGTTGCAGTGAGCTGAGATCACAACACTGCACTCAAAAATGGGCAACAAGAGAAAACTCCATCTCAAAAAAAAAAAAAAAAGAGAACAGGCACAGGTAGAGATGATTAAATAGCAGTGAGCGCTCGGAATCTTGAGGAAGAGAGAAGGAAGGTGGGTAGGGCGTGTACCCATCTTAGATTCTTTGGCTGGGACCCTATTCATTAGACTAACAAAAGACAGATTGGCAAGAGAAAAATAAACAGAAGTTGATTATGACACTTGTACATGGGAGTACTCAGAGGTAAGTGACTCAAGAGGGTGGTTAGAACTGGGGTTTATGTAGCAACTTAACAAAAGAAGAATACATTTTAGTGAAGTGAAAAGACGAAGGGAAAGCACTAGGGCAGCAAATCGTGAGAGGGTCAATATATGGGGGATGAATGGAAGATGGGAGCTAGGAGTGGAGTCGGTTAAGTCTACTCCTCTGGGCCCCAGGAAGTTTAGGGTCTGGAGGTGTCTCTGGGATCAACTTTTGTCCTTCCTGGTGGTTTTTTTTGCGGGGTGGGCACATTTATAAATTTATGTCTTGCTTTTTGGCAGCTACGGGAAGGGCAGAGAGCTTTTCTTCTTCTTTTTTTTTTTTTTTTTTTTGAGACGGAATCTTGCTCTTGTTGCCCAGGCTGGAGTGCAATGGTGCAATCTCAGCTCACTGCAACCTCCACCTCTCGGGTTCAAGCAGTTCGCCTGCCTCAGCCTCCCGAGTAGCTGGGATTACAGACCTGTGCCACCACGCCCGGCACATATTTGTATTTTTAGTAGAGATGGGTTTTCACCATGTTGGCCAGGCGGGTCTCTAACTCCTGACTTCCTGATCCACCCGCCTCGGCCTCCCAAAGTGCTGGGATTACAGGCGTGAGCCACCACACCTGGCCTGTGCCTGTTCTTATACTGTCCCTGGCCAAGCCTCTCATACATCATGAGCCACTGCGCCTGGCCTGCTTTTCTTTCTTTTTCTTTCTTTCTTTCTTTTTTTTTTTTTTTTTGAGATGAGTTTTGCTCTTGTTGCCCACGCTGGAGTGCAATGGTGCTATCTCGGCTCACTGCAACCTTCTCCTCCAGGGTTCAAGCGATTCTCCTACCTCAGCCTCTCGAGTAGCTGGGATTACAGGCACGTGCCACCACGCCCGGCTAATTTTGTATTTTTAGTAGAGACGGGATTACTCCATGTTGGTCAGGCTGGTCTCAAACTCCTGACCTCAGGTGATCCACCCGCCTTGGTCTCCCAAAGTGCTGGGATTACAGGTGGGAGCCACCGACCCTGGCAGAGAGAGCTTTTCTTCTATCTGCTTCTTCTCAGTTGCTTTCAGCTCAACAGGATCCTCATTGCAAAGTGGCATGTTTTGGGCTATTGTATCTGTCAACCTTCAGAGGAATCTGAGAGGCGGGGCCCAGAACAGGTGGGTGGGATTCGGGAGGGAAAGTGGATTTGCTCAGGTACAGGGGTAGGGAGCGCTGTCCCGTCTTCAAGATGTCATCCCCTGCCTTGCTGGAATCTTCCCCACACTGTTCCTGACTCAGGGGCCCAGTCCAGTCTTTTTTTTTTTTTTCTTTGGGACAGAGTCTTGCTCTGTCACTTAGCCTGGAGTGCAGTGTCATGATCTCCACTTACTGCAACCTCTGCCTCCAAGGTTCAGGCAATTCTCATGCCTCAGCCTCCCAAGCAGCTGGGACTACAGGTGTGCACCACCACGCCCAGCTAATTGTTGTATTTTTAAGTAGAGATGGAGTTTCGCCATGTTGGCCAGGCTGGTCTCGAACTTCTGACCTTAGATGATCTGCCTGCCTTGGCCTCCCAAAGTGCTGGGATTATAGGCATGGGCCACTGCACCTGGCCCTGGCTCCCATTTCTGAGCTACATTGAGCTACTGAACTTCTGTGCCTTATTTTCCCCTTCTGTAAAATGGGAATAACAAATTCTTGACCTCAGTCTTCTTCTAAGTATTAAATAATTTTTTTTTTTATTTTTAAATTTTTGCCAGGTGCAGTGGCTCACGCCTGTAATCCTAACACTTTGGGAGGCAGAGGCAGGTGGATCACCTGAAGACGCAAGATCGAGATCAGCCTGGCCAACATGGTGAAATCCCGTCTCTACTAAAAATACAAAAATTAGCTGGGTGTGGTGGTGCACACCTGTAATCCCAGCTACTTGGGAGGCTGAGGCAGGATAATTGCTTGAACCCGGGAGGTGGAGGTTGCACTGAGCTGAGATCCCGCCACTGCACTCCAGCCTGGGCAATAGAGTGAGACTCCATCTCAAATAATAATAATAATAATAATAGTAAATAATAATAATAATTTTTCAAGAATAGAGACGGGGTTTCTTCATGTTGCCCAGGCTAGTCTCGAACTCCTGAGCTCAAGCAATCCACCCGCCTCAGCCTCCCAAACTGATGAGACTACAGGCATCAGCCACCATGCCTGGCTTTAAGTATTAAGTAATATCTGTAATGCACTTCTCAGGCAGCCTGCCTGGCACACAAGAACCCATTCATGTGTCCCTTTGTAAATTCCATAACCAGCTCCTCCAACCTGTGAGAAAACTTGCCAACCGTACTCTCAAAGCAGATATGTTGGGTTTTCCTGGCATCTTGTGAGCACACTTTATTGTAAAAAAACAAAAACAGAATGCCTCTGCTATGTTACATACTGATATGACATTTCTTCTTCTTCTTTTTTTTTTTTTTTGAGACAGAGGGACTCACACTCTGTTGCCCAGGCTGGAGTGCAGTGGTACAATCTCCGCTCACTACAATCTCTGCCTCCTAGGTTCAAGTGATTCTCCTGCCTCAGCCTCTCGAGTAGCTGGTATTACAGGCGTGCATCACCACGCCCGGCTAATTTTTTGTATTTTTAGTAGAGACAGGGTCTCACCAGGTTGTCCATCCTGGTCTCGAACTCCTGACTTCAGGTGATCCACCCGCCTCAGCCTCCCAAGGGCTGGGATTACAGGCATGAGCCACCATGCCCGGCCTTGTTTCTTCATTCTTTTAAATGTTGAGGCATGATTTACTCATAAAATGCGTGCACACATTTTAAGTGTACAGTTCATGATTCATTTTTTTTTTTTTTTGACACAGGGTCTCTCTCTGCTGCCCAGGCTGGAGTGCAGTGGCGTGATCTCCGCTCACCACAGCCTTCACCTCCCAGGTTCAAGCGATTCTTCTGCCTCAGCCTCCCCAGTAGCTGGAACTACAGGCATGCCCCCACCATGCTCAGCTAATTTCTGTATTTTTAATAGAGATGGGGTTTCACCATGTTGGCCACTCTGGTCTCGAACTCCTGACCGCAAATGACCTGCCCGCCTCAGCCTCCCACAGTGCTGGGATCTCAGGCATAAGCCACCACGCTCTGCCATGACTCTTGAGAAATATGAGCATTCATCTAACTGTCATATGTGGAGCATGTCCAGGACCCAAGGGTGTTTCCTCCAGCTCCTTTGCTATCTCTCTTCTCCCACCCTCTTCCCCTGGGCAACCTCTGTTCTGATTTCTATCACTATGGCTCAGTTTTGCCTGTCCTAAAACTTTATTTATTTATTTATTTATTTTGAGGCAGAGTCTCACTCTGTCACCTAGGCTGGAGTGCAGTGGCACTATCTCAGCTCACTGCAACCTCCGCCTCCCAGGTTCAAGCAATTCTCCTGCCTCAGCCTCCTGAGCAGCTGGGATTACAGGTACGCGTCACAATGCCTAGCTATTTTTTGTATCTTTTGGTAGAGACCGGGTTTCACCATGTTGGCCATGCTGGTCTCTAACTCCTGAGCTCAAGTGACCCACCCACCTTGGCCTCTCAAAATGCTGGGATTACAGGCATGAGCCACTGTGCCTGCCCTTATTTATTTTTTTGAGATAGGATCTCACTGTCTCACTATCTGCCCAGGCTGGAGTGCAGTGGCATGACCTCGACTTACTGCAACCTCTGCCTCCCGGGTTCAAGCCGTTCTCATGCCTCAGCCTCCAGGATAGTTGGGATTACAGGCATGTGCCACCACGCCCAGCTAATTTTTGTATTTTTAGTAGATACGGGGTTTCTCCCTGTTGGCCAGCCTGGTCTCGGACTCCTGACCTCAGGTGATCCGCCCGCCTTGGTCTCTCAAAGTGCTGGGATTACAGACGTGAGCCACCGCACTAGGCTGAATCCACTCCTTTTTATTGATGAGAAGTTTTTCACAGTGTACAGGACAGGGAAGGAAGCTGGAGCCCTCTCCTGTAACAAGAGGCAGGTTAAATAGGGAAAAACAACACAAGTTGATTAAGATGTTTACCTTATGTATACGTGGGGGAAGCCCAGAGAAAAGGGGAAATCTCCAAGAAGTGGCTTTGCTTTGTTGGCTTAAATACTATCTTCAACTAACATGAAGAAGGGGGTGGGGGTGGGGGTGGGGGGGGCCGGGCGCGGTGGCTCAGGCCCCTAGTCCCTGCACTTTGGGAGATGGAGGCGAGCAGATCACCTGATGTCAGGGGTTCAAGACCAGCTTGGCCAACATGGTGAAACTCCGTCACTACTAAAAATACAAAAATTAGCCAGGCATGGTGGCGGGCACCTGTAATCCCAGTTACTTGGGAGGCTGAGGCAGGAGAATTGCTTGAACCCAGGAGGCAGAGACAGTGAGCCGAGATCAAGCCACTGCACTCCAGCCTGGCGACAGAGACGGACTCCTCAAAAAAAAAAAAAAAAAAAAAAAAAGAGGCATGGCGCAGTGGCTCACGCCTGTAATCCTAGCACTTTGGGAGGCCGAGGCGGGTGGATCACCTGAGGTCAGGAGCCTGGCCAACATGGCGAAACTCTGTCTCTACTAAAAATACAAAAATTAGCCGGGTGTGGTGGTGGGCGCCTATAATCCCAGCTACTCGGAAGGCTGAGGCAGGAGAATTGCTTGAACCTGGGAGGTGGGGCGGAGGTTGCAGTGAGTCGAGATCACGCCACTGCACTCTAGCTTGGGAGACAGAGCAGGATTCCTTCTCAAAAAAAAAAAAAAAAAGAAAGAAAAAAAAGAAAGAAAGGTGTGTGGAAGTGGAGGGCAGCTATGGAGCGATGACCAGAAAAAGCTCAGCAAACAAGGGTTTGTTATGCAGATTGCAACTGATGCTTTCTCCATTGATAAGAGTTTCTAGTAATTTAGAGTCATTCTTCTCTTCCTGATATGGAGAGGGAGATACTCTTTCAAATGGAGGTTTCCTTTAGAGATGCAAATTTTCCTTACAAAAGAGTAACTCCTACTCTGTTTTTAGAGCTCCTCTTGTGTCTGCAGTTTCTCAAAATAATCAGCTCTAAATAATCCTTATGCCAATGAGGCATATTTTGGGGTGGCATATTCTGGTCTCCCGCAGTCTTATTTTGGGGTGGCGTATTTCTGGCCTCCCGCAAGTTTTCCACGCTGTACAGATAAACCACGATTTGTTTATCCATTCTCCTGTTGATGGACATCCGGATTCTTTCCAGTTTGGGGCTCTTATGCACACAGCAGTGATGAATATTCAGGTAAAAGTCCTGTGTAGCCACATGGTATCAATTCTCATATAAATATCTAGGAGTGAGATTGGTGAGTCTTACGGTAAGTGTGTGTATTGGAAATTGACAAACTATTTCCAAAGAGGTTGTACTATATTGCATACTCACCAGCAAATTATGAATGTTCTATTTGCTCCTAATCCTCTACAACACTTGATACTGTAAATCTGTTTTTTGTTTTTTGTTTTTCAGTCAGAATCTCCCACTGTCACCTAGGCTGGAGTACAGTGGCACAGTCTTGGCTCACTGCAGCTTCAACCTTCAGGGCTCAAGTGATCCTCCCACCACAGCCTCCAGAGCAGCTGGGACTACAGGTGTGCACCACTATGCTTGGCTAATTTTGTTTTTTTTTAATTTTTAAATTTTTTGTAGAGACAGAGTCTCACTGTGTTGCCTAGGCTGGTCTTGAACTCCTGGGCTCAAGCAATCCTCCGGCCTTGGCCTGCCAAAGGGCTGAGGTTACAGGTGTGAGTCATGGTGTTTTGGCAAAATGTTTTAAATTATAACCATTCTAGTAGAAGTGATTTTGATTTTAATTTGATCATTGTGATTTAATTTGCATTTCCTTGATAACTAATGATATAGAACATCTTTTCGTGTACTTATGGCATACTCATCTACTTTGTTTTGTGAAATGTCTGTTCAAGTGTATTGCCCATTTAAAAAAATGGGGCTGGGTGTGGTGGCTCATGCCTATAATCCCAGCACTTTGGGATGCCAAGAAGGGAGGATCACTTGAGACCAGGAGTTCCAGACCAGCCTAGGCAACATAGTGAGACCTAGTCTCTGCAAAACATTTAAAAATTAGCCAGGCATGGTGGTGGTCGTCTGTAGTCTCAGCTACTCAAGAGGCTGAGTTCATAGGATTGTTTTAGCCCAGGAACTCAAGGCTGCAGTGACCTATGATTGCACCACTGTAGTCTAGCCTGGGCAACAGAGCAAGACCCTCATTTCTTTTTTTCTTTTTTTCGGACATGGAGTCTCACTCTGTCACATGATCATAGCTCACTGTGGCCTTGACCTCCTGGGCTCAAGCAAACCTCCCACCACAGCCTCCCTAGAAGCTGGGATTTCAGGCATGTGCCACCACACCCAGCTAATTTTTGTATTTTTTATAAAGATGTGACTTTGGCATGTTGCCCACACTGGTCTCAAACTCCTGGGCTCAAGCAATCCTCACCTTCCCAAAGTGCTGGGATTATACGTGTGAGCCACTGTGCCTGGTGGAGACACTATTTTTTTAAAAAGAGAATTCGGCCAGGCATGGTGGCTCACACCTGTAATCCCAGCACTTTGGGAGGCCGAGATGGGCAGATCACAAGGTCAGGAGTTCAAGCCCAGACCAGCCTGACCATGATGGTGAAACCCTGTCTCTACTAAAAATACAAAAACTAGCCAGGCATGGTGGCGCATGCCTGTAGTTCCAGCTACTTGGGAGGCTGAGGCAGAAGAACTGCTGGAACCCAAGAGGCAGAGGTTGCAGTGAGCCGACATCGTGCCACTGCACTCCAGCCTGGGCAACAGAGGGAAACTCCGTCTCAAAAAAAAAAAAAAAAATTCTGTTTTTGTGTAAGGTGTGAAATAAGAGTCCAGGTTAATTATTTTACTTTATTATTATTATTATTATTATTATTATTTTGAGACGGAGTCTAGCTCTGTCGCCCAGGCTGGAGTGCAGTGGCACAATCTCAGCTCACTGCAAGCTCCGCCTCCCGGGTTCACACCATTCTCCTGCCTCAGCCTCCCGAGTAGCTGGGACTACAGGCGCTTGCCACCACGCCTGGCTAATTTTTATATCTTTTGTAGAGACAGGGTTTCCCCACAATGGCCAAGCTGGTGTTGAACTCCTGACCTCAGGTGATTCACCTGCCTCGGCCTCTCAAAGTGCTGGGATTACAGGCGTGAGCCACCGCGCCCGGCCAAGGCATTTTTTTTTTCTTTGAGACAGAGTCTCTCTCTGTTGCCCAGGCTGGAGTGCAGTGGCATGATCTCCACGTCCCGGGATCAAGCAATTCTTTTGCCTCAGCACCCCCATGTAGCTGGGACTACAGGCATACATCACTACACCTGGCTAATTTTTGTATTTTCACTAGAGACGGGGGTTTCACGGGGTTGGCCAGGCTGATCTTGAACTCCTGACCTCAAGGGATCCACTGGCCTTGGCCTCCCGAAGTGCTGGGATTACAGGCCTGAGCCACAGCACTTGGCCCGTTTAAGGCATTCTAAGTCACAGCATGAGATAGGAGATTGGCACAAGATACAGGTCATAAAGACCTTACTGATAAAACAGGTTTGCAGTAAAGAAGCCAGCTAAAACCCACCAAAACCAAGATGGCGATAAGAATGACCTCTGGTCGTCCTCACTGCTACACTCCCACCAGTGACCTGACAGTTTACAAATGCCATGGCAACGACAGGCAGTTACTGTATAAAGTCTAAAAAGGAGAAACATGAATAATCCACCTCTTGTTTAGCACATAATTAATAAATAACCATCAAAATGGGCAACCAGCAACCCTCAGGGCTGCTTTGCCTGTGGAGTACCTATTCTTTGTTCCTTTACTTTTCTAATAAATTTGCTTTCATTTTACTGTACGGACTCGCCCTGAATTCTTTCTTGGGAGAGATCCAGGAACTTGGGGTCTGCATCAGGACCCCTTTCTGGTAACAAGAACTTTGGTCAAATATTATTCTGAGGCCGGGCGTGGTGGCTCATGCCTGTAATCCTAGCACTTTGGGAGGCTGAGGCAGGTGGATCACCTGAGGTCAGAAGTTCAAGACCAGCCTGGTGAACATGGTGAAACCTCATCTCTACTAAATATACAAAAATTAGCCAGGCATGGTGGCGGGCGCCTGTAATCCCAGCTACTCAGGAGGCTGAGGCAGGAGAATGGCGTGAACCTGGGAGGCAGAGCTTGCAGTGAGCCGAGATCATGCCACCGCACTCCAGCCTGGGCGACAGAGCGAGACTGCGTCTTAAAAAAAAAAAAAATTTTTTTTAAATTAGCCAACTCTGGTCATGTGTGCCTGTGGTCACTACAGTCTCTGGGATTGTAGGACACACCAACACGCCCTGTTAATTTTTTTTTTTTTTTTTGTAGAGATGGGGTCTGGCGATGTTGCCCAGGCCAGTCTTGAACTCCTGGCCTCAACTGATCCTCCTGCTGTCATGGCCACCTGAAGTGTTGCGATTACAGATGTGAGCCACCATGTCTGCTGGCACAAATTTTATTATATGTTAGGATCTATAACAATATCCCTTCATTCCTGATATTAGGAATTTGTGTTTTTACTTTTTAATTTTTTTATATTTATTTATTTATTTATTTTTGAGGCGAAGTCTCGCTCTTGTCCCCCAGGCTGGAGTGCAATGGCGCAATCTCGGCTCACTGCAACCCCCGCCTCCTGGGTTCAAGCCATTCTCCTGCCTCAGTTTCCCAAGCAGCTGGGACTACATGTGCATGCCGCCATGCCCAGCTAATTTTTGTATTTTCAGTACAGACGGGATTTCACCATATTGGCCAGGCTGGTCTCGAACTCCTGACTTGTGATCCACCCGCCTCAGCCTCCTAAAGTGCTGGGATTACAGGCGTGTGCCACCATGCCGGGCCTACTTTTAATTTTTTTTATTTTTGTTTTTTGAGACAGAGTGTTGCTCTGTCACCCAGGCTGTAGTGCAATGGTGCAATTTTGCCCCACTGCAACCTCCACCTCCCAGGTTCAAGCGATTCACTAGCGTCAGTCTCTGAGTAGCTGGAATTATAGGCATGTGTCACCACGCCTGGCTAATTCACTTTTGTATTCTTGATTAGTCTTGCTTGAGGTTTATCAATTTTGTGAATCTTTTCAAATAACCAACTTTTGTGGGTTGGTTGGTTTGTTTGTTTTGAGACAGAGTCTCACTCTGTCACCCAGGCTGGAATGTAGTGGCAGGACCTCAGCTCACTGCAACCTCTGCCTCTTAGGTTCAAGTGGTTCTCCTGCCTCAGCCTCCCAAGTAGCTGGGATTACAAGCATGAGCCACCTCACCTGGCCCAACTTTTGTTTTTGATAATTTTTTTCTATTTTCTTCTTTTTTCTAATTCATTGATTTCTGATCTTTATTCTTTCTTTCTTTCTTTTTTTTTTTTTGAGATGGAGTGTCGCTCTGTTGCCCAGGCTGGAGTGTAGTGGCGTGATCTCGGCTCACTGCAACCTCCACCTCCCGGGTTCCAGCGATTCTCCCGCCTCAGCCTCCCGAGTAGCTGGGACTACAGGTGCGCATCACGGAGCCCCGCTAATTTTTGTATTTTTTAGTAGAGAGGGAGTTTCACCATATTGGCCGGGCTGGTCTTGAACTCCGCCCACCTCGGCCTCCCAAAGAGCTAGGATTACAGGCATGAGCCACCGCGCCCAGCCTTATTGTTTCTTTTCTTCTACTTACTTTGGGTTTAATTTTCTGTTGTTCTCTTAGGTTCTTTATATAACCATCTCCAATATAACCATTCTTTGCTATTATAACCATTGCAAGCTATATATTTTCTTCTACTTACTTTGGGTTTAATTTTCTATTGTTCTCTTAGATTCTTAATATAACCATCTCCAATGTAACCATTCTTTGCTATTATAACCATTGAAAGCTATACATTTTCCAGGCTGGGTGGGGCGGCTCATGCCTCTAATTCCAGCACTTTGGGAGCCTGCGGTGAGAGGATTACTTGAGTTTAAGAGTTCAGGGCTGGGCGTGGTGGCTCTTGCCTGTAATCCCAATACTTTGGGAGGCCGAGGCAAGCGGATCACCTGAGGTCAGGAGTTCAAGACCAGCCTGGCCAACATGGTGAAACCCGTCTCTACTAAAAATAGAAAAAATTAGCTGGGCATGGTGGCATGTGCCTGTAATCCCAGCTACTTGGGAGGCTGAGGCAGAAGAATCGCTTGAACCTGGGAGGCGGAGGTTGCAGTGAGCCGAGATCGCACCATTGCACTCCAGCCTGGGCAAAAAGAGCAAAGATCTGTCTCCAAAAAAATAAAAGAAACAGTTCAAAACCAGGCTGTCCAACATAGTGGGGCCCCATCTCTACAAACACACAAAAAAATTAATACAGTAGCTGGACATGGTGGCACATGCCTGCAGTCCCAACTACTCAGGAGGCTGAGGTGGGAGGGCTACTGGAGCCTAGGATGTTGAGGCAGCAGAGGCCTGTGATTGTGTAATTGCAGCACTCTAGCTTGAGTGACAGAGCAAGAGAGAATCTGCGATTACAGGTGTGAGTCACTATGCCCAGCCTGTTTCACTTATACCCTGCAGAAGATGCTATCTGGAGGCCTGGCGTCATCTTCCCCCATGCATGTTCAGCCAGCCCTTAGTCAAGGACTTTTAGTGGACATTCCTCCTCTCCCCTGCCAGACCTCGGGGCCTCCTTCTGCACAGACTCCTCCTCTCTGGCACCATGTCCCACCATTTCTAGCCATTTCCACTGCCCCAAATGCTAACTCCACCTTCTCAGCTCAGCAGGACACTAAGTTCTGCCTGGACTCCAGCTCACCGTGCAGTGATTACAAAACTGTCCCCAGGAAGAGGGTAGGGAGAGGGGCAGAGGGTGAAGTCTCACCTTGTGAGTTTCCCTCCACTCGGGGGTCATAGGCTTGTGCTGCCTGTGGTTCAGTGCCTGAAGACTGGCATTCACGGCTTTTGTCCAGTTTAGTTTAATGGTTTCTTAAGATGAGAGGGCTTGTGGGGTACCAGTTACAGCATGGCTGTAAGTGAAGGTCACCCTCCTCACTAAGATGATGTTTCTTTTTTTTTTTTTTCTTTTTTGACAGAGTCTTGCTCTTGTCGCCCAAGCTGGAGTGCAGTGGCGTGATCTCGGCTCACTGCAACCTCCGCCTCATGGGTTCAAGCTATTCTCCTGTCTCAGCCTCCTGAGTATCTGGGATTACAGGCACACGCCACCATGCCTGGCTAATTTTTTGTATTATTGTAGAGACGAAGTTTCACCATGTTGTCCAGGCTAGTCTCGAATTCCTGATCTCAGGTGATCTGCCTGCCGCTGCCTCCCAAAGTGCTGGGATTATCAGTGTGAGACACCGTGTCTGGCAACTGATGTTTCTTGAAAGTCTGTTGTAAACTTTTTTGTTTTTGAGACAAGGTCTCACTCCCTCAGGCTGGAGTGCAGTGGCACAATCTCGGCTCACTGCAACCTCTGCTTCCGCTTCCCCCGTTCAAGCGATTCTCTTGCCTCAGCCTCCTGAGTAGCTGGGACCAGAAGTAGTGATGGGGTTTCACCATGTTGGCCAGGCTGGTCTCAAACTCCTGACCTCAAATCATCTGCCCACTTCGGCCTCCCAAAGTGCTGGGATTACAGGTGTGAGATATCACGCCCTGCTGTCTCTTGTAAATATTAAAATAATACAGAGGATCACTGAAGGGAAAGTAGAAAAATACAGAAAAGGTTGACTGGGCACGGTGGCTCACACCTGTAATCCCAGCACTTTGGGAGGCTGAGGCAGGTGGATCACGAGGTCAAGATATCGAGACCATCCTGGCCAATATGGTGAAACCCCATCTCTACTAAAAAATACAAAAACTAGCTGGGCGTGGTGGTGTGTGCCTGTAGTCCCAGCTGCTCAGTAGGCTGAGGCAGGAGAATCGCTTGAACTCAGGAGGTGGAGGTGGCAGTGAGCCAAGATTGCCCTACTGCACTCCAGCCTGGGTGACAGAGTGAGACTCCGTCTCAAAAAAAAAAAAAAAAAAAATTACAGAAAAGGAGGTTGAGGGAGAAGAAAGGTTGTCCATTGACGCTTCACTTTGTAAATTATTTTTTCCATTTATAGCAGCACTTTCTAGGAGCCTTCAAACCTAAGTGTTGTATTTCACCACAAGGGGCTCTAGTGAGCTGAAGCTGATAAAAGATCCTGAAGTTGGAATGGCCAGGATCTCAGCAGATACTAATGGAAGTTTTTCTGATCAATGAACAACAGGACCAACTGTGTTCAGACCTGTGGACCCATTCGTTCCTCTCCCGGGCACTGGTTTTCCAGGCCTCATTCGCAGAGTGCAACTGACTCCCTTTTCAGCCTTGAAACCCGCTGACTCTGCCCTCAGGAACCGCAGTTGTGTTTCTCTGCTGCTCTGCATTTCCTTGCAGGGCCTGAGCATGGACTCAGCGTGGGCATGTTTTGCTTTGGTGGCCTTGATTTTTCTTGTTTTTTAGGACGGGGTCTTGCTCTGTCGCCCAGGCTGGAATGCAGTGGTGTGATCTCGGCTCACTGCAACCTCCACGTCCTGGGTTCAAGTGATTCTCCTGCTTCTGTCTCCCGAGTAGCTGGGATAACAGGCATGCACCAACACACCGGGCTAATTTTTGTATTTTTTAGTAGAGACAGGGTTTCTTTTTCTTTTTTCTTTTTTCTTTTTTTTTTTTTGAGACAGAGTTTCGTTCCTGTTGCCCAGGCTGGAGTGCAGTGGCATGATCTTGGCTCACTACAACCTTCACCTCCTGGGTTCAAGCGATTCTCCTGCCTCAGCCTCCCGAGTAGCTGGGATTACAGGCATGCACCACCATGCCCAGCTAATCTTTGTATTTTTAGTAGAGACAGGGTTTCACCATGTTGGCCAGGTTGGTCTCGAACTGCTGACCTCATGTGATCAGCCCGCCTCAGCCTTCCAAAGTGCTGGGATTACAGGCATGAGCCACCGTGCCTGGCCTTGTGCTTTTTCTTTTTCTTTCTTTTTTTTGGGGTGGGGGAGGGGATGGAGTTTTGCTCTTGTTGCCCAGGCTTGAGTGCAATGGCAGGATTTCAGCTCACTGCAACCTCCGCCTCCTGGGTTCAAGCAATTCTCCTGCCTCAGCTCCCAAGTAGCTGGGACTATAGGCGCGTACCACCACGCCCGGCTAATTTCTGTATTTTTTAGTAGAGATGGGGTTTCACCATATTGGCCAGGCTGGTCTTGAACTCCTGACCTTGTGATCCGCCTGCCTCGGACTCCCAAAATGCTGGGATTACAGGCGTGAGCCACTGCACCCGGCGAAAAACCCACTTTATTTATTTTATTTATTTATTTTTTGAGGCGGAGTTTCGCTCTTGTTGCCCAGGCTGGAGTGCAATGGCACGATCTCGGCTCACCGCAAACTCTGCCTCCCAGGTTCAAGCGATTCTCTTGCCTCAACCTCCCTAGTAGCTGGGATTACAGGCATGTGCCACCACGCCCGGCTAATTTTGTATTTTTAGTAGAGATGGGGTTTCTTCATGTTGGTCAGGCTGGTCTCGAACTCCTGATCTCAGATGATCCGCCCGCCTCGACCTCCCAAAGTGCTGGGATTACAGGCATGAGCCACCGTGCCCAGCCAAAAACCCACTTTAACTACTGTGAATCAGACTGTGTATTCAGAGCAGCCTGAAATCTATGCTCCTGGGTGGCCATCCTGAAGCTCTGAGTTGGAATAAACTCTGTACTTAATCACAGTTTCCGAATTTTGTTATATATGGTTGACAGCACTATTTTTTTTTTCTTTTTTGAGATGGAGTCTCGATCTGTCGTCCAGGCTAGAGTGCAATGAGACTATCTTCCTCACTGCAACCTCCGCCTCCCGGGTTCAGGCAGGTGGATCACTTGAGGCCAGGAATTCGATACCAGCCTGGCCAATATGGCAAAACCCTGTCTCTACTAAAAATACAGAAATTAGCCAGGCATGGTGGCAGGCACCTGTAATCCCAGCTACGTGGGAGGCAGAGGCAGGAGAATCGCTTGAACCCAGAAGGCAGAGGTTGCAGTGAGCCAAGATTGTGCCTCTGCACTCCAGCCTGGGCGACAGAGCAAGACTCCGTCTCAAAAAAAAAAAAGAAAAAAACAAAAAACAACCATGATGATGTGTGCTACTAAAGGGGAAAAGTTGCATTGGAAACTTGTTAAAAATGGCAAAGCAAGACTTTATTCAAGTCTATTACAGTGGTGGAGAGAGATTGAACTCAACTATGAATACAGCACAGACAGCTGGGGATTTATAGCCATAGCGGTGGAAAATTTTTTTTCTAACTAGCCTTCATAGGTTCTATGGCTGGGGCCTTGTATATGGGGCTGACAAAAGACAGATTAACAGAGAAAAACAAACAGATGGTTTTGTTAACATGAGCATTACACATACACGTGGGAAAACCCAGAGATAAGTAACTCAGGAGGGCAATCAGAACGGGGAGGCCAGGCGTGGTGGCTCATACCTGTAATTCCAAAGCTTTGGGAGGCCGAAGAGGGTGGATCACTTTGCCCCAGGAGTTTGAGACGAGCCTGGGGAACATGGTGAAATCCTGTCTCTACAAAAAATACAAAAATTAGCCAGGCATGGTGGCACCACCATGCCTGTAGTCCCAGCTACTCAGGCTGAGGTGGGAGGATCACTTGAGCCCAGGAGGTGGAGGTTGCAGTGAGCCAAGATCATGCTACTGCATCCAGCCTCGGGGACAGAGTGAGTCCCTGTCTGAAAAAAGAAAAAAAAAGAAAAAGAAAAAAAAAAAAAGAACTGGGGCTTATATAGCAGCTTAACAAAAGAGTAATACTTTTTTTTGTTTGTTTGTTTGTTTGAGACGGAGTTTCACTCTTATTGCTCAGGTTGGAGTGCAATGGTGTGGTCTCAGCTCACTGCAACGTCTGCCTCCCGGGCTCAAGTGATTCTCCTGCCTCAGCTTCCCCAGTAGTTGGGATTACAGGCACCTGCCACCATGTCCAGCTGATTTTTGTATTTTTAGTAAAGACGGGGTTTCACCATGTTGGCCAGGCTGGTCTTGAACTCCTGACCTCAGGGGATCTGCCCACCTCAACTTTCCAAAGTGCTGGGATTACAGGCATGAGCCACCACTCCTGGTCAAGAGTAATACATTTTTATTTTATTTATTTATTTTTTTGAGACAGAGTCTCGCTCTGTCACAGTGCAGTGGCGCAATCTTGGCTCACTGCAACCTCTGCCTCCCAGGTTCAAGCGAGTCTTCTGCCTCAGCCTCCTGAGTGGCTGGGACTACAGGCGCACACCACCACGCCCGGCTAATTTTTGTACTTTTAGTAGAGATGGGGTTTCACCATATTGGCCAGGCTGGTCTTGAACTCCTGACCTCGTGATCCGCCCGCCTCAGCCTCCCAAAGTGCTGGGATTACAGGCGTGAGCCACCATGCCCGGCGAGTAATACATTTTTAAAGAAGTATTTTTAGACAAGATGAAGGGAAAGAACTTTGAGTTTCTAGTGCAGCAAATCATGAGAGGGTCATATATGGGGGAATGAATGGAAGATGAGGGCTAGTTGGTCGAGTTGGTTATGTAGACTCCTCCAGTGCCATTCCAGGCGGATAAGAATCTACAGCTGTCTCTGGGATTAACTTCAGTCCTTTCTAGTGGTCTTGAAGTGGATACCTTAGTAAACTTATTTATCTATTTATTTATTTAGAGACGGAGTCTTCTTGCTCTGTCACCTAGCCTGGAATGCAGTGGTGCGATCTCAGCTCACTGCAACCTCTGTCCCTCAGGTTCAAGCGATTCTCCTGCTGCAGCCTCCTGAGTAGCCGGTACTACTGGTGCACGCCACCATGCCTGGCAAATTTTTTTAGTTTTAGTAGAGACGGGGTTTCACCATGTTGGTCAGGCTGGTCTCGAACTCCTGACCTAAGGTGATCCACCCGGCTTGGCCTCCCAAAGTGCTAGGATTACAGGCGTGAGCCACCGTGCCTGGCCACCTTTGTAAATTTACATCTTGCTTTTTGTCAACTAGGGGAAGGGCAGAGAGCTTTTCTTGTATCTGCTTCTTCTTAATTGGCTTCAGCTCAACATGATCCTTATGCCAAAGTTGCATGTTTTGGCGTGACATATTTTGCCACTCTACCTAGCCAAGGGGCAGAGTGAGGGAGGTGAATAATTTTATTTTAACAGTGCCCCTGTCAGGAGGGGAAGCAAGGGCTCACCTGATTTATTCATGATGTTTATTCACTCCCAGAGCCCAGATCTGGGAGATAGACCTGGCACTTTTTTTATTTTTTTGAGACAGAGTTTCGCTTTTGTTGTCTTGGCTGGGGTGCAATGGCTCGATCTCAGCTCACCACAACCTCTGCCTTCTGGGTTCAAGCGATTCTCCTGCCTCAGCCTCCCGAGTAGCTGGGATTACAAGCATGGGCCACCATGCCCAGTTAATTTTTTTGTATTTTTAGTAGAGACGGGGTTTCTCCATGTTCATCATGCTAGTCTCGAACTCCCGACCTCAGGTGATCCGCCCGCCTCGGACTCCCAAAGTGCTGGGATTACAGGTGTGAGCCACCGGGCCCGTCCAGACCTGGCACATTTTTTTGCAAATTAGGGAAAGGGTGGTGATATGGTTTGGCTGTGTCCCCACTCAAATCTCATCTTGAATTGTAGTTCCCATAATCCCCACATGTTGTGGGAGGGACCAGGTGGAGGTAATTGAATCATGGGGGTGGTTTCCCCCATGCTGTTCTCGTGATAATGAGTGAGTCTCAGGAGGTCTGATGGTTTTGTAAGTGTCTAGCATTTCTCCTGCTGGCATTCCTTCTCTCTCCTGCCGCCTTGTGTTTTTTTGAGACAGAGTCTCGGTCTGTCACCCAGGCTGGAGTGCAATGGCATGATCTCGGCTCACTGCAACCTCCGCCTCCCGGGTTTAGGCAATTATCCTGCCTCAGCCTCCCGAGTAGCTGAAATTACAGGCGCCCGCCACCACGCCTGGCTAATTTTTGTATTTTTGGTAGAGACGTGGTTTCACCATGTTGACCCCAGGCTGGTCTCTTGGCCAGGCTCGTCTTGAACTCCTGACCTCATGATCCGCCCACCTCAGCCTCCCAAAGTGCTGGGATTACAGGTGTGAGCCACCGCGCTCAGCCTTTTGTTTTGTTTTGAGAGGGAGTCTTGCTCTGTCACTCAGGCTGGAGTGCAGTGGCTTGATCTCAGCTCACTGCAACCTCTGCCTCCCGGGTTCAAGCGATTCTCCTGCCTCAGCTCCCAAGTAGCTGGGATTACAGGCGCTCACCCCCACGCCCGACTAATTTTTGTATTTTTCAGTAGAGACTGGGTTTCACATATTGGCCAGGTTGGTCTTGAACCCCTGACCTCGTGATCCGCCTGCCTCAGCCTCCCAAAATGCTGGGAGATCTGTATTTTTTTTTTTGAGACGGAATTTCGCTCTCATTGCCCAGGCTGGAGTGCAAATGGCACGATCTCGGCTCACCGCAATTTCCGCCTCCCAGGTTCAAGCGATTCTCCTGCCTCAGCCTCCTGAGTAGCTGGGATTAGAGGCATGCGCCACCACGCCTGGCTAATTTTGTATTTTTAGTAGAGACAGGGTTTCACCATGTTGGCCAGGCTGGTCTCAAACTCCCTACCTCAAGTGATCCACCCTCCTCAGCATCCCAAAGTGCTGGGATTACAAGTGTGAGCCACTGCGCCCAGCCTCTCCTGCCGCCCTGTGAAGAAGCACGTGTCTGCTTCCTCTTCCGCCGTGATTGTAAGTTTCCTGCGGCCTTTCCAGACATGTGGAACTGAGTCAGTTGAACCTCTTTTCTTTATAAATTACCCAGTCTTGAGTATTTCTTCATAGCAGCATGAGAACAGACTAATACAGGTGGCCCCATTTGTAAATTATTTTGATGGGAGGGGGCTGGGACCTGGAGGCGGGAGGAGGGGCAGGTGAGGGGCAAAATGAAAAGGAAAGCACTTTTTCAGAGTTAGGGCAAATGTCTCAGAATTAATTGAACCTTGTTTTCCTTTTTTTTTTTTTTTTGAGATGAAATCTCACTCTGTCACCCAGGCTGGAGTGCAGTGGTGGAATCTTGGCTCACTGCAACCTCTGCCTCCCTGGCTCAAGTGATCCTCCCACCTCAGCCTCCCAAGTAGGTGGGACCACAGATGTGTGCCACCATGCCAGGCTAATTCTTTTTTTTTTGAGACAGAGTTTTGCTCTGTCGCCAGGCTGGAGTGTAGTGGCATGATCTTGGCTCACTGCCACCTCCGCCTCCCGGGTTCAAGCAATTCTGTTGCCTCAGCCTCCTGAGTAGTTAGGACTACAGGCGAGTGCCACCACTCCCAGCTAATTTTTGTATTTTTAGTAGAGATGGGGTTTCACCATATTGTCCAGGATTGTCTCCATCTCTTGACCTCAAGATCTGCTCGCCTCGCCTCCCAAAGTGTTGGGATTACAGGCGTGAGCCACTGCACGCAGCCTAATTCTTTTTTTGTAGAGACAGAGTTTCACCATATTGCCCAGTCTGATCTTGAACTCCTGAACTCAAGCAATCCTGTCTTGGCCTCCCAAAGTGCTAGGATTACAGGCATGAGCCACTGTGCCCAGTTGACCTTATTTTCCATAGGCACATGCTCCAGCATGACGTTTTCCAAAAGCCACTTGCTGGAAGTACAGATATTCCTCTGATGGCTTTAGGCACTGGGAATACAGCAGTGACCAATTCCAATAAAGATCCTGCCCTCCCAGGGCTTCCATTCTAATGTGGGGAAGCAGTCATTGAACAAAACAGAGAATGAACGGTGGGGTCTGGGAGGGAAGACCTCCATTGCAGAGAAAGGTTGCAACTGCAGGTGTGGATGTGGGCAGAGAAGATTTCACTGGGAAAGAAGCATTCAGGAGGCCAGCAGGTGCAAAGGCTCTGGGGCAGGAGTGTGCCTATTGTGTTGAGGCTACACAGGCAAGGGAGCTGGTGTGACTGGAGTGGAGTGAGGAGAGAAGTGATGGGGAGGAGATGAAGAGGGAGAGGTAAGGGGTGCAGGGTGCAGGAGCTTTTACCTGTGGAATGCACTGAATGGAGGGGACATGACTTGTCTTATTTATTATTGATTGATTGATCGAGACAGAGTCTCGCTGTGTAGCCCAGCTGGAGTGCAATGGCACAATCTCGGCTCACTGCAACCTCCATCTCCTGGGTTCAAGCGATTCTCCTGCCTTAGCCTCCCAAGTAGCTGGGACTACAGGTGCCTGCCACCATGCCCGGCTAATTTTTTTTTTTTTTTTTTGAGACAGAGTCTCACTCCATCGCCAGACTGGAGTGCAATGGTGCAATCTCAGCTCACTGCAACCTCTGCCTCCCGGGTTCAAGTGATTCTTCTGCCTCAGCCTCCCGAGTAGCTGGGACTACAGGCACCTGCCACCACGCCCGGCTAATTTTTTGTATTTTTAGTAGAAACGGGGTTTCACCATGTTGGCCAGGATGGTCTCGATCTCTTGACTTCGTGATCTACCCGCCTCGGCCTCCCAAAGTGCTGGGATTACAGGCGTAAGCCACCGTGCTCGGCCCATCTGGCTAATTTTTTTTTTTTTTTTTTTTTTTTTTGAGACGGAGTCTCACTCTGTCACCCAGGCTGGAGTGCAGTGGCGTGATCTCAGCTCACTGCAAACTCTGCCTCCCGGGTTCATGTCATTCTCCTGCCTCAGCCTCCCGAGTAGCTGGGACTACAGGCGCCTGCCACCACGCCCGGCTAATTTTTTTCTATTTTCAGTAGAGACGGGGTTTCACTGTGTTAGCCAGGATGGTCTCGAACTCCTGACCTTGTGATCCTCCCGCCTCGGCCTCCCAAAGTGCTAGGATTACAGGCGTGAGCCACCACGCCCGGCCTCCATCTGGCTAATTTTTGTATTTTTAGTAGAGATGGGGTTTTGCTGTGTTGGCCACACTGGTCTCAAACTCCTGACTTGTGATCTGCCTGCCTTGGCCTCCCAAAGTGCTGGGATTTCAGGCGTGAGCCGCCGTGCGTGGCCGACTTATCTTATTTTTTAATGGAATGCCGTGCTTGCTATGTCGAGAAGGAACGATGGTATGCTGTGCTTGCCCCCTGCTGGTAGCAGGGAGGTGGGTTGGCGACCACTGTGAAAATCCAAGGGAGAGGTGAGCACGGTTTGCTCAGGATGTTGGCAGGAAGGCAAGGTGGTCAAACATGGTTGCATTTGAGATCTATTTTGAAGGAGGAGCCATTAGGATTCACTGGTTGTTGGGTGTGGATTTACCCTAAGCTGCTGGAAGCCTGGAGTCATGGCCATTAATGGAGAGAAGAAGATGGATGGACCAATGGTGTGGGGAGCAGGTGGGAGTGTGCAGTTGGGAGCTATGTCCAGGACACATGGACACAAGATGCTGTCAGCATCCTGGTGGAGGTGCTGCATAAGCAGTTGGCTCTCTGAATCTGGAGAGATCTGGCCTGGAGATAGAAATACGAGAGTCTGGCCGGGCGTGGTGGCTCATGTCTGTAATCCCAGCACTTTGGGAGGCCAGGGCAGGCAGATCACAAGGCCAAGAGATCGAGACCATCCTGGCCAACATGGTGAAGCCCCATCTCTACTAAAAATACAAAAAGTAGCCAGGCGCGGTGGTGCGTGCCTGTAATACCAGTTACTTGGGAGGCTGAGACAGGAGAATCGCTTGAACCGGGGAGGCAGAGGTTGCAGTGAGCCAAGATCACACCACTGCACTCCATCCAGCCTGGCCATGAAGCGAGACTCCGTCTCAAAAAAAAAAAAAGAAAAGAAAAGAAAAAAAGAAATATGGGAGTCTATCCACCTCAGGGAGGCAGACCACATAAAGCCTTGAAGTGCATGGGATCCTCAGAGAGGTAGAATCCCTGGCACTGGAAGGCCTCCTGCAGCTCCTCCAATCCAAGGCTCACATTTCACAGGGGGGAAAAAAAGTATTAATAGAAGCCCAGAGAGGGGAGGTTATTTATTGCTCTAGATCAGGAGTCCCCAACCCCTGGGTTACAGAGCATTACCTGTCTGTGGCCTGTTAGGAACCTGGCCGCACAGCAGGAGGTGAGCGGTTGGCTCTAGCGAAGCTGAGCTCGTCCTCCTATCAGATCAACGGCAGCATTAGATTCTCACAGGAGCGTGAACCCTATTGTGAACTGCACATGTGAGGGATCTAGGTTGCTCACTCCTTATGAGAATCTAATGATAAATGTCAAGCGCTTGAATCGTCCAGAAGCCATCCTTTCTTCCTCCCCCGACTCAGTCTGTGGAAAAATTATCCTCCACGAAACCGGTTCCTGGTGCCAAAAACACTGGGGACCGCCGCTATATGTTTCGTCCCTGCAAAATTCGTATGTTGAAACGTACCCCACAATGTGACGGTATTAGAAGGTGTGGCTTTGGGAGATGATTATGTCACAGCCCTCATGAATGAGATCAGTGCCCTTATAAGAGAACTTTGCTGCTCCCAAGAGCTTGCTCACCCTTCTGCCATGTGAGGACACACAGAGGAAGCGCCATCTATCAACCAGAAGAGGGGCCCTTGGCAGACACCGAACCTACCAATGCCTTGATCTTGGACTTTTCAGCTGCCGGAACAGTGAGAAATAAATTTCTGTTGTCTATGGTATTTTGTTATAGCAGAGTCGATTATAACTGAGCTGATTAAGATGCTGGTCCCAGGTCACGTATCTGGGTGATGACAAAGTTAGGAATAAGACGTTGTTGGCAAGACCAGCACCCATTCCCACACCCAGTTTGTTATTGCTTTTCTTTTTTTTTTTCTTTTTGAGACAAGGTCTAGCTCTTACGCCCAGACTGGAGTGTAGTGGCAAGATCTTGGCTCACTGCAACCTCTGCCTTCCAGGCTCAAGCTGTCCCCACCGCAAACTCCTGAGTAGTTGGGACTACAGGCGTGCACCACCACACTAGGCTGATTTTTGCTTTTTTTTTTTTTGAAACGAAGTCTCACGCTGTCACCCAGGCTCGAGATCAGTGGCGCAATCTTGGCTCACTGCAACCTCCACCTCCTGGGTTCAAGCGATTCTCCTGCCTCAGCCTCCCGAGTAGCTGGCCTTACAGGCGCAAGCTGCCATGCCCAGCTAATTTTTTGTATTTTTGGTAGAGATGGGGTTTCACCGTGTTGCCCAGATGGGTCTCAAACTCCTGAGCTCAGGCAATCTGCCCGTCTTGGCCTCCTTGGCCTCGCAAAGTGCTGGGATTACAGGCATGAGCCACCCCACCTGGCCTTTCTTTCTTTTTTTTTTGGAGATGGAGTTTCACTCTTGTTGCCCAGGCTGGAGTGCAGTGGTGTGATCTTGGCTCGCTGCAACCTCCACCTCCCAGGTTCAAGTGATTCTTCTGTCTCAGCCTCCCAAGTAGCTGGGATTATAGGCGCATGCCACCATGCCTTGCTAACTTTTGTATTTTTAGTAGAGACGGGGTTTCGCCATGTTGGCTAGGCTGGTCTCGAACTCCTGACCTCAGGTGATCCACCCACCTCGGCCTCCCAAAGTGCTGGGATTACAGGCATGAGCCACCACGCCCGGCCTAGGCTAGGGGTTTTTCAGATAGTTTGGTGGGCAGGGAGCCAGGGTAGGGAATGTGCTGATTGGTTGGGTTGAAGATGAACTCACAGGGAATGAAAGCTGTTCTCTTGTGCTGAGTCACTTCCTGGGTGGGGACCACAGACTAGTTGGAGGGTCCAGGTGGGGCCAGCTGGTTGTCAGAAATGTAAAAACTTGAAAAGACATTTGAAAAGATCAATGGGGCTGGCCGCGGAGGCTCACGCCTGTAATCCCAGCACTTTGGGAGGCCGAGGCGGGTGGATCACCTGAGGTTGGGAGTTTGAGAACAGCCTGACCAACATGGAGAAACCCCATCTCTAGTAAAATTATAAAATTAGCCGGGCATGGTGGCACATGCCTATAGCCCCAGCTACTCAGGAGGCTGAGGCAGGAGAATTGCTTGAACCCAGCAGGTGGAGGTTGCAGCAAGCCGAGATCGCACCACTACACTCCAGCCTGGGAAACAAGAGTGAAACTCCGTCTCAAAAAAAAAAAAAAGAAGAAAAGGTCAATGGTAGGTTCTACCATAGTGATGTTCTCTGCAAGAGTAATTGGGGAAGTTGCAAACCTTAGGACCTCTGAAATAATGGCTGAGAATTATTTAGAATTCTGGCACCTCTCAGCCTCCTAACTCGGTGGCTTTTTTTTTTTTTTTTTTTTTTGAAACAGGGTCTTGCTCTGTCGCCCAGGCTGGAGTGCAGTGGCCTGATCTTGGCTTGCTGCAACCTCTGCCTCCTGGGTTCAAGCAATTCTCCTGCCTCAGGCTCCTGAGTAGCTGGGACTACAGGGGCCCACCACCATGCCTGGCTAATTTTTGTATTTTTTAGTAGAGACAGGGTTTCGCCATGTTGCCCAGGCTGGTCTCGAACTCCTGACCTCAGGTGATCTACCTGCCTCGGCCTCCCTAAGTGCTGGGATTACAGGTATGGGCCACTGTGCCCGGCCAGGAGGTTGTTTAGCCGCATCCCTGGCTTCATACTAGATGCCGAAGCACCTACCTCTTCCAGTTACAAAAATAAAAAATATTTCCTGGACATTGACAGATGTTCCCTGGGGGCCAAATCACCATCCCTCTCCCAGTTAAGAATCACTGAGTTACTGGAAAGAATTGTTTTCAGCTGTGGTGGTCAGAGCTGGGGTGCTGGCATGGGGCCTGTATAGGGGAAGGTGGCCAGAACCAGATGTGTAGCTTTGATTGTAACACTCAAGCCGACTTTACAGCCATGTGTGTTTTATATCTCCATGGGGCCTCAGAGACTGACTTCTTCACCCTACCGCATTTGTAAACTGTCCTGGGGATGGGGGAGGATTCTGAGGAGAGCATTTCCAGGCTCGCTTGCGTACAGTGAAAAGTGATGACAGTAAGTGATGTCTTGGTTAATGAAGAAAGGTCTCATTCTATGGAGGGAAAGAGAAGGGTGAATCTGGGATTGGATCCTGTCCCAGGTCTACATGACTGTGTGACCTCAGGCAAGTGACTTGGTTTCTCTGGGTTAGGAGGATCAAATGTACCCAGAGATGGGAAGGTGCCTAGTAGAGTGTATGGCCTGCAATTGGCCTGCCTAGTAAATGCAAATTCGTCATTGCTACCCTGGACCATGATTCTGGGCACAATTGCAGCAAAAGTTTCCTAATAGCCTCATGATGTTGAGCTTTCTGGAAAAACAAAACCAAATGTGAAGATCATCTGTCCACCCAGTGGTCAGGTGGTGTTTGTTTCCAGAAAGTACAAAAATCAAAAGGTTAGAAGGGAGTCTGAGAGGTCATTTAATAGCTTTTTGCTTTGTGCTGAACTGGCTCAAATGTTCTTAGAAAATTTGATGTTTCTCCTGGGGTTGATTTAAAGAAAAACACAAACGTACAGATGTACACACACATGTTGGCTTTTGCAGAAAGGAGGTTTAACTACTAAATTCTGTGGGTTTTATTTTTTATTTTTTTGGAGATGGAGTCTCGCACAGTCACCCAGGCTGGAGTACAGTGGCGCAATCTCTGCTCACTGCAACCTGCAACCTCCGCCTCCCGGGTTCAAGCGATCCTCAGCCTCCCGAGTAGCTGGGATTACAGGCACCCGCCACCACGCTCAGCTATATTTTTGTATTCTTGGTAGAGACGGGGTTTCACTATGTTGGCCAGGCTGGTCTTGAACTCCTGACCTTGTGATCCGCCCACCTTGGCCTCCAATGTGCTGGGATTATAGGCGTGAGCCACCACATCCAGCTGTTTTGTTTTGAGACAGGGTCTTGCTCTGTCACCAGGCTGGAGTGCAGTGGCGCAATCTCCGCTCACTGCAACCTTTGTCTCCTGGGTTCAAGTGGTTTTCCTGCCTCAGCTTTCTGAGTAGCTGGGATTACAGGACTGCACCACCATGCCTGGCTAAATTTTGTACAGACAGGGTTTTGCCACGTTGGCCAGGCTGGTCTTGAACTCCTGGTCTCAAGTGAGCCGCCCACCTTGGTTTCCCTAAGTGCTGGGATTACAGGCATGCACCACTTCGCCCGGCCTAAATTGTGTGTTCTTGATTTCTAGTGCTGAAAACACCTTTGTAAACTATGCAGTGGCCGGGCGCTGTGGCTCACGCCTGTAATCCCAGCACTTTGGGAGGCTGAGGCAGGCGGATCACCTGAGGTCAGGAGTTTGAGACCAGCCTCAACATGGAGAAACCCCGTCTCTACTAAGTACAAAATTAGCCGGGCGAGGTGGTGCATGCCTGTAATCTCAGCTTCTCAGGAGGCTGAGGCAGGAGAATTGCTTGAACCTGGGAGGCAGAGGCTGTGGTGAGCCGAGATCGTGCCATTGCACTCCAGCCTGGGCAACAAGAGCGAAACTCCGTCCCAAAACAAAACAAAACAAAACAAAACAAAACAAAACAAAACAAAACAAAAACTCTGCAGTAAGAGAACTGACATGGCTGACTCCATCTTGCTTCTAGCCTCAGAGGTTGCCTGCCTTTGCTCATTTCTGGCCGTGGGCCAAGCTAACTTTGGGAGAAATTTACCTTTTAGTTTAAATGATAACAGCCCTTCCCCCAAAACTGTTCACATAAAACTAATGAAAAGCCACCAAATTAGGAGAATGAGAGGGGCCTGAATTAATAATAATTCCCAGCCGTTATTCCAGAGGTTCTAAGATTTGCAACTTCCCTAATTACTCTTGCAGAGAACATCACTATGGTAGAACCTAAGATTGGTCTTTTGAGATGTCTTTTCAAGTTTTTGCATTTCTTTTTTTTTTGAGACAGAGTCTCGCTCTGTCACCCAGGCTGGAGTGCAATCTTTGCTCTCTACAACCTCCACCTCCTGAGTTCAGGTGATTCTCCTGCCTCAGCCTCCCGACTACCTGGGGTTACAGGCATCCACTACCATGCCCAGTGAATTTTTTTGTTTTGAGACAGAGTTTTACTTTGCTGCCCAGGCTGAGTGCATTGGCAAGAACTCGGCTCACTGCAACCTCCACCTCCCAGGTTCAAGCAATTCTCGTGCCTCAGCCTCCTTAGTAGCTGGATTACAGGCACCTACCACCACGCCCAGCTGATTTTTAGTTCTTTTTAGTACAGACAGGGTTTCACCACCTTGCCCAGGCTGGTCTCAAACTCCTGAGCTCAGGCAATCTGCCCGTCTTGGCCTCCCAGAGTGCTAGGATTACAGGCATGAGCTGCTGCGCCTGGCCTTTTTTGTTTTTGTTTTTGTTTTTTGAGGTGGAGTCTCTCTCTGTTGCCCAGGCTGGAGTGCCATGGCATGATCTCGGCTCACTGTAACCTCTGTCTCCCAAGTTCAAGTGATTCTCCTGCCTCAGCCTCCCAAGTAGCTGGGACTACAGGCGTCCATCATCATACTTGGCTAATTTTGTATTTGTAATAGAGACGAGGTTTCACCATGTTGGCCAGGCTGGTGTCCAACTCCTGATCTCAGGTGATCCATCCGCCTCCACCTCCCAGTGTTGGGATTACAGGTGTGAGTCACTGTGCCCAGCCCATGCGAATATTCTTAATTCATGGCAATTGTTTTACTTGCCTGCTTTCCAGCTAGGTAAGGCCTGGGGACATGTGGAATTGGCAATGCCCTAGCTATGCTGAAAACAGTCAAATCTTATCAGAACATAACTTACCAGGTTTTACATTACAGTTAAAATTGCCAAAGAGTCACCATTGTAACATGCAATCAAGACTACTGGAAATATGGCTGGGCATGGTGGCTCACGCCTCTAATCCCAGCAGTTTGGGAGGCTGAGGCAGGTGGATCGCCTGAGGTTAGGAGTTCGAAACCAGCTTGGCCAACATGGTGAAACCCCGTCTCTGCTAAAAATATAAGGATTAGCTGGGCATGTTGGTACACGCCTATAATCCCAGCTACTGGGGAGGCTGAGGCAGGAGAATTGCTTGAACCCGGGAGGTGGAAGTTTCTGTAAGCTGATATCATACCACTGCATTCCAGCCTGGGTGACAGAGCGAGACTTCTGCAAATAGATTTACATGCAAGGTGTATAAGAACAGTAAAATGTGTTGTGGTTTTTTTTTTTTTTTGTAAAAGGTTATAAGAAGGCATGGAAATGTAAATTTTGCCTAGGGTTAAATGATTGTTTTGAGTTAGATAGAAAAAGCTGAAGGTTCAAAGAAGTGGTAGAAGAATTGGCAAAATTAATTTGCAGAAGAGGTTCTCTGTGTGAACATATTGACTAAATTCAAAAGGGTTATACAAAGTTTTTGCTTCTTTAAAATTTCTGAGTCATCGTTTTGGCAAAATAAAGAACTTACGGTAATCTGGAATTCCAAAATCAAACTTCAGTTTCAAAATTGTCTTTCCTAATGCCTGGCTTTTTGGATGGATCAGAGGGCCACTGAAAACATCCAGAAAGGAGGTAAACAGGATTATTCAACATGTTTAGGTACATGAGATTGCCAAAATGATGCTCAATCTTCTTTTTTTTTTTTTAATCTTCCCCAATTTAAATCTTTTAATTTAAAAGTAAACTTTACTGTCAAAAATGCAAACTTGGGGAGGGCAGAAAGATCACACACAAGGCTGCCACTTCACACCTGGAGGGTTGCACGGCGACCAGGCAGAGGCACTCCTCACTTCCCAGACAGTGCAGCGGCCAGGCAGTCAATCTTCTTTAGGTTATATTTTTGTGAATAGTACTAATATATATTCCAAAATGGTATGGGATTTCTAAAATTCCAATGTCTAAGTATATGCTATCAATTATAATTATGGCTATTATGCTAAGTTATTGTAAACCATAGAAGTAACCAAATTTGCCAGGCGCTGTGGCTCACGCCTATAATCCCAGCACTTTGGGAGGCCGAGGTGGGTGGATCACGAGGTCAGGAGTTTGAGACCAGCCTGGCCAGCATAGTGAAACCCCATCTCTACTAAAAATACAAAAAATTAGCCGGGCATGGTGGTGAGTGCCTGTAATCCCAGCTACTTGGGAGGCTGAGGCAGGAGAATCACTTGAACCCAAGAGGCAGAGGTTGCAGTGAGCTGAGATTGTACCACTGCACTCCAGCCTGGGCAATAGAGCGAGACTGTTTCAAAAAAAAAAAAAAAGACAATGAAAGGTGGATTGGGTGAATTAGGCAGCACACCCACACATAAAGTCATAATTTTTCTATTAGCTCCCTTCCCTAACTCTTTTCCTTCCCCTCTGCTCACTCTGATCCAGCCACACCTGCCCCCTTGCTGTTCCTTGGTCTGTCTCACCTTCTGTGTTCAGAGCCTTTGCCCTCTCTGTTCCTTTTGCCTGGAAGGCACTTCCCCCTGAAATTCCTTGGCTTATCAGAGCCCTCATTTACATTTCACTTCTGTGGGTTTTCTTTTTTCTTTTTTTTGAGATGGGGTTTTGCTCTGTCACCCAGGCTGGTGTGCAGTGGCACCATCACAGCTCACTTCAGCCTTGATGTCCGGGGCTTAAGGGATTCTCCCACCTCAGCTTTTCAAGTAGCTGGGATCACAGGTGTGTGCTATCATGCCTGGCTAATTTTTTAATTTTTTTTTGTAGAGTGGGGGTCTTTCTATGTTGCTCAGTCTGGTCTCAAACTCCTTGGCTCAAGCGCTCCTCCCTCCTTGGCCTCCCAAAGAGTTGGGATTACAGGCATGAGCCACTGCATCTGGCTCTTGGGTTTTCTTGATATCATGATCAGGGTGGCCTGTGACAACTACCCTGGCCAATGAAGCCTAAATTGTTTTGGTCCCAGAGACTTGAACTGAATCAGGCTACCTTTCATTCAATGCAGATCACCTCCTCCAGGAAGCCCTCTCAGACTGCCCAGGCTAGGTCAGGTGTTTCTCCCCAGCCCTCTGCTGATAACCCTTTCAAAATGGTTCATTTCCTCTGAGGGGATAAGAGAGGGGTGATGACTCATCCATTTCAGCATCCCCAGTGCCAGGCAAGGCCCAGAGGAGGTGCTCAAGAACCTGCTCTAGGCCAGAAGCAAAGGGAGGAAAGGAAGGCTCCTTTTGCTGGTCTTTTCCCTGCTGCCAGCAGAGGGCGCCTCCGCACCACGATTCTGCCCAGGTGGGTCCAGCCTCCAGTGGGGCCACAGCCAACCTCCTTGTCCTCAGGAGGCTTCCGGACAGAGGGGAGACCTCCTTTGTTCTCTGAGAACAAAGTGCTCAGGCCTTGGGTGCAGACACTGCTACCTGTGTGATCTTGGAGTCTGTGACTTTCCCATCTGACCCTTGATTTTCTCATCTATAAACTGGCTGTATTACCTTGGGGAGTTTGTGAGCTAATAAAATCATCAGTGCAGTGCTGAGCTTAGAGGCACCGCTTGCTAGCTGGGTAACCATGGACTAGTGATTTTGCCTCTCTGTGCCTCAGTTTCCTCGCCTGCAAAATGGGGATAATTGTAACCACCTCATAGGGCTGTTGGGACAATTAAATGAGTTATTCTATAAAATATGAAGCAGAGCGTCAGGCACATGGCCAGGGCTGTGTTATTATTTCCCTTTATTATCATTGCTGGTTGATGAGAGAATGTCCCAGCTCCAACTTTCACCTGCCATGTTGCACCCATGATGACTCCAGGGTAGAGGCTGTGACACCTTTTTTTTTTTTTTTTTAAACAGAGTCTTGCTCTGTTGCCCAGGCTGGAGTGCAGTGGCACGATCTTGGCTCATTGCAACCTCTGCCTCCTGGGTTCAAGCAATTCTCTTGCCTCAGCCTCCCAAGTAGCTGGGATTACAGGCGCCTGCCACCATGCCCTACTAATTTTTGTATTTTTAGTAGAGATGGGGTGTCTCCATGTTGGTCAAGCTGGTTTCGAACTCCTGACCTCATGGTCTGCCTGCCTCAGCCTCCCAAAGTGCTGGGATTACAGGCGTGAGCCACCGTGCCTGGACTTTTTTTTTTTTTTTTTTTTATCTGAGATGGAGTCTCGCTCTGTCACCCAGGCTGGAGTGCAGTGGCAAGATCTCGGCTCACTGCAACCTCCAGCTCCTGGGTTCAAGCGATTCTCCTGCTTCAGCCTCCCGAGTACTTAGGATTACAGGTGCCCACCACCACGCCCAGCTAATTTTTGTATTTTTAGTAGAGACAGGGTTTCACCATGTTGGACCAGGCTAGTCTCGAACTCCTCAGGTGATCCGCTCGCCTCGGCCTCCCAAAGTGCTGGGGTTACAGGCATGAGCCACCACGCCCACCCTTTTTTTTTTTTTTTTTTAGATGGAGTCTCACGCTGTTGCCTGGGATGGAGAGTACAGTGGCGCAATCTTGGCTCACTGCAACCTCTGCCTCCCAGTTTCAAGCAATTCTCCTGCCTCAGCCTCCCGAGTAGCTGGGTTACGGGCGCCTGCCACTACGCCTGGCTAATTTTTGTATTTTTAGTAGAGACAGGGTTTCGCCATGTTGGCCAGGCTGTTTCAAACTCCTGACCTCAGGTGATCCGCCTGCCTCAGCCTCCCAAAGTGCTGGGATTACAGGTGTGAGCCACTGTGCCTGGCCTGATTTTTAAATTTTTTTGTAGAGACAGGGTCTTGCCATGTTGCCCAGACTGGTCTCGGACTCCTGAACTCAAGCCATCCTCCTCCCTCAGCCTCCTAAAGCATTGAGATTACAGGCGTGAGCCACTGTGCCCACTCAGTCTTTTTTTTTTTTTTTTTTGAGACAGAGTTTCACTCTTGTTGCCTAGGCTGGAGTGCAATGGTACGATCTCGGCTCACCGCAACCTCCGCCTACCAGGTTCAATCGATTCTCCAGCCTCAGCCTCCTGAGTAGCTGGGATTATAGGCATGCGCCACCACGCCCAGCTAATTTTTGTATTTTGAGTAGAGATGGGATTTCTCCATGTTGGTCAGGCTGGTCTTGAAATCCTGACCTCAGGTAATCCGCCTGCCTCGGCCTCCCAAAGTGCTGGGATTACAGGCGTGAGCCACCGCACCCGGCCCATGGCATCTTAACATTGGAGAAAACAGCAGAAGCAGATGGGCAGTCTCTCACCTTTGCCTCTCCCTTCTTCCCTGATCAGACCATAAAGCTTTCACTGGGGAGGTGCCCTCTCTATTCCCAAAGGAAAGGAGCCAAAGACACAGAGATGCCAAGAAGAATCTGAACAATCAGGCCTTGCTAAGTCCCATTTCCACCGTCCTGCCACCCCTCACCGCCCCCTATCTATTATCATTAGATCAGACTCTTTTGTTCTCCAATTATACTTCTTCACAACTGCCTACTCTTCATCAAACCAAAGCAGAAAAGCACACAAATTTACCTGTTTCTTCTTCTTCTTCTTTTTTTTTTTTCTTCTGGAGACCATGCCTCACTCTATCACCCAGGCTGGAGTGCAGTGGCACAATCTCGGCTCACTGCCACCTCCACCTCCTGGGTTCAAGCAATTCTCATGTCTCAGCCTCGGGAGTTGCTGGGACTACAAGTGCGTGCTGCCACACCTGCCTAATTTTTTATATTTTAGTAGAGACAGGGTTTTGCCATGTTGCCCAGATAGGTCTTGAACTCCTGGGCTCAAGCAATTCACCCACCTCGGGCTCCCAAAGTGCTGGGTTTACAGTTGTGAGCCACCGTGCCTGGCTACCTGTTTCTTTTCTTTTTTTTTTGAAATGGAGTGTTGCTCTGTTGCCCAGGCTGAAGTGCAGTGGCGCTATCTTGGCTCACTGCAATTTCTGCCTCCTGGGTTCAAGCAATTCTCCTGCCTCAGTCTCCCGAGTAGCTGGTACTACAGCTGCATGCCACCATGCCGGGCTAATTTTTTGTATTTTAGTAGAGACAGGGTTTCACCATGTTGCCCAGGCTGGTCTTGAACTCCTGAGCTCAGGCAATCCATCTGCCTCGGCCTCCTGAAGTGTTAGGGTTACAGGTGTGAGCTGCCGCACCCAGCCGTGTTTCTTCTTTTTAAAAATCTTTTCTTGATAGCTTTTGGGGTACGAGTGTGTTTTGGTGACATGGATGAATTGTACAGTGATGAAGTCTGAGATTCTAGCGCACCTGTCACCCAAGTAATGTACATTGTACCCAGTATGTACAATGAGACCCTCTTTTTTTATCCCCTCCCATCCTCCCTCTTCTGAGTCTCCAAAGTCCATTATACCACTCTATATGCCTTTGCATACCCATAGCTTACCTCCCACTTATAAGTGAGGACATACAGTATTTGGTTTTCCATTCCTGAGTTACTTTGCTTAGAATAATGACCTTCAAATAATGGCCTCCAGCTCCATCCAAGTTGCTACAAAAGACATTGTTTCATTCTTTTTTATGCCCAAGTAATGTTCCATGGTGTATACGTACCACATTTTCTTTATCCACCTATTGGTCAATGGGCACTGAAGTTGGTTCCATATCTTTGCAATTGTGAAGTGTGCTGTAATAAATATATGCATATAGGTATCTTTTTTTTTTTTGAGATAAGAGTCTTGCTCCGTGTAGAGTGAAGTGGCACAATCTTGGCTCACTGCAACTTCTGCCGCCTGGGGTCAAGCAATTCTCCTGTCTCAACCTCCTGAGTAACTGGGATTACAGGCTTTTTTGTATTTGTAGTAGAGACAGGGTTTCACCACGTTGGCCAGGCTGGTCTTGAACTCCTGACCTTAGGTGATCCGCATGCCTGCCTTGGCCTCCCAAAATGCTGGGATTACAGGTGTGAGCCACAGCACCCAGCCTAATGACTACTTTCCCTCTGGATAGATACCCAGTAGTGGGATTGCTGGATTGAATGGTAGATCTACTTTTAGTTGTGGGGGATCGGTCAGAGAGGTGGGAAAAACTACCGGGAAAGGACGCAAATCTTCTGAAAGGTCGGAAGGTTCTGCAGAGCCCCGGGGGAGAATAGCTGAAGGCAACTGTTCTATAACCCTCAGGCAGAGGGCAAGGAGTAGGTAGAAGGGAGTGTAGAGGAATTTATCTGAAACAGGCTTGTTTACTTATGTTGACCAGCAACTGACCTTTGATCATCCTCACACACGTGTGAGATTGCTGAAAGGGGAACAATTAATGTTAATTACTTACAGGTTGTGTTGGCTCCAGGTTTTTGGCATTGTGCCTGCACTGAATAAAAGCAAGCGGCTCCAGCTTCTTGGGACTGCTCTCTGGCCACGAGAGCCAGGCAGCCACCTAGTTGCTCTTACACTGCATACCTGTGTCTGAGTACTCATTTCATCCATCAGCCAGGGTCTGCAGGACAGACCCAGCATTTAGTTCTTTAAGAAAGCTCCATACTCTTTTCCACAGAGGTTGTACATTCTGTGGAATCTGTATAATCTGTACAACAGATTATACACTGTTGGTGAGAATCTACATTCTCACCAGCAGTGTATAAGTGTTCCCTTTTTACCACATCCATGCCAATATCTATTGTTTTTTGACTTTTTAATAATGGCCATTCTTGCAGGGGTGAGGTAGTATCTCACTGTGGTTTTAATTTGCATTTCCCTGATGATTAGTGATGTTGAGCATTTTTTCATTTGTTTGTTGGCCGTTTGTATATTTTCTTTTGAGGAATATCTATTCATGTCCTTTGCCCACTTTTTGATGAGATTATTTGTTTTTTTCTTGCTGACTTGTTTGAGTTCCTTATAGATTCTGGATATTAGTCCTTTGTCGGGTGCATAGTTTGTAAATATTTTCTGCCATTCTGTGGGTTGTCTGTTTGATGATTATTTCTTTCACTGTACAGAAGCTTTTTAGTTTAATTAGGTCCCATTTTTATCTTTGTTTTTGTTGTATTTGCTTTTGGGTTCTTAGTCATAAATTGTTTGCCTAAGCCAATGCCCAGAAGAGTTTTTCCAATGTTGTCTTCTAGAATTGTTGTTGTTTCAGGCCTTAGATTTAAGTCTTTGACCATCTCGAGTTGATTTTTGTATGAGGTGAGAGATAGATAGGAATCCAGTTGCATTCTTCTTTTTTTTGTTTTTTTTTTGAGACGACGTCTCGCTTTGTCACCCAGGCTGGAGTGCAGTGGTGCAATCTCGGCTCACTGCAACCTCCACCTCCTGGATTCAAGCAATTCTCCTGCCTCAGCCTCCCCAGTAGCTGGGATTACAGCGCCTGCCACCATGCCCGTCTAATTTTTGTATTTTTAGTAGAGATGAGGTTTCACCATGTTGGCCAGGCTAATTTCGAACTCCTGACCTCAGGTGGTCCACCCACTTCGGCCTCCCAAAGTGCTAGGATTACAGGTGTGAGCCACTGTACCTGGCCCAGTTTCATTCTTCTACATGTGGCCAGTTTTCCTAGCACCGTTTATTAAATAGGGTGTCCTTTCCCCAATTTATGTTTTTGTATACTTTGTTGAAGATCAGTTGGTTTTAAGTATTTGGCTTTATTTCTGGGTTCTCTGTTGTGTTCTGTTGGCCTATGTGTCTGCTTTTATACCAGTATCATGATGTTTTGATAACTATAGCCTTGTATAATTCAAAGTCAGGTAATGTGATGCCTCCAGATTTGTTCTTTTTGCTTAGGATTACTTTGGCTATTTGGGGTCTTTTTTGGTTCAATATGAATTTTAGGATTTTTTTTTTTTTTTTTTTTTTTTTTGAGATGGAGTCTTGCTCTGTTGCCAGGCTGGAGTGCAGTGGTGTGATCTCAGCTCACTTCAACCTCCGCCTCCTGGGTTCAAGTGATTCTTCTGCCTCAGCCTCCTGAGTAGCTGGGACTACAGGCACGAGCCACTATGCCCAGTTAATTTTTGTTTTTTGTTTTTTTTTTGAGATGGAGTCTCGCTCTGTCACCCAGGCTGGAGTGCAGTGGCGTGATCACCCCTCACTGCAAGCTCCGCCTTCTGGGTTCACACCATTCTCCTGCCTCAGCCTCCCGAGTAGCTGGGACTACAGGTGCCTGCCACCACGCCCGGCTAATTTTTTGTATTTTTAGTAGAGACGGGGTTTCACCATGTTGGCCAGGATGGTCTTGACCTCTTGACCTCGTGATCCACCCAACTCGGCCACCCGAAGTCCTGGCATTACAGGCGTGAGCCACCATGCCCAGCCCCTTGTTTTTTCTAATTGTGTGAAAAATGATGTTGGTATTTTGATAGGAATTGCATTGAATCGGTGGATGACTTTGGGAAGTATGGTCATTTACATGATATTGATTCTTCTAATCCATGAGCATGGGATGTATTTTCATTTGCTTGTGTCATCTATGACTTATTTCAGCAGTGTTCTGTAGATCTCCTTAGATCTTTCTTTCTTTTTTTTTTTTTTTTTTTGAGACAGAGTCTTGCTGTGTTACCCAGGCTGTAGGGCAGTGGTGGCACAATCTCGGCTCACTGCAACCTCCACCTCTTGGGTTCAAACGATTCTTGTGCCTCAGCCTCCCGAGTAGCTGGGACTACAGACGTGTGCCACCACGCCTGGCTAATTTTTCAATTTTTTTAGTAGAGACAGAGTCTCGCCATGTTGGCCAGGCTGGTCTTGAACTCCTGACCTCAAGTGATCCACTTGCCTTGGCCTCCCAAAGTGCTGGAATTACAGGTGTGAGCCACCATGCCCAGCCAGAAAGAGTTTTCACATGCTTGGTTAAGAATAATCCTAAGAGGCCAGGCATGGTGTCTCATGCCTGTAATCCCAGCACTTTCGGAGGTGAGATGGGAGGATCACTCGAGGCCAGGAGTTCGAGACCAGCCTGGTCAACATAGTGAGACCCCTATCTTTATTAAAAAAAAAAAAAAGAATATTTTGTTAGGTATTTTACTTTGTTTTTACAGCTATTGTAGAAGGGATAGAATTCTTGAGTTGATTCTCAGCTTGGTCGTTGTTGGTGTATAGCAGTGCTATTGATTTGTGTACATTTATTTTGTAACCTGAGACTTTACTGAATTAGTTTACAAATCTAGAAGTCTTTTGGAGGAGTCTTTAGGGTTTTGTAGGTGGGTGATTATATCATCGGCAAACAGAGCTAGACTTCTTCTTTTCCAATTTGGATGCTCTTTCTTTCTTTCTCTTGCCTGATTGCTCTAGCTGGGAAGTTTCCCTGTTTCTTTTGGTTTTCATTTTTGAAGCCTCCCGTGGCATGTAGGACTTATATTAAACACATCACTATGCTTTTCTCTTAATTTGTTTTTTGTTACAGGTGGCTCAGCCAAGAACCTAGTGATGGGTGAGGAAAAGAAATCTTCTCAGCTGGGCTCAGTGGCTCATGCCTGTAATCCTAGCACTTTGGGAGGCCGAGGCAGGTGGATCGAGGCTGAGGCAGGAGAATTGCTTGAACCTGAGAGGTGGAGGTTGCAGTGAGCTGAGATCACGCCACTGCACTCCAGCCTGGGTAGCCTGGGTGACAAAGGGACTTTGTCTCAAACACACACACACACACACACACACAACACACACACACACACACAAAACAAAGAAATCTTTTATCTCCTGCAGGGTTTCTATGTGATTTTTACTTGAGCAATACAAGAGTATATTGTCCAGGTGAGCACCCTGAGACTAATGGTGAGGGTTGACCCTGAGTTCCACATTGGTTGGCATTCATATTTCTGTTTCTTTCTTCCTCTTTTTTTTTTTTTTTTTGGAGACACAGTCTTGCTCTGTTGCCCAGGCTGGAGTGCAGTGGCACGATCTCGGCTCACTGTAACCTCCACCTCCTGGGTTCAAGCGATTCTCCTGCCTCAGCCTCTCAAGTAGCTGGGATTACAGGCTCCCACCACCATGCCTGGCTAATTTTTGTATTTTTAGTAGAGACAGGGTTTCACCATGTTGGTCAGGCTGGTCTCGAACTCCTGACCTTGTGATCCTCCTGCCTCAGCCTCCCAAAGTGCTGGGATTACAGGCGTGAGCCACCGCACCTGGCTATGTTTCTGTTTCTGATTGGGGAGGTGGAGCTACTGACCTCTGGATGGAGGAAAAGATGCTCTGTGGCCACCACCAGGCTCTAACCTTTTATTTCATTGATTCCTCGGAGCCAGGATGAGAGGTAGCATCATAATCCTGATTAGTGGACAAGAAAACTGAGGCTCCAGAACACTGAGTGACTGGTTCAAGGTCCACACCTGCAAGCCCAGAGGCTGCCTATGGGGCGGGGTAAGGGGCACAGGATCATGCCCTTCATACAGTCCCCGCAGTCCTGGAGGTGCTGCTCAGTGCACGACGCCAGGGGGCGCCATGCGCATCGAAGAACCCTCTGTGGTTTCCCAGTCCTTGGGGCTGCAGCTGCTGCCTTCTTCGACCGATTTCTGCGGAGATGGTTTCGTGAGGACAGCATTATAAATGGGAATGATCCATGATACTCATGACTGGGCCCTTGGGGACTGGGCCCCTGCCAAGCCATGTGATCCAAGGCCTCCTCGTACTTGCTTTCCTTTCTGTGATGTCTTGCCTGTGCCCCAGCTGCCTGTGCTGTGAATTTAATTCCTGCAATAGGAATCTCATAAATGCATGGGTGGCCAGGCAAATAGGTATAAATAAGTAAAAAAGTTGTGCCTCTGAAGCTCTCCGTGGGGTAACTCATCCTCAGAAGAATGTTTATGGGCCTGAGCTGGAAAGGGAAGAAGTGCAAGTTCCATCCTCAACAAGGTGCCTGTTGGCAATTTGAGCTGGAAGTAGGGTCAGGATGACATAATAGTGAAGTGACGGGTCTGTGTTCCAGTCCTGAGCCAACCACTGTGTGCGTGTCAAAAATAGCCACCATGCTTCATTTCTCCCATTGTTGAGGCATATTTTTCCACTTCTTTTGGACCAATACGAAGTGATGGAAGTGAGGACTTGTGGCTTCCAAGCCAGGCCCTCAAGAGGTCTTGCCCACTTCCACATTCTCTCTCTCGGACCTTGGTGTGATATGAGCCTGGGTTAGAGTGCAGGGGGATGAGAGACCATGAGGAGGAGAGTGTCCCAAGCAAGGCCATCCTAGACCAGCCTGTCCCCATCAGGCCTGCCAGCTGACAGCAGACTCCTGAGAAAGCCAAGTCCAGTTGAGTTCAACCTAGCTCAACCCTGGCCAGCAAAACCACACGGCGAACCTGCAGATCCTGAACTGTAATAGAGGCTTATCATTTTATAAGTCATTCCATTTAGATTAGTTTATTATGCAGCAACAATTAACTGATATGGCCAATTATAGTGAAATGGTCATGGTCCATTTGCATACTCTGTGAGCCTCAATTTCTTTTCTTTTTTTTTTTTTTTTTGAGATGGAGTCTTGCTTTGTTGCCCAGGCTGGAGTGCAGTGGCATGATCTCCGCTCACTGCAAGCTCTGACTCCCAGGTTCATGCCATTCTCCTGCCTCAGCCTCCCTAGTAGCTGGGACTACAGGCGCCTGCCACCACGCCTGGCTAATTTTTTTGCATTTTTAGTAGAGACGGGGTTTCACTGTGTTAGTCAGGATGGTCTCGATCTCCTGACCTCGTGATCCACCCGCCTCGGCCTCCCAAAGTGCTGGGATTACAGGCGTGAGCCACCGCGCCCGGCCGCCTCAATTTCTTTATCTGTGAAACAGGTAACGCTATATGATAGTAGTCTCTGTCCCAGAGAAGCAATATGAGGAATAAATTAAATGTTCATAAGATTCTTCTCACAGTGTCTGACATGGAGAATATCAGCTGGAACGGGCCTGGTGGTGCTGCCATAATTAGCAACCCTAGGCTGCGCCCAGTGGCTCATGCCTGTAATCCCAGCACTTTGGGAGGCTGAGGCAGGTGGATCACCTGAGATCAGGAGTTTGAGACCAGCCTGGCCAACATGGTGAAACCCTGTCTGTACTAAAAATACAAAAATTAGCCGCGAGTAGTGGTGCTCGCCTGTAGTCCCAGCTACCTGGGGAGCTGAGGCAGGAGAATCGCTGGAACTCGGGAGGCGGGGGCTTCAGTGAGCCAAGATCATGCCACTACACTCCAGCCTGTGTGACAGAGCAAGACTCCATCTCAAAAAAAAAAAAAAAAAATTAGCAATCCCAAATATTAGTGACTTTAAACAGCAAAGGTCGGCCAGGTCCGGTGGCTCACACCTGTAATCCCAGAACTTTGGGAGGCGGAGGCGGGCAAATCACGAGGTCAGGAGTTCGAGACTAGCCTGGCCAATATGGTAAAACTCCATCTCTAATAAAAATACAAAAATTAGCTGGGCACAGTGGCTCACGCCTATAATCCCAGCACTTTGGGAGGCAGAGGTGGGCAGATCACGAGGTCAGCAGTTTGAGACCAGCCTGGCCAACATGGGTTAAACTCCGTCTCTACTAAAAATACAAAAATTAGCCAGGTATGTTGGCAGGCACCTGTAATCCCAGCTACTCGGGCGGCTGAGGCAGGAGAATTGCTTGAACCCAGGAGACAGAGGTTGCAGTGAGCCGAGATCAGGCCACTGCACTCAAGCCTGGGTGACAGAGCAAGACTCCGTCTTGGAAAAAAATAAAAATACAAAAATTATCTGGGCATGGTGGCACGCGCCTGCAATCTCAGTTACTAGGGAGGCTGAGGCAGGAGAATCGCTTGAACCCAGGAGGCGGAGGTTGCAGTGAGCCGAGATCGTGCCACTGCACTCCAGCCTGGGCGACAGAGCAAGACTCCGTTTCAAAAAAAAAAAAAAAAAGTCTGGGCGGGGTGGCTCATGCCTGTAATCTCAGCACTTTGAGAGGCCGAGGTGGGCAGATCATAAGGTCAGGAGATCAAGACCATCCTTGCTAACACGGTGAAACCCCGACTCTACTAAAAATACACACATGCACAAAAAAATTAGCCAGGCATGGTGGCGGGCGCCTGTAGTTCCAGCTACTCGGGAGGCTGAGTCAGGAGAATTGCTTGAATCCAGGAGCAGAGGTTGCAGTGAGCCGAGATCGTGCCATTGCATTCCAGCCTGGGCAACAGAGTGAGACTCCATCTCAAGCAACAACAACAACAAAACAGCAAGCGTCTATTTCTTGCCCTTGTTACATGTCTGCAGTAGGTGGACCAGGAGCTGTGAGCATTATGGTCACGTAGAGTCCAGGGCTGGTGACGTTCTTCATCTCAGCACTTTTCTGGCCACTGCCCCAGAGAGAAAAGAGAAGCTCAGGAGGGAGTTCAGGACTCATCGGCCCCACCCACCCAAAGGGCCCATCCTTCTTTCTAGAAGGGGACAGCTGGAAGTATTTGGTGAACAACATTTACAACTTCATATGAGCAGTGAATGAGTGTTAGGTATTGCTTTCTGCTTGAGTCCTCAAGTTGGGAGAGTAGTAAAGTGAAAATAAAAAGAAGCAATATTGTTTTGTTTTGTCTTTTTGAGACAGGGTCTCACTTTGTCACCCAGCCTGGAGTGCAGTGGTGTGATCTTGGCTCACTGAAGCCTCCGCCTCCCAGGTTCCAGTAATTCTCCTGCCTCAGCTTCCCGGGTAGCTGGGATTACAGGTGCCCTCTACCATGCCCAGCTAATTTTTGTATTTTTGGTAGAGATGGGTTTCACCATGTTGCCCAGGGTGATCTCGAACTCCTGAGCTCAAGCAATACACCCACCTCGGCCTCCTAAAGTGCTGGGATTTCAGGCATGAGCCACTGCGCCCAGCTGGAAGCAATGGTAATAGAAATCACAATAGCATAATAGCGGCTCCACGTATTGAGTACCTACTGTATGCCAGCACAGGGACAGGCCTTTTATCTGTGTCATTGAATCCTTACAAGAACCCTGTTAGATCAATCTTATTATCCCCCTTTTAAAGCAGGATGAGGCTCAGAGAGTGTAAGGGACCTGCCTGGCATTGCCAGGTTTGTGGCAGAGCCAGGATTTGGATCCAGGACTCTATTTTTTTTTGAGACGGAGTTTTGCTCTTGTTGCCCAGACTGGAGTGCAATGGCCCGATCTCGTCTTAACCACACCTTCCGCCTCCTGGGTTCAAGCGATTATCCTGCCTAAGCCTCCCGAGTAGCTGGGATTACAGGCATGCGCCACCATGCTTGGCTAATTTTGTATTTTTAGTAGGGACAGGGTTTCTCCATGTTGGTCAGGCTGGTCTCGAACTCCTGACCTCAGGTGATCTGCCTGCCTCGGCCTCCCAAAGTGCTGGGATTATAGGTGTGAGCCACTGCGCCCGGCTGTGACCCCTTTTTAATGCTCCCCAAAGGCTGACCAAGGTGTCCCAGAGATTAGGCAAGGAGCCAGACCAGGCTGTCCATCGACTGAACTGGTCCATCTGGACTCCTGTCAGTTATGATCAGGAATCAGCAAAGAATAGGTCAAGTACAGTGGCTCATGCCTGTAATCCCAGCACTTTGGGAGGCTGAGGTGGGAGAATTCCCTGAGGCCAGGGGTTCAAGACCAGCTTGGGCAAAATAGTGAGACTGCCATCTCTGAAAAGAAAAGAAATCAGCCAAGAACTGTCTGGTTTTGCGCCTTCACTCCCCCGATCCTTCCAGTTTTGTGCTATAAATTCCTTTGAGGAATTCCAGTGTAGGCTGAGGTAGCCAAGAGGCACAGGGCCTCCTTAGCCCCATCAGACTGACGGTGGCTCCTCACCTCACACAGCCGTTCATAACAATAGTCTGTGTTGACTGCACCGGCACCGTCTACCCACACTATGCCAAGGGCTTTGTGAGCATTTTCTTTTTTTTTTTTTTTTTTAAATTGATAACAATTTAACTTTATTTTTTATTTATTTATTTTTTTCCACTTTTTTTTAATTATTATTATACTTTAAGTTTTAGGGTACATGTGCACAATGTACAGGTTAGTTACATATGTATACATATGTTTTCTTATTGAAAGCTCCCCAAACCCTCTGTTATTATCCCCATGTTATACAAGTGGGAACACATGCACAGAGAGGTACATGTCCTGTCCAAGGTCCTACAGCTGGTAAGGAACCAGAATTGGAACTCAGGCAGCCTCACCCCACGTCTTCACCTCTAACCTTAAGCTATAAAGGGTTCTTACATTCTTGAGCTCTTGAACTCATCTGATCTCCCCTAGGCACCTTCCACCACATGCACACACACACACACTCAAGCAGTTATTATGACTCCAACTCTACAAACATGGTATCCGAGGCTCTGGGACATGTTCAAGGTCACAGACTGGTCAACTGGTTCAAATCCAGTGTCCTGGCTGGGTGCCATGGCTCACACCTGTAATCCCAGAACTTTGGGAGGCCAAGGCAGCGGATCACTTGAGGTCAGGAGTTTGAGACCAGCCTGGCCAGCATGGTGAAACCCTGTCTGTACTAAAAATACAAAAATTAGCCAGGTGTGGTGGTGGGCGCCTGTAGTCACTACCACCTGCAACTTCTGGGCTGAAGCCATCTTCTCTCAATCTCCCGATTAGCTGGGACTACAGGCATACACCACCACGCCAGGCTAATTTTTTAATTTTTAGTAGAGACAGGGTTTCACCATGTTGGCCAGGCTAGTCTGGAACTCCTGACCTCAAGTGATCCTCTTGCCTCGGCCTCCTAAAGGGCTGGGATTACAGGTGTGAGCCACTGTGCCCGGCCAGATCATGTCTTTTTGACTCTGGCAAGGCACTGTCCCACTGTGGGCCTCGGCATCCTCATCTGGAACATGGGTGTGCCAATGGCACCCACCTCAGGAGCTTGTTGGGAGGTAGAAAGGCTTATGAAAGCACCTGGCACTTGGTAGGTGGTTAATGACAGCTTCTTGCCTTCCTGCTTTGCTGCGGGTGCCCCCTGAACCCAGGGAAGTAAGTTTATGAGCCACTGGTCCTCATGGATCTGCTGGGAGGTTGGGGAGAGAGCCGTGGATGGTTGCCTTGTCCATCACAGCTCCTGGGTGCAGTTCCAGGAGCAGCCTCCGGTGGTTACATAGGCAAGGGGAGACAGGTCTCTGGAGATGCTTCCATCTGTACAGAATGGACTGATCTCAGGGCCTCTGCCCTGGGCCTCCTGATGTGCTGTGGGAGGCCATGCTGGGCTGCAGGTGGGCGTCGGGGCCTGGCGCACAGGAGACACTGCTCTCTGGGAAAAAGGAATGTGACTGGTGACATGCCACAGGGACAACAGCAGCAGCCCCTTCTAGGCACAGGCAGCTACTGGGCACCAAACACTCCATCCTCTGCTCCTCGTGGCCTTTGTTCACGGTGACCCTTTCCCACCTATTTTGGGATGCAGAGGTTGAGGCCGCACAGGCTTTCTAGCTGACTTGCTGCTCCTCCCTGCTCTGCTCCACGTGAGTTCCATGTTCAGCTCATCCTAACATGGGCCCCTGAGCACCTGTCCTGACCTCTGTTTTTTTTGAGATGGAGTCTTGCTCTCTCACCCAGGCTGGAGTGCAGTGGTGTGATCTCGGCTCACTGCAACCTCCACCTCCTGGGTTCAAACAATTCTCCTGTCTCAGCCTCCTGAGTAGCTGAGAGCACAGGTGTGCACCACCATGCCTGGCTAGTTTTTGTATTTTTAGTAGAGATGGGGTTTCACCATGTTGGCCAGGCTGGTCTTGAACTCCTGAACTCAAGTGATCTGCCTGCCTCAGCCTCCAAAAGTGCTAGGATTACAGGTGTGAGCCACTGTGCCCAGCCCTGTCCTGCCCTCTTTCCTGCCCCTTTGCCTCCCAGCACCAAGCCCCATGGCTGCCCATCCACCCCGGCTCGCACCCCATCCTTCTCCTCTCCCATCCCTTCCTCCCCCTACCTCTCCATGCCCTCCTCCCCCCAGTCATGGAAGGTGCCAGCCCCAATGAGCAATGACTTCCACAGTTGTCCTTGGCTGGCTGACACTTGTCTGGAAAGTGGGGGTGGGGTCTCATCAGGGGCCCCACTGAGGAGCTTTATTGGCAATACAGATCACTTAATTTATTTTCATCATTATTATTATTTTTTGAGACAGAGTCTTGCTCTGTCACCCAGGCTGGAGTGCAGTGGCACAATCTCAGCTCACTGCAACCTCCGCCTCTCAGGTTCAAGCAATTCTCCTGCCTCAGCCTCCTCAGTAGGTGGGATTACAAGTGCCTGCCACCATGCCCAGCTAATTTTTGTATTTTTAGTAGAGACAGAGTTTCGGCATGTTGGCCAGGCTGGTCTCGAACTCCTGACCTCAGATGATCCGTCTGCCTCGGTCTCCCAAAGTGCTAGGATTACAGGTGTGAGCCACTGTGCCCTGCCAGAAATCACTTAACTTTAAAAAGTTCCTTCCTCCCTGATTTCACCGGTGATCCTGAGGCCTAATGACTTACAAACAGGAAGTCTTTGAGGAAGCTGCTGCATTCAGTGTTGAAAGCCTGGGAACTCACTGGCTTCAGAGGGGCAGGGGAGAGGGGAAAGTGAGGCCTCTCCTGAGGCTTGTGGGGCCTCTGGAAGGGACCGATTTTCAGTGAATCAGCCTTTACGTTTCCCAGGACTCGGGGCAGCCTTGCCTTTGGTGCAGTCCAGGTGCCTGATGTCAGGGCGGAGCACTGCATGACTCTGGGGGCACCGTCCCCAGGCTGTGAAGGCACCTCTCGAGTTGTACGATGTGGTAAGACTAAGGCTCTGTCACCTCCAACTGCCAGTGCTGGCCTGGCCTGTGTGGGCTTTGCCTACCAACGAGGAGGAGAAAGGGCCCTCCATGGCCTACCTTGCCCTACCTGTGCCATGCACCTGACTGCCTGCCTTGGTTTCCCTGGGCTGGGCCCTATACTCTGCCCATCTCTTGCAGTAGGAGGGGCCCCATAGGGATCCTCCTTCCCTGGCCAAGGCAACTGGAGGGATATCTCCACATTGCGGTGGCATCAGCCCCTGACACTGAGGAATGCGGCTGCCTGGATGCTGCTCTCAGGACTCCAACTTGGGACAGCCGCTGATGGGCTGACATTTGCCCAAACTGGGCCCAAATTAGAAGAAGAAGGAAGAAGAAGCTCCACATCCCAACTCTGCCTCTTTCTCTCTTTGTGATGATTGGACAAGACGCTTAAATCTCTTTGAATCTCAATGTTCTCATCTACAAAATGGGGATAATGGCCAGGCACGGTGGTTCACACCAGTAATCCTAGCTCTTTGGAAGGCAGAGGCAGGAGAATCACTTGAGCCCAGGATTTTGAGACCAGCCTGGGCAACACAGTGAGACCCCACCTCTAAAAAATGGGGATAATAATAAACCTATTACAAATAGGTGGGGTGAATCTTGGCGGAACCAGGTAAGGTGGCTCAGTGGTGGGGATGGAGCAGGTACCCAGAAAATGCCAGCTGTCAAATTCTTTTTTTTTTTTTTTGAGACATAGTCTTGCTCTGTTGCCCAGGCTGGAATGCAGTGGCACGATCTCGGTTCACTGCATCCTCCAGCTCCTGGGTTCAAGTGATTCTTCTGCCTCAGCCTCACCAAGTAGCTGGGATGACAGGTGTGAGCTGCCGTGCCTGTCCTTAGCTGCCAAATTCTCTTCCCCTCAGAGCCCTAGCCGTTTAGGTAAGGCTTCCCCACTTCTGTTCCACCTAGACCTTACCTACTCCTGCCCCTCAACTCAGGACAGTCTAGCATAGATGAGGCAGCTGAAATCCTGAGCACCAAGGCGAGAGTTTAATCTCTCCTCTGCATTTTTGATGAATTGATTTGGTGCAGTGGAGGTTTTCAGTAGATCTGTTTAAATGACAGATAAGAAGCATTTGCTGTTATCCTGGCCATCGTGAGTGCACATGGGGCTTCCACGGTGTTCACTTTTGCTTTCTTAAATTTATTCATTTCTTCAATACATGCTTATCAGCCCCCTACTATGCGCTCAACACTGGGTTAGGCAGTAGGTACACCAGTGAATCAGGCTGGCAGAGTCTGATTTCCACGGACTTTATGACCCAGTTGAGGGCATAGATAAAATCTAAGCCAAGAGATATATCACCTCATTAGTGATTGCAGTAAATGCTTTGGAAGAAACAAACTAATTTGCTTATTAAAACTTAAAGGATACAAAGGTAAGTTCCAGCCCCATGAAATCTGAAGGTTTTTTTAGGATAATAGAATAAAAAACCATAAGTGCCCCCATGGTCCCTGCATAATGAATGGCCTGCTAAGCCTACAGTCTAAGTGCTTTATACAAATGAGCTCATTTACTCCTTACACCAGCCTTTATAGTTGAGTGTCTTTATCCCCATTTTACAGACGGGCATATGGAGGTCAAAGGGTCAAGTGGCTTTCCCAAAGTCACAGGGCTTGCTGATGAAGCTGGATTCAAACTTGGGTTTGTTTGATCCCTCCCTGTTGTAATTACAGGCCTACAGTATTTGTTGCTGCGTCTCCATCTCAGTTGGGAGCTCTTGAGGATGTGTGGCTGGAGGCTTGGGAGAGAGCAACTCAGGAAGGGGCAAGTAGATCACATCCCCTCACCTAGGGTGAGGACCTCCCATCTGAGCTAGAAGTTGCTAAAGTCAAGGCCCAACCCAGCAATTTGTCCCACAGCGAAAGGGAGCAAATGGCATCTGTCTCTAAGAGGTTGACCCTGAAAATGGGCATCTGGCCTCAACCTTGTTTGCAAAAGTGGGATGAGGATGAGGGGTGCGGATAAGAGTTCCCGTTCTGCATTCATGCAGCATGCGAGGCCCACTTTGTCATGTGGCCATGACTTCTTACACTGTCAAGGCTGCGGGCAGGTGGCTTAGGAGGTTGGGAGCCAATTGGAGAACCTTGAGCCCAGAATCTGGACTCCCTGTTTCTGGTACCACCTGCCACTGGCTGCCTCAATCCATTTCTCCCCTTGGTTAAGAGCCTGGGCCCTGGAAATTAAAGAACCTAGATTTAAATACCAGTACTCTCACTTAATAGCTGTATGACTTGTCAAATTATTTAACCTCTGTTAGCCTCAGTTTCCTCATCTTTCATTTTTCATTTTTAAATTAAAAAAAATTTTTTTTTTTGAGACGGAGTCTTGCTGTCACCCAGGCTGGAGTGCAGTGGTGTGATCTTGGCTCATTGCAACCTCTGCCTCCCGGGTTCAAGTGATTCTCCTGCCTCAGCCTCCTGAGTAGCTGGGATTACAGGCACCTGCCACCATGCCCAGCTAATTTTTAAATATTTTTAGTAGAGACAGGGTTATACCATGTTGGCTAGGATGGTCGCGAACTCCTGACTTCAAGTGATACACCTGCTTTGGCCTCCCAAAGTGCTGATATTACAAGGCTGAGCCACCGCGCCCAGCCTACATTTAATTTTTTTGAGACAGGGTCTTGCTGTCTTGCTCATGCTGGAGTTCAGTGGCATGATCTCAGCTTACCGCAGCCTCGACCTCCTGGGTTCAAGTGATCCCCCTGCCTCAGCCTCCCGAGTAGCTGGGACTACAGGCACACACTATGATGCCTGGTTAATTTTTTTATTTTCGTAGAGATGGGGTCCTGGCTATGTCACCCTGGTTGGTCTTGAATTCCTGGCTTCAAGGAGTCCTTCCACCTTGGCCTCCCAAAGTGCTGCGATTACAGGTGTGAGCCACAGTGCTCAGCCCCTCATCTTTCAAATGGGCATAATAAGATCTGCAGGCTGGGTGCAGTGGCTCATGCCTGTAATCCCAGCACTTTGGGAGGCCAAGGCAGGCAGATCACTTGAGGCCAGGAGTTGGAGACCAGCCTGGCCAACATGGCAAAATCCTGTCTCTACTAAAAATATGAAAATTAGCTGGGTGTGGTGGCGGGCGCCTGTAATCCCAGCTGCTTGGGAGGCTGAGGCAGGAGAATTGTTTGAACCCGGGAGGTAGAGGTTGCAGTAAGCTGAGATCGTGCCACTGTACTCCAGGCTGGGTGACAGAGCAAGACTCTGTCTCCAAAATAATAATAATAATAATAATTAATTAATTAATTAAAAAAAATTACAAAGATCTGCAGCTCAGGCTGTTTGGGAGTAAACCAGATGGCTTATGTAAAATGACTTTGCCCGGTTTCTGGGTGATCATACTGCCTTGGTCAAGTCAAATCCTATTCTTCCAGGAACGTGGGGTATTGGCAGCATTTCCCCAACTGCCGTGGAAAAACAGGGTGTAACCTGTAAACATTTTTTCTGTGATTTTGTTCTAACCACAGGAGTGCTTATCCATGTAAGAGACTATTGTCCCTTTATAGCAGTTACAGTTAGAAGGCTCTACTTCCTCCAGCGACACACCTGAACCCTGACACTCCTGGGAACTTTGCTCTTGGAAATGTCTTCAGAGCCTGGGCACAGCTTTGAATGTATTCAGTGGAGAGGGCATTCATTCTCCAAGGGTCAGTCTGGTGTTTGGAATTAGCAAGAAATCCTTTGGACCCAAGACTGCTGACTTCAGGTGAAAATTTGAGCTGGGAAATACTGACAAGGACAAGTGGAAACAAAATGCAGGTTGGGGAGGGTAGAGAAAGGTTTTCAACCATGGAGGGCCATAGAGCTGCATTAAGCAATTTCACAATCAAAAATGTTTGCAGGATGATTCTCGCATGGGTCAGAAAGAGAAATCTGGGGTATCCAATTGGAGGTATTAATTTTGGAGGGCTGACCTTGGGCAGAGGGTGATGCTCTTCCAGAAACAACTGTCCCCAGATGTTACATGGAAATTCTTTCTTTTTTTCTCTTTCTTTTTTCTTTTTTTGAGACGGAGTTTCGCTCTTTTGTTGTCCAGACTGGAGTGCAATGACACAATCTTGGCTCAGTCCAGTCTCAGCTCACTGCAACCTCCGCCTCCCAGGTTCAAGCGATTCTCCGGCCTCAGGCTCCTGAGTAGCTGGGATTACAGGCATGCACCACCATGCCCAGCTAATTTTGTACTTTTAGTAGAGACAGGGTTTCTCCATGTTGGTCAGGCTGGTCTCGAACTCCTGACCTCAGGTGATCTGCCTGCCTCGGCCTCCCAAAGTGCTGGGATTACAGGTGTGAGCCACCTCACCCAGCCTCTTTTTTTTTTTTTTTTTTTTTTTTTTTTTTTGACAGAGTCTCGCTCCGTTGCCCAGGCTGGAGTACAGTGGCATGATCTCAGCTTACTGCAACCCCGCCTCTTGAGTTTAAATGATTCTCCTGCCTCAGCCTCCCGAGTAGCTGAGATTACAGGCGCCTGCCACCACGCCCAGCTAATTTTTGTATTTTTAGTAGAGACAGGGTTTTGCCATGTTGGCCAGGCTGGTCTTGAACTCCTGATCTCAAGTGATCCACCCGCCTCAGACTCCCAAAGTCCTGGGATTACAGGCGTGAGCCACTGCACCTGACTTGCCAGTTCCAAATTTCTGAGGCAGAGAATGTGACTGTCGAGTGGGCAAGCCATGGCATGGATCGCATGGTATCACTATGCCTGCTGGGATCCATCCTTGGGAGTGGAACATGCTTCTCAGGAAGGAAATGGGAGGGTTGTTTGGGATTGGGCAAGCTCCTCCTCAATAAGAAATGAATTGGGACACCCCTTTATGGAATCACTTCCACTCTGATGAAATCATCTGGGAATTTTCAATCAGAAGATTTAGAAAGATGCTATTTTCATTTTGCCTTACCTATATCTTTTGTGTCTTCTGGCTTATTGCTTTTGAGGTGTGTGTGTTGGGGGGACCTCTAAAAGTCATCCTGGGCCTTGGTTAGGCCACCACATTGACCTGGCCTGGGGACCTACTCAGCTTGGAGGCCAGTTGGCTGGAGGTGGGGGAGGAGGGAGCCCCAGCTGCGGCCTCTGAGCCTCTCGTGCCAGCGGCCCCGTCCAGCCCACCTCGGCCCGGCACCTCTTGTCCTTCCGGCCCCTTGAGGGAGCGACTTGTTCCCTTTCCAGCTTCTTTTTGCGGAGCATGAGCCACTGACTATTTGAAATGGGACACCCTCTTGATAGCACCAAGCCTCTGCTTTCCTATGGATAAAATGCCCAGCCTGCTTTCTTCAGAAAGTTGGTGCGGGAATCACATGAAATTGGTGGTTGTGAACAAGGGTCCTCAATGGGGGGCAACTTGTCCTGGGGAAGGGGACATTAGGCAACGTCTGCAGACATTTTTGGCTGACAGAAGTGTGGGAGAGGGTGCTCCTGGCATCTTGTAGGGGAGGCCAGGGTACATGGTGGGCACTTAGATATTATTTCTTTTTCTCTCTTTTTTTTTTTTTTTTGTTTGAGACAGAGTCTCACTGTGCTGCCCAGGCTGGAGTGCAGTGGTGTGATCTCGGCTCACTGCAACCTCTGCCTTCTAGGTTCAAGTGATTCTCCTGCCTCAGCCTCTGGAGTAGCTGGGATTATAGGCGTGGGCCACCATGCCTGGCTAATTTTTGTATTTTTATTTTTAGTAGAGATGGGGTTTCACCATGTTGGCCAGGCTGGTCTTGAACTCTTGACCTCAGGGGATCCTCCTGCCTCGGCCTCCCAAAGTGCTGGGATTACAGGCTGAAGCCACTGTGCCCTGCCAGATACTATTTATTTTTCTTTTCTTCTCTTTTTGCTTTTCTTTTTTTCTTTTCTTTTTTTTGAGACAGGGTCTTGCTCTGTCACTCAAGCTAGGGTACAGTGATACAATCATGGCTTATTGCAACCTATGCCTCCTGGGCTCAAGAGATCCTCCCACCTCAGCCTCCTGAGTAACTGGGAGAACAGGTGTGCACCACCATGCCTGGCTAACTTTTGCACTTTTAGTAGAGACAGGGTTCTGCATGTGGCCCAGCCTGGTCTTGAACTCCTGGACTCAAGAGATCTGCCCGCCTGAGTCAAATGCTGGGATTACAAGTGTGAGCCACTGCACCTGCCCAGATACTGCTTCTAAATCAAAGTTGAGCCTCAGTTAATGGTGAGCCCAGCATGGTACTGCTTTGAGGCCCTGTACAGATGGCAGAGAAGACTAACGGCTTGGTGAGGGGCTCCTTGGGGTACTGTCTCAGTGACTAAGTGACTGTAGGTGGGCACAGCTGCTGCTGGCAAGGGCTGCTTCCAGTGTGCTGGGGGAGCCGGTTGCCCGGCAGCCTTGCTGAGTGGAGTATGGCTTAGGAAACTCATTATGCTACCAGTGGGGAAAAGCAAGCCTCCCCTCACCTCTTGGAGTGACCGACAGTTTGGGGGAAAAAAAGTGGAAGTGGATTTACTGATTTGTTTTTCTCTGAACTCGTGGTTCCTTCCCTAATATTCAGCCCCTCCTTTGCCCTCCTCGGGCCTTTGCAGGGCCCGCTGGGGGTGTGGGTGGGGTGAAGAGGGGCAAGAGTAGAGAAGATCCCTCCCCTCTACAGGGCCAGAGAGGAGATTCCAGAGACATTTCCACCCTTCAACAGATGGGGGCTGGTCCAGGGTTTCAAGTGAACACACAAAGGCCAGCTCTGGCAGCTCCACACTCCCCGTCCCTGTCCCCTGACCTCTGCTGCTGCTGCTGCCGTGGGAGTGGAAGGCCCGGGTCAGCCTTCCCGGTGGGTGAGATGAGAAGGCAGCCCTTCCCAGGTGGAGCTCTGGGAATGAGAATGCAGCCTCCCAACTGCTGCAACCTCCTCCTTGCCAGGGTTAAGGAAAGTGCAGGAATCAAGGCTAGGGGGTGGGAGGGGGCAGCATCATCCCCTGCAAAACCCCAGAACAAGGGAACCTGGAATCGCCCCTCCCATCTCTGGCCAGGTCCCCGCCAACGAAGAGGTCTCCATGCTATTACTTCTGCAGGTGGAGCAGCCGGTTTCCACCTTCCCTCCTCTTCTCTTACACTCCAAGCCTCCATATAAGGACCACAAAGCTCTCACAGTGGCAGAAGGCTTTCTGCCTGGTGGACGCTGTTCTAGGTGCTATATAGGCAAACCTGCATTTAATTCTCCTGCATGGTTGTATTCCTATTTCATAATCAGAGCCAGGACTCAAATCTGGGCAGTCTGACTCTGGTGCAAAGGTCGGCAGCCTCCCAGGAGGGAACCCAGTCAACCAGGCATGTGTTTACTCTCCCGTGCTCCAGGACTTTTCAATCCAACAGGGACTTCCTCATTTGGGTAACCAGGTGAGCCAGAGACTTTGGATTTGGTCAGCCCTTCATTCAAAACATCCATGTACTACAGACTTTCAGTGTGACCTTGGGCAAGTTACTTTAGCTCTGAGAATCCTCAGTTTCCCTCTTTATAAAAAAGGGGAAATCTTGTTGTGAAGCTTATATGAAATTATGTATGGAGAGGTGTTTTTTATTATTATTATTTATTTTTGAGACCAAGTCTTGGTCTGTCGCCCAGGCTGGAGTGCGCAGTGGTGCAATCTCAGCTCACTGCAACTTCCAGGTTCAGTGATTCTCTTGCCTCAGCCTCCTGAGTAGCTAGGACTACAGGTGCGTGCCACCATGCCTGGCTAGTTTTTGTAGAGAGAGTTTCGCCATGTTGCCCAGGCTGGTCTCAAACTCCTGGCCTCAAGTAATCTGCCCACCTTGGCCTCCCAAAGTGCTAAGATTATAGGTGTGAGCCACTGTCAAAGGTTTTTAGAGTATAACACATGTAAGAGCCAATAGCCAGGATTATCATTATTATTCTTTTCTTTCTTTTTGAGATGGAGTCTCCCTCTGTCACCCAGGCTGGAGTACAATGGCACGATCTTGGCTCACTGCAACCTCCACCTCCGGGGTTCAAACAATTCTCCTGCCTCAGCCTCCTGAGTAGCTGGAATTACAGGTGCCCACCTCCAAGCTTGGCTAATTTTTTGTATTTTTAGTAGAGACGGGGTTTCACCATATTGGCCAGGCTCTTCTCAAACTCCTGAGCTCAGATGATCCAACCGCCTCGGCCTCCCAAAAGTGTTGGAATTATAGGCGTGAGCCACAGCGCCTGGCCCTCATTATTATTATTTTCATCATCTAAGCCAGGGGTCAGTAAACTTCTCTGTAAAGGGCCAGATTGTAAATATTTTTGGCTTTATGGGTCCTTCAGTCTCTGTCGCTGATCAAATGTGTTGTTGTGTCTCCAGAGTACCTATGGACAATATGGTAAATTAGCAAATGGGTGTGGCTGTATTTCCATAAAACTTTACTTATCAAAAGAGATGATGGGCTGGATTTGGCCCATGGGCCATAGTTTGCTGGACCCCAGTCTGGGACCCTGAGGCCTCTATTGCTGGTGTCTGAGCAGAAAGTGGGGCTGGGCTTTGGTGTGAAATTCACACATCTGTGTGCAGACTGCTGATCCGTGAGTGTGTTGAGGGCAGGGGTTGATTACCTTTGAGACCCCATCCTCGGTTCTCAGGAGCACATTAGAAGGGCAGAGCAAGTGTGTGTGGTTGAATGACTTGTTCCTGATGTCTAGATACTTGTGCTCTTAATGATCCCAGAAGATGTTGGCTAAGATCTGGGGGTAATCAAAACTGACAATAAGAACTCAGTGAGGCCAGGCGCAGTGGCTCAAGCCTATAATCCCAGCACTTTGGGAGGCTGAGGCGGGCAGATCACCTGAGGTCAGGAGTTTGAGACCAGCCTAGCCAACATGGTGAAACCCCGTCTCTATTAAAAATGCAAAAATTAGCTGGGCATAGTGGTGCACACCTGTAGTCCCAGTTACTTGGGAGGCTGAGGCAGGAGAATCACTTGAACCTGGGAGGCGGAGGTTGCGGTGAGCCAAGATTGTTCCAAGTGGAACCCACTGCATTCCAGCCTGGGTAATAGAGCAAGATTCTGTCTCAAAAAAAAAAAAAAAAAAAAAAAGAAAGAAAGAAAAAAGAAGAAGAACTCAGTGTGCTGGTCCCTCTGCCCTTAAGCAGCATCAGTGCCAGGTGCAGTGGCTCACACTGGCAATCCCAGCACTTTGGGAGGCCGAGGTGGGTGGATCACCTGAGGCTGGGAGTTCGAGACCAGCCCCAGCCTGACCAACATGGAGAAACCCCGTCTCTACTAAAAATACAAAATTAGCTGGGTCGGGTGGCGCATGCCTGTAATCCCAGCTACTCGGGAGGCTGAGGCAGGAGAATCGCTTGAACCTGGGAGGCGGAGGTTGCGGTGAGCCGAGATCGAACTATTGCACTCCAGCCTGGGCAACAAGAGTGAAACTCTGTCTAAAAAAAAAAAGGCATCAGCATAATCAGAGCCACCATTAGGGCCAATTCTCTCGGAGCCAGGAGCCCTTTCCCTACACAGTCTCATTTAATTCTCACAAAAACCCCATCAGGTAGGGACTATTATAATCACCCCAGGTTAAGAAGGAGGAAACTGGATGGGCACGTGGCTCACAGCTATAATCCCAGCACTTTGGGAGGCCTAGGCAGGAGGATCACTTGAACCCAGGAGTTCGAGGCCAGCCTGGGCAATATGGTGAAACCCTGTCTTTACAAAAAATACAAAAATTAACCAGGAGTGGTGGCATGCACCTGTGGTCCCAGCTACTTGGGAGGCTGAGGTGGGAGGATCACCTGAGCCCTGGAGTTTGAGGCTGTAGTGAGCCGTGATCTGATCATCCCGCCACTGTGTGACAGAGAGAGCCCTTGCCTCAAAAAAAGAAAATGAAAAAAAAGGAGGAAACTCCATCATGGCCAACCTGGTGAAACCCCATCTCTGCTAAAATACAAAAATTAGCTGGGCATGGTGGTGGGTGCCTGTAATCCCAGCTACTCGGGAGGCTGAGGCAGGAGAATCACTTGAACCTGGGAGGTGGAGGTTGCAGCGATGCAGTGAGTCAAGATCGCACCATTTTACTCCAGCCTGGGCGATGACCAGAGACTCCATCTCAAAAAAAAAAAAGAGGAAACTGAGGCTCAGAGAGACAAGGCCGGTTGCATGATGTCACATGGCTGGAGAGGGCGGGGATTGGCACTTGGATCTTTCTGACTTCAAAGCATATTCCTTTCCACCTTCTCTGGCTAAAAGGGGTGCAGCCCATGGGTGACCCTCCAACCCTGCCCTGTACCCAGGCCCTGTGTGCCTTCCCAGGCCAGCGGGCAGTGGTCGGAGCTCAGCCCTACTACTTGGCACCCCCCTCTGGATTCCCCATCTTGGTTCTTGCCCCTCCCTTCCTCACCCAGGCCAGCTTCCTGGTCCTCCCAGGCTGGTTGATGGATGGCTCAGCCCCGGCTGGCTTGACTCAGTCTAGCTTTTCCTCGTGGACTGCCAGGGCTGCCTCCTGTCCTCCTGCTTACCGCCCTTGCCCGCCCAGCAGGTCGGGCAAGTGAGTGACTCACACACCTGGGCTCTGTGTGGGCCCAGCCCGGGGAGCCAGCGTACTCACCCTCTGGGCTCCTGCCTGCTACTTCAACTGACAGACGGGACCCTTCCCAGTAGAAGGGGGCTGCCCCTGTCACTTGTGCTCCCTTCCCGGAGGACTGCGATTGGACTGCACAGGATTGAGGTCAGTTTCCTTTCTCTTTTTAACCATCTCTGCCCCTCGCTAAATTGGAGGAGAATCTTTTGGAGGTCGTGGGGGAGGGGTCTCAGCTGTCATTGACACCCTTGTGTGTCAGGCCCTGGGGCACCCTACTCCCTCCCAGCAGGTGCTGGAGCTTGGGGACACCTTGGGATGGACTCTGTGAGGAGAACCGTGCTGGGTGCCTCTATGGGTGTGACCCCGATCCTACAGCCACCTAGCAGGGCAGGTCACGGCAACCTGGAGTGAGAACGGCAGAGGTGGACTGCAAGGGCGTGTGTAGGGGGGACTTCCCTCACTTCCTTCTTAGGGTCACAGAGTGAGGGATGCAGCTTGAGATGGCTTCAGTTCAATGGCATCATTTTACAGCTGGGAAAACTGAGGCTTGGAGGAGAGGGAGTAACTGAGGTGGATTGATGCATTGGTGCTGGAACTGGGGTTGGAAGGCGGACTGGCTGACTCCCCGCCCAGGGCTCCTTCCTTGGTCCTCCATGCCTGTTCCAGGCTGTTTCCCCCTGCTTTTCCACTCGGCTCTCTCCCATGCCATCCGGGCCTCAGCAGGGAGGAGGAATGCAGCTGGTGGGAGCCATTTCACAGGGGGATTTTATGGGCTCACATTTGGAAGGCATTTTGAAGGTCATCCAGGCCATGAACCTCTGACAGGTGGCTGTTTAGCCACAGCTTGACTATCTCCGGGAATGGAGAGCTCACTGTTTTGTTTTGTTTTGTTTTGTTTTTTTGAGACAGAGTTTCACTCTTGTTGCCCAGGCTAGAGTGCAATGGCATGATCTGGGCTTACCACAACCTCCACCTCCCAGGCTCAAGCGATTCTCCTGCCTCAGCCTCCCGAGTAGCTGGGATTACAGGCATGCGCCACCACGCCCGGCTAATTTTGTATTTTTAGTAGAGACGGGGTTTCTCCATGTTGGTCAGGCTGGTCTCAAACTCCCGACCTCAGTTGATCTGCCCGCCTCGGCCTCCCAAAGTGCTGGGATTGCAGGCGTAGAGCTCGATGTTTTTGGAGGCAGCCTCTTTCATTTGCATGACCACTGTCTGGCAAATTACTGGGCACTTACTTCATGGCGAGCACTTTGCTAACAAAGCACAGTAGGTGTGTAAATGCCTTTCATTCCCGACACCCCAATGAGGTGTTGTTGTTATCACTCTTATTTTACAGCGGAGGAAACAGGCACAGAGAGGTTAAGTAACTTACTGAAGATTTCACAGCTTGAGAAGGAGGAGCCGAGCTTTGAACCCAGGGAGTGTGGTTCTAGTGCTCAGCCAAGCTCTTAGCTGCTGTACTTGGCTGCTACCATAGGAGAATGGGGCTTCCTAGGGAGGGGGTCCTGCCTGTCATGGTGAAGCTGAGGTTGGAAGGGGGACATTTAGGTGACTGTGTGACGCTCTGGCTGGTTGGCCTCCTGGGGCTGAAATGTCACTATCCAAGTTCTTCTCCCGTCACCTGCTTTGCCTCCTTGGCAAATTACCCTATCCTTACGTAGCCCCCAGCTACCAGAGTCCAGGACCAATGGCTCATGACTCCCAGGACGGACGGTTGTGTGCAACAACAGAGGGAGGGTTGAAAGCCGTGGCCCAGGATCTTCGATACCACTGTCAGGGTTTCCTTGGAGTGTCCCGGGCAAAGGAGGCAGGAGGTGAGAGTGGGCGTGGCAGAGGGGTGGGAGGGGCCTGGGCCCTGCGTCTGTTTCCTTATCAACATTTTGGCCTCCTGGAGTGGCACCTCACGTGCGGCCTGTCCACCCCACCTTGCCCGTCTATTTAGGGGAGCTTGGTGGTTAATGAGGGCAGCGCCTCATCCTAAGGTGTTGGACAGTTTACAAAGCCAGCCAACGCCGTCCTGAAGGGTGCTCACAACAGCCTGGGGAGCTGGGAAGGGCAGGAATTGTGATGATGCTCATAGTTGAGGAATAGAGGCTCAGAGACGTCAGGTGAGCTGCCTGGGGCCACACAGCTAAGTGATGGAACAGAGTCAGATCCTGCCTCCCCAACCCCCCGACCCCTGGCTTCTAACAGAGCAAGCTCCACACCAAAGCTGGCTCCTCCTCTCGGTGGTTTTTCCTCCAGAGAAATCCTCGTCGGGGGCAGAAGTGTCAGGGCTGCTGAGGCAGGGCTGCCTCCCTGGCTTTTGGCCCCTAAATTAGAGTCTCCTGAGGTGGCTGGGGGCTACCCCTCTCTTCTGTGCCCGCAAAGGCTTGCTCTGAGTGTGATGCCAGCAGGCCTTCTGGCTGGATCTCTTCAGTTAATGAGACTTTGGGACTTTCAGGGGGGTGACTGGCCTGGCTCCATTCACATCCCTCCCCCCTGGAAGGTGAAAGAAGGGTCCCTGATATCTTCTTCCAGGACTTCCTCTCCAGGGCAGTCATGGGAACAAGAGATTCTTAAGTTGATCCCATCCTGTCTTCTCCCTCTCCTAATGATAATACTAATCACAGCAATATTGACCACTAATACTAGTCATGTTCCTGGTGGCACATGTCTGTGGTCCCAGCTACTCGGGAAGCTGAGATGGAAGGATCTCCTGAGCCCAGAAGTTTGAGGCTGCAGTGAACTGTGATTGCCATTGTTCCATTTTCTTTTTATTTGTTTTCCATTTTTTTTTTTTTTTTTTTGAGATGGAGTCTAGCTCTGTTGCCCAGACTGGAGTGTAGTGGTGTGATCTTGGCTCACTGCAACGTCCACCTCCTGAGTTCAAGTGATTATCCTGCCTCAGCCTCCCAAGTAGCTGGGACTATAGGTGCCCACCACCACCACGCCCAGCTAATTTTTGTATTCTCAGTAGAGATGGGGTTTCACCATGTTGGCCAGGCTGGTCTCGAACTCCTGGCCTCAAGTAATCAGCCCGCCTTGGCCTCCTAAAGTGCTGGGATTACAGGTGTGAGCCACCGCGCCCGGCCCACCATTGCTACATTTTCATTTATTGGGCACCCACCGTATACCAAGCTCTGTGCCAGGCATCCTGCTGGCCATGGCTCATTGAGCCCTCCTGGCAACCCCATTTCACAGATGAGGAAGCTGAAGTCCAGAAAGATGAAGTCACTTGCCCTGGGTCACATAGCTGGTCAATGACACTGAAATCATCAGTCAGAAAGTTGAAAGCGCACTTCACCCAAAGTCACCACCCAAGGTCACACACTGTTCATGGCACAGCCAAGACTAGAGCCTGGCTTGGCTGAATCCTGATTTCCTGCTCTTCCCACTCAGTGCCTTTGGGTTGGGCTACAGTGGGACTTTTGAGCCATGGGTTCTAGAGTTGTTTCTGCCTTTACAGGACATTAAACAAGCCACTCAATCTCTGGTGGCCTGGGTCACACCATCTGAGTGCAGGGGCTGGTGATTTATTCCCTGTGAGTAATAGTTATGGCTGGGAATGCCTTTGAAACATTGGCACATGCACACAGAGAGTTAGTATGAAGAGAGATAATTGCCCAAGCCATGTCTGCAGTCTCTTCTGTGACTGTGAAAGCTTTGATATTTAATCATAAGAATGAACTTGGACCTCCGGATATGGGTGGCTCATGCCTATAATCCCAGCACTTTGGGAGGCTGAGGCAGGTGGATCACATGAGGTCAGGAGTTCGAGACCAGCCTGGTGAACATGGCGAAACCTCATCTCTACTAAAATACAAAAATTAGCTGGGCATGGTGTTGTGCACCTGTAGTTCCAGCTACTCAAGAGGCTGAGGCAGGACAATTGCTTGAACCTGGGAGGTGGAGGTTGCAGTGAGCTGAGATTGCAGTGAGCTGAGATTGCAGTGAGCTGAGATGGTGTCACTGCACTCCAGCTTGGGTGACAGAGCGAGACTCCGTCTCAAGAAAAAAAAAAAGAAAGACCTTGGATCAGCCTGGGCAACATAATAAAACCCCGTCTCTACACACACACACACACACACACACACACACACACACACACACACACACACACACACAAAATTAGCCTGGTGTGGTGGCTCGCCTGTAGTCCCAGCTACTCAGGAGGGTGAGGTAGGAGGATCGCTTGAGCCCAGGAGGTCGAGGCTGCAGTGAGCCAAGATGGCACCACTGCACTCCACCCTGGGCAGCAGAGTGAGACACTGTCTCAAAGAAAATGTTATATATGTGTATGTATAAAATGACCTTGGGATGCAGGAACACAACCATGTTCTATTGTGGGGAAGCTGAGACTCAGGGACATGAACTCACTCACTCAAGGTCACAGGACCAGGAGATGGGGAACCAAGGATTTGAACTTGGTCTGGTCTTCATGTCTCCAGAAGTAAGCACCTCCCATCATGTTGAGAGGCAGCTCCCCGGGGAATGGGACTCTCCCAGGGTACTCAGGCGAGAAGCAGTGAACAGGTTTGGAGCATGGACTCCTTGGATTCCAGGTGGCCAGTCTTATAGGAACAAGGTTTAGGAGCTTAGCAGGTAGGTCTGAGGGAGGTGGCCTGGAGCTGCCACCAAGTAAGTCCTCTTCTCCCCTGCTCAGGCCTGCTCCCATTTTTTCCTTCAGCAGAATGACAGAGACCCCCTTCCCCCATCCTTCCTTGTCTCAGAAACAGAGGCAGCCTTTGTTTCAAGGGGAACCAAGAAAACAGGGAGCTCTCCGGACCACACTGTGACCTGCTCTGCAGGTAACCCTGGTCCTTCCTGCTGGCCCAGCCAAACCCAGCTCAGCTACTGTAGAGACATCCAATACCCCAGCATGGGGAGGGAGGAGAGGGAGGGAGCCAGCGGGGTTAAGTAGTGCCCCTGCCCACCTTCTCCCTCCGCATCTTAGTCTACCCTGTCTCTCCCCCTGAGCAATGTTATAATTAAATCTGATAAGCATCCGTTCTATCTGATAAAAAAGGTCCCAATGTCATGGTTGGTTTGAGCCAACTGGGGTGGGGGATGGGACCCTAGGCTGGGAGCCAGGAGGCTGCCTCTGCTCCCCACGCCATTCTTCACGCCCTGCATGACCTTGAGCAAATGCTTGACCTCTTGGGGCCTCAGTTTCTCTCTAGGAAAGGAGGATGTTGGCTTGAGCCATGGGTTCTAGTCTTGTTCCTGGTGGCACACGCCTGTGGTCCCAGCTACTCAGGAGGCTGAGATGGAAGGATCGCCTGAGTCCAGAAGTTCAAGGCTGCAGTGAGCTGTGATGACACCACTGCACTCCAGCCTGGGCAACAGAGCGAGACTCCTTTCCAAATAAATAAATAAACAAATAAATAAAATCATTCTTTTAATAATTTTTTTTTAAAGTAAAGAGGCTGGGTGCTGTGGCTCATGACTGTAATCCCAGCACTTTGGGGGGCTGAGATGGGCAGACCACTTGAGATTGGGAGTCTGAAACCAGCCTGGCCAACATGGTAAAACCCCGTCTCTGCTAAAAATACAAAAATTAGCCAGGTGTGGTGGCGTGCGCCTGTGTCCCAGCCACTTGGGAAGCCGAGATGGAAGAATCGCTTGAATCCTGCAGGTGGAGGTTGCAGTGAGCTGAGATCCCACCACTGCACCCTAGCCTGGGTGATAGAGTGAGACTCTGTCTCAAAAAAAAAAAAAAAAAGAAAAGAAAAAAGAAAACCAGGAGGAAAAGAACTAGAGGGCAATAACTCCCCCACTCCCCATCTCCCACCCCCTATTCCTCAGGGCCCTTCCCCTCTGAAAGTCTCTGAATTGCTCAAATGGATGGCTCCCCAGTGCCCTCTCTGGGTTCCCTGCCAGTGCTCCCTCTCCTTCCTCCCTGTGTGGCTGCAAAGCCCAGGGAGCACAGGAATGCAGGGGAGGTTCTTATTGCTTCCGATATTCAGGGGACTGGCCAAGACTGGAGTGATCTCTGTAAAAACCTGCCCCTAGTCTGTGTGGCCAATTTTTGGAATAAACCTGGGATGCCAACGTTTGTGGGAGAAGAGGCCTCCTAAGTCCTTTCCACCTTATTAGTGGAAAAATTTGGACTTTTTGGTCAGAGTTGGGTTCAGATCTCAGCTCTGTCCCTTCTGATGGTGTGAACTTGGATGAGTCACTTGGTCTCACTGAGGTGTTGAGAGGGTTATGAGTTATCCCAGGCAGATCACTAAACCTGGTGCACAGCAAATGCTCAATGAAAGGAAGGCCATATCTTGGCACCAGGGTTGCCCCAACTCCCTGTTTCTGACAAAGAGACAAGGCTGGCCGGGCACAGTCACTCACACCTGTAATCCCAGCACTTGGGGAGGCCGAGGTGGGCAGATTGCTTGAGCCCAGGAGTTTGAGACCAGCCTGGGCAACATGGCGAAACCCCGTCTCTACTGAAAATATGAAAAATTAGTCAGACATGGTGGTGTATGCCTGTAGTCTCAGCTACTTAGAGGCTGAAGCATGAGAATCGCTTGAGCCTGTGAGGCAGAGTTTACAGTGAGCCAAGATCACACCACTGCACTCCAGCCTGGACAAGAGAGTGAGACCCTGTCTCCAAAAGAAAAAAAAAAAAAAAGACAAGGCTCAGGGATGGCAGGATGCCTCGTTGTGCTGTCTTGGATGGCAATGACTTGTTCCATTCAGGCGGGCGGATGTCTCTAAGTGGGGCCGGGATCCCACTCTGCTTTCTAGCCTTTTTCTCTTCTTCATTTTCTTGAAAAGTTGTTCTGGAAACTACAAAACTGGGCCACAGGCCTCCATGCCTGCTCTCCTGGGACTACCGACTTGTTTCATCTCTGAGTCTTGCTTCTCCCAAAGGAAACTAGAAACCCTGGGCTCTGATCAGGGAATGCAGGGGTGGGGGAAGGGGGCAACCTGCTTCACATTGATCTCACCCCAGAACCGGGTGGCTGGCTGACGCCGCTGATCAGAATTCATGTGGTCGGAGGATTTGTAGGTCAGCATGAGATCTTTTAATACACCAGAGAATAATCTCCCTAAAGCTCTAGCCTCCTGGCGGGTGCTCCACACACAATTCTGAGACAGCACCCAGGGAATGGGTTGGGATTGACTCCGACCAGAACTTGAGAGGCTGGCACGGCTCTGTTCCCAGGCCCCACCCTGGAGCCACAGGGCAGGGAGCTCACTACATTGGAGACATTTTATGGCACCACCCGTACCCCTCACCCGGAGCCGATCCAGAGACCTGTAGTTTGGGATTGAGCAGGTTAAATTCCCTGGTGGCTTCTGGGAAAATGCTTGATCAGACTCTGTGCACTGCTGTCTTTACTGAGCTCTCTCAAAGTTCATCACCCCCAAGACACTCCTTTTTTTTTTTCTACGCCTGAAACATCAACATACTCTTCTCTGCTTTGCCTGGAATCCTTGCCAGGGGATTTTCCAGTTAGCAGAAAAACTGCATCCAGTTTCCGACCTATTCACTGAGGGGGTAGGTGACTGGGAGGCGAGGGTTATTGCCCTCTAGTGCTTTTCCTCTTGCTTTTCTTTCTTTCTTTCTTTTCTTTTTTTTTTTTTTTTGAGATAGAGTCTCACTCTGTCACCCAAGCTGGAATGCAGTGGCATGATCTTGGCTCACTGCAACCTCCGCCTCCTGGGTTCAAGCGATTCTCCTGCCTCAGTCTCCTGAGTGGCTGGGACCACAGGCATGAGCCACCATACCTGGCTAATTTTTGTATTTTTAGTAGAGATGAGGTTTTGCCATGTTGGTCTCAAACTCCTGGACTCAAGTGATCCACCTGCCTTGGTCTCCCAAAATGCTAGGATTGTAGGTGTGAGCCACTGCGCCTGTCCCTTTTCCTCTTGGTTTTCTTTACTTTGAAAAAATTCATTAAGATAATTATTTTCTTTCTTTATTTGTTTATTTATTTATTTGAAACAGAGTCTTGCTCTGTCCCCCAGGCTGGAGTACAGTGGCATGATCACAGCTCACTGAACTCCTGGGCTCAAGTGATCCTCCCACTTTAGCCTCCCAAGTAGCTGGGACCACAGGCATACACCACTATGCCTGTATAATTTATTTTTACTTTTTGTAGAGACAGGGTCTCACTGTGTTGCCCAGGCTGGTCTTGAACTCCTGGGCCCAAGTGATCCTCCCACCTCGACCTCTTAAAGTGTTATAGGCATGAACCGCTGTGCTCGGCCTCCTTTTGGTTTTCAGTTGTATTCATCCATCCACCCATCCATCCATCCATCCATCCAGCCATCCATCCTCCATCCATCCATTTGTCCACCACCCATAATTTTCATCCATCCATCCATCCTCCATCCATTCATTCATCTGAAGACTGTTTATTGAATTCCTCTTCTGTGCCAGACACTGCATTCTGGAGACACAACTCTGTGCACTGGATACATGATCCTGCCCTCGGGGGATAATAGTATAGCAGGGGTAACAGACAATTTAACAAGCACTATAGTACTTGGTGCTAGGCTTAACGTGTGCTTATCAGTGTGCTCATCTGTTGCATGGGATGGTTCCAGTACTTACTTCATGGGATTATTGTGTTTCCATGGGATAATACGGTAAAGGGCTGGCTCAGGTCTTGTCGTGTAGCAAATGCTCAATAAATGTTAGCCATGTTGATGATGATGGTTGTGAGGATGGTGATATAGATGATGATGATTAAGATCATTTTGTTTTGTTTTGTTTTTTGAGATGGAGTCTCCCTCTGTTGCCCAGGCTGGAGTACAGTGGCGTGATCTTGGCTCACTGCAACCTCTACCTCCTGGGTTCAAGCGATCTCCTGCCTCAGCCTCCCAAGTAGCTAGGACTACAGGCATGCACCACCACACCCAGCTAATTTTTGTATTTTTAGTAGAAACAGGGTTTCACCATGTTGGCCAGGCTAGTCTTGAACTCCTGACCTCAAGTGATCCACCTTCCTCGGCCTCCCAATGTGCTGGGTTTACAGGCACGAGTCACCACATCCGGCCAATTAAGATCATTTAACACAGTGTCCGGCATTAACTAGTTAACCAGATGTATCCATGGGTTGTTCTGGGAAGTTGGCTTGTCCTTGGCAGCCACAGACAGTAGAGGGGATGGTGACATAGGGCAGACCCCAAGCCAGCTTCTCAGGGTGGGGAGGGCTATGAGCAAATCACCTCCACACAGGTGCTGTGGATGCTAGCCATGCCTTCTGGGCTGGGTCTAAGGGGTTCTTCAGGGAAGCCTGGGCCACCACAGCTGCCTATCTGGTTTGCCCAGTTAGGAGCTGGTTGAGAAGCATCTGAGGGCAAAATGACCCATGAATGACAAGCTGTGAACTGCCTTTGCAGGGGCTGGGGCAGGCTATCTGGGAAGTTCCTGGGAGCTCAGAGGAGGTGGGTGGCACTGGAGGATGACAGGAGGCAGCTATAGGTGGAGCTCTAAGCAGAGCAGCCAGGAATGATCAGGGGGTCCCTGGTAACCTCCCATGGGGCTTATGGGGCCATGGGGCCAGGAACACATCAGTCTTTTTTTTTTTTTTTTTTTTTTTTTGAGACGCAATCTTGCTCTTGTTGCCTAGGCTGGAGTGCAGTGTGACGATCTCGGCTCACTGTGACCTCCACCTCCCAGGTTCAAGCAATTCTCCTGCCTCAGGCTCCCGAGTAGCTGGGACTACAGGCGCCTGCCACCATGCCCGGCTAATTTTTGTATTTTTAGTAGAGATGGGGTTTCACCATGTTGGCCAGGCTGGTCTTGAACTCCTGACCTCAGGTGATCCACTCACTTCGGCATTCCAAAGTGCTGAGATTACAGATGTGAGCCACCGCACCTGGCCACACAGCAGTCTTGTTTCCTTTACTGGCAGCTCCTGGAATGGTGCTGGGCACACCCTAGGCACCTGGGATGTTTGTTGAATGCATGCCAAGTCTCTATTGGGATGGTTTGGTCTAACTATCATGCTGGCTTACCTGTAAGGAACAGTGGTTCTGGAACCAGAGAGAAGAGGGTTCAAACCCTGGCACCCCCACTTAATCAGCTCTGTGGGACAATGGGTAAGACATTTTCCCTTTCTGAGCCTCAGTTTCCTCATCTGCAGAATAGGAATTGCAATATCAACATTGAGGGTTGTTGTGTAGATAGGAGATGGTGCAGGGGGTGAGGTTAGCTCTCAGAAGGTACCCACAAAGGATCAGCTGTTATTGTCATTATCCATGCATCTGTGGTGACACCCAGGGTTGTGAGCCAGTACTGTGGGATTGAGAAGGTGGGGATAGAGTGCCTGCTGGACATTGTGAAGTTTTGGGGCAATGTGGTGGGGGAGAGTCACATAGACCTGGGATCTGTTGTTTACTTGCTGTGTGACCTCAGGCAGGCTGCTTACCTTTCCGGACCTCAGTTTCTTGTATGAAAAAGAGGATCTTGAAAGCAGCCATTCTGGTTGGGCGTGGTGGCTCACGCCTGTAATCCTAGCATTGGGGAGGCTGAGGTGGGTGGATCACTTGAGGTTAGGAGTTCGAAACCAGCCTGGCCAACATGGTGAAAACCCCGAATACAAAAATTAGCCGGGCGTGGTGGCAGGCTCCTATAATCCCAGCTACTTGGGAGGCTGAAGCAAGAGAATTGCTTGAACACGGGAGGCAGAGGTTGCAATGAGCCGAGATCGTGCCACTGCACTCCAGCCTGGGTGACACAGCAAGACTCCATCTCAAAAAAAAATAAAAATAAAAATAAAAAAAAGAAAAAAAGAAGGCAGCCATCCTACAGAGTTCTTGCAAGAGTCAATGGGATCATGCATGAAGACTGCAGAGCCTGGCGTATGGTAAATGTAAATAGATGCACAGTAAAAGTGGGGGCATCATCAGCACAGGTGGCCTTCAGAGGAGGAGTGGGGTGAAAGGTCTTTGGAAGGGTGAATGTGGGATACAGTGGGGACTCAGGGTTTTGGCAGAGGGAAGGGGCTCCGGGCCTCTTTCACGTCCCTGACGTGCTGAGTCTCCCTTCCAAACTGACCCACCCCTGTGCCTCTGCTGACCCACTAGGTGGGTCAACATGACCATCCTGGTGAAGGCTTTCGGGTCTCAGAAGATGTCATATCTGGGAGCTTAACCCCTTGAGTTCTTGGGGGAAGACTTGGGTAAGCTTATCCGAAGGTCACATGGTCTGGGGGAAGGAGCATGAACTCTGGATTTAAATCCCAGCTCTTTCACTCTCCCACTGTGTGACCTTGGACAAGTCACTTAACCTCTCTGGGCCTATTTATTCATAAAGCAGGATAGAGCCACCTTCCCTGCAGGGTTGCCTGGAGGCTTAGCACACAGTGGGCCTCTGTAAACGGGAGAGATGGGTGTGATTCCATGCGGCCTCCACACAGCCTCCACAGAGGGCAAGGGAGTAGATGTTAATGAGCTCTGGGGCTGGTCCAAAAAGCCAGTCTATAAAACCCCTGCCTGCAGCTTCTGGTGTGTTGCTCATGGGAGTTTATGTGAAGGACACAGCCGGATAAGAGCCCATTGTTCTGAGTGGAGATGGTTTTATGACTCTTAGAAAGCGTCTTTCATCTGGGAGACCAGGGAGCTTATGGAGCCTCCCCGCCCTGGGCAGTGAAACTGTGAGATGATGAAGGTTTCTGGGGCTGGTGCCAGGCTGCAGCCATGGCCAGGCCCTCCTGCCACAGCCTAGGCGAGCCAGTGGGAGCTGAGCACCCCCCACCACCACCCACCAGCCAAGTGTCACTGAAGTCTTTCTCTAGGCCCAGGCCCAGGCCCTGCCCTCCTGAGAACCTCTTGTCCTGGCCCGCAGTCTCCAGCCAGGTCTGCTTGGCAAGGCTGGAGGCTCGCTGTGTCCCCTGGGCTCTCTCCCTGCTCCCTCTCCTCAGCAGCCACCGACACATCCCCTCTATCTTCATGGTAACTTCTAGAACAGGCCCTCGGCCCTGTCTGCTGTCAGCTGACCAGCAACTCTTATGCCTGGGAGCCTGGCCTGGTGCTCTGATCCCTGGGTTGGAGCAGTAATCTGATGCCAGGAAGCAAAGACCTTGTCTCCTTGTCCTTTCTGGCTCCTTGGCCAGGCCCCAAGCTGAGAAATCCAACCTCCCCTTGGCTCAGCAGACATCCCCAAGTGCTCTGCCTGTTATCCCTAGAGGAGGCTGCAGATACCCCTGAGGAGTAGGTGGCCCCCTGGGGCCTGTGGGGTTTGGCCTGCTGGGTAGAGGAGCTGTATGTGTTTGCAGCTGCCTCTGATACCCCAGCCCACATTTACCCTGTGCTAAGGCTTTGTCCTTTGTCCCTTCACCCTTGATCTTTTTTTTTTTTTTTTGAGATGGAGTCTTGCTCTGTTGCCCGGGCTGGAGTGAAGTGGCGTGATCTCGGCTCACTGCAACCTCCGTCATCCAGGTTCAAGCTATTCTCCTGCCTCAGCCTCCCGAGTAGCTGGGACTACAGGCACAGACCACCATGCCCAGCTAATTTTTGTGTTTTCAGTAGAGACGGGGTTTCCCTATATTGGCCAGGCTCGTCTTGAACTCCTGACCTCAGGTGATCTGCCTGCCTCGGCCTCCCAAAGTGTTGGGATTACAAGTGTGAGCTACTGCACCCACCACCCCCTCTTGACCTTTTCTGTTTTAGGAGATACAGGAAGGCTAAAGCACGGTGCTGGGTATACCTTGTGCCTTAACTGGTCCCTCTCTTTGCAAAGGACTCAGGAATGCCCCCTTCATCCTGCACCAAGACAGTGGCCAGGGACAGACAGTACCACCTGAATATTCATCTCTCCTCTCATCACAGGCTTCTTGGCTTTCAAGAAATAAAAATCCACTCAAGTGGCTCAAGTGAAGGGGGTGCTGAGTAAGAACAGGTCTTCTTGACGAACATTCAAGGCTAGGACAGAGTGTCTTTGTGCCTCAGTTTCCTCATTGGTAAAATGGGGATAAAAGTATCCACTTTATAGGGTTACTGTGAGGATTAAATGAGCTAATACATGTGAAGTGTTTAAACAGAACCTGGTGTTTAGAGAGTGCTATTAAGCATTTGCTATTATTATCTTATCATTATTTTTGTACAGATGGGGTCTTGCTATGTTGCCCAGGCTGGTCTTGAACTCTTGGCCTCAAGCAATCCTCCCACCTTGCCCTCCCAAAATGCTGAGATTATAAGCGTGAGCCACTGTGCCGGCTTGCTGTGGTGATTTTGACACTACATTCCCCAGGAGAATGGGCTATTCAGACTAGTCTCTCCTGATACTAAGTCCCGTAAAGGAGCAGCTCAGGGAAGTGAGGCGTCCTTTGACCTGATCCCCCAGGACACCTGTGGCTGTCTTTGACTTTAGCTTGTTTCCCCCCAGATGCAGGTCTTGGGTTATGAAGAACCTAGAAGGCTTGAGGTGTTGCTCCGTGCATCCCAGCCCCCCTCAAAATGCCTGTCCTATTGAACAGGGGCAGGAATGTTATGGAAGGAGGGTTTCATCTTGATGAGACCGACTCTATCATCCTTATTTGTAGCAAAACGTGACCTAGTCTCTCTTTGATACTAGCCTGTTCATGATTGGCTTGATGATGTAGTACATAACAAAGACTGGCTGCTGGCTGGGCACTCTCCATTCATACTGCCTATGCGAGGCCGGTATCCAGACTCGGGAAGTCCACATTCCCATCCACCCACTTTCTTCTTCTTCTTTTTTTTTTTCTTGAGACGGAGTCTTGCTATGTCTCTCAGGCTGGAGTGCAGTGGCGTGATCTTGGCTCACTGCAACCTCTGCCTTCTGGGTTTAAGAGATTCTCCTGCCTCAGCTTCCTGGGTAGCTGGGATTACAAGCAGCTGCCACCACACCTAGCTAATTTTTTTTTTTTGAGACGGAGTCTCACTTTGTCACCCAGGCTGGAGTGCAGTGGCGTGATTTCAGCTCACTGCAAGCTCCGCCTCCTGGGTTCACGCCATTCTCCTGCCTCAGCCTCCGAAGTAGCTGGGACTACAGGCGCCCGCCTCCACGCCCGGCTAATCTTTTGTATTTTTAGTAGAGACGGGGTTTCACCATGTTAGCCAGGATGGTCTCGAGCTCCTGACCTTGTGATCTGCCCCACCTCGGCCTCCCAAAGTTCTGGGATTACAGGTGTGAACCACCGTGCTTGGCTGCTAATTTTTGTATTTTTAGTAGAGACGGGGTTTTGCCATGTTGGCCAGGCTGGTCTCGAACTCCTGACCTCAAGTGATCCACCCACCTCGGCCTCCCAAAGTGCTGGGATTACAGGCATGAGTCATGGTGCCTGGCCAGCCACCATGCCTGGCCCACCCATTTTCTGATTTTTTTTTTTTTTTTGAGAAGGAGTCTTGCTCTGTTGCCCAGGCTGGAGTGCAGTGGCACAATCTCAGCTCACTGCAACCTCTGCCTCCTGGGTTCAAGTGATTCTCCTGCCTCAGCCTCCCTAGTAGCTGGGATTGCAGGCATGTGCCACCATGCCTGGCTAATTTTGTATTTTTAGTGGAGACAGGGTTTCACCATGTTGGCCAGGCTGGTCTCAAACTCCTGACCTCAGATGATCCATCTGCCTTGGCATCCTAAAGTGCTGAGATTACAGGTGTGAGCCACCATGCCGGGCCACTTTCTGTTTGATCTACTATGGCAGAGGCCCTCAAACTTTTTGGCCTCAGGAACTGGTTTCGGGGATGTGGAAGACAATTTTTCCATGGATGGGGTGGGGGGATGGTTTTGGGATGATTCAAACGCATTACATTTATTGTGCACTTTATTTCTATTATTATATTGTAATATATAATGAAATAATTATACAACTCACCATAATGTAGAATCAGTGGAAGCCCTGAGCTTGTTTTCCTGCAACCAGATGGTCCCATCTGGGGGTGATGGGAGACACTGACAGATCATCAGGCATTAGATTCTCATAAGGGGCGCGCAGTCTAGATCCCTCACATGCACAGTTCACAACAGGGCTTGTGGTCCTCTGAGAATCTAATGCCACCATTGCTGATCTGATAGGAAGCAGAGCTCAGGTGGTAATGTGAGTGATGGGCATGGCTATACATAGAGATGAAGCTTGCTTACCTGCCACTCCCCTCCTGCTGTGTGACCTGGTTCCTAACAGGCCACAGCCTGGTTCTGATCCATGGCCTGAGGGTTGGGGACCCCTGCACTATGGAGCTGACTGGTGGGAGCGGGGCCAGACTGGGAGGCAGCGGCGGGGGCCCTGGGTCCCCATCTTGGCTTTGCCACCAGATTGCTGAGCAATCTTGGACAAGTCACCTAACCTCTCTGACCAGGGAAATACCACCCCTGTATGCCCTCATTCTCTCTTTCCCAGGTCAGCAGCGGAGACAAGGAGGACAGACTCCTGAGTCCCATCCAGATGTAATGTATCATTGATGATTTTGCTTACACAATAAATCCTGCCCTCACCAGAGTGCTCAGTGAGTGGGTAATTCTGGTTAATTGAATGTTCTGGGACATGGAAATGTTCCCAGAAATCCTTTTTGTTCCTTTTGTGGCTATTGAAACCCATCCACTCATCTATTCAGCACATATTTGTCTCGTGTCTATGCTGCACCAGGTTCTGGAGCAGGTGCTGGGGATACCACCCGGAATGAGACAACAGAGTCCAGCCTCCGTGGACTCACAGTCCGGGGGGGAGACATGGGGCAAACATGCCACCACATGTGGTAGGTTGGGCACACTGACCAGGGAATGCAGGCTGCAGGTAGGGGCCTGGGGCCCAGTGTGGCCGTCCTTGGAAGGAGCTCCCTGAGAAGGTGCTGTTTATGTTGACAGCACTAAAAAGCAGTTAACCATAGTGTCTGGGGGATGGAGTAGTCAGGGGCATTCCAGCCGAGGGCAAAGGCTCAGAGAAACACCTGTGCATTCATTTGTGCTGTGGAGCTTAGAGTGTGCAGCTGGGGCAGGGCACAATGGCTCACACCTGTAATCCCGGCACTTTGGGAGGCCAGAGCAGGAGAATCACTTGAGCCCAGGAGTTCAAGACCAGCCTGGGCAACATGGTGAAACCCCATCTCTACAAAAAAATACAAAAATTGGCGGGGCATGATGGTGCACACCTGTAGTCTCAGTTAGGAGGCTGTGGTAGGGGGGTCACTTAAGCCTGGGAGGCGGAGGTTGCGGTGAGCTGAGATCACATCATTGCACACTGGCCTCAATGACAGAGCAAGACTCTATCACCAAAAAAGAAAAACAAGAATGTGCTTCTGGGGAAGTGAGAGTGAAGAGGCGGGTGCATGTCAAGAGGGCAAGAATACGTGAAGATGTGGCCTGCTGAGGGCTGGCCTGGACTGTGAGGGCTGCAGGTTTATTTATTTTCCAGCATATGTTTTGTGATGTCACTCTTTCTCGCCAGAGTGGAGAGTAGAGGGAAAATGAAATCAAAACACTATCACAGAGGAGGGGCCTTAAATCAGAGGAGTGACAGAGGGCTGCGAGTGACGTTGACAAGTGGAGAGCACAGCTGTGTCTAAAGGGCCACCACTCCTGGGGCCCTGCAGAGTGTGGCCCTGGGGGAATGTGGACCTGGCATTATCAGATCTTCCGATTTGTTAAGAGAAGCTAGAAATCTGGCTTTTAATTTTTTTTTTTCAGAGACAGAGTCATGCTGTTGCCTAGGCTGGGGTGCAGCGGTGGGATCATGGCTCACTGCAGCCTCAAACTCCTGGGCTCAAGTGATCCTCCCACCTCAGCCACCTGAGTAGCTGGGACTATAGGCATGCACTACCGCATCTGGCTAGATTTTTATTTTATTTTATTTTATTTTATTTTATTTTTGTAGAGACAGGGGTCTCCCTATGTTGCCCAGGCTGGTCTAAAATGCCTGGCCTCAAGCAATCCTCTTGCCTTGGCCTCCTAAAGTGCTGGGATTACAGGCATGAGCCACTGCTCCTGGCTGCAATCTGACTTTTTATGGGAAATCTCCCAATGATTAAATGATGGCAACTAACAACAACAAAACCACTGTGGGCAAAACAAAATGCTTCTGCAGACTCAATTTGTTTTATGAGCAGGTGGTTTGGAACCCTAGACCCAGAGGGTTATATTGATAAGGGTTCTAGGGTGTCCTTTAGAATCCATTACGATCCTCTAAAGAGTGTGCCCCTAACCTGTGCTGGGCTCTGAGGGCACAACGGGGGTCTGGGGCATGGCCCCTGCCCTCAAGGCTGTATCATAGCTGCCCTCAAGCTAGATGGGTCAAATCAGTTATGCACCCAGAGCCAACTTACAACAAAAGGACTAGGTGCTATAGAGCTCAGAGGAGGGAGAGGTCAGGGAATGGAGGAGGCCATGTGAAAAGGCCTCCTGGAGATTCTGGGCCTTGTGTTGGTTCTCAGACAGGAGGGTAAGACTTAGTACAACCAAAGAAGGTAAGGGGCATCCTGAGCTGGAGGCGTCAGACATTTCAGGATCAGATGGGAAATAAGACAATAAAGAAGGCCGGGCACGGTGATTCACACCTGTAATCCCAGCACTTTGGGAGGCCAAGATGGGATGATCTCTTGAGCCCAGGAGTTCAAGACCAGCCTGGACAACATAGTAAGACCACCATCTCTACAAAAAAAAAAAAAAAAAAAAGAAAGAAAAGAAAAAAAAAATGAGCCAGGCATGGCTACCTGGCAATATAGGCACTACAGGCACCACCATGCCCGCACCTGTAGTGCCAGCTACTTGCAGGCTGAGGCAGGAGGATTGCTTGAGCCTAGGAGTTTGAGGTTACGGTGAGCTGATTGTGCCAGCCTGAGCCACAGGGCAAGACCCAGTCTCTTAAAAAAAAACAAAGAAAGAAAAAAAACATAGCCAAGGAAGGGGTTGGAGTACACTGTGAAAGACCGCGATGCTGGTCTGGGATGTGTACTTGGCTCTGGCTATGACGGCAGGACTCAAAAGTCCATTTCTGGTCCAAAGCTTAATGCCATGAGCCTGAGGTCACTCAATGGACATCTGAAGTCTTCTTCCTGCTTTGCTAGCATCCCCAAACCTCTCCTGTCTGCTGTCCTGCCATCATTTATTCACAGCAGGGCAGGGGCCGTGCCTGTTGTGTTCACTGGTGTCTCCTGCGTGCCTAGAACGATGTCTGGAACAGAGCAAAAATGCTCAAAGAATATCTCCTGCCTACTTAAACTATGAGCCAGTGTTGCCCTAGCCTGGGGCTCAGGACAACTCTGTGGTGCTTATGTTCTTGTGTCGAGAGGGACAATAAACAAACCAACAAGTCGGTGAATAAGATGATTTCAGTGCGTGGCCTGTGTGGCTTGTCTCACTGCACTGTAGCCGTTTGTTTATTTGCGTCTTCTCCTAAGCCTATGAGCTCCGAGGGGGCGGGGCTGGGGTCTGTCTGGTTCTTTGTCTCACTGGTAGCCCCTGAGGCTGGTGCCTGACAAATAGGGAGTAGTTAAAAAAAAAAAAAAAAAAAAGTTTTTGCTGGCTGTGGGCTGTAAGGAACACAAGCTGAAAATGATTTCAACCTACGTGCACCTGTACCCTTTGGAGGCTGCAGAACTTATCATTATCAACCCAGGAGTAATTGCTGATAAGCCCGCGTGTGAATTTCCTTGCAAATAGAGGGGTAGCGGGGGAGTGTTTAACAACAACGCGGATAATCTTAATTAATGACCTGATAACTGTAATTAATTGCATCATATCCAGAGGCCCTCTTTGGAATTTCAGGAGGGAGTACCTAGTGTTTGGCAGCTTTGGAGCTGCAAAGGCAGGGGAATGCTAGGATCTCAGTCTCAGCACTTTGCTGCTCAGTGAGCTTTGCCAAGTTACTCTCAGTTCTGAGCCTCAGTTTTCTCCTAGGGAAAATGGGGCTACATCACTGGGGTGTTGCCGGTCTCAAAGCCGTCAATGCCTGAACCCGCCAGGGTTGTTCTTGGAGGTTTGGCTGCATGGCTGCAAGGTTCCCCATGTTGCCATGGCGGGGGTGGGGGGCAATACGGGGCCGCCAAGACTGGTTGAGGGGCAGGTCATAAGTCTAGGGTTTCCCCTGGGGCCGGTCCAGGATTCTCACCCTTTTGGGGGAACCTCAGGGCAAAATGTTGAAGTGGGGGAGGAGAAGCCAGCACCCTGCGCGCCTGCGGGGTCTCCCCGCGGAGAACCGGGGAAGGAGAACCGGGAGGCGGGAAGTGGGGACCCCGGGGTAGGTGAAGGAGCGAGGAGGTCGCCGTGTGGCCGGGGCCGGGCCCCATCCCCGCGGGCCTCAGTTTCCCCCCTGTACTGTGGGGGGCCGGTGGGCTGCCGGGACCGCTGGGGGCTCGCAGCGGGTCGGGGGAGGCCACGTCTCCCTCGCGGCGCGCTGGGAGCAGGGAGGGGGCGCGGCGGCCGCTGCCCCGGCCACCAGGGGTTAAGCGGTGACCTCAGCCGCGGCGCCCCGGGACCGGGCGGGCGGGGGCGGCGCCGCGTCGCGCACGGCGGCGGCGGCGGGACCAGGCCTCGGAGCGCGGCGGGCGCGGGCGCAGTCCCGGCGGGCCCGGACCTCGCGGGCGGGCGGGCGGCGCGGCCATTGGCTCGGGTGGCGGCGGCTGCGGCGGTGGGGGCGCCGTCCCGGCCATGGGCGCCCGCGGCGGCCTGCGGAGCTGGAGGCGCGGCGCCGGCCGCCAGGCGCCTTTGTGAGCGGCGCGGACGACAAAGGCGCGGGCCCGGGCAGCCGAGGTGGGTGAGTGAGCGCGGGGGCCCTGCCTCCGCGGGATCCTCGCGTGTGCCGGAGTCTGCGAGTGCGCGGGAGGCGCTCCAGGCGCCAGGGTCCTCCGGGTGTCCTGGGCGTGTCGCCGTGGGCGGGCGGGGGCCGTGTCCGCCGCTGTGTCCCTGTGTCTGGGTGTGAGAGCCCCGAGCCCGCGTCTCCCCTCTGTGTGGGTCTCTCCTTGTGTCACTGGAGTTCTGGTGTTACTAGGGCGAGTGGCCTTTGTGCTTCAGCTTGTGTGTGTGTGTGGCCTCCAGCCGGCTGGAGTCAGGACAGTTTGGGAACCCCCACCCCCACCCTGTGCCTCACTTTCCCCTGTGGTCCACTTCTTCCTGCGCTGACCTTGGGGGTCCCTGGGATCGGGTGAAGTCAGGGAGTGCCCCTGTCGCCTCTGTGGTGAGTCAGCCTCTCCCACCCTGGACCCCCGCCCAGAGGCGGAACGGGACGGCCTCCTGCAGGAGGAGACTGTGGGAGGAGAGGATGCCGGGTCAGCCGGAGGCCGTGGCTGCGGAGCCGCCAGTCCCGGATCCTCCCTGGAACAGGGATATATGTCAGGGAGGGCCCTAGATGAAGACCAGCCCCCCTGGAGTCGCTGGGATGGCCTCCGAGAGGGAGAGCAGGCCTGACTGTAGGGGGCATGGGGACAATTCTTCCTCCCTCTGCCAAAGCGGGGCCCTGGGGCGGGGGTCTCGAATCTTCCTTTGGCCCTGAAAGCCAGGAGGCCCTGCGTTGCATCAGTGCCAAGTAGAGAGGTGGTGGCTGGTGGGCTGCACTTTCCCACTGGCTTTGGAGCTCAGTTTCTGCCCCAGAGTCCTTGGCCTCCCTTAAGGATGCTACTGGGAAGCCACGCCCCACCTGCCGGGAGCCCCATCTGCTCCTCCTCGGGTTCTGGGGAGAGAGGGCAGGTTGTGCGGGCTCATTAGAATGCATAGCTCTTCCCAGCATCCGCCCAGCACTGTGCCCCCCACGGTGTTCAGGCCCTGGACACACAGACTAGAAAGCAGGTCAGCCTCCGGAAATCTCCAAGCTCCCTGTGACTGTGGGCTGGGGACTGCCCTTCCCCTTCATCGGGCCCTCAGGCTGAAGCTCAGAACCCTCCTGTAAGGAAGGCTTCCTGGGGTGCCCGAATCTGATGCTCGCTCTGTCCCCAGGCGCTTGCCTTCCTGAGGCCCCCTGTCCCTTCCCCTTCCACCAAAGAGCCTCTGTGGGCTGTTCTCTCTATCCAGGAAGTGGGTCCCATCCTTCACCTCTTTCATTTCTCACTCGGGAGCTACTTCCTCTCCAGTGAGCCAGGGTAGCCACAGTGCTCTGAGGGTTCCTGCCCCAGTTGTGGGGGCGGGGGGCTTTTTTCAGTCTTCCAGTGGAACAGGGGCCATGTCTGTCCTTGATCACAGCTCAGAACAGTGCCTGGTGCATAGTGGGTGCTCTACACATAGTTGCTGAATAAATGAATGTCCAATAACTAATGGTTCCCAAATTCTGTTTCAAGTTTTAACTCTGGAGTAGTCTGGGGAGGGGCGAAAGCTGGTGTACTGCTCTGGGGCCCAGGTACCAGGTTAGTATAAGAGGAGGTTGGGTGTGGTGGCTCACCCTTGTAATCCCAGCACTTTGGGAGGCCAAGTTGGGTGGATCACTTGAGGTCAGGAGTTCGGGATCAGCTTGGCCAACATGGTGAAACCCTGTCTTTACTAAAAATGCAAAAATTATGGCCAGGCTCAGTAGCTCATGTCTGTAATCCCAGCACTTTGGGAGGCTGAGGTGGGCGGATTACCTGAGGTCAGGAGTTCAGGACTAGCCTGGCCAACATGGTGAAACCCCATCTCTACTAAAAATATAAAATTAGCTGGGCATAGTGGCACATGCCTGTAGTCCCAGCTACTCGGGAGGCTGAAGCAGGAGAATCGCTTGAACCCGGGAAGTGCAGGTTGCAGTGAGCCAAGATCGCACCATTGCACTCCAGCTTGGGTGACAAGAGTGAAACTCCATTTCAAAACAAAAACGAAAACAGAAATTAGCTGGGTGTGGTGGTGCACGTCTGTAATCCCAGCTATTTGGGAGGCTGAGGTGGGAGGGTCGCTTGAACCCGGGAGGCGGAGGTTACAGTGAACCAAGATTGTGCCACTGCACTCCAGCCTGGGTAACAGAATGAGATTCTATCTCAAAAGAAAAAAAGAAAAGAAAAGAAGAAGATTGAGCATGGTGGCTCATGCTTGTAATCCCAGCACTTTAGGAGCCTCAGGTGGGAGGATCACTTGAGCGCAGGTGTTCGGGACCAGCCTGGGCAACACAAGAGAACATGTCTCTACAAAAAATTTTAAAAATTAGTTGGATGTGCTGGTGCACGCCTGTAGTCCCAGCTACTCAGGAGGCTGAGATGGGAGGATCACTTGAGCCTGGAAGTTCGAGGCTGCAGTGAGCTGTGATTGTGCCACCGTACTACAGCTTAAGTGACAGAGGGAGACCCTGTCTTAATTATATATATGAGAAAAGTGTACTGTTACTTGGGGAAATAGTATATTAATTAACAGACATTTATAGTATATGCTGAGTGCCAGGTGTTGGGCTAGATGCTTTAAGCATGTACCTCTTACACACTGAGAAGGAACAGAGTGGAAAGAATACATGTAATCTTCTATGATTAATTTTGAAAAGATAAAGTAAATGATATATATGCCATGATAAGATAATAACGTGGATTTATATTGTACTTTCATATCTGCTATCTCTTTGTTTTGACAACACCCTAGTAGTTAGGCAGGGAGATGGGTTCATATCCATCTTACAGATGAGGAAGCTGAGCATACAGCATTTAAGTGACTGTCGAAGGTCACTGCTGAAGCGAGTCAGCGAAGGCGCCAGCACTCAGCCTGGGACTCCCTGGCCACTCAGTCCTTGCTTTCTTCTGCACAACTGTCTCCAGTGCCTTTTGTATTCCTGTCACCCGGCTAGACAAGGGTGAATGGGCCACTGTTCTTGCCCTCAAGGGGTCTAAAGTCCAGGAGAGAATCAGGCTCTTTAACAACTGAGTGTGCCAGAGTTGTTCCGCCCCATGGTGCCACCTTGGGCCCAGCTCAGCTCCTTCCTTGCAGTGTCCCAGAGAGTTCTTCTTCTCTCTACCTCAGTGGAGGGCATCAGAGCCATTTTCATTCAGGACCCTGGTCTGATGACATTCCCAGGAGTGACTGGTCCTTACAGAGCCTCTGCCGGGTCCTGGGCAGTGGTGAGTTGGGAGCCAGCTCACACCTACACATAAGAGCTGATTGCTAAATTTTAGGAATTTTATGAGCCGGTTGTTAAACACAACCATTATAAAAAATTCTGAGGCCAGGAGCGATGGCTCATGCGTGTAATCCCAGCACTTTGGGAGGCCAAGGCAGGCAGATCCCCTGAGGTCGGGAGTTCGAGACTAGCCTGGCCAACATGGTGAAACCCCATCTCTACTAAAAATACAAAAATTAGCTGGGTGTGGTGGCCCATGCCTGTAATCCCAGCTACTCGGGAGTCTGAGGCAGGAGAATTGCTGGAACCCAGGAGGCGGAGGTTGCAGTGAGCCGAGGTTGTGCCATTGTACTCCAGCCTGGGGGACAAGAGTAAAACTCCGTCTCAAAAAAAAAAATTTTTTTTGAGTGTATACATTCATCATTAAGTAAATTATATATATATAGTTTGTTTGTTTGTTTGTTTTTTGAGATGGAGTCTCACTCTTTTGCCCAGGCTGGAGTGAAATGGTACAATCTTAGCTCACTGCAACCACCGCCCCCTGGTTTCAAGTGATTCTCCTGCCTCAGCCCCCTCAGTAGCTGGAATTACAGGTGCCTGCCACCACGCCCAGCTAATTTTTGTATTTTTAGTAGAGACGGGGTTTTACCATGTTGGCCAGGCTGGTCTCAAACTCCTGACCTCAGGTGATCCACCTGCCTCAGCCTCCCAAAGTGCTGGGATTACAGGCATGAGCCACCGCGCCTGGCTGCTATTATATATTTTTGAGATGGAGTTTCACTCTTGTTGCTCAGGCTGGAATGCAGTGGCGTGATCTCTGCTCACTGCAACCTCCACCTCCTGGGTTCAAGTGATTCTCCTGCCTCAGCCTCTGGGATTACAGTAGCTGGGATTACAGGTGCCTGCCACCACACCTGGCTAATTTTTTGTATTTTAGTAGAGATGGGGTTTCACTATGTTGGCCAGGCTGGTCTTGAACTGCTGACCTCAGGTGGTCCACCTGCCTCAGCCTCTCAAAGTGCTGGAATTACAATTATGAGCCACTGTGACTGGCCATAAATTTTATACATATATATGTGTGTATATATATATATAATAATTTTTTTTTTGAGATGGAGTTTTGGCTCTTGTTGCTCAGGCTGGAGTGCAATGGCATGATCTCGGCTCACTACAACCTCTGCCTCCCACGCACGTTCAAGCGATTCTCATGCCTCAGCCTCCCGAGTAGCTGGGACTACAGGCGTGCACCACTACTCCCGGCTAATTTTTGTATTTTTAGTAGAGACGGGGTTTCACCATGTGGGCCAGGCTGGTCTCAAACTCCTGACCTCAGGTGATCTGCCCACCTCAGCCTCCCAAAGTGCTGGGATTACAGGCGTGAGCCACCATGCCCAGCCTGTAAATTATATTTTATAAAGTAATAAATACTCAATTTTTTTCCTAATTATTTTATTCTATTATTACCTGTGCTTTTGTGGTTATTTGCTGCTTTGTGTGTGTGTGCGTTGGGGAGTGTATTAGTTCTTTTTCATACTGCTATTTTCATACTGCTATGAAGAAATACCTGAGACTAGGTAATTTGTAAAGAAAAAGAGATTTAATGGACTCACAGTTCCACATGGCTGGGGAGGTCTCACAATCATGGTAGAAGGCGAAGGAGGAGCAAAGGCACATTTTACATGGTGGCAGGCGAGAGAGCCTGTGTAAGGGAACTGTCCTTTATAAAACCTTCAGGTCTTGGGAGACTTATTCACTATCATGAGAACAGCATGGGGAAAACCTGCCCCTGTGATTCAATTACCTCCCACCACGTCCCTCCCATGACATGCAGGGATTATGGGAGCTACAATTCAAGATGAGATTTGGGTGGGGACGCAGCCAAACCATATCAAGGGGTGTGAGTGTGGGTGTGGGTGTGTGTGTAATGTACGTAGTGGTGTGCTACTGCATATCTCAACTCCATTCAGTGATGTCACATTGGCAGCTTGAAATTGGCCAGAGTGAGAGTATTTATATCACAGAAATTGGCAAACACTGCAAATCAGAATCTTTTCCCCTGAAGAGCCTGTTTACCAGCACACCACTGGGAATCCAGCAATGAGCAACTCAGTCCCTCCCTTTGAACTTACATTTTGGTGTGATGGCGCTCCAGGACTGATCTTAGTGTCCTCATTGCTGAGGGGCAGCTGCTGGGCAGGGCCTGCTTTGGTGATAGAGGTTGTAAATTGCCCTCAAATCACAGGAGCTCTCCATTCCAGCAAGTGAGTTGTTACCATGCACCAGGAAGAGAGGAAATGGGACAAGGAGGAAATTCAGTTAATTGAGAGCTGACTTTGCCATTGAGTAACCCTATTCAGGATGACTCAGGCATCTGGGAGGAAAAGCAGCAGTGGTGTCTGAGGACAGACCGTGGACAAATTAAGTAGCTTGGGGCTTGTGGAGTTGTGATGTCCAGGACATGGGTGGCTAGAGCTGACATAGGCAACAGTGGGCATGACCTGTCCATATGGATTCAGGACCTGCATGAGAGAGTAGAGGCAGACGGTTGCTCTTGTACATCCTGTGATCTCTGGTTGGAAGATGGACATGTGCACATGTTACATACAGTGGAGGGATGTGCGGAGTGTAGCAGGGGAATGGGGTAGGGAGAGGGGAACAATTCATGCCTCTGAACCTTTGCACATGCTGCTCCTTCTACCCAGGGGAGTTAATGTGTGTTTTCTCCACCCAGAAGGAATGGCATGTGCAAAGGCTCAGAGGCATGAATTATTGAGAGTTCAGTCTGGCTCTGGTGTCAGGTGAATCAAAAGTCTGCAGGGCTTGAAACAGAGTAGGGGAAGCATTGAACCTTCCTCAAGTCAGGAGGCACAGCATCATCTGGGTGCCAGCAAAGGAAATCTGACAAACCTCACCTGTCAGGGGCCTTGTGCTGTGTGGATCACCCTGCTTCCCTAAAAATCTTTGAGGTTTCTTGGTAGTTTCCTGCTGTCCCTGAAGCTTGCTGGTCTTCCAGCCCCTGCATCTGTGGCTGGTGGATTCTCAAAAAAAATCCATGTTAATATCAAGCACAAAACTTAATTGGGAAGAGGGGTCTCCTGTTCTCCCCCCATTGCTAATTGATACCAGAAAAGCTGCTTCTGTCCTTCATTTAGGCAGATAATTGAGAACTTGTTTGCTTAAAGGCAACTGATTTTGACTTTATGCCTATAGGTGCCAGATATTTTTCATGCATCAATTCATTTAATTTCCATGCCGATCCTGCAAGTACGTCCTATTTTCCGATCTTATCGATGAGGAAATTGAGTCTCAGAGACTTATCCAAGGGCACTGTGTTTGTAAGTGGCAGGATTTGAACCCGGCAGGCCCTGAGATCTTTCTGCAGTCCCGTGCTCCCCTCCTTTATGCGGTTTTCCTTTTCCCTTTGAGGAGGGGAGGGAGAGATTCATCACATGCCTGGAATCTCAGCACACTTTGCCTTTCTTAGTTCGGAGTTAATGTATGTTTTTTTAATTCAGTGTTGGCAAGGCCCAGTCTGGTCATAGCTGGGTTTGTTACCTTGTGGCTCAGGGGCAAGGATGAGAATAGAATTCTGGTACCCACACGGGCTCCCTAGGCCTGGTGTCAGGAAAGAGCTAATACTAATGGCTCATAATTGCAGAGTGGCAGGCACCTTGGTAGTGCATGGCTCGTGGGAGCTTTCTCAGTTCTCAGCTACTCCAAGAGGTGGGGTGCATCATTATCTCTGTTTTGCCTCCATTGAACTTGCCCAGGGTTGAGCAACCAAGAGTTAGAAGCACCACATTCTGCTCGCCCCGGAGTCCTGCCTCTCCACTCTTGTGTCTTTCCTTGAGCAGCGCCAACCCTCCCAGGGCCTGGCCCGGCTGTGCCTTTGACAGCCCCTAGCAGCAGTGCCCATATGCTATGGAAAATGGGGAAGGATAATTGACCACTTGGCCACAGGCCCAGGGTCTGCCCACCTCTTGGTTAGAGCCAGCACTGAGCTCCCTGCCATGGGGTTCATCTTCCCACTGGCCTGTTGGTTGAGAGGATGGTCTCAGACCAGGCCCCAACACCACCTTCTTGCAGATACATCCCCAGTCCAGGGCAGTGCAGGTGGTTTGTGATGGTGCCAGCCCATGTTGGCATGTTGGGCCCAAGATGAGGTGGCATTTCTGAGTTTTGGAACCCCTCTTTCTCCTTGAGAGCCTGGCCCCAGAGTGCCCTCCTCTCTGTAAAAGTCCTGGTTCTAGTCGCTGGCTGATTGGTATGCATCCCAGAATCCCGGCCATTAGCATACAAGGCGGGAGCCAGCTCTCATTACTCCCCTCTCTTCATTGTTTGAAGTGGGCAGACTTGGAGTGAGCTTTGGAAATGTGGGCTTTTTATTCAATTTCCCTAGAAAAACAATGGTTAAATTAAGTAGGAAAATAACAGTCTCCCGAAATTGAAGAAAAATATTCCTGAACCTAGACATTACCCACAACCTTTGAATTTCTTTTAAAACAGGCATTTGTTTTACTTTAAGTTATACATGTATCGCATGACCACTGAAGAAAACACAGAGAAAATACAGAGAGAAGAAAATGGAAATCATTTTGCCACCTGAAGACAGCCTCTCTCAATATTGTGGTGCATATCATTCATGTATTCAGTGATTCATTTACTCATTTGGCAAGTATCTATTTAGGGCCCACAAAGGGAGAGGCTGTGTTGGGTTCTGGGAGTAGACGCTGGGAGTAGAGGGGTACCCTGCTCCCTGCTGGGGCTCTTTCTATGTTGGGCCTTGGGCAACTCACTTGACCCTTCTCTTATCTGTTTTCTCATCTGTGGAATAGGGATAACACTAGTAGCTGTGTCATAAGGCATGGAGATTTGACAAGAAAGGGCAGGTAGGATGCTCATGATATTGCGTGGCCCAGGTCAAAGCTTAGTAATGTTGGCTTTTGTCATGTAGGGGAGGAATATCTTTTCTTCTACCCTGTTAGGTTCTGTGATAGAGCCTATGAATTAAACTGACAAAAGACAGATTAATAGGAGAAAAGGCATATAGATTTTATTTAATGTTACTATATATATGTATTTTTTTACTGTAAGGGGTCTCCATAGAAAAGAAATGAAAATCCAAAGAGGCAGTTAGACCCAGGAGCTTACGTAACATTTTAACAAAGGGCGATAAATTGTGGAGAAGTGAGGAGACAAAAGAAAAGTATTGGACTCTTAGGGGTCAGTAAATTTCAGGAAAGTGACTAGGAAATGTATGGTAGATAAGGGTGGTTTAGTAAGGTTTGTTATGCAGATAAAGTAAGGTAGAGGGGTACACCTTTGCAAATGGAAATTTATGTCACCTTTACAAAGGGAAATGTGTGCCCTGCTTTTAGGCAGAAAAGGGGAGGCAAAGAGCTCTTCCTGTATTGGCTGCTGCTCAAGTACCTTGAGCTCAAAATAATTCTTTTTTTTTTTTTTTTTTTTTTTTTGAGACAGCATCTTGCTCTGTTGCCCAGGCTGGAGTGCAATGGTCTTGGCTCACTGCATCCTCTGCCTCCTGGGTTCAAGCAATTCTCCAGCCTCAGCCTCCTGAGTAGATGGGATTACAGGTGCGCACCACCACACTCAGCTAATTTTTGTATTTTTAGTAGAGACAGGGTTTCACCATGTTGGCCAGGCTGGTCTTGAACTCCTGACCTCAAATGATTCTCCTGCCTCAGCCTCCCAAAGTGCTGGGACTATAGGTGTGAACCACCACTTCTGGCCCTGGGATGGCATATTCTGATCCTTTTCAGTTACAACAGTGAGTAAGCTGACATTAACCTTGCCCTGGTGGTTTTGTTTTTGTTTTTGTTTTTGAGATGGAGTGTTGCTCTGTCACCCCGGCTGGAGTGTGATGGCATGATCTTGGCTCACTGCATCCTCTGCATCCTGGGTTCGAGCGATTCTCCAGCCTCAGCCTCCTGAGTAGATGGGATTACAGGCGCCTGCCACTATACCTGGCTAAGTTTTGTATTTTTAGTAGAGATGGGGTTTCACTATGTTGGCCAGGCTGGTCTCGAACTCCTGACCTCAAGTGATTCTCCCACCTCAGCCTCCCAAAGTGCTGGGATTACAGGTGTGAGCCACGGTGCCCAGCCTCGTGAGTCTTATATGATGGTGGAGGAGACAAAAATCAAACACATCAAATTTATAAAGTAACCACATGTTATGCATTAAGTCCTGTGAAGGAAACAGACTGGTGGATGGTGATAACTGGGGATGAGGGGTAGAGAGGGTGTATGTGGGGGTGGGGGTACAGGATTCGTTAGCTGCAGGTGGTCAGGGAGGCCTCTCTGAAGAGAGACATTTAAGCCAGACCTGAATGACAAGCAGGAGCTCCCCCTGCAAGGATCTGAGGGAAAAGTATTCCGGGTAGGAGCTACAGCAAATGCAAAAGCCCTGAGGCCAGATGAACTTGGCCTGTTTAGGAGGGTGTGGAAGAGGCCATGTTAGTTAGGACTGTTACTCTAGGTGCAAAAGGAAACCATCGGAGGTTTGTTTTCCACTTCCCATAAATACCTTTACTAATGAAATATAGTTCCAAGATTCCAGCTAGTAAAAACTCTGTTAAGAAATTCACCTTTTTCCAATAATTTATTCAAAAATAATTTACCAAGTGCCTATGATGTGGAAGCACTTGACTCAGTGCTGTGGGGTGATGGATGGGTACAAAGATATGGTGAAGTTTTACGCTCCAATAACCCATGGTCCAGCAAACAAGACTACGAACATTTGCAGGGTCAAGGGCAGGGAGGGACTGATTTACCTTTGCAAAAGATCCCATGTCTGCTGGGAGGAGAACTGGCTGTAGAGAGCCAGGGTGGAGGGGTGGAGCTGGGAACCAGAGGAAAGGCAAGGAAAGGTTCCCATTTGGCAGTGGAATAGGAGAAAAGTCTGGGGTTTGGGTTATATATCAGCTGGAATCAACTGGAATTTCTGGTGGATTGTACACAGGGGTGAGGGAAAGAGAAGAACTGAGCATGACTTCTAGATTCTTCTTTTGAGTCTCTGAGTGAGTGGTGGTGTCATGAAAGGAGACGGTTAAGAGGGAGTGAGGAGCATGGCTTTTGGAGAAACCAAGGGTTAGGTTTGGGGCAGGTTCACATTGAAAGGCTGGTTAGAAGTCCAAGGGGGTAGGCCGGGCACAGTGGCTCACGCCTGTAATCCCAGCACTTTGGGAGGCCAAGGCGGGAGGATCACTTGAGGTTGGGAGTTTGAGACCAGCCTGGGCAACAAGGTGAAACCCCATCTCTACTGAAAATACAAAAATTAGCCAGGTGTGGTGGCGGGCGCCTGTAATCCCAGCTACTCAGGGGCTGAGGCAGGAGAATTGCTCGAACCCAGGAGGGTGGAGGTTGCAGTGAGCTGAGACTGTGCCATTGCAGTATAGTGTGGGCAACGAGAGTGAAACTCCATCTCAAAAACGAAAAAAAAAAAGCCAAAAAACCCCAAAGAAGTCCAAGGGGGTAGTGAGGGCCTCTGGGCTGGAGATGCAAACTTGGGCATCCTTAACATATAAAGGGGACAGGTGTGACCACCCAGAGAGACAATTCAGAGGAGAGATCCCTCCACAGGGAGGTGAGCTCTGGGAGCTCTTATATTTATAGTCTGGTGGAGGAGGAGGAGCCAGGGCAGGCAGCCTGGGAGCTAGGGGAAGATGGGTGCAAGGAACTTACCTTTAGTGCCAGGTGCTGAACTAAACACCTGGGGAGGATCGGCCCCTGGTCCTCACGATAAGTCTGTGAGGTGCAGGTGCTATTAAGCGTCTCACCTTATCGAAGCGGAAAGAGGCCCGGAGGTGACCCAGTGCACCTGCCAGCAGGTGCACGACTGTGTAGGGAGTGAGGATTCACACCAAGGGGGGCAGTCCACCTCGTTTGCCCACGGCATTCCCGTGTTGCAGAGGAGGATTCCAAAGCTTGTGGTTTTGTTCATTTGTTTTCATTTGTCTGTCCTTGCATTCCTCTCCTCCCAACACATATTTACTAAGCACCTACTGAATGCTGTGCACTGGGCAAGGAACTGGAGATTCCAAGATGAGTAAGGTGTGGCGCCCCTTAATCTGGTGAGGGAGGTGGATGGGCAACAGCTGAAGGGTGGGCGGTGCCTGATGCAGGTGGAGGGACTCCGAGGAGGCTTCCCAGGGGAGTGTCCAAGCCAAGCAGTGGAAAAGGCAGAGTTAGGTCAGGAAGCAGGAGGCATCCAGGCATGTGCCAAGGCTCAGGGGAGGGAATAGCAGGGCCATGTCAGGGAGGGTGCAGGAGGGTGCTGCTCAGGAGCTCTGTCCATTGTACTAGGGGCTTGTACTTTATCTTGTGGGCCCTGCGAGCCAGTCAACTGTTTCAAGCTAGGGGATGACGGGATTAGAACTTTTTGTTTGGGGTAGAGATTGGGCTGCAAGGGACAGAAGAGTTACCAGGGAGAGCTTTCAAGGCTGTTAAAAGGCTCTCGATTCCTAGGTCATTCTCTGAACCCTGCTGCTTCCTTACTCCTTCCCAAATTCTGCTCATTTTTCTCTTCCAAAAAGATTTCCGAGTCAGAGAGGTTAAGCAACTTGCCTGAGGTCTCCCAGCGTGCCAGGTCATCCAGGCTGGGACTGGTCTTCTAACTAAAACAACCACAGTCCCAGGGGTGGAAGCGGATGGTGAGTAACCCCAGGGAGCGGCTCACTGGAGGCTTGAGTTGAAGGTCACCGTCCACAGTCCCCGTGTGGCTTTAAACATTGCCTTTTTGCAGTCTCAGAGAACAGTTGGTGCTTCTGGGCAGGAGGAGCTGGGCTGCTGCTGGGAGCCAGGGCTGGGGCTTTCCCAGAGCTGCACGGGTTATTTAAGCAGTTTCCTGGGCATCTGCTTCCTCCCCAATGAGTGATGGGAAAACTCCATGGGGCTGGTGCAGGATTTGATTAACAGGTCACATGAGGCCAGTGAGGGAGGCAGTCCCTGCTGGGAAGGGCAGATGCCAGGCAGAGGGCGAGGGGAGGGGGAGATGGGGAGCACTTCCCAGAGCCCTGTGCTATGAGCTCTGTCACTTTGGGCAGGTGTCTCACCTCTCTGCAGTCTTGGTTCCCTCGCCTGTAGAGATAATATGAAATGTGACCAATAGGACTGAAGTAATAACCAGTGTCCACTGTAGGCCTGAAGTGTGCCAGGTACCACGCATGATCTTGTTTCAATCTATCTTTTTTTTTTCTTTTGAGATAGAATCTCACTGTGTCACCCGGCTGCAGTGCAGTGGCATGTTCTTGGCTCACTGCAACCTCTGCTTCCCGGGTTCAAGTGATTCTCCTGCCTCAGCCTCCCAAGTAGTTGGGACTACAGGTGCATGCTACCACAGCTGGCTAATTTTCGTTTTTTTTTTTTTTTTTTTTTTTTTTTTTTTTAGTAGATACAGGGTTTCACCATATCAGCCAGGCTGGTCTCAAACTCCTGACCTCCAGTAATCTGCTCCCCTCAGCCTCCCAAAGTGCTGGGGTTACAGGCGTGAGCCACCGTGTCCAGCCTCTTGTTTCAATCCCTTGTCATCTTGTGAGCTATGGATGGTCATTATCTTCATTTTATAGATGACACAGCTAAGGAACAGAAAGGGTAGATATTTTGTCCCAGGTCACACAGCTAGTAAATGGCAGAATTTGAACCTGACCCTCTAACTCTGGAGCCCTCCCCTGAAATCCCTGTGGTCCCCCTTCAAACTTTGTTCAGCTGAGCATGAGTCCCTTCCTTGGCAAATCACTTGATAGGATCCTGTGGGGCACTAGCATTCTGCCCACTTGACTTTGGGACACCCCAGTCCCTACAACCCCTTAAGTTTTATCACGAAGACTTGGAGCTCCAGTGGGCCTCAGCCCCTGGCTCATCATCTTTCAGCCAAGTGGGGCAGACCCGGGACCAGAACCCCAGCATCCCAGACTCCTGGCCTTCTGCTCCTTTCACTCCTCCAGGGCCTCAGAGGGGGACTGGACTGGGAGCCAGTTGCCTGGGTTCTAATCCCACTTCTTCCTTGGACCAGCCAGAAGAGCTTGGGCAACATTTCACTTTGCCCCCTGCCTTTACCCTAAGCCTCAGTTTCCTCTTCTGTGAGATGGGTAGATTGAGAATCTAGAATCTCTACCAATTCTAATAATTCATAAGTGTAAGATTTCAGGTTTCTATCTAGGAATCTGTAAGAGTCAAACATTTGCCACCTTTTTCTACTTCCTGTCCTCTATTGCCTGTGGGACTCGAGGAGACTGAGATGAGGAAACAATTCAGTGAACCCTCTATAGTTTGACACACTGTAGTTTGAGGGTGGTGGCTCATGCCTGTAATCCCAGCACTTTGGGAGGCTGAGGTGGGAGTGTCGCTTGAGCCCTGGAGTTCAAGACCAGCCTGGGCAACATAGTGAGACCCCATCTTTAAAAAAAAGCCAAAAAACAAAAATTAGCCAGGCATGATGGTGGGCACCTGTAGTCCCAGCTACTCAGGAGGCTGAGGCGGAAAGATGGCTTGAGCCCAGGAGGTTGAGGCTGCAGTGAGCTATGATGGCACCACTGCACTCCAGCCTGGGCAGCAGAGTGAGACCCTGTCTCTAAAAAATAAAAAATATATAGCTTAATAGCAGCGTATGATGACGACTATCACTTGAGTACCACTGGGTGCCAGGCACTGTGCTGGCTGCATCATGAATTATTTTTTTGCCTACTCAACAGGGAGGCGAGTATGATTAGCTCCATGTTAAATGTGAGAACTGAGACACAAAACGTTTAGCTAACTTTCCCAAGGGTCAAGTGATTGCATGACCTGTATATGAAAGCTGGACTTCAAAGACCAGAGGAAGTGCAGAGGATACGTTTGCTAGGTGCTTCCTTGTGGGGGTGGGTACGGCCTCTCTACCTCACGTCCCATCACTTGGAGCTCTCTGCAAAACCCGTTCTCCCGGGCCCTAGATGCAAAAATCCACCCAGTTCATCCGCCCTTGAGAAATGATGTTGAGTCAGATCTGGAAACACTAAATGGGTGAGTCACAGTGAGGATGGTGAGGGGCTGGGCAGGGAGGAACAGTGCTTAGCCCACCATTGGCCAGAGCTCAGCCTTGCCAAGGAGCCCAGCCCAGGGGGCAGGCCTCAGCTATTTACAGAGAAGGGGACTTGGGAGCAGAGAGAGGATGCGGCTGGCAGGGAGGGAGACAGAGGAGCTGAGGGTCAGACAGCAGAGCTAGAAGAGTTTTCAGGGATCATCTAGTCCACACATAGGACATCTCAGTCCCAGAGAGGGGCTGGGACTTACCCTAGGTCACACAGCCCATGATGCCAGACCCAGCAATAGAAGGGGATTTTGGGAGGCTGAATCCTCAGCCTCCCTCCCTCCCTCCTTTCCTTCCTTCCTTTTTTTTTTTTTTTTTTTTTTGACAGGGTCTTGCTCTGTCGCCCAGGCTGGAACACAGTGGCATGATTACAGCTCACTGCAGCCTTGATTTCCTGGGCTCAGGTGATCCTTCAACCCACCTCAGCGTACCGAGTAACTGGAGCTACAGGCACATGCCAACATGCTAAGCTAGTTTTTGCATTTTTTTGTAGAGATGGGGTTTTGCCACGTTGCCCAGGCTGGTCTCAAACTCCTGCGTTCAAGCGGTCTTTCTGCCTTGGCCTCCCAAAGTGCCTGGATTAGAGGCATGAGCCACTGTGCCCGACCCTGGCCACTTTCATGGGCATGACTTTCTGACCAGGCACTATGCTGTTTGCCTTCTCTTTCTCCAATCAGGAGAACAAGAACAAACAGCAACAATAATAAAGGAATCATCTTGCTAAATCCTAAGCATGTGTGTTGCCAATATGGGTAGACTGTACCCAAGTCCCACCTCCTCCTCTTCCTAGGTGGATGACTCTGGGCAAGGCACGTTACTCCTCTTAGCCTCCAAGTTCCTTTAGCTGCGTCATGGTTTAAGCAGATTCTGAAATTGCAGCACTTCTCAGTGCCTTTAACATGTGGAGTATTGTTATTCTCCAGCAGGGAGACTTCTGCTGTGGTTTTCCATTGTTCTTTGAGTATTGAATGCTTTTTTTTTTCTCCCAATGAGCACCTATTGACATATTTCAGGGCACAGATGTTTCCCCAAATATACAGATTGACAACACTGGTGTCAGTGGTTTGTCAGGACTGTTTAAACTACTTTTTTTTTTTTTTGAGATAGTCTTGCTCTGTCTCCTAGGTTGGAGTGTAATGGCATGATCTCAGCTCATTGCAACCTCTGCCTCCTGGATTAAATGCTTTCTTAGCCTCTCAAGCAGCTGGGATTACAGGTGCACACCACCATGCCCAGATAACTTTGTATTTTTAGTAGAGACGGGGTTTCTCCATGTTGGTCAGGCTGGTCTTGAACTCCTGACCTCAGGTGATCCACCCACCTTGGCCTCCCAAAGTGCTGGGATTACAGGTGTGAACCACCACGCCTGGCCTGTTTAAGCTTTTAAACTCAGACACTGTGGACTGATTATGGAGTTTTGGGGGACACATCTACTGAGCTGTGACAGTCAACCCCCCTCTGGGGTCAGGAGCACCATAACCATGCCCCACCTGCATCTGTTCTTGCTTCTTTCTGTCGTGTCCCTTCTACCCTGGAGCACCCATTGCTTTACAGCGGGAGCCTTCCTGGGAGGAAGGTCAGGCTCCTGTAATTGGAACCACCCTGCCTTTGTGGGGCAGGAAGACTGGCTGAGATGTCTTGGGCAGCAGCAGCTGCCCTACAAAGGCTCTTCCCAGGGACGCTGGCTCACCTGGGAGCATATTTGGAGGCAAAGAGGATGGCGAGGGAGAAGCAGAGACTCCCAATTAGGTTAGGGCAGCCTGGGAGCACGGGGTTGAGCCTGGGAGCACGGGGGTGGGCCTGGGAACACAGGGATGAGCCTGGGAGCATGGGGGGGGCCTGGAAACACAGGGGGGCCTGGGAGCATATGGGGGGCCTGGGAGCATTGGGGGAGGCTGGGAGCCCGGAGAGGGGCCTGGGAGCACAGGGGGAGGCTGGGAGCACGGAGGTGAGCCTGGGAGCATAGAGGTGGGCCTGGGAGCATGGCGGCGGGGGGGGGGCCTGGGAGCACAGGGCGGGCCTGGGAGCACGGGGGTGGGCCTGGGAGCATGGGGGTAAGCTTGGCTCTGTCATTCACCCTTTTATGACCTTGGGCAAGGCACAGTCCTCTCTGGGCCTCAGTTTCCTCATCTGTGAAATGAAGGCCTGGGCTTAGTGATTTGTTGATTGCCTTCAGGGCTGACGTTCTGTGAACTGAGTAATGGAGGAATAGGTACATTTCGTACCTTTTGGCCACACCCTGGTTTGCTGGGTTTCTTGGGGTCCACCAAGGCTTGCCCCATCAGGAACTTTTCTCTCTCAGAAGGCGCAGTGTGTGCGAAGGTGCTGGAGACTGGCAGGTGGCCTAAGCACCCTGGGAACTGAGAGCTAGTAATTCTCATATGTTAATGTGAGCCAGGGTCACCCAGACAAGCCTGCTAAGAAGGCAGATTCTTGGGCCTCATCCCAAGAGACTCTAGTATTATAGGTTGGTATCAGGAGCTTAGCATCTGCATTTAAAAGAAGCCTCCCGTTCACTCAGGTGACTCTGAAGTCAGTAGTTCAAGGACCACTTTTTGAAAAAGGCCGTTAGACTCTTTGAGCCTTAGGAAAGGCTGGGCACAGCGGCACTTGCCTATAGTCCCAGCTAATCAGGAGGCTAACGCAGGAGGATCACTTGAGTCCAGGAGTAAGAGGTGCAATATGCTGTGATTGTGCTTGTGAATAGCTACTGCCCTCCAGTTCGGACAACATAGCAAGACTCCATCTCTTAAAAAAAAAAAAAAAAAAAGAAAATGTGGCCAAGTGCAGTGGCTCAGGCCTATAATCCCAGCACTTTGGGACACTGAGGTGGATGGATCACTTGAGATCAGGAGTTTGAGACCAGCCTGGGCAACATGGTGAAACCTTGTCTCTACTAAAAATACGAAAATTAGCTGGGTGTGGTGGCATGCACCTGTAATCCCAGCTACTCAGGAGGCTGAGGCAGGAGAATTGCTTGAACCCAGGAGGGGGAGGTTGCAGTGAGGCAAGATTGTGCCATTGCACTCCAGCCTGGGTGACACAGCCAGACTCCATCTCAAAAAAAAAAAAACAAAAAAAACCAAAAAAAACAAAAAGAAAATGCGTAGGAACATGCTAACCTTTTGGGGTTGGTGACGGGCTCTGTGTTGGATGCCCTCACCTGCAGTATCAGCCTTCAAGAGCTAGTGACTCCTCTTCCCACACACTGGTGTGTCCCAAACCTGGCTGATTGTCAGAATTGCCAGGAAGCTTTTGAACAAAATAGGAATTCCTGAGCCTCATCCTTAGAGATTCTGAAGCAGCAGATCTCGGCTGGGACCGCGGAATCCCCATGTTTGAAAAGCTTCTCAGGTCTTTTGTTAATTTATCATTCGTTCGACAAGTATGTCTCGAGGCCTGTGATGGAATGGCCTAGGCCCAGGGGAAGATGGCCTAGGTCCGGGGAAGGACTCATGTAATTGTAAGGCCAGACACAGTCTCGGACATTATGTCACCTGCTCTATGGCTTGGTAAAGGAGACAGACGGTGATTACATAGGGATGATTGGCCAGGCTGGGGAAACACGTAGCAAGGAAATGGTTGGGTCAGACTAAATACTTGGGGTAAAGCTAGGATTCCTGGGTTGCTGAGCTCCAGTAAATTCCACACTGAAATAGAGCCCTGGGCACAGTGTCCTCTGACCACTACTTACATTCTCCTGTCATCCATCGACTCTTCCTCCCCACCATCCACCCACTCGCCCATTCATTCATCTCTCCATTCATTTACCCACCCACCCGTGCATCCATCTGTCCATCTGTCCATCTGTCTACCCGTTTGTCCATTGTCCATCCATCCATCCATTCACTCATCCATTCATCCATTTATCCATCCATCCATCTATGCATCCATCCATCCATCCACCCATCCATCCATCCATCCATCCATCCGCCTGCCCATCCATTCATCCATTTATCTACCCATCCACCTACTCATTCATTCATCTATCCATCCACCCACCCGCCCATTTATTCACCCACTCATCCACCCATCATCTCTTGAATCTCTTCGGCATGCTAAGGACTGCCCTGGGTATTGGAGAGACAGAAATGAAAGGCATTATTCTTGCCTTCAAGGAACTCACAGTCTAGTGGGCTGTCAGAAAACTAAGCAAATGATTCCAGTCCAGAGTGTTAGGTGCCCAGAGGGACAAGTGGCCAGCTGTCTGTCCCAGTGGTCATCATGGGAGACTGCTCTGATGCCAGCTGCATGTGCTAAGCAAAGTGTATTTGGGAGTGGCCCAGGCAGATGAGGTGGGGAATGGCTTTCAGGCCCTGGAAGGGTCTTGCCTTTGGGAAGGCAGGTCATCGTGGCTGGGGCAGGTGGGGACCTTTTCCTCTTTTGACACTCAGGTTCTCTTTGGTTTTGCAAGTGGTCCCACGAGGTCTGGGCCTCAGTAGATGCTTAGCCAACATGAGTTGTCAGTGAATGGGGAGATGAGTCAGAAAGGATGCCCTGTGAACCTCACTGAGGAGCTGTGGCTCTGTGGGGCCACAGATAGGGTCCAGGCAGGGGACAACACTGTGCCACAGGCTCCCTGGGCTGGGCAGGGAGAATGGTGGGGAGGGCTGAGGGGCCCTTCCCCAGCTTCCTCGGCTTTCAGCTCTTTTCTTGTGTAGATTGGAGCCTTTGCATTCATGAAAGCTGATGACTCCTTTCCACCAGTGAATTTCCTGCAACCCACAGGGCCCGGCCTCAGTTGGGGTGTGGGGGGAGCAGAATGATGTGGGGAGAGTGGTGGATGCTGTGGCAGCTAAGAGCCTTGGCCTCCGGAATCAGACTGCCTGATGTGGGAGTCTTACTTCTGCCATTTGTCAGCTGTGTGTCCTGGGGCAAGTGTCTCAACCTTTCTGTTTCAGTTCAGTTATTCAGTTGGGGATAATATCAGTCCCTATCTCATATGGCTGTTGGGACGATTAGGAGTTATTTCTGGTAAAGCACTTAGTGCAATCCTGGTACATGGTAAGTATCGACACAAGGCAGCTTCGGTGTGGAGCTTTGGAGGCAGCCCTGTCACAGGGGCGGGACACTAGAAGGGGCTGGGTATTTATTAGCCTTGGAGCCAGAAGACCTGCTTGGAATCCCACCCCTACCTCTGACTGATTGTAGAGACCTTGGCAGGCTGATTCAATGCTCTGAGCTCAGATTTGTCATCTGTGAATAGGGGACCGACACCCCCCAGGGCCGCTGGGAGGAGTCACTGGGTCTGATGGCTCATTCTCTGCATTGGGCTTATGATTGAGGTAGGAAAACTCTAAACAGGAGGAGTGAAATCTTCATTTGCTAGGGTGGCCTGGATGGCCATGCCTGGGGGTCAGTCTGTGGGGTCTGTAGGGCCACCTCTCTTGGCCCTGGCCTTTTCCCTTAGTTGCCCTCACTGTTGCAGGTTCCTAAGGAAAGGGACCGTCATGTGACTGGGGCCCAGGGTCTTCAGAACAAGGTGCTACAGGGGCAGAGGGTCAGGCTGGTGCCATTTCATTTGCAGGAGTGCTGGGGAGGGTGACTGTCCTCCTCCAGCCACACTGGGTCTGGGTGCCTGGGAGAGACTGAGGTTTCTGGTGCCTGCCCTGGGTTCAGCACTCCTGTCCCTCCACACCTCATGTTCCTGCTTGATTTGAATTCTCAGGGTTGGGTGACTCAGGCATGCCTGATGCCCTGCAAGATTTGGTTCACAAGCAGGTAAATATTAACCCACACGCATAGCTCCAAATGCAAACCTGTTTGGGCTGGCTTCTTGGGGGACAGCTAGGCTCCGAGTGTCCCCCTCTTCCCCCAGCTGATGGCCAAGGTAAGCAGGTGCCCTCCAGGGGAACGAGGTCACCTGCTTTGTGCCAGGTGATTGTACTGAATTCGCACCACTGTCCGGGGGCAGGGGCTGCTGTATCTATTTTACAGCAGAGGAGGAAACCAAGACATCAGGAGGAGGCCAGCTCGGTTTACACAGTTAATGAGAAATGGGCCTATGGCTAGAACCCAGGAGTGCCTCCCTGCAAAGTCCACACTTTCCCCACCTGGATCTCCAGCTGTCTCCTTGCTGTTAGGGTCACAAGGCAATGCTATGTGTATCAGAGGCACCTGAGGTTTGCTTTCTGGCTCCACTTTGCCTGGGCCTCAAATGCCCCTTTTGTGAAGTGGGGCCAGGCTGGTTTGGGGTCCCTGATAGGCAGGAACCAGCCCAGGACACTTGAGTGCAGTAATGGGGCCTGGGCTTGGATTTGGGAGTAACCACCTGGCCAGCCAAACAACGATCTTTTTTTTGAGACGGAGTTTCACTCTTGTTGCCCAGGCTGGAGTACAATGGCGCAATCTCGGCTCACCACAACCTCTGCCTTCTGGGTTCAATAGATTTTCCTGCTTCAGCCTCCTGAATAGCTGGGATTACAGGCATGCACCACCACACCCAGCTAATTTTGTATTTTTAGTAGAGGTGGGGTTTCTCCATGTTGGTCAGGCTGGTCTCGAACTCCTGATCTCAGGTGATCTGCCCACCTTGGCCTCCCAAAGTGCTGGGATTACAGGTGTGAGCCACTGCGCCTGGCCCTCAAGCATCTCTTGAAGACCTGCCAGGAGGCACTGTGGGGACACCCAGGGAGGAGCCACAGTTTCTGTCCTCTGGGAGCTGACACGTGAGCAAGAGTGAGAACACAGGTTTAGGGGCTCCAGGACTGGGTTTGAATCTTGGGTCTTAGTAGCTGTGTGGTCTTGGGCAGGTGCCTTTGCCTTGCTCAGCCTTTGGGGCTCCCTCCAAAGATGGGAATAACAAGCCTTACTTCAGAGTGCATTGTGAGGCTAAAGTGAGATGGTGTCTGCAAAGCTCCCAGCACGTAGTAGGTGCTCAGTAAGGTGGTTTCCCCTGCCCAGAACCTCAGATGACTGTCTTCTAAGTCTGAGAGCAACCAGTGGGCCTCAAAGGCGATTGAGGGCTGCTTCCCCTGCCCTGCACCTCCCCCCCGCCCCGTCATGCTGGCAGCCCGGGAGCAGTCTCTCACGGTTCTGTGGGCAGCTGGAGATGGGGCAGAAGCGGGCGTCAGCTCCACAGTGGGGGCACTGGGAGGTGGGGCCAGGCTTGACTGGGAGGAGAGGGAGATGCTGGCTTTTCCTTGGTCCTGCCCCCCGCAGCCTTGCAGTCAGAGGCAGCCCCAATGAGCCCTCTGCAGTTCTGAGTGCCTTCCTCTCCTGTCTCGCAGAGGGGGAGCCTCACAAACCCTGACAGCAGAAGTGACTTGCCCAGCGTCGATGGGCGCTGGTGGCAGAGCCAGGCTGACCCCCAGCCTGAGGCCCACCCGATCCCGATGCTGCACTCCTAGCTCCTTGGCGTAGGTCCCTGGGGCTGTCGGGTGCCCTGGCCTCCCTGGCCTGCCCTGGAGCCAGCTATGAAGGAATATTCTGGGGCACATGACTCACAAGGCTGGCCCTTCCACTTTTTGTTTTCCTTTCTTTTACTTTTCCCTAATACGGTCTCCTGTGGCCCTTGCTTCTCCTTTCTTGGGGCTCTGAGATGGCAGTGCCTTTTGCCCTGGAAAGCCTGTCCTGGCAGAGCTCCTGTTAGCTGTCGACCACAGCTGCTCAATCGGGAAGGTTCCAAGGGAGGCCGAGCAAAGGCATCAGAGCTGCACAGACCTGGGCCATAGCTTGGCTGACCTACTCCCTAGCTATGTGACCTTGGACAAGTCGCTTTGCCTCTCTCAGCCTCAGTTTTCAGATTCAGTTCAATCCAACCAACATTTATTGAAGACTTGTTAGTGCCCAGTATGATATTAGCCATTGCAGGTGGAGCAGCTCCCCTGGGAACCTCAAGATTGAGTCGGGGTTGGGTGTAGTGGCTCACACCTGTAATCCCAGCACTTTGGGAGGCTGAAGTGGGTGCATCACTTGATCCTAGGACTTGGAGACCAGCCTGGGCAGCATGATGAGACCCCGTCTCTACGAAAAAATACAAAAAATTGGCTGGGCGTGGTGGCGTACACCTGTAGTCCTAGCTACTCAGGAGGCTGAAGTGGGAGGATCATTTGAGCCTGGGTAGTAGAGGCTGCAGTGAACCATAATAGTGCCACTGCACTCCAGCCTGTGCAACAGAGTGAGACCTTGTCTCAAACAAACAAACAAAAAGAGTGGGGAGTCAAGTGGGGCCCTGGATATCCACCTCATAGCGTTGTGAGGATCACGTGAAATAACACATAAAGCACTGCATATGGTTCCTGGTTTTAGTAGAGTCTCAGAAATGACAGTGAGCATTCATTTATTCCTGGCTAGTGAGAGCAGTGCTGAGATTTCAGGTGAATCATTGTCACTTTGATTTCATACTTGTTAGCAGGAAAGTGCGGAGGCTGCTTCTGCTGGTACTGTGTTGATTTTTTGTATACATTGGCGAGGTGAGCTAGTCCCTGGTTGTGAGCTGAGGCTGCCATGTTCCCATGTGTGCCCAGACCTTTGAAGGAGGAAGCGCAGCCCATGTGGTGCCCTGTCCTAGGGCAGTCCACTCCTGGCCCATGCTGGGCACCCAAGAGGTGTTTGTTGAACTAATAGGAGAGGCAGTGGCAAGCTGGGGCACATCCTAGCAGTGTGATTGACGTGGGAGCCGGGGGTCTGGGAGCCACAGCAGGCGGCCATGGGACCATCTGACCAGGGCAAGAGGGGCCCTGGGATAGGAGCGGAAGTTGAGGACTGGCCTGTGCAGGAGGAGAGGCCTCATTCTGAGAAACTCGAGGATGAGGGGAGGGCTGGATGCGGGGAGGAGGCAGATTTAGACTCTTCTCCTGGGGGACGATGAATCTTCTGCCAAAGGAAGAATTTCAATATGGGGGTATGATGTGGGTCAGTGATTCGGGCTTAGAGTGGGGGGCATTTATGGAATACCCACACTGGGCCAGGCACAGGGCTAGGATCAGTAAGCTTTGTCAGAGAGCCCTTTTCTTTTTTTTTTTTTTTGAGACAGGGTCTCGTTCCATTGCCCAGGGTGGAGCGCAGTGGCGCCATCTTGGCTCACTGCACCCTCGACCTCCCAGGCTCAAGTGATCCTCCCACTTTAGCCTCCTGAGTAGCTGGGACTACAGGCGTGTACCACCATGCCTGGCTAATTTTTGTATTTTTTGTAGACATGGGGTTTCCCCATGTTGCCCGGGATGGTCTTGAACTCCTGAGCTCAAGGAATCTGCCTGTCTCGGCCTCCCAAAGTGCTGGAGTTACAGGCATGAGCCACTGTGCCCAGGCCCTTTTTCTTTTCTGTTTGTTCACTGATGTGTCCCAAGTACTCAGAACAGGACTTGGCTCATGGAGGTGCTTAATAAATGTGGGTTGAATGAATGAATGGTTGGATGAATGAATGAATATTACCTAATTGGGTCTCAGGAGTGTCATGACACCCAGTTTGCAGATGAATAAACTGAGGCTTAGGGAGGTTAAGTTGCACATTTGCTAGGTTGTGGAGCTGGGATTTGGAGTCCCCACTGTCTGACTCCAGAGCCGGTGCACAGACCCACCCATCTATTAGGATCCTCAAGGAGGAATTCTTTCTGTGGCTGACAGGTTGGATTTCAACCTCTCAAAGACCCCTCCGTCGTCTGAGAGCGTCTGATTGTGGGAAGAAACAAAATGACCCAGACAACAGCTGGGTCAGTGCTGCAAGTGACAGCAGATGGCTCCTGCCACTAACTCCTGTTCTGATCAGTGGGTGCCCTTTCAAGGAGCCAGGTTGGGAGAGAGATGGATGCTGCCAGCCCCAAGGAGGCCCTTCCAGGCTTGGTCTGACATCATCGTTATCCTCAGCCACAGAGCGGGAGGGTGCTGGCTCTGGCACAGCTGGCACATAGTGCTTGCTCTGGCCTGCACAGTGGGGCCCGTGTCTCAGGTCACCCCTGCCTGGGTGCATCTCCAGGGTGGTGGCTAGATGGCCTGGGTGAATCCCAGGTGTTCACGGGGACATGTGCCTGCCCTCAGCCCCCAGGTGGTTCTGGACCAGAATGCCCAGGAGCTTAGGGCTGGGACCCAGAGAGACTTGGAGGGGGGCTGCTTTGAGAGGCTCTGTTAGGGGCAGTGCCGCTGCAACACTTCAGGGGGGCCACTGGTCTTGGGCACTTGATCTGAGTCCCCCAAGTTCTCCTCCTGATGTGCTGTCCCACTGGGGCCCTGTCCTACTTGCTCCCATGGGTGGAGGCTTCATGGTCCCACCTGAGTGTACCCCAGCAGCACAGGAGCCCAGCTGACTGGTGGCTGGCTCGTGGCTGAGGTTTTAACCTGTAAATACTGTAGGGGCTCAAGACACAGGCTCTGCAGCCACGTGGCCTGGGTTCAAAGGCCAGCGCTCTCATTTATTGACTATGTGACCTCGAGCAATTTTCTGAACCTCTCTATGCCTCTATTTCCTAACCTGTAAAAGGGAATGAGAGTGGCCCCTGTCTCAGAGGGTTTTTAGGAGGAAATTATAGGAGCTGTAGGAGTAAAGGGCTTGGATTAGCACTGGGCCCTTAGCACGCAGTTAACACGTGTTCGGTGTCTGATGTTGATTTTGGCACTGACATTGGGCAACCCAAGGAGCCACTGCATTTCTGCTGTGCCCTGTGGCTGGCACCTGGATTCCACTTCCTCAGTAATGCTTGTCATGAATGGGCCAGGTCAGCAGGGACAAGAAGAGCAAAGGCAGCACCCGGGCACTTCACTCCCACCCAAGGCCCCATTCGGGCAGCTGTAACGAAATGCCGTGACTCTTACCAGCAACAGGCAGTTATTTCTCAAAGTTCTGAAGGCTGGAAGCCCATGATCAAGGCAACAGCAGATTCGGTGTCTGGTGAGGGCCTGTTCCTTATAGATGGTACCTTCTCACTGTGTCCCTGCGTGGTGGGAGGGCCTAGCCGGGGCCTTGTTTACAAGGATACTAATCCCATTCACGAGGGCTCTACCCTCATGACCTGATTACCTCCCCAAAGCCCCACTGCCTAATCCATCACCTTGGGGGTGAGGTTTCCGCATAGGAATTTTAGGGGGATAAAAACATGCAAATACTGTGGGGCTCAAGGCACAGGCCCTGGAAGCCCTCATTTCTACCTTCTTCCCTTCTCCCTCCTGCTTAACATTTGCTCCTTGCTGCTGCATCCCAGGCATTGCAGACGAACTATCCATGCTTTTGGTCACCCTTTCAAGGAGCACTAACTGGTGGACGGCCCCCCTCCAACTCCTCATTGCCTGAATCTAGGCTCAAGTCTGCTCTCAGGAGTTTCTGCAGCCCCCAGGTCTCCCGAAGGGAAGCCCAGCTGCTATTGTCAACACTGTTCAGTTCTCCTTCCCCTTCTGGACCGCCAGTGGCTGTGTCTTTCTCACCACAGCAGGGGATACTTGATGAATATGCATAGAGGGTTGAGCCATGCGCTAGGCTCCGGGACACAGGGCAGGAGGGTGCAGCTCCTGGCCTCGGAGAGCTCGGCAGTCTGGTTGTTTATTTACTAACTCGGGTACCAGGACCGTGGCTGGGCACTGAGGACATGGAGAGGCAAAAGATGCAGTCCCACCTTAAAGAGGCGGCTGTACATATTCCCCCTCCCTCCCTGGCTGCCTCCTCTCCCCACCTCCTGTATTGCGGATGCTGGGCCAGGTGGTGCAGATACAGACACAAGTAGGTCGTGGTCTCTGCCCCCACAGTCTAGCGGGGAGAGGCACAAAAACAAGTACTGTAGCAGAATGCAGTTTCTTTAGATACTTGTAGCCTGGTGTTTGTCTGCCATGGAAACCAGTGGCAATGGCTTTGGTCTTTGTATTCCTGTGACTAGTAATGGTGACACAACCCTGCATTAACAGGCCAGCGTCTGCTATAGATCCCCAGAGGACTTCACCAATGCCCTCTGATCCGGGTTTCCCAACCTCGATCCATTGACATTTGGGCTGGATCATTCTTTGTGTTGGGGCTGTCCTGTGCCCTAAAGGATGTTTAGCGGCTTCCCTGGCTTCCACCCACCAGATGCCAGTAGTGTCCCCCCTCCCCACCTAGTGTGGCAACCAAAGTGTCTACTGCCATTGCCAAATGTCCCTTGGGGGACACAACAGCCCCTGGTTGAGAACCATGGCCTCCCATAGATCTGTAAAGCTGTAACTATAAATCAAGGTGGGATGGAAATTTTGAAATCCAATACTGTCTCCCTCCCCAACATCCCATGTACCTTGGGAGCATCAGTGATCTGGTTTGGCATAAAACACAAACATCTTCTGGGATGTGGAGGGGCCCTTGGAGGCTGTGCACCTTGCCCAGGCCACAGAGAAGCAGGGCCCCTGGCGGAATGAACTGGATCATTGCCAGGTGTTCATGTGCCCTGTTCTGTGTGGATGCAGTGTTGGGCCGGTCATCACATGGCCACATGGAGTATGCAGGGCCAGTATCAGACCTGGGAGAGTTGAGTCCAGATGTTCAACTGTCCTCTTGAATCTCAGTTCAGCCCCGGTATTCTCCTTCACCTCACAGCACCTATGACCAGGGGACCAAGTGCTCATCAGCAAACCCCATAACCTCGAGTGCTTCCTGGGGCACAATAAAGATTTGCTGAATGAGCAAGGGGGGGTTGTTGGATGGCAGAGGGATGCCAAGGGATGCAGACTGGCTTTTCTGTCACCCTCTCGAATGCCGTTGAACTTAAAAGTCCCCAGAGTGAGGGAGCGGGGTCTGGAGACCTTGGCTCTGACAAAGCACGTGTGGAAGATGTGACTGCCATCACTCTCTTCCTGCTTTGCACCCTGATCTGGAAGCAGATGGTGTCCCCGTGTCCCTGTCCTCTGACAAAGAACTGGGCCACAGGACGACCTTGGATAGACCTGGCAAAGGCTCAGTGTTGGCAGGCAGTGTCCAGGTGGCCATCCGTGCATCCGCCCCTCCAGCTAGCATTTTTGGGCACCTGTTATGCTTGCTGGCAGTCTGCAAGAAGCGAGCCCTTGATCCCACCTTCCCAGGCCACTGGCCTCTTTCTGCTGGTTACTTGGGATGCTCCTGTGTCAAGTGACATTGGGGACATGCTGGTGGATCATTGAAGGTTTGCTGCCTGGAGGGGTTTGCTGTCCCTAAATTGAGCAGAATTTTTTTTTTGAGATGTAGTCTCACTCTGTCGCCCAGGCTGGAGTACAATGGCGCGATCTCGGCTCACTGTAATCTTCGCCTCCCAGGTTCAAGCGATGCTCCTGCTTCAGCCTCTTGAGTAGCTGGGATTACAGGCATGTGCCACCATGCCCAGCTCCTTTTTTGTATTTTTAGTAGAGACAGGGTTTTACCATGTTGGTCAGACTGGTCTCAAACTCCTGACCTCAAGTGATCCACCTGTCTTGGCCTCCCAAAGTGCTGGGATTACAGGCGTGAACCACTGTGACCAGCCTAGCAGAATATTTTTTGAGATCCAGTCAGGAAGTGGAACCTGAGTTCCCGGGGCTGATTCTCCAGCCGGCGTGCTTTGCTTGAAGGGTCCATGTCTGCAGATGGCTCCAAGCTGGCCCTGTGCTGACTATGCGGATGCAGGGAATTGGAATGTCTCTTTGGCACCATGCACAGAGCTTGGTCATTGCTGCATTTCGCACCAACTAAGGCAACTCTGGCCTTGCTGTCTCATTTTTGGATCCTCCCCCTTCCTGTCCTTGACCCTCTTCCCTGGAATCTTGACTTTAAAAGAGGAAGGGGCTGGGTGCAGGCTTTTGGGTGCTCAGCACTGGGCCAAGCTGATGGCTTCCTGTAGCACTTCAGTGAGGGCAGGTACTGCATGGTCAGATGCTGCTAGAGGGGCTGCCTCCTAAGCCTTGCCTTCACCATCCAGGCAGGCAGTGCCTTCCTGGAGGGCAGTGACGGGGAGCTCTGGGACCCTTCAGCTCTAGCCTGGGACACCACCCCTTCTTGTAGGCCGGTGCTGCTGTTCATTTAGCAGGAGGCAGTCATTTATTCATTCAACAAACATTTATTGAGCACTTACTGTGTTCCAGGCTCTCAGTGAAGCACTTTCTGAGAATTATTATCTCATTTAATCATTAGAACAGCCCTGTGCATGGTGATTCTTATAGTTGTCATTGTATGGAAGAGGAAACCAGGGATCGGAGCAGTGGATGGCATCTGTGTCACAGCTGGCCTCAGCTGGGATCGAGCACAGAGCTCAGTCTCCTAAAAATCCCTACCCAGGGCATGATGGTGACATGGCAAAAAGGGGAACCTGGGGGGCACACTGGCAGGACCAGAGATTGCTTCAGAGCAGAAATGACCTGGAGTAGAGTGGTCCCATTTTTCACTGGGCAAGCAGTGGTGTCTCTGCCTGCAGGATGTCGGGGGGTGCTTGAAGCTCATTACACCCAGTGTGGCTTCCATGCCAAGGCAGAAGGAATACTAGGGGGAGTTTAGGACCAGGCTGTGGGCGGCATCCGCATTGTCTGGTTCCTCGTAAGTCGCACCACAGGGTTGGTCAGCAGCAGTTCAGCTCTTGTTAAAGCTGATAGGGAAAGAGGACGGGTGTTTGGGAACAGTTCTCTTGGGGGATCCTGGTCCCGGATTTGACTTCAACTCAGGACAACAGGACTCAGGGCAAATCCTTTTAATGATTGAAGCCATCCCTCCCTGCTCTCCCTCCCCCAACACCTCCAGCCCAGTCTTCCCTGTCCCCTTCCCACAGCCCCAGTCCGCATCTTCTCAGATTGTGAAGTTAATTGCAAGGGAGTGGGATGGACCCATTGGCCTGATCCTGATGGATCTTTCCAGTCACAGCTGAAAGACCTTGGGTCTAATCATGGATCCACCTTTGATCAGATTCTTGGCTTTGAACAAATCTCTCTCCCTCTCTGAGCCTCAGTTTCCTCCTCTGTAAAACAGGGTCAGGTACCTGCCATTCGTGGGTTGGCTCTGCCCCTGGAGGAACTGGTGGGAGGATTAGGGGAGGCACCAGGCATCCCCTGGCCTGGAGCAGTGCTCAGAGCCAACTCCCGCCAGAGGTGCCCCAGAACAGCTGGAACTGCACTCACACCCTTATCTGGGGAGGACAGCACATCACTGAGGGGTGTGGTTTGAATCATAAGTGCTGGCTGCTCTGAATTCAGCCAGAGCTATCCTGGGCTGTGTGGCTGAGGGCCCCCGGGGGTCCTGGGGCTCCATGCTGGGCTTGCATTTCAGGAGACCTCAGATGCTGCTGGCCTGCTTGCCCTGCCGTTGTTGGGTGGGTTGAGCTGTTTTTAGCTCTAAGCTTTGCAAAGGCTGTTTCTTTCCTGCCCAGAGCTCCCTCGTGGGACAGAGTGAACAGGCCCCTCCCTGCCAGACAGAGATTGGGCCTGAAGAAAGAGCTTGGAGCCAGATGGGACCCTGTGGGCTTTGAAAGGGAGGCCTGGTTTGCTCTCTGTGGCCTGCCAACCTGGGACACCGGTGCCCAGCCTTGCTCCTTCCCTGGGAAACTGAATAGACGCCAGGGTCTCACACCTGCCCCGTGGGAAAGGCTGGGGTATGTGCCTGCCTGGTGACGGTGGCAGCCGCGGAGGCTCGCGGATCCTGTCCCCTTTGCCGGCCACATGCTTCTGACTCATCAGAGGAAGAATGTGGTCTTTTTGGGAGAGAGTTTTTAAAAATAGTCCAAGTCCTCCTCTGGCCCTGTCCCACTCCTCCCCTTCTGACCATTTCCTGGCATCAGCCCCAGACCTCTTTCCACTCTGGTTTTGGGGAACTGCCCCTTTGCAACTTGGCTGTGAATCTGTTTGTGAACCTTACTGGGGAGGAGCTGTCCTGGGTGCAGGCTGGTTTCAGAAGGGAGGGGCCCAGCTGTGGCCGCCTCCTCCCCAGGGGCCCGACTTGGGACGAGGGATTTCTGCATTCCTTTGGCAACTGTGCCTTGGGTCGCCTGTGTGTCAGGCCTGTGCCATGGGTGCAGATAAGAGCGGTGAACAGTGGTCACAGTCCTGCCTTCATGGAGTCCACATTCTCATAGGAGGAAACTGATAAATAACTAAAATTTGTAGTTGCCAGAGGTGTTAAATCCTGTGAGGATGGGGACACTGGGTCAGGGCATGTGTGTGGGCTGTCAGGAGAAGGCCTCTGATACAGCGACCTTGGAGCAGAGCCCTGAAGGTGAGGGCAGCAGTGTGTGGGTATCTGGGGGAACAGCATTTCAGGCAGTGGGAACAGCAAGTGCAAAGGCCCTGAGGCAGAAACATGCTTGGGGCATTCAGGGAGCTGGAAGGTGGTGGTGACTAGAGTGAGCTGTGTGGAGAGAGGTAGGACATGAAGTCGGGGGGGTTGTGGGGGCTCTGACACGTGGGGCCTCAGAGATCAAGATGAGGGCTTGGGTCTTCCTTAAATGAGGTGAGAAAACATTCCAGGCTCTGAGCGGAGGATGAACTTGGCCGCTGTGCTGAGAACAACATGTCAGGGCAGGGGTAGAGGTGAGAGCAGAGGGACTGGTCAGGAGGCGTTTTGAATAGCCCAGGTGAGAGATGATGGTGGTTTGGGCCATGGTGGTACTGTGGAGGGGGTGAGATGCGCTCGGATTCTGGGCGTATGTTGAAGGTAGAGCCAGCAGGTTTGCTGAAGGGTGGGCCCTGGGTGTGAGACAGAGGTGTCAAGGATGACTCCAAGGTTTTGGCCTTAGCAGCTGGTGGGATGGTGCTAGCAAGCGGGATGGGAAGACTGGGAGGAGCAGGGTTCTTTGTTCTGGCAGCATGGTGATCAGGAGGTGGGTATGGGCACGTTAAGGCTGAGATGCCCGATCAATCACTGAGTGAAGACACAGAGCAGGCAGAGGGGCAGAGCCTGGAGTTCAAGGGCAGGACAGGCTGGAGGCATCACTATGGCCATGGCTTAGGACCCACGAAGTGAGCCAGGTGACCCAGGTGGCCCAGGGAGGAGCCGCGGTGTAGCCTGAACCTGGGAACTGCCAACCTGGAGGGAGGAAGGAGGAGCGGAGGAAGGGGAGCTGGAGCGAGACGTGAAAGAAGGGAGCAGCTGGCAGGTCAGGCAGAATGGGGACCGAGATGCTCCTCTCTCCCCATCCTGGTCCATCAGAACCGGTGTAGTGGAGGCCGCAGGTGACCTCGTGAGCTGGCTGGCAAAGCGGTGGGCACACACTTGGTTGGGAATAGGTAGCTCAGCACAGAATAGGAGACAGGGACAGGAGACGGAGCATGGGCACTCCTCGGGGAAGTCTTGTAAAGGGGAGCAGAGAAATGGGGTAGTGGGTGGAGAGGGTATGGGATCAGATGAGCAGTAATGCAGCGTATTTATTCATTTATTTATTATGACTTTTTTGAGATGGAGTCTTGTTCTGTCACCCCAGCTGGAGTGCAGTAGTGCGATCTTGGCTCACTGCAACCTCTGCCTCCTGGGTTCAAGTGATTCTCCTGCCTCAGCCTCCCGAGTAACTGGGATTACAGGTGCCCGTCACCACTCCCGGCTAATTTTTGTATTTTTAGTAGAGATAGGGTTTCACCACCTTGACCAGGCTGGTCTTGGACCTCTGAGCTCAAGTGATCCACCAGCCTTGGCCTCCCAAAGTGCTGGGATTATAGGCATGAACCACCATGTCTGGCCACATATTTCTATTTGCTGGGAAGGATCCAGTAGAGAGGAGCTGCGTCTCTTGGTGGCCTCGGCTTCTACCCTAGAAAGACGTCCTTGTACCATGCAAAAGACTCCTCCCTTCCCTCCTTACCCCATCTCATTTCTGGCATCAGCTCAGAGGCCAGTTTGGGGGGGCTCCTCCAGTTGCCCATCTGCAGACCTGTGGACCAGTGATGGGATGGGCAGGGGACCCCTGCAGGTAATTCCGCTCAGAAAGGCAGGGGCCATGGATGGGCAGCAATTCTGAGATCCAGCTGTGCGCAACCATCTCCCTGACCCAGCCCGAATTCTTTGCTTGCGGGGGTCAGTCCACCCGATGTGGGAGGGTGCGGCCTGGGAGAGACCACCAGGGCACCGGCAGAGGAGAACGCCTTGTACTGGGTCCATTTTGGGAGCCCGGGACGCCCTCCTCAGCCCCCTGCTCCATGGGGCCTTGTGGGAATATCAGGGTAGAAAACTCTGCAGGCATGGAGAGTTTAGCTGTGGGTTAGCTCCCACCTGTGACCGATGGAGAGCGTGGTGCGGGCCCCTTCCTGCTGTCCCTCTGTTGTGCTTTAGGTGAGTTCCTGCCCAGGGCTGGGCCAAGTTTATTACCTTACTTCTTCCTCATCTGAACTGGAGAGAGCCTCACCTCCTTGCACACTCCCCCCTTTTACTTACAAAGCTAAGTGAGTCTAAGAAGCCTAAGCCAGTGGTGGAGCCAGGATCAGAACACGCCTGATCCCCTAGCCCCTGCCCTGGCTCTGATCTGGAAGTGGGGCACTGTGCCCTCCCCTGCCTTGGGTATGTACCCGCTGGCCTCCTGTGGCTGCTGCCTGAGGACAGGAACCCGGAACTCTCTTTTGTTTCTTTGTCCCCAGTGCCAAGCTGGGGCCTGGCAGGCAGTAGGTGCGCAGTGAGAAGTTGGCTGAGTGGGGAAGGATGAGTGGCTTACTTTGTGAAAGGTGGAGGAGGTGAGCCTGACCCCTGGAGGTGAGGAGGGTGAACTGGGGTCACAGATTCCCCAAAGGTTGTACCTCAGCTTGGCCCCCTGGAGGCTTTAGTTCAGCCCTGAGGTGTAGCAGGAGCAACGCTGCCCCTCCCTTTGGCTCCACCCTGATGCCTGGGGAGTGGTAGACACCCCTGTGTGTGCCCCCAAATCCTACTGTTTCCCTTGGCAGTGCCCCTCCGTGAGCTCCAGCTCTTTCCTGCCATTCTTCCGTCTGTACACCTGCTGGGTTGCAGGGACGCACATGGACCTCCCTTTCCCTGCCTGCCTCATCCTCCTGGGGGGCTTTGGGTAGGTCCCTTCCCATCTGAGCCTCAGCTTCCCTGTGTCTAAAAAGGAGGTGAGGAAACCCACCTCTCAGGCTGCCTGCAGCCTAAACACACTCTCATGCTAAGTGGCGAGGGCCCAGCAGCGAGGACGCCCAGCAGCTGGGAGGCGGGCATCCCTGTTGTAGGTGGGGAAGCTGAGGCTCTGATGGGCGAGTTGATGGCACACAGTATGTGTCATGCCAGCTGCTGTCCCCTCTCTGGCTTCCAGGTGGGAGCCACGGTGCCCCATCACAGGGACACCCCTGATGTGGGGCTGAGGGTCTGGGGTTCTCTGGAGAAGAGGGGGGTCAGTTCAGCTGATGGCAGGTGGCTTCCTCCGGCACTTCAGCTTCTTCACTCCTTCTGCTGGGCTGGATCGCCGGGGACAAAGGGGTTAATGTGTCTGGGGGCTGGGAGGGAAGGAGGAAGAGCAGGAGGAGGAGGTAGAGGAGGGGGGCTGGAGATAGAGTCTGGGGCCGCCCCCCTCCCACGCTGTCCAGCCACTTCTCCAGGCTGGCTCTGGTTTCCCAGGCAACAGCCCCCAGGGGTCCCCTCTGGCCTGGCCTCAGGGTCGGCTCCTTCCCACAGAGACCTACTCCCAGGGCCCCCTCCCCAGTGCTCCCCACTCTTCCTGCCTGCAGATCCTCACCAGGGGCTCCCTAGGAGGTCAGTGCGGGAGGGTGGGTGCCACCGACTCTGGGCTCAGGACAGAGTCTCCATTGTCTGAGGCTCCAGCCATTGACCAAACTTGGCCCCTGCCCCAGTGAGGCAGGCCCCCTTCTCAGAGCTCCCCTCCCCCTCCCTGGTGAAGAGGAAAGGAAGTTGGAGCCGCCCCCACCTCGGGAAGCCCTTTGAGTGTCCATCAGGTCGGTGAGGGAGGAGCTGGGGTGTGTGGTCCCTTGCCAGATTCTGCAGCTCTGGCACCTGCAGGGTTGAGGAGGGTCTGGGAGGACGCTCCCTGACCCACCCACTCCCCTACTCCCCCTTCCACCCTGGGCCTGGGACCAGGCTGAGGGTCCTGCCCTCTTGCTCCCAGGGGCTCCGTAGCTGTGTGGCCTTGGGGATGCCCCTCAGTCTCTGTCAGCCTCATTTTCCTCATCTGCTATGGGAATCAAATGAGATGCAAACTAAAATGTTCAGTATGGGGCCCGGTGCAGACAGTGCTCGGAGGTGTCAGCTATTGTCATTTCAAATTTTGTGATCTCAGGCCTGGTGTTCCGGTGGAATACGTTTGTCTTGGACTTAGTTTAGCAGTCTGTAAAATGAGAAAATGCTGTTGGTCCTCAGGGACTGGCAGGAACCGTGGGAAGGAAACTGACATTCATTACAAACCTACCAGTGTTGTCCAATGTCATCTTATTTACACCTGCACCTGACAGGTAAGCACAGGAGGCGCAGAGGGCTGCCTGCTTCGGAGTGGGGCTGCTGGAGAGCAGAGGATGAGTGTTGTCTGGGCTGGCTTCATACCAAGGCCGGGTTCCTGTCCACACACCTCATCCTTCTCTTCTGCCTGCGCCCCTCCTGCTATAGCTCTGCCTGTGTTTTCTTGAAGGCAGCTCCTCTCTCCCCATCCCGGACTCTCCACCAGGTGGCCCTTTGCGCTGAGAAGAGCTGTGGGCATCTTGCTGCCCTGCGTGGGGGAGCCGTGGGCCCTCTTCTCTGTCAGGAGACCCCGCCCCACTTCCTGTTCCAGCTCCATTGTGTGGTTTGCATCCCCTTCTCTTCCTTCCGGGCCCCGGGCTTTCAGGACAGGCAGAGGACACCAGGAGGGCTTGTACCTCACCTTCCATCTGTTCTCCCCTCCTCTGGGCCGAAGCCCCACACAAGCAGCTCCCCAGGTCCAGGGATGTCCCAGCCTCATGGGTTCCTGGTCTGTGCCCTTTGGTTCCATGCTGGGTGGGTCCCAAGCAGGGGAAGGTCTCAGCTGTTGTCTAGTGTGTACCCCGGGCCAGACCCAGTGCTACCCATGCTGAGATGGAAAGAAGCCCAGTGCCCCCAGAGAGGTCACAGGCTCTTGGGGAGGGCAACAGTTATAATGGGGCTGTGTCTGCAGGCATGTACCTGTCCCAGCACCACCCATGCTCTTTGAAAACAGCCTGTTGGCCCCCTATCAGCTGCACCTCTGAGCCACTGAATCAGAATCTCTGGGTGTGGGCCTGGGACATAAATATTTTTAAAAAGCTTCACAACTGGAAACCACTGTGTGAAATGGGTCTAAGGAAGCTTTGCAGAGGAGAAATGGGGTCTGGTTTTGATGACTGAACAGGAATTTGCTTGCTGGTTGTGAGAGAGAATTCCATGTGGAGGGAACAGACAGCTTAAGCAAAGGCCTGGAGATGTCAAACAGGTCAGGTGGCATGGTCATGGGGCTGAAAGCCATTCGTGAGAGCCAGAGCAGAGTTCCAGGCCAGGCCCGGAGCCGATGAGATCCGAGAGGTCGGTGGAGGGGGCGAATCTTGGAGGGCCTTGCTTAGGACCCAGGCTCCATTCTGACAGTGATGGGGAAGGGTTTGAAGCAATAAGGTGATGTGACAGGTGTGTTTGCGGAGTGTCTCTGTGGCAGCGGAGGTGGCAGGTGGGTTGGCCTAGCGTGTGTCTAATGAGAGTTGAAAGCCAGAGAGACCTCTCAGAGAACACAGGTACGTGGAGGAGTTCTGGTCCTGACCAGCCCAAGCACCTGGTCTTTCCCCCCATTCCCCACCTTCTTTCTGCTTCAGGAGGTGGGCCCTGCAGAGGGCCTCTGAGGCCAGAGCTTGACAAGCGTGCTTGGGCCAGAACCGATTCCTTGCTTCTCTCTGGGCAGGGCTGGGTGGCCGCTGCCCAGCTCATCCCAGCAGTCCAGCTGCTGCTTCCCCCGCTTCTGCCTGGACCTTGTTAGAGAAAGAGGCCGGCCTTTCCTGTCCTCAAGGCACGACTTGCGCAGCCTTCCAGACTTTCAGGGCCCCCAAGTGTTTTCTTCCTCCAGGCCTCATTCAGGTGGAAGAGGGATGGGGCAGCTTGATGTGTGAGGGGTGGGAGATGGTCTTGGGGGGCCCGGGGTGGGACAGGGGCAGGCAGGAGGAGGGTTTCCTAGTGGGGCCTCTGGGCAGATGGACTTTGAACCCTAGTGGGAGGGGAACTAATAAGCACTGACTAAATTAGCCAAGCCAGGAAGACACCTGCTGTGATGAGCTGGGCAGCTGAGGGCAGAGGGAGGTGCCAATGCCGGGCTGCTCTGGGTGGTCCCGTCGCTGAGCCTAACCTGCTCCGGGCCTCTGGTGGGCACACCCCATAGCCGGGAGCTGGGGCCTCCCCTCTTCCTCCCTTGTCTGAGCACTGCCTCCTCCTCAGCCATTCCACGCAGTAGCAGGAAGGGGAACTGTTCAGTGTCCGCCTGTTCCTTGGGTTTGGTGGTCATTGTTAAAAAGGTGACCTCCAAGAGAAAACAATCTCCTATAACCCCACCACCCAAGCATAGCCTGGATAGGGTCCCCATGGTAACAGAGGCCCCTGTCTACCCAGAGCTTACTCCGTGCAGGGCATGGAGCGTAGAATTCATCACACCCACTGCTGGGTCCTCATTTCATCAGCACAGGACGCTCAGGAAGCAGGTGCTGGTCTTACTCCCACCGCCCCAGTGAGAAAGGAATTCACTGCTGCTGTGGCAAGTGGCAGAGCTGGGATTTGAACCTGAATCATCCCGGCACCAAATCCTATCCTCTAAACGTGGCCTTCGGTGTCACCGCCTGGAGAGTCACCGTGCTGTGGGCAGTGCCCTCCTCCTTTGGACTCAGTTTCCACATCTGTAAAGCAAGAGCAACACTGCCCTCTTGGAGCTACTTTCTGGTTCTGACATGCCATGCTTTTGTATTAGTTCTCTTTTTAAAGATGAGAATGGTTATTGTTTATTTATTTATTTATTTTTGAGACAGTCTTGCTCTGTCGCCTAGGCTGGAGTGGCAGTGGTGTGATCTTGGCTCACTGCAACATCCACCTCCCAGGTTCAAGTGATTCTCCTGCTTCAGCTTCTCGAGTAGCTGGGACTACAGGCATGTGCCACCACGGCTGGCTAATTTTTTGTATTTTTAGTAGAGATGGGGTTTCACCATGTTGGCCAGGCTGGTTTCGAACTCCTGACCTCAAGTGATCTGCCTGCCCCGGCCTCCCAAAGTGCTGGGATTACAGGCATGAGCCACCATGACTGGCCTGAAGTGGGTACTTTTTAATCCCCATTTTGCAGATGAGTAAACTGAGGCCCAGAGATAGGATTAACTCATCCAAGGTCTCATAGCTGCTGAGTGGAACCCAGGTGGTATTGGGGAACCTGAACTCTTTTCTAACCCCGTGAGGATCTGTGGTGGTGGCAGGGGGCTGCTGTGAGCCATCCCCACTCCCTTGTCCACATCCTTCTGAGACTAACAGCCTGTGTGTGCAAAATGGTGGCCACAGGCCTATGGGTATGGGCAGGGCTTGCTGGGCTGCGTCCTCGTCCCGACACTTCAGAGCCCCGCATTAGCCTGTAGCAAACACCTTCCAGATTCCAGCCCCAAAGGCTAGGGAGGCAGTGCGATCAGAGGATTGAGATTAGGCTTTAGGGTCAGTGCTCACTGGCTGGAATCCTAGTGTGGTCACCTTGTCCTCTTGCTTCTGTGACCTGGGGCAAATATTTGCTTCTCTGAGCCTCTGTTTCCTCATCCGTAAGCTGGGGTGTTACGAGAATTAGATAGAATAATGCTAATAAAGTGTCAGGCTCCATACATGTTGGTGTCTCTCTTCCTTTCTAGGGAAAGCCTTGGGCTTTGGAGGGGAGGGCAGGAATCAGTCCCAAAGGGTGAAGAAAGGGGAGGACATTGGACTTTCTGCCCTGGAAGGGAAGGATCCTGGGTTTTGGCCCCAGGGTAGAGTAGCAGCCTCTTTCTGTATCATCATCAAATTGTATTTAAGGAGCAATTTGGACAGGAGGCTGGGCAAAGTGCCTCCCTTTTTCCTTCTGTAAAATGGGTATAGGTCTTTCTGCTGCTTCCCTCCTGGAACTCTTGGGGCAGCAGAGCCCTCAGAGAAAGGCTGAGCAGACCTCAGAGGTTTTGAATGAGCCCACTGGGAGGGGGCCCTGTAGCAGGAGTGCCGTGCAGCTACAGGTTTGTTTTCCAAAATCCTTTGCTGAAGTAAAAGTTTAGTCCTGAGAGTTTTCAGCGTGGGTCTAAAAGGCACAGTCACACGCTTAGCAGAGAGTAACTGGTATCATCAGTCACAGTGAGAAATGCAGGCAGGTGTCAGGGTTCACATCTGTGATCCCAGCACTTGTTGAGGTCAACAAGGGAGGATGGCTTGAGCCCAGGAGTTTGGGACCAGCCTGGGCAACAGAGTAAGACCCTATCTCTAGAAAAAATTTTAAAAAATTAGCCAGGCATGGTGGTGTGTGCCTGTAGTCCCAGCTACTGGGGAGGCTGAGGCGAGAGGATCACTTGACCCAGGAGTTCCAGGCTACAGTGAGCCATGATTGTGCCACTGCACTCCAACCTGGGAAATCGAGACCAAAGCAGCCTCAGTACCTATCGATGGGGGCTATATAAATTATACCCCCACAAAAAACACCTACCTCAAAACAAAACCAAACCTACTATGCAGCTGTTAAAAAAAGTGGGGTTGATTTCTATGTATTAGTACTATTCTGAAATCATCACTGAGATTTAGGTTAAAAAGGCAGTTGCAGCACTGTGAGTGCTGTGTGCTCCTTCTGTATGAAACAAGGCATATCTGCAGATATGCAAGTTGGCCCATGCATGGGAGAGTTCTGGAAGGATTCTTGAGAAGTCAGTAACAGTCATCTCTTCTGGGGGACTGGGGGATTAGGGCAACCAGGGTGGGAGGTTGACTAACTTTTTTTTTTTTAATTTTTTGAGACAGAGTCTTGCTCTGTTTCCCAGACTGGAGTGCGGTGGCACGGTCTTGGCTCACTGCAACCTCCGCCTCCCACGTTCAAGTGATTCTCCTGCCTCAGCCTACTGAGTAGCTGGGATTAAAGGCATGTGCCACCATGCCCAGCTAATTTTTGTATTTTTAGTAGAGATGGAGTTTCACCACGTTGGCCAGGCTGGTCTCGAACTCCTGACCTGAAGTGATCCGCCCACCTCAGCCTCCCAAAGTGCTGAGATACAGGCGTGAGACACTGTGCCCGGCTCGGAGACTAACTTTTCATTGTCTACCTGTTGTATCGTTTGAGTCTTGAAAGGTGCTAGAGTGTAGTAGCTGCTTCTAAGCACAGACTCCAGAGCCCCATGGCCTGGGTTCGAACCCTGGCTCTTCCTAGCTGTGTGATCTTGGGCAAGTTACTTAACCATTCTTGGTCTCATTTTCTCATTTATAATTTGGAATAATAGACGTTAATATTTGTAAAGTGCTTAAAATTATGTCTGAGGTATCGTTGGCAATGCAAGAATGTCTACTGTTACTAATATTGCCATTAACCTGCATTTCATTTTTGTTTAGTAAGCCAGTTTAATAAAAATAAAGCCTTTAGGAATGGAAAGGAAAACAGGAACACAGCCGGTTTGTGGCCTGGGCAGATTAGACCAGGGGGCTGGGTGCTTTCCCTCCAGGGTGCATTCTCTCCTCCACAAGATGTCTAGGAGGACAGCCCCCAGTGCACAATTGAAGGTGACAGTAGGGAGCGGGGGCAGGGTTGGCTCCAGGGCCCAGGAAGCCCACCGGAGGCATCAGCCTTTTGCTTATGTGAGCTCCCACTGTGAGGGGAGGGCGGTGCCACCTTGGGCCAGGAGGAACTGTGCCCCCACGCTGAGCATTTGGGATTCTGTCCCTGTCTTATGCCATTGGCCTCTGGAGCCATTGCTTTCCTCACACCCATGTGCCAAGGCCAGGTTACCTCCTGCCTGCTGGTCAACCCATGGGGCAGGACAGGAAGAGGCAGAGTCAGAGTGGCCTTCAGCAGGGCTACCGGAAGGGACTGACAGGAGTGGGCAGACCTAAGGGAGCCCATGCTTCCTGGGCAGCCAGGAGGAGGAAGTATCCAGCCCCATTTGTGACAGTCAGGTGTGATCTGATTCCTGGAAGGTTGGGGGCTGAGCATGATCCTGGACTCTGGGGCCAGATTTCACCTGTAAGCCAGAGGGGATGAGGACGGACACCCAGCAGGTCCCTGCAGGTCCCTTGGCACTGGCAACAGGAAGGTCTGTGGCTGCAGGGTTTTCTGGGAAGAAGGATTTGGGCTGCACAGCTGCTGATGTTTCTATGGGTTAATGATTTATGAAGGCTGGAGGCTGGGGCCTTTCTGGGGCTGCCCTGTGCTCTGAGAGCCACTGGGCTGAAGCACAGGTTGTGAGCCAGTGACTTGTCTCAGTAGCTGAAACTGCAGCCCTGACTCCAGCTAATGCGATTTCTGGTCTTCTTTCCACAGGTGTGTAGCTGGGACGGTGCTGGTCTGAGCTGGACCTTGTCTGATGGCTTCCTCCAACCCTCCTCCACAGCCTGCCATAGGTACCGTACCCAGGGCTTCCTGTCCCTCTCATCCTTTCTTAGAAGGGGGCCGCTGGGGGCCGGCGGAGGGCCTTGCTCTGGAGCAGCATGGCGCCGGGTGGGAAGTCTGCTCTGCTGGCTGCTGGCCCTGCCTGGGCCGCATCCTCTATCTCACGTTCCTTGTCTACAAAATAGAAGTAACTTTCTGCTCACGGAGGAGGCTCTGAGCAAGGGTCAATCCTTTTCCTGTCTCCCTGAGATCCGCCGGAGAGGTGAACACACGGGGGTCTCAGGCTGAAGCTTATAAATCAGGGGTGAGGAACTGAGGTTGGAGGAGAGGGTTGCGCCATAGGGTCAGGCCGTTGAACAGTGGTAGCATTGCCGCATTTAGTGAAAAAAAGAGAAAGTAAAAGAAAAATACAGCCAGGCATGGTGTCTCATGCCTGTAATCCCAGCACTTTGGGAGGCCGAGGCGGGCAGATCACTTGAGGTCACGAGTTCGGGACCAGCCTGGCCAACATGGTGAAATCCCATCTCTACAAAAATACAAAAATTAGCTGGGTATGGTGTGGCACTTGTAATCTCAGCTACTTGAGAGGCTGAGGCAGGAGAATTGCTTGAACCTGGGAGATGGAGGTTGCAGTGAGCCAAGATCACACCACTGCACTCCAGCCTGGGTGACAGAGCAAGACTGTCTCAAAAAAAAAAAAAAAAAAAAAAAGAAAAGAGAAAAAGAAAAATACATACTTATACTAACAAAATTATTCGTCGTTTATCTGAAATTCAAGTCTGTGTCCTGTATGTTATTTGGCAACCCTGGCACTGGGGCCTCAGACACTGCAGGTGGAATCCAGGCCCCGCCTGGGAGGAAATGGGCCCAGGGCTGTTTCACCCAGGCAGCAGCTTCCTGTCCTCTTGTATCACTATGAGAGAGGCAGAATTGCAGATGGTAATGAGTGAGGGCTTTGTCCTCAGCCCCATCTGAGTTTGAATCCTGACCCTGCCACTTAGACTGTGGGGCTGGTTAAGTGACATGTTGTCTCTGTGGCTTAGTTTCATCATCAGTAAACATGGGGACAATGATACCCTCTCCTGGGCTGTTGCAAGGTTTAAATATATGTCAGGCGTGGGCATGGGGTAATCAATTGCTCACTGACGGGAGTGCTTATCATCGTGGGTGTCAGCAGGACAGACAGCGTGTGCCATGCCCTGCACCCCTGGGAGAGCCAAATGATGCATCTCCTCCTCCCTGAGCCTCGGGGTTCTTCTTGGGCGGGGGGTGGGGAGCAGCACAGCAGACCTGTCTTCCCTGTGGCAATGGGTGGCTTCCTAGGGTCCCTCGCCTCCTGGACTCGCTTGTATTTTCTCACAAGGACCGGGTCTGTCCAGGAACATCAGAGGCATGAGTGACCAGCTCTGGCTGTGCCACCTTTGCAGGCTATTAGGAAGGGCTTCCTTCAGCTCTCAGCTGTGCTGGGATGGGCCTCCTGAGTTTTCCTTCTGATAAGGAGCAATGCCTGATTGCCGGGGGGAGGATAGAAGGCGGCCTTGGAGACAAGCACATCTCACCTCCCAATTCATGACTGGGATTTGGGTCCCAGCATGCCTGGCCTTGCCCCATCCCGCCCCTGCTGCCATGGGCACCTGTTCCCTTTCCTCTCCCCACCAAGAGGCCTGAACCTGAACATGGGGAGTGAGAAAAAAAAATTTATGACTAAGTCAATTCTGTTCTGTTCAGCAAACATTTGACAAATATTTGTTGTTCCAGCTCTTTCTAATATTGCTGGCTAGTATCATCTGGGTGAACCCAGCTCTTTGCCATTTTCTCATTCTCTGAGAGCTTCCCATTACCTTCCCAAATTAAATTCAAATTCCTGAGTAGGGGATTCCCCACGCACCTTGTCAACTGTCTAATGACCTTCATTCCTGCGCGTGTCTTCAGCACCCCCGGGGCACTTGGTGTTTGTTCTCTGTCTTTGCTGTGGCCTCTGCCTGGAATCCACGCTTTAGTTGGAGCTTGTCAGGCCTTTTCTCATCCTTTAAGGCTCAGTGCGAGGGCAGCCTCATCCTCGGAGCCCTTCCTGAAGCCCCAGAGAGCCCCAGCCCCTTCCTCTTGGCACCGTCTCAGTCTCTGAGGTTTTTGGTTTTCTCCTGCTGGCTCTGTCCTGTCAGCCTCACAGTGAGCTCCGGAGGGGAGCTCACAGTCACCCACCCCGAACCCCAGGACTGTGTCTTACCTTTCCTTCCCCCTCCCTGCCCACTGGATGCTGGGAGCTGCTCACTGCATGCATGGATAACTGAAGCTATTTGTACTCTTAAAGGGAGGAGGTGCAGGCCAGGCACAGTGGCTCATGCCTATAATCCTAGCACTTTGAGAAACCTTGCTTGAGCTCCAGAGTTTGAGACCAGTCTGGACAACAGAGTGGAACCCTGTCTCTACAAAAAATGAAAAAAAAAAAAAATAGCTGGGCATGGTGATGCTACCTGGGAGTCTGAAGTAGGAGGATCACTTGAGCCCAGGAGGTTGAGGCTGCAGTGAGCCATGATCGCACCACTGCCCTCCAGCCTGGGTGACAGAGTGAGCTTCATTTAAAAAAAAAAAAAAAAAAAAAGAAGGTGTAGAAATGACCTGAGTCCCTGGACATGGCTGGGGGCAGGGTTGCCTGAGGCCGGGTCTTGCCTGTGAGTTGGAGAGGACTGCCCTTCTCACCCAGCAGCAGGGACTGGGCTATGACAAGGCTGTAATCATAATAATAACAGTGATAATGGTGGTAATAATACGACAGTGATGATGTAACGATGGTGATAATAATAAGCAGAATCATCATCGTCAGAAAAGCTAACATTTGGTGAGCACGCACCCTGCACCAGGTGCTTTATTTATGTTCATTCATTCCCTCCTCCCAACAACCCTGTGAGGTAGTTGCTGTTATTGACCTCATTTTAGAGATCAGGAAACTAGGAGGGGGTCAAATAACCCGACACTCATCCAGCTGGTACCTGGGTGAGCTGGAGTCTGAGCTGAACCCAGGTGGCCCGACTCTAGAACCTTAGTCACTGCAGTGACACCATCCACATATAAAGGGAGACCCCCACCCCCACTCCCTGCCCAGCAGATTCACTTAGGCAAGGACCAGTGGGCACTGAGAGGCTAAGAAAACCCTGTGTAAGTCAGGATGGGCCTGTAGCTGGTACCCCCAAAATAGTGGGTAGGGACTTTGTGGTCATTTATTCCAGTATTTAAACAAATTTTTTTTTGAGACAGGATTTTGCTCTGTTACCCAGGCTGGAGTACAATGGTGTGATCATGGCTCACTGCAGCCTCAAATTCCTGGGCTCAAGCCATTCTCCTGCTACAGCCTCCTGAGTAGCTGAGACTGCCGGCACATACCACCACACCCAGCCGATTTTAAAATTATTAAAAAATTTTTACTTTTGTTTATTTTTTTTTGAGACAGAGTCTCGCTTTGTCACCCAGGCTGGGGTGCAGTGGCACAATCATGGCTCAGTGCAGCCTTGAACTCCTGGGTTCAAGTGATCCCTCCACCTCAGCCTCCCAAGTAGCTGGGACTACAGGTGTATGCTACTACACCTGGCTAATTTTCTCATTTTTAGTAGAGACAAGGTCTCACCATGTTACCTGGGCTGGTCACAAGCTTTTGAGCTGAAGCCATCCTCCTGCCCCAGGCTCCCAAAGTGCTGGGATTACAGGCGTCAGCCACAGCACCCAGCCTATGTTTTAAACTTTGAAAATTACCACCCATAGACATGACAACAGGGGGACAAATGCTTATCACGTGCCTCCTGTATGCTGGACGTTACACTAGATGCTGAGGATGCAACAGCAAACAAAACAGACAAAAATACCTGCCCTCGTGAAGCTTATATTCGAGTAGAGGAGACAGACAGCAACACAAATAGCATATGGCATCATATGCTGACAACAGCCATAGAGAAAGGTAAAGTAGGCAGGGCAAACCGGGAGTCTCAGCAGGTCTCTATGGCAGCGTGCAGTAGAGATGCCGCAGCATGCAGAGAGATGATGCGCAGTAAAGATCTGAAAGAGGGGAGAGCAGGAGAAGATACTCGAAGGAAGAACGTGCTAGGCCCTGGGGCTGCGGGTGCAAAGGTCCTGAGGCAGGAGCATGCCTGGCACATTTGTGGTACAGGAAGGAGATCAGTGTGGCTGGAGTGGAGGGAGCAAGGGATGAGCAGAAGATTCTACGCACATGTGCACGTGTGCGTGCACACACACACACACACACACACCCCTACCCAATGTGTATATGTAACTGAAACAGAAGTGTCAAAACCAATATTGAAATTATACCAAGGTGAATTCATTAGTATCACAATACATTATTTTTTAAACATCTGAAATAATTCAATACCAAATGTATTTTATTTGGTATTATAATATCAAAAAGATACCCCATATGATTTTATTAATATTAGAATACAATGTTTAGAAACATCTGAAACAAAACAAGCTATCAATCCAAACACCAAATACAATGCTGATTGGGAATCCCCTAATTAAACTTATGAGCTACCAGGGGTTGGGAACTGCGTCCGAAAACCACAGATCCAGCTCCCACCCAAGCCCTTTCTGTCAGCGCAGGGCAGAATGTCTGAGGGCTTAGTAGAAGAGTATGGAGGGTGAATGGAGCTGGGTTCCAGTCCATCCCCATCCTCTTAGCTGCTGACTGTGGGCACATTGCTTTGCTTCTGTCTCTGGGGTCTTGGGTAAATGGAGGTGATCCTGAGGCTGGATCAGGAAGCTGCCTGGGGCACAGCTCGGGATCTCTCAGGACTTGCTTCATGACACCTGGGGAAGGAGTTTGCTCTACAGGCCACATCGCTGCCCAGAGTCCACCCCTGCTGACCTGGCCTGTGGGATCCCCAAAGCCCCAGGAGGAGTGGCTGTGTCTCCTCCTCCGTGGCCTCAGAGGAAGTTGGGTACTTCTCATTCTGGGGAGGGAGGGCGTACTCTGGGCTTCCATTGCAGTCGAGCAGCTGAAGAAGGGGTTTCTTACATCTGCCCCCAAAATATTATGCTCTGGGAACCTCCAGGTCATTGTAGGGGAGTGACTGGATTTTTCTAGTCCAAGAGACTGTTGGAATCAGATATGTCCATCTGTCCATCTGTTCATCTGCTGGACCATCTGCCCATCTCTCTGTTCCAGCCACCTCCTCACCCATCACTCATCCATCCATCTAATGTTTATTGAGCATTTGCCAGGGCTGGGTCCGCAGACCCATGGGCTAGAAAATCCTGTTTGTCCTCAAGGATCTGCGGCTGTTGTTGTCATAATCCTTACATATACGGGCACTGTGCCGAGGGCTACTCCTACCCAGTGGTTCTCTGATAGTGGTGATTTTACCCTCCAGGGGGACATATGGCAATGTGTGGAGACATTTTTGGTTGTCACAGCTGGAGGGTCCCCTGGGCCTGTAGGGTGTAGAAGCCAGGGATGCTGCTAATCGTCCTACAGTGCACAGGATAGCCCCCTCTCCACCCACAAAAAGAATTATCCAGTCCCAAGTATCAATTGTACCAAGGCTGAGAAAACCTAAGCTGCAGCTCAGCTGATGTTCATGTCAGCCTTATGGGGAAAGTGCTGTTTTTATTCTCCAGTTTGCAGAGGAAACCAAAATTCAGAGAGGCAAAGTGACTTGCTCAGAACCACACAGCTAGCAGGGAGCTCAGACAGGGCCATGTGAGCGCAGAGCTCATGCCTAAGCTGTGTGTCATGTGCCCACGAGAGGGCTGCTTAGGGCGGTCAGCTTGGCAGATGTTTAAAAACAGAACCAAACTGCCCGTTGGTTTTGCAATGGTTTGCATAAGGTAGGGGATGGAGTTATTGAACTCCTGAAGTTCCATTCAGCCCAGAGTTTAGGAAGGAAGTCTTCTAGGAAGAGGACTGGGGAACCTCCATGTGGTGAAATGGCTGGAAATGGCTTCTCGTGCTCTCTAGGATAGAGAATTCATCCCTTCACTCATGTAACAAAAGCCGCTGAGCTCCTGGTCTGGGCCGGTCCAGGACCAGAGAGTAGAGGGGACAGACAGGTGAGATGTCTGCTCTCAGGGATCCGAGCTTGGTGGGGAGTACAAACAAGGGGCAGGGGCAGAGAAGGAGAGGCCACACCTCCTGTAGTAGGGTAGGCGGGGACAGTCTCTCTGCTTGAGTTGAGCTTTAATGGGAGAGGAGGACAGGAGTTCATAGTCACGAAAGGGGTTCCCCAGGAGGGTAAAAGCAGGGAATGAGGCCTAGCAAGCTGACCTCCATGCTGAGAGCTTGGTGCCTTCCCCTGCCCCAGCCAGTCTGTGCCCTAGTACCTGCAAGCTGGCTGCCTCCAAGTCCAGGCATTCCCAGGCAGCTGTGTTTCATGCTGCTGCACATACCAAATAAAGTGTAGTGGGAAGGATGCGCTGTCTGTGCTCATTTGCACACACAAAGCACACAGACACATCAACACACAAACATACAATAAGCTTGTGCTCACGCATAAACACACATGTAAAAAGACCCCTTGCTCACAAAACAGGGAAACACGAAATAAGAAGAGGAAAGATATACATTGAAGTACTGAGGTGCACAGGCTCGCCCTGGGAGCACACTCCCTTCCCTCCCTCAACTGCCACTTGCTTAGAGACCTAACCCAACCCCCTCCCCCCGGCCTTACCAGCACTGTAGGGCCATGTGGCTTGAGTTTGATGGCTCTCATTCCCTGGCTCAGACCTGAGGTGCTCACCCAGTTCCAGCCATGCCCACCTACCCCAGCCATCTCTCCATTGACCAAACCTCGGAGATCCTGCAGCCTGGCCAACTCCTTCTCTCTTCCAGGAGATCAGCTGGTTCCAGGAGTCCCAGGCCCCTCCTCTGAGGCAGAGGACGACCCAGGAGAGGCGTTTGAGTTTGATGACAGTGATGATGAAGAGGACACCAGCGCAGCCCTGGGCGTCCCCAGCCTTGCTCCTGAGAGGGACACAGACCCCCCACTGATCCACTTGGACTCCATCCCTGTCACTGGTAAGATGTTTCTGGGAACTTCCGGTCCTGGGGCTACAGGGAGCATGGAGAACTGGGCGGAAGCTCCAGGCTCTCAGGGATGCCTGGTGGCCCCTCCGCTGTCCCCAGAAAGCAGGAAGGGAAAAGCCAGTGGGAAGAAGCTGCAGTCTGTGGCTTCCCTGGTGAATTGGAAATTCCTAGCATTCCTGCAACATCTGGCGCACTTTGGCACATTGTAAATGGAAGTGGTTGGCCTGAGTTTTGCTTTGGAGACAGTTGCTGCCCAGAGCTTGTGTCTCTGAAGTCCTCCCTGCAGCTTCTCCTAAAGAATCCACACCAGCCAGAAGAGCAGCCTCCCAGAGGTTCCCTCTCCTGTCTGCCTTGGGGAGCTGGCAACCCTGGGGGGCAGGAGGGCCCTGATAAGCTGGTGTTAAATGGCAGCTTCTGGGCTCTTAGAGTCTGTTATCTGAGAGAGAGAATCTGGGGACTGGACCAGCTGGAACTTCCTGCAGGCTTGGGGACAGCGGGCTCCTGGAGCAGCTGGGGGTGGAGGGCAGGCCCAGAGCAGGCAGGGTGGCTGCCACGGGTTCTGGCTGGAGTTGGGAAGTGGGCCACGGGGTGGGTGGGGGTGGTGCAGGCCAGGTAGGGGAGCTGATGACTGAGCCAGGGCTGGGGGAGGGAGGCGGGGCTCAGCAGGCACCCAGACTGGCCAGGCCCTGTCTGCGGCGCCCCTGGGGAGGCTGGGAAAGGGGCGGGGAAGGCCTGAGTGCCTGGGGCCAGCCTCTGGCCTGACAGGCTCTCTGTCTGCTCTTCTTTTGCAGACCCAGACCCAGCAGCTGCTCCACCCGGCACAGGGTAAGTGAACCTTGCTCCTTTGCTTTGGCGGTTGGAAACAGGGAGACACCGGGCAGTGGGTGGGGATGGGGTGGAGCTGAGGCCCAGAGGACCCGACTGGTCTTTGGCTAAGGAGGAAAGCATTTCACTGAGGCCCTGTGCCCTGGGGGAAGAGGTCAGTTCCAGAAACTCATGGTACTTTTTCCTTTATTTTGCCCACAAACCTCTGAAACCGCAGGAGGCAGGCCTGGCTCCAAACCCTACCTCTGTGGCCTTGGAGGAGTCACAGAAACTCTCCAAGTGTCAGTCTGTTTGCGGCTGAAGGGGAAACAATGAGAGCACCCCCTCTGTTGGGTTTGTCTTGGAGAAGCAAACAGCTGGAGGGTCCCCAGTGTGTGTGTGTGTGTGTGTGTGTGTGTGTGTGTGTGTGTGTGTGTGTGTAGTGGGGGAGGTTGGGGGGGTTTGAGGGTGGGGGGGGTGCAGCCCATTGTAATTATTTTTGCAGTTGCCATTTGTCTTGTTAATATCATTCCCATTCCTATGACAGTTGCTATTAGGGACCCTGCCCTCTGTGCCTGGGAGCCTGTCAGAGGCAGTGTAGCCTAGTGGTTAGGAGCCTGGATGTTGGGGTGAGGGCCTGCGTCTTGGCTGTGGCCCCCACACTGGCCACAGGTCCTCATGTCAGTCAAGTCCCCCTTTGGTTTTCTCATCTGTAAAATGGGCTATCGGGTAAGATGCCCAGCCTCGTGGTAGGTGCCTAATCAAGGCATTTGCTTTTTATCACAGTTCTTCTTTGTCTTCTGCAAGTCAGGTCTGGGTTGGAAGGGTAATTGGGTAACTGGAGGTGGTGGGAGCTGAGGCCTCTCAGGACCAGGTGTTTAGAGCCTCCTTGCCTAAGCAGTGGAGGGGTCTAGGCTCCAAATGAATGGCCCAAGCATCTGGAACCCTGAGTTTAAATCCTCACTACCCTGGTGAGGGGAGGCATGTCTGAGCCCTGCTTTGTCTTCCTGGGGTGCCCCAAACTGAGCAAGAGGGGCTAATTCTCAGGGTGGTGTCACCCAACGGGAGGTTTCAGAGATGCAGGTTGCAGGCCCAGGCCCCCAGAGGAGAAGTCCTTCATGTGCTCATTTGCTGTCCAGAGTGGGTGGACTTGGGGAGGGTTTCTCCTGAGCTTGCTACTATGTAATTAAGGTGAGAATTAGAGGCCAGCCTCTCCTTCCTGATTAGGGACCTGAAATGAATCAGCAGCCATTCGTCCTGCACCTGGGCTGGGAAGGGCCGTGATGGCTGCAGTCTTCCAAGGGTTTATATCTCCAGGGTGGGCCAGGGGTGAAGTTGTGGAGAAACTCAGTCTGGTGGGAGATGCAGATGCGTCAGAGTGGGACAGAGACGGACGCCCAGGGAGCTGGGACACTGACTGGAGGGGAGCAAGGATGGGGTCGTCAGGGAAGACTTCTGGGCCAGGTCCTGGCTCAGCGAGTGAATGGAAATTCTCCATTCAGGATGGCAGAGGGGCAGGGGGAGTGCCTGCTGAGGAAGCCCCTGAGCAGAGGTACAGGGCTGGCACACAGGGTGGTCAGCACACTCACTTCCTTCAAGCTACCCTCTTGGAGACCCCAGGAGTTAGGTGATGTGCTCAGGGTTCCATGTAGATAAGTAGATGCTCATTCAGAAGAGAGACCAAGGCCCCTCTGACACCGAGGCCAGGCGCTGGGCCACCGTGCTTCTCTGCCTCCAGGAGCTCATGCGCTGGTCCCTGATGAGAGGGTGTGGCTGGCTTCATAGGAATGATCTGATTGTGTGTACATTTTTTGAGGAAAGATTTTTGCCCACTCAGAGATGATCTCTGAGCTCTTGGGAGAGTGGCGTCTAAGCAGTCGGTGGAATGTTCCATAGGTCCCTCCCGGGGAGGCTTGTGCGGCAGTGCCTGGTGTGTGATTCCTGGTGAGGTCCCTTCCCTTGACATGAGAGCAGAGCAAAAAGAGCCGGCTCTTCGCTCCCCCAACACAGAGATCTTGTGAGGGCGGAGGGGTGTGCAGGTGTGTCTCTCCACCAGCAGTTGCCTCTATGGGGACAGGGACTTTTTGATTTTTTGGAGGGGGATGTTTTGTTTGCTGCCAAACCTCATGGCTTAAGTGGCAGGCACGGGGTGAGTGCCAAAGACGTCCTTGGTGAACGAATGATGGACAGAAGGACAAGGAGGGTCTGTGTTCCATGGAAGCAAGGAGAAAGCAAACAGCATGTCAGACCTGGTGAAGTGGCTCACGCCTGTAATCCCAGCACTTTGGGAAGTCAAGGTGGGTGGACCACTGAGGTCAGGAGTTCAAGACCCAGCCTGGCCAACATGGTGAAACCCCGTCTCTACAGAAAATACAAAAATTAGCCGGTCCTGGTGAACGGTGCCTGTAATTCCAGCTACTGGGGAGGCTGAGGCAGGAGAATCGCTTGAACCTGGGAGGTGGAGGTTGTAGTGAGGCGAGATTGCGCCATTTCACTCCAGCCTGTGTGACAAAGCGATACTCTGTCTCAAAAACAAACAAACAAAGAAACAAAACCAACCAAAGAATACCACCCCACCCCTCTACCCCCAAATGAATGGCATGTCAATAGGGTTTCTATTGGATTCTGACTCTGGCAGCTGTAGAGGCCAAGACAGAGGCCAGGGAAGGGAAGCGCAGAGTGGTTGTGTGGCCCAAGGCCACATGGCTAGAGCCACCTGACCTCACTGGTGCTGATGGTGCTGTGCTGAGCCACAGGCTGTGCTAAGTGCTCTGTGTACATTATCTCTTTTTGTTGTTGTTTGAAACAGGGTCTCACTCTGTTGCCCAGGCTGGAGTGCAGTGGTGTGATCATGGCTCACTGCATCCTTGACCTTCCAGGCTTGAGCGATTCTCCTGCCTTAGCCTCCCGAGTAGCTGGGACTACAGGCATGTGCCATCATGCCTGGCTATTTTTTTTTTTTTTTTTTTTCTGAGACAGTTTTGCTCTTGTTGCCCAGGCTGGAGTGTGGTGGCGCCATCTCGGCTCACTGCAACCTTTGCCTCCTGGGTTCAAGTGATTCTCCTGCCCAGCCTCCTGAGTAGCTGGGATTACAGGTGTGTGCCACCACGCCGAACTAATTTTTTGTATTTTTAGTAGAGATGGGGTTTCATCATGTTGGCCAGGCTGGTCTTGAGCTCCTGACCTCAGGTGATCCACCCACCTCGGCCTCCCAAAGTGCAGGGATTATAGGCGTGAGCCACCGCGCCTGGCCTAACTTTCATATTTTTTGTAGAGATGGAGATCTCACTCTGTTGCCCAGGCTGGTCTTGAACTCTTGGCTCAAGCAATCCTCCTGCCTTGGTGTCCCAAAGTGCTGGGATTACAGGCATGAACCACTGCATCTGGCCTGTATTATCTTATTACTTGTACCCCTAGGAGCCCTAGAAGACAGGTACTATTGAATATGCCCATTTTGCAGATGAGCAGCTGAGGCTTAGAGAACTGAAGTAATTTACCCAAATCTCATGGAGCTAGTAAATGGCAGGGCTGGGACTAGGCCTGTCTGCCCTCAAAGCTGTCTACTGAGGCCCACAGGGTTTGCTTCTCCTGGTGGACTCTGAAGCACGTGCACTCATGTCCACCCTGAGCTCTCGCTGGGGGAGTCGTGGTTGAAAGAGCAGCCCTGAGTACCCAGCAGTGCCTGGGAAACGTGAGCGCCACAGATCGCTGGCTTCCTGTGTTTTTCCTGGACTCAGGCCTGCACCCCTCACCTCTGAGTGCAATAGCCCCATGGACTCTGGCCCCCTCTGGAGTTGTTTGCTTTTCCTGTTTAGTTTTGCCTTTATCCCCCTGTGACCTCAGCACTTTTCTGTGGGTCAGGGTTTTGGCTCCTGGCCCTGGTCGCAGGGATTCTCATGGGCTCCCTGAAGGTACCTGGCCTACCCCTTCCTGGGCTTTTCTGGATAAGATGGTTGTACTGCCTGTTGGCTAGTGTCTCTCATTGGGGCCTGGAGCCAGGGGAAGTGATGGGGCAGCCGTATTCTGGGAGAGGACAGGGAGACTCATCTTCCCTGGATGTATCAGGGGCTGAGAGGATCAGGGCAAGAGGAGACCAGGCTCAGCAAAGCAGTATTGGCACAGGATGGAAACAGGGCGCTGGTGGCCTGTGGCTTCTGAGACTGCTAGGTGTGGGGGACATAGGGGCTCATGGGAAGGGCAGGTCAGCAAGGCCGGAGTGGGTCCGCAGCGTCTGGAGGAAATCTTCAAGATTTCCCAGATTGCCGCAGACCTAGTCTGGAGTTGTTTGGAATCCTGGGCTTCTCCTTACATGTGCTGTTTCCCAAATCCGGAACATTTGAGCCTCCTGCGTCCTGTCCCGCAGGGTCCATGCGGGACGTGAGGCATGGCAGATACCGGCTCTCCGCCCATGGAGTCCCCCATGGGAGGGTTATGGGGACCAGGTCTTTCTTTCCATTAAAAATCTTTCTTTAAAGGTCCCTTGCCAAATCCATAAATTGGACAAGCTGGTTTTTGTGTTTTCTTTCCTTCTTTTCCTTCTCCGAGGGTAGAAACAAGGGCTCCCAGTTTCCAATCAGAGCCAGGACCTTTGGATCCCAGGCCCTTTGAGGACCCCCACAGCCTCTTCATTGAAGAAGGCACTTGCAGGGTACCTGGTTGGCACATCTCTTCATGGTATAAATATGCCTTCAAGGAATCCTGTGACGTTCCTCCCTGCATCCCTGCAGCGGTGGGACTCTGCCTCACTCGTTTTTTATCCCAGTGCCTGGCAGAGATGGTGCAACAATACTAACAGCCTACACGTGCACGGACTTTACAGTTTACATCTCATTTTGATTCTCACAACTGTGGGAGGCAGAATCATGGCCCTTCCACCCCTTGGAGATTTCCGTGTCTTCATCCCCAGCACCTGTGAATCTGTGACGCTGCGTGGCAAAGGGACTTGGCAGATGTGATTAAGTGAGGGGTTTTGAGATGGGGAGATGACCCTGGGTTATCTGTGGGCCCAGTGGCACCACAAGGGTTGTGACAAGAGGGAGACAGGAGGGCCAGAGTCAGAAAGAGGTGGGAAGATGCCACGCTCCTGGCCTTGGAAATGGAGGACGGGATTGTGACCAAGGAATGCAGGTGGCTTCTCGAGGCTGGAAAAGGTGGGGGATGGCTTCTCCCCTGGAGCTGCCCCTGCTGAAACCTCGCTTTTAGTGAGAGCACAGCCCTGCCGAAACCTCGCTTTTAGCCCTGCGAACCCCTTGATGGCCTTCTGACCTCCACACCTGTGAGAACAGATTTGTGTTGTAAGTCACTAAGTTCGTGGTCATCTGTTACAGCAGCCATAGGAAACTAACACGACAGCCCTGGAAAGAGGAAATTATCGTGGGCACCATTTTGCAGACCAGACCTGGGAGAGAGCGTCACTTGTCTGTGGGGCTGGGCTGGCAGGCATGGTGCTTGGGCTCAAAGCCTCAGGCCAGGGGCTCTGTTTGCCCTTTCTCTATGGCCCTCTCTGTGCATCTAGGATGGTGCTCTGCTGACTGGCCGGTATTCCCCTGCCCTTCCCTTGCGTCTTCCTGTCCTTTCACCCAGCACCTCTTTACTGAGTGACTGCGATGGGGGCTGACATGCTCTGCCAGGCCATGTTATTTTTATGTGCCTGTGTGTGTGTTTGGCTCTAGGGCCAGATCATAATGGCCTGAATGTACCCAGCACTTCTTACATGCTGCGCTCTGAGAGCTTTCCCTCCCCAGTGCCATTCATCCTTGCAACACTCTCACAGGACAGGCGCTGATACAATCTGCATTCTAGAGATGTGGGAACTGGCACAGAGAGGACATGACATCAGCCCAAGGTCACAGAGAAAGATGAGCAGAGCCAGAGTTAACCCCAGCTGGCTTCCAGAACCTGTGTTCTAATCCCTCTGGTGCAACCGTCTCCCACACAGAGCTGGTTTGGATCCCGCCTGCCCTACATGTTAGCTGCATGACCCAGGACATGCTCTTTGGCTTCTCTGCCTAACCCTCAGTTTCTTTTCTTTTCTTTCTTTTGAGATGGAGTCTCTGTCGCCCAGGCTGGAGTGCAGTGGCGTGATCTTGGCTCACTCCAACCTCTGCTCTGCCCCCTGGGTTCAAGTGATTCTTCTGCCTCGGCCTCCCGAGTAGCTGGGATTACAGGCACCCGCCACCATGCCCGGCTAATTTTTTTCTATTTTTAGTAGAAACGGGGTCTCACCATGTTGGCCAGGCTGGTTTCAAACTCCTGACCTCAAGTGATCTGCCTGCCTTGGCTTCCCAAAGTGCTAGGATTATAGGTGTGAGCCACCATACCCGGCCCCCTCAGTTGCTAATCTCTGTAAAGCAGGGTGATGAGACTCACCGGATGGCACTGTTGGTGGGGATGAAATGAGATGGGAGAGATTAGGTGCTTACTCGGTGAGCTGCTCATTGTCACTGTCTCCAAAGGGTGTGGAGCTGTCTGGGGCTGACTCCAGGCACAAGGGACCCCTCCCTGGCCTGTGCATTGCTTAGCATTACCTGAGATGCTCTTCAGTCCATCCCTCCTCCCTACCTCCTCCTCTCTCTTCCTTTTTAAAAAAAATACAGTTTGTTGTAGAAAAATTAGAAAGTACAGAAAATGATAGACTAAAAGCAACTTTTAATCCTACCATGATGTGTTTCTGTCCAGCTTCTTTGCTAGGCATGTATGCAAGTATGCATGATTGTTTTTATAGAACTGTGGTTTATTGCACATGCTGTTTCGTGGCTCACCTTTTTTTTTTTTTTTTTTTTTTTTTAAAGCTAATTACATATCATGAGCATTTCCCCAGGGGAACTTGTATTGTTTTGCAACAACCCACATGGCTCTCGATACATTTTTGCCAGGGGTGCAGGGCCTCTCCATGTCTGACCAAGCCCTGGGGCCCCTGAGATGTCAGGGAGGGAGGTGCATTGCCACAGAGCAGGAGGCCAGAGGCTGGGCTTTGGCCCAGCATGTGTGTGGGGGGCCACCTGTACAGAGATGGCTCCCCAGAGGCCTCGACGCTCACTCCCTGCTGAGGTCTGTGATATGATGCCACCTGAGGGCCGCTCTGAGACTTCCCCTGGGGGGCTTCTCACTGCTCTCTACTCATCCAGTAAGGGGATCTGTGACCATGTGTGGGGTGGCACAGGAGAGACACACGGGGTCCTGGAAGCCCTCTGTGCACAGGATGGGCGGCCACAGAGGGAAGAGGGAACACATGCAGGTGAGGCCCCCGTGCCTGGAGGAGAGGCGGAGGGAAGGAGGGGGCGGGGAAGCAGCACACACGAGGCCATACCACGTGCCAGCCCCTGTGCCAGAGGATTTACATGCCTTCTTTATTTACTCCGTACCAGAACCCTGCGAGGGAGGTAGTGTTGCCTCATTTTACAGATATGGAAACTGAGGCACGGAGAAATGCTAAGTGCTTTATCTGCATCATCTCACTGAATCCTCACAGCTGGAAGTAGGACTGATACTTCACCCTGGTCCACATTCAGTAACTTGTCCCGGTGCACACAGCCAAGTGGCTGAGCCACAGTCATATCCCAGGTCGTGGCCCCGGGGTGCTTACTTCTTCCCCCCTCACGCCTGGGAGCCCTGGTTCTCAACCCTGGCTGCATGCTGCAGCCTGCAGGGAGCTTACCCCTGACCAACAGTCAGAGTCTCTGGGGCGGGGGCCCTGGCGCCCACATCTTCTAGGGGCGCCCTGCTGACTCTAGTGGGCCGCCAAGCCAGATGCTCTCTAAGGTCCTCAGCTTTGACATGCTGTACAACCAGGTCAAGTGGCCAGGGCCAAAAAGAGACCCAGCAGCAGGCTGAACCTGGGCTGCGTGTTCTTCCCTTTCCTTCGTGTCTCTTGATCGGGCCATCATGCTGGGAGGAGTTTCCGAGGCGGGCGGTGACACTGTGTGGGGCTGTCCTACGCAAACTCTCCTGTCCTGTCCCTCCCTGTGCTGCAGCTTGGGTTTTCCTTGAGGCCTTATAAGGCAAATGTCATTCCAGTCCTTTCTAGTCCCATCCCCAAAGGTGAAGTTCTTTCCTTTCTCATATTTGTTATGCCTTGTCCTGGCAAGGGCCCCAGAATGCTTGTGCGTGTGGACCATGCTGGCCAGGAATCCTTAGCTTGTTCTGGTTTTGGGGGTCTCCTCCCCGACCACCCACATGGTGCAGCCTCTGGGAAGGGACCCTTGGAGGTTCACTGAGAAACTGGGGCCTGTAGCAGCCCCTGCAGGGGTGGCGGGTGCCATTCTCTGGAGTGGGGCTTCTTATCTTTAAAACAGGCTGGGGGCCCGGCGCGGTGGCTCATGCCTGTAATCCCAGTACTTTGGGAGTACTAGGCGGATCCGAGGCAGGTGGGTCACCTGAGGTCAGGAGTTCAAGACCAGCCTGGCCAACATGATGAAACCCTGTCTCAACTAAAAATACAAAAAAAAGTAGATGGGCGTGGTGGCACACGGGGACCTACCCCTCCCTGCCCTGCTGCTCTTTGGAGAGAGAAGAGGTGGGGCACAAAGGTGCTTGGAGCTCTGTGGACCAGAAACGCACCAGGTGGCCTTCTGGTGCACTTGAACTCCTCTGCCGGCAATGTAGGTTGCTGCTTGGGGGTGCTGGGAGGGGTCCTTTCCTCTCTTCCCTGCTTCTGCATCTGCTTCTGCCTTTTCCTCCCCATCTCCTGCCCCTCACCATGGATTCAGCTTCTTTCCTTTGCATTCAGGTTGCTGGCCTTACTCTCATTTGCAAGCTGAGAGGCATTAGGAGAGCAGGAAGCTCAGATAAGGGTGAGATAATTGCCTCTTACTGGTTTTTATGGCTCTTTTATGACCCGGAGGCCCCTGAAGGAGTGTTTGTTCACAGGGAGAATTAGACACGGCAGCCCTGCGTGGCTTCCATGGACAGCGGCTGGGAGAGGCTGCTCCGGGTGGGTACAGGGTGGGTCCAGGGCCTTGGCAGGCATCAGGGAGGGTCACGGGTACAGGAGGGGCCCCCAGCCTCATTTCTTGCCGTGCCCTCTTTGCATGCGTGTCTTGAGCTGGAACGTTGCTCGTGTCCCTGCTCCCCCAACTTTATTCCTCTTCCCCTGCCTGGGAAGCCCTTTCCCCATCTCATCGGCCCGAGGAACACCTGCTCCAGTCTAGGGAGGCAGCGGAGGTGGTCCTGAGAGCAAGGCTTTGCAGATAGATCACCGGGGTTCAAACTGCCGCTGTGCCACTTGCTGGTCAGGTGACTTGGGTAGTGGGGGTGGGCAGGAAGTGACCTCTCTATGCTGTGGGGACCCCCATTCCCCAGCCCAGTACACCAGAGCCAGTACCTGGGCTGGTCGCTCACTGGGTTTTGATAAGGTGCAGCGAGGAGGAGCCTCCCCCTGCCTATGAGTCGGCTCATCAGGTGTTTCCAAATCCCTCCTGAAGTTGCCTGACCTCACCCAGTGATGCCTCTGCCCACCTCCACGTCACCTTTACAGTTTACATGGGGCTTTCTCTGGTGTTCTCTTGGTTAAACTGCATTCTTTCGGTTAAAGCGTGCTGCAGCCTTTGAGCTGGGTGTTACGCTTTCTCTTGGACAGTGTCTGAGTTCATTTGGGCTGCTGTAAGACAATGCCATAGATTGGGTGGCTTATAAACAAGAGAAACTTTTTTTTTTTTTTTTTGAGATGAAGTATTGCCCTGTCCCTCAGGCTGGAGTGCAGTGGCACGATCTCAGCTCACTGCAACCTCCGCTTCCCGGGTTCAAGCGATTCTCCCATCTCAGCCTCCTGAGTAGCTGGGATTACAGGCATGTACCACCATGCCTGGCTAATTTTTGTATTTTTGGTAGAGACAGAGTTTCACCATATTGGCCAGGCTGGTCTCAAACTCCTGACCTCCAGTGATCTACCCACCTTAACCTTCCGAAGTTCAGGGATTAGAGGCGTGAGCCACCACACTGTGCCTAAGAGACTTATTTCTCACAGTTCACAAGGCTGGGAGGTCCAAGATCAGGGTGCCAGCAGATTCAGTGTCTGATGAGGGCTCATTTCCTGATCATAGATGACACCTTCTCACTGTGTCCTTACATGGTAGAAAGGGCAGAGGAGCTCTCTAGGGCCTCTTTTATATGGGCACTAATCCCAACCATGGGGGCTCTGCTCTTATGACCTAATCACCTCTGCAAAGGCCCCACCGCCTAATACTATCACCTTGGGGGTGAGGATTTTAACACATGGACTTTTTTTGTCAGGGGAACACAGACATTCATACCATAGCAGATGGAGACTTGAACTTGAGCCTCTGAGTGTGCCGAGGGCTACTGCTCTCTCTCTCTCTTTTTTTTTTTTTATAAAATGGTAGCTAAACAGGCAAGATCTGAGGTAACCATATGCCACAGCAAACCTGTGATGTAGGTGAATGTCTACATGCAAGTTCTCGACTTCCAGGTGGTCTGGTTGAAACAATAGAAGCTTTGCAGGTAGACGTAGTGTAAGATCCCAGCTCCCACTAATTAGCTGAGTGATTTCTGGGTAATTGAAACTTTGTGAGGCTCAGTTTCCCCACCTGTAGAATAGGGGTAACAACACCTGCCTCCGGTGTGTTCCTGCAAAATTAAATGTGCAGGTCGGGCTTGTAGGCTCACTCCCAGCACTTTGGGAGGCCAAGGTGGGCAGATCACCTGAGGTCAGGAGTTCGAGACCAGCCTGGCCAACGTGGCGAAACCCCATCTCTACTAAAAATACAAAAATTAGGTGGGCATAGTGGCGCGTGCCTGTAGTCCCATCTACTTGGAAGGCTAAGATGGGAGAATTGCTTAAATCCAGGAGGTAGAGGTTGCAGTGAGCTGAGATCGTGCTGCTGCACTCCAGCCTGGGTGACCAAGTGAGACTGTCAAAAAAAAAAAAAGAAAAAGAAAAAAAAAACGTGCAATTACATGTAAAGCAGAGCAAGCAGTGCATGGCGGATGCTTTGTCACGGTCACTGTCATGGCCACATATCAGAGCAAAGAGGACCTGTGGCCGGGAGACTGTCCAGCCAACCTCTTCTAAGCTCACGTCTGTTCCAGCCGGAAGAGTTTGGTTCTGTCTGAGCAATTCCGAGCAACTGATGTGGCGCCTTCAGGATGTTTCTGTGTTGAGGAGGTGGCGGCTCAGCGAAGCAGCTGTTAGAAATCGGGGTTCAGGTGGCTCCCATCAGCCCATCACCCACCTTCCTGGTCCAGAGAAGCCCTGTCCTCTCTTGGCCTTTACTTCCTGTCATTGGTGGAAAGTGTCTCCCCAGGACCAAATGTGCTGCCTTCCTTGCCCTGGGGTGACACTGTTGACTTCTGGCAGTGAAATGTGAGCTGACACTTGCTCCTCTAATAGGGCAGGTGACTTAGACCTGCACCACCCAGTCCAGTGGCCACTAGTCATGTGTAGCTATTTAAAATTAAATTACTTGAAATCAAATAGAGTTAAAAATTAAGTTCCTTAGTCCCACTAGCCACATGTCAAGTGCTCAATAGCCACGTGGCTGGTGGCTGCTGCACCGGATAGGACAGGCAGGAGCATTCTCGCCACCACCACCGCTCTGCTTATTATCTGAGAGGCAGTGGAGGGTGGCACTCAGAGCCCAGCTTGGGAGCTAGACAAGCTGGCCTCATGGTCTGGCCCTGCCACTCCCTGGCAGAGTGATCTTGGGCAGGTTCTTCTACTTCCCTGCAGAATGCAGAAGATGCCAGGATCCTGTGTGGTGCTGGGAAGGTGAGGCAGAGGGCCTGGCTCACAGGAGGTGCTCAACAGCAGAGATCCCTCCTCGCAGCCTCCTCCCCTCCCTCTTCCCCTGCCCTGTCCTACTCTTCATCTGCTACAGGCTCGGGTGCCAGGAAGGGAAGTTCAAGTTGATTCTTTGGCAACGGTGCTGTTCTCTTGACAGTCTAAGGCCTCTGCCCTCTAGGTTGGCATAAGTGGTCTTTGGTCTTTGTTTTGTTTTTTTGAACCTGGACTTCAAAAAAATTCACGTTAGAATAGCTTTAGATTTTCAGAGATGTTCTGAAGAGGGAACATAGAGCTCCACATACCCCTCATCCAGCTTCCCTGCTATGAGCATCTCACATGGCCTTGGCACAGTTGTCAAAGCTGAGACCTACGTTGGCACATTACCATTCACTAAACAGATTTTGTGTGGATTTCATCAGTTTTCCTACTTATGTTTATTTTTTGACCCAGGATCCAATCTGGGATCCCACGTTGCGCTTAACTGTCATGTCTCTGTAGCCTGCTCCAGCCCGTGGCAGTTTCTCAGTCTTTCCTTGATTTCCAAGACCTTGAGAATATTGAGGAGTGATGTTTAGGTGCGGTGACTCACTCCTGTAATCCCAGCACTTTGGGAGGCTGAGGTGGGTGGATCACTTGAGTTCAGGAGTTTGAGACCAACCTGGCCAACATGGTGAAACCCCATCTCTACCAAAAGTGCAAAAATTAGCTGGGTGTGGTGGCGCATGCCTGTAATTCCAGCTACTTGGGAGACTGAGGTGGGAGGATTGCTTGAACCCGGGAGGCAGAGGTTGCAGTGAGCCGAGATCGCACCACCGCCCTGAAGCCTGGGCGACAGAGCGAGGCTCTGTCTCAAAAAAAAAAAAAAAAAAACAAAAAACAAAAAACTCTAAAAAAACAAAAAGAGTCTTGAGGAGTAATGCCAGGTATTCGGTACAATGTTCCCCACTCCGATTTTGTCTGGTGTCTTCTCTGTGATTAGACTGGGGTTATGCGTTTTGGATAAAAACACCATGGAGGTGAAGTACCCATTTCATGACGTCTTATCAGGACACATGGCACCTGCGTGGCGTCTCTACAGATGCTCACCTGGGTCTCTTGGTTCGGGACGTGTCTGCTGGGCTCCTCTGCTGTTTCCCATTTGCATGTCTGCTCTGTGGAAGGGACTCACTGGGCCAGCCCATCCTCAAGTGTGCATGAGGGACTAAGCTCTACCTCCCACTTACAGTCTTTTGAAGCTTTGCAAGTCTTGTTTCTTTTTCCTTTTTTTGATGGAGTGTTGTTTTGTCATCCAGGCTGGAGTGTAGTGGCATGATCTTGGGTCACTGCAACCTTCCTCTTCTGGGTTCAAGTGATTCTTGTGCACCAGCCTCCTGAGTAGCTGGGGCTACAGGCATGCACCACCACGCCTGGCTAATTTTTGTATTTTTAGTAGAGACGGAGTTCCACCATGTTGGCCAGGCTGGTCTTGAACTCCTGACCTCAAGTGATCCACATGCCTTGGCCTCCCAAAGTGCTGTGATTACAGGCATGAGCTACCGTGTCCAGCCAAGTCCTTGTTTCTTTCAAGAGGCAGGGATCCCCCAGCCTGCCCCTTCTGTTGTATGTGGGAGAGTGGAGAGGTGGAGGTTCCCTTTGAGTCTGCACTAGGGAGAGACGAGACAGCCCCCTTGCGGAGAGTGCTTGGTGCTTATCACTGTGAACAAGGTTGATCTTCATGCTCTTGTGAAGTGCCAGCCCAACCTTATGCACGCCTTCTAAAGATGAGGAGCCTGGGGGCTTGTCTGAGGCCAACTCCACCTCAGGTCTCCCCAGCAGCCTGGCCCTCAGCCCACTTTTGCCCATCATGTCCCGCTGACCAGGTGAGGGGCTGCCAGAGGCTTCTGGGAGCCACCTCTGGACACCTCTGCAGTGCCATCTCTTGCCCGCAGGGTGCCAGCCTGGGTGAGCAATGGGGATGCAGCGGACGCAGCCTTCTCCGGGGCCCGGCACTCCAGCTGGAAGCGGAAGAGTTCCCGTCGCAGTAAGTCTCCCCTCCGGCCCACCGCCCACCCCAGGTAGCAAGCTCCAGGATATTCTAGTCTTTCTAACCCAAGAGAGCTGATGTGGGCTCCTGTGAGCCCAGGGTTCATCCTCACCGGGGGCTTCTGTGGCCCTGGAGGACCAACCACCGCCCCCAAGAGCCAAGGTCCAGGATCAGTTGACACACCCAGTTTTTCATCTGCTCCTCAAATACTTACGAAGTTCCCACAACAGGCCAGGGCGGCCCAGTGGTGGGAGTGCCCTGGGGACCAGAATGAGGTCCCTCTGTTAACAGAACCAGACACCTTGCCATGGGAAGGTGCCTGCCCAGATGAGCCCTCCAGAAAGAGAGGGAGGCAGCAGGGGTGGGGGAAAGAGGGTCCCAGACAGAGGGGCCAACTTGTACAAGGGCCTGAGGGCAGGAGGACCCCTGACTCCCGGGAAGCAGCAAGGGCCTCATCTGTGGGGTGTGGGGGAGCGTTATGGGGTGAGGTGTGGCTGCGGGCCCTGCAGCTCCTCAGGGCCCCAGAGGCAGTGCTTAAGGTTCTCAAGGCAATAGGAAGCCACAGAAGGAAGGCCAGTGATGTGGCTGCCTTTGCCTTTCAGTCCTGTTGCACTGGGGTGGGGGCAGTGTAGGAGACCAGGTGGGGAAGGGTGGAGCCTGCTGGGAGGCTATCGTGGTCTTGTAGGACAGGAAGTCTGAGGGTGGGAACTAGGGGTCTAGAGAGAGGTGGGCAGGCCTGGGAGCTGGTGTGGGGAGGAAGAGGGGGCTCTGACAGGGCTCTAGGGGCCCAGGACCTAGGGAAGCATCACAGGCCAGTGGGTCTCGTGACTTCTTCCTGGAAGGCCTGTGGGTCAAGGACCGGCTCCCATCAGGGGTGGGGGCTGGTTTTCCAAGTCCTAGCACTGCTCAGTGACGAGGGTCTAGCCCCGGGGTCCTGGGTGACTGAGGATGCTAGGGCCAGGGCACAGGTGCTGGACTGCGTCATGCTCCCTGCAGGGGCCGGGAGCAGCTGTCCATTAGCCAGATGGGCAGGCCTGCGGGCAGCAGGGAGCCAGGTGGGGTCTGTGCAGTCACTGGGAGGGCGCCTTGGAGGGGGTGGGGGGCGGGGAGAAGCGAGGGAGCCGGCATCCCCTGAGGGCAGCTGGCGGAGCTAAGGGCTGGGCTGGGCTATCAGAAAGGAGGGTGCTGCGTGCCACCAGCTGGTGCAGTCCTGATGTCATCTGCAGCACCTCTGGCCAGGCTGCCACAGCCCACGGTGGTGCTCTCTCTCCCCACTTCCCTCCCAGTTGACCGGTTCACTTTCCCCGCCCTGGAAGAGGATGTGATTTATGACGACGTCCCCTGCGAGAGCCCAGATGCGCATCAGCCCGGTATGATGTCTGCAGTGCTTCCCTGTTTCTCTTGGGGACAGGGGAGGGAGGCTGGGACTGGGGAGGGTTGTCTCTTTCCGTTTCCTTCTGTCCCCACCTGGCCAAGTGCCCCTCCTTCTTGTCTTTAGAAACAACTGTAGTCATCGGGGAGAATCTGGAGATGGCTGAGGGCGTGGCCACCGGGGCCGGGCAGGGCTTGGGCATCATGGGCAGGGCCATGCTCCGGCTATGGGTCCCCGGGCAGGTAATCACCTTTCTAAGCCTTGGTTCCTCCTTCAGGAAAATGGGGCCATACCCCAGGCTTTCTGGGGCTGTTGGGGAAGACGACAGACTGTTACACTCAAAGGGTGAAGCAGATAAAGCTTTGCAAAGCCCTGCGCCCTGCTCTGGGTTGAGGGCTGAGGTGGGCAGGCAGGCAGGCGATTGTGGCCGCAGAAGGGAGATGGGGCGGGCCTGGGGCGAGTCTTGCTGGAACTCACCTGATGGAAGAGAGGACTGTTCATTGGCAATTAACAGGAAGAGCCGTCTTTGCTTGGACACGTTAGGCCAAGCATATTTTCAATCATGTAATGGCTTCAAGACTTTGGGATGTTACCTTCTCATTTTACAGACAAGGGAACGGCAGAGGCAGGGCTAGGATTTGAATGTGGGTCATTCTGACCCCCAGTTCAATGCTCTGTCCCCTACCCCAGGAGGATTTCTGTGGCATTTTGTGACAGATGAGGCACATTTGATCCCACTGATCCCACGACCCCTTGAGGTCAGCAGGGCCAGGCTTATTTATGGCTCCCATGATGAAGAGGTTAAATCACCAGCCCCAGAGTACACAGCCAGGATTTGAACAGCGACTTCTTTTCCTACTATGCGATTCTTCCTGTTTTCAGGGGCTCTCCGTCCAATGGGGAAGCACAGCCCCTGCTTTTGAGGAGCTCCGAGTCTGATGGGGCAGCTCTAACCATCCTTGAGCAGCACAGAGCGCAATGGGAGAGACACACAGACAACACGGCAAGGCCCGAGGGCCCCAGAGCCACACTCCTGACTCCTGTCTCAGGAACGGGGACACCTGGGCCAAGGATATGCTTATCCCTTTAGCAAGCCTGGGATGTGCTTGGAGCACATTTTCCTGTTTGTAGCTCACTTGAGTCCAGGGAGCAATGGATTCCCACTGTATTAGGAGGCAAAGGAGTCTCAGAAAAGTCCCAGAGCTGGGAGGTCTGAGCGGCTGAGGGGCCTCAGTTGTTGTTTAACCCATTTGGCCTATTTCCCACCTGAATTCAATCAAGTCACTAAGTCCCTGGCTCCTGTCTTCACTGTCCTCAGGGTCTGGGAGGATGTGGCATGTTCATGGCCTGGGTGTCACACAGCCTGTGTTTGCACCCTAGCTCTGAGCCTGCAAATGGGGACCACAGTACCCACCCCAGGATCCCCATATGCTGGGCTGTGGGAGGATCATTTGTGACAAGGCTGCACAAAGCTCAGTGCAGGGTGGAGTTTTGGAGATGCTTTTCACACAGGGCCACTGTTGCTGTTGTTGTTAGTGTTATGCCTGCCGAGGGTCCCAGCACTGGCCTGCCTGGGGCTGATGTGGGCTCAGCAGAAGCTTGGAGAGGAGCTCGGGCCAGCTCTGCCATTGATTTGGGCACAGGGCTTTGTGCCTTTGTGCCTTGGCTTCTTCACATAAAGCAGGAAAATCCCCAGCTCACAGGCCTTTGGGGAGGGTCACACGGGGTCCTGACCAATCTCTCTGGGCCTCAGTTGACCCATCTGTAGAACTGGGGCAATAATAGCCAGTCCTAGGGTGGTAGCGTAGATTCCATGAGGTAATTGATGAGGACACTGAGCAGGAAGCATGAGGGGACCCTTATGTGGTCCCTGAAAGCTGAGGAGTTGGCCCTCGGGCTGCACACAGGCACAAGAGTTCTGTGACTCTGTCTCCACTGGAGAGGATATTTCTATATGTGTAGATGGCGGGGACTTCAACGGAAGGTGGTACAGAACCCTGGCCCCGTTCACTGTCTTACTGTGGCCAGCCACATCTCTCCCATCTGTCTAATAGGAGGAGTGATCATTCACACCCTGCTGTCTGCACAGGGCCGCTGGGAGCCGTGGCACACCGAGGATGGAGGTGGTTGGGTGCACGGCTCAGCCCTGTGGAGGCGTGGACCTGCCACATGCTGCCAGGGTTCCTCCTCAGGGCTACCCTGAGAACTCTGCCTCTTTGGCCACTAGTTCAGGGGCCTCCACTGCAATAACAGGACAATCAGCCTGGCCTTCTGAAGGTCGCAGCTGCTCCACTCTCTAAAGACATTAGTTACTATTATCTTTTGCTTAAAAATAGCCTCATGTTCCCTCCTGGTTCTGGGACCCGTCTCCCACTAAGCTTTGGCACATCTGTTTTGTTCTTTGGCTGACACTCTTGCCCCCAACCTCTCGCACCCCACCTTTCCTGTGGGGTGAAGCTGGGGGGCCCTGGGTCTATGGACTGACACCCAAGCTCCCCCAGAGCCACCATGAGTGACGGCCTACTGCTCTCAGCCGAGTGCGTGCTATGTGTCAGGCACTTTGCCAAGAGCTCCGTGCCTGTTTTATTTACTCAACTTGTCCACTTATTATTAGCCACATTTTGCAGAGAGGTCTCTGATGACCAAAGCTCGCAGTTTTTCAGCACAGTCGTTTCTGAGCAGATTTCTTTTCTTCTTCTTCTTCTTCTTTTTTTTTTTGAGATGTTGTCTCTCTCTGTCACCCAGGCTGGAGTTCAGTGGCACGGTCTCGGCTCACTGCAGCTTCCGCCTCCCGGGTTCAAGCAATTCTCCTGCCTCAGCCTCCTGAGTAGCTGGGACTACAGGTGCGTGCCACCACACCCGGCTAGTTTTTGTATTTTTAGTAGAGATGGGGTTTCATCATGTTGGCCAGGCTGGTCTTGAACTCCTGACCTCAGGCGATCCACCCATCTCAGCCTCCCAAAGTGGTGGGATTACAGGTGTGAGCCACCGCGACCAGTCAGATTCCTTTTTTTTTTTTTTTAAAAAAACACAAAAACAAAAAAACCCTTCCCAATGCTATATTTCTTCTGTGATGACAAAAGCATTTTCATCTTCATGTACTTTTTGGCGTCTGACCCCAGTTTCATGAGGTCTGCAGTTCTCCAGGTAACAGATGAAGAAATGAAACCCAGTGGGGCAAAGGGCCTTGCCCAAGATCCCCCAGTGACGGAGCTGGGGCTGGGACCCTGTGTTCCGGCCTCGGGACAGTGGCTTTCCCACCTCAGGCTTCAAGTGGCATCTCATAGCCGAGTTGAATGGGCCCCACGAGTGCCCTGGCCCTTGTGGGACCTGTCCCTCCAGACTCTTAGCTTTTTGTCCCCAAGTTTTCAGTCCAAGGCATTTCCCGCAGGCTTAGGAAGGAAAGGAGCTCCTGGACTCTGGGCCAGCTGCGCCCCCTACTGGAAGATCCCAGGCTGCACGTGAAGTCAGATTTGGGGTGAGGAGCCCTGAGGCCCCAACAATCTCTGTTTCATTCCTGAGGATGCTGAGGGCCTGAGCCAGGACTTGGCTCCGGGTCTTCTCTTTTCCAGTAAGAAACAGGCCACGTGTGGTGGCTCGGCTGGGTGTGGTGGCTCACGCCTGTAACCCTGGCACTTTGGGAGGCCGTGGCAGGAGGATCACTTGAGTCCAGGAGCTCAAGACCAGCCTGGGCAACATAACAAGACTCCGTCTCTACAAAAAATTAAAAAATTAGCTGGGTGTGATGGTGCACACCTGTAGTCCCGGCTACCTGGGAAGCTGAGATAGGAGGATCTCTTGAGCCCAGGAGTTTGAGGCCACAGTGAGCTATGATTGTACCACTGCACTCCAGCCTGGGCGAGACAATGAGACCCTGTCTCTAAAACAAAATTGCCAAGGAGGCTCACAATGAGCGCTGAGACCATACAAAAGCAGTGCTGGGAGCAAAAGGAAGTGAGCGGGCTTGTGCACGTCTGACCCATTTCTTGGGTTTTCCCCATTTTCTCAGGCCCTCCTTGCCCTACGAGGGGGAAAATGTATTATCATCTTCGTTTCATGGTTGAGGAGGTAGAGCTGGAGCCCCAGGGCCCCCATGTTCTCCCTGACCCCCCCTCGCCCCACCTGGGTTCAGAAATTGGGTCTGAGGCTGGAAGTCTGGTAGGCTTGGCCTCAGGGCCTGGGCTCACCGGCTGCCGCTTGGCCAGCAGGGGCAGAGAGGAACCTGCTCTACGAGGATGCGCACCGGGCTGGGGCCCCTCGGCAGGCGGAGGACCTAGGCTGGAGCTCCAGTGAGTTCGAGAGCTACAGCGAGGACTCGGGGGAGGAGGCCAAGCCGGAGGTCGAGGTCGAGCCCGCCAAGCACCGAGTGTCCTTCCAGCCCAAGGTGAGGGGACCGGGGGTGTCGCTCACCTCAGTCAGGGCACGGAGACCCCTTCAGGGAGGGAGGGAGGGAGGGAGCTGGGTAGTGAGGGCCAGGCCTAGGACTCACGTCTGGGTCCCAGGGATTCCCGGGTATGTGTGGTGAGAGGGGAGCCAGAAGCCCAGGTCATCCCGAAACAGGAGGTGACTCGTAGACATTGCTGTTGGCAGCCCTAAGCCCGGGATGGGCATGGCTGGTACCTGGCACAGGTGCTCCCCCCACCCCCTTGCTATGGCAGACCTGGTCAATTGATCCTGATGCTCACGGGCTCAGACTGGGCTTCAGAGTCCTCTCAACGCCGCACTCCAGGTAGCCCAGCCACTTGCTTAGAGGTGGAGCCTGGATCAGATCCACTTGCTCTCCCCGCCTTCTGGGACTGATGCTCAGACCAGGCCTCAGCCCGCGCAGTCCTCTCTGCTCTGGGGCAGTGGAGAGTGGGGGCTGCTGTGGCTAAGCCAGAGCGGCCTGGAAGCCTTCTCTCCAGGGCCTCACACGGTGCCATCCATGCATTCAGCTTTCCTCGTGTTTCTGCCTGGAGTAGAGACCATTCTGCTTATTTCCTGGAGGGGAGCCCCTGAGGCTGTGAGGGGGATAGGTCATCTGGTTCCTTCTTTCCCATGGCACCCATGCTCCTTCCCTGTTGTTCTGCGGAAGCCACCAAGAGGCAGTGTCTGTCCGTGCTGAGATTTGCAGTTTCATGGGGACAGCTTCTTACAGGCCCTGACTGAGCAGAGGGGATGGCGTCCCTCTCAGGCTACTTTTATGTTTATTTTTATTAATTATTCTTTTGAGGCAGAGTCTCACTCTTTCGCCCAGGCTGGAGTACAGTGGCCCTATCTCGGCTCACTGTACCCTCTGTTTCCTGGGTTCAAGCAATTTTCTGCTTCAGCCTCCCAGGTAGCTGGGATTACAGGCGTGCACCATCATGCCTGGCTAATTTTTGTATTTTTGTAGAGATGGGGTTTCGTCATGTTGCCCAGGCTGGTCTCAAACTCCTGGCCTCAAGTGATCCACCTGCCTCGGCCTCCTAAAGTGCTGGGATTACAGGTGTGAGCCACCATGCCCAGCCTCAAGCTCCTTTTAAAAGATGTAGCGGGGCGGGAGAGCTCCACCTGGGGCCATTCCTGCATGGGCAGGGTGGGGACAAGAGAGGGGACTTTCCCAGTGCCTCCCACCTTTTCTGGGCTTGGGGGATCCACTCTGGGAGAGGCATGCTGGCCGGAGGAACACCCACACCTGAGTCCTCAGGCAGCCATTCCTCAGACCAAGATGGGCTCCCTGAGTCCTGAGCAAGCCTGGGACTGAGCAGGTCTCTCTCAGCCTGCTGTTTCCAGGGATGGGCCTCCAGGGGTGGGCTGTGGAAAACAGCCTTAATGTCTTGCTAGCCAAAAAGCGAAGCATTTACAACACCTACTGTGTGCCTAGTCCATATCTTCAGTTGTGGGACGGGATACATTGGAACAGGAAGACCTAATCTGTGCTCAGTGAACCTTTACGGTCCATAGGAGACACTGAATGGGAAACAGTTTGTCAAAAATGAACACAAAATGCTGGTCATCATGATCAGTGTGGTACAATTTTCAAAGCTAAACTATCATGCCCTTCAAAACATAATGAAGACAAAAATGCCTTTACGTAAACATGAGCCTGTGTCCAGCCTGGCTGTGTGCCTGACAGGGGTAGGGACTGATGAGACCAATCAGAGACGCCTCTGAGAGCGGTGAGTTGGAGCTGGGCTTAGGAGCTAGAGGAGACAGGACAGGTGATCCAGGCTGGAGGAGCGGCCCAGGCAGAAGCCCAGGAACAGCTCGTTGCTGCTTCCTGCAGTTCAGAAGGGGCAGCATGCACTGCTTTAGGGAAGGGGGCTTTGGTTATGAAGCCCCCACTCCCCCCAGTAGCCTCTCCATATGGCAGGACCCGTGCGTCCCAGCCCTGCTCTGGGCAGTGTGACCAGATGGGGCTCTCGAGTCCTGGCCCAGCCTTTTAGCCTCAGCCTCTGGCGTTCCTCCTCCTCTCCCATGTTGTCCCCGGCCCTCTTGCTGGGACTGGGAGGAAACCATGCGTGTCTCTCAGAGGGAAGGAGGGATGACAATGCTGAATTCAGGCTTTCCAGCGGTGGTCCCCATGCTTCCACGGGCATCAGAACCACATGGGTAACTGATTGAATCACAGATGCCAGGGCCTCACCAGGGACTCTGATTCAGGGGTTGGGTGGGGCCCGGTAATCTGCCTTTTAAGCAGCTCTCTGCCCCCAGGGGGTATAAGGGGCCCACAGAGCACTCCAAGAAATGCTGGGCTGTACTCACCATGGCCTGGCCCTGGGACCTCTGGGGGCTGCCTGTGAGCTCGTGTCCCTCACACTCTCAGGCTGGGGGCTTTGGACCCTTCCTCAGCAGAAAAACTATGTGGCACAGTTGTTGGGATTTCTAACCACTTGGAGTTTTTCTCTGGCCGTGGCCAAGGCCCACCTGCTCGCTGATCAGCAGGCTCCTAGGGAGACAGGAGGTTGCGGAGGGCTTTTCCTCTGGTACCCACTTCTGCCAGGGACTCTACTGAGCCTGCCTGTGGTGCTTCACCCTCCTGAGCTGCTTGGGGCGCACCTGCTCACCCGCTGGCATTGCAGCAGCTGCATGTTTTAGGGCCACTGCTGCTTGGCTATGTGCTGTGTGTGCTGTGGGCACAAGCTGACAGCAGGGGTCTGGGGATGTGTTTTGTCCTGTTCTTGGAGACTGACCATGGCCAGGCACCCTGCCCAGCTGCAAGAGAACTAATGGAACCCCTTCTTCAGAGATCCGAAGAGGCCGTCCCTAGGCAGGTGGACTCTTGCCAAAAAAAGTGACCATGGGGTCTGTAGAGGGGCACGGACCCAAGTGGAAGCAGCTGCCTCATCCTGTTATGTGAACAAGTGGTCCTGCTGGTGCCAATCCAGGATCTGTGGTTTTTTTTTTTTCCAGTTGTGGGATGGATTGCATTGAACTCTCCCACTCTCCAGTGGTGACCTCTTTGAAATCAAGGTCTCTGATCCAGCTGGACGGGGACTGGGCAGAACTCATGGATTCATTACAGAAACGCCAGCCCTGGCCCAGCCTGGTCTACCCCCTGCTCTGATCTGGCCAACTCAGCAAGTGGCCTCTGATCCTAACATTTCCTAGTTCTTCTGACCCTGAGAGAAGTGATGGAGCACCAGAAGGCCCAGGGGCTTTATGGTTTTATTATGTGAAACTATTTTATGGATGAACAGGACTCAGGTCAAACCCCAAACTCCTCAGTTTTTTGGGAGTCTGGGTAGCTCTCAGAGGGACCCCTGTCCTGCATGCATACTTCTTTGCATAACAATATTGAACATTTGCCTAGAATGGTACACTTTACAAAGCAGTGTCATTTAATTTTCCCAGTACCCTAAGTGGTCAGTATTATTGTCCTTAAGATTCTCATTTTGTTGATCAGAAAACCTGTGTGAAGCTCAGAGAGACTTAAATGATGTAGAATGCAATATCACAGGTGCCTCATCTGTCTGTATATCCATCCATCCATCCATCCATCCATCCATCCATCCATCCATCCACTCATCCATTCACCCATCCAACAAATATTGAGCACTTGCAATTTAAAAGATAATAATGGCTTCCATTTTTTGAATACTTAATAAGCTCTGGGCTTTGCATGTACATTTAATTTTCTCAACAACCCTATGCAGTAGCTACTATTATGGCCACTTTACCAGTGAGGAAGCTGCAGCTCAGGTAAAGAGACTTCTCTAGCTAGTAAGCAGAGATCCATGATTTGAGCAGGAGCCTACATGCCTCCAGAACTCACACTCTTGATCCTTCTGTCTACTTCTCTAGAAGTAGCACCTGTCTTGGTCTTTTGTGTACTTTACCAAATATCACTGTTGCTCATATGGTTCGTGCATTTGAATATCTATCTGTTCTTCTGTCCATCTACCTGTTCTCCCATCGGTTTGTCCATCCATCCATCCATCCATCCATCCATCCTCCAGATAGTCTGTAAGCTGAGCATCCATTCTTCCATCCAGTTGCCCATCCCCCTCCCTCCCTTTTACCCTTCACCCATCCTCCCTCCATTCATTCTCCAGCAGTGTGCCAGAGGCAGCTAGTGTCAGCTCACAAGAACTCAGGAGCCAGTTATGAGCATCTCTTTACAAATTCCCATTCAGTGATGTCACTTTGGTAGCTTGGAATTGGTGGAAGTATTCACACCATGGAAATGCTTCAAAGCAGGGCCCTTTTTCCTGCAGAACTGGTTGTTAAATATTTGCCAGCACAGCACTGCCTGAATCCATTCTCCTACCGTCCATCCATCCTCTTATTCCTTCATCTGACTGTCTCTTCATCCATCCATCTGTCCATTTGCCCAGCTATATAGTCACCTAACCAAATTTATCCATTTGCTCATCCATCTATTTATCTGTGCATCTATTCATTCATCCATTTATTTATTCATCCATCCATCCCTCTATGAGCCTGTTCGTCTACCCATCCACCTGCCTGTCTGTTGCCCATCCATCTGCCAAACTCTTCTTCTACCCTTCCATTCATCTTTCTGTGGATTTACCCACTTATCCATTTATCCCCCAACCTCATTCCATCTATCCATCCACCTGCCATCTGTCTATCTCACAAACTTACAGAGAAGCTCCTATGTTACAAGCCCTGTGCTGGGCCACAGGGCCGGGGAGAAGACACAGTTCTTGCCCTCAGAGCATTTTCCCTTTTCCCTAAGACAGGAGACCTGGATTTACTCCCCTCCCGCCTCTCCGCCCCAGCAGCCCAGATTCCCTGCTGCAGAGACCCGGCCCCCAGCTGCCTGGCATGGTGGGGTTGGACACAGCTGGAGCAGATTCCGGGCAGGATCTGGCTGGACTGCTGCCTGGGACCTGGGGTGCCGCATCCCGCCTGCCCGAGCTGTCCGTCCGCACTTTACCTGAGTCTCCTTTCTCCCCTGTTGTCTGTGTTTTGTCTCCTTCCTGTCCCGCCTGCTCCTCTCACCTGCTTTCCTTCTGCCTGGCCGCTTGGGGCTCCAGCTTTCTCCAGACCTGACTAGGCTAAAGGAGAGATACGCCAGGACTAAGAGAGACATCTTGGCTTTGAGAGTTGGGGGGAGAGACATGCAGGAGCTGAAGCACAAGTACGATTGTAAGGTATTGTCTGTCTGTCCCCTCAAGCCCTGGATGGGGGCTGTTTCCAGCTGCAGCTACCTCCAAGGGTTTTCCTGCTGCCCTGGTACCACGAAGCCTACCAGGCCCACCCTTGAGTCCCAGGGCTGTCCTGAGACCTGGACCCTGGCCACCCTTGCATCTGTGCTGGAACTGGCAGATGCCTTAAGCCACATGTTCCCTTCCATGTTCTCACCCCTATCTTTCTCCCCACCTGCAAGTGAAACCCTGATAGTCCACAAGAATTCCCAGGAGGGTTTTCAAACTTTAGGACCCTTGCAATCACCTGGGGTGCTGTGTTAAAAATGCAGGTTCCTGAGTTCCAGCCCCAAGGGTGCCACTTACGTAGGTCTGGGACGAGGCTCAGGAATCTGCACATTTCATAATCTGCACAGTTGGGGTTACACATTGAAAAACGTGAGTGTTGCTGACATTGGATGTTCCTATCTCTCCACACTATTCAGAGGAATCCAGGATAAGGAAGTCTGTAGGAGAAATCACAGTACTTGCTTAAACTTTTGGATGATGATATCGACAACAGTAGCTTCCATTAACTGAGCACCTGCTCTGTGTCTTGGCTAAAGGCATGGACTTTCGAGGTCTGTGGGCCTGGTTTGAATCCCAATCTCACCACTTCCTCATGGTGTGATCCTGAGCAGGCCCCTTGGCCTCTCTGAGCCTCGGTTTCCCTGCCTTTGAAATGGGGGCATTCACAGTACCAGCCCCCAGGGTGGCTTTGAAGGTCAACGATCAGGCCTCTTGGGTGTACGGTGCTGTGCTGGGTCTAGAAGCTCAGTGGACAGTGGCTGTTGTTATCTACATGCCTGACCGCCCTGTCCTTGTGGCACTCTGGGCAGTAGCTGCCTTTCTGCATCTTTTAGTGTCAAGTACCCGGCTAGTGGCCACAGCAGTGGTTCACGACAGAGCTGGGATTCCAACTTGGGTCTGCAGTGTGCCAGAGCTCAAACGTCCTCCATCCTGCAGTGCTGCCCGCTTTATTGGAATGTGAAGCCTTCCAGGAGGAGGAGAGCAGACCCTTTACAGTTACGAGACCTTTCACAGATACCCGCGAGAGGCCTGCAACCCAGGGTAGGGGCGGGGCTAACCTCTCAGGAAGCCAAGGCTTAGAGAGGTGCCCAGAGCTAGAGAAGGGCAGAGTCTAAGACTGGGCCTTTCCCCCGCTTCGGCCACACACTGTGGGAATGGGTGGATTCGGCAGGTGTACTCGGGGACACCTTCTAGGGTGTTGGCCTGTTCTTTTTTGCCCAGGAAAATGCCAAGAGAAGGGCCTCAGATGATCCCTTGAAAGACCACTTTGGGGGCTCGCAGGACAGCACCACTGATGGCTTTCTGCCAGGACAGGAACTGGATTCTGGAACAGAGGTTTCAGATCTCTGAGGGTGTGACCCCCTCCTCCCACCCCCCAACAAGAAGAAGATGAGCGTCTATGCCATCCCTTTCGTTAGATTCTCAAAGGCCTCTATGATTACTCCCCTTGCCCAACCCCAGAAAAGGCCAAGCACAGCTTCTCTAGGATTGTCCCGTAGAAATGCAGGGCAGGCAGGGGACTTCCTTCTTTTTCCCTGCTGCTGGTTCCTTCCAGAAAGTCAGCCTTGTTCCTTGAAAGCCACCACCCCTGCTTCCCCATGCACAGCACCTGGTGGCTTTTCAGCAACCCTTCCTTGCCCAGACCCCCAAGAAGTGCTTGGATACTTAAGTGGGGACCAAAGGGTTATTGGAGGTGATAGAGCAGAGACCAGAGACAACCCCACCCCGCAGATTAGTGCTCCCCACCTTCAGCAGAGAGTTTTAGGAAGGAGAAGGTTTTCTTAGGACTGCACTGTCCATTATGATAGCCACGTGGCTCTTTAAATGGAAATTAACTAAAAGTAAATATAATTAGAAATTTGGGTGCTTCCTCGCACCAGCACATTTCAAGTGCTCAATAGTCGCATGTGGCCCGTGGCTCCCATTTTGGACAGGGCAGATACAGAGTGTTTCTGTCATTGCAGAGCCTTCTCTTTGCTGGTGCTGCTGTATGCTGGAGAAGATGCGGGTGCTAGGGCTGGGGCTTGGGAGGACAAAGGACTGGCTGAGGGGACAGCAGCTCTGTCAGGCCTGGGTTCCCCCAGCACCTCGGATGCCCACTTCCCTCTTCTGGGCACGCGGTCTCCTTACGTCTCATGTTCTGCTTAGCTTGCTACGCTCGTGTCCATGGATCCCCTCCCCACTGCCAGAGGAAGCTGCCTCTTCTTTCTGGCAACTTCAGCCTTTTCTCCTTTTCCCGGATGGTGGCTCAGTAAGAAACCTGGCTGTTTCGGGGGAGGCAAGGGACGGGTCCCTCACCTGGGTTTGGCGGATGGGATGGGGGTGTGCACACACCTCCTTTAGTTGCTCCTAAGGTCATGTTCAACATTCGTGGAGTGCATTTTTCTGCTCAGGGAGCTTTCCCAGACCCGGAATGTTTGGTGCTCACAGACCCTGGCAAGGATCGGTATTGCTGTTCCTCAGTTTTGCCTGGGGAAATGGAGGCTCAGTGACGTTCAGTGACGTGCCCAGAGTCATGCCATTGGCGGGTGGCCCAGGGCTCCAGGTCTCCAGCACCCCTCGGCCCCCTCCTCACCAGGTCACATCATCTCCTGGATTAGAAATCTGCTCACATAGTCTGTCCTGAAAGGAAAAAAATCGGTTACAGCCTCCTGTTGCCCCTAAAGAGGGAGATCCCCGGGCATGAACGCACCTTCTCACCCCCACTGTCGTCCTTGGCCTTTGCTCACGGACCTGGGAGGGAAGGGTCTGGGTGGTTCTGATCTCTGCAGGCCGAGGCCTGGGGAGGCGGGTGGCCCTCGGTAGCAGGCATCCCAGGCCGTCCCTTCCCTGATGAGCCTCTCTACCTTTGCTCAGATGACCCAGCTCATGAAGGCCGCCAAGAGCGGGACCAAGGATGGGCTGGAGAAGACACGGATGGCCGTGATGCGCAAAGTCTCCTTCCTGCACAGGAAGGACGTCCTCGGTGAGGCGCTGCCCGAGCGGGAGGGTCTGGTGCCCAGCTCTGACTGGGGGTCGGGGAGGGTGGGATTTTGCTTTACACCCCAGAGGTCATGCTGGGTGGGTACCACTTGGCGTATGGTTCCTCTGGTGGTGGGGGTTGGGGGCTGAGTCCCAAATATCCTGGTAGGTCCCAGTGTGCCTCCCCCTCCTCTGGCAGGCGTGGCCTGTCCCTTCTGGGAGAGCTGGGCCTCTTCTTTCAGCGTCCCTGCTCCTGCTTTTGTCACGGCCGTCTTGGCCTCCTGCCCCCTGCGCTGTCTGGCTCACCTGTCCTCATCTTTTTTGTTCCTGTTCCCTCCTTCCTTTATCCATCCACCCATCTCTCCAACCAGCTGACATTTACGGAATCCTACTAAGCGCCACAGCCTGTGCTGCATGCAGGGACCCACGATGCATGTATCAGCAGTGCCTCTGGGGCCAGCTGTTGGCACAGCGCGGGAGACAGGCACAGGCATGGGAAATGACAGGACAGGTTGACAAGTGGTCCACTGGGGTGCCCTGGGGGGCATGGAGGAAATGAGGATGGACTTGGGGGATGAAAGGTCAGGGAAGGAGGAGGCACAGGTCACCAGGCAGAGCGGAGTGGGTGCTCTGGGAAGAGGAGCGAGCGGGTGTGCAGAGCCCCGGATGTGGGAAAGTACGAGATGTTCCAGAGATGCTCTTAGTCAGCACTGACTGAGTATTTATTGTGTGCCAGGTGCTGCCCTATGAGCCTACAGTTCCTCACTTCATCCTTATCCTCACCACACAAGGCGCACAGAACTCTCACATTCCCACGCAGCAGATGAGGGAATAGGCACAGAGAGGTTGTGTCAGGGCTGAGGACACACAGGCCTGGAAGGGATAGAGGAGGCCTCAGGTGGCGGAAGTGAGGGCGGGCATGATAGGCCAGGGTCCGGTCAGTACAGGCTCTGTCAGCCTTGCTGGGCATTTGCCTTTGGTCTTAAGGATGCTGCATAAACCCCATTAGAGGGTTTTACGCAGAAGCGTCCCATGGTCAGATTTGATCAATTGATCATTCATGTGACAAGTTTTATTAAGCATCTACTATGTGCTAGGAACTGTCCTAAAGCCATGGGACACAGCTGTGAATATGAGTCCTGCCCCTGATCCCCTGAAGCCCCCTTCAGGTGCCTACCCTTGCTCCTGGTCCCCACCAGGCTCCAGTCCATTCCTCTGGAGAATGTCTAGGTCAGGGCCCCTGATGTATTCCCAGGCATTGGTGGGACAGGGTCAAGTAAGACCGGCCCCTGCTGCCCATCTCACATCTTTAGAGGTGACAGACAAGGAGACAAGGAATCCCAGTACAGTGGGCTCACAGCTGATGGAATTCTGGGATGCCAGTTCTCTTTGGAAGGAAGGAGGCTTTGTCTGCTGCCTGCCCTCGGCACATGGCCTGATGCAGCAGAAGGAACACAGGCCTCGAGCCAGGCAGGACTTTGAGAGCCTGTGTCATCCTAGAAAATTCTGTAATCTCCCTGTGCCTCAGTTTCCTCATCCGTACAGTGGGGTGGCTGTCTGTCTTGTAGGGCTGTGGTGAGGATGTCCTAGGTAGTATGAGGAGAGAGAGAGCCCCATGTAGCAGACGTTATTCTTGGTGGGCGGTCAGTCCCTAAGTGGAGGCGTTTGGTGCCAGGACGGCCTCGTGCTGGCCTGTTCAGACCCTGGCTCTGCGGCTTTCTGGCTGTGTCGCCTTGCACTTTTTCCCCTCTTGGGGCGGCAGACCATAAATGGGTTTTCATCTGTAACATGGGTTGAGCCCCACCCGTGCACTTGGTGCGGTGCTCAGCCAGAGTGGGTGTGCACAGGCCTGGCACAGGCTGGGTGCTCAGTGAATGTCCATGTTCCCTCTGCATTTTGGGGAGCACTGACCCCCGATGATGGAGGGAGCAGGCCAAGTGGCCATTCTAAACTCATTGAGATGGTCCGAAGACAGGATAACGTGGCCAGGCCAGCTGGCTGGGAACTCTTCCTGGGTCACCCTCCCAACCCCAGGCTGGCTAGGGCTCTCCTCAGCCCTCCCCACCCCGCCCACAAGCCCAGCGCCTTCCTGAAGTGACCCTCCCTGCAGAGGCGATATTAATAGCCGTGGCAGGGCTCGAATCACAGGCCAAGAATGTTACCCAGCAGCTCGTGGGGGAAGAGGAAGCTGCGAGGCAGGCTGGGGTGGGTGCGGAGTGATGCCCGGGGCGTGATGTGGGCCCGGCAGGAGGGTCTGCACCACCCCCACCCCCACGCCGTCATCCGCTGTCCCTCCTCCTCCTCCTCCTCTGTCTCCTGCTCAGGTAAGGGCCTATTGGGGTGTCTCTACCCCCTCCCACCCTTGGGGTTGCTGCCGCTTCTTCTTTCCTCCCCAGCTTCCTCACAGCTCCCATTTCCTGCTGCCCACAGCCACCGCTGGAGTCAGAGCCATTCAGCAGCTGGGATCCCCTCTCCCGGCACCTGTACCTTGCTCTGTTGGGGGCTGGAACCCTCTCCGGAGCCTCCCTCACTATCTGACCTCCTCCCACTCTCAGAGGCTTGGGCCTCTGTCCATCTCATTCCGTCCTCCGTCTGAGGTCCAGCTCCACTCACTCCTGGGATTCCATGTCAGGCTCCTGTTGAACTTTTTCCCTTTAGCTCTGCATGTTTTATTTCAAAAGGAAAGTGCCAAACCACGCTGCCCTGTTCTTCTCGGGGCTTATTTTCTTCCCCCTTTTAGACTTCCAGAAGAAAACTATTTTTAGTTCCTAGTGATGGGGACATGGGCAGCTAGCCTTCGCCAGGCCAGAGCGGGCGGGCCTGAGCAGGGACAGTGGCTTCTGGCAGCATGGACGCCGAGAACCCAGGCCCCACAGGACGCAGCTTTGATTTCTGCCTGTTCACCCTCTCGCTCACTTGCTCACAATTATTCACTGATGGAATGTTCCAGGCCCTGGGACGTAGCAGGGAACTCCTGAGAAGGAGCTACCGGGCGGCTCTAACCCCACGGGGCCCCAGGAGCTGCTTGCACCCTAGGACCTGGGTCCAAGGCTGGTCTAGGGGGGCTCTCAGCTCCTGAGGCCTGAGCAGGGTGTGCTGTCCCTGCCTTAGCTGTGTCATCGGCCCATCTGACTTTCCAGGTGACTCGGAGGAGGAGGACATGGGGCTCCTGGAGGTCAGCGTTTCGGACATCAAGCCCCCAGCCCCAGAGCTGGGCCCCATGCCAGAGGGCCTGAGCCCTCAGCAGGTCTGTGGGGGAGTGGGGCAGGTGGGGGTCTGCAGGGGAAGGGGTGGCTTGGGGGTTCCAGCCTGTTCTCTGGGGCCACGCTTGTCTGGATCTCACAGGGGATATGATGACTGGGGGCTCTTGGCAGAGCCCAGCTGGATAGGGGCCTCCTAGGTTCTCTCCTCAGCTATTGAACAGGCTTTCCACTTTCTACCCCGTGTGCTCTGTGCTGTTGGTTTTGGGGGGTGGGCTCCCGGCATCTAGAACGCTTGCGTCCCCCAACTCCATGGCATGCAGAGCAGTCCCGTTGGCTGTTTCTGACTAAGGTGTCATTTGAAGAATGAGATGGGATCCAGACTCAGGTGAGGCTGCAGGTGTGTAGGTGCCCAGTCCCTGCCATCTGTCCACCTGTCCTCACCCTGGGCCTCAGAGCTGCCACAAGCTCCCACCAGGAACTGAGGCTCTTTAAGAATGGCTTCCTTGGCTGGGTGCGGTGGCTCATGCCTGTAACCCCAGCACTTTGGGAGGGTGAAGCCGGTGGGTCAGCTGAGGTCAGGAGTTCGAGACCATCCTGGCCAACATGGTGAAACCCCATCTCTACTAAAAATACAAAAAACAAACAAAAAAAATTAGATGTGCATGGTGGTACACGCTTGTAGTCTCAGCTATTCGGGAGGCTGAGGCAGGAGAATCACTTGAACCTGGGAGGCAGAGGTTGCAGTGAGCCGAGATCGCGCCACTGCACTCCAGCCTGGTGACACAGCGAGTGAGACTCTGTCTCAAAAAAAAAAAAAAAAAATGGCTTCCTTCTTGTAGAGCATCGTGCTGAGGTCGGGCAGCTTTGCTCTGGGATCTCAGCCCAGTCATGTTGTCCCTTCGCTATCTGTGTTTTGCCAGCCATGAAACAGGGTGCGAGATCCCTGATTCCTCTGGCTGTGAGGCCACTGAGCAGGATGTGTTGTAGGATGGTGGGTAGAGACCAGGGAAGCTGCTGAACATCCTACGAGGCACGGGACAGCCCCACTATGGGGAGTTACTTGGCCCCAGATGTCCTTGTGCTCTGCTCTGGGTGCCACTTGAGTACCTGGGGATTGTTGACAATGGATCAACAATGGGACAGTGGTCTTGCCATCTGCTGGGACTGTGTGGCCAGGCCATGGCCAGGCCTGGCTGCAGGCAGGGCAGTGGGAAGATGGGAGAAGAGCCTGCTGGAGGCAGGAGGAGGCAGCAGAGGGAGTAGGGCAGGGAGCCGGGGTTCTGGTGGTGGTGGGCTCCTGATGGACGCTCAGGACAGCTGTGGGGGTAGAGTAGGGGGTCAGTCACCTCCCAACCCGAGATCGAGAGGGATGGGCTCCCCTTCAGACCCCTGTCACATGTGACACCTCCTGTGAGCAGCGTCCTAACTTTGCTGCACAATAGAGCCACCTGGGAAGATTTCAAAGTCCCTGGTATCCAGGTTCCACCTTGTTCAGAGGACGGTAGAACTTCAGAAGGTCTGGGGTGGGAGCCAGGTGACTGTGTTGGAAAGATCCTCAGCTGAGGGAGGTGCAAGCCACACCATGCTCGACGGGGTACTGCAGGCTGCAGCTGAGGGGTTGTGATCCACTCCGTGGGCCAGGCTTCTGGAGGGTTACGGTGATGGTGGAAGGGAAAGGAGAAGGGACTGGGGATGTTTAGCCAGAAGCAGAGACCACTCGTGTGGGGGGACGGTACCCCAAGGCCTGTCTTGTGGAAGAGGGATAGCTCAAGGATTTCATTCGCAAGTGAAGGGAGCTGAGATTCGGTTCATGCTAATGCTAAGACAGAATTTTCTTTTCTTTTTTTTTGAGATGGAGTCTTGCTCTGTTGCCCAGGCTGGAGTGCAGTGGCGCGATCTTGGCCCACTGCAACCTCTGCCTCCCAGGTTCCAGCAATTCTCTTGCTTCAGCCTCCAAAGTAGCTGGGACTATAGGCGCGTGCCACCACGCCCAGCTGATTTTTGTATTTTTACTAGAGACAGGGTTTCACCATGTTGGCCAGGCTGGTTTCGAACTCCTGACTTCAGGTGATTTGCCCATCTCTGCCTCCCAAAGTGCTGGGATTACAAGCATGAGCCACCTTGCCTGGCCTAGGATTTTCTATTAGAGTTGTCCAAAGATGGAGGTGGTCACCCGCCACCATGGAGGAGCGTGGTGATTACCCCATCCCCAGATGTATGTGCACAGAGGGGCTTTCCCTGGGATGTGCCCTTCCTCCTCCATTCTGTAGCCAGGCAGCAGGGCATTTATTTAGGGTTGGCAGGGGCTCTGGAAGGAAGAGTGGCCACCAGGCCCAGTGGTCCCAGGTGGGACCTGGGAGGGATGGGTTTCTCTGTCCTATAGTTGTCAGCTCCCCTTCCTGTCACTTGGGCCCTGTGCAGCAGGTGTCATGTGCGCTGACCGTGCTTTTTGGCCCGAGCAGGTGGTCCGGAGGCATATCCTGGGCTCCATCGTGCAGAGCGAAGGCAGCTACGTGGAGTCTCTGAAGCGGATACTCCAGGTGCGACTTCAGGGAGTTCTCAAGGGTCTCTGGGGAGAAGCAGGGAGGGCCCTGGAGGGTAACTTTATACGGAGTGTTTGGGGACTGTGGGCAGTTTTAAGGGGACAGGACCATAAGCCAGCACTGCTTTATGGGGACAGTAGAACCTCCAAATGTAGGCAGCAAGAATTCCTGATGCCCTGGTGTTCACGGGAGTGACTTCTTTGTGAACAAAATGGGATTCTTTGAAATGACTCCTGGAGAGCTGAGGGCATATACTCCCATTTATGACTGGAAGGCACTGTGTCCTCCTGCCACTCTGGAAGCCCCTGGGGCTTGGGCCATGTCTTCCCATCCTCCTGGGATCCTTAGTTGGGAAGATGTGTAGGATGGAGTCCTCCTTCTTGCATCGAGAGGAGTAGGATCGAGTCCTCTTTTTTGCATCAGGAGGCCCAGGGGTTGCTGAGCAGATGCTTGCATGAAGTGACTAGTATGTGCCAACCTGAGAATCCCTGAGACAGTGTTTGAATCCCTGAGACAGTGACTTTTCCGGGCGGTTGTGGGCTACCAGAGTAAGGCCACCAGGGTGGGGAATTGTTGCTAATGATACCCTCTCTTCCCCTCTTGAGTTTGGATCCTCAGAGAGGGATCCTAGGCATCAGGCAGGTAGAGATGAATATATCACCTGTCTCTGACAAAGCTAATTGGAGAGTGACGCGGGGTGTGGGAGCCAAGGGAGCTTGTAGTGACCTTACCGCTCGTGGGCTCAGTGACAGGCAGAGCTTCGCCCTCAGGCCGGCCTCCAAGGAGCTCCTTGCAGGCAGATGGCGCATAAAAGACCCTCTTCCTCCCGACCAATTAACACAGAAGCATGGGGGTGTTGTGTGTGGCCAGTGAGGCCAGGGGTGTTATGGTGATGGAGATCCTTCCGGAAGGACGCATGAGGAGTGAGGGATGAGTGCCTCCCCTCCGTGCCACGGGAAGGCCCATTCATGGCTGGCCGAGTTCTGCATGAGGGCAGGTAGGGAGAGAGGCTGCGGCCTGGCCTGCGGCCTCACCCCGCCCTCCCCGGCAGGACTACCGCAACCCCCTGATGGAGATGGAGCCCAAGGCGCTGAGCGCCCGCAAGTGCCAGGTGGTGTTCTTCCGCGTGAAGGAGATCCTGCACTGCCACTCCATGTTCCAGATCGCCCTGTCCTCCCGCGTGGCTGAGTGGGATTCCACCGAGAAGATCGGGGACCTCTTCGTGGCCTCGGTAAGTGTCCCCAAACTTTTTCCCCAGCCCACCAAGGTAAAACCACAACCAGTCTGACCCCGGGGCCATGCAGTCCAGCCTCCTGCCTCTGCCTGCTTGCCTTGTTCAAGTCAGTGGGATTAGAGGGTGGCAGGGTCTTCTGGGCCTGATCTAGGGGTGAGTGTGACACCTTGAAGTGGCCAGGATGTCCTTGGATATACCTGGCAGGCCATGGTGCTGATGAAGCCAGGTGGCTGTCCTGGCTCCTCCCAGGTGGCAGCACCCCCTGGCCTCCCAGTCACTGTGGGCAGCCACCTGGCCGGTCACAAGCTCTCTTACCGAGCACTTGAGGGGTTTCAAGCCAGTGTGAAATGCTGTGAAAGACCACAACTTTGGCCCGGAGAGGATGTGCCGCAGTGCTGGGGAAAGGGCACTGGCTCACGATCCGGGGGACCTGGTTCTGGTCCCAGCTCAGTTCTGCAACCTAGGGCAGGTCCAGGGCCCACTCTGAGCCCAGGCTTGCCATCTGTGGAATGAGGGGTGCACTGGATTTCTGGCTTTTCTAGCTGAAGTCTGCGGACCCCAGATGTTCATGGGGTGAGGGAAGGTCAAGTTGGTAGCACTCTACTTTGATGTGTTTTAGGTAACTAGGTTTTGCTAAAAGAAAAAAACTTTTTTTTGAAAGCCACAGCGCTCGATAGAGTCACTGAATAGGTCTGATGTTCTGGGTGTATATCAAGGGGCTCTGGAGAGAGAGTTGATTGACTCCAGGCCGACCATCCCTCCCTTGGTAACTCAACTCTGGGCACGCTGCCCGGTGAGAGGCCAGGAGCACTTTCCTTAAAGGTGGAGGGCAAGGGGCATTCGATTTCCTGAACGTGAATGCAGTAGAAGGGGTGTTCCCCCTGCCCTTCTCCTCCCTCCACCTGTGGGCTTGGGCTGCTGCACTGGGGATGGAGACCTGGGAGGCGAAGGTCCCCTGGGCTCTCCTGTGGCACCACCCCATCCCACCTGTGACCTCAGGCCAGCCTCTCTACCTCTCTGAGCTCCATGTCCACACCCCAGTGGGGGTGATGGATTTGCACAGCTCGAGGTCCCAAGGGAGTGTGGGGTGAGTGCAGGCGCCCTTCTGCTCCCTGCCTTGAGGCGGCCTCCCTGGCCCACACCTGCCTCGTTTCCTTCTGCTCCCTGCATTGAGGCGGTCTCCCTGGCCCACACCTGCCTTGTTTCAGTTTTCCAAGTCCATGGTGCTAGATGTGTACAGTGACTACGTGAACAACTTCACCAGTGCCATGTCCATCATCAAGAAGGCCTGCCTCACCAAGCCTGCCTTCCTCGAGTTCCTCAAGGTGGGCCTCCATGGTGGTACCGTGCCTGGTCAGGGTGGGCAGGGAGATTGCTCAGGAGGAAGGGAGCATTTTGGCCCCAGCTTTGGGTATGACATCATAGCTTTGGCCTGGACAGCTCCCCTCTTTCTTTTGGGGCAGCCCAGTCCCATGGGAAGAAAATCGTTCCCTCCTGCCCCTGGGAGGAGCGTAGCCAAGTGTCTGTAAGCAACTGGGATCCTGGAGCTTTGGCAGGGTGGAGGGAAGACCTGTGTCATCTTGCTGACCCTTTGCCTCCTGTGCCCTGGTGAGTGGGTGGGTCTGCCTGGCTGGCCCTGTGGTGGGCTGTGGCTCCCGGGTTGCTAAGCTGGTTCCTTTTCCTCATTTATAAAAGGGTGAGGAAATTCCTTATAGGGGTATCTTGGGCATTGCTTGGGAGAGTAAAGGTTAAAGGCTTCGAAAAGCTTCTGAGTTCTCATGTGCCCAGCCTCTGCTGATTTCTTTGGGAGTGTAGTCTGGTGAGTCAGAGCCCCTGCCTGTAGGGAGCCTGCTGGCTGGCAGAGGATGCAACTGGGCTAGGTGCCAGGACACGCACACATGTGCCGGCAGCACAGGTTAGATGCCACGGCCTCAGTGGAGGAACCCACTGTCCCCATCAAAGAGAACAGGGGATCAGGAGGAGCCACCATCTGACATGGGCCCTGGCGGGGGATGGTGGGATTGTGCCAAATAAAGACAGAGGAGAGCCTATATCAGGTGTAAGGATAGTGGAGCAAAGGTTAGAGGCAGGAGGAGAGGGATGGGCAGGTCTGTTTGGATTCTGGGAGCACTGATGCCTGTTGGGGAGTCCCAGGAGAGAAGGCCTGAGTGTGCACACTAAGAGGCGGCTGAGTTCAGTTGGGTGGTTCTAGACCTCCAGGCCCAGGGCCTAGGATGTAATATTTCAGGTAATGGGGAGCCATTGAAGGATTTTGAGCTAGGGTAGATGGAAGTGGAGGCAGGTGGAGAAACTGTGGGATTGCAGCATATGGGGGCCAGGACCAGGTAACAGGTGTGTGGATGGAGTGGGGGATGGATGCAAGAGACAGGACAGAAGGTCCCCCTGTGCCCCGCCCCTTACCCTAGCCCAAATCTGTCTGCATTTAGTTTAAGTGGAGGGAATGGTTGCCTTGGCCACTTCTAGAAGTCTGACATCTTGAATAAATTGCTGAGTTTCCCAGTTATGCCTTTAGTTCAGAGACCTTAAGATGACTGCTTTAGTCTCCTGAGGGTGCGCGGCCATGCAGGGGCACTGGTGGGAGAGGGATCCCTGGCTGCAGAACCACGGACCTCTCTCAGCTCTTCTTGCAAGCCCAGGGATAGGCAGGGTCTTAGGGCCTGGGGAGAGGAGCCCAGAATGGGGACAGTGTCTGGACTCTGGGGCACTGGGCCCTCTCTGCAGGGGGTCAGCGAATGACGGAACCTTGTCTCCACCAGCGACGGCAGGTGTGCAGCCCAGACCGTGTCACCCTCTACGGGCTGATGGTCAAGCCCATCCAGAGGTTCCCACAGTTCATACTCCTGCTTCAGGTACTGCTCAGGATTCCAGCAGCTTCAACCCACAGGGTTTGCCTGTGGGCTGGGAGGTGCCTCCTGGGGTAGGAGGGAGGAGGTCTGGGCTCTTGTCCGTGATCCATAACCCACCCAACCTGCTGTGGGACTCTGGCCTCATCTTTCTCCACTTCTAGAGTGAAATTGATTGTAACTGACAGCTCAGTTTGCACGCCCCTCTGTGGGGGACGCTGAGGGACTGCTGGTGGCCTGAGTCTGGGTTGCAGGAAGGGAGTGAAGGCACAGGGAATCCCGGGACCCGCAGGGCTCCTGGCATGGAGGAGATGCTCAGTAAACATGCTGAGCTTGGCCATTTCAGATTCGAGCTTCAGAACAGGGGATTCCTAAGGGACATTAGCCCCACACAGGGTCCTGGAGAGCTTGGGACACTGTCCCAACCACTGAGGGTCCTTGGGCAGGGGCTGGCCCTCATCAGGGAGCTGAGAGGGTGGCTACCAGGCTGAGGGGTCCGGTGGCACATTGCTATCCACTCTCAGTGCTGCTGGCCTGTGGGAGTGGGCTCTTATGTAACCATACCATTTATCAATTGATCAGTGATTGATCTATAAGTTTATTTATTTACCATCATAACCATTTCTAAGTGCATTCACATTGTTCTGCAACCATCACCACCACCCATCCCAGAACTTTCTCATCATCCTGAACCGAAACTCTGCCCATTCAACAACTCCCGATTCTCCCTCCCCACAGCCTCCGGCAACCACCATTCTACCCTGTGTCTCTATGACTCTGACTGCTCTAGGAAAACACGTATACGTGGAATCATACAATGTTTTTCTTTTCGTGACTGGCTTGTTTTCCTTAACATGAGGTCTTCAAGATTCATCGTGTCCTAGCATGTGTCTGAATTTCCTTCCTTTTCAAGGCTGAATAATACGCCATTGTATGGAGAGACCACATTTTGTTTACGCGTTAGTCTGTCGACGGACATTTTTGCCTCCACATTTTGGCGACTGTGGCTAATGCTGCTATGAACATGGCTGGACAAATATCTGTTTGAGACCCCGCTTTCAGTTCATGTGGGTCTATTCCTAGAAAGATCCATGCTTTTGTTTTCTTTTTCATGCATTAGCTGTTTCTTGAGGTCTTGTTCTGCATCTGGTGCCATCTGTCCTGGCCTCAGGCCGGGCCCTTTGCAGACCCAGTGTGTGTAGGGGGTTGCGCAGGGTGAGGCTTTGCCCCAGGCTGGGGTAGAGTTGGTCATGGGTGGGCTGCTCAGTCTCTGCTCTGACCTGGCAGGACATGCTGAAGAACACCCCCAGGGGCCATCCGGACAGGCTGTCGCTGCAGCTGGCCCTCACAGAGCTGGAGACGCTGGCTGAGAAGCTGAACGAGCAGAAGCGGCTGGCTGACCAGGTGGCTGAGATCCAGCAGCTGACCAAGAGCGTCAGTGACCGCAGCAGCCTCAACAAGGTGAGCTGGGCCTCCCACCTGCCTGCCCTCACCTGCCTGCCCTCACCTGTGCTCCTGCCCGTGCCCCTGCCCCACGCCACCCACACTAGGTGGCAGTGTTCTCTGAGGGAGGGGAGGCCTTGCTCTTCCAAGGATGTGACCTTGGGGATTGGATCCTCAGCGGGACCCCCACGTTCATTCCTGTTCATGTTATTTTAAGATAAAAGTTCATTTTGTGCATCAGTGTGATTTCCAGTAAAGTCTCCAGAAATCAAAGCCTAGTTAAATGAACAGGCTCTGGAGAGTCAGAATCTGGGTTTAGATCCAGATTTTGCCATAGGTGCTTGCTGTGTGCCCTCAAGGGAATCACCCACCCTCTCTGAACCTCACTTGCTCCCTTTGAAATGAGGAGCATTTAATAGCACCGGAGCCCTAGGGCTGCTGCCGCAAAAGAGGGAGCTGGCAAAGTGGCTTCGTGATTGTCCTTAACACAAGAAGAAAGATGAAAAGTCCATGCCATGTTTTGGGGTTGCCGCTTAGGAACATGCTATTAAAAAAAAAAAAAGAAAATTGGGCTGGGCGTGGTAGCTCACGCCTGTAGTCCCAGCACTTTGGGAGGCTGAGGCAGGCAGATCACCTGAGGTCAGGAGTTCGAGACCAGCCTGGCCAACATGGTGAAACCTTGTCTCTACTAAAAATATAAAAATTAGCCAGGCATGGTGGCACACGCCTGTAATCCCGGAAGGCTGAGGAAGGAGAATCACTTGAATTCAGGAGGCAGAGGTTGCAGTGAACCGAGATTGTGCCACTGTACTCCAGCCTGGGTGACAGAGGGAGACTCTGTCTCTAAAGGAAAAAAACCAAACAAAACCAAAAGACTTGCAAATGAGTCTGTAGAGGAGCCTGTTTTTAAAGCACAAGGTCACCTCACAGAGTCACCTGTTGGTCACTGGAGTCCCTCTTCTTCCCTCTCAGCACATGACATGAACTGCCTGGCTCTGTGCTGGGGTCTCTGGGAGGTCCCACACCCCAGCCCCCCTGTTCACCTACTGGAGGGTAGGGGAGGGCTGGGATAGTTTAGGCTGGGGTGCCCAGGCCCTGGGCACATTGCAGGACTGTTCTTTGGAGAACGGATACTGTGTGAGGTCATAGGGAGAGGTTCAAATTTTCTGGGGAATAAACTGGGAGCCTCTTGGCTCTGTGGGGTCCTAGAAGCAGAACTAAGGCCTATGGCTGGCTGTTCCCAGGAGGGAGGTTTCAGCAGCACGGGGTAGACCTTTCTAAGAGTCCAGGAAGGAGTACCCAGAGGGAGAGTGGCCCTTTCCATGTGTGCTGCACTTTACAGTATAGAATGCTGTCTAACCTGCATCAGCATCTTTGCTTTCCACCCCATGCCTGTGAAGTGGGGCAGGGACAAGGCCTCCTGTAGGGTCCCCTGCAGTGCCAAGCTTCAGGCAACCCACATCTTAGGACTCTGTTGCTTCAGGCCAAATTCAGGTTGCAGGTTGTGTTGTGGCCCACACAGTATTTTATTCTATTTAATTTAATTTTATTTTGAGACAGGGCCTCATGCTGTTGCCCAGGCTGGAGTACAGTGGTACAATAACGGCTCACTGCAGCCTTGAGCTCCTGGGCTCAAGTGAGCCTCCTGCCTCAGCCTCTTGAGTAGCTGGGACTACAAGCACGAGCTACCACACCCAGCTAATTAATTTTTTTTTTTTTTTTGTAGAGATGGGGTCTCACTATGATGCCCAGGCTGGTCTCAAACTCCTGGGATCAAGTGATCCTCCTGCCTCAGCCTCCCAAAGTGTTGGGATCACAGGCATGAGCCACGGTGCCCGGCCCACACAGTAGTTTTAAGAACATGGCAGTAGTTGCCAACATTTAAAAATTGAGAGAGATCCTATAAAATTCAGACTTGTGGGTCTCCTGGGAGGGTAGGAAGAGCTGGCTCACCGACCCACCTTCCCACGTGGCACCAGCCCCCGAGTGGCAGCTGCCCACTTCCCCTTGGTTCCTACCCACCTTTCCCACTGATGTTACCTGCAAGCCCCTAAGGCATCTGAGTTTATTTTACCTGCTCCAGGAGGATTGGGCTGGGGAAGACGAGATGGGGAGGGGACAGCGCCCTCTCCTGGGGATGTCCCCATCCACGTGGCTCAGGTTGGGCATGAGGGGCAGGGTCACTCTCCACCCCCTGGTTCCAGGCAGGACTAACTCAGCCATCCCCCACACAAGCCTCGAGTTTGGAATGTCTCGGGAGAAAAAGCCTTCAGCCCCGCCATGACCACCCGTGCTGGCCTTTGCGCTCAGGAATCTTCTCCTCTCCCCACCTTCGGCTCCCTCTTCGGTGACCAAGAGGCTTTCTCTTGCTTTGCCTCATACACCTGTGCAGCCACAGTGGGGAGAGGCCTCTTGGGAGGAGGAAATAAATTCCGTAGTGGTTGGGAAGAGCCGTTCTGCCCTCTCCTGCTCTGTGAGGTGGGCCCTGGCTGGAGGTAAGGGAGACCTCTTTGATGCTGGGCAAAGGACTAGAGGCTCTAAGCTTCCATGTCTCCATTTGCTGGGTGAGGGTAGGTTGGACCATGTGAGATGTTAGGAAGAGTGTGGTGGAGGCCGCACCCTGGGCTTCCCCCTCCAGGGCCCTCCCTGGACAGTCCTGGCCAGTTCTGTGACCTGTTTAGTGATGTCCCTATCACCATCACCCAGGGAGAAGCAGAAACGAAACTGGGTGTAACCCGAAACGGAACCATGCCAGCTGTTTCAAAATAGCCTAGGCAGGAGCCTCCAGAGGGCCGTTTGTGCAATATCCTGGTTTTCTTTTTCTTTTTGTTGGTTTTCATCTGCCAAGGGGGCAGCGCTGACTGCCAGAGCCCACGGGACTTTCCTCTTCCAAGTTTTGGGTCATGGCACATTTGGCAGCCCTTGGGGCGGGGGGCCCTGCTGTCTTCAAGGTCCGAGTAGTGGTCTCTTGAGTTGGCGTTTGGTTTCCTTGTGGAAATAGTGAGGCGGAGCCTGGCCTTAGCAGCTGTGGGGGACCCCAAGTCCTCCTGCATGTTAGGAGCGGTGGGGCCTCCCCTGGCTCCTGTCACACTGTGCACTAGCTGCTCAATGCAGGGAATGGTGAACGTGGCCTGGCTCTGTCCTGTGCTGTCAATCAACAGTGGGTGGGTCTCAGCGAGTCACTTTACCCCTGGAATCTCAGTTTCCTCACCTGGGCAATGGGGATGGCCTCAAGGACCGCTGAGCTGATTCAATGAGATGTGGAATATTAAGAGCCATCCTCAGTGCCTGGCACACCCTGGGCATTTGGTCCCACTGGGACTTTTGGTTGTGTGCCGACTTGAGAGAGATGATGCTTTGGAGAACAACAGCATTCTCTCCCGAGGAGGCTCGGGGTGATCTGTCCTTTTCTCTCCTGGGGATGCCTGGGGGTGATCTGTGTTTTTCTCTCTGGGGAGGCTCAGGGTGTTCTGTCCTTTTCTCTCCTGGGGATGCTCGGGGTGATCTGTCCTTTTCTGTCCTGGGGATGCCCGGGGGTGATCTATCTTTTTCTCTCTGGGGAGGCTCAGAGTGATCTGTCCTTTTCTGTCCTGGGGTTGCCTGGGGGTGATCTGTCTTTTTCTCTTTGGGGAGGCTCAGGGTGATCTGTCCTTTTATGTCCCGGGGAGGCTCGGGGTGATCTGTCCTTTTCCCAGACAGGATGGGGAAGGAAGGGGAGAGTAATGGTTGTCGTCAGAGTCACGGGTTTTGGGAATGAATTTTGCTGAATATCCTCCCTCCCTCCCAGAAAAAAATCCCCTTTAGAAAAAAGACGTTTTCCCAGGGTGTCCCTGGATGGGTTGGTGGCCCTGACACTAGCAGGGGGGGTCTTGACATCCAGCCTGAGGTTGGCAAATGCCTGCTTGGATGCCTGGGGTGTGAAAGTCTTTGTCCTCAGAGGGTGGTGTTATTGACTGGCAGGTCTGTTCCAACTCTGTCATGAGGCCACCTAAGAGGCGAGACAGGCCAAGGCTTTCAACAGGTTGGGGTGCAGGATGGGGTCCCCTGCACAAGGCCACGCCTGCTCCACTGTGAAGACCATCACAGACAGTAGTTGTCTATGGAGCACACATACAGGGCCGGCCTCTCAGGCCATGACCTGTGTCATCACACGTGACCCGTGTCATCACACGTGACCTGTGCCATCACACATGACCTGTGCCATCATACATGGCTGGTGCCCAGAAGGGCCCCATGCTTGCTTTCATGTTCTGCCATGGTCATCTTGAAATTCATAGTCACTTTGAACAAGAGCCTGTGTTTTCGTTTTGCACTGGACCGCAAGAGTCATGTAGCCAGACCCGGTCACATGTTCATTACCTTGTGTGATCTGAGCAGTAGAGGTATCTGCCCCCACTTGGTAGCTGAGTAAACTAAGGCTTGGACATGTGAAGTGACCTGCCCAAGGGCTTCACAGCAGGAGTGGGGATGGGGGCAGAGCCACCTCTGTAACTCCAGAGCTGTGTCCTTGGCAGTGGCAATCAGGCAGAATCCCTACAGAGAGGGGCTGGCAATGGCTGGCTCACCTGAGAAGGGGGCACTGGCTGCTGGGCCCACACGGGTGCTGGTGAATGCTCAGTCTCCCCATGGCCTCCGAGAGGAGGCCCCGATGTGTGGTCCTCTGGTCTTCCTCCCCAGTGCATCTTGTCACCCAGGGATGGAGGGAGTGGCTTCATCTCCTCCACCTCTCCCAGCCTCAGTCTCCCTTTCTGCACCATGGGAGGATTCTGGGTCTCCGGCGCGGTAAAGCCGCCGGGCCGCGATGCTGATGCTGACCTTCCCTGCCCCTCCTCCAGCTGTTGACCTCAGGCCAGCGGCAGCTGCTCCTGTGTGAGACGTTGACGGAGACCGTGTACGGTGACCGCGGGCAGCTAATTAAGTCCAAGGAGCGTCGGGTCTTCCTGCTCAACGACATGCTTGTCTGTGCCAACATCAACTTCAAGTAAGTGGGCCTGGGTTGGAGGGGGCAATCACCCCTCCCTGGAGACCCCATCCCGCCCTACTCCAGTCTCTTGGCCGGCCGCACTACAGTGGGACCCCATGTGAGCTTGGTTTAGGCTTCCAATATTCCTCTCCCATCCCTCTTGCCCTGCTCTGCCACTGGTCCCCAACGCTGGGAAGTACCTGGAGCAGTCATCGGGGGCAGCCCTCAGCCTCGGGCACACAGCTGTCCATGGTACAGAGTTGTTTGTTTTGGAACTCTGCAGTTGGTGACTAAACAGTGGTTTTGTCCACATTGAAATTCAAGAGATTCTTCCTTGTGTCTACCCCAGATCCCTGCGGCTTTAACTCAAATCTGTTTTGCTCTGGCCAGATTGCAGAATTTCTCAGTGTGAGCCTTTGCCTTTCCCCCACAGACCGGAGCATCATCATCGGCCCAGAGGAGCCTGGTTTGCTGGTTCTGGGCCGGGGATTGTGGAAATGCCCAAAGCCCGGCTGCTGGGCTGTGCCTGGGAGCCGGAGCCCTGGTGTGGGGTGAGGGTGAGGCTTTAGGCCAGAGCCTGAAGATGTGGCCCATCAGTTGCTTTAGGCTCCTGGGTATCTTATGTTTTACTAACACAGGGAGCCCACACCATGGGTGAGACATAGGAGAGATCTGACATTCTGGGGCCTGGCTGCCTGAGGCCACGTGGGCCTGGCACTGGGGCTTGGGCCCTGCCATTCTCCAGCCTTTCTGCTTTGCCCAGCTCACCTGCTCGCATCCCCTGCTTGGTCCTGCAGGGGACCCTGTATCAAATACTCCCTGAGAACTTCAGCTGTGGTTTTTCTAGCCAGGCTCTTAGGAGAACCTCTGCTCTCAATATTTGACAAGACTTTATTTTATTTTATTATTTTTTGAGATGGAATCTTGCTCTGTCTCCCAGGCTGGAGTGCAATGGCATGATCTCGGTTCACTGCAACCTCTGCCTCCTGGGTTTAAGTGATTCTTCTGCCTCAGCCTCCCGAGTAGCTGGGATTATAGGCATGTGCCACCACACCTAGCTAATTTTTTTTTTAATTGTATTTTTATTAGAGAGGGGTTTCACCATGTTGGCCAGGCTGGTCTCAAACTCCTGACCTCAGGTGATCGGCCCGCCTCAGCCTCCCAAAGTGCTGGGATTACAGGCGTAAGCCACCGTGCCCCACCTCGACACCACTTTAAAAAGCATCACAGAAGCAATAGTATGGCTACCATCACCGAAATCCAGGAGGGAAACAATCACCTCAGTGGAATGTGAATCCCAGCATAGCTCTCCCGCCTCCCAGCTGAATCAGTTCTAGGCCCTGTACCGAGTCAGCTTGGGCCTTCCTGGGTTTGGCCACAGAGTAGGTTTGGGGATTTTCCATGGTTACCGATCACGAGTCCTGGAAGGGGACAAGCAGGGCTGTTTCAGGACCTGTGCACTCATTCACCATCCACCCATTTGTCCACCCGTCTATGAATCCATTGAATGTAGTCCGAGACCTGGCTCTGTGCCAGTTCACACCTAGAATGAGATCCAGCCCCTGCCTCCGGGAGCTCAGGGCCTGGTTGGGGACTCAGGCAAGGAAGCCTCTGTCACACATGGGTCTGGGCAGGGCTTATGGCTGACCCATTCATTCATTTACTCACTCACTCAATCAAAGAAGGTAATTCTTCAGTCCCGTTTATATCCTGGGCACCGTGTGGTGCCGGCGGTATGATGAATACCCTCTCTGCCTTCATGTTGCTCTAGCGCAAAGTGCAAAGTGGGGTGCTAGTGGCCCGGTTTTGGGGAATCAGTTTGGGTGATTTGGGCTGAGTCACTTCACTTGACTGAGGATCAGTGTCCTTGTCTGGGATCATCTAAGCTTCCTAGCGGGGCTGTTGTGAGACCCAGAGATGAAGGAAGGCCCGCTTCTGTCCACACCTGGCCTCTGATGCCCTCATTCCCCGCAGGAGGCTGTCTCTCCTTCTATTCCCGATGCCCAGCCCCATGGCTGGCCCCCAGCGGGGTCACAGCCCCCAGATTAGCCACTCCATTGTAATAACAATCTCCCTTTCCTTCTTGTCTTTTTTCCCAGGCCTGCCAACCACAGGTACGTGGTTCAGGGGGCTCCGGGGCTCTGGGGCTCTGGGGCTCTGGGGCTCTGGTGCCATGTGATTCTGGATATGGGGCTGGGGCCTGGGCGCCTGGTGCTTCTACCCTGGCGAGGGATCCCTGCTCTGCCTGGCTTGGTTTTGGTCTGAGGTCTTGCGCTGGGGCTGCGTGAAGCCTGGCTGAGCTGGTGTGGAGGAGCAATGCCCTGGGCCAGCCCTGGGGCAGGGTGGCTGCAGCCTCTCCAGGGCCTTGTCCTCTCTGTTCCAACAGGGGCCAGCTGGAGATCAGCAGCCTGGTGCCCCTGGGGCCCAAGTATGTGGTGAAGTGGAACACGGCGCTGCCCCAGGTGCAGGTGGTGGAGGTGGGCCAGGACGGTGGCACCTATGACAAGGACAATGTGCTCATCCAGCACTCAGGCGCCAAGAAGGCCTCTGCCTCAGGGCAGGCTCAGAGTGAGTACCCCCTCTCTGTGCCCTGCGTTCGTCACCCTCGCCCTCACCAGCCACAGCCTGGGCTGCTCCTACCCAGGCTTGGCCCTGTCTTGGGGACCCCTACATAGGCTGATGGGTGGCTTGGCCAGGAAGCTCTTGCTGGTTTTGCAGCCCCACCCTGGACCTTAATGCAGAGCCATGGCCTCACCTGGGTGTGCGCAGGTGCATCTCCCAATCCACACACTTTGCTCCACCTTCACATTGGCTGCCACACACTCTGTCCTGCTGTGCCAGCTACCTGGCTGCTCTTCCTCCCTCCTCCTACCTGGGCCCCCTCCCTGTCCATCCTCTGCCCATCCCCAGGGCTGATTCTTCCAAATGCAGGTCAGATCAGTGCACGTCATCCCGCCCCAGTGGCTTCCCATTGCCGGTCCTGAGGGTGTACCACCTGCCTCACTCACCTCCCTCTGCCCCTTCTCTCTGCTGCAGCCATGCCAGCCCCTCTGGGCTCCTGGATGGGCCATGCTCCCTCCCACCACGCCCTCTCCAGCCTGTGCCTTTTGCCAAGTACTCTCCTGCCATCCTGTTTTTGTCTCATCTGCTCTTGGCTCAAATGGCACTTCCTCAGAGAAGCCTTTTCTTATGCCCTCATGCTGGGCCAGGTCGCCCCTCCTGTGCTCTCGAGACCTCTGGTACATTTTCCCCTTTATGGGTGATTGATCGGTTGATGTCTCTCCTCTCAGCCTGGCTGCAGCTCTGTCCAGGAGCCTAGGGTACGGTGGGCATTAATAAGTGTTCCTTGAATGCATGCAGGATGCTAAATTGCAGCAGAAAGGAACCCTGGTGCCCGAGGCATCTTCTGTGGGTGAGAAAGGCACTGGGGTTTCACTTCCCCCTCTGTCTGCTGTCTGACCCAGGAGGCTGCCTCATGGGCCACCCACAATTCTGGAAATTCTGAGGGAGTGATTGCACCACCTACTCTTGCCGTCTGGGTGCTGGTCCGTGACAGCTGTGCCCACTTCCAGATGCTGTCTCTTTCCTCAGCTCTGCTGGGTAGGAAGAGTCCTCTGCCCCACGTGCCTTCCTCGGAGGCACCTTCTGCCCTGGCTCAACTGCACTCCCTCCCCGCCGCTTGGGGCACAGGGTTCCTTTCTGCTGGTCATGCGGTCTAGCATCCTTCATGCACTCCAGGGACGCTTAGGGGATCCCTCCTTCGGTGACAATGATGTGTCTGTGGCCGCATTCCTCAAACCAGAGTCACGTACTGCCAGACCCCTTCGAAAGGGGAAAGAAGTTCTTGTGGAACCCTTCATTATATTGTTATTCAAATATATACAAACGCAAAACTCCCTGTAATCAACTCCTTCTGCTTATAGCCCTTGAAGAACCATAAAACCAACACCAAATCACAAATTGAATAAAAATAAAGCTACAAAACCATAACATTCAAATTAACAGCATTAATGTAATGTGATGGATGATGTTGTTTTGCTGAAACCAATTTGTTCACAGTGTGGATGTGGCTCAGGCCCTGGTAGAGCAGGTTCCTCTGCGCTTTCGTGCCTGTGCCACAGGGTGCCCTGTGGGGATCTGCATTTCCCATGAGCTCCCCAGTTTGGGTCACTGCAGAGCCCCTCTGATGTGAGCACATTGTCCACATCCCAAGCTCGCCATGCTCTTTGCTTGTTACCAGGTGACCATTCAGGTGCCATAGTCCATGGAAGCCTTGATATCAGGCAGCAGAGTGTGGCTTTAAACTCATTCCACACAGGTGACTCAGATAATTATCTAAATGAAAACCCCAAATAAGGCTTCCCCTCCACTCCCCTGGGGCTTCATAAGACCTCAGTGTGCAAAACCACGGCCTAGAGAATACAGTCCAAATTCCTAGCCCAGGGGCCTAGCGTTCAAGGCCTTCCCCATCTGGTCCTCCTGGACCCTCCTGCTCTATCTCTACCTGCCACCCCCTACCCCCATCTCACCCTTACTCCATCTGTATCATCACTGGTGATCTGGGCCCCCTCACCCCATCACTGTCCCACCACACTGATATCTTTCTCCCCACCACCTCCTACCACCCACCATTGTTAACTGACTGCTTCCTCCGCCACTTGTCCTGCCAAGGTCATAAGCTCCGGAAGAATGAGGACCCTGTCTGTCTTGTGTACTGCTGTCTCCAGTCTCTAGCATGGAGTCTGGCACACGATAGGTCCTCAGGATGTCTTTGAACAACTTGCTGTTCATGGGCTGCCTCAAGCCACAGTGCCTTTGCACACGCTCTTGTCTTTCTCTCCTGGCAGTGCCCACCACACTTCCAGCCCTATGCAGGCCCCTCCTCTCTCCCAGGCACAGCTTGCTCTTGGTCTTGTGGTCTCATACAGCCCTTTGTACAGACTGACTATGGCCTGGATCTCAGGTGTTAGACTTTACTCTTGAAAGGATCTGGCTTCCCAGCTAGTCTGGGCGCTCTGGTCAGGGTAGGAACTGGATGTTACTTTCTGGAACTCTTTCTTTTTTTTTTGGGTTGGAGTCTTGCTCTGTCACCCAGGCTGGAGTGCAGTGGCGTGATCTCGGCTCACTGCAAGCTCCGCCTCCCAGGTTCACGTCATTCTCCTGCCTCAGCCTCCTGAGTAGCTGGTACTACAGGTGCCCGCCACCATGCCCGGCTAATTTTTTTCTTTGTATTTTTTAGTACAGACGGGGTTTCACCGTATTAGCCAGGATGGTCTCGATCTCCTGACCTCGTGATCTGCCTGCCTCGGCCTCCCAAAGTGCTGGGATTACAGGCGTGAGCCACCGCGCCCAGCCTCTGGATCTTTTTTGTTGTGAGCAGATGCTTGGCTTCTTGTTAGCGCCTTCACCTGTGCCTGAGTTGGTCTCTTCTCTGCCCAGATAAGGTGTACCTCGGCCCCCCACGCCTCTTCCAGGAGCTGCAGGACCTGCAGAAGGACCTGGCCGTGGTGGAGCAGATCACGCTTCTCATCAGCACGCTGCACGGCACCTACCAGGTACGTGGCCTGGCCTGACCTTTTTGGCCTGAGCTCCCCAGTGTGGGCAGTGCCTGGATTCAGAAAGCTGAGTAGGGAGGGGCTCCTCTCCTGGCCCATGTCCCCGATGTGCTCCTAGCTTCTGAGCTCCTGTTGGCAACTGTCGCTGCTGAAGCTCCATGTCCCTGCCTGGAAGTCTCTTTTGCGGCCGCTGGTTCGGGCGCATCCTCTGGTTTGGGTTGAGTGGAGCCTGGCTGTGGGGCCTTTGTTTGTTCTCTGCACAGTGGCCATTCCGTTATGTGGCCCCTCCTGGGCCTCTACCCAGTGTGGAGGGGAAGCTGGCTGCGACGGCATGTCCCTCTCAGAGGAGGGCTCCAGGTGGGATCTGAGCCCAGGGCTGGGAAGCCTGGGGCATGGCGAGTTGGCCTCCTGCGTGGGGCTAAATGTGCAGCCTCAGTGAGGCTCCAGGACTTCTTCAGTTTCTCTTCCTCTGGGGTGCTGTGATTCCTATAGGATCTGGTGTGGCTTTTGGGGAGCCAGTGTGCTGTGTGGTGACCTCATTGGCCTCCTGAACCCTAGAACCTGAACATGACTGTGGCTCAAGACTGGTGCCTGGCCCTGCAGAGGCTGATGCGGGTGAAGGAGGAAGAGATCCACTCGGCCAACAAGTGCCGTCTCAGGCTCCTGCTTCCTGGGAAACCCGACAAGTGAGAGGAGGGGGTCTTGGAGGGAGGGCTGCTGCCTCTGCTGGGCTTCCAGTGGAGCAGGGGATCCGGAGAGGGTACCTGGAGCCCTCTTATTTGTCGAGATGCCATGGTGGGAGTGGATATGTAGGCATCGTGGGCCATGTCTGGGATAGCATCTGGCACGCAGTAGGTGCTCATGAAAAGACTGTGGAATGAATGAATGAATTAATGAACAGCCTGGTCATGTCCTGGATAAGCCTGGCCCACTGTTAGGATACTCAGACACTCTGCCATTGGTCAGTTCCATTTGCGCTGTGTCCTTTTCAGTCACTTCAGCCTATCTAGGCCCCCAGGCCAGGCCCTGGGTTTCCTCTCTCTGGACCCAGCCTCCCCCCAGCACCACCTTAGCCCCAGAATGCCCACCACAGGAGCTGTGCACAGTAGACCCCAACTGAGGTTTGTGGAACTGATGACAGCCATAGCTGCTCGGCCTGGCAGAGACAGGGAACGGGATCTTTCTGGTCCTCCTGAGGCTTTGTAAGTTGGGTCTTTTTATTTCCATTTTACAGATGAGGAAGGTGAGGCTCAGAGTTTCAGGAGAGGCTGAAGGCCACATCGTGAGAGACAGAGCTGGGTCCTGATGAGGTCTGACTCTGAAGCCCAGGCCAGTGCAATGAGGGGGCTCAATGCCCAGGTTTTGGCCTCCAGGGTGGGGTGAAGGTGGGGATAGAGTGTCACAAGCACAGTGGCTGCAAGGAAGAGAAGGTTGGAGCACTATCATTTGAGGTAGGACCATGGGCTCAGTCCCCCAGGGGACCATGTGTAGGAGTCAGCAGCTTTGAATCTGCCGCCTCCCTGTTGAGTGGCCTGTCCGTCTCCCTTCCTCCATCTCCCTTCTCTCTGCCTCTCATTCTCCACGTGCACCCTAGAGGCTTGTGACACTGCCCTGCCCACCTCCCAAAGGGCTGGGAAGGCCCCCACTGCTCTGAGGTGAGAGGACAGCGTGGTGACAACAGCAACCTCTGGTTGCCCCAAGCTGGTGCTTAACCTGATTCATTCATTTCTTCATTCATTCCTGTGTCCACTCAGCAAACATTTACTGAGCAACTGTCCCATGCCAGGTGCTGGGAACAGACCCAAGTGAGACCCATTCCTCCCTCTAGAGGCACGTGGTCAGACATGTAAGGTGTCTAAGACCTGTGGACAGCTGACCGCTGACCAGGTGGAGTCACAGCCTGCAGAGGCTCTGCCGGGCACAAAGCCAGAGGCTCCTGGAGCCAGGCTGGGGAGCGTGGCTCAGCCACCCTGGCCAGGTACCTCCCTCTGGGGGTCATTGTGGGCGGAGGGATTCCTCCCCCAGGGGACCGAGGCTTTGCCAAGCCACTGACCTCTTTGGCCACGTTTTGGGGATGCTCTGACCAGACCTCCTTGATCTCCAGGGCGCGTGGGTTGGAGGAAGTACTACGTGACAGCTGGGGGAGCCTGGCCCTTGTGTGGGTACTCACACATCCACTCTAACCCTTCTCACCACAGGTCCGGCCGCCCCATTAGCTTCATGGTGGTTTTCATCACCCCCAACCCCCTGAGCAAGATTTCCTGGGTCAACAGGTTACATTTGGCCAAAATCGGACTCCGTGAGTATAGCCCCAGGGAGAGTGCCTCAGGGGGCAGGGGTGTGGAACGGGGAGGTTTGGGGTGAGTGAGGGTACAGGATGGGTGTTCGGGGTCAGCGGGGGGCAGGGAGGCTTCTGAGTGGGAGGGAGGTGGTGCGGTGGAGAAACAGCTGGGGCCAGAGCCGGAGGCTCTGCTTTGTGACCCTGGACAAGTCACTTCCCCTCTCTGAGCCTCAGCTTCCCCATCCAGGAATTGATGGAACTTGACAGAAAGTAAATTAGTGGTTGCCAGGGACCTGAGAGGAGAGGATAATGGAGAATGACTGCTAGACTGCTAGGGGTTTTGGTGGAGGTGATGAAAATGTTCTAAAATTAGATGGTGGTGATTGCTCAACTCTGTGACTACACCAAAAATCAGTGGCGTGTGCACTTTAAAAGGATGCGTTTTATGGTAACTGGATTGTATCTCAATAAAGCTGTTACCCAGAAAAATGATGCAGGTTGGACTATACTGATTCTCAAAGACCAAAGACCTCGTTACTATGTTTTTCTTCCTGTGCACCCCATGGTATGAATACAGATACATAAATGGATATTTACATGCACTTTTCTGAGTATTTTTTGTGCATCTTTTTCATTTCACATTCACAGTAGCCTTAAGAGTTAGGTCTGTTGAGAATCTCTTTTTCCATTGAGGATTCTGAGGCCCAGAGATGTGCGGGGACTTGCCTGAGGTCACACAGAAGGAAGGGGCAGATCTGGGCCGCAGACCCTGTGTGGCCTGACTCCAAAGCCCAGTCTCGATCCCCATCCATTCTGCTTCCTTGGCTTGGCAAGAGTCTGTCTGCAGACTGCATTCATTAAGTTATAATTACTTTACTTGTCCATTTTTTGAGTTGGTGAGAGGCTTATGTCCCCTCCAGACAGAGCTATTATTCCCTATGATGTACTACAGTTCCCATTTGCCGATGCCAGCCAATAGCAGGAACGTTTTTTTATTTTTGTTTCTGGTATGATCTTTCTATAGAGAAGCTTACATTTTCAATAGGTTTTAACACATTTATGGAAGGCCGGGCGCAGTGGCTCACGCCTGTAATCCCAGCACTTTGGGAGGCTGAGGCGGGTGGATCACAAGGTCAGGAGATCGAGACCATCCTGGCTAACATGGTGAAACCCTGTTTCTACTAAAAATACAAAAAATTAGCCTGGCACACGCCTGTAGTCCCAGCTACTCGGGAGGCCAAAGCAGGAGAATTGCTTGAATCCGGGAGTTCGAGTTTGCGGCGAGCCAAGATCATGCCACTGCACTCCAGCCTGGGCAACAGAGCCAGACTCCATCTCAAAAACAAAACAAAACAAAACAAAACACAACAAAACAAACAAAAAGACATTTCTGGAAAGAAGTCAGGACCTTTGGCTGGGCGTGGTGGCTCGCGCCTGTAATCCTAGCACTTTGGGAGGCCGAGGCGGGCAGATCACCTGAGGTCAGGAGTTCGAGACCATCCTGGCCAACATGGTGAAACCCCATCTCTACTAAAAATACAAAAAAATTAGCCAGACATGGTGGCGCATGTCTGTAGTCCCAGCTACTCGAGAGGTTGAGGCAGGAGAATCACTTGAACCTAGGAGGCGGAGGTTGCAGTGAGCCAAGATCGTGCCACTGTACTCCAGCCTGAGTGATAGAGTGAGACTCCGTCTTAAAAAAAAAGAAAAAAAAAAGAAAAAAAAAAGAAGTTAGGACCTATGTCACTGGTTTTCATTAATGGAAAAAACTGTTGAGACTCTACATAGTTTTGGGCATGGGGGAAGAATAATGACAAAAACAGAGAGATCTCTGCTCTCAAGGAACTTAGATTTATGAGGGGCAGGCAGGTGGACATTAAATGGGGAGCAAATCTGCAAGCAGGTGTTATGCTGTACAGGGCATAGAGCTGGGCTGGGGCTGCCATCTGGGGGACCCCTGAGGCGGGGTCCTCAGAAGCTGCACAAATATCTGGTCAGAGTGATCCAGGTATGGGGATAGCAAGTACAAAGGCCCTGAGGTAGGGACAGAAGGAAGCCCAGAGTGGCCAGCACTGGCAGATGAAGGGGAGGGAGGTAGGTGGGTGTGTTGCGGGCAGGTTTTCTGGGAAGCCGGGGAGAGCCGTATGGGATTTGTTCTGGGCATGATGGGAAGCTGTGCATTATAGCATTGAGAGCTGGATAGTGTCCCGATCTGATTTTCATTTAAGTGGGTCATTCTGGCTGCTGTGGGGAGAGGGCATGGGAGGGGCAGGTGTGGAGGTGGGAGCAGGAATGGGGAGGGGTTGCCTGTGGAGGAACCTGGACCAGAGGCTTCTACTCAGCCCATCCCTTCTTGGATCCAGTGCTGATATTGCTCTGACCTCAGCTGGATGTTTCTGGGTGACCAGAAGGCCTTTGGAGGGTGCAGAAAGTGTTTTAAGCAGAAGCTGTCCTGTCCCTGGCAGAAGACTTTGGGAATCCTGGCCCTCAGAAAGGCTAATGTGGCTTCCCTGCCCCTTGGGCCATGCGCTCCCCTCCCCACCCCATGCATCACTTCCATCCTGAGAAGTGCCCGAGCCCCATGTTACACCTGCTTTAAAGGCAGATGAATGTCCTGTTTGAACCGCATGTGCTTTGCTGCATGGGGCTTGGTGCTGGAGGGATGGGAGACGGTGATTCGGGCAGCCCCAGCTCTTGGCAGCCTGTGAAGATGCTGGGCTGCCTTATCTCCACACAGCTTCACTGCAGCAAAAGTTTTAATGGAAGAAGAGTCATTTGAAATCTTATTTGAATGCCTGGGTTCCCCTGGGGCTTGAATAATTTGTTTCTTTTATTTTGCCAGTATTTTTTTTCTTTTTATCTGCAGTGGCTGGTTTGGGAGGGGATGATAATATGAGCCTGTTAGAAATAGAATATGTTAAAAACATTTATTCACAAAGGCTGTTATTCCTTTATTTTATTTTCTATATCTTCCTCCCTCCCTGACTACAGTGTGTCAGGATCATAATCTGAAGATTGAGAAAGGAGAGGGATGTGGTGGGGGAGCCTGCGATCTGGGAGAGGGGATCAGCTCTGCCCCTTGGAAGGGCAGGGAGCCCTGGGGAATCTGGGGACCCCGTTCAAACCCCAGCATGGCCACCACCACGCCTTGTGGTCCTGGGAAAGGCAGACTCCATCCTGAGACCCAGTTTTCCTATTTGTGAGTTGGAATAGATCTCCAAGGGCCCTGTTGCATTCTTTGGCACACAGGAAGGTTTGAGAGGCAGTAAGGGGTGGTCCTCAGCACCATGGGAAATGGAGCTAGACCATGTGGGTTCCGTTCCCAGCTCTGCCACTGACCAGCTCTGTGATCCCAGCAAACTAACTCTGAGATGCCTTGGATTTTCCACCAGAAAACGGGGAAAATGCCAGTGCCCCCTGCACAGGGCTCTCGTGAAAATGTGGGGAGATGGTGCATGGAAGATGCCTAGACAGCCAGCCCTTGGCACATAGGAGCTGTGAGAGGGGCTCCTAGGTCAAGGAGTGTCTGCATTTCAGATGGGGAATGGCCTTTCTGAGGTCACACGCGATTTAGTACAGGGCCAGGATATCTTCCTACCTCTTTCTACCGGTTAGGCTCTTGTTGGTAAAAGCTCCAGAACAGGGCTGCAGATGGAAGGTCCCAGAGAAGGAAGAGGTGAGGTAGGGGGCTCCCTCATTTCCCTCCTGTACCCTCCCCCGCCACCACCTGCTCTGCTCACAAAGCTGCATTGCTGCCTCTTACCCTCCCCGGGCCCTTGGAGCTCCTCCCACCCATGGCCCTTCTCATTCCCACCTCTCAAGGGGACATGGGCCTGGCAGGCCATGGCTAATGCCAAACTCACAGGGACATAACCAGGTGGCCCAAGGCAGTGAGCCTGAGCGCAGGGCTGGGCCCTCCCTTGCTGCCTCTCATTTGGTTTAGTTTTCCGGCCCATAGTCGTCACACTGACGCCAATATTCCTTCCGGGATGACTCCAGCTGTTGGGTCCTGAGCACAGCCCTGGCAGAGTGTGAAGTGTGTTCTAGACCTCAGCATGTCCTTGAACCCTCACTGCTGTCCCACAGGCTGGTGCTGGGATCTGCCCACACCCTGCAGCTGGAAGGGATGGGTCTCCTCTCCAGGAGTAGGGCCGAGGGCGTGGCCTTGGAGTCCGACCCTGGTTTTACCCCAGCTGGGAGACTGTGGCTACTTGCTTGGCCTCCCTGGACACCAGTGGCCCTCTCTGTAGGGGACAGGTGGTTGGATGAGATGCCTGCTGAGGTCCAGCCCAGCCTGACATCTGTGGCTGTGGCCAGCAGCATCTCCATGGTGCTGGGGAGGTGTGAGCGGTATCTTGAAGGTGGCTTTAAGTTTGGGAAGTTCGGGAAGAGCAGTAAAGGCACGATACTGGGACTGAGCCCAGTAGGAGTCTGGGAGGCAGGTCGGGCTGGAGAAGCAGGGCTGGGCCCGCGGTGGGCTCAGCTGCCCTCAGTAATAGCGACAGTCAGACCATGAGCAGCGAGGACAGTGACCACCATGGCTGCTATTTCCGGAGTGCCTGGTGTCTGCTGGTCATGATATATATGATTTCCAGTGCTCACAACTCCAGATGGTTGGCGTTCCTTCCCCCATTTTCTACATGAGGCCACAGGCTCAGAGAGGGTAAGCACTTGGCTCCGTGTCACATAGTGAGTTGGAGACTGAGGTGGGATCTGCCCGGGCCCTTCTAGCAGATCAGAGGGGATTGTTCTGAGGGTAGCGGGGGATCTGCAACCCTGGAGCTGCTCCCTGTGTCCCATGGGGAGCTCTCATGCCCAGGGGGTGTTGGCAAACAGAGCTGGGTGCTAAATAAGCCCCCACTTAGCGTCAACTGGAAATTGCGGTTCTGCAGTCGGTGCCAGTTCTTAATGTCACTTATCCCAAGCGGGCTTTCAATTTTCAGCGACAGCAGTCTTCTAATTTGGTCTCCGCCACTCTGGTTTTGTGACGGGAACAATGGCAGTGGCAGATGGGGAGCAACGACTCCATTTTCTTGTAACGTCCCCAGTCGCAGGCAGGGAAGGCACCATCTGGAAGGAGAAGGTCAGATCATTAAAAAAAATACGTATGAATAAATTGCCAGGACTTGATGGGCTATGGGTGTTCGGGGAGGAAAGAGAGGAGCTGAGCTCTGGGCGCCCTGGTGACAGGGGCTAGGGTGGGGAGATGCTCGCTCACCCAGCTCCTACAGGTTGTGGGGTGAGGAATTGGGGGTCCAGACCAGAGCTCTTGGCTGGTAGAGGTGAGGGTCTGCTTGATTGTAAGTTCCTTGAGAGCAGGGACAAGCTCTCAAATCTGGCCTATCTTTATTTGCTGCCCAGGGGCTTGTCCAAGAGGCAGCATGGCGAGCGCTGGCACACTAGCAGAGGCTAGGAGAGCCGTGCTGCCCCGGGACAAGGTGCGTCGCAGGCACCGTGCAAGGCGCCCCCGTGGGTTAGTTCCTTGGCATCTGGATCTTCCCCTGCTTTCCCCTTTCCTCTGCTGGCCAGCGTGGAGTGCGGATAGAAGGACGTATCTCCCGTGATGGCTGTGAGGATGCAGTGAGGCAGTGTGGAAACTGTGAGGTGCAGGGCACGTAGAAGTGTCTGTTATGGCAACGCGCGTGCCCTGTGTGGTCGTGCCCTTTCCCTGAGGGTCTCTTATGTAGGCCTTTCCTCCCTGGTGGCAGGGATCAGGTCTTACATGACTCTGTTTCCAGGGCCCAGCAGGGTAGAGGACCAGACATGGAGGATGCCTCTGGGCCCATTTCGGGAATGAGTTCACTGCTCAGTGACTCAGGCCGGAGGGTGTGAGCCCGCCGGGTGCTGGCGCCTTCACATCATCAAGCCTGACATTTGGGAATGTCTTTCACTTCTCAAATAGCATCCTCACCTGCCACCTCATTCCAGCTCCTCTTGCTGTGCCAGCATTCAGGTGCCACCTCTCTCGGGCAGTGACGGCATGAGGGCTGCTCTCAGGGTGGTCCTTCCTCACTCATGTCCAGCCCTTCTCTCTGACCCGGCAGGATCTCTTTGATGAAAGCGAGTCAGATTAACGTTCATGTCGTGGGTACATCTGACAAACCTGGAAAATGAGGCTCTGAGAAAAGAGACTTTTTGTTCATATCCCTAAATGTAGTGATGGTCTGTGGTGGGTCCAGCCCTGCGTGGGTGGGTTGGGTGAGGTGTAGAAGGAAATAGGGTGGGAGGTTTCGGCCTTCATAGAACACTGGCATGGTGGGGGAGCGCCTACCTCCATGTGCACACACACGCACGCGTGCACACGTGCACATGTGCACACAACGAAGAAGAGCCACACTGGTGGAGGAGCAGGGAGTAGCTGTGAGAGGTGTGATACCCTCCAATGGGCTGAGACGACAGGTGGTGGAGGCCAGGGCATGGAGACATGGGTGGTGCAGGCCTCTCTGAGAAGGAGAGGAGCCAGCCCTGGGGAGGTGAGGGGCAGCGTTCCGGACAGCGGGAACCTCTGGGCCCGTCCCGGCGAGGTTGCTGAGCACAGTCCAGCACGGTGGAGCCAGTGGCCGAGGGAGGAGGCTGGGGAGGGAAGGGACCTTCGCAGCTCTTCCAGGAGAGTTTGGATCTTATTCTGGGCTGACTGGGACTCCACTGATGTTTCCAAGCAGGGGAACGGCGAGGCCAGGTGTAAGTTTTAGCAGGATGGGCCTGGCTGCCGAGCAAAGATGACTGTAGTGTCAGGGGGCCCCAGTGTGGCTGGCGGGAACTCTCCGGCTGACCTGGCGCCTCCTAGGGGAGGGGCAGGCTCCGGCTGCCTGCGACAGAGCTACTCTAGCATCACCGTGCCCACAGGCCTCTGCGATGGAGCATCAGCGGGCGCGGTTGCTGAAGGCTGCCTGGTTTAGTCCAGAGAATTCAGTCTTGGGTGTCAGATCTAGGCCTGAATCTGGGTGCTGCCCCCTAGCCATGGCTGTGGCCTGGCCACGTTACTAAATCCCTGAGTGCCAGTGTCATCCTCTGTGGAGTGAAAATAATGATTCTGGCTGTGCTCAGCGATTGTGAAGACTAAGCCAGGGCATAGACGGCGGCGCTCAGTGTGGTGCCTGATGTGTGGGTGCATAGTAGGTGGTGTCTTCATCACGCTCATCCCTGCTGTGGGCTTGCTGGAAGGGAGTCCTCATAGGGAGTGTAAAGAAGGAAGGGATCCTCCGCAGGGAGAATTCTTCAGGACAGACGGTGGTTTATTCCTCCCTCCTTCCTTTTATTCATTCTTTCCAGCCATGTTTTCCGAGCACTCGCTATGTGCCTTGCAGTGTGCTGGGTGTCAGGGGACAGTGGTGAATGAGACAGTGCAGACCCCCACTGACTACAGCTTTGATATTAGAGACTTATGGAAATGGACCACGGATGATTTTAGATCATTATGAAGGCTGCGAGGAAAGTAAGACAGGGTCTTTAGAGTGATTCCTGAGAGAAGGGGCCACTGTAGTCAGGGTGGTCAGGGAGGACTTCTCGGAGGAGGGGACATGTGAGCAGAGCCCCGAGCCATGTAAAGGAGCCTCCACAGAGAACGAGGTTTAGCAGATGCTCTTTAGCATGGTGACCTCCCGTGGTGAGTCCTGGGTCTGGGGTCGGGTTAGGCATCTGTACTTGTAACGGGTCCCTGGGAGCTTTGAGGCCCAGCTAGGGTGGGTGAACTGGAGGCAGGCGGCTTCCTAATTTCAGGGTTGTCTTGAAGGAAGCAGGAGTGTGATTCTTCTGCATTTCCATCACCACCATGGTCAAGTGTGAGTGCCGCAATGGCGACCTCCTGTCCTCTGATCGTTCATGGTCTGTCTCCTACTCTGCAACAGAAATTCAAGGCAACAGGGGTCTGGACTCTGTTCAGCATCTTAACATTTTTTAAAAACCCTTTTACATCTATTATTTCATTTGGTCCTCACAACAACCACAGGACGAAGGCATTTCTAGCATTCCTATTTTCTAGGCAAAGAAATTGAGGCTCAGAGAGTTGGGGTGACTGGCACAGGGTTGTTCAGCGGTAGGGTGGTCAAGCTGGGACCTTGTTTTTCAACTCCCTGCCTGAGACCCTGGCCACGGCATCACTCCTGAGGCTGGATTTCATCTCAGTCCGGCAGGAGTAGGGTGGGGAGTGACTGGATGGGGCCAGGCTTCTGGGGCCTGCAGTGGCTCCCTGGGGCTTGGAGGGCTCCTCATGGCCCAGTTGGTCCTTGGACTCTGACCAGCTCTACCCACCTCCTTCCTCTTGCTGTAGGGGAGGAGAACCAGCCAGGCTGGCTATGCCCGGATGAGGACAAGAAGAGCAAAGCCCCATTCTGGTGCCCGATCCTGGCCTGCTGCATCCCTGCCTTCTCCTCCCGGGCACTCAGCCTGCAGGTGAGTGGAGCGGATCTTGCTGAGCCGACCTCGAAGGTGGCTGCGGCTCCCCCTCGCCTGGGAGAACCAGAGTTTCCAGGGAGCGCCCACAGCAGGGAAGGCTCAGGTTCCAGCTGTGGCTTCTAAATTCTTACTGACAGATTTGGTCAAGCCTTTTTGTTGCTTCGGGAATCAGCTTTCCCACCACAAAAATGGAGGCGAACGACCACTGTGGGTCAAGTGAATGGAAAATTCCATTATTTTGAGATAATAAACAGCAATGATCTCATCTGTTGATGGCATGGCTCCAGATCATGCCGAAGCGGCTGTGCCAGCCACTGTGGGTTGGGTGCTTTGTGGTTCGCCAGGCGGGAGCCGGCTTTGGCGCAGGGATTGCCCTCATCATGGAATGCTCCAGCGCCATCAGGCCTCCCGTGTATTGAGCACCTGCTGTGCCCCCTGGTTCTTTCCTGCTATTCTCTTATTTTAATATCTATAAGAACCTTGCGAGTAGATGTTTCTCTATCCATTTCACAGATAAGGAAACTAAGGCTAAGACAGGTGCTATGATTTTCCAAAAAGGACATAGCTAGTAAGAATTTGAACCTTGCCCTGCCTGATCACAACACCCAGGGTCTTAACCATGAGGATGTTCAGCCTTCACGGGTTACCTGCCCTTATACCCTGTCCTAGCTCGCCCTCCATCTAGAGCAATTACTGCCTCCCCTTTCCCAGGGAGATGAGGTCATCTCAGCTCCAGGGATAGGAGCACCAGTTGGGGACCCAGGCCCAGATTGGTGAGCCCCAAGAGATGCGCCGATTGGGCTGTAGACTGGGGATCTAAACAGCTGAAAGAACAAATCCTTGAGATATGAGTTCATTTGTTCACTTGTCCATTCTGCATGCAATTTTCTGAGCACCTGTTGTGTGCTAGACCCTGGGAATACAGTGGTGACTAAGACATAGAAGGTCCCAACCCTTATGTAGCTTTGAATCCTAGCAGGGAGAGAGAGAGGCAAAACCCCAGCAAGCCAAAGGAAATAGAAAAGAGTGAGGTGTGTAATAAAGACATCGGGGCCACAGTAGATACGTGGGTGGGCTGAGGTTCAGAGATGGCCTCTTGGAGGAGGTGGCATTTAAACTGAGAACTGAATGGCGAGAAGGATTCAGCCCAGGGATGGGAACAATATTCCCAGTAGACAAACCCACACAGAGGGTGCAGCAGAAACAGTGGGGGAAGCCAGGCGAGGCAGGAGGAGAGAGGGCGGGCCCCGAGGTTCGCTGGTGGGTGAGCTGGACCACGCCAGCCTTGCAGGCTGGGTCAGCTTTGGATTTTGTTCTCAGAGCAGTAAAAAGCCTTGGAAACAGATGTTTCCCAAGCTAGGGACTAGCACAATTTGATATATAGTTCGCATTTTTTGGATCCTTCTGGCTGGTGTGTGAGAGTGAATTGCAGATAAGAATGGATACCGGGACTGAGCGTGGTGGCTCATGCCTGTAATCCCAGCACTTTGGGAGGCTGAGGTGGGAGGGTCACTTGAGTCCAGGAGTTCGAGACCAGCCTGGGCAACATAGTAAGATCCCCATCTCTACAAAATAAAAATAAAAAAAAATTAGCCAGGTGTGCCATGAGCCTATAGTCCCAGCTACTTGGGAGGCTGAGGTGGGAGGATCGCTTGAGCCCAGGAGGTTGAGGCTGCAGTGAGCTGTGATTGTACCACTGCACTCCAGCCTAGGGGACAGAGTGAGACCCTGTCTCAAATAAATAAGTAAATAATACAAAAGGACTGGATGTCGGCTGGGTGAGGTAGCTCACGTCTGTAATCCCAGGATTTTGGGAGGCCAAGGCAGGTGGATCACTTGAGGTCAGGAGTTTGAGACCAGCCTGGCCAACATGGTGAAACCCTGTCTCTACCAAAAATACAAAAATTAGCTGAGCTTGATGGTGCACACCTGTAGTCCTAGCTACTGGAGAGGCTGAGGTGGAAAAAACACTTGAACCCGGGAAGCGGAGGTTGCAGTGAGCCGAAATCATGCCACTGCATTCCAGCCTGGGTGACAGAGTAAGACCCTGTCTCAAAAAAAAAAAAAAAAAAAAAAATGGACCTGGAGGGAGCAGCTCAGAGCTCAGCTCAGGGTCCTGCTGAGACGTGGCAAGACTTGATGTGGGCGGAGGCCAGGGCTGTGACTGGAGTAAGGCGCCTTTGCCTCAGGCACAAAATTTCAGCCGATGTCAAAAATCTCAATAATTAAGATAAATACTATTTTAATGCAGTGCGTAAATATAATCAAATCAGCAAATTTTTCCTTGTGGTTTGGCCGCTCTTTTTGTCTCTTGATACATAAAGGGCCAGGATTAGGGTGAGGCAAGTGAGCCAGGGTCGTGCAAGTGTAGGGTGAAGTTTTGTCTGTATTTAAACTTTTAAATAACTATTCAGTGTGGATTTTTTGCATTAATATTGATTTTTTTAAAGTTGCCTTACTCTCTCTCTATATATATACATTTTTGTGACTGAGTTTTTGGTGCCCTTTTAAATTTTGTACCCAAGCTAGGTGCCCCAGTCTATCACCCTAGTCCTGGCCCTGGTGGAGGCCGTCGGCAAGGGAGGTGGACACATTGGGGATGTGTTGGGGTGGGACAGGCTTAACTGGTGATAGATGGCGTATGCCAGATGGGGGGTTACCTGTGGGCCCTGGGGCCTTGGGCTGGAGGCAGCGACCATGGAGTAGGGAGTATCAGGGCCCACTGTGCCTGCGGCCAGCTTGGCCTTAGCGCATCCCTGCAGAAGGCTGGCCCTGGGTGACTTTATGGTGGGCGTTGGATTCTCCTGTCTCCCCCAGGGCCTTGGGTCTCTTGAGAGCACAGGATGCAGGCTGAGCCCTGACAGATCAGACCCCAGTGGTGGAGTCACAGAACTGGCCACTGCCTCCAAGGCCTCCCCAAAAGAAACCCCCATCCAGGTGGGGAGCCTCTGCCACCTCGAACCTGGGGAACCAGGGCCCACGAACCTCCTCAGTGCGAGCTCTCAGGGCCCAGGAATATGTAGGCCAGAAGCATCCTCAGTCCTGCTGGCCCCGGCTCACTGTCTCCTTAGGAGCGCCAGGGCTAGTGGAGGGAGGCGAGTGACTCTCTGTGGTAAGGGGCCTGTGGAGCTCCCAGAAGCCAGAGCAGAGCCTGCCTGGCTGCACTAGCTAGGCCTCAAATCGCTGTCCCCCTCTGCCCACACCCTACCCCACCCCACCACCAGTCCAGACAAATGTGCCCCATCAGCTGTGTGCTGGCAGCCTGATGAAATAGGGCCTGGGAGTACCAAGGCCCTGTCCAATTACTGCAGAAGCAGATGTGACTGTGTGAACCTCTGCCCAGGCCCCCTTCCAGCTCACCACGTTTCCAGGTGGTCCTGGGGCAGGGGGTGACTCCAGCTCTGGCTGGCCTCATGGCGAGCAGTGGCCCAGACTATTTGTCTAGGGAGGGCTTGGGCTGGGCAGAGGGAGTTGCTGGCCACAGTGTAGACAGGGTCGGCACTCTGTACCAGTGGATGAGGATGTGTTGGGTTCTTTCCTTCAAGGGATCAGGGGTGTTGGGGCAGGAGGCAGGAGTAGGTCTCTTGTCTGTGCTGACAGTGGCCCCTGCCCACGCTGGGCCACACCAAGGCCTTCTGACTCAAGGGAATCAGTTGGGAGTGTGAAGGAGCATCAGCAGGGGCCACCTGCCTTGGATTGAGTCCCAACAGTGTGACATCAGGAATGCTGCCTCAGCTCATGGTATCTTAAACTAGGGTGGTCACAGCACCTTCCTGACTGGGTCACCTTGAGGATTAAAGGATATGATTTGGGTCAAGTGCTTAGCCAGTTGCATGGGGTGCGCTCAGGGGTCAAGAAACAGAAGCAAACACCTGAGGACACCCTGGTCCCCAGGAAGGTGAGGACACCGGAGTCTATTCTGTGGCATTTCTGAACGCCTGACTACTACGGTGTCGAAGGTTCTTCTTGGACCCCTGGCTCCATCCAAGGGGGAATGCTGTCTCTGGAGGGGTGGCAGGAGGGCAGGGAGGGTTCAGCGCAAACCCATTTCCCTGATGGTCAGTCTCAGAGCCCACCTGGGGACAGGGCCTTGGGGATGGGGCTGGGGGTGCTGCCTGCTCTGAGATGCTTTAAAACTCGAGCACCTTGGGAGCCTAAGGGGTGTAGCCCAGACCCACAGGGGGTCTGTGGCCAGGCTTGCTTAGGCCAAAGCTCACAAGCTCATTGGGCTGTGTCTTGACCTTCACCAACCTCAGCCAGAACTGCTGTTGGCCGTGTACCCTGTCTCCTGCTCATCCTTGATGGCTCTGCCCTCATAGCCTTGCTCTGATGATGAAATGAGCTAAGGTGTGTGAAGTGCTAGAATATCCCATGAGAGGCCCTTGGTAAGCCTTAGTAGCTGCAGGGTACTGGGTACCTGGCCCTGGGCCGGGTGCTTTACACTTTCCCTCTCCAGTCCCCACGGCCATCCTGAGAGATTTCAGGGTCTCTGCTCTGTAGGTGAGGACCTGATTTGTTCAGTACCATCCAGATGGTAACCACTGAGCTGGGGCTGGAGCCGTGTTGGCTGTACCTAAAGCTGCTTCCCTTCACAGCTTCGTGCTCCCCTCCTCTCTTCTGCATAGGGTGCCTTGACTTCCCAGTTTCCTGGCACAGGCAAGACATTTAGGGGCTAGGGCCTTGCCTGTGAAGGAGAGGAGCCATTTGAGTATTTTCCACCATCTTCGACCCGGCTCTGTTGACTCAGCTGACATCAGGGCCCACTGGAGTTGCCATGGAAATGCCTCAGCAGGGGCTGCCGTGGCCTCGTCTCCACCAAGGGAGCAGAGAGAGCATCAGCCCAGCAGAAAGGGCATGCACCCTCAACTAGATGCTGCCACCAGGAAGCAGAGAAGACAGGGAGCCCAGAGGCCGGGCTTAGCGAAGCCCCCTGCTCTGAATGTGAGGACACACTTTTTCAGCAGGCAGAACTGGGGCCCCAGAGTGCCAAGGCCTCTGGTGTGCAGCCAGGCTTCTGGGGTAAAATTCAACCAGAATAGAAAGAGCCCTGAACCAGATGTTGAAGGTTTGAATTCTAGCCCTCACTCTGCCACTAACATGCTGTGTGACATTGAGCCAGGCACGCCTCCCTCTGACCTTCAAGTTGGCATCTGCGCAATGAGGAGGCTGGATGAGGTGACCTCTTAGGGCCCTCGCCCATGGCCATTAGAAATTTTGTTAGAATATTCTAACAATGGGTCCAGGGACGGCTGGGGCCTTTAGCACCAGCAGAGGGCAGCAGCTGCCTGGAAAAGGGCCCAGTGGTCGGCTGCATCCTCCTTCCAGCCAAGAGCAGTCTCTACTCTGTCTTCTCCTTCAGTGTGGCCCATGAGTGGGCCAGGCCATTTCCTAGAATTGCTGTCCTGGCCAGAGAGAGGGACTGACCAGGTCTAGCTCAGGAGACAGGCCTCAGAGAGAGGCCACCCAACATGGGGTCTGTGGCAGCTGATTCAGGGGGGAGCAGGCGGAAGGTGGTTACTGGTGACAGCGGTGACAGGCTGAGCCCTGGTTTCTGTGCGTGGCCCTCACAAGCCGCCCAGCCCTGCCACTCACCTCCTCTGTGGTCTAGGGTAGTCACCTGCCCTCTGTGACCCTCATTTCCCTGTTTGTAAAATAAGGAGGGGTGGGTGGCTTTCAAGAAATCTTATCTGAAAGCTGCTCACTTTCAGAGACCCTGGGCTGATACAGAGCCTCTTGCAGGCCTCTTCTAGCCGGAAGGTTCTAGGAAAGGAAGAACAAATGTGAGCGTGTAGGAACTGCCTGGAGAAGCAGGCACTCGTGAAGCATGTTGCTTTCCTGGCCCCCACCCACAGGGATTCTAATCCAGGGAGAGTTGGATGGGGCCCAGGAATCTGCCAAATATTGGCATCTGGGCACCTTGATGATTAACCTCACATGTACCGTCTCTGTCTCTGCAGCTTGGGGCCCTGGTCCACAGTCCTGTCAACTGTCCCCTGCTGGGTTTCTCAGCAGTCAGCACCTCCCTTCCACAGGGCTACCTCTGGGTGAGTCACCCCCCTGCCCAGCTGGGCATTCTGGCCTCAGGACAGGAGTAGGGAGAGCGGCACCTGGGAGGGGGTGCTGGAGACAGCAGCTGCCTGCCTCATCTCATGCAGCTTCATCCACCAAGGTCTTCCTGGGCACCTCTGGTGCCAGGCACTGCATTTGGAGTTGGGAGGTGCAACCTCATCTGGGGCAACAGAAAACCAGGGAGCTAAAAAGAGAGTGTGCCTTTTGCAAATGGTGACAGGGCTGAGAAGGAAGTGAAAGGGGGAGCTGTGCAGAGGACCTGGGTCTCAGGATCTTCACCCCTGGAGTCAGGAGGCAGGGCTGGCTAGTGCCCTACTCATGCAGACATTCCAGCCCACCTTTCTATCCTTGGGCTTCCTGGCAAAGCCTCCCTTGATTCAAGTGAGGTACCCTCCACTATGTTCCTTGTGCTGCAAATTGTGCCCTGTCATTGCTGCTTCCCTTCTGAGAGTGATTTGTTCCTCATCATTTCCCATGATCTAGCACATGGTATATCCATCCATCCATCATCCATCCATCTATCCACCCACCTATCCATCTATCCATCCACCCACCCACCTACCTATCCATTTATCCATCCAACAAGAATATATATTTAATCCATCCATTTATTTATCTGTCCATCCATCCACCCACCCACCCATCCATTCATTCACCGATACATCCTTCCATCTATCTGTCTATCATCTGTCCATCCATCCATCCATCCATCCATCCATCCATCCATCCATCTATCCATCCATCCATCCAACAAGAATATATTGAGTATGTATCTATCATATGCTAGACACAGAGGTAAAACAATGGTCAACACAGAGAAGGGCATTTTAAAGGGATGGAGTAGATGTTTACTTTATATTGGTTGAAATGCACCCTGCAGAGGAGGAAATAGAAAGCTGACTGAGTATTTAGTCCACCTTAGCTCCTTACCTGATTTCCTGTGGGCCCTGAAGCTTATTTGTTGCCATGGCAGCTGGGGATAAATGACCTTTGTGAAGGCAGGATGTGTGTGGGCAGGAGAAGGGATGCTTCTCTCAGGGGATGGGGTCCTTGGGAAAGCAGGGGCTGAGGTCCTCCTCTGCTCCCTCCTGTGGTTCCCACCTGATGGCCTCTCTGGGTCTCTGCTCCCAGGTCGGGGGCGGACAGGAAGGCGCAGGGGGCCAGGTGGAAATCTTTTCCTTGAACCGGCCCTCGCCCCGCACCGTCAAGTCCTTCCCACTGGCAGCCCCTGTGCTCTGCATGGAGTATATCCCGGAGCTGGAGGAGGAGGCGGAGAGCAGAGACGAGAGCCCGACAGTTGCTGACCCCTCGGCCACGGTGCATCCAACCATCTGCCTCGGGCTCCAGGATGGCAGGTGAGGGGCCCGGAAGGAGGGGTGAGAGCAGCCTCTGCAGGGCTGGGCAGTGGGTGGGGGCTGTCCCTGTAGCCTTCCGGATCTGCCTGTTGCCCACCAACATTCTCTGCCCCTGGTCTCCAGGAAGGTGGGCACCAGAGCTGCCCAGTGTGGGAGCCAAAGTGTCGGGAGCGGCCTGCAGTGCAGTTGCCTGGCTCCTCCCAGGCAGAATGGCTGGCTCTTTTGCCTCCCTGAGTCCTCTTCGTGACAGAGGTGTCAGGGAGGGTACCGTCCCAGAAAACCATGGAAAAGTGAGCTCCCGCATGGTGGAGCTATGGCCTGGCCACACAGCCGAAAGGCGTGGCTGAGAGGGGTCAGCTCCCTGGGGCCCTCTCCCTAGGAGGGCATGGGGGCAGTGAGTGGGTGGGAGTGCTCAGTGTGTCATGACCGCTTCTCCAACCTCTCCCCGCAGCATCCTCCTCTACAGCAGTGTGGACACTGGCACCCAGTGCCTGGTGAGCTGCAGGAGCCCAGGTCTGCAGCCTGTGCTCTGCCTGCGACACAGCCCCTTCCACCTGCTCGCTGGCCTGCAGGATGGGACCCTTGCTGCTTACCCTCGGACCAGCGGTGAGGACTGGGGGGAATGGGGGAAGGGGGGCAGTCCTGGATGCCAGCTGGGTGCCAGATTCTCTACCAAGAGAGGATACAGGAGGCTGGGCAGGAATGAATTGGGAAATCTCAGTGCTGAGGGCATTTGGAGATCCGTGAGCCCCGCTGGGGTTCAATGGGTGGTCCCCCATATGTGAATACCTGCTGGAATAGGGTGCTCACTACCATGTGGGCAGTGGAACCTGTTGACAGGAGACTGTAGTGGATAAGAGAGGTACTCGCAGGTTGGAGAGACCTGGCTTCCCGTTCAGGCTTTGCCCGATGACAGCTGTATCCCTTGTTGCGTGGCCTCCCTTCTTTGGTGCCTGGGACTCTTCATGAGAATAAGGGCAGTGCCCACCACTCATGGGTCCTGGAGGGTTAGACAACTCCATGAGGGCAAAGCACAGGGCCAGGCCAAGGGCTCAGTGGAGTCAAGTATTTCCATCTGGGTTGTTTTATTGAGCCATCCCTAGCACAGGTTACGATGTCAGGAGGGCAGGAGGGCAGGGCTAACCGTGTTTGGACTGCTGTGCTCCAGGGCAGGGGTAAAGTGCTTAATGCGTGTGTGTTATCTTAATTCTCATGCACCCCTTGAGAATTTCCTTTGCTTTACTGAGATGATGCTGACTGGAGACCAGACGCACCTTCTCCCCAGCCATGTGGAGTGCTGTGGTCCCCATCCTCTGGGCTTGTTCAGCCCCGATTTGATGAAGGGGGCTGAGTAGAGAGTGTAGCCAGCCCCCAGTCCCCTGGAAGGGGCAGAGGAGCCTGAAGGGCCCGCAGCGTCTCTTCTCCCCTGCCTTTTCCGCCAGCCAGGCTGTGATTGCCGCGTCATCACAGCCTGTTACAGGGTTATAAACGGATATTTGTACTGAGCTAATTTTTTTTTTTTTGCCACTTGGCACTGTGTTGGTATTTTTAATTAGCTTTTGATAAGGCATTTATAGTTTTTAATTAAAGGGGGAAGAGGGAGGGAAAAAACCCTTCTCACCGTCAGACAGAGCGTGCATGTGAATGTAAATATGGGCTCAGATCTGCGGAGACTCATGGGGAGTTCTAGAGCGACCACTCCCAACCGGCTCCCACGGAACACTGTGAGCCCGGCCTGTGCCACCCTGGCGCTCTGGTCCCCAGCTTGGGTTGGCTTTGGCCCATTCCCTCTTACTGCTCGATTCACCAGTTTGGGCACCTGGGTTGGAAGGAGGTGAGGCTGCCCTGACAAGGACCACAAATGGCAGACATGTAGCGTCGCATATCCTAGAGGCTGGAAGCCTGGGGTCCGTGTTTGGATGGGTCATGTGCCCTCAGAAGGCACTAGGGAAGGGCCTTACTCCCAGCTGCTTCAGGTGTTTCCTTGCCTGTGGCAGCAGAACTCCAGCCTCTGCATGGTGTTTTCCCTGGCTGTGTGTCTGTGTGCAAATTTCACTTTTTTATGAGGACACAAGTCATATTGGATTAGGGACCTGTCCCTCTCCAGTATGAACTCATCTTAACTAATTACATCTGCAATGACCTTACTTCCCAAGGAGGTCATATTCTGAGGTACTGGGGGCTGGGACCTCAACATACAGATGAGGAGGCACAGTTTACCCCAAAACATGGGGTTTGGGGTCCACCCATTGGCTTCTAGTCTGGGGTTGGAGCCTGTTAGTCAGGACCAAAAGAGCCACTGGGACCATTGAACCCCACGCCCTCATTTTCTGGATGGGAGCAGACTGTCCAGAGCCCCCTGACTGAGCTGAACCTGCACCCAGTACCCTGCCTCCCAGGCTGAGCTCTCTGCAGATGTGAGGGGGCTTTGGCTTGTCCAGGTAGAGTGGAGGACATGGGGTCTGAAGGCTGAGATGTTCTACCAGCTTTCCTGCCTTGCAAACATGTGTGTACCAAACGCTTACTGAGCACGTACTATATGCCATGGACACAGTGGTGAGCAAAATGGACAGGCCGCCTGCTCTCATGGAGCTTACAGTCTATAGAGGGAGAGGGAATCGGTTAGTAAACAAGCAGAAGTATAAGACTGTACATGATGCCGAGGGCTCCGACGGAAAGGAAAGAGTGTTGTGTGAGAGCCTCACTGCCCAAGTGTGGGGCAAGCTGTGCTGCAAAGGCCTCCCTGAGGAGGGGGATCCTGGGGCTGAGATCTTAAGAAGCCAGGCAAGTGGAGAGTTGGGGGAATGGTGTTCTTGGTAGAGGGAACAGTATACGCAAAGGCCCAGAGGCAGGAGAATGCTTGATTTGGTGGGGGAACCCGGAGAGGAAGCCATTTTGCTGGACAGCTGGAAGAGGAAGTGGCACTGGGCGTGACCCGGGGGCAGACAGAGCTGTTTGCGAGGGCTCCAACTTGTCTCAGTGTGTCAGGGAGTAGAGAGGCATGTTAGAGGTGGCCAAGCACTGGGTTCCCTCTGGCTGGTAGACAGGAGGGGAGGCAGGTTGGCTGGCTGGGAGGCTGAGGCACCACCTGGGCAGGTGAATTTGGTGGTCACGCTCTCCCAGTGAACCTACTCTCTGGGTGTCCAGTTTGGCTGTGGCCAAGGAGGCCCCTGAGAAGGGGCTTGCCTTACCTGGTCTCCCCACCCGTACCCAGTGGTATCTTTCAGAGGTGGCCCAAGCAGGCAGCTGTGTTCTCAGGACCTGCTACATGGTATGTGGTGGGCAGGATTCACCCCCATCACCTTCCACCTGGATTACATGCGGCCAGGTCTTGAATCATCCACCTGGTCCGTGACCAGCTGTGGGACTGGCATCAGCTTGGCCCTCATCCAGATTCACTGAGGCCTTAGATACCCCTCAGATACCCCCACCCATCCCAGCAGCAGAGCCAGGGCTTGGAACTGCACCCGCATCAACCTCGCAGGCTCTGTATCAACCTCAGAACCCACCATAGTGGCCCTGGTGGTGTGGAGGGTCCAGGGATTGTGAAAATCTAGACCCCTCATCTTCGTCTAGAAGCAGGTACTCCATGAAATATTTGCTGGTGTTTGAAGTGACATGTTCACTGTCCTGCCGGGTTAGGCTGAGACCAAGACTGGCATTCCTGCTAAAACTGGCATTCCTGGCCATGCTTTGGCTTATTGGAGAAGGACAGGACCAGACACATATAGGTCTGTAGGACAGAACCCACAGAACCAGCAGCTGAGAGTAGACTGTCCAGGCTCCAGGGTGACCAGGCCACGTGGAGGAATGGACTGGCAGAGCTGGAGTGGCCTCAGAGTCCCACCTGCAGCTGAGAGACAGGGAAACTGAGGCCAAGAGCAATGTGGCCATGGCAGTCACTCTGCTGTCCTCAGGAGCATCTGCTTGTTCTCATTCATTCATTCACTCCTTCATTTGCTCAAGAAGCCAGTGCCCCTGAGGTGTCAGGCATGCAGCAGGGTGCTGGGGCCCGGAGCTGAGACAGCCGGCCACTGTCCTTGCTGGCGTGCTACCTGGGTTCTCCCCTGCCTCTGAGAAGGCACAAGGGCATTGCCACGCCTTGGGTGGGGATGCGGGACTATCCCTGGTTGGGCGCTGGGGCTGTGGTTCGGAGTCCCCCCTTGAGGAGGCAGATGGCATAATGGGTAAGGGATGGGTTGGGCATCAGGCTGCCGGGATTGAGTCCTCACTGTGAGAGCTTGGGCCTTTCCTTTGCCCCTCTAATCCTCAGTTTCCTCACCCGTGAAATGGGGGTGTGGACAGCCCCACTTCATAGAATGGTTGTGAAGGGTAGACATGGCAATTCCCACGAGTGCCGCGACACAGCCTGGAGGATTGGCACCTCCCACGTGTCCCTTTATCACAGTCATCATCATCACAGTCGCTATTTACTGTCACCAGGCAGGGGCTGCCCTTTGGGCCCCTCTCAGCCGTGATGACTTTCACTCTGGGACCTGCTCTCTGGCTCCAGCCCAATCTCGACCCCTGAGGGAGACCCAGGGGCTTTCTCCACTGCTGGCTGGGGGAGGAGGGATGCCAGCCTCCTGAAGGTGCCTTTGCTGAGACAGGGCCTTCATCTCCCTGGCGCTGGCCACAAGAGCTGGTGCCAGGCCCAGAAGAATGGGCTGTCATACAGGGGCAGGCTTGTGCGTGTGGGTCTGTTTTCCAGAATATGTGCGTGCTTTCCCACAGCCACTGGAGGGTAAGGTGAGGAGGGGGTGGAAAGGGCGGGGCTCCCATCAGGCAGGGGCGGCTCTCACCAGAGCTCACAGCAATTGGGTTTAGGATCTCAGAATCACAGTGTGTGAGAGCTGGAAATAATCTCAGAGGACAGAGTTTTGTCCTCATGGTGCAGATAGGAAAACTGAGTCCCAGCAAGGGGAAGTCTCTTGTTCAGGATCCCACCATGGGCCCTCTACTCAGGGACTCCTGTCCAGTGTCCCTTATGAGCTTTTTTCTGAGACAGAGTTTCACTCTGTCACCCAGGCTGGAGTGCAGTGGCACTCCACTGCAACCTTGGCCTCCCGGGTTCAAGTGATTCTCCTGCCTCAGCCTCCCGAGTAGCTGGGATTACAGGCGCACACCACCACACCCAGCTAATTTTTGTATTTTTAATAGAGAAGGGGTTTCACCATGTTGGCTAGGCTGGTCTCGAACTCCCAACCTCAGGTGATCCGGCCGCCCCGGCCTCCCAAAGTGTTGGGATTACAGGCGTGAGCCACCGTACCCGGCCTTTATGAGTTTTTTGATCTATCAGTATTAGCATTATTAAATTTGATCACAGTTCATCATTCTGCCCTGGAGTCGACTTCTTAGAGGATTTCTGGAGACTCCCAGCAAATGCAGGAATGGCATTCATGCAGTCCTTAGGGTTTTAGACCCTAGCTCCTACCCTAGGCTTCCACAGCGAGGCTCTGTTCCAGGGGAGTGGATGCAAGGGCTCCGGTGGCTATCACTGTTGGATAGAGCCCCACTTTCCAGTTTTGGGGGGGTGTTTTCTCAGCATCCCTAGCTGCTTTTTCCCTGGGAGGGGTCCCAGCCCCCATCTCAGCCATAGCAGCCTAATTAGACTCCAGCTTCCAGCCACGAACACTACTCACCTCTGGCCACTGGGGGGCGCTCAAAGCCTTGCATTTTCTTGGCTCCAGCCTCCTGCTGTGGACCAGCATCCCTGGCGGAGCCCTGGCCGCCTTCGGGTCACTCGCCCCTCCTGGACACCAGGCCCAGCTGCAGAGGCCTTCAGAAACCTGAGAGGGCAGTGGGGTTGGAGAAGCAGGCCAGGCCCAGAGTCAGACAGAGCCGAGTTCAAAACCCGTCTGGCCTGTCACCCCTTGGGTGTCTTTGTGCAAGGCCTTAGCTCCATGGGTCGCCGTTGTCACGTTGGTTAAGTGAAGTCAACACTTGCTTCCACACACTGTTGTGTTGTGGCAAATGGCATCAAACAGTAAGAGCCACGGACACAGACTCCTCTGTAGCTGAGTGAATTGGGGTAGTTATTTAAACTCGCTGTGTCTCGGTTGTCTCCGTTATGAACAGGGATAATAATAGTATCTACCACACATGCTTGTTGGGAGTTAAGGAAATAATTCAAGGAAGGAGGGCCTGGTGTGCGGACACAGAACGCTGCGTAACAACCGCTGTCAAGACCCTGACTGTGTGCCCAGATAAATATTCTTGCATATTGTATTGACTCCCTGCAACATCCGGAGAAGGGCAGGCGTGGTTATCATGCCCAGTGTGCAGATAAGGGAAACTGAGGTCCAGAGAGGCGAAGCCCCCGTCCAAGTTCACACAGAAGTTCTGAGGCCGAGGACTGCCCTGCTCTGCCTGCTTCCCTTGGTGCTCACGCTGGCTGGCCGGGCAGAGCGCTCTGTGTGCCTGGAGGTCGAGGGGAGTCCCTGTTCCCCTGCTTCTTTGCGGAGCTTGGATTCTGCCCATTTTAAGTAGGGCATAAGGGCAGAAGGGGAACCTGTTTTATAGATGGGAAAGAGGTGGGGAGGGAGGGAAAACTGGGCCTGGCAGAGCATGGGGTAGGCCAGGGTATGGTAGGGAAGGATGGGGAGGGGGTGGGAGTCTAGTTTGGCTCTTGTGACCACACCCCAGCAGTGGCTTCCATCACGTACCCTGGGGCCCTTCCGGCTTTGGAGACAGCTGTGCCCCATCGTGCCACCAAGCAGCTGGCTCAGAGGGGAAGGGTCTGCCTGTGATGGGCTGCTCTGTACTCTTACCAGGGACCCAGTGGAGGGCAGGTGGGGTAGCAGGGCTCTGACAAGCTCACAGCTAGCTGTGTCCTGCCTTCTAGTCCCCCGCCACTGCTGCCTGTCTCTCCAGAGCATGCCATGGCCCAGGCTGCTCCAGGCTGGGACCCAGCTTCCTCTTCAACCCCCCTTTCCCACCTGGCACCCTGACAAGACAGGGCAGCCACCGGGGTTCTGTGTGGCATCAGGTGTGACTTCTGAGAAGAAACAATCTTGGCGCGCGCCGCTTGGATGCCGGAGAAAATGGTTCTTGGGTGCGCTGATCATCCCAGGGGAGGGGAGGACCTTGCTTGGGCCAGGCTCCTAGGTCTGTTTGGTTTTCAGGGATGGCCGACTGGGGATTCATTGCCTCTCAGAACATCCTCTGGATCAGGCACGGTGGCTCATGCCTGTAATCCCAGAACTTTGGGAGGCCGAGGTGGGTGGATCACTTGAGGTCAGGAGTTCAAGACCAGCCTGGCCAACATGGCAAAACCCCGTGTCTACTAAAAATACAAAAAATTAACTGGGTGTGGTGGCGGGCGCCTATAATCTCAGCTACTTCGGAGGCTGAGGCAAGAGAATCGCTGGAACCCGGGGAGGCAGAGGTTGCAGTGAGCCAAGACTATGCCACTGCAATCCAGCCTGGGAGACAGAGTGAGATTCTGTCTCAAAGAAAAAAAAAAAAACAAAAAAAAACCACCCTCCACCTCACCTGGCAGCAGTGGTGTTTCTGGAAGAGAAAGAGATCTTGGTAAATTTGACAGAAGTGCCTTGGAGTCGGCCAGAAGATTCATGAGAAATCAAGATTCAGTCTAGATAAGCTACAGCATCAGAAAAGTCCTCAGAGACAATCTTGTCAGCTCCCCACCCCATTTTACAGATGGGGAAACTGAGGCCTCGTGAAGGGTAGAGATGTGCTCAAGGTCCTTAGCAAGTTAGTAGTAGCAGAACCAGGGCCAGACCCCAAGTCTCCCGATTCCGGGTCCAGGACACTTTCCACCATATCATGCTGCCTCTTCTGAGAAGCCTCCCTGGATTTCCCCTGGTGCAGAGTTAGTTCCTTCCATCTCAGCAGTTCTCAAGGCCCTTGTGCACACCTGCTCATTTGTGCTTGGCGTGTCATGTGATAACTGTTGATTAACCTGTTGGTTGCTCTGACCAGTGGGGCTTCCTAGAGGGCGAGACCTGTGTCTGATTCCTTTCTGTCTTCCCAGCACCCAGTGCATGGCATGGGTGGAGTAGGTGCTTACTGCATGTGTGCGGAATGAATGAATGGGAGAGAGGGAAAGAGAGAGAGAGGCAGGGAAGGGAAGGGGGAAAGAGAATGGAGGGAGGAAGGAAGGGACGAATCTGAGAGTAGGGGTGGCTGGGTGTGGGACATGAATGGTGGGAGTCGGAGGCAGATGGGGACAGCCACCACCCAGCTGATGGAGAGAGAAAGGCCCTGGAGAGCGGGGAGAGGGTGTGGGGGGCCCTGCTGAGCCCCCTGCTGCTGGCCTGCGTTCCCAGGAGACCTGCTTGCCGCTCCTGGCCCCTGACCTGCCTCCCCTCTCTCCCTGCAGGAGGTGTCCTGTGGGACCTGGAGAGCCCTCCCGTGTGCCTGACTGTGGGGCCCGGGCCTGTCCGCACCCTGTTGAGCCTGGAGGATGCCGTGTGGGCCAGCTGTGGGCCCCGGGTCACTGTCCTGGAAGCCACCACCCTGCAGCCTCAGGTACTGCACTATCCTTTGGCTTGTGGCCCTGGAGGCCTGCCTTCCTTTTGCTGACCCTTTCTTATGTCCACCCCGGCACCGCTTTCAGCTCCCAGTGGCATTCCAAGGATCGATTGGGCAGAGTTTGTCCGGAAGCAGAGGGGGCCCAAGGTCCCTATTGGGCCTGACCTCTTCCTCTGCCACACATCGCCAAGGCTACCAAGAACAGAAAGTGCCCAGCTGCACTGCACTGTGGCCTGGATCCTGAGTTGTGTCGGTTGCTGCCTGTGGAAGTGGGATTGGGGTCCCTGTCCTTGGACTGGTACCCAGGACTTGTACCCACAGAGCCCGGGCAATGCTGAGGGTGTGGCCAGGGTGGATGCAGCCATCCGCTGGGCTCTTCAAACCACATGGAGGGAGAGGCTGCCTGGGTCCTGCCTTGCCCTGGTTCCAGCACTGCCCATGCCTTGGCCCCCAGGATGAGGGACTGGTCTGGGGGGCTCATCCCTGGCTCAGCCTAGGCCCGTGCCTGTCTCTGACCAATAGCACTGCCCGCTCACCTTCACACCTGCAGTCCATCCTGGGCGGGAGACTCAGCATGGTTCCCCAAGAGGTATTTTGGTGATATTTGATTTGTTTGGATTATCGATTGCAATGAGTCGCCACCTGGCCTGGAGTGGAGCTCTCCCAGGGCGCTCCCTCATGAGGGGCAGTCTTCATTCGCCTGCCTAGTTCTCTCTCATGCAGCTGTAAATCAGCTGCTCAACAGCCTGGCAGAGACACTAAGTGGAGTCCTGGGATCTTAAGAGCACAGATGATCAGGGCTGGGCTCCAGATGACACAACTCTCATTTGACAAAGGGGGAAACTGAGGCACGGGGCCTTATGGATGAGCTCTGAGACTGGGGGCTGAGTCTGGGGGATGTGGTCCGCCCCTTTCCCTGGCTTGCTTTTCTGGTGTTGTAGCAGCACAGAGGTGTTGTCGTTGGAGCCGGACCTACCAGACCGTCTTTCAGTTCTGCCACTTACATCTGGGCGCCTCTGTGCTGGCTCCCGTGGGAGCACGAGGCTTCCAGTCTGTAATGGGAATAAGTGTCCCGTTCCTGGAATCCTTTTCCTTACTGTATCAGTCAGGGTTGTCCAGAGGAACAGAACCAATGGAACGTATGTGAGTGTGTGTTTGCGCAAGTATATGTATACACACGTATATAGAAAGAGACTTATTATAAAGAGTCGGCTCATGGGGTGATGGAGGCTGTGAAGCCCCAGCATCTGTGGACAGCAAGCTGGAGACCCAGGCGAGCTGCCGGCATAGTTCAGTGTGAATACGGAGGCCTGGGAACCTGTGAGCCGGTGGTGTGCCTTCCAGTTCAAAAGCTGGGAGACCTGAGACCCCAAAAGAGCTGATGCTTCAGTGTGATTCTGAAGGCAGGAAAGAACCAGTGGAAGGTAGTCAGGCAGGGAGCGAATTCTCCCCTCCCAGCCTTTTCCATTCAGGCTTCAGCAGATTGGGTGAGGCCCACCCACACTGGGAAGGCCATGTGCATGACTAAACCTACCATTCAGATGCTAATCTCATCTGGAGACACCCTCACAGACACACTCAGAGCCACGTTTAACCAAATATCTGGGCTCCTCGTGGCTCAGTCAAGTTGACACATAAAATTAACCATCTCTCATGGAGTGAGATGATGCTTGGAAGCCATGGTACCTGGCCAGTTGCCAGCCCAGGAGATAATTGATCAGCAGCTCTTCCTGGGTGCTGGGAAGGGGAGGTGGAGTTACCCAGCCCAGCTCCTTAGACAGAAGGGAGAGGCAGTGCCATGTGCAGGACCAGTGGGTGAGCTTTTGCTCTTTTGAGGAGCAGGGGCCTGGGGGCTGATGGTGACTCTTGGGCTGGGCACCCTTCATGGGCAGCATGAGCTCCAACCTCATCTCCTGGACTCATGCCAGGACCTGGCAGTGAGGACCTTTAACCTCACTGGTGCTACTGGGCTGGGCCAAGGGACAGTGAGACACCAACAGGAGGGAAACTCCTGCCTTAGCACTCCCGGTTCCTCGGTCCCCTTTCTCCCCCAAGAACAGCTGGAGCAACTGCAGCTGCAGACTCCCTTCCCAGCCCCTGGTTCATGCTGGGGGCTTCCCTGCTATCCCCCCAGCCCACCTCACCTCATCCCTTCCCAGCCCCTGGTTCATGCTGGGGGCTTCCTGCTCTACCCCAAGCCCACCCCACCCCCTCCCTTCCCAGCCCCTGGTTCACGCTGGGGGCTTCCCTGCTATCACCCCAGCCCACCCCACCCCATCTCTTTCCTCCAAGGGCCTTGCACTTCCTTGGCCTTCTGAGAGGAAGGTGAGCGAGGAGCACTAGCTTTCCCAGGCCCTTTCGGGTCCTCTGACCCATCTGGGTCTCAAGCCAGGAAGGACATGTCTGACCCCTTGGCCTGCCTCTCCCAGTAGCCCCCAAGTGTCTGAGCACTGTCCTCACAGCAGGTCTGACTGCTCTGCAAGCGGTCTCCTGCAGACCCCCTAGCACAGCGTCTGACTCAGCCCAGGAGTATACTGGTGGACAGGTGCTCGGCCTGTAGGCCTAGTGTGCTGGGCGCCCATTCAGGGCAGTGGTGTGAGGAGGAAAGGAGGCCCAGCCTGCTCTGGGGGTCTCCAATCTGCTGGGGGAGACCCAGCCCTTGGGGCAACCTTCAGTCTGATGTGGAAGACACAGCCTGTCTTTGGAGGTGGGGGCTTCAGTCTGTGGAGAGAGACACAGCCTGCCCTTGGAGGGCCTCCAGTCTAACGGAGGAGGCACAGCCTGCCCTTTGAGGGCCTCTAGTCTGATGAGGGAGACCCAGTCCCTGTTCTCAATATTGGGGGGAGTGGGGCCCGAGACAGGAAGAAGCCGAGAACAGAGAAAGAATGGGATGGGAGGGTGCAGGCCCTCAGCCCCCTGTTGGTCAGAGGACATTCTCTCAGTGCTGCCAGTAGGAGAATTGGGGCACACCAGGTAGGAGGCAGCTCAGGAAACAGGAGGCAGGGTAAACTGAGAGGGGTTTCCAAGGAAGAATCTTTTAATGAAAGGGTCTGGAGGGAGGGGAAGCCAGAAATTACAGGCAGGGGCCTGCGAGAGCAGAGAAGTGGCTGCCGGCTGCTGGCAGGGGAGGTGTGAGTGGCGCGGCCCCAGGGCACAGAGCTGCCCCTGTGAGCTGGGCCTGTGGGGCTCCTCCCAGGCTCTTCAGGCAGCTCAGGAGCACTTGAGACTTCAGGAGTGGGTAGGACTGGGGAGGCGTCATTGAAGACAGCAGCCCTTGCCTGTGTCCCGGCCACTTCCAACTCCGGGCAGCTGGCACCCTACCCCCTTGGAGGTGTGCAGTTGGAGAGCAGGCTGCTTCAGACGGGACCGTAGCTGTGCCCCTGCCAAGCTATGCAACCTTGCATAAGTCATGGAGCCTTCCTGGGCCTCAGTTACTTCATCTGTAAAATGGAATGAAAACAGTACCAGTGGGGAGTTAGCAGGAGGACAAACCGAGAACATTCAAGCGAAAGGGCCGTTTCACACGGTCTTGGCACGTGGCGAGGGCAGGGTGAACATTATTTGCTGTCATTGTAATAATTTACCTATCTTAAATCCGCATTGCTGTATATGTCGTTTATTTGGAAAATCAAGCTGCTCCCGGGGTCGGTGTTGTCAGTGGGTGTGGGGCATCGAGCCCACACTGCAGGTCTGCCATCCTCTCGCCTCACTGGAAGACAGCCTTCCTCCTGCCGACAGCTGTCCAGGAGCATGGGACGGATGGCCAAGGGAAGGACAGGGGCCCGGGTCAGGCCCTGCCTGGCTCTCACCTGTTCTTGCCCCTTGCCAGCCGTAGTGCAGTCAACTCCCAGCCCACAGAGCTCAGCTCTGGCGTGACCATCCCTGGGGCCCCAATGGCCACCAGGCTACAGCACGAGGCTGTGATGATTTAAGATTAGTTCTGGACCAGCTGCTGTAAAGAAGGGGATCAATATGGCCTTTCACCTGCTTTGCACACCTCGGGGGCATCAGGAGGGCTGTTGGCTGGAGGGAGGCGAGATGGAGGAAGGGGTGGCCAGGGAGCCTCTGCAGCAGGGGCCAGAGGGAGCACACGCCCCCATGTGCAGCCAGGGAAATGGAAAAGTTTCTGTTCGCTGCGCGGTGCGGGCAGCTTGCCTTCAGTACACACAACCATTCGGCACAGTAACAAGGTGATCGCTATGCGTATTTAATAAGCCATGCTCCTGCTGCTTGGAATACAGGGGAAGCCGGCTCCACCTTGGCGCTGGAGATCTGGAAATGGCTCCGTCTGGTTGCTGCTAACGACTGCTTGACCTGCTCCTGGGCTGCCCGGCTCCACGCTCACCACAGTGGCCACTGCATGGCCAGCCAGGCCTGGGGGAGCCGCCTGGAGCCGGGGCTGCTGCTGCTCTCTCACTGGCTGTGGTCTCGTATGTGTGCCTAGGGCTCAGCATCTGTGGGCTGTGCCTCGCGTGTGATGTCTGCAGCAGAATGCCTGCCTTCAGAGGAAGGGCATTCCTTGCTGGCAGCCATGTGGCAGAATCTGCCCCAGGCTTGAGAAAACCCCCTATGGGGTTTGAGATTCTTAGAGCCGTTCAATGCTCCAAGCCAGGAGACCCAGGCATGTGCTTTGGCTGAGGTTGTGGCTAGCATGGCCCAGGACCAAATGTGAAAACACAGGGGCTTAATCTAGGACTGTGTTACCTCTAAGGGGCTTTTTCTGACTCCTCCCACCCTCGGGAAGTAAACCAATGTATACTGAGCGATTCCTTTGGACCAGAAATGAGTTTTGCGCTTTACCTATAGGATCTCATTTAATCCTCAAATCACGCTTTGAGATGAATACGATTATTCCCACTTTACAGATGAGGAAACAGAGGCACAGAGAGGTTAAGTAACTTGCCCAAGGTCACACAGCTAGAAGAGGCAGGGTTGGGATTTGAACACAGGCATTCTGAGTCTTAACCCCTGTGCTTAACCCACCCACCTTGGTGGGCAGAAGTCTCAGTTTCCTTGGGGTGCCTGGGCCCCCCAAAGCTTTCTGTCTGCGTCAGATGTAACTCCCAGGAGCTCCTCTTGTTTCCATGAGCACGCCTTCCGGGCCGAGGACTGTGTTGTGTTCATCTTTGTTTCCACAGTGCCTGGATCACTGGCATCTAGCAGGGGCTCCCAATTCCAGGCTCTCTGTATGAGGTGCTGGAGGCACAGAAATGAGCAAGGTGGGCTCAGCAGTCCAGGAGCTCGGAGTCCAGTGTGCAGAGACAGAGCTGGGACTGTCAGCTTCCGCCCAGTGTCATGAGACCAGGGACAGGGAAAGCCCAGGGGAGGCGGGATCCCAGAGGAGGCGAGAGGGGTGCCAGACCCAGCTGGACGCAGGACAGGAGCAGGAGACAGTTGTCTGGAGGCCAGGATCCCCGAGCTCGGCTATGCGGGTGAGTTGGTGTGTGACTATGAAGGAAGAGGGGAAGTGATGTTCTGGCCAGAAGAAAGCACCGCGAGCCACGCCTAGGCCAGAGGCAGCCCGCAAGTGGCCAGAAGGCCTCCAAGGGTGGGGCGCCTGAGCTGAAGACTGCCTCCCTGAGGCCCACATGGCCTGGACTCTGCGCCTTGTCCAGCTGGTCCCTGCTGGGCTGCCTTGACCTGTTTTGTGCCACCATCCCCTGCAGAGCTGGCACCCGCGGTCTGTCTCTGGGTTTTACGCTTGCCCACCAACTGCTTGTTCAGCTCCTTGATCCCAGCAGAGGCAGAAGCGAGGCCTGTTAAATAATAATGTCGCTCACCGGGGCCCGTGTCAACACCGCGTCCTCCGCGTTCATGATCTAGATCGCACCGCCTTCAAAGTCTAATCCAGTCGTTTGGAGTTCATTTTAACCGATTGCTGGAGGGGGAAGCTGGCTGTGGGATGATTGTTGCATCTTAATTTAAAAAAACTTATTGGGAACAGGCTGATAGCAGGCCTGCGGCACATGAGGTGTGCTCGGCTGCATGGAGGGCCAGTGCCCTGCAAGGCTGCTCCCTGACAAGGTGTGAGCTGGCGTCTCTGCCACCCTGGCTTGTGGGAGGACAACAGTAGTGACAGCGTGGGGCGTTGGGGACCCGGCTGGGCTATGAATACACATTATGCTATTGGATCTCCGCAACGCTGAGGAGTGACCCGCTGGGCCCATTTTACAGATGGGGATGTGGACTAGAAGCCAGGCCCTTTGGCTTGCAGTGTGCAGCCATGCTGGCCCCTTCCCACCACCAGGCCTTCACCTCTGTTGTTCCCTCTGCCTGGAGCACTGTTCCCCTCCTGTGTGGCTCTTCTTTAGCTTGGGTCTCGGCTTAACTGCCGCCTCCTCAGTGAAGCCACCCTGACTGCTCCAGCCGAGTCATCCCTACCCCTTCATGGTCTCAGCACATCACCCGGCTTTATTGCCTTCAGAGTGTTGGTCACTTTCTGCAATTATCTCCTTGAGTGCAGTTGTCCGTCTGCACCGGCGCCTCACTGCCTTGTTAACCAGTGAGTCCCAGGGCCGGGCACGGCGCAGCCTCTCAGCCAGTTAGGGGTGAGTGTGCCGGCACCTTCCTCCGCCACGGCGGAGCCGCCTGTGCAGGGCGGTCGCAGGGCCCTCGCAGGACTCTGCAGGAAGGTGAGATTCGGGGGGTTAGGCATTCTTTCTGCGCTGGGGCAGTTAGGGAAGTGTCCTGGGAAGAACTGTGCCTTCAAGGAAGTAGGGCAGGGAGTCCCCTCCCAAGAGAAGGGAGGGAGGAATTCGCAGAAGGGGCTTGTCCAGAGGGTCTGTGGCCAGTGGGGATAGTCCCTGCCTGGATGGCAGCCGGGGACAGATGGACAACAGTGTCACTCAAGGGTGAGAACCCTGCCTGGACCTGCACCCGCACCAGCCTTGTGGTGTTTCTATGGCAACCCCCTTCCCCCAAGCAGATTTTCAGCCTCCCTGGTGCAGTTGCAAGAAGCACAGGCCTGGGTCCTTCCTGGAAAGTGCTGGAACTCAGGGCAAGTGGCGTCAGCATTTGGACCCCAGGCCTGGTTCCTGCCTTGAGGGGCTGTGGTGGGGTTAACTGGGGCAGCCCCTCCCCCATTAGACCCGGGCTTCCCATCCTTGGAGAAGCCTGTCTGGACCATTTCACCTCCTACATACACCACAGCTACATGCTGACATCCTGGGGCCGGTTATGGGATTAACCAGACTGAAGCTGAGTAGGGTGGGACTGGGCCTGGCTGGCTCCCATTGTTACCATCCTATCCCCATGGCCCAAGGCCAGGCCTGACGCAGAGCAGGTGCTCAGTAAAGGGTGGTTAAGGCCAGAAGCCCCTCAGGGAGATGGGCTCTGTCTGTAATGTTTCCCCAAGTGGGGGGTGGGGGCATTGCAGAGCAGCTGACCGAGGCTTGGTTTTAACCGGCTTCGGAGCATGAAGGTGCTTCCTGAAGCGCGTGCGGTCAGCAATCTGCTCTGCATCTGATGCCTCCTGCCGGTACCTCTGCACTGGCCTCTCATACCGGCTCTCATGCTTTTTGTCCCTAAGCAGGACAGAGAAGAAACTTCTCTGGGCTCCTGAACACCAACAGCCCCTTGATTTCCCCTGCCCACCCCCCGCCCCAGCCGCCTTCCCCACCCTTAATTTTCATGTTTAGTGCCTAAACTTAGTTTGCATGTATTAGCTGTTGTAAATCTATCATACGAGTGTGATGCGGCATGAATAATGCATCACTGGGCTGTATTAGTTTTCTGTCTCCTATCTTATTTATGACATGAAACGGGTGGGAATTTGCAAAAGAGAAATTCAGGCGCAGGGCTTCTTGGGTAATGGTATGCAAATTGGCGTGAGGGTGAAAAGATGCACCAGGCCCTCCCAGCGCCCAGGAGCTGCCGAGGAGGAGCGCCTGGTGTCTGGGCCACTGCCAGAGCATGCAGGGTCTCGCGTCCTATCACTGCATGGAGTCGGCTCTGCTCGGCAGTTTGTCTTAATTTTTTTTGTTAATGTGTGTGTCATTGTGGTTGTCACCCTGTTATGTTTTTTAAATTAAAAGTTGGCAAGCAAAACTTGAGAAATGGATTTTCTAAAGATTGTGGAGACTTCCCAGGAGGCTCCGACAAGAACAAGTTCACAAGGAAGATGAGTGTTTTCCAGCATCAGGAAGGCTTGAAGTTAGATGTTCAGAAGGACTCCCTTTCAGGAAGTTTGTGAGGCATGGGAGGTAGGGGTGGGTTTGGGACCCCATAGGGCCTTCTTATGTGGAGGGTCAGAAATAAGTTGGCTGGTTGCAAACTCGGGCCTGGAGGGGGTGAAGAGCATCTCAAGGCATGTCTTGTGGGGCAGTAGATGGCTGAGGGTCAGGCCTCCAGGCCCCTCTCTCCTCACCTGGAGGAGCTCAGATCTTTCCTGTGTCTAGCACTTGGATTCCCCCCAACCAGAAGATTTAGGTGATGAAAAGATTTCATGATTTTAAAAAGAAGTTGGTCGCTGATGGCTCAGGGAACAGGCTTGGTGAAGCCTGACCTGGAGCAGGAGGGAACCTGGAGGAAAAAGGGAACCGGTACAGGGAAGGCGGATGAACAGACATCGTGGAGAGGACATATGGGACGGGAGGTGAGGAAGGGGAGCTGGCACGGCAGGGGCAGTCCTGTCCTTGTGAGCCACCCCCCAGTCTTAGCTGGTAGCAGCCAGCCCCCGATCCTCGCCTCCCCTCCACTCTGTGTGTCTCTTCCACATCCCCCTCCCCTCTGAGCCCGGCAGCAGGGAGAGGGGGAGGGCAGATGCCCAAGGGGCAGCTGCCCAGTCCTTTTGGAACTTGGCAAGGAACAAATAGAGCCATGGACATGGATCCGCTGAATGTCAGCTGCTAGGCTGAGGGCTTAATGCAGTGGAGGTCAGGCCCTGGGTGTAATTAGGGAGGCTCCCTCCCTGGGTGGTTGGGAAGAATGAATGAGGTCACATGTGCAGAGGGTGTAGGCTAGTGCCTAATGCACACTCAGGCAGAGTGGCCGCTACGCAATGGTCCTCTGTGAGCCTGGCAGCGGGGTAGCAGGGAAGGTCCACAGGAGGCAACCTCTGCAGGAGGCATTCCCGGCTGCCCCTGCATGCCTTGTCTGAGTGGGCTTGGATGGTGGTCAGTGTGGGCTCAGGGGCTGGGTTGGCTGGCCTTCCCACTGATGGCCTCAGTTTCCTTCCTGTAAAATGGGGGATAATTATAGAACCTGCCCCAGGACTAAGCAGCTCCGTGTACATGCAGGTCCCAGGGCTGTGCCTGGTGGGAGGAAGCACCACGTGTCAGTTGTTGTGTCATTGTGGTCACAGGACTTGCTCAGGGTGACTGGGACCACACACTCGTTGGTGGAGCCAGGATCTCAGGGTGCCTCTGATTCTGAAGCCCCCACCTGGTCTGCCGTCCTCTGCCCCATCAGCCCCGTGTTCCATTGGGTCTTGTGGGTGCGTATGTCCGCACCATCCTCCCTCCAGATGGCAAAATATCTGTGAGCAGGGCCAGTGTCTTATCCTCTCTGTATTGTCCTGCAGTGCAAGTACAGGCATTGACTTGGCTTCTCTCTCTCCTTTGCTTTCTTTCTCCCCAAAATCTCCCCTTTTTTCCCACGCCAGCTCTTCCCTTCTGCCTGACCCTGAGCCTTCCAGGGCTCCAGTTACCCCTGGGACCCTTGGTCCATGGTGTTTACATGACTAGTGGGCCCTGATTGGGGCTGCTGACCACAGGTGAAGACCGGGATCTTGGCTCCTCCCAGGTACCTGGGGAGAGAAGCGAGCTTCATAGAGTGGGTGGTGACACCAGCCCAGTGACAGCACAGGTCCTGCAGAGCAGGTGCCCCAATGAGGGAGTCTCACCCACAGGAGAGGATGCGGGTCAGCCGCATACACGTGCCCAGCTGTGAGGCAGACACACCTGCCACTGATCCGAGGAGCCCAGGAAGGAACCCAGGAGGGGAGCGAGAGAGGGGAGTGAGAGCGGGGTGGGCCAGGCTCTCTGGAGGGCATTTAGCGGGAGGGCCCCTGAGAAGCGTGAGCTGATGCCTGTGCATGCCTGTGAGAGGGTGGGAAACTGGTCAGTTATATTAACATAGTCACGTGCTGCATAGTGACTTTCAGTCAACAACAGACCACACATATTATGATGGTCCTATACGATTACAATACAGTATTTTACTGTACCTTTTCTATGTTTAGATATGTTCAGATTCACAAATACCATTGTGTTACAGTCGCCTGCAGTGTTCAGTACCGTCTCATGCTGTACGGGTATGAGGCCTAGGAGCAACAGGCTGTACAGCATGACTTAGGTGTGCAGTCAGCTTTACCGCCTAGATCTGTGTAAGGTCACTCTATGATCACATGACAAAATTGCCTAATGATGCCTTTCTCAGAACGGCATTATTCCTGTCGTTAAGCAACACGTGGCTGTATCATATAAGTTCTTGACTGTGGCTTGAGTCTTTTGGGCAATGTCCAGTTGGGAGCTGGGGGTCTGATCAAGCCTGGAAACCCCAACTCTCCCACTCCCCCTCCCCAGCCCTACCTGTTCTGGGTTGGTCCCAGCTTTGTGTTGGTCGCATCAATTCTGACCTTTCTTGCCCAACACCGCCCAGCAGTCTTGGATGTGGATTTACATGTGGAAACAGAACCACCCTTCCCTGCAGTTCTCACAGCCTATGTGGGAAGCAGGGCAACCGCCTTGGCTGAGCCATCCCACCCTGTGGCCTCCCCACCTCCCCGCACTGTCACCAAGGGGAACTTAGAGTCTCAGCCTCAAGATGTTGGTGATGCCCCCTCTGGCTAAGCACGGGCAAATGGGTGCTGAGCAGATACTGTGCACGTATGGGTGCAGGTGTGGGTGTAGGTGTGGGTGCAGGTGTGGGTACAGGTGTGTGTGCAGGTGTGTGTGTATAGGTGTGTGGGTACAGGTTTGTGTGCATGTGTGGGTGCAGGTATGGGTGCAGGTGTGCGTGCAGATGTGTGTGCAGGTGTGGATGCAGGGATGTGTGCAGGTGTGGGTACAGGTTTGTGTGCAAGTGTGGGGATAGGTTTGTGTGCAGGTGTTGGTGCAGGCATGGGTGCAGGTGTGGGTGCACATGTGGTACAGGTGTGTTCAAGTGTAGGTGCAGGCCTGTGTGCAGGTGTGGGTGCAGGTGTGTTCAGGTGTAGGTACAGGCATGAGTGCAGGTATGGGTGCAGGTGTGTTCAGGTGTAGGTACAGGCATGGGTGCAGGTGTGGGTACAGGTGTGTGTTCAGGTGTGGGTGCAGGTGTGGGTACAGGTGTGGGTGCAGGTGTAGGTGCAGGCATGGGTAAAGGTTTGTGTGCAAGTGTGGGTACAGGTTTGTGTGCAGTCATGGGTACAGGTGTGTGTACAGGTGTGTGTGCAAGTGTGGGTGCAGGTGTGTGCAGGTGTGGGTGCAGGTGTGGATGCAGGTATGTGTGCAGGTATGGATGCAGGTGTAGGTGCAGGCATGGGTGCAGGTGTAGGTGCAGGCATGGGTGCGGGTGTAGGTGCAGGTGTACGTGCAGGCATGGGTGCAGGCGTGGGTGCAGGTGTAGGTGCAGGTGTAGGTGCAGGCGTGGGTGCAGGTGTGGGTACAGGTGTAGGTGCAGGCATAGGTGCAGGTGTGGGTACAGGTGTATGTTCATGTGTGGGTGCAGGCGTGGGTGCAGGTGTGGGTGCAGGTGTAGTTGCAGGTGTGGGTGAGGTGTAGATGCAGGTGTGGGTACAGGTGTATGTTCACGTGTGGGTGCAGGCGTGGGTGCAGGTGTGGGTGCAGGTGTGGGTGAGGTGTAGATGCAGGTGTGGGTACAGGTGTATGTTCATGTGTAGGTGCAGGCATGGGTGCAGGTGTGGGTGCAGGTGTGGGGTGGTGGAGGGCCAGGTGAGTTGTCTGGATTCCACCATTCAATATCATGCAGGCGAGGCCTGCAGGCTCCATGTGGCTCCCCTATGCAGAGCTCAGAGCAGAGCAGGGCAGCCACAGCCAGTGCCTGGGGACGCTTTCTGGGCCTCATGCTGAGGCTTGACTGCTATGAGGCAGACGTGATAGAACAAAGCTCCTATCACATCTGACCCTGCATCAGAACTATCCAGGTTGCCTGTGGCCCAAAGTCAAGGCCCCCCAGGCTGCACTTGGTCGATATCCCCTGGGTTCCCCTTCTCCAGCCACTGGACAGGTCCCAGTCCCCTAAAGGCTCTGCCTGAGCACTCTGTTCCCCCAGGCCTTTGCACCCACTGCTCTCCCTGCTGGGACTCTCAGGCTGTCTTCTGATTGGGCAGAATCTTCGTGGTCACTCTGACTTCCTGCCCCTTTCTCCATGGAGCCCAACTGCCTCCACTAGTTCTCCTCTGGGCTCCCTTAGTCCTCACTCCCTCCTCCATCGCACTCTCTGCATCGGGCCGTAAACAGGACTCTGGGCATCTCCCTGGCCGTGCTGTGTCCTCAGGGCCCGGCAGGCATGGACGCTCCATGAGGTTTGCTGAGTGAGCTAGCAGGACCAAGGAAAGGAGATGGGCAGAGGCAGTCGCTTGCCTGCGATCAGCAGGGCATAGGAAATCCCTTTACGTCAGGTGAGGAGCCGATAGGAGTTTTGACTCCTACTGTGTGCCGGGGGCTCAGCCAGGGACCTGATTTTGCCTTCAGTGCTTCACTTTCTAGATGTTAAATGAATCCAGAGAAACAACCCTGACTGCACCTGCTCACCTGCACCCTCGTGCACGCACAGGCGTTCTTTCTTCTGCCTTACCTCTGTCTGTCTGTCTCTCTTTCAGCACTCACTCGTCTCTTCCTCCCTGGTGGTCTGGTTTGCACGCTCACTCTCTGCTGATCTCAGCTTCTAACTCTGTATCGGTGTCTCCTTCGATCGGTGCCGCCCCGGCTCTTCCAGGCCTTCTGGCCCAGGGTGGGCACTGGCTGGAGCTTTAGTCCCTGTGCTTGGCACTGGGTTCCAGCAGCAGCCCCTGCCCTCATGGACCTGCCTCTCTGATATGGGCATGGTAGGGGAGGGAGATCAGGGGGGGAGAGACCACCACCATCCACTTAATCTGTATTAAGACTCATGGGTCCCAGAGGCTGCTTTGAGCTCTCCATTAGCAGCAACTTGAGTCATCTTACGGCAGCTCTGTGCAGTAGGTACTATTAATATTATCACACCCACTTTAAAATGGAAGAAACCAAGGCAGGAAGTGGTGGGGTCAGGAGCTGAACCCTGTAGGTCTGCCTCCGGGCCTGTGGGTTTATTGTTTCTTGCAAATAGCGAACAGATAACAAGACAATCCCAGGCCACGGTGAATGTCATGCAGACCCAGGCTGGGCGCCATCACTGCCTGCACTGGTCACTCCCCTGCTGGGCCTCCCTGTCCTCTCTGACTAGAGGCTCGGTGGTCCCTCCTTCCTCATGGGGGCTGCGGGTGAGCTGAGCTGAGCTGAGCTGAGCTGTGGGCAGCCCAGCACGTGCAGGAGCCGGAAGATGCCTGGCCCCCTCTCTATGGCTCAGTCTTCACCGGGTCCCCAGGGTGGTGGGCAGGCACAGGCACTAGCTCAGCCCTGGCACCTGCTTGTACAGGGCAAGGTTGGAGTAGCTGCCAAGGGTAAGACTCGCAGCAAAGGTGGTTGCTGGCCCCAGGTGACCCAGGTGGCTGGCTGCCCAACCCTCCGTCCTAAAGTGTCGATGCTGGAGAAGAAACACTAGGCTGGCTGTCATAATTGAAGAAAACAAAAGGAAATTAAATAGGACTAATGAGGAGAATATCAATAGCCCATACTTCAAGATGCTTTTTCTATTCCACTTCCTCCAGAATAGCCAGGTGCACTGATAGATTTCAGGGTTTTTTTTTTTTTTTTTTTGAGATGGAGTTTTGTTCTTGTTGAACAGGCTAGAGTGCAATGGCGTGATCTCGGCTCACTGCAACATCTGCCTCCCAGGTTCAGGCGACTCTCCGGTCTCAGCCTCCCAAGTAGCTGGGATTACAGGCATGCGCCACCACCCCTGGCTAATTTTGTATTTTTAGTAGAGATGAGGTTTCACCACGTTGGCCAGGCTGGTTTTGAACCCCTGACCTCAGGTGATCTGCCCACCTCAGCTTCCCAAAGTGCTGGGATTACAGGCATGAGCCACCGCACCCGGCTGGATTTCAGATTAGTTTTGTTTTTAAAGGCAAAATTTTGGCACAGCCAGGTCAGGACAGCGTTCTCTGCAGTGGCACTTTCTGTATGCCTTGGTCTGGGTTTTTGGGTTGACACCAACATCTGTGTCCACCTTCTTGTGTGCTTAGTAACAAGTAGGCCTTACTGTAGGAATTGTTAACTTTTTCGGAGGTAGGCAAGGGTGATTTATAGACCTCTTGGAAATGCTAGTAAAAATAGTTAACGATCTTTCTAGAAAGACACACCAAAAATACCAAATTTTGTACAATCAATTCCAAAATGGATTGTTAAAGGAAATTTGGGGTCTGGCCACCAGTCTTGGAGCTGGCAGGACGTCCATCGCTCCATCCCTTGCAGGCTCCCATGATGGCCCTGAGCTAGGAGAGTCCAGCATCCAGTGAAGTCTCTGCTCCAAAGGATGACCTCACACCCACCTTACAGATGAATGAACAGAGTCCCAGAGACCTTAACCAGTTTGCTGGGAAGAGGTGGACTGGTCGTTGCACCCGGAGCCTCCCTGAGAAATGCGTCAGGCAGGGCAGATCTGCTCCTGGTGCACAACCTCTTGGCCTCAACCAGGTCAGACTCTGAGGGCAGGAGTGTTGGGGAATCAGACAGAGCTCACAGAGAGGGATCCATCCATGGCTTGGAGGCTGAGTATTGGCACTGGAGTCCCGTTAGGGTGACCAAGTGTCTTGGTTTGCCCAGGATTGAGGAATTTCCTGGGTTTGGGGCTTCCAGTGCCGCAGCCTGGACAGTCCTGAGCAAACCGGGTAGGACTGGTCACCCTAGGTTTGAATTTGGCTTTCCTCCCATGTCCTAAGCAGCGCGACTTTGCACATCATTTAGCCTGTCAGTTTGTTTCCTCAGCGGTAAAGTGTTGATAAGAATGAGATAAAGACAGGGAAGGGAGTTGTGCTAATTGCCTGTAGAAGATGGCCCTTCCACATGCTCAGTGCAGCCGTGCAGAGCGGACGTGACCCCGGGTCTGAATTCGCAGCCCTGCCCTTTGCTGGCGGGGTGGCCCTGCACAGGTCATTTCTTGTGCCCTAGCTATGGGATGAGGATGGAATGGTGGCACCCACCTGCCAGGTGTCTGTGGGGATTAAAGGGAGGCAGAGTAGGTGAGGTGCTTGCAGGTGATCGTGGGTGATCTCTGGGCCCACGACTGTGTCTCCCAGGGCCAGCTCGGTGGTGACTGGGCCGGGAATGGGTGGCACAGCCCCTTCATGCTCACATTCAGCTCTGGTGCTCAGCGTTGAGAGTCCCCCATGAGACCCTCGGAGGACAGCATGTGAGCTTGGAGCGAGGTGCACGCTTCTGCCCCGCCTTGCCCCACCCTGCCCCTGCCCCTGCCCTGCCCTGCCCCTGCCCATCTGGGCCACCCGGGGTTGGTTCGCTCTCTTTTCATAGAGTCTCCGTGAGGTGGGACGCTGCGCGCACAGTGCCCAGTCAGGCATTGGAAAGTCCTGACACACGGTGGGTACCTGTAAAGTAGAAGCCCCACCAGCATCCTGCTGTTTCCTCAGGAGCTGGCAGCCCCTGAGAGCCCCTGTGCCCAGCGAGCCTTCCGGCCCCTTGGCGACATCTCAGCTCTAATGACTTTGAGTGCTGAGCTGCTCACCCTGGGAATTTATGGAAACCATGCACAGAAGCGTCACCTGGAGGCACATAAATATTGTAGGACTGGAGGTTGGGCTGTGTCAGCACTATTTGGAGCAGTATCACCCACCTGAAACTGACTGTGTGGGCGCCTGTAGCGGGTGGATGGGGGGCTGCAGGGAGGGGCTCCGTGGGCAGGCTCAGGACACACAGGTTTGTCTCAGCTCACCTGGGTTCATTCCAGGTCACAGTGCGCCAATGCTCTCCCTGGAATCCTCACCGTGCCCCAGAGGCGTGTTCTCTTTTTGTCCCCGTGTACAGATGACAGAGGAGACTGAGTCACTGGGTAGTGGGGATCTGGGAGCTGGAGGAGGCGGGCACAACCCCTCCCCTCCAACTGCCAGCTTTTTTTTTTTTTTTTTAAATTACTTTGCCTTTTCTCCCATAACTTTTTTTTTTTTTGGAGACGGAGTTTCACTCTGTTGCTCAGGCTGAATTGCAGTGGCGTGATCTCGGCTCACTGCAATTTCTGCCTCCCGGGTTCAAGCGATTCTCCTGCTTCAGCCTCCCAAGTAGCTGGGATTACAAGTGCCCACCACCATGCCCAGATAAGTTTTGTAATTTTAGTAGAGACATGTTGGCCAGGCTGGTCTTGAACTGCTGACCTCAAGTGATCCACCCATCTTAGCCTCCCAAAGTGCTGGGATTACAGGCGTGAGCCACTACGCCTGGTCCCCCATAACTTTTTACTTTGAAAAATTTCAAACTACAGGAAAGGTGAGAGAATAATACAATACACAGATATTCTTCACCCAGGTAACTGTTAACATGTTGCTACAATCTTCCCCCATATTATACATGCACAGAGACATACACCCACTTTTAAAAAAGTCAGTTGCAGGCATCATTACCCTTTACCCCTAAATACTTCGGCATGTCTCTTCAACGTAACTGCATGGCATATCACACCCAGGAATTTAGGTCTATGCACTGATGCTATCTAAATACTGTCCAGGTACAGGTTTTCCCAGTTGTCCCCAAAATATCTTTCAGAGCTACTCCCCCAAATGCCATCCAGGATCCAGCCTGAAATCACAGGCAGCCTTTGGTTTTCATGTCTCTTAAGTCTCCTTTTAATCTAGAATAATCCCTTTGCTTTTTTGTTTTCTTCATGATATTGACTTTGTTGACAAGTCCAAGCCAGCGTCTCATAGAAGTTCCACAGTCTGGAATTGCCTGGTTATTTCCTCCCAATGAGCTGCCAGTGTTCGGCCAGGTGCTGTGGGGCTGGGGGTCAGGGGAGCCCTACACCTCCCACAGCAGTCCTCGGGGAGGAAGAAGAGCAGCTGGCCCCGTCCTGATCACTTGGTTAGGGTAGCGTCGGCTGGATCTCTCCTTCTAAAGGTGCTGGTTTCCCTTTGTGATTACTCAGTCACCTTTGGGTGATTCTTGGAGACTGTGTGAATATCCAGTTCCTCCACAAACTTTCCCCCTGGGGCTTTGTCATCCATGGGTGATCCTTGGTGATTGCTAATTCACCATTGTCTAATTCTGCCTTGCCTTCTGCATTGACTAGTTGTCACTAGTTACAGAGATTCACCTGACCCCACTCCACACCCTGCCCTTACTATCACTACAAATTCCTAGATTTAAAAAAAAAAAATCCAGCGTGCTCTAATCAGGACCATCATTATTATTTTTGATGTTCACATTGTCTTGAATTTGGCCAGCGGGGACCCCTTCGTGTTGGCTCCTGGGTCCTTTGGACACATCCCCATTGTTCTTTGAGCCCTTCCTTGCTTTTCATCTGTGAGAAGTTCTAGGCATTTCTCCAGGGCACCCTGGCTAGAGTCACTGCCTTCAGGCTCTTTCAGTGGACAGGGCCAGGGAAGAACTCTCGAGTTGGGGTTCGTTTTGATACCTCTGATTTAGATTTGAGATCCTGGAGTCTACCCTCGTCTCTCCCATTCCACACCGGACTCTCTTCTCTCTGTGCAAACCCTGGTTCCCAATAACATCAGTGTATCTCAGTCCCACCACATAGGTTCAGAATCACTGTGCCTGCCCCACCACCTCCAAGCCTGCCAAGGAAGTTGAGGTTTCCCTTGCAGATCATTTTGTCCTTCAGCAGGGACCAGGGGTGTACAGTTGGAATGCCATGATCCTGAGCTACTTGAATGGGTTCTTTTCTATGCGGATGTGACTGTGTTCCAATAAAGCTTCATTTACCAAAACTGGTGCAGGCTGGTTGTAGCCTGAGGGGCATTGTTTGCAGACGGCTGCTCTAGTGTATAAACCTAACAGCACGGTTTCTGGTGCAGGGTGAGCGCTCACCCAGTAAATAGCTGTGTCTGGATAATGGAGGCTGAGGGGGCAGGAAGCACTGGGCATTCCTGGTGGTGGGTGGGCAGGTGGCCTTTTTCAGGGATAAGGGGGCTAGAGGCCTCTTAGAGAGTAGGACAGCCCCTGACCCCACCAACCCCACACTTCTGGGCCTCCCAGACCAGCCAAGGATGAGGGCACAGGTCTGGAGGTGCTTGGCCTGGGATTGGGGTGCTGGGTGAGCAGGGTTTCACCCTTTTCTGGTTGGGAGGAGAGCAGAGTTTGATGAGCTGACAGCCTCCCCTGGCAATGAATTCTGAGCTCTCTCAGGGTACGTGGATACCTTGTGTTTGGAAAATGAAATGAGCTGCATGGCCTGGCAGCAGCAAGACCAGTGAGCAGTGAGGGCTTCCCCCCTGCTCTCACCAGGGTGCTCACTGCCCCCTGCTCTCACCGGGGTGCTCACTGCCCCCTGCTCTCACCGCGGTGCTCACTGCCCCCTGCTCTCACCGTGGTGCTCACTGCCCCCTGCTCTCACCGGGGTGCTCACTGCCCCCTGCTCTCACCCGGGTGCTCACTGCCCCCTGCTCTCACCCGGGTGCTCACTGCCCCCTGCTCTCACCGGGGTGCTCACTGCCCCCTGCTCTCACCCGGGTGCTCACTGCCCCCTGCTCTCACCGGGGTGCTCACTGCCCCCTGCTCTCACCGGGGTGCTCACTGCCCCCTGCTCTCACCGGGGTGCTCACTGCCTCCTGCTCTCACCCGGGTGCTCACTGCCCCCTGCTCTCACTTGGGTGCCAGGCTCAGTCCCTCAGCCCCCTCTGGGACCCGTGATCCTGGCATGTCTCTCTGGCTCCACCTACTCCCTGCCCTGTGGGCCCAGGAGGCTCAGGCAGGACTCCAGGCTCGTGGTGTGAGAAGGGGACCCAGGAGCCCAGAGGTAGCTGAGACATGCCAGGCTGGGGCTGGGGCTAGGGCTGGGGCTGGAGGTGCTGTGCTGTTCTCCCTATTCATTCCTGCCCTTTCCCCCGCCGGCCTCCCCGCTTTGGGCTCAGCAGGTTTGCACAAGCCTTCTGCTAAGCCCTCTGGGCCTGGAGACAGACTTGTTATGCCACTGGAGAAATGAGCCTGGATTTCCACCACCGACTTCTCTTTTAATTAGATTCTGACAGCAGCACACAGGGTTGGCTGGCTGCAGATTCAGGTGCAGCTTTCCTTGGTCCCAGGCCTCTGGGTTTCAGTGCGCTTGGCTTTTTCGGAGGCTGAAAATACTTCTGACCTTTCTTCGGGAGTCGAGCGGCAGGCTGGCTGCACGCGTGTGAGCATGCAGATACCTCTCTCAGTGTGTGCATGTTTGTGCATCCGTGAGCAAGGAGCTGCGTGCTGTGTTTTGGAAAAGCCTGCAGACAAAGCATGTTGGGTCTCACTGACTGTCCTGCTACCCCATCCATTCGCCCCACTGCTCGCCGACAGCAGGTGCTGAAGGGGTCCCCTTGGCCTCACTGTCCTCATCTGTGATTTGGGCTGATGCTGCCTCAGCTGGCTTTTCCCAGCAAGGCCTCATGGGAGGTTTCCTTCCTCCTGGATTCCTCCTACAGGCTGGTTTGGCAAAACAAAATCATTCTGCATGTTTCCTTGAAGGAACATACATCGCAGGAAGAGAGAACTGAAAGCCAGGACGGCCCGGGCTGTGGGCAGCAGATATGGGCGGAGGGCTAGAGAGATGGGGGCATGGTCTCTCCCCTACACAGCATGGACTACTAAACCTGACTTTGCACAGGCTGTGAGGAGGCGTGGCCTCCTCCCAAAAATCAGAGGCTCTGAGCCTCTTGCACCTGGGCCTTCTCTGAGGGCCGGGAGTGGGTGGCTAAGAAAAGAGGAAGAGACCCCCGATACCTCTGGAGCCCTTAGCCTGAGCCCCCAATCTGAGACAGGAGACAGTTCGCTTCCTCTGAGCATGCCCAGCTTGATACAAGATTCTGTCCTTGCTCTTGGGGGGCCCCCACCCAATGGAGACACCGCACCCCTGCCTTTGGTGAACTTTCGGTCTGAGGAAACTACAGCTTCTGCTCTGGGGGCATCCCCCTGGTCAGGGGTGGGCTGTGCAGTAGAACCCCTGTTCCAAGAGCAGCCTGACCCTGGGGAGAGGAACCACACTGCTGTCTCTTCTCCCCTCCCCTCCCCTCCTCTGGGGAGCCTGGCCTTTCCTGCTACCCCTGCCTCCCTTGCTACTCGCAGCTCAGCCATCAGGGACTGGCTCAGAAAAAGCAATTTCCTTGGACAGCTCACAGTCTTGCCCTCCTGGTCCCCACACTCTGATCAGGAATGAGCCCGGAGCTCACTGGCTTAGCTCCGCATGGAGACCCCCGCCCCTCACAAGCTTCCTTAACTCAGTGGGAAACCGCTTAGTGATTTGAGCTGGGAAGGAGCTGGGGCCATCCTCCAGGGCAAAAGAAGCTGAGTCCTGTTCCTCCCTCTCCACTTGCTAAGCCCACGCGAGGTCTTCGGGGGCTGGACAAAGAAGCCAGCCTTCCCCACACTGTTGTCAGACTGAGCTTCTTTAAAAGTAAAACTGACTCTGTCACTTACCAGCTCAACCCCCTCCAGTGGGCAAATAAAATCTAAACTGTTCCCCATGGATTCCAAGGTGGCCTGGTGCAATCTGGCCCTACCTGCTCTGGCCTGTCCCATTGCTGTGCCCCCCACCACGGGTCCCTCTGCTTCTCATTCCTGCCTCCGGGCCTTTGCACTGCTGTGCCCTTTGCCTAGAATGCTCTTCCCCCTCCTCCCAATCATTGAGGGGCTGTTTCCTCCCCATTATTCAGGTCTCTCACTAAATGTCACCTCCTAGAGACACCTTCCCTGACCCCAGTCTTAATGGCTTTCAGTATTTTTTCTGTGCAGTGCTTCTCACTATCTGATGTAATCTTTCTTTGTTTTAATTGCCTCCTGTCCTGAGAACGTTTGCCCCACAAGAGTGGGTCTTGCAGTCATCACGACATTTCCAGCACTTACACCCACACCAGACACATAGTAGGGACTCAAGAACATCTGCTGAATAAATGAGACCCTACTAGGCACTGGGCCTGTGCCAAGCTCTCCTCACCCAGGTACCTGTAATCCTCATAGCAGCGTGTACTTACAATTGAGGAAACTGAGGCCTGGGCCTGTGAAGCTGCCAAGGAAGTCAGATTTAATAGCAGGTTGGATCTCAAATAAATGCCCCGTCCAGGATCCTCCTGCAGTCTTGGGCTTCCTCCCAGGACAAATTCTTTATGGAAAAAGGAGAAAAGCCAGAAAACTGGAAAAGAGGAAAATCATCCCGTCCTGCTCCTGGAGTAAGCCTCAGGGTGCAGCTCTTCCTCCCCTGTCCCGCTTCTTCCCCCAGCTTTTGGTGTGTTTGTTTTGTTTTGTTTTTTTTCTTTCTTTCTTTCTTTCTTTCTTTCTTTTTTTTTTGCATTTTCTGTAGCATTCACATTTTTCTGTGTCTGTCATGCAGTGTCTGTAAGTGTGAGTTTAAATGCAGGGAGGACAGTACAGAGCTGGATACACAGAGTTACCTGACTGTCCCCATGGCTTGGGGATTTGGGTTGTTTCTAGTCTGCTGTGCCTGAGTTAGTGACATCTGAGTGTTGTAGATAGAATTCAAGTGTCCATCCATTCATTTTTTTGACCAAATTTTACTGTGCTGGGCCCTGTGCCAAGCAGGTGACAGGCACTAAAGGGCATGAGGCCCAGGCTCTGTCCTTGGAGTCCACAGTCTTATGTGGGAAGTGGCCAAGTAGAACCACAGAATGGTGTAGGTATTCCAGGCTAGACAGCAGAGCACGCCATTCAGAAGGAAGTGGCTGGTCCGTGGCGGGGTGGGGCCTGCCTCCTGGACTGAGGACGCCACTCTGAAGTGGAGTCTTCAGATGTTGGAGGAGGACAGTTCGGGGGGGCAGTGCGTGCTGTGTGCAAGTCATGGCCAGGGCAGGGGTGCGGCTGTGTGGTACATCTTGAGCATTGGCTGGCCTGAAACGTAGGGAGCCCACAAGGAAGGGCAGGAGTGGGGGCAGCACTGGGGCCCCGAATGCTGAGCTAAGGAACTTGGACTTTCTCCTGCAGTGGATGGGAAGCTTGATCATTTGTATCTTCTTTTTTAAAAAAGTTTTTATTTGTTTTAAGATCAAAATGGTACATATACTTGCAAGAAAAAAAAAAAAAGCATGGAGTGGTTTATCCTGAAAGGCTCGTCCACACTCCACATCTCAGTCCTGCTTTTTGGAAGAGAATGCTTTTCACCTGTTCTTTTTTTAATCCACCTGGCACTTTCCTCAGGACCCAAACTTGTTCACTCTGCTGCTTCTTGATGTATCAATTTTGGGACATCACCTGTTGTCTCCTTGCTGTGAATGATGAGGATTTGGCCCATATTACCCCCGTTCCTTCCCCGGTCATTCTCTCGGTTGCCTTTGTCACTTTAAATCATTTACATAAACCACAACTTCTTTCATGATTTTCGGCTCCATCTTTCCCTTCCGTAAGGTAAAGCTCTGAGGGGCCACTGGGACCATGCCTGGTCCTGTCTGCTCGTGAGTGAGCGTGTGCATGTCTTTCCTGCTCCTCACTCGGTGATATCATGCTGGTAGTTTGCAACTGGCCACGTTAGAATGTTTACACCATGGAAATTGGCAAACGCTGCAAACCAGGATTCCCTGCCAGTTGTTAAACTTTGGCCAACACAGCACAGCTGGGCTTCTAAGATTCCAGTTGTTAAACTTTGGCCAACCTCATAGCTGGGCTTCTAATGTTCCCTGAGTAGCTTGAGCTTTTGAAGAATGTGAGAATGGCTGGCCCAGGGGTGGGGGCTTGTAGGGAGGCTCAGCTGGCAGGCCCAGCCAGTATCGACACTCCTCCCTTTGTGCCACAGCAAAGCTTCGAGGCGCACCAGGACGAGGCAGTGAGCGTGACACACATGGTGAAGGCGGGCAGCGGCGTCTGGATGGCCTTCTCCTCCGGCACCTCCATCCGCCTCTTCCACACTGAGACCCTGGAGCATCTGCAAGAGATCAACATCGCCACCAGGACCACCTTCCTCCTGCCAGGTGAGGCTGCCTCGGGCACGGGGGAGCGGACAGTCACAGAGCACCTTCCACGGCCAGGTAGTGGTGTGACCTGGGCAGCCCATCCCATTTTCCCTCATCAGCCCTGAAAACTGGGGCTTTAATTTGGGGCACTCCCCAGGAAGTGGTGGGGTTGGGATTCACACCTAGGACTGTCATCTCAAAGCCCCTGCCTGTCACTGTGCCCAGCCACCGCATCACAGCAGCCTGGGGCGCTCAGGAAATGGCCCCCAGCCCACTGGACCCTCCAAAGTCAGGCAGCTGCTAAGGAAAGGCCAAGCTGGGCAGGAACCCAGGCCTTTCATTCTGCCCCACTGCCCAGGTTGACCAAACACCCAATTCTGCCTCAAATGCCCTGCAGGATGAGGTGATGGGAAAGTGAGAAAGCCAACGGGTGGTCTCTGTCCTTGGAGTTTTTTCTGAGAAAGGCAAATTCCCCTCTTGGGCCTTCTAGTCTGTGGGTTTGGATGGCATCTGCTGTGGCTGGGGCCCCTCCTGCGTAGCTGTGTGTAGATGAAGTGGACAGGATTGGTGGTGGAGGGGAATGGCGGCGAAGGATTAAGGCTGGAGCTCACCAAATGCCCCCCAAGGCCTCCATGGAATTGGCTCTCAGCCTTTCGTTGCCATCTGCTGCTCAAGATGCAGGCACCATGCCCATCCTCACCCCAGCTGGCTTCAGAGCAGACCACGGGGCCAGCAGGCATCAGCTAACCTTGCTTCCCTCCTTGGCCCAGCTTCCCCCAGAGAGACTGACCTGCGGCCAGTGTGGGAGGGTGCAGTGGCTCTGTCTTGTCCCAGTGCCCCAGGCAGGGCTGGGTTCAGCAGCTGGGAGAGCCAAAGGGCCCTCGGGCCAGGGAAACACAGCCCGTGTGGCAGGTGGGGGCCTGGAGCTGATTGTCACAGGACCTGGCAGATGGGCCATGGCAGAGGCTGGGAGTGGCCATATGCCCAGCAGGGTTGAGCATCCTGTCTTCTGGGGCCATACTGAGGGCAGGCATGTTAGCCAGCACTGCAGGAGCCTTAGGGACCTCTGCCTACCCCAGGGGCCCGGTCCCTAACTCCCTCCCGAGGCCCTGGAAATCACCCTGGTTTCTGCTTCCCTCTAGCCAGTCACGATGGTCCTTGAGTCTGAACTGATCACACGGGGATGGTGGTTACTAACAACACAGTCCACGGCAGTCACAATGGTGTAATAACTGCCACCCTGCCCGGGCCTGAGGTGATGAGGCCCCAAGTGCTTATGTGCAGGATCTCATTTCACCCTAACCCTGCGAGCTGGGGATTATCCCCACATTACAGATGCAGACACTGAGATTGGTTCAGCAGGCCGGGCGTCTTGCTCGTGGTCATGCAGTAGACCAGAGGCAGGACCACAGTCACATCAGGCCGGACTCAGTCCAGCATCCTACTGTATGTAATGGAGAAAGAGAGTTGGCTTGAGGCCTGGCTTGGCCAACACACAGTATCAGACAAGTCCCTTAATCTCCCGGAGCCCCTCATCCCTCTGTAAGATGGGATGTAGGTCCCAGCTCAGGGACTGTTATGAGGATAAATGCTGGTGGGCTGGGAAGGTGGCTGTCCTGGGCCGGCAGGGTGGCAGGTGCCCGATGAGACTGAACCCTTCACTCACGTTCTCCTGGGGTGTGTGAGAGGCTTGATGGGACCTGTGTTTGGGTTGCCTCCTTCCCCCTCTCTCCCTCCCTCCCTGCCTCCTTCCCCTACCTCCCTCTCTCCCTCCCTGCCTCCCTCCCTCCCTCTCTTCTTCCCTCCCTCCCTCCTTCCCTCCCTCTCTTCTTCCCTCCCTCCCTCCTTCCCTCCCTCCCTCTCTTCTTCCCTCCCTCCCTCCTTCCTCCCTCCCTCCTTCCTCCCTTTCTTGTTTCATAGTATTTAGCCATTATACAGGTTCAATCCATTTTAACTACGATAAAAATGTCTCTGTATCACAAAACTATCTCCACATTTCCTCTGATAGCTAAATTATTTCAAGTTAGTGGAACAATGAAGAAATGGATAATCTCATGGGCTTTTAAAAATCTTTGGAATCTCGTCTTGTCTGCGCAGAGGAGAGTGAGAGAGAGTCAAGCTGATCAAGTGGTGGGAGGCAGGATGTGTGGACAGACCTGGCTGTAGTTAGAACAGCCACTCCTGCCTGTACAACCCTGACTTTACTGTGTTTCACATGCACCTTCACGCCCGTTGTCTTACTTACTCTTTGCAGTTACCCTTTAAGGAAGGAAGGGCATTCGTTGTTATGATGATGATTTGAGGGCCAGGTAAACTGGGGCTCAGGAGGTGAAATGACTGGTCTGCTATCGCAGTGCTGATATGGACAGAGCCAGGAGCAGCCCCACGGACTCTCGTTAGAGCTTCCTCACACTTACTGTGTAGCCTTGGGCGGTTGTGTCCCTGTCCTGGGCCTCAGTTTCCCCATTCATATAACAAAGGGCTGAGATTTGAGTCAGCTTGGCCATGCTGGGTGGGGTACACCAGAGCCTGGAGCCAGAATTCCTCCTGGAATCCCTCCCCTGTCTTCCAGCTCTGACTGGGAGCACTCAGAGCACCAGCTTCCCATCCTCGGTCCCTACCCCGCAGGGCAGGTGTAGGTGTTGTGTGAGACAGTGTGAGGACAGTGCCCACAGTCCCCGTCTCAAGCCAGCAGCGGTCCATGATGGTGACATTTTGCCGTCATCGTCTTTACGGCATACCCGCCCTGCATCTCCTGCGAGGGCTCCTTGCCCCTCCTAAGACCCTCCAGGTCAGTGTGCCATTCCTGTCGCATCAGCTGCATCAGTGCAGACAGAGGTGACCGCTCTTTTGGCAGACCTCCCTGAGGCTGAACCCTGGAGAAGGCTGGATGTAGGCCGAGGTTCCAGAGTGTGGGGTTTCCCGAAGGTTCCCTCTTCCCTCAGGCCTGAACTTTCCCAATCAGTAACCCAGTGGAGCCTGGGGCCCTGCCAGACCAGTTCCTCCTGACCCCTCATATCTGAGAGTGGCTCCCTGAGCTCCAAGCTGAGCCAGAGCCAGCCCCAGCCACCATGCTGGGGACCAGAGCGTGGGGGGCAGCTGCAGATCCACCCCACGTTGTGCCTTTGCAGAAGCGCAACACAGCAGGATTCTTAAGTTCTTTATTAGAGATATTTTTAAAAGGCTTTTAAGTATTTTTTTCTTCCCCCACACCAGCAAATGAAATAATTGCATAATTAGTAATAAATTTGTTCCTACACTAAGTGTGGATTTTTTTAGTGTGTGTTAACAATTTATTGCACTTCCTTCCCCTGACCCCTTTCTTCCACTCGCATACTCGACTGGTATTAATGCATTTTTTAACCTAAACTCCCTCCTCCTTTTAACCAGACAGGTCATTAATAAAATGTTCTCCAAGAGCCTGAGCTTTTTAAAGTTGTATATCTCCAGATAGATGGCTTGGGTGAGTTGAACACTGCCGCATTAAGTCTCTGTGATAAAATATTTATTCACCATTAGAATTTTTTTTTTCTTTCGGACTGTTTGTGAAGTGTCTTGCTCTTTTCCTTGAGGTGGAGGGGGAGGGGGAAGGCCCCAGAATGAGGTCTGCAGATGAAGCCATTTCTCAATTCCGGCATCTCTTTCGGTTTCTTGCTTGCCTTCCTCCCATTTGTCGGTTTTGCCGTCCAGTGGGGGCTGGGAGGATGCAGGGGCAGCAGGAAATGGTCTCCTGCCGGTCTCCATGCCCTGGGGGTCTTGGAGAGGGAGGCGATGAGGCTTGTGGAATGAAAAATTCACCACTGTCCCCTCTCTTGGCTTAATTGTTCTTGTGGGTTTATGGCTCTGATGGAGCTGATCTTAAGACATTAGCGTCCAGATCCTTTTAATAATCATAAACATTATCCTAATAGCCTCTATTTATTGATTGTATACTATGGGCTAAGAGCTGTGCTCAATTGTGTATATATATTATATGTATATATATATGTGTGTATATATTTAATATTTCTAATAATTATAAAATTGAGCAAGGCAGGTTTGTAGTACTCATTGATGGATGAGAGAAATGATTTGTCCAAGTTTTCTCCTTTCCTTCATCCATCCATCTGTCCATCCATCCATCCATTTACTCATTCACTCACAGATACTTCTTGAGAGTCTACCATGAGCCAAGGTACTTGGCCAGGAGTTGGGGAGTTAACCATGAGCACACAGATAAGTCACTGCCCTCACAAAGCTTGTCATAAGTAAACAAATAGCAAAATAAGGTCATCACAGACCTTGACCAGGGCTAAGAAGAGAAGTCAGCTGTTGAAAGGGGCTCATGGCCTGAGCCTCCCATGTTGGCCAACTCCAGGAGGGCTGGGGGCCTGACCCTGGACCGGAGGCTGCCATCATAGTTCTGAGCCTTCACTTTTGGAATGGATTTAGGTGTGGGAAATAGTCCCAGCTCCACAGACACCCAGGTACTGTTTGTGAAATAGCCCCTGTTGGCCAAGGCTGTAAGTCACTAGTGGGCTTTTTTTTTCAGCCTAGTTTGCATTTCCACATTGCAGGGACGCTATGAATGTGATTTTTTGAGTTTGCATCATGTTGCCAGACTCGAATCCCACCGCCTGCTTGATAGCTCCATTCGGGTGTGTCTAATTTGTGTCTCAGACCACACATCCAACCAGGAGCTCTGGGCTTCAACCCCCAAACCGGCTCCTTTGCCATCCCAGGCCATGGCACTGCTATGCACCCAGCTGCTCCAGGCAGAGGAGCCTCAGTGCTATCCTGGGTTCCTTCCTCTGCTCCACCTCTGCTCCCCTCTCCCAGCAGCTCTGTCGCTCTGCTCCAAACAGGTCTAAAACAGGTTGGGCTCTCCTCACCTCACTGCCGCCGCCCTTCCCACCTGGGCAGCTGCGGGAGCCCCTGCTGGGCTCCTTGCTCCTCCCACTCCCACCCTCCACAACTGTAGCTAGAACGTTCCACTCAAATCACGTCACGCTACTCCCCTGCCTAGGCCTTCCGGTAGCTTTTCACTGCAGCCAGAATTATGAGCCCCAGTCCTGGCCCTGACCCATCCCCTCTTCTGACCATCTGGAGTCTGCCTTCTGTGCCCCAGGTGCACTGGCTTCACTCTGCTCGGCGGACTGGATGAGCTCATTCCTGTCACAGGGCCTTTGCATGCCCTGTCTCCTGGGCCTTGGCTCAGGTCTTGGTGTGGCCACCTCCGCCTTGTCACCCAGCAGCCTCACGCCTGCCTCCCTATCCTTCCAGGAAGTAGAGGGAGGCCTGAAGACCCGGGAATCCTCCACTGGCTCTGCCCTGTCGCCCTGTTTCAATCCTCTGCCTGGTGTTTACATCCCTTGTTTCTGTTTTTGTTTCCTGTATCTCCTCTCTACACCTCTGTGTCTAATACAGTAGCCATTATTACAATGAAAGAAAATAACACATTCAGTCCCTCAGTGCCACTAGCTATATTTCCAGTGCTCGGAAGCCACATGTGGCTGATGGCTGTCAAATTGGACAGCACGGTAGGGAACATGTCCATCATCAAAGAAAGTTCTAGAGTGTCTGCTCCTTAAGACAGGACTCTATGTACATGGTCCCAGCTGTGCCCCCAGCACCTAGTGTGGGGTCTGCCATGCAGTAGGCATCTGGGAGGTAAATGGATTGGTGATGGGATGGCACACTGTGTTAGGCAATGCTGGGTGTACCCCGAGTCGGTAACCTGCCTTTTGGGGTGAGAGAGCCACACCATTTCTCTCTGTGCCTGCACTGCAGAGGAAGCACATACACCCACATGTATGGAGTTGAAGTGTCATGCCCAAGGAGGGAGAGGTGATGGAAGCACTGGGCAGTGGTGAGCAGCAGACCTCAACTCCACCCCACCCTGCACTCACCAGGTGGGGGACCTCTTTGAGCCTTAACATCCGTGCCTGGAAAATGGGGCCGGCATTTGTGTCTTGCATACGTCTTGGCTGTTGCAAGCCTTGTGTCAGATGAGAGCAGGTATACGAGTGCTTTGGAAACTCCAAAGCTGTGTTTTTTCAAATGTGATCCATGGACCAGAAGCAGCAGAAAGTGGAAACCTTCTGGAATGCAGCCTAAGCCTCTCCCAGAGGGCAGCAGGATCAGGGCAAGAAGGAGACAGCCCTTTAGAAAGGCAGCTGCCCAGTGAAGCCTAAGGAAGTGTGGCAGCGCCGTCCACCCTGTGTGTGACATGGTGGAGGGTCTGTCCCTGAGCCGGCAGCCTGTACCCCACGCCTCTCAGCCCCCTCAGAAAGCCTCCTGCCCCCTGCACTCCCAGCCTCTCCCTTGTGCCCATTCCCATTGCTAGAATTGTTGGCAACAGTGCAGCAGCAGCGATGACAGCAGGTAGCGCCCATTTTGCCATGTGCAGGCACGGGGTTGTTTTACGTTCATTCATTTAACCCAATGGAGAGTATCTGTGTTCCAAACATCAAAAAGGGACAGTAAAAATACGGTCCTATAGGACTGCCATTGTATACATGGTCTGTTGTTGACTGAAAGGTCATTATGTGACATGTGACTGTATTATCCTTGGCCCCTTTTACAAGTGAGGACACCATGGCCCAGAGGAGTTTAGGATGGGCCCCAGGTCATGTAGCTGGAGAGTGGCAGAGCCAAGGTGTGAATCCCGCACCTGGCTCTGGAGCCCTGTTCTCAGCCACCGTGCTGGGCAGCCCACACCTGGCATCCTCTCTGTTAGGAGCAGGGGCCTGCCCCCACGCCCTCTCTGACATTGCTATTCTTGCTAAAATGAAGAGACAGAGCTGAGGGGAGAGCTAAAAAGAATGAATCTGGACTGGCATCAGAAACATGCTGCTTCCCACCAGCGAGTTTTGTGCTTCACTCTTGGGCCCAGGGCCTGCAGGGTGTGCTGTGACCTCATCTGAAGAAGCACCCACACGGGCAGGCCCTGAGGGGCTGCAGCAGAGCCACCTCGATGCCTCTCGAGCCCCACCCGGCCCTACTTATGCCTTCCATCTGCACCAACACCGATGAGAAGCTTGCACCTCCCCAGTCTTCCCTGGTTTTGCTCGTAGCTGGCTGGCTGGATCCCTGCATGGATTGCCCTTGGACAACCCTTTGTGCCGGATGACCTGGCCGCCGTGTATTGAGAGCGCACACAGACCAGGCGCTGTGCCTGTGGTGTTCCCCCAATGCATCCGTATGGCAGCCCCACTTTACACAGGCGGAAACTGAGGCTGGTTAGGGGAGTGCTCAGCTGCAGGACCTCGTGGCCAGACCCCAGGCAGGTCAGCCTCCAAAGCCCCAGCTCTTCCCCACCCCACCGCCCAACTTCTTGCTGGTTTCAGGGGAGGAGCCCGCTGTGCCAGGCCCTCATCTCGTGGTGGTACCCAGAGCCCATGCTGTCTCCCCAGGAGGGCACTGCTCAGCCGCCCTCTCTTTCTGCAGGCCAGAAGCACTTGTGTGTCACCAGCCTCCTGATCTGCCAGGGTCTGCTCTGGGTGGGCACTGACCAGGGTGTCATCGTCCTGCTGCCCGTGCCTCGGCTGGAAGGCATCCCCAAGATCACAGGTGAGGCTTTGGGAGCTGGTGTTGGCAGGACCAGGGGGTCAGCTGCAGGTGGCCAGTGGGGCTTGGCGGGGAGGGTGTATTATGCCCTCATTGGTATAGGGATGGGGTTCCAGTCTCCAGCTTCCTCTCATCTCAGGTGGCATGGTGGCCAGTAGAACTGAATCGTCCTGGCCCCAGTCTCCCACCTTTCTGAGTGTCAGTTTCCTAATCTGGCAGATGGACACAAGAGTGGCTTGGGGCCTGGCTGAGACACCTGCCTAATGGCAGGGGCTCCACTGGCCCTTTCTGCTGCTTCCCATAGCAGTTTCAAGATGTCCAGGCTCCAGAGAAAGAAATAACTGAGTGCTTCTGGGGCCAGGCCCGGCCTGCTCGTGGGGTCCATGTGCAAATGAATGTGTTCACATAGATCAGAGGAAGGTCTGCTCTGATCTGCACTACTGGGCCCAGGACAACAAGGGCAGGATCAGAGAAGACCCCCACACTTGGATGCCTGGAGCTCCGGGTCCCCCTCCACCACCCTGAGAATGATGACTGTGGTCTTTTCCAGCAAGGGAGCAGGGCCAATAGGAAGCCCTGGGGGTGGGCTGGCTCCCTGCGCAGACCTCAAGTCCTTCTGATAAAGAAGAATTGCTTTGGCTGGGCGCGGTGGCTCACACCTGTAATCCTAGCACTTTGGGAGGCCGAGGTGGGTGGATTGCCTGAGCTCAGGAGTTTGAGACCAGCCTGGGCAACACAGTGAAACCCCATCTCTACTAAAAAATAAAAAAAAATAAAAATAAAAAATTAGCTGGGCATGGCGGTGTGCGCCTGTAATCCCAGTTACTTGGGAAGCTGAGGCAAGAGAATTTCTTGAACCCGGGAGGTGGAGGTTGCAGTGAGCCGAGATTGCGCCATTGCACTCCAGCCTGGGGGACAGAGTGAGACACCATCTCAAAAAAAAAAAAAAAAGTTGCTTCTAAATTCTGAGATTTTCTATTTTCAAGGTTTCATCAAATAGGGCATTTTGTCCATCCAGGGGGCATTTGTGGAGGGTCTATTTCCAGGTAGAATCCTGGGATGCAGGGATGAAATCGGGCAGAGACCCTGCTCTCAACAAGCTGATGGTCTCCTGGGGGTCATCATAGCTCGGGTGACAGGTGCTGGGATGAGGGTGCTCCGGGGGCTGGGGACACAGAGACTGGGGCGAGCAGCTCCCCATGCATGAATTCAGGAGGGATTCACAGTGAGGAGTGTGAGCTGGGCCTTGCTGAAAGAGTTGCAGAATCAAGTAGACAGGAAAGGATTTCTAGGCAGAGGAGCTGCTTGGCAAAGGCTCAGGAAATTCTTGGAATTTCACACTGAGGCTCCCCCGTGTGGTGTATAAGGTGGTTTCTGTTCCACTCCCCTGAGGAAGTTGTGCAGGAGCACGGGATAGCCAGAGCCTGTGGCCTTCGGGGGAGGTGCCAACATAGACAGAAGTGACCCCCCCAAATACCCACCCAGAATGTTCTCCAGGAGAGAGACTCAGGTGCTTCCCTTAATGCGCTGGGCCTTTGGGCCCCTTTCTCTCTCGCCCCATTTTCTGCAGGGAAAGGCATGGTCTCACTCAACGGGCACTGTGGGCCTGTGGCCTTCCTGGCTGTGGCTACCAGCATCCTGGCCCCTGACATCCTGCGGAGTGACCAGGAGGAGGCTGAGGGGCCCCGGGCTGAGGAGGACAAGCCAGACGGGCAGGCACACGAGCCCATGCCCGATAGCCACGTGGGCCGAGAGCTGACCCGCAAGAAGGGCATCCTCTTGCAGTACCGCCTGCGCTCCACCGCACACCTCCCGGGCCCGCTGCTCTCCATGCGGGAGCCGGCGCCTGCTGATGGCGCAGCTTTGGAGCACAGCGAGGAGGACGGCTCCATTTACGAGATGGCCGACGACCCCGACATCTGGGTGCGCAGCCGGCCCTGCGCCCGCGACGCCCACCGCAAGGAGATTTGCTCTGTGGCCATCATCTCCGGCGGGCAGGGCTACCGCAACTTTGGCAGCGCTCTGGGCAGCAGTGGGAGGCAGGCCCCGTGTGGGGAGACGGACAGCACCCTCCTCATCTGGCAGGTGCCCTTGATGCTATAGCGCCTCCCCTCTCCCCTCAGAGGGCACAGCTGCAGGCCTGACCAAGGCCACGCCCGGCTCTCGTGCTCTAGGACCTGCACGGGACTTGTGGATGGGCCTGGACTCTCCAGAAACTACTTGGGCAGAGCAAAGGAAAACCTCTTGTTTTAAAAAAATTTTTTTCAGAGTGTTTTGGGGAGGAGTTTTAGGGCTTGGGGAGAGGGAGGACACATCTGGAGGAAATGGCCTTCTTTTTAAAAGCAAAAAACACAAAACCTCACAACTGCCTGGCAAGCCCAGTATCACTTGTTTGGGCCCTAGCGGGACTCCAAGGCAGCCACACGCCCCTCCTGGAAGGGTGTGTGCGTGTGAGTGTGTGCGAGTGTGTGGGCTGGTGTGTGAATATCTATAAATAAGTATATATGGTGTATATTATATGTGTATAAATAAAGTCTGTACATATTGGAGCTCTGGGAGATGCTGGAATAAAAGACAAGAGTTACATCTGGACTTGGATTGAGGTTTTGTTGTGGTTTTTTAAAGCATGATGGGAAAGAGATAGAGAGAGCAGCTATTGGTAGAGAGGGTTTATTCGGGACCCAGGAGCCACTCTTAGGCTTGGTGGGAGGGTGGAGCTGCTACGGGAATCAGCTCTAGAACTTCACAGTCCAATCTGGTCACCATTAGCCACAGGTGGCTAATTAATTTTCAAATTAATGAAAAATCAAACATTCAATCTCTCAGTCACCGTAGCCACATTTCAGATGTGGCTTGAGTGGTGAGTGGTGAAGGATGAGACGGCACAGATATGACCATTTCTGCTATAGAAGAAAGCTCACTTCTGCTCCAGAAGGGGCTCTGGGAGCTTCTTTTGTGAATATGTTTTGGAAAAAAGACTGGTTCACCCCAGGTCTGGAGTAGCATGGGGGCAGAAGGCCTTGGTGTCTAACAGTGCAAGCCAGAAGCGAGGGGAAGATGAGGGGCTTCTCTGCAGGCTGGCAGCCATGTCCCAGGACTTGGGGTCAGAGGGAGGACAGGGTGGGCTTCAGGTGAGGTCCATCAGCTGCAGGAGCAGAGCCCAGGCTGCAGGTGGGATGGGCGGGTGGGGCTGCCTCTGGCCCTGGCTCCTCTCTTCTGTCGCAGTTCGTCCTCAGATTTCTAGAGCTGCTTGCAGGAAAGAAAATCAAAACCAAAAGCCGCCACCCAAAAGGGAAGTGTTTCCTCCATCTCTCCACCCTCTACCTCTCTGTCATCTGTCTACCCACCACCCACCGGTACTTGCATTGAGATCTTTCCACTGAAGTTCTGGGAACCCAGTGGAAAAGCCACCAAGGAGTGGACATTCCAGCCGGGTTCTAACCTCATGATAGGTTCTCGCCCACTAGAGAAGTCATTCATTCATTCGTTTTGCAAACCCCTTGAGTTCCTGCTATTTGCTGGGCACTGGGCTATGTGGACAAGACTGCAGCCGTCCATGCCCACAGGAAGTGCATGTTGTAGCGGGGAAGGCAAGCATAAACACCAGCGAGCGAAGGCTTGGGGAGATCGAGGGTGCTGCGGAGGAGGAAGGGGGATAGAGGAGCAGCCCGTGCTCAGGTGGAGGGTGGACAGAGGTTGGCTATTCCCAGAGGGAGGTAGCCAGTGTGGGTCCCCAGGAAGGGGAGAAAGGAAGCTGGTCCAGAGGAACCAGTACACCTGAAGGTCTGGCTCCTACACTGACTACGGCTCAGACATGTCCACCTCCTTTGGGCCTCAGGATCCCATTTTGTATCAAAAGAACCATCACTGCCCTGTCCACCTCTCTTGGAAGAGAATAAAGTACGCTAGTTCCATTTTTATTGCACAAGTGGGTTATTGAATAAATACTCTCTCTGGATGGGACTCCCAGGGGGTGTGTTTATCTCATCAATCAAATGTCAACCAAGACTTCCTGAGACAGAGACCAGTGAGTCGAGGCTGCCTGGGACAAGGAGTAAGCCTGGACTCTAGGGTCTGGCAGGCCTGTGATCAAGTCCAGCACCACCAAAACGCGTCTGTGTGGCTCCCAGCACGTCCCTCCGTGGCTCCCAGCACGTCCCTCCATTTCCATATCTCTAGAACAGAGGGGATGATGTGTCACAGAGTTCAAGGTACCAGAACCACAGAAAGCATCTGGAACAGCCCTCCGGTGGCATTTTTGGTGATGGTTCCTTATATCCTCGCTCCAAACGATTTGAGGCCAGTGGTTCTTACTGAGGAGTCTCCTCTGGTGCTGGAGCTGGCATCTGGGATCTCCGTGGGCCTGTTAGATCCTAGACCTACAGATCGCTCAGCTAAAAGGGACCTGGGAGATCGAATGGAGCCCGTTAAATCACGTCACGGAGAAAACGACTGACTTTGCTACTTCAGTGAAATTATCACATCAGTCACCAGCTCATCTCCCATGCCTCCGACAACAGAGCGAGGGAGGGTCGGGGGCGCCGCGAATGGCTCCTGAGACCCACTGAGGACGTGCATCACATGTGAGTGGAGGCCTGGCCTTAGATATTGATAAGAGTAATAATACCCAGAGCGCTCCGGGTGCCTGAGCTCCTTTCGTCGGTACAACTGCTCTCTGAGGCTGCTTTTGTTTGCCTCGTTTTGTAGGTGAGGGGTCTGAGGCTCAGGGATCTAAGCAACCTGCCTAGGAAGCCTCAGAGCCTAAAAGTCAGGCCCGGGACTGTGGTCTGTCTGCCACCAAGACGGCTCTTAACTACCAGACTACTTGCCCCCCAGAGCAAAACTCTGGAGACAAACAGAGCAGAGTTGCCTTAACAGGCAAGTGCCTTAATCTGTGTCTCAGGGAGACCCTGCCATGGGAACGGACCATCATTCATTCAGTATTCATTGAACGCCGATTACGTGCCTGGACCCGTTTTCAAGTAGACACTGGGTAGGGCGTAGTGAAAAAGACAAATCCCAGGCACACCTCGTTGTCCATTCTACTGGCAGGGTCAGGAGGGAACAGACCGGGAGAAAAATATGTCAGATGATATTTGTGCTCTGGAGAAGGGGGATGGGAAGGGCTGGGGAGGGGGCTCATGATGTCAAAGAGGGTGGTCAAGAGGCCTCACTGAGGAGATGACGTCCGAGCTAAGACCTGAAGGTGGAGCAGACATCGGGTGGTAGAACATTTCGGGCTGAGGGCAAGTGCAGGAGCAAAGTGTGGGGGCAGGAGTGTGGCTGGAGCAGGTGCGGGCGGGGGAGGGGAGGCAGTGGGCAGTGGGAAATCACTGGAGGGTTTCGAGCAGAAGAATGACACTGTCTGTCTGATGTTTTCAAACAATCACGTTTGGCTGCTAAATTAAGAATAATCCATGGAGAGGGGGACAGCAGTGTGGGAGCCAGGAGTCCCCTTGTTGAGAGCTGTTGCAGTCAGCCAGGTTTGCAAGGTGGGGGGCAGCAATAGAGAGCGGTCAGCTTCCGGGTGGATTCTGATGTCCCAGAGCCCACTGGGTTTGCAGATAGATGGGCTGGGAAGGAAAGAGAGGAGTCAAGCATGCCTCTGAGGTCTGGCCTGGCGACTGGAAGGTCAGAGCTGCCAGCTTCCCTGGCAGGGTGGCTGTGAGGGGCAGCTTTTCCACAGGAAGAGCGGGAATGGGGTTTGGATCGGCTACATTTAAGTTGCTTTTGAGCATCCGAGCAGAGACGTAGGGAGGACAGTTGACTGTGTGAATTTGGAGTCAGCAGAGAGGTCCATGCCAGGGGTGCCTGAGCCTGGATGCAGCCTCCAAGGGAGCAGAGTAGACGGAGGAGGTGTGAGGACAGAGTCCAGGGAAGGCCAGTGTCGGGAGGTCCAGGAGCTGATCAGGAAGCACGGGGGAGGCTGAGATGCCCGGATGAAGGTGGAAGACCGGAAGGGCAGGGTGAGGGTTGGAAGGGGAGGGGGTGATCTGTGCTGAATGCTGCTGAGGTTAAGGAGGAGCCTGAGGCCTACCTTGGATTTAGCCACACGGAGGCCTTCTGTGCCCTTACGAGAGGTATGTGGGCAGAAGTGGTGGCGGGGAAGCCTGAGGATGCGGAGGGAGGGTCTGGGAGAGGAGCATGTGAGCAGCGGGGTCCTGGGTGGTTCTCAGGCCCCAGTGATTCGGTGGAGGGAAGGAGGGGCCGTGACAGATGCCCCAGCCATGCAAGCCACAGCTCAGAGGGCCCAGAGTTTATCAGTTCATGGGCCTTCATCCCCTTGCCCTTGCCCAAGGGGGAGAATCACTTTCTCTACCCCTGGTGAGCAGGCCGAGGCTGCAGACAAGCCCAGTTATCAGGAGGCAGCTGTGAGCCAGGCCGGTCTCCCAGCAGGAATCCTGAGCAGCGGCTGATTGAGAATCTCCGGCTGGTGACAGGTTGCCCCAACCCCACCCCGTGGGGAGCCCAGCCTGCCATGCTGGGTTACTGCCAAAGGCCTCTGTTCCTGTCTCTGTGCTCAGGCCTGGGGAGGTCAAGGCCTGACATCCCCATCCCTCAGATGGAGGTGGGGGTTGTTCTCTGGGCACTTCTGGCCCCGAGACATGGACTCCAAAGGTGGGAGGGAAGCAGAGGCTGTCCTCATCCAGCATCTGAGCAGTCCCCTTCCTTGGAGCCTGACTGCCTGTGGTGGGGGGCACAGAAATGGCCCTCTCACTTTGTTCCGATGACTGACCTTACTGTAGTTTGGACACCCCATAGCAGAAAACTCTAATTCTTTTTTTTTTTTGAGACGGAGTCTCACTCTCGCCCAGGCTGGAGTGCAGTGGCGCCATCTTCGCTCACTGCAACCTCCTCCCGAGTTCAAGCAATTCTCCTACCTCAGCCTCCCAAGTAGCTGGGGTTACAGGTGCTGGCCACCACACCCGGCTAATTTTTGTGTTTTTAGTAGAGACAGGGTTTTTCCATGTTGGCCAGGCTGGTCTTGAACTCCTGACCTCAGGTGATCCACCCACCTCAGCCTCTCAAAGTGCTGGGATTACAGGTATGAGCCACTGTGCCTGGCCTCTAATTCTTCATTAAAGGTGACATAGTCATTTCTGGAGCTTAAGCTGCTTCTTGGGGCTAACACAGTCTATTTGGGGTGAACTGACAGTCTTTTAGGCCTATCTCCTTCCCTTTCCTTCCCTTCTGTCCCCCGCCTGGCATATGAACCCGGGGGACACTAATAGGATGCAGTGGTAATAACTAGGGTGCAGGTGTCTGCACAGTGGCAGAGGCATTGGAGATGTCCCTACTCTCTATTCTGGCTTCTTTTGGTCTCCATGCCCTTAGGTCCCCTGCCATGGTGGTCAGGCTGGCATCCTTGGTGTCAGGCTGGCATCATCAGTGCTGCCTGTCTCTGGTCTTGGGCACCTCACCTTCTGTACCCCCCAACCCTATCTCAGTCCCCCTTAACCTTTCCACACCCCCACCAGCCTCCACCCCCAGGACACTCACAGACCTGTGTACCCCAGACCCCTCCTCTGCCCTGCTATCCCCACCCTGGGGGGCATGTCGGGGATCAGACCCCTGCCCGTGGGCTCTCGTGCTCCCTTCAACCTTTCTGATTGACTCCTAGAGGCCAGGTGAGTCCAACCTCAGGCAGGTCCCTCCAGTCCATCCCGTTGCCGACTTGCTGCTTACAAAGGGATTTCCTAACGAGAAAGCTGCCCTTCGGCCTGTAGGAGCTGTGTGCTCAGGCGCTGAGCTCTGTTCTTGCTTTGTAAAAGGAAGCAGAGCCTGAGACAAGGATTTTGATTCAGGTCGTTTATTTGGGAGGGGAGACCAGGGAACCCCGATGGGGGCATAAAATGGGGAAGAGAAGGCAGCCAGTGCCGGGGGAGGTATTGAACATGTTACTAAGTGGGTACCTCGGGCTCAAGTCTGCTGAGGGGCTCTGGGAGACGGTGCAGAGCTTTCTCCTCCGACCCCCACCAGCTGGGTGCCTGGCTGAGCTGCCCCTGGAGGCGTGAGTCCCTGTCAGTTCTGTCTGCTTCCTTGTTAGCCAGAGAGGGGACTAAGGTGGAGAGAGCCGGCAGGCTTGCCTGTGCGCTATAGCAAGTGCCCATAGCAAGCTGTGGCTTTTATCATTGAAAATTTTTTCCATCCCAACAAAGCCAGACTTTCAAGAGGACAGTCTTGCTGTGGACACAAAGATGTGGAATTTGGAACTCAAAGCTGGTTGTTTGTTCTAGGTTATATCCCCCTGTCTCAGCTCACGCCGTTCTAACAAAACACCACTTGCCAGGCGTCTTAAACAACAAACAATTATTCTCACAGTTCGGCAGGCTGGAAGTGCAAGAGCAAGGAGCTGGGGGATTCAGTGTCTGGGAGGCTCCTCCCAGGTGGCAGGCAGCTGCTTTTTTGTAGTGTCCTCACGTGGCAGAGAGTGTAAGCTCTGGTCTCTCTTTCACCTTTTTTTTTTTTTTTTTTTTTGAGACGGAGTCTTGCTCTGTCACCCAGGCTGGAGTGCAGTGGTGCGAACCCGGCTCACTGCAACCTCTGCCTCTTGGGTTCAAGCAATTCTTCTGTCTCAGCCTCCTGAGTAGCTGGGATCACAGGTGCGCACCACCACACCTGCTTAATTTTTGTATTTTTAGTAGAGACAGGGTTTTACCATGTTGGTCAGGCTGGTCTCAAACTCCTGACCTGAGGTGAGCCGCCCACCTCGGCCTCCTAAAGTGCTGGTGCTGGGATTACAGGTGTAAGCCACCATGCCCGGCCTCTTTCTTCTTTTTATAAAGGTGTGAACCCCATCATGGGGGCTCTACCCTCATGACATAATCAACTCCCAATGGCCCCACCTCCAAATATCATCACATTGGGGTTTAGAACATCAACACATGAACTTTGAGGGGACACAAATGTTAAGGCCATAACACTCTTCCTACCCCCCACCGCACAACATGTAATAAATGGCACCGACTCAGTGAGGTGGAGGTGGGGAAACATCAACTCATCAAGATTTCTAAGTGATACGGTTAGGCTTTGTGTCCTCACCCAAATCTTATCTTGAGTTGTAATCCCAAGTGTTTAGGGAGAGACCTGGTGGGAAGTGATTGGATTATGGGGGCAGTTTGCCCCATGCTGTTCTCGTGATAGTGAGTTCTCATGAGATCTGATGGTTCTCGAGATCAGCTTTCCCTGCCCTTTTTTTTTTTTTTTTTTTGAGACGGAGTTTCTCTCTGTTGCCCAGGCTGGAGTGCAGTGGTGTGATCTCGGCTTACTGCAGGCTCTGCCTCCAGGGTTCATGCCATTCTCTTGCCTCAGCTTCCTGAGTAGCTGGGACCACAGGTGCCCACCACCACGCCCGGCTAATTTTTTTGTATTTTTAGTAGAGACGGGGTTTCACCGTGTTAGCCAGGATGGTCTCGATCTCCTGACCTTGTGACCTACACGCCTCAGCCTCCCAAAGTGCTGGGATTACAGGCATGAGCCACCGCGCCCGGCCCCCCTGCTCTCAGATGCTCCCTACTGCCTTGGAAGAAGGCGTCTGCTTCCCCTTCCACCATGATTGTAAGTTTCCTGAGGCCTCCCCAGCCATGGGGAATTGTAAGTCAATCAAACCTCCTTTATTTATAAATTACCCAGTCTCAGGAATTTCTTTATAGCACTGTGAGAAAGGACTCATACAATAAAGGATAAAAATAAACTTCAGGCTATGTCTCCACCAAATCACCCCCACTACACAACTAAGCACCTTTGCTGTACCTGACATTAGGCTAGAGGTACTGAGGATGTAAGAGTGTCCCTGTCCTCTCTGAACATGTAGTCCAATAGGCAGGATGCTGGCGCCAAGGAGAGTCAACCAAGGAAGGCTTCCTGGAGGCAGGGAGGTGTGGCACAGCAGATGTAGGTGTTGGAGCAGATTTGAGTTTGGATCTTGGCTCTGTTACATATTGACTGTGTGGCCTTAGACGAGTGCTACCTCCTGGGCTTCTGTGTCCTCAGCTGAACAAATGGGCTTTTGAGGGCTTCCTTAAGGGGTAGCTGTGAGCACCTAGGGGGCCTCAGGTGTGAGCGGTTTGTAGTGTGTCTCCAGGCCCTGCCGCTGCTTCTACAAGCATTATCTCTGGGAATCCTCAAAATTAACCAGAAAGGGAGACAGATGAAATGAAGCCTCGGTGGATGCAGTGGCCTGCAGGAGTGCTCACAGGCTTGGGGGTGAGGGAAGGAGGACTGAGGGAGGCCCTGGGGAGGGCTGGGGCTGGGGCTGGGCCATGAGCTGGGGCTGGGGCTAGAGCTGGGGCTGGGGGAGGGAGGACTGAAGAGGTCCTGGGGAGATCTGGTCCTGGGAGGGCTGAGGCTGGGGCTTGAGGCTGTGTTTCAGTCCAAGCTGGTGTGATCTGTTTCTAAACCTGGGCTCAGGAGGAGACCCCAGCCATCACTCCCTGGGGCCAGAGCCATGTCAGGCTCCTGGCCACAGGTCTGTTGCCCTTTCAGAGTGGAACTGGCCCTCCTGCCACCAATTTGTTCTGTGTGGCCCCCCAGCTGGCTCCAGCCCTGTGAAAGCCCAGGATACACACACAGCCCAGGAGCTTCCCTGTGGTTCCCTGGGGGTAATGGAGCCTCTGAAGCATGCCTTCTGAAGGGCCCAGTGCCTGCTTTTTTTTTTTTTTTTTTGAGACAGTGTCTTGCTGTGTTGCTCAAGCCCAAAAGATCCTCCTGCCTCAGCCTCCTGAGTAGCTGGGACCACAGGCACATGCCACCATGCCTGGCTAGTTTTTCCAATCTTTTGTTGAGACGGGATCTCGCCATGTTGGTCAGGCCAATCTTGAACTCCTGGGCTCAAGCAATCTGCCACCTCAGCCTCCCACCATGCTGGGATTACATGAGCCACCGCTTCCAGCCTCAATGCCTGCTTTCTTTAGACTCCAAAGCACGAGCCTGTGTGTTCATGCAGGAGGCCATGGGGTGGTGGGGTGGTCGCAGGAGGATGAGGTCTGAACTTTAGTCTTCACAGTCCTACCGCTCTGATGGGTGATACTGAGCCACTGACCCGGGATGTTCCCCACCTGCTGGGGGAGATGGCCTTGTTCTTAGGGAGCTCCCAGGCTGCTGGAGGACGCATAGCTCCTATCACCGGGTTTGATGGGGAAGCCAAAAGTCTGCTAGGGAGCCCTGACCCTGCTCTCCCATGGGGGAAGATCTAATTTCTGCCCAGGGGGAGACTCTAAGCTGCTGGGGGAGATATTTCCCTGTCCTCAGAGGATGCTCCAATCCGATCCCCGGGCTGAAGTGGAAGATAAACCCGTGCCCTTGGTGAGCTCCCAGTCTGAATGGGAGACAGGTCGCCCAACCGTGAAAGAGACCCAATAATAAGACACGCAGCAGACACTTTTTAACAATGCAGACCTAATTACGGCATTGCCAACCACTCTAAACTCCTCATTTACACGTTCCTGGGGAAATGGCAAGTAGCAAGAATGTGTAAATTGAGGAAAATTAATATAATTACCCGAGCTATTTCTTGTCAACTCTTAATCTCCACAGAAACCACAAAACCTTTCCTGGTGAGTGGCGGTCATTCTGGGCTCTCCGCCTGAGGCAGGGAACTGAGGCTCCCCCTCTGCATCGTGGGCCCTTCCAGGTGCCGGGCTTGTAGGTTCCAGAGGGTCCTGGATTTGGGAGACCTGGGTTTGAGTTCTGGCTCTGTCACCGGTTTGCTGGGTGATCCTCTGTGAATCCAATCCTGTCCAGATGTGCTGCACTCTCGCTGGGTTCCGGTACTGGGATGCGTGCATTCCACCTTCCATGACAGGAGTCTTCACAACCACGCCCAGGGGGAGGTGCTATTATTGTCCCCACCTTACAGAGGAAACGGAGGTCAGGGAGGTGAAGTCACTTGCCCGGGGTCACACAGAACAGAAGCGGACCCAGGGCTATGGACTCAATACCATAGCTTTAACCGTGCCCCGACTGCTGCCCCTATCCTCAGTCAGAAAACAAAGCCTGTTTCCCAGCAACCCCCAACCCTCCAACACTTTGCTGTGTGAGGACCTTGTGTGAGAACAGGTGACGTGTCAATACAAGCTGCAGAATGCTTGCAAACCCTGGGCCTCAGTTTCCTCTTCCAGAACATGGGGCTTTTCACAGCATTCACTGCAGGGGCTGTTTCAAGGATGAAATGAATTGACTCATGTAAAATACTCAGCTCCCGGCCTCTAGTGGGCCCTCGTTAACTTGATTATCACCGTCTTGCGCAGGGTCTGCCAGGTGTCTACCTGTGTTCTGAGAGGCCCCTCTTTGGAGGGTCACACACCCAGGCATAGGCATCTTGCTGAGCCCTCAGTACCTTCTTTTTTTTTTTTTTCCTGACAGTCTCACTCTGTTGCCCAGGCTGGAGTGCAGTGGCGTGATCCTGGCTCACTGCAACCTCTGCCTCCTGGGTTCAAGCGATTCTCCTGCCTCAGCCTCCTGAGTGGCTGGGATTACAGGCACCCACCACCATGCCGGGCTGATTTTTGTATTTTTAATAGAGTCGGGGTTTCACCATATTGGCCAGGCTGGTCTCAAACTTCTGATCTCAAGTGATCCTCCTGCCTCGACTTCCCAAAGTGCTGGGATTACAGGCATGAGCCACCATGCCCAGCAGCCCTTAGCACCTTCTTAAGAGTGGCACAGTCCCCCTTAAGCTTGCTGGAAAGCCCCGCTGTCTGTGTAGAAACTTCTTTCCATTCTGCTGGCTTAGGGCATACAAACACTGATGCCACTCACGAAGCATTTTTAGAAAACAAGGACAAACTGTAGTAGGCAGTGTACTGTCAAATACATATCCCATCATGGCCCATACAGTGGTCTAGAGAGTGGGTGGTGCGAATTTGCAGAAAACCCAGTTGGCTTTGGGTAAGTGCTACCTATTCATTCAGCAAATGTCTACTGCTGGCCACTGTGTGCCGGGCTCTGGGCTGGGCTCTGGCACCTGGGCAGTGGAGGACAGACACAGCCCTACCCTCCTGGATCTGAGCCTCTAGCTTCATAGGTGAGACAGGCTTGAAAAGAAAAAGTTTGGTTGGGCACAGTGGCTCACACTTGTAATCCCAGCACTTTGGGAGGCCGAGGTGGGAGGACTGCTTGAGCCCAGGAGTTTGAGACCAGCCTGGCCAACACAGGGAGACCGTTGTCTCTATACAAAATGAAAAAGTTAGCTGGGGGTGGTGGCACATGCCTGTGGTGCAGCTACTCGGACGCTGAGATTGGAGGATCACCTGGGCCCAGGAGGTTAAGACTGCAGTGAGTTGTGATGGTGCCACTGCACTCCAGTCTGGGAGACAAAGTGAAATCCTGTCTCAAAACAAACAAACAAACAAATAAAAAAAAACAAAGAAAGAAAGAAAGAAAAAAAATAATGAAAAAAAAAGAGTTCAGGGAAGAGAATGCTGGTGGCTTTGGGGCCTCACAGATGTGGAGTCTCCCACTTGGCTCCACTCCTGGGGCTCTACCCTCTACTGGCCTCAGTTTCCCCCTCTGTAAGATGGTGGTAACAGGACTTATCCTGGGCTGCTGCTGGGATTAGAGGAGATGATGTGTACACAGTGCTTAGCACAGGGCCTGGTGAAGGGGAGGTGTGCCATCAACGGCAACTATTTTTTTATATTTATTTATTTATTTATTTATTTACGTATGTATTTGAGATGGAGTCTCGCTCTGTTGCCCAGGCTGGAGTGCAGTGGTGCAATCTCCACTCACTGCAAGCTCTGCCTCCTGGGTTCACGCCATTCTCCTGCCTCAGTCTCCCAAGTAGCTGGGATTACAGGTGCCCACCACCACGCCCAGCTAATTTTTTGTATTTTTAGTAGAGACGGGGTTTCACCGTGTTAGCCAGGATGGTCTCGAGCTCCTGACCTCAGGATCCGCCCGTCTCGGCCTCCCAAAGAACAGCAACTATTTTTAATGGTAATAACATTAATGGTGGGCCTGACCTGTTGTGAGTGTATGGTTGTGTGTGGGTGGGGCTGGTATGATGGGACTGAGCCTGGGGCTGGGGACCATCCTCTGCGAGGACCCCATCTGGAAGGTGGAGAGATCCAGGTGCTCAGCTGCAGGGGAATTGGGCACCATTGTGAGGCTGGACTCTGTTCTCAAACCCAGGGCTGGGGGCTTGTGGCTTCAGGAACTGGGCTGTCAGGGGAGTGCTGTGACCCAGGGTGGCCAGGGATCCCTCAGCTCCCTTCCAGAAGGTGTTGTGAGTTCTTTCTGGTCTGAACCTAACTCTAAGGAGGAGATACAGTCTTCTTCTCCTGTTATTTATGCTAAATTGGATGACCAGGCATTTTTTCTTTGGCAAATCCAGGGCCGTGCATTTATTTCATTTATTTATCTTTTGTTGTTTTGCTTCATTTTTCCTTTCTGAGGCCATGCATTTATAGACTGTTTTGCATACACCAGAGGGCCTATTTACATCCTATTTGCATGTTTCTCTGGGTGTGAGGTTCAAGAGGCCCAAACTCAAAGTGTGTAAAACAAAATAAGTGTGTTAAGTCTACCCTTCTTAGCTGGCCTGAACTGCACAGGCAGGGATGGAGGAGCTCAGAGGGGTGGGTGGTCCCCAAAGGATGGTTAGAGCAGGGAGGGACCCCGGGGTCAGCTCTTTCCTGTGTAACTCTGGACCAGGGGGAAAGGGGAGCTTTGGGCAGCTGGGTGCAAAGGAGCTAAAGAAGCTGAGATGAAACCACAGCACAGGGCATCCTCAGCTGCCCAGCACAGACCTCAGAACTGCAGACAGGTGTAGACGGGGTATGGTGGCACCTGTTCTAATAGGCCCTGGTTGTTCAGCACCTACTATGTGCCAGGCACTGCACCAGAGTCTTCAGGAATGTTAGTGTAACAGTTAAAGAAAGAGGAAAGAAACACAAAAAGCAGCTCAACAGTCAAAGACAGCTTTATTTTGGAGAGTAAATCTGAGAGGGGCTTCTGGCCGATTTTGGTCAGGGGCATTCTCTCTTACAGTCTAAGGACATTTAAGGGTTTAGGAAGGGGAGAGCTTAGTGCAGGCTCAGAATGTTTCTATGTGGGGGAAAGTTGATTGAGATGTTGGAATGTCTCTGGTTGGAGCGGAGGCCATCTTGGGGTTGGTGTGTTTCTCGTTGGAGGAGAGTTTATCTTAGGATTGGAATGTTTCTGGTTATGCTGACATTAGCTATTAGGCTGATGTTTTGGGGCCGGATTTGGGCAGTTTTTAAATCAAGGTGAACTTAAAATAGTGGTGTTTGTCAAACACGGTGACGCGCCTGCTCTGTCAGCCCATTGTCTCCTCAGAGACTTAGATGTGTGCTGCTTTCAAATCCATTTTAGAGATCAGCAAACTGAGGTTCAGAGACCCAAAGTGACCTATCCAAGGCCATGTGACTGGTCTTTGGAGGCCCTAGACTCAAACACAGGTTGATTTGGTTCCAGAACTTTACTGTCTTGATTTAGGAGAGTAAGAAACCCAACCTCTGGCAGTCCCAGGAGCCATGGGTGTGGTGGCCTCCATGCCTTCCTCAGAACCTCCTGAACCTCCCTTCTTTTCCAGAGAAAGGACTTCTCTTCTTCTGTTTCACTGGATTGCCTCAGGTACAAGGAAGGCAGGAACAGTAGGAGCCCCTGAACCTCCAGGTTTCCATGGCAATGTGGCAGGGTGGTGGGGCAGCTCGTTATGAGAACATCCTGTGTCCTTTAAGAGATCCTGTGTCCTTTGAGGGAAGGAACTTCAGCCCCAGCCCCCACTACAAGGCCTGGCCCCAAGCAGGACCTCCATAGGTGCTTCTTGATGTGCCCAACCCTCCCAGGGTAAGTTAAATGTGGTTGGAAGGTTCTTTGCCACTTCCCCACATTGCGAAGTGGAGTTTATTTTCCTTCCCCTTGAATCTGAGTTGGTCTTTGCTTGAACTGTGGAATATGATGGAAGGAGTGCTGTGCCAGTTCTGGGCCTGGCAGCTTCTGCTTTCATGCTTTTAGGAACCCTGATCCCAAAAGAAGTCTAGGTACCCTGATGGAGAAATCATGTGGGCATACTCATGGAGACATAGAGGACCTGAGAGAGAGGCCTGGCACCCCCAGTTGGCCTCACCCAGGCAGCACACACTGGGGAGTCATCTCAGACACTGCTGCCTGTTCAAGTGGCCAGACGCCATCTTGTCGAGCAGAAGAACTGCCCAGCTGAGCACAGACTCATGAGATCATTACAAAGCTTGCTGTTTTAAGATGCTCAGTTTTGGGGTGGTTTGTTCTGTGTGACCTCATCTCTCCTCTTTTGGTAGTAAAAGCATCCTTTTGAAATCCCCCCTCACCTGCTAACCTGGTGGGGATGCCAATAAAAAACATACACTGTCCCTTCCCCCACAGGAGTGGATGTGGGACCCAGGCCTGATCAGTAAAATGACTCACCCCTGGCAATAGTGATTGGTCCAGAGATGGGCATGTGGCCCAAAAGGAACCAATCAGGGCCCTTCTCTGGCTTTCACATGTTGATGCTTGTTGGGAGAAGAACTCAGATTTTTCTGGGATTGCTAAGTTGGGAAGATGTAAACCCTGAATTGGTGTGGTCATGTCCCCCACTCCATTCCCACCTCTGCTCAGTATGGAGCAGTCCCAGCCACATGAGAGGGAAGGGGGCCAAAACAGGGACCGAGCAGTGGTGGTGACACCTTTGGGCTCTTTGCGTCTCTGGGCCAGTTCTCCCTCAGGACTTCCCAGTTTCATGAGCCAATAAATGTTCTTTTTTCCTTAAGTTAGTTTGAGTTGATTTCTGTCACTGCAACTGATGGGATCCATTTCATGCCAATTCTGTTCTTCTCCTTATCTAGCTAGAAATAGCACGGGCTGTGCTGTTCTCTGTCTCAGAGGCTCAGTTTTCATGGGGAAGGAAAGAAAATGTACACGTGCTCTGTCATAGGCCCCAGTGTTGGGTGCTTTCCTCTTTCCTCTTACCAAACACTCACCGCTGCCTTCCAGGGAGGTGCCTCCTGACTGTTTTTCAGGGTAAGATGGTGGCAGGTCAGAGGCTGAGAGGCAGAAACCCATTGAGGTGGGATCTGCGGTTCAGGATGCCCCCGATTCCCTCTCAAGGTGCGGTGTCCCTGCTCTGGGATAGAATGAAGCAGAGACTGGGCGGGGGAGAAGGGGGGAGGAAAGGGAATCCCATTAATTTTTCCAGTCCTAAATCAATTTAATGGGAGCCTCCGATGACTCTGATTTGATTTTTCATTTTCAGTATTACAATTATCTGCCCGATATTACCGGCAGCTCAAGCTTGAAATGGGACAACACGGCAGAGGCTGTCAGAAAGGGAATAGTACCAGATTACACCAATTATCGAATATTTTGCTAATTAGACACCCAATTCATCACTTTCATTTACAGCAAGGGAAACAAATGCTTTGCACTCTCATTGTTATTCTTCCTTGCTGAGCAGCAGTTGTCACCCCAGCTCTCCTTGGATTTTACATCCCAAGGAGAACTTCAGTTTCAGGATCCTTCATCCCTGCAATACTAGACTGTTTAGAATCAGGGAACCCCTGATGTCTACCCTTAGGTCTTCTGGCTGCTCTCTGAGGAGATGGAATGCAGATGGCTCCAATGAACTCAGCCCCATGGGATGACACCGTGCCAGGATGCAGGATGCATGGTGACAAATTTCAGGTACTCCAACCCAAAGACCAGGTGGCTCAGAGGAGAATCTGTGGAAGGAATCAGGCTGGGAGCTGTTCAGGGCCAGAAACCTTCCTTCTCTTTTACAGATGGGGGAAACTGAGGCTCAGAGAGGGATACAACTTGGTTAAGGTACCACAGTTGGTTGTGACTGACCTATGCCTGAACCCCAGCTCTCCTGACCCCTAAGCTGACAGTCTTTCCACCCACTGTGTGTGGCCAATGCGGCCTCAAGGTTGTTTAAATCTCCTCTGCAGCTGACCATGTTGGTAAATCCGGATCAGAGAGGAAACAGAATCATCCAACATGTACAGGCGCTGGCTCTACCCGTTATCTGCAGGCCCACACATCTGCACGCTGCCCTTCTTAGCACGTTCATGGGCCTTTCTGCGGGGTCGGAAGATCTGGGTTCAAATGTTACATCTGCTACTCACCAGCTGTGTGACCTTGGCCAAATTCATCAACGCTTTGAACCCCAAAAGGAGCAGAGCAGCATGAGAGAAGCTTACGAAAACCAGGCTTGAAAGGTTTAGCTAAAAGAGCCACTTTCCAAATGGACGCTCCAGGCTCAGAGAGGGGGGCTTCCGTTGTTTCACTTCAGTGACGAAAATAACTGCTCTGATGTATTGAGGGCCCACTATGTACTCCAGGCAGGTGCCAAATGCTTTATGTGTGTTTTCTGTTTTTTTGTTTTTTGTTTTTTTTTGAGATGGAGTCTTGCTCTTTTGCCCAGGCCGGAGTGCAGTGGCGTGATCTCAGCTCACTGCAACCTCCGCCCCCTAGGTTCAAGCAATTCTCCTGCCTTAGCCTCCCAGGTAGCTAGGATTACAGGTGCTCACCACCACGCCCGGCTACTTTTTGTATTTTTAGTAGAGATGGGGTTTCACCATGTTGGCCAGGCTGGTCTCGAACTCCTGACATCAGGTGATCCACCCACCTCAGCCTCCCAAAGTGCTAGGATTATAGGCGTGAGCCACTGCACCTGGCCTATGTGTGTTTTCTTGCTTAACTAGTGCTGGGAGGCAGAACTGTTATGCTCATTTTACAGCTGAGAAAACAGGCTGTCAGAAACCAGGTGACTAGACGCCCGTAGCACATGGCAAAGCCAAGACTGAAGACCCGCTTGCTTCCAGAAACCATTAGGACAACATGGATTCCCTGGGTCCTTCAGCCTGCCGAGGATAAAATGCTTCTGGGCTGGGGGGACAGTGTGCCCCGGAGGCACTGCTGCCAAAGCCCATTCACCACTTCCTGGCTCCTGGTCCTCAGAGCTCAGCCCTCAGGATAGTTGCTCCTGGAAACATGGTCAGCTCTGCTCTGATGAACTTCATTATCTTTATCAAATTAATTTACACAAGCCAGTGTGGCCACCTAATGAGGTCATTTCCCAGGGCCCTGTGCAGGCTGCTTAATGAGGCAGGAGTGGCTGGACTCAGGTACCAAGTGTCCTGGAGTGGAGGAGAGTGGAGCTGTCAGCGTGACTGTGACTGCTGTGGGCTTCCCGCTCTGTCCTCGTTCAGGGCTGTGAATGATCACCGCTGGTCATTTCCTCCTTCCCCCTGCGAAAGTCCTCACTTTGCCAGGTGCCAGTTTATCACTCCAGGACTTCTTGAGCAGGCGGATGTGCTGCGACCTGCAGTACCTGGGAGGCCTTTTTATTCTAGCACAGACAGATTCCTTGCTCCAAGCTCCTCCTTGTTAATTTTGTAAGTGACTGAGATATGACTTTCTTTTGTGCCTGCTAATGGCTCAGCCCTGCAGCAGAATGCCCCCAATTTGGTAAATGAACTTCTTTTCTTTCTGTAAATGAGATTTTTAAGATGGGAGGAGAAGACAGGCGAGACTGAAAGTTGAGAGGCCAATACGGAGCTGTGGCGGCTCCAGGTGAGCGAGGGTGGCTGTCATTATGGGAAGGAAGACAGGGAGCTGCCGGGAGGCCTGCTCCTTAGGAGGAGTGGGGGACGGGGTGCAGGTAGCCTCATTTCCGGCTTGAGCAACTGGACAGAGAGTGGTCAGCCTTGCCAATTCATTCATTCATTCATTCACTCATTCACTCACTCACCAAATACACATGTGAATATACACACATATGCCCACCTATTGTATGCCAGGCCGTGGGTGCCAAGTACCGTTCATAAAGCCATGAACAAAACAGACCAAACCCCTGTCTTCACAGACCCAACATTCTAGTAAGAATTTAGGCTTAAACTTCTCACTTAGAATCTTAAAATTTTGAGTCTTGGTTTCACCCAATCTTAAAACCAGAGACTCTTCACTGTGACTGTTATTAACTTGCACCCAGTGAGCACAGACCTCATGCATCGTCTCCCTCAGTCCTCGCAACGACTGTGTGATGGATCCTAGGATTGTCCCCATTTTACAGATGATGCCATTGAGGCCTAAGGAGAGCAAGTTACTTTGGCCAAGTTCACACGACCCTGCAGCCAGGATTTGGCCCAGGCCTATCAGACACCTCTGTCCCCCTTTGCTGCCTCTTTCATCTCACAAATTGGGGTAACTTTCAACAGGCACCCCAGAGTTGGAAGGGACTGTCCTCCCTGCCTGCAGAATCTGCTGTGGTATCTCTTGAATGAGGCCATGCAGCCCCCACCTGGCTCCACGTTCATTCTTGTCCTGATCCTCAAGCACTCAGGGCCTCGCCTCTCTGCCCAAGCCCCTTCCTCACCATGCCAGCTACTTCCATCCCCACTTGACTGGGTGCTTCTCTTCCTCACTCAGCCAGACTCTTGCAGCTGGCACCCCTGAGTCCCCCACTCTTTGCCTTCACCCCTTCTCCCAGCCTGCTGGATCAGCTTATGTTGCGGTAGAGCCGTCCCTGGTCACAGGAAGGAGGGAATAATGACAGCAAAAACAATAGCTCTGTGGCAGGCTGAGCATACACCGTGCCCTGCCTCACTGAATTCTCCCAGGTGAGTACTGTCATTATTTCCATTTGACAGTGCAGGGAATGAGGCTCAGGGAAGGGAAGTGTCTTGCCCAGGGGCACACAGATAGTAAATGGCAGAGGTGGGAATGGAACCCCGGACCGTGGCTCCAGAGTCCACATGCATAACCAGTGATGATGTGGGGAGTCTGGAAGCTGGGCTTCTCCCAGGAGAACTCCCAACTCAGCGATGCTCCGTAAGATGGGCCCAGGTCAGACACAGTGGCTCATGCCTATAATCCCAGCACTTTGGGAGGCAGGAGGCAGAGGCAGAGGCAAGAGGATCACTGGAGCCCAGGAGTTCGAGACCAGCCTGGTGAACATATTGAGACCCTGTCTCTAGAAATAATTTAAAAAATTAGCTGGGCATGGTGGCATGTGCCTTTAGTCCCAGCTCCTCAGGAGGCTGAGGTGGGAGGATTGCTTGAGCCCAGGAAGTTTGAGGCTGCAGCGAGCTATGATTATGCCACTGCACTATGACCTGGGTGACTGAATGAGATCCTGACACTAGAGAAAAAAAAAGAAAAAGAAAAGATGGGCCTGATCTGTAAACAGCTGCCTGATTTGCAGTGAAGGGAGGCAGGGAAGAAGGCTGGAGTGGCCTGCTGATGGAACAGCCTGCTGATAGAGTAGCTGGCCGCTGCTCAGCAGCAAAGAACTCTGTGGCCAACGCCTCCTTCCTGAGGACTCAGGAGGCCAGAAGTCCCACAAATGTTACTGGAGTCTCATTTCACTGTGATTCTCCCATCTGAAGTAGGCTTCCCTCCCAATCCCATCTTTCTCTCTTCCTTCCCTTCCTTCCTTCCTTCCCTTCCCTTCCCTTCCCCTTCCTTCCTTCCTTCCTTCCTTCCTTCCTTCCTTCCTTCCTTCCTTCCTTCCTTCTTTCTTTCTTTCTTTCTTTCTTTCTTTCTTTCTTTCTTTCTTTCTTTCTTTCTTTCTTTCATCTTGCTCTGTTGCCCAGGATGGAGTGCAGTGGTGCAATTTTGGCTCTCTGCAACCTCCACCTCCCGGGTTCAAGCGATTCTCCTGACTCAGACTCCCGAATAGCTGGAATTACATGCGTGTGCTACCACGTCCGGCTAATTTTTGTATTTTTAGTAGAGACAGCATTTTGCCATATTGCCCAGGCTGGTCTCGAACTCCTGGCCTCAAGTGATCTGACCGCCTCGGCCTCCCAAAGTGCTGAGATTACAGGCATGAGCCACCATGCCTGGCCTCAATCTCATTTTTCTATCACTGATCAGTATTAAAATTATCATGACTCTCTTGGTTTACTTTTTTTTTTTACTTGCGTGTTTTTTTTTCCCTTCCTCTAGAATGTAAGCTCCAGGAGGGCAAGGACTTCATCTTGTTCACTTGAAGCTGAAGCCCCAGCATGTACAATCCCGTGCTGAGTTGCTGGTTCATCCCCAGCATGTACAATCCCGTGCTGAGTTGCTGGTTCATCCCCAACATGTACAATTCCGTGCTGGGTCGCTGGTTCACCAGCAGAGAGGAGCATTGATTCTCTTTGGAAAAGATAATCTATCTACACCCCTGGAACTGTGGCACAGTCTCACGGAGGGCCTGCTTCCATTCGGGTCAACGGCGAAAAAACGAATAAACGTGAGCCGCCATCAGGTAGGGCGAGATGCCCCTTCTTTCTGTCCCAGCCTTAGTGCTGCCATGGCTGCCTCCTGCTCCTCCACGCAAGCCCCACCTCTGTCTGTGATGTCAGCGTGGCTGCCCATGGGATCCCAGCCTGGTTTGCCTTTAAATTTTACAACCTTGTTTATGCAGCTCGAGGCCCATGCACTAAAGACCACACGCTCCATTGAACATTTATGGCTGCAAATGGCTCCTCCGTGCAGGCAAGGGAGGGGGCTGCGCATGCTTAGGGTGAGGCGGCTGGAACGGGGAGGCCACCAGCTCTCAGCCTCCACTTCTTCCTCTTAGGATTCCTCCCTTGGCTGAGGCTGACTCCCTCAGTCTTATTCCTGATGACATTGCTCTGTTCACACTGTCCAAGTCCATATCTGGGCACTGCTAGGCATGAGATAGAAGTGAACAGATGTTAGTCACTGTCTTAGGTGGCTGCAACGGGGCATAAAGATTTGGGTACAATCGGTGCTCCCAGGAGAAAGAGCAAGGGAGTAGGGAAAGTGGGGGAGGTGCTGGGGAGGTGGGAGCAGCCAAGCCAGGGTGTGATTTCCAGAAAAGCCCCAGAGAGAGTGGCCTCAGCCTCATACCATAGGGCACTCTGGAGTTGGTCCTGACTCGGGGGCCTGTCAGTCATCGGCCAAGGGCCAGGCTTTGGGGTGTCGACTCCCACACAGCTCAGCTCCCTGAAGATGTGGGCACGGTGGTGGTGGGGGCTGCTGAAGAGTTGCAGATGCAGCCACTGGAGGGGAGGCTGAGGTCAGTAGCCAGGCTCACAGGGACGACAATGGGATGGGAAGCAACACCTGACGGGCTCAGCTACAGGTGCTGACGGATTCACAGGCAGGTGGCAGAAGGCAGTCAAATAAATGAGACAATACAGCGCCCTCCCTGCGACCACACACACCGCTCACGCCTGTGAGTGTTCGGAATGCATTGGGTCTCATTCTGCGTGTTGTACGTGTCCCGTGACGCCTCATGAGGATGCTCTCTGGCAGGCACTGGTATTGTTATTCTTATTTTACAGGTGAGGACATGGAAGCACAGGGAGGTTATGCCACTCGCCCAAAGACAACTAATCAGTGACAGCTGAGACTTGGACTGCAGAACCTACACTTTATAACTATTTTACAGTTCTGGGCGTCACGGAATCTTGCATGAAGAGCCCCTAACCTGGCCCGGGTGGAGGTCAGGGAGGTCTTCCTGGAAGAGGGGGTTCTTGGCAGCAACTTGCTGGATTTGGTGTTCCCTGTTGGTTGGTCAGTCGCTAGACAGTTATTCACTGAGCTCTGAGAACAGGCTGGGCCCTGCTCCAGGCCTTGGTTGGACAGCAGGGAACAAGGCTGGGGGAAATGACTCCCGAGAAAATGGACATGTGTGACCCTGGGTTCTGGGAAGGCAGGGAGGGAAGACAAGTACCAGAGGCACAGCGAGGGTCTCTCTGGAGCCACAGGGAGAGGGGAGGGATGCACAGGCCTGGTGTGCTGCAGGGCCTGAGCCTGTGGCTGCTTCTGGCCAGGAAAGAAGCCAACGTTACTTAAAGAAGTTATTCATGTAACCAAATACCACCTGTTCCCCAAAACCCTATGGAAATAAAAAATTAAAAAAAATAAAAAAGAGTAAGCAACAACAAAATAAATAAATAAATAAATTTAAAAAATAATAAAAAAAGAAACCCACATTACCAAGTGTTTGCGAAGTGCCAGGAGCCACCCTAAAAACAGTCCTGTGGGGTGCAGCCATTGTCATCTGCAGTTTCAGATGAGGAGGCGGGGTTGCAGAGGTGAAGGTGCTGCTGGTGGTGTGGCTGGTTGGTGGCTGAGCCGGGGGCTGGATATGTTGCTGGGAGGAACAGAGGAGACCCTGGGGGATCGATAGTTGTGGGGAGAGAGGAAGGCTGAGGAGGGGAAGGGACGTCAAGTTAAATTGCTTTTAGAGGTGCTGGGTGTCTGCAGAGATGGTTCCCCCATCATCGCAAGGTGCTTGTAAATTGTCGCCTCTGCCTCCGATAGCCTCCTCGGAGGAGAGAGAGTGTCTGGCTTCCTCACCTTGGTGTTTCTGCATCCTGAGAAACTCGCCGCCTGGAAGCTCCAGACCCTCCCCACCTTGTCAGACACAGGCTTTGCTGGGAAGGGCCTCCAGCCTCGGGCTTTGCAGCAGAAGCTCAGAGCTGCCTGGGGGGACCAGAAGGTGGGAACAGACCTGGGATCTAACTTCTACAGAGCCTCCTGCTGGCTGGGGAACAGGAACATATCATGCGCCTCTATAAGCCTCAGTTTCCTCATCCGTCCAATGGCTATGCTAAGCCTCTCAGGCCTGCCCTGGCCTTGCAGAGAGGGTAGGAGACCAGGATTTCCCATCTCAGGCCTCAGAGACAAATGTGGGTGCCAAACACTGCCTGACTCAGTGTAGGCAGCCCTGGTCCCCATTGGGCAGGGCCTTTGAGGGAGGGCGGGCAGAGGGGTGCCCAGCTGCCTATGTCCTCTGAGAAGGAGGCTCCTGGTGCCGGGAAAGAGTGTGGACTCTAAGTCTAATTGGCTTTCTCTGCCCAGCTGTGGGGCCTTGGGTGAGCCACACAATTCTCGGAGACCCAGTTTCTGCAGTGGTTTTGCTGAGTCACCAGGAAGCCTGTTTTCTGGTGTCCGAGGTGAGGGAATCCCCCTCAGTATCTCTTTTTGGATCAATTTCTGGAATATTCTAGGTCTTTCTAGGCCCTTAGCCACTGCCCCCGCTGTGTGCTCACAGCCTGTGTGGGAGTTGGGAGGGGGCTCCTACTGGACCTAAAGGAACTGCCTTGAGGGGAGGATGTGAAGTCAGGGGCAGAGGCTCCTCACCCTCCTGTCCAGCTTCCCAGGAGCCAGAGGCCGGAACCCCAGACTGAGAGGCCTCGACTCCTCAGCCTTTTCTCCCCCACCTGCCTAGGCCTCCTCCTCACCAATCCTCTTGGCCATTTACTCTTCATCAGCTCCACCATTTCTTTCTCTCAAGCTGCAGCAACCAGAACTGAGGTCTAACTGTATATCAATCACGCCAACAATAACCATAATGAAGTCGATGTTTGCTCCTGAACCCTTAGTCCTGTCTGCTCGGGGGGTTGCCTTTGTCACTTCTCCCATTGGGTGAATCACCAGCTCACCGATGCCCCTCACCATCTTGAATGCCAGCTCAGGCCTGTGTAGAGAGCCTGGACCCTGGTGTCAGACAGACTTGGGCTCTGACGCGGGTCCTGGCACCTGCCACGGTGACCCTGGGGCCTTTGACCTCCCCATACCAGGCCTTAGTTTCTTCATTGGTCAAAACTGGAGCATGGTGATGGCCTCCTGCTGGGTGTTATGCTTCTTAGACGCAGCAGGGCTTATGATTCATGCATCTAGGAGAGTGTGGGGCACTTGGCCCATCTGCCCACTGCAGAGCTAAGCCATGTGTCCTCACTCCTGTCCTTAGAGAACTTGCTCCTGGGTTCAAGGAGGCAAAACACAAAACACAGTTGACCATTAAGTGATAATTCAGATCGGTGTGGTAGACACAGAAGGCAACTCAAACCCTCCCCTACCCCCAAGGAGCTCATAGCCAAGCATGGGAGATAGGAAACAACATCTTTAATAAAATTACGGTCACAACATCTTTAATAATTACTAAATATTGAGTATTTATTACGGGCTAGGAAATGTAAAGAGCTTTACATGGATTTTATTTTAATTCTTACAAACGATGAGAAGACAGATGTTATTATCCTTAATTACAGCTAGGCAAACTGAGCCTCAGAGAGGTAAAGTCCCTTGCCCAGGTTCACACAGCAGAGCACAGAGCAGATGGAACTGAGCTTTGAACCCAGATCTGCCTGATATGGAGGCCCATGCTCTTAGTTTGCCTGCTCTATCCCTCTGTGCACAAGTCTGTGATCTTCCAAATGACATTTCTGTGCCAAACCGGGCCCTGTTTTCTGCATTAATACCCATCCCGATTACTGCAGTTTTAGTTGCAAATGTCAGAAAATCCAATTCAAAGGACTTAAATAATAAAGAGAATTCACTGGCTTACATAACTGAAAAACAGGTAGTGTCTGCTTCAGGCAAGGATTGATCCAGCTGCAATGCATTGATTGGTATGAATAGGACCAGTGAGTTTTCTTTTTCTCCATTTCTAGGCTCTGCTTCCTCAGTGTCAGCATCATTCACAGCAGGCATGTCCCTCCTGCCTCCAAGAGAGTCACCAGCAGCTTCCTCCTCCACATCTGTGAGTAAATGAGAGGGTCTATTCCACCCAATAACTCAAATCCCAGTTTCAGGATTTGACCTGTGGTTGGTCAGACTAGGGACACAAGCCCATTCCTGAGCCAATCACTGTGGCTGAAGAGGTGGGAGACACTGATTGGTCTAAGCCAGTCAAGCACTCTCAAGGCCAAAGTGCATGGGCAAGAAATTTAGGACAAGGGGAGGAAGAAAGAAAAGAAAAGAGAATATCAAGGAGGCAAATGACAAATAAATACCCACTCCTTTCTTCCCACGAGAGAGATATTATTCCCCCCATTTCATGGAGGAGGAAACTGACGATCAGAGCAGCCAGGAAACAGGATGGCGTTGTCTGCTGAGGGACGGTGTGTTCCCTGGAGAGGAGATCCAGCTTGCCATTGTGGGTTTCTTACAGCAAAAATCCTGTGTGTACACATATGCTGAACAAGGCGCACACAGTCTTCATACTTCTTTCCCCAAATCCACTGTTGTACCTCACTCTGGAAACCAAAGAATACAAATGGAGATGAGGCTAATTTTTGCCCCTCAAATTGGCAAAGGTGAATAAAACCATGTTTCTTGGGCTGTGTGTGATGGCTCACGCCTGTAATTCCAGCACTTTGGGAGGCTGAGGTGGGTGGATTACCTGAGGTTGGGAGTTCGAGACCAGCCTGACCAACATGGAGAAACCTTGTCTCTACTAATAATACAAAAATTAGCCTGGCATGGTGGCGCATGCCTGTAATCCCAGATACTCGGGAGGCTGAGGTACGAGAATCGCTTGAACCCTGGAGGCGGAGGTTGCAGTGAGCCGTGATCATGCCATTGCACTCCAGCCTGGGCAACAAGAGTGAAACTCCATCTCAAAAACAAACAAACAAAGCAAACAAACAAACAACAAACCATGTTTCTTGATGCTGGGGAGTGTGGAGTGATGCAGGTTGTTTATTCCTGCCTGATAACATAGAAATTAATATGAGCTTTCTGGAAGTGAGAGCTTCTACATTGTTTTAAGAGTCTTGAGCATTTTGTACCCTTTGACTTCCAGAAATTTTATTTCCAGGAATTCATGTTCAGATAATGGGAGAGATGGACATTGAATGATATATAAAGCCATCCACGGCTGTGTTACTCATAGCGGGGAAAACCTGGCACCACCGTGATCTTGATTTTTTATGCTTACATGTCATTAGTATCCATCTCAGTCTGCCAACTGCCATGTGTAAGAAAAATGCAACCCTCTTTATTGTTCTAGAACTGAGTTTAATTTTTATTTCAAGACTCTGAGATGACCAAGTGGCAAAAACCTAGTCTCTGTCAGCTCAGGGACCCCCACCACATTTCCCCCTTTGGACTGCATCTTGCACTGGCACCTATGAGGTTCTTGGTGTGGTGTGGTTGTCAGTCTTTGATCTGTTTGGCCACCGCCTGTGCCTCTCCATTCCTGATCCTACAGGCTCTTCTGGTCCCACGGTTCTCTGTGTATAGAAAACATTCTCTGTCTGGGTTGTGAGAATGCGGCAGGCAGTCAGGCCCTCTGCGTGGACCCCACAGGTGGTCAGGCAGTCTTTTCTTCTGCTCTCATGCTGTGCTGACGCAGGGACTTTGGGGTCTCCTTGCTTCCTTTGGGATTGGCAGCATAGACTCCCTCTGTCTCAGATCCCCACGCTTTCATGGAGGTCTGGGGATTCCTTAGCTGGCTTGTGGTAATAACCATTGCTTTTAAACGAACCTCCTGATTTCTTCCACATCTTCTGCCTGTGTCAGAAGCTAGGCAGTTAGCACAGAATGCCCCAGCTTTCTGAACTTTTTGGGGGTGGGGTGGTACACGAAGAAGACTCTGGAGGAACCTTGGTTAGAACCCCAAATAAGAACAGCTAGTATTTATTGAGCATTTGCTAGGTGCCAGACCCTATTCTAACTGATTTACGTGGATTTGCTCAGTTATTTGTTGTGAAACCTTCTTTGATAGTGGAAGAAACTAAAGCACAGACAGGGGAATCACTCATCCAAGGCCACACAGTTGGGAACGGTAGGACGGGGCTTTGAACCTAGGCAGTCCAGTTCCACACTTTCTGCTCCCAATCATTCTCTCCCGTGGCCAGCAGGGGCCTTGAGGGGTGTTGGTGCTGAGAGCGGGGCTGGAGAGGTTTGGGGGCTCAGAGCTGGTCTGGAGGAGGAAAGAAGTTCAGGGTCAGCCCCCTTTCCTGCTCCCTGCTGCTGTGAACTGCCTGCGCCTGGAAAGGGCTGAGCCACTCTGAGAAGTTCATGGGCCAATGTTCTGCTGCAGCAACTAAATCTCCAGCCCACTGGCCTTGACCTTGGCTCTGCCTGTGGAGTTGCTGAATGATCCACCTTGAGGCTTCTTGCAGCAGATGCATTTTGCATGGGGGCCTTGGAGGCTAGCTAGCTCCTTCCATGGTGGGGCTGGGAAATCCAGCCTCCTTCCACCCCTACATCCAGCCCCACTCCTGTCTGAGGTGCGGGGTGGAATCCTGAGCACCTACTGTTGTGTTCTCTCTCTATATGCCATCTCATCGGATCTTCCCACCAGCCCTATGTGATGATTCACCTTAAATAGTTGAGAAAACAGCCTCAGAGAGGTGAAGACACTTACCCCCGTCACACAGCCAGTGAGAGGGGCAGCGTGGGGTTGAACCTCCCCGACTCATGCTCATCTCACTCCATTAGGGGGCGTGAATAGGAGGTGTGGTCCCTGCTCTTAGACTTCTAGCACTGACAGGGTCCTTTGGGGAATGAGGCCAGAGTTTGGGTTATGAGGTTCGAGGTGAAGAGGCGACAAGGGCTTAGCTCTTTGCTAATGAATCCAGGAAAGCTTTCTGTAGGGATTCTTTTTAAAGGACCTGTTTGAGGCTGGGCAAGGTGGCTCACACCTGTAATCCCAGCACTTTGGGAGGCTGAGGTGGGTGGATCACCTGAGGCCAGGAGTTCGAGACCAGCCTGGCCAACATGGCGAAACCCTGTCTCTACTAAAAATACAAAAATTGGCTGGGCCTGGTAGTGGATGCCTGTAATCTAACTACTCAGGAGGCTGAGGCAGGAGAATTGCTTGAACCCAGGAGGTGGAGGTTGCAGTGAGCTGAGATCGTGCCATTGCACTTCAGCCTGGCCAACAAGAGCAAAACTCTTTCTCAAAAAAAAAAAAAAAAAAAAAAAAAGGACCAGTTTGAGTGAGAAGGGAAAGTCTGCCATCGTGTTCCGAAGATAAACTTTGGAGTCGCACAGACCTGGGTTTGAATCCCAGCTCTACCCGTTTCCAGGTTTGTGGTTTTGAAGAAGTTCCTTATCTTCTCTGGTTTTGGGCTTTGTATCTGAGCAACAGGTATAATAATGCCTCCTCTGACCCTAGAGAAGTAACAGTATACAATGTCCACATACAGACTTAGCTGAATTCTTTGAGCTCTCACTATCTACTAGGCCCCAACCTAACTCTTCCCACCTCTAACTTCATTTGCTCCTCATCACACCCCATGGGGTGGATACTCAGAGTTGAGTCACCTGCCTGAGGTCATGCAGCGTGGAGGTGGCAGAGCTGGGGTTCCGTGGCCTGCCTGAGCTCCTCTTGCCCTTCTCTTTCTCAGTCCCGCTTGTGCTTGGCTATGGCTGCAGTAGTTCTGATCCTGCGAAGAGCTTCAAGGTGAAGCCGGATTCAGGATTTCCCAGGGATTCTCTAGCAGCCTCCATTATTCCCCGGGGAGTGCGGGCAGCTGGGGACTCAGGGTGTGGCTCCTCTTGACTCTCTCCCTGAGGCATAAATAACCCTTTGTCTCAAAACCCACCTTTTGTTTTTGAGACAGAGTCTCATTCTATTGCCCAGGCTGGAGTGCAGAGATGCAATCTCAGCTCACTGCAGCCTCCGCCTCCTGGGATCAAGAAATTCTCCTACCTCAGCCTCCCAAGTAGCTGGGACTACAAGCCTGTGCCACCACGCCTGGCTAATTTTTTTATTTTTAGTAGAGATGGCGTTTCACCATGTTGGCCAGGCTGGTTTTGATCTCCTGGCCTCAAACGATCCACCCACCTCAGCCTCCCGAAGTGCTGGGATTACAGGCGTAAGCCACCATGCCTGGCCCCTCAAAGTTTTTTTAATCCCTCAAGCTTATAGAATCTTCCCTGCTGGGGCAATGATACTCTCCTGGAGCTTGCCAGGGAGCTGGGCTTCAGGAGTCATTCAGCTGGTGCTCCCGGCCCACTCTCCACCTGCAGATGGTGCTCCCAGCCCCCTCTCCACCTGGTGGCTGGTGGTGTGGCCTGACCCTGAGATGGCCAGTTGGTGGCTGTTGGTGGGCCCTGGGGTATCCCCAGAAGAATCCCTGTAAACCTGCCTGGCAGGCAGCACCAAAGGCACATCACCCTAGAGAATCGTTTCCTGGAGCGTATCTCTCTCATTTTGGGGTCCCCCTCCCAAAGGCAGACCCCAAGACAGTGCTTGTTACAGGTAGTTTATGTAGGGCTTGATTCTGGGAACCAGGGGAAGAGAAGAGAGGATTCAAGTGCTACAAGTTAGACTTTGGTGTGGGGGACAGTGCTCCCTCTTGCTGGAACATTCTGAGAAGCCTTAGGAAATGCATCTCTGAACTGTCCACCAGGGGAGATGGAACGTTTACCCACCAGTCTGTGTCCCTGCCAGTAGAGGTGGCCCCACAGGTGTTAACTCCCCTGTGTCCGGACTGTGCATCTGTGAATCCCTCTGCTGCTTCAGAGAAGGAGTTCCAAGCACTGTGAGGTGACCCTTGCAAGATGTTGCTGGAGGTCTGTGTAGAATTGGTCCCTGCAGCAGTGGCTGGAGAAGGCATGGCAGGGGCAGTGAGAGGATTTGCAGAGGGGTAGAATCCGCCAGTGTCCCCGGCTTTTTTGCTGTGTGCTGACCAAAAATCAGAGTGCCTTGACCCACGGCCTGTGACCAGGCCAGCTTCAATTTTTTTCACAGCACGTTTGAACCCAAACTAGGACCTTGAACATTCCTAGGCACTGCAAAAGATATCTAGGGTTACTAGAAAGAAATTGGCCCAGCCCTTTAGCCAAACTCCTTAAGCCCTCATGTAAATTCCATACCTCACCCCCTCGCTGCTGACATAACCTCAGTAGATGCCCCTTTTCTCTCACGGTCCCTCAGAGGATTGTCATAGCACTCTGTAAGTTCCCTAATGAGTACTTTGCACGGACTACCCTGGCGTTTAGGGCTTCTTTCTTTGGAATCTCTGCCCTGTCCTAGTACAGCTTGGGGCACTCCTTTGCGCGAACTCCCCTGCCATTGTTTTTTGGGGTGATTCCAGCTATGGATTTGCAGGGACGAAACAATAGGCGTGAAGGAGGGTGCACACCTGCATCTCTGCCTCGCTGGGTCACTCAGTCCCCAACCCCTGGCCTGGGAGTGCTGAGGGGTACCCTGCAGTAATAGTCCCTCTCGGTCCCTAGACTCCAAGACCACAGCTGGACTTCCATGCTTTTGTGTCTTCCATGTTTTTTGGAGATGGAGTCTCGCTCTGTCACCCAGGTTGGAGTGCAGTGGCACGATCTTGGCTCACTGCAACCTCCACCTCCTGGGTTCAAGTGATTCTCATGCCTCAGCCTCCTGAGTAGCTGGGATTACAGGTATGTACCAACAGGCCTGGTTAATTTTTGTATTTTTAGTACAGTTGGGGTTTTGCTATGTTGGCCAGGCTGGTCTTGAACTCCTGAACTCAAGTCATCCACCCACCTCAGCCTCCCAAAATGCTGGGATTATAGGCATAAGTTACCATGCCTGGCCATTTTTGTGTCTTTCTTGATGAGCAACTGCTCTGTTCCAGCCCTGTGCTGGGCATATTCACATCTTTTTCTTCTCTCTCTCTCTTTTCTTTCTTTCTTTCTTTCTTTTCTTTCTTTCTTTCTTTCCTTTCTTTCTTTCTTTCTTTCTTTCTTTCTTTCTTTCTTTTTCTTTTTCTTTCCTTCCTTCCTTCTTCCTTTCTTTCTTTCTTTCTTTCTTTTTCTTTCCTTCCTTCCTTCTTCCTTCCTTGCTTGCTTCCTTCCTTCTTTCCCTCCCTCCCTCCCTCCCTCCTTACTTCCCTCCCTCCCTCTCTCTTTCTCTTTCCTTCTTTTTCTTTCGACTGTGTCTTGTTCTGTTACCCAGTGTATTAGTCTGTTGTCACACTGCTGATAAAGACATACTTGAAACTGGGAAGAAAAAGAGGTCTAATTGGACTTACAGTTCCACGTGGCTGGGGAGGCCTCAGAATCATGGCAGGAGGTGAAAGGCACTTCTTACATGGTGGTGGCAAAATAAAATGAGGAAGAAGCAAAAGCAGAAACCTCTGATAAACCCATCAGATCTCATGAGACTTATTCACTATCACAAGAATAGCATGGGAAAGACTGGCCCCCCCATGATTCAATTACCTCCCCCTGGATCCCTCCCACAACACATGAGAATTCTAGGAGATACAATTCAAGTGGAGATTTGTGGGGGGACACAGCCAAACCATATCACCAGGCTGAAGTGCAGTGGCACAATCACAACTCACCGCATCCTTGAACTCCTGGGCTCATGTCGCCCTCTCCACTCCAAGCAGTGGGACTACAGGCTTGAGCCACCATGTCTGGCTAATTTTTTTTTTTGAGAAGTAGGGGCTCTTGCTGCTTTGCCAAGACTGGTCTCGAACTCCTGGCCTCAAGCAGTCTTCCTGCATCCCTCCCAAAATGCTGGGATTACAGGCATGAGCCACCACACCCGGCCACTTTAACATCTTATTTGATCCTCCCAGTTCTACAAGGCAGTCGTTACTTCCCTCTGCATTTTACAAGGGAGGAAACCAGACTCAAAGAAGTAAAGAAACAAGCCCCAGGTTACTTGGCTGGGCAGGAGTGGGGTCAGGATTGGCAACCAGATGTCCCCCCTGCCCCCTGACCCCCACCATCACGTCCCCTGCATCCCTACTTCCATCCCCTGCCTCTGCAGCTCGGCCTTCCAGGCCAGACCACCCAGGTGAAAGGCAGGCACTATATTTTACAAGGCAGGGAGCCCTGGGGAGGCGCCGAGTGGGAGGAGATGAAATAGGTGGCCATAGCTCTGCCAGGTGGCGGCTGTGCCCACTCTTAGTCCTGACAGCCCCCACCTCAAGCCATCCTGCAGCCCTCAGTCTTGTCTCTCCACCATCTCTTCCTCACCCGCCTAGACTCCCAGAAGGTCCTCATGGCCCATCTAGTCTGGACTTCCCTTAAAGTAGTGAAATCCTTTGTGGAAATGACATCTTACAGGGACTCCCGGCACATCACACAGATTAGAGCAGGTCTGGTCTGGTGGCAGTCAGGGTCAGGGACAGGGTGCCACTTTCTCTTCCTCCTATTTAAGATGCCCCTGAGGCCATTGTGGAGAACCCTGGGGTCCCAAGGAATGTACTTTGAAAACCCCTAGTCTGGTCCATACCCCTCCTTGAGCAGGTGGGGGAAGGGGACCCAGTGAGGTCTCCTGACTTGTTCAAGGTCATCTGAGGAGTCAGGGGCAGAGGCAAGGCCTGAGTTGCATGGTGTCCCAGGCACGTCTCCCCAGAGTCCTCTACATTGCCAGGGGGTCTCCATGGAGCCTTCCAGAGCTGCACTTTGTGAAATCCCCTATGCAAATGCCACGCCTGCCCGGGTGCTGCGTTTGCTCACAGCTGCAGAGGCTGGTGCTTCCAAAGCCTTATCACTAAAGCGGGCATCTCATTCCGGGCCTCCTGCACCCTGCTCTCCAGGTGGAGATAAGGAGCATTATCTGTCTCAGAGAGCGGAGCTCCAGGAGCGGACTTAATAAATGGTGTTTGCCGTTGGGCGCTGTGTTCGGAAGAATCTCCTTGAAAAAAAACCCAGAAATAGCTCTGCGGGCTCCACATTCCCCAAGGCCTGACTTCCCCAGAAGACACAAGGACCAGGCAATGTGAGACCGTGGAAGACCCCTGCTTTTATAAGGCCCCTTTCTCAGGGGGAGCACCCAGAGAGGCCCCCAACATGACTCAGGGATGAGCTGGGCTACCAGCTGGCAAGACGAGTACCCAGGGTCCCGTTGGCCTCCATCTGGCTGTGTGGCTCAGTTAAGTCTCTGCACCTCTCCGGCCTCAGTTTCTCCATCTGTCCCAGAAGCCCTTGGCCTGGATAATCCCTGGTTCCTTAGTAGTTCAGGCAGCCTTTGTCTTCTGAACCCCATGCTGCCTTGGGTTCCACGGACGCAGGTAAGTCTTGGGGGTTCCCGCCCCACCTGCATGCTCAGGGAAGGCTCTCCACTGCCGCATTCCCCCGCTGCCAGTGGCTCCCACCTGCTCCCCTCCCAGAGGGCTGACTCCAAAGGAAGCCTGTCCTTTGTCAGCAGAGCTGCCTTGCCCGGCAAAGAGGCTTTCATCTCTGTGCATAGGACTTCCCGCCGCATCAGCAGAAACTTCTGGCTGCTTAGTGCAGGGACTAGGGGGTGGCTCAGTTGTTGAGGGCGCAAACTTTGGAGTAAAGCGACCCTGGCCTTGAATTCTGGCTTTGCCATTTATTCTGTCTGACCTTGAGCTAGTTGCTTAACCTTCATCTGACTCCGCATCCCTAACTGGGATATGGAGACTAATAACAATATGTAATTAAATTATAGGAATGACTCAAGAAATAAATGATAACAAGTGTAAAACACCCAGCACACAGCCTGGTGCCTGGTGCCTGGTAGAGACTCTATTATGATAAACTGATTGCATTAACAACCTCAAGTTTTCAGTCTTTCCCATACCTAGAGGCTTTGCAATGAGACTTTGAAGTTGCTTTCACTCAAGAAGCAGAGGTGATCTCCCCATCCTCTGCACCTGGTCTGGCTTTGTGATGTGCTGTGGCCATAGAATGTGGTGGAAGCAATGATGGGCCAGATCAGAGTCTAGGCCTTGTACATTTCCACTGGCATGCTCTTGCACTTCCGTTGTCAGAAGAACATTCCTGGCTACCTAGTGGAGAGGAGACATGGGGAGGAGCTGAGTTGCCCTAATTGAAGCCAGCCCAGATCAGTCAACCAACCCCATGACACAAACCAGAGCCATCCAACTGACCCACAGACTCATAAACTTAAGAAATGCCAGTTGTTTCAAGCCACTGAGTTTTGGGCTGGTTTGTTACACAGCATTGTTATGGCACTAGATAACTGATATAGATACTTGTATGATTTACTTTAGAATGACAGAGGTAGCCCTGTGTACTAACTTGCTATGTGGCCTTGGGGAAGTCACATCTTTCTGAACTGTGAGTTCCTATTTGCTAAGTGGCAGTCTTAACACCCAGGGCTTTCGTGGTGACAGTTCTCGCTAAGCTTCGTTGCTAGAATTAGACTGGGGTTTGAACGTTAGCTTCACCCCTTTCTTCATGCCTGAACTTGACTTATCACTTGGCCTGTCTGAGCCTCATTTCCTTCCCTTGCTGGGTAATCAAGCCATCTTACAGGACTGTCGTACAGACTACAAATTCTTACAGGAAGGGCTGAGTCCAGTGCTTGGCACATATTAGGGACTTGTTCCAGTTATCTATTGCTGCATCCCAACACACCCCAACACTTTGAGGTTTAAAACAACAGCTATTGATCGTTTTCTTAATTCTATGGGCTAATGGGTTGAGTTTTCTGCTCAATCTGTGTTCCGTAGGGTGGTGGGGTAGGGGCAGGGGGGAGTGTTCCTGGGAATTGAAAACTGGGAGTGTCCTAGGCCACCTGAGATGAGTTGGTCACCTTGTTATTGCCTGGATCATTCATGTAGCTGCAGCCGCTGTAGGCTTGCTGGGCTGGGGGGATCCAGGATGGCTTCAGTCATGTGGTTGGCAGTTGGTGCTAGCTGTGGACTGGGAGCTCAGCTAGTACTCTCTGCCAGGGCTTCTAGGTTTTTCTTTATAGCCTGGACTTCCTTACAGCATGCAGTTCTCAAGGCAGCATTCCAAGAGGGAGTGTCCCAAGAGTGAAAGCCCAGCCGGGCTCACGCCTGTAATCCCAGCACTTTGGGAGGCCAAGGTGGGCAGATCACTAGAGGTCAGAGTTTGAGACCAGCCTGGCTAACATGGCAAAACCGTCTCTACTAAAAATACAAAAGTTAGCCGGGTGTGATGGTGCACACCTGTAATCCCAGCTACTTGGGAGGCTGAGGCAGGAGAATCACTTGAACCTGGGAGGCGGAGGTTGCAGTGAGCCAAGATTGCACCACTGCACTCCAGCCTGGGTGACAGACAGAGACCCTGTCACTTACACACACACACACACACACACACACACACAAGGCCGGGTGCAGTGGCTCACGCCTGTAATCCCAGCACTTTGGGAGGCCGAGGCGAGTGGATCATGAGGTCAGGAGATCGAGACCATCCTGGCTAACACAGTGAAACCCCACCTCTACTAAAAATACAAAAAATTAGCCGGGCGTGGTAGCACGCGCCTGTAGTCCCAGCTACTCCGTCTCTACTAAAAATACAAAAATACAAAAGTTAGCCGTGCGTGATGGTGCGCGCCTGTAATCCCAGCTACTCGAGAGGCTGAGGCAGGAGAATCGCTTGAACCCGGTAGGCGGAGGTTGCAGTGAGCCAAGATCGCACCACTGCACTCTAGCCTGGGCAACAGAGCGAGACTTCGTCTAAAAAAAAAAACAAAAAACAAAAACAAAACAAAACCCAAGGAGTGAGCACCCATAGAGCACCCACTTGCTTCTGCTAGCTAATGCCCCAAAGACCAAAGCAAGGGGCATGGCCTCCCCCAGAGTCAATGTGAGAGGGGACTTCAGGAGGGCAGAAACACTGAGAGGCATGGTTCACTGGGACCACCAGCAGATGTGCTGGTCTGCCGCAGATCCATAGGTAGTTTGAGTTGTTACTGTGGTTATTATCCCTATAATGAAAGGCCTGGATTGATGATCTCTGAGGTCACTCCCTTCCAGTGCCTGTATTCTGTGATTCAGGAGGATGAATGACTCACCCAGGGCCACATAGGGAGGTGGGAGAAGAACCAGATAAATTGTGGAAGTCACATAAACAGCACTATTGATAAAACAATCAGTAACTGAGAAATGACAGAAACATAAAACAATCTATATCTAGCTGTTTGTTAGGAGTTTTAAATGTGGCAGGACCATCGCAGGGGCAAGCTGGTCTGTGCCTGCATCATTGCAGACAGTGATGGGCTGGGAAAAGAGTCAGAGGGACCTGAGGCCATGAGGGTGATGCACACAGATCCTACTGAGCAAAGGCCTTGCCAGAGGGGACTTGCCTTCAAACCAAGAGTGAAAGAATGTGTACAAATTGAGGCTCAGAGAGCTCAAGCCATTTGCCCAAGGCCACACAGCTAGGACATGGTAGAGCTGGGATTCAAACCAGCTGTATCTGGTTGCAAACTCCCAGGCTTATTTTTCAGGTCATACTGACTCCAGTCTTCCTAAATCAGTAGCCCTGCTCCAGGGTGCTGGGTCAGGGTAGATAGATGGCCCTCGGCCCAGTGGGCCTACAGGTCAGGAAATCCCATTTCCTCGCATTCTTGATCGGAAAGCCTTTCTGACAGGCAGCTTGCTGCATGGTTAAGGTCAGACTTTGGATTGGGGAAACTGGAGTTTGAGGTTCAGATAAGTCTCTTCCTGGCTGTGTGACTTTGGGCAAGGATCTTAACCTCTCTGGGCCTCAGTTTTCCCAGATAGCTATAAGGATGAAATGAGAGGGTGTACCCCGAACCCTTAGTCGGGGGTCTGGCACCCAGTAAACCCTCCGTAATGCTCCCTGGTGTCCCAGCCCCAAACACCGCCATCCTCTGTAGCAGTAGTGGAAGGGACAGGATGACAGATGACCTCTCTAGGCCCATTTCAGACAGGATTCTTCCCCTCAAGGTCCAATAATGCGGGTGCAGATATGTCTGCCTCCTCCTCCATCCCTCTAACCCTCCACCCCCCGGCCCCGACACCAGCACACGATTGAGAAGGAAACTCAAGCAAAATGAATCGGTTGGCCGGCAGGAGCAGCTGTTGATTTATTTCTGGGAAGGGCCCGGCGTCCCCTGGAACGGTGACCTCTATTAATGTTGACATGTTCAAAGCCTCATATTGGGATGCAGCACGCCTCTCCTGTCCCTTTAAAGAGCCCGCTGTTAAGTTTCAAAGACCCTTGCAGAGCATGAGGAGTGTCTGGGAGCACGATTCCTCAAGGAGGAATATTCCATCAAACGCCGCGTGATAAATGGGGACCCGCGTGGTTGTAGACCCTCACTTTGGACGCGAGTGGCCCAGCGCAGGCGACTTCACTCGCTGGGATAAAAGGAGATTCATTCCAAGCTGAGAGCCTGAACAAACAGCCGGCGCCTGTGTGTATTTCGGCTGCCCCTGTCCTTTGCTGCAGCTAGTTTCTTGGCCTGGCCGGAGCTGGTTTGGGCTTGGAGAAGGTCAGCTCCTCACCAGGAATCAGAAGCTCTGTACTAAGGCGTCTCTGTGTGCCCAAGATGTGCTGGGTGCTTTGCATAAGCTGTCTCACTGCATGCCCGCTCTTTTTGGCCAGGTGAGAGTTATTATTCCCATTCTCCAGAAGAAGATGAGGCCCAGAAGATTTGGGGAACTTGCCTAAGGTCACACAACCTAATAATCAGGAAGCCAGGAATTTGACTCCTAAAGAATTTTCTTGGCTCGCGCCTGCCTGTAAATGCCAGCACTTTGGGAGACCGAGGCAGGTAGATCGCCTGAGGTCAGGAGCTCTAGACCAGTCTGGCCAACATAGTGAAACCTCATCTCTACTAAAAATACAAAAAATTAGCCGGGCGTGGTGATGCGCGATTGTAATCACAGCTACTCGAGAGGCTGAGGCAGGAGAATCGCTTGAACCTGGGAGGTGGAGGTTGCAGTGAGCCAAGATCGCGCCACTGCCCTCCAGCCAGGGCGACGGAGTGAGACTCAGTCTCAAAAACAAAACAAAAAACAACAGAAAAAGAATTTTCTTTGTCCTACCCAGAGTGTTAGCACCGATTGAACCCCTAAAGACAAGAACCAACCATGGCATTTTACAGTTGGAAAACTGAGGCCCAGAGAGGGAATGTGACCTGCTCAAGATCACACAGCAAATTCGGCAAAGAGAAATTTTCTAGTGGTCAACAGAGAAACAAACGGCAGCCTCTGACCCATAGTTGGCACTTACTAGGTTTAAGTTTGTTTCCTTCCCCCTCTCCCTCCCTCCCACCAAGGGAAGGAAGGGGGTATTACAGTGAAGAGAACTAGAAAACCCAGGGGTTGGAGTGAATGGCCTGGGTCACACAGGGAGCCTGGACTGGAATCAGGTGGTGATAAACCTCCCTTCTGTATCCAGGATTCCCTTCAACTCTCACCGAAAGGACTGTTGCCCAAGTGTCAGCTGCGGAGGTCGCTTTGTGAGTCAAGGATGGCTCCCTGCTCTGTTGGACTCCCAGCAGAGGTCACAAAGCTTCCAGAAGGATAGACTGGGATCCTGGAGAATCTGGGGTTGCTTGGGGCCTCCCTGGAGCTCTGGATAACACCCTTCTCTTCCATGTCACCCGCTCTCCCACCCAGGCCCCACTCCAGAGAGACGGCCTAGAACTGATTCTTCAAAAGTACATAAGATAACACCAGGACCCCTGCTCTCCCCCTGGCTCTTGTCCCACTGCAGAATGGCTGCTAAGCCCTGGACACACCCACCCTTTTTTCTGCCTCTGGCTCTTTTTCATGTTGTTCCCCCAGCTGGAACACCTTTCCCTCTCCCTTCGTAGCCTAACAAAGCCCTTCCTCCTCTTTTGGGCTCAGCACAGTGGTTGCCTCCTCCAGGAAGCCCTCCTTGCCTTTAGCCTGGGCTTGTGTCCCTCCCCTGGGTTCCTGCAGCCCCTGGGTTTGCTTCTCTCAGCATAGTAATCACCCAGGCAGTAACTCCCTATTTCATCTATTTTCCAAACAGGGCTGTGAGCCTCTTGAGGGCAGGGCCTGTCCCCCATTCCGGTCAGTGCACCAGGGCCTGGCACTAGTAGGTGCTCTGTAAACAGCTGTCCTGCAGTGATCGGTGGGACGTGGGCATGGCTCGGTGTGTGTGTGTCTGGGCAGGGGTCTCACATGCCAGCTGCTCCTGTGGGAAAAGGCCTCGGAGTAGTGGTTTGGAGTGGCTTTCTCACCCCCACGGGTCCCACAGCCCCCGCTTCCCTGAGCCCCACTGCAAGGGGTAGCCTATGAGGGCTGGCCAGAGTCAGGGCTCTTCACACCCTCCGTGCTCCCAATCAATCCCTGTTCCTAATGTGCCCTAGGATTGCTATTCTTCCTTGGCCTGGCCCAGGGCTGGATCGATTCCTCTCTTAAAGGCACAGGCCTCCCTTTACAGCCATCAGCGGGCATTCTGCAGAGAAGTTTATTTACAAAAAAAGTCTTTTGTTTTATTCTTGACTCGGATGGTGCCAGTTCTCATTCACTGACTGTGGACAGGGAGCAGGTGCTGGGCTTGGTGCTTGTTATGGATTATCTAGTTTAATCTCTAGGTAACCATCTGAAATGGGGGTATTAGGATTCCCTTTTCAGGTGGAGACACCAGGCTCAGGTTGGTGTGGTAACTTTTCCAAGGCTGCACAGCCCCCGAGGGGCAGAGCTGGGACTGGAACCCATTTATCTGATGCTGGGATCCATATGCATAATGGAGAATGAACCCAGCTTGGGTGAAACTCTGACAGCAGCCCCTCCACCCCCACTACGGGTCTGGGGATATCCCTGAAGCCCCCAGCACCCTGCTGCCTGCTGTACTGGGGCCGCCTCAGCCCCAGTCCCTGGTCCTGGGAGCAGGTCCCTCCTTTCCCATCCCTCCCTCAGCCTCATGCCTGCTTGATTGCAATTAAGGATGAGAACCATTGAATAGGGCTCGAATGGTGAATTAATAACCTTATCTCACCCCAGCCAAATCTGGGGCCATTGCGCACCTCTGGCCCAGGGTGGGGAGGGCTTCTTTATCAGGCTGCAGGCAGCGCTCAGATTTTCCTTCTCAGACAAGATGAAACAATTATCTGGTCTGCTGGCTGCTTCCCCTCCCCACCCCCAGCTGCTGCTGCGAGTGCCCAGCCACTACCTGGAAATTCCTTAAAGCCCAGGGCTTCTGTTGGGAAATGCACCCCGAGCTGCTTGTGTGAAGTCTCAGTGCTGGATTGGTTCCATGCAATGCATTGGTGCCTGCCTCTGTCACCAAGCAGGGAGTGACGGTGTTCCCCTGGAAATGATGGTACTTTGTCTAGTTCGGGGTGGAGGCTGTGTCATGGCAAGGGCCACTTTTAGGCTATGAGCTCCCACCTGCAAGGACAAGGACTGGTGTTGGCCTGGCAGGGAAGGGTCTCAGTACCTAATTTGAGAAAGAAAAGATGGCGCTCCCCTTGATCCTCTTTGGCTGTTGGCTCATTTTCCTCCTAGCCATGGTGGAGAGGGGGGCTCTGTTTCTCGGGGGTACCCTGAGGGCTCTTGCCTCATAGGCAGTAGAGAGGTGAAACTGCTGTTGCCCTACCTAAAGTCTCTGCCTCCTTGGCTGACTCTAGCTGGTTCACTTGCTCTGCTGGGAGACCCTTGTCATGGTAAAGGGACCCAGATTTGGCTGTGATGCTGGAGGGAGAGAGAAACAGCTGACCCCTGTGACATGGGCCCACATTTCAGATGCTCACCACGGAGGTGGCTCAACACAGCTCAAAGAATGTGGAGGCTTGGTCAGACCTCGTGGCATCCTGGCTCTGCTACTCGAAAGCCAGGGTCTCTGGGTGAGGAATCTGACTGTTCTTAGCCTCAGGTTCCTCCTCTGTGAGCTGGGGACACTGGCAGTAAGGAGTACCAGGCGATTTTGAGAGGCAAACGAGTCAATCTGTGTGAGTGCCTAGAACCATGCCTGGCCCAGAGTCAGGGTTGTGTAAGCATTTGTGGTCATTCTTCTATTTGATCTTCATGTGAGAACCCTCTGAGAGGTCATCAGAAAACTGAGGATTAGAGAGGGGAGGAACTTGTCCAGGGCCACATAGCTTTGAAGGGAGAGCTGGGATTTATTTATTTATGCTAGAGACATGGCCTTGCTGTGTTGCCCAGGCTGGTCTTGAACTCCTGGCCTCAATCAATCCTTCCCTCCTCGGCCTCCCAAAGTGTTGGGATTACAGGCATGAGCACCGCATCTGACCTTAGAGAGCTGGGATTTAAATCTCTAAATCCTTCCACCTTATTTTGCGGACAGGGGCCCAGGGCTCTGGGTCTCCCCTCTGTCCCTGACTCATCATGTGACCTCAGGCAAGTTACTTCACCTCTTTAGGCCTCTGTTGCTGCACCTTTAAGATGGTGATATCCTCTGCTGAAAGAAGGCAGAGGATTGATTAGATGGAATGGAATAGACTCGAAGGGGCCTCAGAATCCATCCAGGCTCATTCTGTCCTTTTAACACTATGGTCACTAAAGCATAGAGAAAAGGAGAGAGCTTCCAGAATTACACAGCGTTTGGGATGCAGCCAGGGCCAGAAGTTTCCAGCATCCAGAGCCCGGGTCCAAGAAGTCACCTCTGGTGGCCTTCCTTGTTGAGACTTCAGGATCCTCCCCACCTGGTGGGTGGTGTCACCCACATCCCAGCTGCAGGTTCTGTGGCTTCTTGGCTCAGCCCTCTTATGCCTCTTCTGATGGGTCTGGCCAGTTACAAACTGTGTCCATCTGTGGCACACCTTCCAAAAAAACCTGTGGAGGCCGGGTGTGGTGGCTCACTCCTGTAATCCCAGCACTTTGGAAGGCAGAGGCGGGCGGATCATAAGGTCAAGAGATCGAGACCATCCTGGCCAACATGGTGAAACCGCGTCTCTACTAAAAATACAAAAATTACCTGGGCATGGTGGTGCATGCCTGTAGTCACAACTACTTGGGACACTGAGGCAGGAGAATCGCTTGAACCCAGGAGGCTAAGGTTGCAGTGAGCCAAGATCTCGCCACTGCACTCCAGCCTGGCGACAGAGTGAGACTCTGTCAAAAAAAAAAAAAAAAAAAAAAAAAAAACCTGTGGAAACTGGCCCCATTTGGCAAATGAGTGGGGAAGACAGGAAGGGATCCCCCAGAAAGTGGAGAGAAACAGCCTTGAAATAAACGATGCCCTGCCAGACCCAATATTGAAGGGGGATTGGATCCCATCTTGGGAGACTGATGCCCCAACCCTGTTGGTCTCGTAATGTTCCTATTGGATTACTGATACCCCAGAAAGCGAATGCCCCAGGAATACTGATCTTTAAGGATTATTGGGACCTCAAGCTCTGGAAATTGTGATTGTAGGAGCATTAATTGCCCAAGAACACTGTTATTTAAGAAGTACTGAGTGCCCATCTCAGGAAATTGATCCCCTGCAAGTATTGATTCTACTGTGCTGTTGATACCCCAGGAGCTTTGCTTTCTACTCTCCAGGCTCTCAGCAACCTGACTTTCCCTGAGTTCATTTAGGGGCAGCAGGGGTCCCTGTGAGTGATTTCTTCCAGGAGGGAATTTGGAGGAACATTCCAGAGCTTGGCTCTCACACTTGAGCTGCATCACAATCAGCTAGGGGGCTTTGTAAAACACAGCCTGCTGGGCCCACTCCCAGAGTTTCAGATTTAGCAGGTCTGGAGTAGAGGCCAAGAATTTACACTTGTAACAAGTTCCAAGGTCTGTGAGGCCACACTGTGAAGACCACTGTTCTAGAGGTGAGATGATGGGTTCTCAGCCCCAGCTGCACCCGGGCATCGTCCATGAAGCTTTGAAAACTCTGTCAGGGGCCCCAGACCTCACTCCTAGAGGTTGACTTAATTGGTCTGGGATGGAGCAGGACATTTAAAAGGTTCTCTGGGTGATTCTGGTGCAGTCATGAGCTGGGAATCAGCCAAGTTTGGGGTGAGGTGAGTGAGCACCTGTACCCTGCTAAAGGTTCTGAGATGGGGGAGGCAAAAGACACACCTTGGGCTTAGCTCCCAGTGGGGAACCCCCAGACTCAGGGCCAGGCAGCGCAGGGGCCTCCCCTTGGAGCTACTGAGGTAGCACTGCTAGGGGGTCCATTCATTCATCTACCTGCCTGTATTCAGTAGACATGGCACTGTTCTAGACCATGGGGATGAATGAGGCAGACAGAGCTCCCCACCATCAAGCAGTTCATAGCATCAATGTGGCTATGGACCACACTGGACCACACTCATGGTCCAAAGGTGTCCTGGCACCCAAGGCTCCCTTTGTTCATACTCATGACTGTCAAGGTGATGGAAGCTAGATACTGGGACAGGCAGTGGAGTCAGGGCTGGGCAGGGGACAGCGGGTGGGCTCTCTGTATACCCTCTGGGGAGATTCTCCAAAACCAGCCAAGAAGGGGTTTGACTGTTTCTTGTTGGCAGACGTTGGTCAGTTTCTAGGCACCTCACGGTCACCCAGTCCAACTCCTGCCTGCAGCAAAGATGGCAGCAGCCTCCCCTACTCATGGGCTTGTCTCCTGGTGGTGGTCTAGGAGCCCCTTCTATCTTAGGTCTCTGCCCCATTTTGTTCCTTCTTTGGCTGACAGTCTCTCTCTCTCTCTCTCTCTTTTTTTAGAGACAGGGTCTTGCTTTGTCACCCAGGCTGGAATGCAGTGGCATGATCATGGCTCACTGCAGCCTCAACTTCCCTGGCTCAAGGGATCCTCTTGCCTCAGCCCCCCAAGTAGCTGGGACTACAGGTGCATAACAGCATGTCAGGCTAATTTTTTAAAAATTTTAATAGAGATGAGGTCTCTCTATGCTGCCCAGGCTGGTCTTGAACTCGTGGGCTCAAGCAATTCTCCCACCTCAGCTTCCCAAAGTTCTGGGATTATAGGCGTGAGCCACCGCGCCAGGTAAGGGTTTTTTTTTTTTTTGTCTCCGGTTTTTGACCCCTTCCATCTCTGTTTCTCCTTTGTTTGCCTATCTCCACCCCTCCAGCACCCAGTCGGACCACTGACACCTTAGGACAGTTGGATTTTTTTCTAGCTCTGTCTCCTTGGACAGCACCTTTCCTGGTTGGCTCTCTTCCCTGCCCACACCCCCTTCCTCTTGATAAACACTTTCCAAACCTCAAGCTCCAAGACCCCTTTGGCAACTGCTTGACCTGTTTCCCTCCCACTACCTGTGGATATAAGATTCCCTCCCTGGTGAGGGCACACGGAGCATCCCGCCTTTCCCCTCTCCCCAGGCTTGTGCACCAGGGGGCTACTCAAGGGGCAGAGCCCCCAATGGGCAGGTTTCAATCTTGGTTGGGTCAGGAAGCGAGGTCCTCAAGCCTGGTCGGGGTGGTGGCTGTGGTTCATTCTCTGATCAATATTAATTTGGTGACAGGTATTGACTGCCTGTGGTGCTTCAGGCAGAGGGAGAGAGAAATAGTCACAGTCCTTACCCTGGTGAGTTAAAAGGATAATGCTTAAGATGCCATTCACCCACCCTTCTATCCATTTGTCATTCATTCATTCATTCATTCATTCATTCATTCATGTATCCATTCATTTATTCGGTAAATAGCAAGCACCTACTACTGTATAGGAGTAAACCCGAGACAATCTCTGCCCTCAAAGTCACCCCCTAGTGGGGAAAACAGACAAGCAGACAGACAACTGGGGGGCTCTGAGTGCAGAGCTCTCAGCAGATTCCAGGTCTGGGTGGCCAGACCTCTTTTTGAGCAGACCCAGCAGCGGGCTAGGCTCGGACAATCGCTGCAGCCCTTGGCTCTGGCCTGGCTCAGGGACAGGTGGGGCTGATTGGACACAGCTCAGAAGGGTGGTCCTGGGATGCTACTAAGCCTCCCTGAGCTAGAAAGGGATTGGGGGCCACAGACCAGAACCTGCTATAGAGTGCGCCCCTTAAAACCTCAAGGAGGTCGTGCATGAGAATGCAAACCGGCTGCCGGGGAAAGGGGAGGAAATCCATTTCCCAGCTTGGAAATTATTGAATATTTAGGAGCCGGAGCAGATCATTTAGAGGGGAAATGAATTTCTCCGGTTTCCTCTGGCCAAGATAAATCAGCCCGGATGCTCTTGTACTTTCATTTACCCCCACAGAACAGGTCTGGATGGGTGTTTATGCAGCGCTCAAATAATCATTCTTCCAGAAGTGGTAGCGATTGCTTCCAAAGCCATCGACTTTCTCTTAATGCTGGTGTGGTGACCCGCTTGGTCAGCCCCTGCCTGTGCACATCCCTGGGGTGTGGAGCCCAAGAAGGGGAGGAGCAGGGCTGGCTGGTCATAGGTTTGTCCGTAGTGCCATTGCCCTCCGGATGGTTGAGGTCTTGCAGGCTTGACAGGGCACTGAGCAAGCTCCAAGCCTTAACCAATAACAGCTAGAGACCTACCAAAGTTGGCTAAGGGTCTGAGCTGGGAACAGGAGGATTAGGGGGTGCAGGATTTAAGTCAGATTTAAGAAAGAACTTCCTGGGCCCGGCTTGGTGGCTCAAGTCTGTAATCCCAGCACTTTGGGAGGCAGGTGGATCACCTGAGGTCAGGAGTTTGGGACCAGCCTGATCAACGTGGTGAAACCCAGTCTCTACTAAAAATATAAAAAATTAGCTGGGCATGGTGGTGCACACATGTAATCCCAGCTACTTGGGAGGCTGAGGCAGGAGAATCGCTTGAACCTGAAAGGTAGAGGTTGCAGTGAATGAAGATCGCACCACTGCACTCCAGCCTGGGCAAGAAGAGCAAAACTCTGTCACAAAAAAAAAAAAAAAAAAAAAAAAAAGGAACTTCACCTGCAGTAGATGGTTGTGGTATTGCTCTCCCTGGGTGAGTGGTCAGAGCAGAGACCCTCTTCTACGGGGCATGGAGGCAGGGGATGGACTGAATGGCTTCTGAATCCTGAATGACCCAGGATTCTGTGATGTCCAACTAATCTTCACAAAGTGATGTTTTCCTAGACCAGGTTTCTGCAAACTTTTTCTGTAAGGGACCAAACAAGTAAATTATTTTGGCTTTGGAGGCCATATGATTTCTGTTACAACTGCACAACTCAACTCCACTGCTGTAGTGCCGAAGGAGCCGTAGGCAACGTGTGAATGAGTGGAAGTGGCTGTGTTCCAATGAAACAGGGAGTGAGTGGCCTGGATTTGGCCCGCCTGCCATAGTTTGCTGGCTTTATTCCAGAGACTGAAAACTCTTTGGGGGTTTCTTAGAGGAATCAATGTTTCTGGCTCTTGTCTGTTTTTGAAACAACTCTCTTTCGCTTTCCTGATGAAAAAGTAACATTTGCTTATAGCAAAACATTAAAATAATACAGAAAGGTAGAAGGGGGAAGTCGTTGGTAATCTTCCCCTGCTCAAAGTTCACAGTTTAATGTCTGTATGTATTTTTGCCCTAATATTATGTTCTATTTAAAGGCCATCTTATACAGACCGTATTTACAGAGGCTGTTGTATTTTGAGTCCCAAGTGGACTCCGGTTTAAAAAGGAAATCTGGAGACGGCCGTTGGGAAATCAAGTCCAGGGTGATAGGAAATGGACAAAGTAGACTTCTCTTTCCTGGGGGTGTTCCCTCTGAGGGAGCTGCCTGATGCCTCTGAGGGTGGAGGAGGGATGGGTGGAGGAGGGATGGGTTGAGGAGAGGCGGGGAGGGGAGGGGGCCGGGCCTGCTCCTGCTCCTGCTCCTGCTGGGAGCTCAGAAGCTGCTGGGAACAACTTGCAAGAACCCAGCCATGGGGCAGGGACCGCGAGACCCCAAGATGCACATCCCAGTGGGTCCCGGACAGCTGCAAGATGAATCCTGAGCCGCACAGGGCTGGTTTTTGGCTGCCCTGAGGAGCTCTCAGCTTGGGCCTCTGGGCTTATCTGTCCACTTCTGGAGGGGAGGAGAGGCTGTTTCCAAGAGGACCCCTTGAATGCTGTGGGAGGCTGCTCCTTCTCCTCCCCCACCCTCCACCTTGAGCAAAAAGACACTGAAGCATCCGAGCCCTGAAACAGAGGCCCACATCCCCATGCACTGGCTTATCTTCAGTCTCAGATCCGCAGAGGAGGACATATTTTTTTTCCCTAATGGTGACAGGATCAAGGAGAAAGGAAGAGGACAAAAAGGCCACCTGAACCAGCTGTCCATCTCCACTTCAAGGCAGAGAGGAGGATTGGGGGGCAGGAATGGGGAACATCGCCCCCTGCCAAGGCGAGACTTTTGCCCACAGTCCCCACTGTGGCCATCACACACCTTGGCCCTCACTCATTTCTGGCACTTGGCGTTCTAGGATCACAGGATCACACTCAGGTCTGACCCTCGGCTCCTGGGGACAGGGAAGGGCCCAAGACACAGTGGTTTTCTGTCAGAGGCCGAACAGCCTGATGGTTCTAGGAACAGGTTTGGGAATCACTCAGGTCTGAGTTCAGGTTCCAGCTTTGTCACTTCCTCATCATGGGCCAGTTTGGCCCCATTTGAACCTCAGTTTTCTCATCCGTAAAATGGGTATAAAGTTAGCACCCTAAGGATGACATGAGATGCTTCATTGTGTAAAGTGTCTACCCCAGTGAAAGATACAAGAGTGATTTTTCATTCCTTCCTGCATTTCTTTGATAAAATCTAATTGGGGACATCAATAAAATCTTGTACTAAACCTCAGGCTGATAGGAGGCTCTGGAGAAAACTGTTTTCTGTTGTTTTTGTTCTTTAGAATCTTAAGATTCTCAATGACAAAGCTGGGCTGCAAGCTCCTTGGGCAGAAACCCTGACCAGCACATTCACGGCTGTATCCCTCTCTAATGCCCAGCCAAGGCCTGGCGCCCAGTAGGTGCTCATAAGCAGTTGTGGAAGAATGAAGGTATCAAAAGCTGCAGAAAGAAGGGCTTCCCCCTGCAGAGAGTGGAAGAGGCAGAAAGGCTGAGCAGTCACCTTCCCACCCCCCACCCCCGGCAACCCGAGAGCTGATGGCCCAGTTTTCCATGCCCCTGTGTTATGCTACAAATTAGTTTCAGGTCGGCCAGATCCAATTTGGTTCCTAAGGCTTTTTTTTTTCTCTTTAAAGAGGTGTAATTAAAAAACAATAACAACAATGGAACAGAAGTTCAGCTATCACAGTTGATTTTTCACAGAGGCTGGTGATGGGGAAGCTGGAGCAGCCCTGTGTGATTCTGGTAGCTGTGCCAGGCAGGGAGCAGGCGGGTGTCCCTGCCTCCTTGAGCATGTGCTGTCCCAGGAGGGACACCGAGGCCGGGCATGTCTTCCCCCCGACTGGACTGCGGGGCAGACCTCACTGGCCTCACAGCCAAGCTAACCTCTCTCTTTGTCCCTGTTTGTCTTCTGCAAGGCTGAGTCTCTGGTCAGCTTTCTGCAGTCTTGGCCTGCACTCCTCAATCTGTGACCCACCGCAGTCTCCTCTCATGCAGGAAGGCTGCCCAGCCGCCCTGTCATGTCACAGCGGTGTGGAGCTGGGAGGGGCCTTGGAGCCTGGGCTCCTACTCATCATGACAGCCAATGCTCACAGCTAGCTGTGAATGCACACCTACTATGTGCCTGCATCTCCTCCTCCTCCTCATGACATGAGGTAGGTGATGTCATGTCCCCCTTTTATAGATAAAATAACTGAGGCTTAGGGAGGTGAAGTTTCTTGTCCAAGGATAACAGCTAACAAGGGGCTAAGTTGGGGAAGACTGTGCCGGACGCCACCCTGCGGCAAGTTGAGGACACAAAACCAGGCAAGTCAAGCTGTTGATGTCAAGCAGTTCAGAGACCTTGAACCAGGCTGGCTGGCTAGCTGGATGGATAGACAGACAGAAAGCCAGATTTGGAGGCACAGAGAAAAACAGGTAATGAAGCCAGGCTGCACAGTGGATCTCTTTGTTCTCAATTTCATGGGCGATGAGTGAACAAGTCTCATTGGCCCTGATGCTAGCTTGCTGTGTGAACTTGGCGATCCATTGATTCTCTCTGAATGTAATGATGCCATCTGTGAAATGAGGGCTTAGATACCACAGCTCCTAAAATCCCATTGGGCCTCAGTGTTCACTAATTTTCTAAATCTCCAAACTCCACAGTTGTAAGATCCACATTCATCCTGTAAATCCAAGGGAGTGGTGTGGGCGGTGGTGGATGACATTTTAATTCTGACTTGCTGAAATTCTCTAAGAGCAGCAATTATAAGCTGGCAGCTGAGAATGAGACACAGGTATCTTTTGTGTACATCCACAAATAGTATTTATTTCTTCTTAATTAGCAGCCAGCATTTAAAATCAGGTGATTTTTCAACTTTCTTTGGAAAACTGAAAGGTTAGGCAACATGGGATCCTGCTCCCAGCACAGTGGCAGAGAGCCTAAGCTTTGCATTGAGCTTGATAGGTTCCAATCCCAGTGTTGCCGTTTTTAGCTGTTAGTCTTCCGGGGAAGTGACTCAAACCCTTTGTACCTCAGTTTTCTTATCTGTGAAATGGAGATGATACCTGCCTCACTGAACTAACTTTGGGAGAAACTTAGTTTATAGTTTAAACAAAGATGGTAACAGCCCTTTCCCAAAGCAGATCTCCTTGCCTGGAGACTAGATTGCCTTTGTAGGACTCACATTAGCCACAAGATTAGAAATTATGGTTTAGGGGTCATGCAGCTGGAGGTTACAAGATTCTGACCCTCCCTAAACTGCTCCTAAGATCAGGGCTTGAGATATTTTGCAGAACCTGCACTTGATGGATCAGCTGGCCTCCTATCAATAAACTGGCCCATCTGATCTTGTGGCCCCCACCCAGGAACTGACTGAGCACAAGAAGACAGCTCTGACTCCCTATGATTTCATCTCTGACCAGTCAACACTCGTGGCTCACTGGCCTCCCCCACCCAACAAGTTATCCTTAAAAACTTTGCTTCCTGAATGCTTGGGGAGACTGATTTGAGTAATAATAAAACTCCAGTCTCCTGCAAAAAAAAAAAAAAAAAAAACAAACAAAAAACCAAAAACAAAAAACAAAAAAAACCTGCCTCATAGGTTCGTTTGTTGAGTAAATTAATCCATGTAGAGCCTAGAACACATTGAGGGCTGTGTACATGTTAACTTTTGTTACTGTTATTTCCCCCGCAGCAGATACTATGGCAGCTAGGGCTGCCATTACTGTTCTGGAGGCTGGAAGTGCAAGATCAAGGTGCAGGCAGGGTTGGTTTCTTCTGAGGCCTCTCTCCCTGGCTTGCAGATGGCCACCTTCTTGCTGTGCCCTCACATGGCCTTTTCTCTGTGTGTGGGTCCTCCTGGTGTCTCTTCCTCTTCTCACAAGGACACCAGCCACACTGGATTAGGGTCCCACCCTTAGGACCTCATTTAACCTTAATCACCTCCTATGAGGCTCTCTCTGTCAATGTAGTCACATTGGGGATTAGGGCTTCAACATATGGATTTGGAGGGGGACAGGGTTCAGCCCATAACACCACATGGTAGCAATCGGCCCAAGACTGAGTAGCTGCTGCCCCCACAGGACAGGATATATATATTTTTTTCTGTTCATGACAGTCCCACTTAGGCTGACCAACCTTTAGGGTTTGCCTGGGACTGAGGGGGTGCCTGGGATGGAACTCTCTATTTTAAAACCAGGCAAACCAAGATGAATTGGTTGCTTTCTTTTTTTCTTTTTTTGTTGAGACCAAGTTTTACTCTGTCGCCCAGGCTGGAGTGCAGCTGTGCGATCTTGGCTCACTGCAACCTCTGCCTCCCAGGTTCAAGCGTTTCTCCTGCCTCAGCTTCCCGAGTAACTGGGATTACAGGCACATGCCACCATGCGCAACTAATTTTTGTATTTTTAGTAGATAGGGTTTTGCCATGTTGGCCAGGCTGGTCTCGAACTCCTGACCTCAGGTGATCTACCTGCCTTGACCTCCCAAAGTGCTGGAATTACAGGCATGAGCCACCACACCTGCTTGAATTTGTCGCTTTCATCCTAACCTCAACCCATTTCCATCATTTATTTTACCTGCCTGGCTCCTGAGTTTTGCCTCTGCCTGGGAGTGACCACTAGACCCAGGAAGGCCGGTGGAGATGGGAACAGATGTGCTCTCGGTGCTTCCAGGAACTGGCAAGTGACTTGGCCAAGGGAGGGAGAGTACACAGCCCTGGGGACCCTTCAGGAGGCCGGGCTACTGAGGGTTAAATCTACCTCGAGAAACAACATCTAGCAACCACCAAGGGAGGGAACCAGCAAAAGCATTATCATGATTAATGTTATTTCAAAGACTTAATTTTTCCCCCTCTTTCAGGAATGCTTGTCTGCAGTTGCACCGAGTGCTATCTCTTGATTCTGCGTGTCCTTCCCCCAGAGTAATTTGGGACAAGGTCACTGTTCACCAGGCGCGCCTCCTTACCCCCAATCTACTTGCTGGCAGGCCTGCAAGGCTGAGGTGCTGGGACAGCAGGAGGCTGCATGGTTGGGGAGCCACACGGGGCCAGTCTTGATGCGTTCAGGGCTGGGCCCAGGATGGCTGCAGCCTCACCTCACCCAGGGGCAAACAGAGGCTCAGCCCAACGGAGTGGCGGGGGAGGAGTCTGGAGTGAGGACCCAGACCCTTATTTTGGCTCTACCCCTTGTCGGCTGGGGAACTTCTCCAAGCCTCAGTTTTGTCATCTGCAAAAGGGGGGCAAGAATAACGCTTCCCCTTCCAGATGATGTAAATGGCACTGTGCACACCAATCACCAGGGCAGGTGGCGAGGTGGAGGTAAGATGGACTCTGGACTCTGAATTTTTTTTTTCTTTTCTTTCTTTTTTTTTTTTGAGATGGAGTCTTGCTCTGTTGCCCAGACTGGAGTGCAGTGGCACGATCTCGGCTCACTGCAAATTCCACCTCCTGAGTTCACGCCATTCTTCTGCCTCAGCCTCCCGAGTATCTGGGACTACAGGTGCCTGCCACCACGCCCGGCTAATTTTTTTGTATTTTTTAGTAGAGACGGGGTTTCACCGTGTTAGCCAGGATGGGCTCGATCTCCTGACCTTGTGATCCATCCGCCTCGGTCTCCCAAATTGCTGGGATTACAGGCGTGAGCCACCGCGCCCGGCCTGGACTCTGAATTTCTAACAAGTGCTCAGGTGACAGCCATGCTGCTGGTCCATGGGCCACATTTTGAAAGGCAAAGGTTGTGAAGACAAAATGCAAGGTAAGTTCTTAGCTTGTAGGAAGTGCTCAAAGTACACACTACTTATCATCATCACCACATCTGTCATCATCATCATCATCGTCACCATTTCATCTTCATCTCCATCACTGGCATCATCTTCTTTATCATCGTTACTGCCATCATCACTGGCTTCCTTGTGGTTGGCAACATCATCATCGCCATTTCATCTTCATCTCCATCACCGGCATCATCTTCTTTATCATCATCACCACCATCATCATCACTGGCTTCCTTGTGATTGGCATCGTCATCAGCTCTTGTCTTTTGTTTCCCTTCCTCACATTCTCCAGAAGAGGTAACCAAGACCCAGAGATGTTTGAGACTTGCACGAGGCAATTTTATACAGAAGAGAAGTTGCCTAGGATTGAGGACTGAAGCAGACAAGAGCCTGGTGGCTGGAAGTCAGGAGACTGAGATTCAGGTCCTAGTGCTGTACCTGGCTCATTCAGCCTTTGAACTTTCTAAATGGAAAGGCCATTAAAGATTATCCAGTCTAACACTAGCATTTGAGGAACCTGAGGCCAGACTGGGGATGGGGAGACAATATACAATCAAGGGTATAGATGTAGGAGCTAGACAGTTTGCATTCAAATCTCTACTCCATCACTTGCTGGTTACACGACCTTAGGTAAGTCCCTTCATCTCCCTGAGTCTCAGCGTCTTCATCTGTGAAACTGGATGTGCTATCCAGCTTCCAAGATGGCCTCCAAAGAGTGTCATTCCCTGGTATTTATAGCCTTGGTCAATCTCCTCCCACATTGTCCCAGGGTTGTTCTGTGTGACCCATAGAATATAGCAGAATTGATGTTAGTATCTTTGGAGGTGAGGTTATGAGAGATGCTGTGGGTTCTGTTTTAGGTTCTCTCTCTCTCTCTGGCCATTCACTGTGGGGGAAGTCAGTTCCATGCCCTGAGTCCATTCAGGCAGCTTGTGAAGAGGCCCACATGGCCAATAGCCAGTGAGGAACTGAGGCCTGCAGTGACCACTTGGATGAGCTTGGAAGCACGTCCTCCAGCCCCAGTCAAGTCTTGAGGTGAGACCACAGTCCTGGCCAACAGGTGACTACAACATCACGGGAAACCCAAAGCCATTCAGCTAAGCCACTCTCAGATTGCTGATCCCCAGAAGCTGCATGAGATAATAAATGTTTGTTGTTTTAAGCTGCTAAGTTTTGGAGTAATTGACTACACAGTAATGGATAAATAACATGTGGGGATAACTATCTTGTAGGTTTGTTGTGAGGATTAAATTCACGTAAGCACTTTGTATAGTACACGATGTATGTTGAAGGCTGTGTGAAATGTAAGAAAACAATGGCAGCATAGAAAATATCGTCGATGAACCCCAGGGTCATGTAGCCAGGGTGTGACAGGGCTGATGATGCTGCAGTTCCTAGCTGCCCGGTTTTAACCATTTGTGCCCCCTAATCCTTATTGATTGTGGTGGGCACCACAGGCTTTGCCAGAAATGGAACAACAGTGTCAGAGGGTGGGGAGCAGAAGAGGAAGTGATGGTGCCAGTCAGTGGGCCCCTGGGGTGGGGAGCAGCCCCAGGGTACTGGGGGTGGAAGACTGAGGCACAGGACTGGAGTGAGTGTGTGTGTGTGTGCGTGTGTGTGTGTGTGTGTGTATAGGTCACCTCTGGAGACCCTTCCAGCCCAAGACTGGCTGATGATCTGATTTGCTGCTTGTTTCTGGCCCTGGTCTGTGTGGAAGACTCAGAAAAACCATGGCAACCACGGGATAATTAATGATCAGGGATGGAGGAGGCCAGGAACCTGGTGTCCCCGAGGCCACGTGGAGAGCAGCTTGGGAGGAAGGTCCACTGGGCTTTCTCTCCGTGACCATGTGGGCTTCCTTGGAAGAGAGATATCAGAGAGGGTCCAGGTGGGAGATAAGCCCCTGGGCCTGTAGCCCTAACAGTCCAGGAAGCACAGGCCTCTCTGGGCCCAGTAGATGGTTCCTTTGGGGTCGTTGGCTCCCAGGCCCTGGACTGCTGAAATTAATGCATTGTTTTCAGGAGGCCGTCCATGGCTTCCACCAGGTTCTCAGATGGGTCTGGGACCCAAACCATGGAGACTGTCTAGATATTACCCATTGTAAAGACATGGAAATGGAGGCACAGAGAGGTTAAGAGACCTGTCCAGGCCATACAGCAGGCTGTGGCAAAGTCAGGCCTGGAATCCAGGCCTCCTTGCTGAACACTCTCCCAGGGTAGGACCCACAGTGGGTGGACCAGAATGTGCTGTGCATGTGGGCCCCCCTGGCTGGCAGAACTCCCGTCAGGACAGCTGGGTCACTCCTGCCCCCTCCCTGGGCCAGATGGGCAGCCCTCTCCTCTGCTATTTTCTCCACCTTTGCCTTTTCACAGGGAGTGACTGGGGTGGAAAATTCTAGGGGAGCACAAAGTCTGCCAAGTTTAAACCTGGCACCAACCCAGGCACCTGGCTGCCAGGCACTTGGAAATAGAACTGGTAAAGGGGTCCCTGGGGGACTGGGCTGCTGGGAGCAGCTTGGCAACTGCCTCTCCTGGCTCCTTCCAGACCTTCTATCCCAGGAATATTCCCTCCTCGCTAGAACCTGCTGCCATGTGCCAGGAACATCTGGAAGAGAGTTTTCTGGCAGGTCTGGGGGTACAGAAATGGGTTACAGGGGGCTTGGTCATGTATTATATCACAAACATCTACCGTGATAAGCGAACCAGTGTGCGTCTGCAGCGCCTGCTGCAAGGGACTGAGCGAGGCCCCCGCACATCCTTCATTTCCCTTTGAATCACTCCTGTGATATGGGGTTCCCCATTTTACAGATGAAGAAACTGAGGCTTGGGAACTCCAGAGGACTGCCCAAGTTCACCTAGCTTTTCAGTGGCAGTGCTGAGACTTGAATCCAATCTGTGTGACTCCAAAGCCTGCCTTTTTCCATGGTCTCTCCCTGTGCCCTCTACACCCACCATGTCCAGGTACCAGTCTAGATGCTAGGGATATAGAGATAAACGAGCCATGAGCCTTGCCCTTAAAGCACCTGTAGTTTAGTGAGTGTATTAGCTATTGCTGCTATGCTAATGCCCCATAACAAGCAGCCCCCAGCTCCCACATCTCAGTTGCTTGCAACCACAAGCAGTTATCCTTCTTGTTCCCAGCTGGCTGGGTCGGCTGGGGTGGTTCTGCTTCAGGCTGCAGGTTGGCCAGGTTGGCTTCACCTGTCTCTCATTCTCCTTGCACCAGTGAAAAAGAAAAATACTCAGGTCCTGTTTTCATGACTGGGAAGGAACACACAATGTCTCCTAAGGGTTCATCTTAGAACTGGGGTACTGTCATGCTGCCCACATATGGAGACAGGTTACACGGGCAAGGCCTACATCATCAGTGTGGTGGGGAAATACACTTTGCCTCCTCTGATGTGAGGCACTGCAAAATCACATAGCAAAAGCAAGGATGCCTAATTCTCTAACAGGGAGGCAGGAAGAATAGGTCACAATAATCCAATCACCCACAGTGTGGACGAGAGACTTATGATAATAATATTGTACTGCATTCTATCAAACCTAAGCTGCAAGACACACCATTAATTTATGTACCACTAAGAAAGAAAAGTGGCTGTGAACGAAAGTATGGCATGATGCTTTCTTAGCCCATCATATTTTTATTTTATTCTTACTGAAAGAGCTATTTGATGCTGAGGCATGGAAGTGTCAACAATGGGAACAGTTGGAACCAGGTTTGCTCTTGCAGAGACAATGACGACTGTCACAACTGTCACTGTCCAAGGAGATTATGAGATGCCATCGATTGTAAAACACATTTTGACTTCAAGGATGTGAAAATGTGAAAATGTGTGTCTTAGAACGGATGAAATTTGTCATTTACTGAGAGTAAGTGGTTGTTCTAGGGTGGACATTGTGGCTAAAATTTCTATGTGGACAGGCTCATTTGTACCTCAAGACAACCCAAGAGGAAAATATTATTATCCCCATTTCAAAGATGAGTAGGGCAAGATTCAGAGTGATCATGAGGTGGGAGGCAGGACTTGACTCCTGATGTGGGGCTTGGACACCGGACCAAATGGCGGACTAGCTAAAATAGAGGGGGCAAAGCAGCTTTCTATAAGACACATCCACCAGTAGGCCATGTCAGTTTACCATTGCCATGGCAACATGCAGGAGTTACCACCCCTTTCCATGGCAATGACCTGACAACCCAAAAGTTACCACCCTTTCCCTAGCAATTGCTGTATAAACCACTGCTTAATCTCCATGTAATTAAACATGGGTATAAATACGACTGTGAGGCTGCCCTGAGCTGCTGTTCTGCCTATGGGGTAGCCCTGCTCTGCAGGAGCAGTCAAAGACTGGAGCTTTATCACTGGCCCTTCAATAAAGCTCTGCTTTCTTCTACACTTTCTTCTCGCCCTTGAATTTTTGCCTGGAGGAAGCCAAGAACCCTCATGGGCTAAGCTCTGTTTTGGGGCCTGCCTGCCCTGCATCAGTCAGTTGTCCTGCCCAAGACTCATGGTTAGTAAGTGGAAGAGCTGAGATTTGCACCTAGGATGGTCTGACTTCCAAGACAAAGTGATAAAGAGTGTGGGCCCTAGGACAAACTATACTTCAGTTTCTTCATCTGTAAAATGGGGATGATAGGAGTAACTACCGCATAGATTATTGTCCTATGAGAGTTTGAAAAGAGTGTCAGGCACAGAGCACTCAAGACATGCTGGGTTCTCTGGTAGAAGCAGAGATTTTTGCCTCTCTGAAGCTAACATTAGTGTAATAAAAGCTGCAACCGGACTAAGAGGAGAGGACTATGGGAGCCCAGAAAAGCAGGCCAATAGCTTAGTAATTTGGGGGAACCATCAGAAATTTGCTGTGAGGGAGCAAAAAGAATGTGTGATTCATGTGTGCACTTATTTATTCAACAATATTTGTTTACCCACTGTATTAGTCTGTTCTCATGCTGCTAATAAAGACATACTCAAATCTGGGTAATTTATAAAGGAAAGAGGTTTAATGGATTCACAGTTCCACTTGGCTGGGGAGGCCTCACAATCAAGGTGGAAGGCAAAGGAGGGGCAAAGTCACGTCTTACGTGGCGGCAGGCAAAAAGCTTGTGCAGGGGAACTCCCGTTTATAAAACCATCAGATCTCGTAAGACTTATTCACTATCATGAGAACAGTATGGGGCAAACAGCCCCCATGATTCAATGATCTCCACCTGGCCCCACCCTTGACACGTGGGGATTATTAAAATACAAGGTGAGATTTGGGTGAGGACACAAAGCCAAACCATATCACCCACTGTGTACAGGTAGTACACAGTGACTGGATTTGAAACCAAGTTTGGGGGCTAATTTTTAAAAATTGAGGTATAATTTATCTACAATGCAACACACAGATCTTAGTGTTCAGTATGATGAATTTTTACAAATGTATACAGCACCCCAATTGCAATAGAGAGTATTTCCATTGCCCTAGAAAATTCCATTGTGCCCTCTTCCAGCTAAATACACCCATCTCCACCTGTTTTTTTTTTTTTAATTTCTGTCACTGTAGGTTGCTTTGCCTGTTCTTGAACTTCTGTGAACAAATGTGAACCTGAAAGGGCCAGACCTTCAAGATGGATCCTGAGTGGCTAAGTGGGCTAGGCTCCGCTGTTCTTGCTTGTAATCCCATCACTTTGGTAGGCCAGGGTGGGCGGATCACTTGAGCCCCTGAGTTTACGACCAGACTGGGCAACATACCAAGACCCTGTTCTCTACAAAATAAATAAATACTACCCCCCCCCCAAATAAGAATGGGTAAGTGGGCCTAAATTTAAAATAGAATGAAGCAGCCACTTGCTGACTATGGTTACACAACTACCCTGACTTCCCCAGAAAACCTGCACCTTTTTATCTTTGGTACTTTCTCAGCTCACCTGAACCAACCAATCAGGGCTCAAGTGTATAAACCAATCAGGGTTTGGCTGTATCAACCAATGAGAGCTCAGCTATATTGACCAATCAGAACTAAGCAAGTTTCAATCCTTCATTTGCACATCTTGATCTGATTGGGAACCTGGGCAGGAACTTTTGCGCAAAACTTGATGCTTCCCTCATTCTTGGGAACTCCCCTTCATTTTCCAGTGGAGGGTGCATCTCCAAGTTTGCAAACTGTTTTCTGTACTAAAGTCTCTTTCCTCTAAATTTCTTTTCAGAGAATTTTGTGCATAATGTAAATGGAAACTTACAGATTGTGCTGCTTTGCGTCTGGTTTCTTTTACTCAGCATAATACGTATATGATTAATGCATTTGTTTTATGTATCAGTAGTTATTTTCTTTTTCACTGCTGATATTTCATTGTTGCTGGTTGTCAAATTATTGCCTCTCCGCTCCACATTCACCCTTCTTGCCTGCTTGGTAAAAATGGATCTGGGCCCTTTAAATTTTCTCCCTGGCCAGCAGGCATGCTGGGCTTTGCCAGTAGAGGGCGCTGGGGAGCCCCAGCAGCGGGGAGGTTCCGCTTCCTGCTTGCCACGTGCTCACAGAGTAGGCTGCGGCACCACGTGCAGCCGCTCTCGTGCAGGCGTTTGCAGTGTGCAGCTGAGTTCGGCAGCTCACACAGCACCCCTTTCAAGTTGTTTTGCAGTGGGTGCCTCTTGTGAGACACTGTTTCTGAGAGCAGCTTTTGTGGCATCTTACAGGGCAGATTTCTGGTACGTTCTAAAAGTTGAATTTCTAACTTTGGCTGGTTGTGGCCCCTGACTGTTTTTTTTTTTTTTTTTGTCCTTCCTGTGGCACAGCCATGCCCTCTTAAGCAAGGCCTGGCTGTCAGCCCCCAAGGGTTTGTGTGTGGGGCACTTCTTTGTGGGGTTGGGGAGTGACAGGCTCTACCTCAGACCAAGGGCTTTTCCTTAGGGACTTGATTTCAGCTTTTGGAGGAGACTCTTCCATAGCGGCTGTACCTCAGCCACATGTGTGGGACTGGGGGCCCTTCCTTGGGGGCCCAAGCTTAGCCCCTTGTGGGGGCACCGCCTGGAGGGGGTTATCTCAGCCTGGTGGAGGGTCCCTTCCCTGGGGTGAGGGGCTCTTTCTGGAGGTCTCTATCTCAGCCTGATATGGGGGTCTCTTTTTGGGGCTCTATTTCAGTCCTGGGGTGGGGGGCTGTTCCTTGGGGGCTCCACGTCAGCCCTGGGAGGGCTCTTTTTTTGAGGACGTTTACTCTGTCACAGGTGGCAGGAGGGTGTCTCTTCGGGACTCTACCGCAGCCCTCAGGGGCTTTTTCTTTGTGGACTTTATTTCAGCCTTCGGAGGGGACTCTTCCTTGGGGGATCAATCACAGCCCTGGGTAGGGGGCCCCTTCCTTGGTAGCTCTGGGAGCTCTTCTTTGGGGCTCTATCTTATCCCTTGAATAGGGGCTCTTCCCAGGGGGCCTCAGCCCTGGGGGCCTCTTCTTGGGAACTTTTTTTTAAACCTCTAGTGGGGGACTTATCTTTGGGGAACCTATGAAAGCCCCCAGGGGCTCTTTCTTGGGGACTCTACCTTGGCCTTGAGGGGTTCTTCCTTGAGAGCTTTGTCCAGCTCTGGTTTGGGGGATTCTTAGCGGGGGGTTGTTTATCACAGCTCTGGATGGGGTCTGGTCTTCAGAGACTCCATCTCAGCTCTGTGGGTTGTGGTTGCTCCTTGCGTCTGCTGTTTCTGTATTAATTATCGTTCTCTTTACTCCTTATCAGTCAATTTCTTGTTAATTCAGTTCTCTATTATAAGTTAATAATTCTTCATATGAAACTTTCCCTGTAAAAATCACTGTATGGTGTCCTTTCCTTGACTGGACCCAAACTGATACAGAATTGGTGTCAGGAATAGGTATCAGGAGATGGAACCACAGAGGTACCATTTTGGGAGTGGTTTTCTGGTGATTTTGGGCTTGGGTGTAGTGTCAAGTTCCTTGCCAATGGGAAATGGGGTGCTAGTTACCCAAGGCATGTGGTGACATTATATGAGTCTATCATTTGCGGTTAAGACAAAATGCCACCTGAGGCACGTCTGTTGGGAGCCAGAGTGATGCTGCACTTGACTGTGTGGCCATAATGAGGACTGTGAGAACTGTGGGGTGGGATGGATCCTTTTGAGGGCTCCTGTCTTCAAGGAACCAGATACTATGCTCTATTTAAAACATACATAGGCAGGCCGGGCACAGGCATGGTGGCTCAGGCCTTTAATCCCAACACTTTGGGAGGCTGAGGCAGGCGGATTGCTTGAGCCCAGGGGTTTGAGGCTGCAGTAAGCTATGATTGCACCGCTGCACTGTAGCCAGGTGACAGAGCAAGACCCTAGCTCTAAAAAATAATAATATAATAAGAATTTGAAAAATGTGTAGATAATGACATAGAAAATGACAAGCCCAGGTCCATTAACTCTTCCTTCGAGCCACAGTCTGAGAATCAGACAGCTTCCATGGCAGCCCTTAAGGAAGTTCTTATTTCTTGCAGCCACAAGGCTGAGACTGCTGAAAATAAAACAAAAAATTTAATTGTGCTGGTTGCTGAATTATGACAACAGTTGGAATCACATCTGGACAAATTAGGGCATGAATCGTGAAAGAATGGGGTCCTGAAACATGGAATGGGGGCAGTTGTTGGACTCTGATGAAACTGACAATCTAAACTGCAAGTCACTCTGAGCCCACCCCCCCCACCCCCACCCCAACTTATCAAGTGGAAATACCTTTCCCTCCGCAGTGCTGGAGGAGACTGCTTTTTCTCTGTTAAGAAACCCTGTGATAATCTCGGCTGGAGCAGATGCTGTTCTCAAGACTCATCACAGCCACCTGCTGTTGTCACTAGCCCCTAGCTGTGGTCAGATCTCAGCATGTTCCACGGTGGCGGGTATACACAGACCTAGGAGGAAACAGAAAAAGAACGACAAGACTGGTGACATGTATGGGAGTGGATTCTAAGGGTTTTAGATCCAGGAAGGCAGAATGTAACACTAGCCTGGGCTGGATGCATTGATACGGGCACACTCATTAGAGGTTCTGAATTTGGCTGTTAGCTTCTGCAGCTGGAGGTGGCTCTAACAGCTTGGTTGGTTGACTGAAACTTGGACTTGACAGTAACCTGCAGTTAATGAGGGTTGTGATGTCATGATGTGGAAGAGGGAATCCAAAGGCTTGGGGAGACCGCAATGTTGGACTGCATGTATCATGTCTAATCTGCACTCCCCTGCTGCCACCACCTATGTTCCACAAGAAGGACCCAAAGACAGAGACATAGAGAGATCCATTAGTGAGGGAGCCCCTTTGTCCTTGAAATGCACAGTGGCTGCTCTCTTTTGTAGGCCACTGTGAATATAGAGGCTGCCTCCATTGAGATGGGCTCCCTGATTTCAGTGGGGATAAGGGGGTCCTGGAGTAGCAGATACCGAGGGGCAGCACTTCACTGTCAAGGACAAGGTGGGCACACATTGGAGAGGGTAGCAGGAATGTATGGGAAGGCAGAATGCCTTTGCCCACAGGGATTTCTAGTGGTGGTGAATTGATTAGAGTGTCTCTGGGAATGAAATAAGTGGGCAGCCTACTAGAGTATTATTTCATGTATTTTTATATGTGATAGAAAGTTCTAGGCCCGGTAGCCAAAACCTGGCAATTGATAGTCATGGCTTCTCATTCAGTTTCCAGACCCTAAGTCAATTCACAGACCCAGAATCCCTGGGTGGCCGGGTCCCCTTGAGGAAGGAGCCTGCATCATTGCCATAAATACTTATTGTAAATCTTCCTCCAAACCTTCCTCCAAAGGGACCTGTGACCATTTACCAAAATAATAGGGAAATGGACATACCCAGACAGTTCTGGAGTTACTTGGCACTAACTCTGAACTGATGCTGTTTCCTGGGGATCTAAAATGCCACTCTGGCTCATAAGTCAAAGTGGGGCTTGTGATGGTCAGGGATAGAGTCTTAGCTGTAGTCTGACTCTCAGTAGATTTGCTTGGTCCATGCCCACCCCGAAGTTATTTTCTGAGCTCCTGAATAAACAATTAGAGTAAGCACACTTGGTAATTATCCATTTTCTTCTCTCTTCTTCCCATTTTTGTTTTATATGCAAGTTTTTGGAAGTCGACTTTATAGTCTTTAGGTGACAGAATGTTCCATGGAACTGTGATCGGTATTTAAGTCCTAATAAATATAGTCCATGACGACTCCTGGGCCTATTAGTCTCCTTGTTTTGGGGAGTGAGTGAGAACTTACAAGGATGATAGCTGCATCTTTTTAGATAGAAATACGCAGTTGTGTTGTTGTACAGGACTTCAGTGGTGTGCAGGAGGATTCATATGGAAGCTAAGTAGTCAAAGAGATGGGCTTTTCTGGTTATCAATTATTGCTTTTCTGTGTCCAATCACCCTTCTTGCCTGCCTGGTGAAAATGGATCTGGGCCCTTTAAATTTTCTCCCTGTCCAGGCAGCAAGCTGGGCTTTGCCAGTAGAGGGCGCCGAGGAGCCTCTGCAGCAGGGACCTTCTGCTTCCTGGTTGCCACGTGCTCACAGGGCCTGCTCCTGCAGCACGTGCCGCTCAGTGCTGGCTGCTGCCGTGCTCAGCAGAGGCCAGCAGCACCTTATTTTAGGCAGTTTTGTAGTGGGTGCCTCTGGTGAGACACCTCCTGTGAGCAGCTTTTGTGGCACCCTGCGGGGCAGATTTCTGGTAAGTTCTACAGGTTGGCTTTCTTGCAAGTTCTGCTGGTGTGCACCAGACCAACTTTTTTTCTCCCCCAATGTAGTGAGGCACAGCCATACCCTCTTCAGCAAGGCCTGGATATCAGCCCTCAGGGGTGTTTGTGGGAGGATGCTTGTTTCTGGGTGGAGGCTCCTCCTTGGGCACTCTGTCAGCTCAGGTTGAAGAACTGTTCTTTAGGGGCTCTGCCATAACGCTGGAGTAGAAGCCTCTTCCTTGAGGGCTGGATGTCAGCCCTAGAGAAGGTGCGTTTGCTTGATACTCTAGCTCAGCACTGGGTGGGGTGGGGGACTTTTGCTTCTGAGGGTCTCTTTCAGCCCTGGGGGGCAGCAGCTGCTCCTTTTGTCTCCTAAACCTATATTCTTCAGAGTTCCCTTTACTTTCTAGCCAGTTTCTTGTTAATTCCACCTCCCATTATGGTTAATAATCCTTTATATGAAACTTACCTATTCAAATGACTGCGCAGCTTCCCCCTCCTAATAGGATGCAGAGTGATGCCCATTGTGCATACTGGCCACAGTTTGTCCACAGTTTTCCTGTGGACATTTCCAATTTGGGGCTATTATGAATAATCTGTGATGTGTATTCTTGAGTGGATGGGCTTTTTTGTGTTATGCGTTTTCATATCTCTTGGATAAATACCTCGAATGAGGTTCCTTTGGGAAGGCCAGGCCACAGGGCTTTCAATTTGTCTAGAGGGTGCTGAGGAGCTGCTGGAAGTTTTGTGGGTCTATTTTAAGTAACACTGATGGATTCGATGTGGGTCTTAGAAGGAGTGAATGGGAGGGGAGATGCCAGTCTTCAATTCCCCAGATGAGGGTGGCAGCTCAAACTGGTGACTTGGTGTGGGACTTTGCTCCATTGTCTTTTTCCTAAACTGTGAAATGGGTTTTTCACAGGCGTGCATAGGATCGTTGGCAGGACTGAGTGGGATGAAGCATGAGGGGCACTTGGCATGGGGCTGGCATGGAGCAGATGCACAGTGGTTGCAGCCAACAGGACTGCCATTTTTAGGTGTTTCAGGCAGGATGTCCTAGCTTCCCCCTGGTGCTAGCCATTATGTGTTCACAGTCCAAGAGCCCAGGGGGGTGGCAAAGGGTCTTGGTGCCCTGCTTAGAGACAACTCTGGACCTAGAAGGTGGGGCACAGCTGCCCGTTGCTGTGCAGTGCTGGGCACTTTCTGATGCCTTCTTGTGGCATCCCTCAGAGGAGTGGGTGGACAAGGTGGCCTTGGGTTCTGGGCACTTTGCCCAGCCCCCTGACAATCACCTCAGCTGGCATCTTGCCTGTCCAAGCCCCGAGCTGCTGTGCCCCAGCAAGTCAAGCGGCCATGATTAGTCAAATAAAATTTCCATCTGTTGAAGAATTTACGAGAGTTATTACTGGCTATAAAACCGATCTGAGGAGAAAGATGGATCCGAGGGGGTAAGTGCCTCTAATTATGTGCGGCAGTGACGTTTAAATAAGGTAGCACAAGTCCTTATTGGAGGGAGCCAGGTCCCTATCCCTCTCTGGGCCCAGAATGTGGCCAGACTGGTGGGGGTGGGTGCTTCACTGCAGAGGGAGGAAAGAGGAGCTACCCTATGCAAACTCGGGGACAGGGGTCATTGCGGCTTAATTTTTTTTTTTTTTTTTTTTTGGTAGAGACAAGGTCTTGCTATGTTGCCCAGGCTGGTCTCAAACTCCTGGGCTCAAGCAGCCCTCCCGGCCTCCCAAAGTGCTGGGATTACAGGTGTGAGCCACTGTGCTTGGCCACTGTGGCATTTAGAAAGATCTTAGATGCCAAAGGGCCTAGCGCAGTGCCTGGCATGCAGCAGTGACTTAATAAATGCATGTTTCTGCTTTACCTGCTTCCCTCCTACCTCCGGGGACTGAGCTGGGCCGCTTACAGGATGCAGGAAGTGGTCTCCCTGGGCCAGGCTCTTGTTGGCACAGACTCTGTGTGATCCGCCCAGGTAATCTTGCTGGGTCTTCATAGCTTCGACTTTAAAGTGGGACAATTAATTACCGAAGGAACACGGGGAAGGCAGGCTTTTGGGTATGTGGGCCCAAACTTGTTCTGTTTTTTTTTTGGGACTGAGTCTCGCTGTTTCACCTAGGCTGGAGTGCAGTGGTGTGATCTTAGCTCACTGTAACCTCTGCCTCTTGGGTTCAAGTGATTCTCCTGCCTCAGCCTCCCAAGTAGCTGGGATTACAGGCACCCACCACCACGCCCAGCTAATTTTTGTATTTTTAGTAGAGACGGGGTTTCACCATGTTGGCCAGGCTTGTCTCGAACTCCCGACCTCAGGTGGTCCGCCCTCCTCGGCCTCTCAAAGTGCTGGGATTACAGGCGTGAGCTGCCGCGCCCGGCCCTGTTCTTAACACATGACTTAGCTCTAATGCCTCCAGCATCTAGGGAAGGAGATCACATCGTGGGTTTCTCCTCATCTCAGGTGGGAAGGTCTCGGGGGTCCATGCGCTCACCTGAGGTCACCTGGATCCCAGATGCTCCTGCCTTCTTGGAGGAATGTGGCTTTAAAAGGCCAACCCCTAACCTTCACCTTACTCAAGATACTGAGAACAAGACCACTTGGGAGCAAATGTGGCCTCCTGGTAGCTGGGGAGAGCCGTGAGATGGTTGGTGCTGGAAATTCTGCCTGGAGTCCGGCATAACTGAGTTCCCGGGACCCAGGGTGGAGACGAATAATCCCATCCCAGAGAGTCCGAGCCTTCAGATATAGGGCTCCGGGGCCTGAGACTCTGAGGTCGTGCAGCAAATTCGTGGCAGGTCCACTGACTGCTAGGCCAGGGGTCTTGTCGCTGGTCCACGCAGAAAGGAAGGATGGCTACTTTCTGTTCCTCCCCTGACCACCACCCCATCAAGCACAGACCAGGCCCCACCCCCTGGGCCATTTAAAACCAGAGGCCCAGGTGCTGTGGCTACGCTTTCAGACCGAGAGTCAGCTGTTAAAAGGCTCACACCTGGGCCGGGAGCCATCCGAATTCAGTCTTCCTGAGGCTCTGGCTCACCTCCAGGCAGGTAGGTCTCACCGTGGGTCCCTTTCTCTCGGCCAGGCAGCTTGAGTGTGACTGTTTGGCAGTGGTTGTGCACTGTGTCTGGAGCCCCTGGTCCCCGATATCGAACCCCAGGGGGTTGGGCTGCAGGTGGGAGCCCAGGGGCTGGCGTTTGTGGTGGGGCTGCAGGAAAAACCAAGCTTCTCTGGTCAGGTTGTGGCCTGTGTGGGTGGTCTTCTCCTTGGTGCCCCCCGCCCCCCAAGGCCTTGTTCCCCGGTGACTCCTGAGCTGTGGGCCCCAGGTGGCAGTGGAGGGGCTCCCACCTCTGGCGCTTTCTGCGTGGCCTCCCGGGGACTCAGTTTTCCTCTGCGTCCATGGGGGTGGTAGGGCTGCCTGGTGGGGCCCGCGCAATAATGGAATGAGTGTGTGTGAGAGAGGGGGACCCCAGGCCTCTGATTCCTCGTTCGCCTTTTGGGGCCAGGCTAGGAGAAGCGGTGGGGAAGTGCTTACCTTGCCGTGGCAAGTTGATGTCTCTTGGACTGAGACCTTTGGGCCAGAGTAGCCTAGGTCTCTGGGAATTTTCATTTCATCCTGCAATGAAAGAGCCTGGCCTGCGGGTCCCCAGACACTGTGGGCTCTGGGACAGCTATGGAATTTCTGTCTTTGGATGGCTTCTATCGTGCTGAGGGATTCATTCTGTCTGGGTTTCACGTTGTTTAAAACCAGGTGGGCTGGGGAGCGGGAGTGTGTGGGGGCTGTGTTGATGCACCCCTGTGTTGGCCCCGAGCTGGCCCAACGCTCCTCTGACCTCGCTTTCAGACCGTAGAGTCAAGTGACGGGGTAGCGTGGGGGTGCTTTGGGGTGTGGTCTTTAGAAAGCCTCCCCGGAGGTGCTGGCATCCCTGGTTCCCTCTTAGTCATAATATGTGACCTCCATGGCTTTCCCATCTCAAACTCGGGGTGGAGTGGGTCCCTCAACCCTTTTCCCCACTTCTGCGGGACCCTCGGCCCCTCCCCGTGTCCCCTGCCTCCAGCCTGGAAGGAGGTTCTGACGAATTGGAGGGCTGCAGATCCCCCTGCTGGCTCCACAGCCTTTGTAAGCAGCTCATTACGTCTTCCCCATCCTATTCCTCATTAGCCGCAGGTGCTCTCCATGAGAGGGTTGCCAGGATTTCTGAGTTTTAGTGGCACCTAGGGCAGGGGAAGGCTTATGGCAAAATGTTCCTTAGTCTTTTCTCCCCCATTCCCTCCCCCTGCAGAAAAGGATGAGCGGTTGGGAGCCTTGGGGCTGACAGGTTTTGTGAGTGTGCAGTGGGGGCTTCCGCCCTCGGGAAACAGGGGTTGGCCCTCTGGAAACAGGGGTTGCGATGGAGCTCCATGCTTTACCGGCTGATGACTCAGCAGGTCTGAGCCTCAGCTTCCCATTTACTAAATGGGCTAACTGGGACAATGATTGATCTAGTGCCTTCTATCATGATAATCATTATTTTTGATAATATGTCCCAGACAAGAATAGCAAAGGTTGGAAAGCAGCTCTGTGTTGAGCTGAGCAGGGCTCGGGAAACCCCGGTGGGGGTGGGGGTGGGGGTGCTGGTGCTTTCATGGAGGCAGAAGCCTCTGGCTGGTCCCTTCCCTTGGTGGGCAGCTATGGTCCAGTTCCCGGCTGACAGTGGGGCTGGCCTTAGGTGTGACGCAAGGGGTGGGTAGAGGCCAGGGAAGCTGCTCTGTATCCTGCAGTGCACAGGCCGGCCCCTGCTGCAGACAGTCATCCTGCCTCAAATGTCAACAGTGCTCAGGTTGAGACACCCTCAAGCTCCATGCCTGGCACATAGTTGGCTCTCTATAAAGCTTGGATGAACACCAGTGGGCAAGCCAGGGGGGACTGGTCATAAAGTCAGCCTGAAAACTGGGGGTTCACTTCTTTCCAGCCCAATGTTTCTTCTTATTGCTCTGTTAGGCATGGTCAGGAATGCTACGAGGTTCTGACAGGCAGCTTCCAGTCCTGGGTACCCTTGGAGGTGGGGTTGGTGATGCTGTGACTTCAGCAGCCTAAGCTTCTGGGCACCCCCCCACAGCATCTCTCATCCTGATGCCTATTGGGTTCAGCCTCGTCCTCCTTGTGTCGCCCCCACGCTGTTGATGATCCTCCAGCCCCACTTGGCATGCCTGATGTGGCCTGAGAGCCTGGGTTTTAATAGCTGAATATTTCTTTAAAAGAAATTCCACTTGTCTTGAGGCCCGCGTTCCTCCAGCGTTGCCTGCCTGGCTCCCCGGGGGAGTTCACGCAGAAACTGATGTGTTAACAGGCTGCAGTGTCTCCCTTTCCATCTCTCCATTTAGCCTCCCTTGGAGATGGCCTGGTCGCTGGCTCTCTGTGCCCTTGCCTAGTGGCTCAAGATGGCACATGACTTGGGGCCCCCGGATCTGGGTAGGGGGGCTGTATAGACACCAGATGTTGGAATCCACCCAGGTAAAGCCACCATGATGCACAAGTCCCAGGTGCCAACTGTGCAGCGGTTGGGGGCTCCAGCCAGAGTGGAGTTGGAAGGGATGCTGCTGGAATCCAGCTTGTGGGGAGATGGTACCAACTGGAGGTGCTGGACGCTTCCTTCTTTGAGATGAGCAGGCAGCGATCACCGGGTCTGGGGCTGTGTGGAGCAGGTTGGGGCTGGCCTTCCTCCTCTGGGTCCCTGAGTGTGGTGGGCCTGAAGGAAGAGAAACATGTCAACTTGGCTGTCCAGGCCAAGTGTACTAAAGAGTAACCTCCACGTGGGCAGGGATTTTTATCTGCCTTAGTTCACTGTGGTGTCCTGGTGCCTAGGAGAGTGCCTGGCATGGAGGCCGCACTGTCCCCCACTCCTTGCCTCCAAACCACCTCTGCTTGAGCTCTACCTACAGACAGGACCCTGTGCTTTTTACACATTAACTCATCAGACACTCGCAATAACCATATGGAGTTGGTGTGATAACATACCCATTTGACAGGTGAGGAAACCGAGGCCCAGGAAAGTGAGGTAACGTGCCCAAGCCCCTCTCCATGGCAGGCTATGTAGCATCTCTTAGGTCTCAGCTCAGGGTTCCCCTCTTAAGAGGTCTGACCAGAGCCCTGGCTCCATTCCACACATGATGTCATTGTTGCTCCCTCGTAGCACGTCACCCGGCTCTCTATAAATGTCTGATTCACTCACTTATTCACGATCTGTCTCCACTCCCCGGAATGTGAGGTCTCTCAGGACAATGTCTGGCCCCTTGCAGGGCAGAGCTGACTGGTCTGACCTGACATCTGTGCTCTTACCCACCAGGCTTTCCTGCCTGCCTGGTTTGATGAGCTGTGGGTTCATTACATCTGGCATGGGCGCCATTTCCCGGGTCCTAGGATGTGAGGCAGAGGTTCCCTCGAGACCTCTCTCAACTCCCAGGGAGTTAAATCTCACCCCAGGTTTTAGAGCAGCCAACTTCCTGTGGCCTGCCCTCCTGCAGAGTAATTACTGTAATTTTCCCAGTGTCACCCTCAGCCTTTGGATGATATTGTGACCAAAATGTGAGAAGCAATGACACCCTGTGACACTCCCAGCCCTTGTAATTGAGGCTTTGAAAGCACTGCTGATGTCTCCAAAGGCATCTGGGTGCTCCACGGCTGTGATGGAGGTGGGACCTCTGAACCCTGGCTTTTTGACTTTGGCTGCTTTGCAAATGTAGTGACTAATAGATGTGATGTGTTGATTCACTCCCCTGTCTTCCCAAAATTGTGTTCACATCCCTGATCCAATCTGGAGCCTTGTAGCAGCCTCGTGAGGCTGGGACTGGTACTTTGGCCCTGACTTAATCGGCAGAGAACTTGTGCATTCCTTGAAATTGTACAGCGTATGAGTGGCAGAGCCTGGCTCAAACCCGGGTCTTCTGCTCCCATGTCACACACACTCGGTCTGGGACCTCTTCTGTGCAAATATCCCATTCAAGAGGGCCTCCTGATTATTCTACCACTATCTAAAGTTGGTTGCAGAGTAGCAATAGCAAAAGCAAAAGTCACAACCTTGGGCGCTGACAGCCTGTCAGGCACCGTCCTAATTGACTTGCCATGTGTTAATGCATTTATTCCTCCCTGAAGCCCACTGTGGTGGGGGCTGTGATTATCCCCACTTTACAGATGAGGAAACTGATGCCCAGAGAGGGTATATTTAGCCCAGGACTGGGAGCCATAATGTGATGGAGCTGGGATTGGAACCCACGTAGTCTTCAGAGACCAAGCTTTGACCATACTGCCATATAAATCATCTAGAAAGCCATAATTCCTGGAACTTACTGCATTTTTTTCTCAGGGGTGTTCATTTGTTCATTCATTCCTAAGCTATGGTTGAATGAATGAATGAATGAATCTATTATGTACTGACCATTGTTCTAGGTGCTGAGGATTCAGTCCTGGGCAAAACAGACAAAGTTTTGCCCCCGTGCAGTTCCATTCTAGTTGGGGGAGACAAGATATGCAGATGATGAATGTGGTTTCAGGTTGGGAGAACTATGGAGAACAATGAATGGAACGGGAACAGAGAGTGATGAAGAAGGTGACTTTGGCCACAGTGGTCAGGGACGGGGGAAGCAGACACCTGAGGGGGAAGCGAGACGGGTGAGCATCATGAAGAAGGGGTTCCAGGCAGAGAGCAGCGTCTGCAAAGGCCCTGCGGTGGGACTGTGGAGGCCTGCTCTGGAAACAGTGAGGAGGGCATCAGGAGGTGAGGTCAGAACGGTAAGAGTGAGGAGATGCTGGGGTTGCATCGGATGATAGGATCCGACTTCGCTGCTGGAGACAGAGCCGGGGGATGAGGCGGAGGCAGGGGGGCCAGTGTGGGGGCCGTCCCTGTGGTACAGGGGTGAGACGATGCTGGCAACTTAGCCTCAGGGTGCTTCTAAAGAGTCTCTTCTTAGATATCGCTCTCTTCCCTTTCCTCCCGGACTGACGTCTGCACATCCTTCTCTCCCGGCTAAGACCTTCCCTGCTCTCCTGGGGGTTGAGTTTGGCCTTGTCTAAGCCCGTGGCTGGGTGCATGGCTCCCGGGCACTGCTCTTTTGTGGCTGCCTTGTCCAGTGGTTATTTGGTGCGCAGTAAGCCCTTTGCTTTTTGGGTATTGACTGTAGATCAGTGCTCACCATGTTTATCCTCCATAGGTGCTTTATTATTATTTTTGGCATCTGCAGAAATACCTGCTTTATGTGTTGCCTGCTCAGTTATGTCTCATTGTTGCCTTTATTTACTTATTTCACACGAGACAATGTCCCTGCTTGGCTTCTCGGCTCAGTCTGATGCCGTGACTGCTGACACGGGAGGAATGACACTGCGTTACTCAAGCAGGTGGCAGTGTGGCTTTTCTCGAAAGCATGAGGCCCCAGCCTCCCTGGGTGTGCAGAATGGGTGCTCGTGAATCCCTCTGGTGGGACTGGGTGTCTGTGGGTTCAGTCCTGGGGGGCAGGGGTGAGCATATATGTGATGTGGGGTTTTAGAGAATCAGTCAGGGCTCCGTGTGTGTAAGCAATAGAAATTGCCTCTGGCCAACTGCAGCAGAAAAGGAATCATCAGAAGGAAACTCTTGTATCTGAAGTTGGGCCAAAAGACTGGCTGGGAAAAGGTGGGAACCCAGCTAACTCTGGTTGGGAATAGGGTGGCGGGCAGGTGGGGGTGGGTGGGTGGTGTTTCTAGCAAGATCTGCTCAAGGCCCTCTGGGGACCCCACCAGGATGGGTGGCTCCAGCCAGCTTGAGAATTTTGCAAGACTGGAAATCCATGTACCCAGAGAGAGGGGACCTAACTGGTGGGGATTTGACCTTGTGGCGAGGCCTGGCCTGGCAGTGTGCAGGGCTCATGTTCAACAGTCCTGCCAAGACTGCAGTTTGGGGAGAGGATCACTCCTGGAAAGGAATTTTGGGGTGCTGGTGTCAGAAGAAGAGAGGCTGGGCACTTGGCTGCTACAAGTACCTCCTGTACCCTAGAAGAGCCACACATGTGAGCTGTGTTTTGGTCTTTTAAGATGCTAAGGATGGAGGATATCATCAAATGGAATGTTAAAGTACAGGACCGAGTTCCTCTGAGCCAGTGAACGGGCTGGGCTCAGAGTGCAGAGGGGTTCCCAGGTCTGGGGAAGTTTTGGACACAGTGATCCGGCTGGGCCTCTAGGGCTGGGTTGCCTGGAATAGGAGGGGCGTTTGGGGAATGGAGCTCTGAGTCAGGCTCACTGCAGGGGCGAAGGCCTGGAGGCTGGGTTTGGTGGAGGTGAGGGGCAGAGTTGCTGACTCACTGCTAGGGAGTGGGGAGTGAGGCTGGAGCTGCAGGCTGAAGATGTCTTTGGACACCAGGCTGAGGAGTGTAGTCTTGGGAGGGTAATTGTGTCAGGAAGCAGAGCGGGAGGAGTGGTCCACTGCTTCATGACATCCCTCCTATGTGCCTGACACTATACTAATAGTGCTTTGTTGTAGCCTGTTTAACCTACTGATGCTGCTATTTCCCTTTTATACAGATGAAGAGACGGGGGGTCAGAGAGGTTAAGTGACTTGGACAAAGTCACATAGTGAGTCAGTCGCAAAGAAGGTCCTGCTTCTTGCTACGTCGCCCAGGCCTGGCCAATATTCTCCACTGGTCTGTGTTGCAGAATCGCCAGCTGTGAAGTCAAGCAGCTGCTGATCTGTCCTGTTGAGCGCCTTGATTCTTTTCCTTCAGCCTTCCCTTCCCCAGTATCCCTAGAGCACATTGGGCATGGCTGTGGGCCGGCAGGGGTGGCAGAGTGTAGGGAGAGGGTCTGGGGAGACTTTCTCCTTGTCACTGCAGAGCTGTTTCTCTTCTCTCCATTTCCTCTGTAAAGAGCTGGTACAAAGCTAGCAAAATCAGAGTCAGCAGAAAAATCTAATTTTCACCTTAGACACGTTTGTAGCTGGTAGATAGTAACCCACCTTCTAGACTTTCCTTCCAGACAGGGCTGAGCTGAGTCCTGCCCTGGACATTGGGGACCTGCTCTGTCACGAATTCCCTGCCTCTTGTTAGGCAAGACAGTTCTTCTCTGTAAGCCTCAGTTTGTCCACCAGTAAAAAGGGGGTGGTGGTGATCGTGGCAGGGTGTTACAAGCCCACATGCCTGCAGGGGCCCTCCAGGAGAGACAGAGGCATGAAATAAACCAGGCGCAGGGCAGAAGAGGGCATGGGAATACAAGGGGCCTGGTGGGCACGTGCTCAGCTCATAGAGTCAACCCCAGCTCGGGGCCAACCAGCTGTTGCTGTGTAGGGCTTCTTGGGCCACATCTTTGGATTATTTTCAAGAAAATCCAGAAATCTGAACTATGCTCCAAAATAATTGAAATTTTAAATGTTAGCAACTTATTTGAAATTTTTGAAAGATAGTATAGGCCAATAATAGTAGCTCCATGGCCTGAAACTGGCCTGTGGAGTCACCAGCTTGCAGTGTCTGGATTATTTGGGTCTCCTCCAGCCAGATGAGCTATGGCTACATTTAATAGGCGTATAAATAAAAATAAAATATTTGCCTTCTAGATATGTTGATTTGTATTTATTGATGAGGTCTGTGGTTTATAATTGGCATCTGAGCTCAGAGTTAATAATGGGGTAGAAGCCTCTTTGAGAAACTTTAATCAGAGATGTAGAATTGGTGTGCTTATACCTCTCTCTCCAGATTACTTCCTCCTCCTGACATCTATCTTTAATCCTTCCTGCTGCAGACTTAGCCTAGCCTAGTTTCTGTGGCAACAGAGTATGCTACCTTTTCTCTCCTCGTAGATTCAGAGAGAAGGAAGCAGGGAGGGTGGCCTTGAGATTTTCATAACTCAGACAGCAGTTCCAGGGACCTCTACTTTCTACACCTGCAAAATCAGGGGCAGGACAGGTTTATTTGAAGCCAGTGGGCAGCCCAAGAGCAAGATTTATTGTCTCTCATAAATTTTTAGAGACCTCTGGCTAAGAGCTACCGACTTTATCACATTAGCTGCTACCTTAGTCCCCAGTCTGGAGGGTGTTCGTGGATTAGTTTCTTTAGTATCCAGAGAGCAGTGAGTTTATAGGCCCTTTTAAGGGTGGGCTTGGGAAAGACCTATAGGAACCAAAGGCTTAAAAGAGGATCTAGGGGTCATACTGGCCAATGTGCTGGTCATTTCTACCATGCACAGTGCAGAGTTTGGGAAAGACCTCAGAGAGACAGTAGTGGCAGAAGAGGATCTAGAGGTCATAGTGGCCAATGAGCTGGTCATTCTCGCCATGCACAGTGAAACCAAGATGGACTGTATAGTCAGGAAAGGGAAGTGGCTCCACTGAGATTGTGGTGCTGATAGCAGTTGTCAGTCCTGGGCTCTGACCGGGAAGAATAGGGGAAGTGGGTAGGATACAGACATTGGAGTCAAATGCCTGGGTTTGGATCCTGGCTTCACCGCTGTGAGGCTGGGGGCGCGGGTAATTTACTTAACATCTCTGAGCTTCTAAGAACTCATCTGTAATGGGAAGATGACAGCAGTTACCGCCTCATAGGTTATCGTGAGGATTGAGATGATACTTGTAAAGCGTATAGAACAGGGGCGGCAAACTTTTTCTGTAAAAGACCAGATTGTAAACATTTTGGGCTTTGTGGGCCATATGGTCTCTGTCGGACGCTGCAACTCAGCTGTTGTAACTTGAAAGCAGCCATAGATAGATAATATGTAAATGATGGGCGTGGCTGTGTTCCAATAAAACTTTATTTATAGACACTGAAATTTGAATTTCAGATACTTTTCATGTGTCACAAAATAGTCTTCTTCTGATTTTTTTTTTCAACATTTAAAAATACAAAAACCATTCTTGGCTCTCGGGCCATATAAAAACAGGCAGTGAGCCGGATTTGGCCCGTGGGCCATAGTTTGCTGACTCCTAGTATAGAATAATGCCTATTATGTGTTTATTAAATGTCAGTCACTGATATTACCTTGATCTTTATCATTATTCTTTTTATCTCAGGAGGGCGGGTTGAAGACAGTCAGATATTTGGCTCAGAAAGAGGTGACTTGGTTTGGGGGAAGGAGCATATAAACCGTTACTACCAGGAAGGGAAGATGGGATTTGTCCTGCACTGTCCCAGAGGTGTGTCCTCCAGGCCCGATTGGCAGAATTGACAGGGAGGTAGATTTTTGGCTTCGAGGCCCCTAGCAGCTAGAGGTACTGAAAGTTGCTATAGACTGCCTTGGGCATAGTTGAGTGCCTGTCACTGGGGGTGTCAAGCAGAGGACAGATACTCCTGACATGCTGCAGTGGAGGGGGCGTGCTCACCGGCTGGACAAATGGACACTGAGGTGCTGGGGTCACCACCGTTTCTTGCAGCACCATCAAGGCTAATGGAAGAGGGGGTGTTTTCCTATTCTTCCACGGTCCTTTTCTTAATTCGTGAAGTATCTTGTCCTCTTCCTGCCTTCTCAAATAATCCAGTGACATGCACAGGCCACATTCTCCCCATTTGAACAGGAGAGACAGAGACAGAAAGCAGGAGAACAGGGAGGTGGTGGGAGACAGGATGCAGCGCTAACCTTCGCTGTGGACCTTGTGCAGTGCATGCGCTTCGTGTATCCCCGTGAGGCTGAGCTCTGCTGGGTGTAGTCTTCCGTGTTCACCTAGTGTTTCTAGGGGAAAAGTCCTGAATCAACACATGAGAAGTTTGCATAATGCTCAGATTATTCCCTAATGTATCGATTGCATTGGAACAAATACGCATTTTAAAAATTAGTGTTATGGCAGCATGAACTGCACTTTGGATCGGGAGTTATGAGCGGTGGGAGGGTCTTTTCTAGATAGGGACTTCCTTGTAAGGCTCACCTCACCCCAGAAGGTGGGCTGTTACTCGGCACTTCAGGGCCTGTGAAGGTTTCTGGGCTTTCGGTGAGGTTGATCCTCTCCTAAAGTCGGTTTCTCCCCCAGACCCCAGCAGCTTGTCTTTTGGGATCTCAAGGCACCATACTGGATCCCTCATAACTTCTGATCCCACCCATTATTTGGGGGAAAGCTGACACCAGGGATGTTGGGGCAGCTCCACAATTCTGACCACACAAACTCAGCAAAGATGTAGTTTATGCAGGATCATGCTGGACCGGAGAGAGGGAGCCCAATAGTGGTGGGAAGAGGTTGGGGGGCTCCCTTTTGAACGAGAGGGGAGCAGTGATGTTTAGCAGGAATTGGCCATGCATCCCTAGCTCCCAGCTCCCTGGAGCCTCTGCCATTTGACCAGTAAGTCCCACGTGCTCTGGAGCTACAGGGACCCAGAGGGGTGTTTCTGGGGCCAGACCCAGGCAGTCTAAGAACCGCTTTCTTTTGCATCAAAGCCCACCATGGGGCCTCTGTGTGGGTAATGAGGTCTTGTGAGTACCTCTTCCTTAGAGCAAAGAGGAAAGGAAAAAAAAAAGGATTGCCTGGAATTTATTAGTCTAATTACATTTTCCTAATGTGGTTGACCCTCGCTCACAGCAGCGAGCTTATCAAAGCAGCAATCATACCAGCATTATTGGAGTTTTAATAAGAGTCAATTGGTTATTGTCCTCGCTGCGTCGGACACTGTCGACGTAATCCTCCGAAGCCCCTCGAGAAGATAGGGAGTTTGCTTTCTTTGCTGGAATATTATTTACGTTAATAACAAGGATTAGAGGCTTGTTCTATGTGTTTAGGAGAAGCAGAGCTTTTCTTTGTTCGAGTAGCTCCTGGCTGCCGGCTGTGTACCTACTGGTGGCCCCTCTGAAGTCTAGAGAGCACCAGGCTGAGAGTCTGGACCCTGGGGCCATAGCTCCAGCTCCTGGCTCACCGATCGCTGTGCCTTGCTCTGTGAGCTTAGCCAAGCTGTCTCACCTCTGTGGTCCCTCCTTTGTGAAATGAGAAGACACAAGTAATAACAATTAGCGAGAATGCAGGGGAAGCCTTTCCTAGCACGCAGCAAGCATTAACAAATGCAGGCTCTTCTAAAATAGCCAAATACAGTGGTAGGTGCCGGCTTAGCTCTACCCTTATGCGTTTATTTATGATGCCATAGAGTGGAGCAGCTTTGTATCAGGATTGAGCATTTCCAGAGTGCCCGGTTCTGTCCTAGTTACTTGACACAAGCTGGGGAGCAATTTAGCCTGATGAAGAGGAGGCGGGGCTGCAAGGCTCACATTTCTGCTCTCCCCTTAGCTGTGTGACTTTGGGCGACATTCGTGACCTTTCTGTGCCCAAGCAAGGATAATCAAAGGGTCTCTCTCACAGGCCTAATGAGAGGATTAGGAGAGGCAATTCATGCAGAGTCCATAGAACAGCACTTGGCCCATGCCGAACAGATGCTGGTTATTGTGAGATTAACAGGATTTCTGAGCTTCCGTCTTCTACTTTGCGAAGGGAGGGAGAAGAGGCTGTCTGTGCAGGGCCACAGAGGGTGCACTAGAGTGACGTTTATGTAATGCCTGGCACAAGAGGGTAGCCAGAGGTGGTGGGGTGGGCATACAGGTGGGTAGACTGAGGCCAGATGGTGCAGGGGTTGGCCTGAGTTCACCTTAGCAAATTAGATGCCCACCTGTGGACATTGCTGTCATGGCCTAGAGGTAGCGCCACCTTCTGTCTCACACTTGAGGACTGCAGAGTCGGAACTAAAGCCTGGGGTCCTCTGAGGCCAAAATCTGGGCTCGTTTAGCTCCAGCAGGGGCTTGGGGGGTACTTTCTGTGACCGAGGACTCGGCAGCCTGACGAATAATCGCTTCCTGCCTTTCCCTCATTTTGCTAATGAGGAAAGCTCTTCCACCAGCTGAACAGCTAGGCGCCCTTGCCCACGCTGGGGGGTGGGGGCGGGGTGTAGGCTGCTGAGTCCCAGGGCCAGACCCAGCACCAGGCACATAGTAGGTGCTCCGTAAATATCAGCCCCACGTGGAGCTTACAGTATGTCAGAATGGAATGGGGACAGGATACTGGGGGACTGGGGGTAGGGGGTGTTTAGGGAGCCTTGAAAATTCAACTCCTCAGGGGCCAGGGAAGGCCCACTGAGAAGGTGCCATCTGAGTAGAGAAATCCAAGGTTATGAAGGAGCAGGGTGTGCCACTGTCAGGGGGAAGGGTGTTCAGGCAGCAGGAAGAGCAGGTGCAAAGGTCCTGGGGTAGGCATGTGCCTGGAGTGTTTGAAGAGCAGAAGGGAGCCAGGGAGGCTGGAGTGCAGCGCGCAAGGGGGCCTTGTGGACAAGGCCACAGCCAACTCTGGGACCACAGCAGCTTGTCGGGCCAGGCTCTGAGCTGCGGTAGAGGTGTTGACAGAGGCACCTGACCCCTGGAGCCGCTGGAAGAGGGCTGAGGGCCGCCTCTTTTGAAGGTTTGACTCTAGCATCTTTGTCTACGTCTCCCAGGAGATGATGCTCCTCTCTCAGCTGGGTGGATGTACCTGCCATGCCAGGCTCCCCTTTCATCTCTCCAGTCATCTTCATTTACCTGATTCCTAGACAGGAGGCGTGGGCTCTGGAATCTAGGTGAGGAGAGAGAGGCCTGGAGGTTCCTGGGAGGTGCTCCTTGCTCCTTCCCAAAAGTTCTAGGAGGACACCCCTGCTGGCTCAGCCTTCTGCAGCTGCCCTGTCTGTACTCTGAGAGGACTCCTTACATCAGAGCAAAATTTAGCCTGATGCTCTCTAAATACAGGTGGGTAGGCTGAGGCCAGATGGTGCAGGGGTTGGCCTGAGTTCACCCAGCAAATTAGAGACCGAGGGCTGATGTCAGCCAGTACGTTTGGAGCCCAGGGGTCCAGCTGGGCAGGGTCCCAGGAATAGCCTGCAGAGGCCACCCCATCCCTCCCCACTCAGCTGATTGACTCCTGGGGCCTGAGTCCTCACTGCCTGGAACTGGAGGAGGAGGAGGAGGGTTGGCTCTTAGGATGGGAATGGCCAGGAAGCTTATTAACCAAGCACCGGGCTGGGGAGGTGGAAGATTCCGGAGGGAAGTGAAGAGAGAGGTACCAGAGGCCAGGAGGTCCAGCCAGGGCTGTACTGTCAGCATTAGAAGCTCAGGCAGACCCAGAGGTGACATCACAAGGAAACCATCACAGGCCTGGACCAGGTATACCACCAAAAGGCTATCGTTTCCTGCCAAGGTCACCTGTGTCCCATGGTAGTTAAATCTAACAGCCACGTCAGTCCTCATCCTGATCTCAGCAGAGTTAAAGATATTCTTTCTTGAAACGCTCTTGAGCTTTTGGCTTGACTCCACTCCAGGCACCTGCTTAACTTTGAGAATGTCCCTTTTGGGGCTCCTTGAGGCCTCTCCTCTCCTCCCCCATCCTCCTTCCCTCCTAACATTCATGTGCCCTAGGTGCTCTCAGTCTAGTAGAGTAGACAGACCAAGGCTAATGAACCTAGCGTGAGGCAGGGGCTTCTTAGAGCTAGGACAGAAGATTCCCGGGACAGTATAAGGAAGCATCTATTCTACCTGGAAGAGTCAGGGAGGGCTTCCTGGAGGAGGCCTCAGACCAGATCTGTCACTGTTTGTGCTATCCAGATGCTGAGGTTCAGGGAAGTGAAGTCTCTCACCCAGGTCACATAGCCTGTAAATGATGGGGACAGGATTTGTCCCCCTTAGCCTTGCCTCCCCAACCAAAACTTGTGACCTGCCTCTGAGGGCCACAGGGAGCCATGGGAAGCTTTAGAGCAGTGGTCAGAAAGCAGCTCAGGATGAAGACAGCACGAAGGTCCTAGGCAGGATGGGACTTGCCCAAGGAGCCTTCACCCTGCCCCTTCCACCAGGCTTTGGTGACAGCTGTCCTCTCTGAGAGGACCTAGAAGACAGTCAGATCATGGGTTCAAACCAGATCCTGTGTACAGCCACTCCAGGGTCAATGAGTTTGGTTGCTCGGTGCCTGGAGCTGATGGTGAGGACTGCTGGGTTGGTCCTGAACTTGCCTTCCTCCTGTTTTGGCCCTCCCGCTGTGCCCCTGGTGTACAGCTAGTTCCAGGAGTTGCGGGGTGAGGCTCACTCGCTTCGGCTCCTCTGCAGTCTCCCAGGAGCTTGGACGGCTGCTTCCTTGCAGACCCCCTCTCTGTGAAGCTGAGTCTGCTTCCGTTCCACTCTGCCGTCGTCCCTTCTTCCTGCCATATGTTCCTAATGGCCTCATTTTTCCTCCCAGGCAGAGTCAGTGGCCATCTGCAAACTTGGCAGTGTCACATACGTTCCTGTACCCAGCTTGCTCAGAAGGGTTTTAAATAAGGCCGATTCTAGCACCGGTCCCTAGGGTTACCTCCTGTTTTATGCATTCCTTCCAGAGGACCTTATTTGATCCTATTGTTTGTTTCCTCTTTCCTTTTTCTTTGGACAGGGTCTCGCTCTAGCTCCCAGGCAGGAGTGCAGTGGTAAGATCATGGCTTACTGCAGCCTCGACCTCCTGGGCTCAAGCAATCCTCCCACCTCTGCCTCCTGAGTAGCTGGGACTATAGGCATCCACCACCGTTCCTGGCTAATGATTTTTTTTTTTTTTTTTTTTTTTTTTTTTTTTTTTTAGAGATGGGGGTCTTGCCATGTTGCCCAGGCTGATCTTGAATCCTGGGCCTGGGCCCAAGTGATCCTCCTGCCTTAGCCTCCCAAAGTGCTGAGATTACAGGTGTGAGCCGCAGAACCTGGCTATTTCCTTTTTCTAAGCCAATAACCTACCTGTGGCAGAACAAGCGCCTCTCTTTGAAAAATGCCAATCATGTGTCTATTGTCCTGGGTCAGAACTTTCAGAAAGTCCAAGGTCCCACATCCTGATTCTCCAGGAACATTTTAGCCTCCCCGGAGCGCCACCTGGTTGTTTACATCGTAGAAATGCTACTTCCTCTACCAGCAACTTCTCCTGGCCAGCAGTTCTTGGGTGGCACAGCGCCCCTGAAATCCTTCATCCCTCAGCCCCAGGCTCATGCTGTTCCCACTTGGAAGCGTGTCCCCATTCTCTCGCACATTCCACCAGATAAACACGTGCCTGGTGGTGGAAGGTGTCTGAGATCCTTGGCCGGTGATAGCAGGTGTGAGACGGGGTGCTCATCTCCTGTGCCAACTCTGATAGATTGGCCGTTGCTTACCAGAGTATGGTGTGGAGCCATTCCAGGCTGTGCTTGGGCTCGTGGGAAAGAATCCATCTGCTGATTGATTCGTGATGTCTGCCACCTCTGTGATGGAAAAGATTGGTGGTATGTGTGCTAGAAAGTGCCATCTGAGGCCGGCTGCCTTTTGTTTTGAAACAGTCTCACTCTGTCACCCAGGCTGGAGTGCAGTGGTGCAATCTCAGCTCACTGCAACCTCCGCCTCTGGAGTTCAAGCGATTCTTCTGCCTCAGCCTCCCGAGTAGCTGAACTACAGGCATGTACCACCATGCCCGGCTAATTTTTGTGTTTTTAGTAGAAATGAGGTTTCACCGTGGTGGCCAGGCTTGTCTTGAACTCCTCACTTCTGGTGATCCTCCTGCTTTGGACTCCCAAAGTGCTGGAATTACAGGCGTGAGCCACCGTTCCTAGCCCCGCCGCCTTTTTCTCTTGGGTTCCTTGTCATGCCATGTACTGTGGAAGGTGACATTGCTGGATGGTGGCACATGTTGGCTGCTTTGAGGGCTGAATGGGAGACAAGCTCTGCTCGTCTTAACCAGTTTGGGGAACAGTTGGGAATTGCTCTGTGCTTAGCAGCAAAAAGCTGTGGGTTGGCCCCTGCATTGGGGTAGGCTGGGGCAGCTTTGGTAAACAGAAAGGGTTTATCCAGGCATGGGGCTTTGGGATCCCTCCAGCCTTGGTGCAGGGCCTGCTCTTTTCCTGGTGGCATCTCACTGGCCCCGAGGGGCTGTAAGGCTGAAGCATTTCCTAAGCTGTAGGCCAGGGTGTCTTTCAGGATCCTGGGTGGGGGAGGGTATGAAGGGGCCCAAGCTAAGCTGCTCCCACTGAGACCCTGAATCATCATTTCATTCCCTTCTGTCTCAAGACTAGAACTGATGTCTAGTTGGCTGAAAGCATGTTGTCGGGTGTGGCTCCTGATTCAGAGAAGGGCCACTTTTGGTGAAGCAAAAATCCCAAGGACCCTGGGATCCCAAGAAGCAGTAGTAAAAGAAAGAATAGTATTCTCGGGGATGAATCTGCATTCTAGTCGCACAGCTGTACCTTGGATTTGCTGTGTGGCTTTAGGGAAGTTAATTCCCTACTCCGGGCCTATCTTTCTTCTCCGTACAAGGAAGAGGACTGACTAGAGATCTAAGGGCCCTTTTTGCCCTAACTGATGAGATGGGCTGTCTTGGGCACAATGTGTCTGATTAGCTTTCGGTGGGGCTTGTTTGAGAATCTGAGCTCAGGGATGATGAGTCCTGGAGGCTGCTCTCCCAGACATGGATTTGGTGCTCGTGTGTTGGGCGATGAGTTGAAGAAGAGATGCTGGAGTTGAGTGGCCAGTGTGGGAATGATAGAGGGGCTGATGACACAGGCCCGACCCGGGTCATGAGAAGCCAGGCCCTGCCTGCCTCTCCCCAGGACTGTTTTTGCCTGGAGGTGGGATAGGCACCCATTCTAGAAATGTCCCCGTCCCTGGCCTCCCCACTTACCTTGTACTCTTTCTCTGCCTCTCCAGCCCTGTTCCTCCTATACATACCCGAGATTCCAGATGTGCTAAACGACTCACAGGCTCACAGCTCAGTGTTTGATTTCTCCCCTGGGCATTTGTACCCATGGACCCTCTCCCTCCTGGACCCCTCTGCCTCCTGGACCCCTCTCCCTCCCACAACCCCTTCTCACCTCCTTCAACATTCAGCTGGGGCAAGCCACCACAGAAGCCTTCTCTGACCTTCGCCTTGTACCTTGCATCTGGCTTGAGTCAGAGGCCATCCAAGACTGCCTCCCTCCCCATTAAATTCCTTTGCCACCCTGTCCGGGTTTGATTGCTGCTTCCCCACATTATAGCTGTGTGAATTTGGGAAAATCCTTTTATCTTTCTGCCTAGATCCCTCATCATCAGATCTGCAAAAGGAGACAGTACTTGTGTTAGTCAGGATAGGCCAGGCTGTGTTGCACTAATAAATATGTCCTGAAATCTTGGTGGCTTAAAATACCCAAGTCTGGTTCTTCCCCCTGCAAAGCGCTAAGATGAGCTGGGTGCCTCTCTGGAGTGGCTCTCTTCCATGCAGTAACTCAGAGATCCAGGGTTGCTTTCATCTATGGCTCCACCCTCTCAACATGGGGCCTCCGTGTTTACCGCTAAAGGGGACAGACCACAAGCACACAGACGTCCCGCTGCTTTTTAACAGTCTTAGCATGGAGGTGATCACTTCTGCTCATAACTTTATAGGCTAAAATGTCTCATGGCCCTACCTGGAGTGGGTCTTCCATGTTCCTGGGGAGGGAGACCTGGCTAGGGGTAAGCACTAAGGAATCTACTACAGTCCATGAATCCATAAAGCTTAAGAACCTTTTGGCTGGGTGCAGTGGCTCATACATGTAATCCCAGAGTTTTGGGAGGCTGAGGCGGGAGGATTGCTTGAGTCCAGGAGTTTGAGACCAGCCTGGGCAACATAGGGAGACCCTTTCTCTACAAAAAATAACCAAATTAACTGGTTGTAGTGGTGTGCACCTGCAGTCCCAGCCTCTTGGGAGGCTGAGGTGGGAGGATTGCTTTGAGCCTAGGAGGTCGAAGCTGCAGTGAGCTGTGATTGCGCCACTGCACTCCAGCCTGGGCGACAGAGTTGAGACCCTGTCTTGAAAAAAAACCCCAAAAACAAAAAACCCTCTGGTTTAGTGACCGGCTTGTAGCAAAGAAGTGGCATTAGCCTGGGAAGACCTTAGGATGCTCTTGTCTAAAGACCAGGTGGGAGAACTGAGGCTCAGAGAGGGCTGGGGCCTTGCCTGAGATGGCATGTGGAGTCTGCGGAGGGGCTGTAGATCCTAGTTCTCCCACAGTCCAGGCCATATTCTTCCTTCCTTGTTCTGCTCACTGTAGCCTGGCCTCCTGCTGTGGGATGCAGGCAGGGATGGGGGCGTCATCTCTGGGGCTCTTGTGAAATTATTTTAAGACCGTGGAAAACAAATTAGAATTTCAAACCATCCAGCCCTCTTGAAAGCAGACTGGGGGTGTGTTCGAAGTAATGTAATTTTTGCTTTGTTTTATTAATAGGATGTGGGAGGTGAGGGGAGGGTGTGAGCCGATGGTGACTGAGGATGCTGGCTTCAGTGCCTTGGTTGACAGTGCAGTCCTGAATCGGGAACATTGGAGGAAGAGCAGGGGTGGGAGTGTGTTTTGGGGGTGGGGGTGGGGAGGATAAACCCAATTTGGGACACACTGAGGCTGAAGGGCCTTGAGATAGTTCCGGGTAGTGGCCAGGGAGCCCTGGCCTGGACATTCAGATTTGGCAACTGCTGGTCTGTATCCGGGAGGTTCTAAACTGGAGTCTGTGGTCTCTCTGGGACTGGGGGGCTGTGTTAATTTCCTTTGGTTGCCATAACAAATGACCACAATCTGAATGGCTTGAGAGAAATGTATTCTTTCATAGTTCTGGAGGTCAGAAGTCTGAGATCGGTCAGCAGACTGAGATCAAGGTATCAGCAGATCCCCAGTAACCTCCGAAGGCTCTGGCAGAGGATCCTTCCTTCCTCTTCCAGCTTCTGGGGAATCCTGTTCCTGGCATGTGGCTGCATCACTGCCATCTCCGGCTCTGTCCTTACATGGCCTTCCTCTCTGTGTGTCTGTGTTCTTTCCCCTTCTTAGAAGGATATCAGGAACATTTTCTTTCTTTTTTTTTTTTTTTTTAATGGAGACAGAGTCTCACCCTGTCACCCAGGCTGGAGTACACTGGTGCGATCTCAGCTTGCTGCAACCTCTGCCTTCCAGGTTCAAGCGATTCTCCTTCCTCAGCCTCCTGAGTAGCTGGGATTATAGTGCCTGCCACCACGCCTGCTAATTTTTGTATTTTTAGTAGAGACGTGGTTTTGCCATGTTGGCCAGGCTGGTCTTGAACTCCTGACCTCAGGTGATCTGCCTGCCTCGACCTCCCAAAGTGCTGGGATTACAGGTGTGAACCACTGCACCCAACCAGGATACCAGGAACTTCTAAGTCATTGGGCTTAGGGCCCAGCCTAAATCCAGGAGGATTTCATCTTGAGATCCCTAGCTAGTTACACCTACAAAGATCCTTATTTCCAGATAAGGTTACATTCTGAGGTCCTGGGGTAGACATGAATTTTGGGGGACATGATTCAACCCACTACAAGGGCCATTTATGGGTGGGCTTCGGGAGGGCTGCACACCACCTAGATCCATACGTAAAATCCCATGCATACATTTCCCCTGGAAAGACACACAGCTCTCTTTGATTTGTTAGGGCCCCCACAGATGCGGGGACCCATGCTCCTCCAGGACCCATCTCTGGCAGATAGGGCTATTGGGACAGAGGACAGGCCACAAACACAGAAAGAAGGGGAATGTGGAGAATGGGCCATCCATGAAGGAGCCAGATGGAGCCAAGAAGATATGGCAGAAAGATGTTTTGGAGGGTTTGGGAGACTGGCCATACCTCCTAGGTGTTACAGGCATCTTTAAGAACCTGATTTTTTTGGATCTATTCCCACAAGAATGTACATAATGAACACACACACCTTTGGTATACAGCTCTGGTACACGAGCCCCCGCTACCCCAAAGCCCATCCCTGGGCCTCTGGAGACCCTGATTCAGACTCCAGTTAGGGTACCTTGCTAGAGGAGAAGAGTTTGAGGACAGGGGGAGGGAACAGCACTAAATGCTGCAGACAGCTTGAGGCAGACTGACAATTAGGAAGACAAGGGCCATTGCTTTCGCTTCTGGCATTGAGGATTACAAGAGAGAATACGGGCGAAAGTGCTCTGTGGTTTTAAAAGTTAAATGACTTATCTTGTCATTTTTTTTTTGTTAAACGCTATAAAGCAATATCTGTCCATGGTAGGAAAAAATGAGGAAATATGCAGATAAGCCAAAGGAGGAAAATCCCTTTAATCATATTATGCATAGATCGCCACGGCGGCCACCTGGGTATATGACCTTCTGAACCTTCTTCTCTGTATTTTATTTGACATGAATGGGACCATAACATACGTAACGGTGTAACTCACATTTTCACGTGAAGAAGTGCTCATGAAACGTCTTTACCAGCCACATAGAGTTCTGTTGTCTGGTTGTACTGCACCTTAACCAGTCTTCTGCTTCTGAACAAATTGTTTTGCATCGTTTCCTTCTTGGTAAACAATTCTGTAGTGAACATCCTTGGAGTTTCTTTTGTGCATCTGCTTCTATAGGGGAAAGTACGCCACAGACTCTAAACCGTAAAGCACTTTACTGATGTACACATCTCAAACGCCTTTTATTTGATGCTGAATCTGTGTGAAGCTAGTCCTCAGCTATCCCATCCCACATCTGGGAACTGGCTTTAGGCAAGTTAATTCCCCACTCAATCAATGGCACATTGCAGAATGGAACCTTTCCAGTCAACATGGCTCACCATGTGTTTGCCAGCACACACCCAGTATGCCAGGCCAGCTGCTGATTGGGCAAATGGGGCCAGACACTGAAGTGGGCCCCATAGGCCCACCAAGAACAGGTCTTGCTTCCAGTTTATGGATGAGGGAACAGAGATTTAAAGGTCATACAACTAGTAAGTAGCCCAACAATCATTCAGACTGGCTCTTCTGGGTACCTGATATGGTTTGGCTGTGTCCCCACCCAAATCTCATCTTGAATTTCCACATGTTGTGGGAGGGACCCAGTGGGAGGTAATTGAATCATGGGGGCAAATCTTTCCCATGCTGTTCCCGTGATAGTGAATAATTCTCATGAGATCTGATGGTTTTAAAAAGAGGAGTTTTTTTTTTTGTTTTGTTTTTTTTTTTTAAAAAAACTCCAGGGCCTGTGACCCTAACTAGTCCCATGTGTCGGATGATGCCTGGAGGCTGTCTGTGTGAAGGTGGTGGTCCGTATTTAAAGCATTCATCACTTGTGCTCGCTTTGGCAGCACCACATATACGAAAACATTGATTACTTAATACTTGTGTTCCATGCCGGACTAGAATAGAGGAAAAGGAGTTCCATTCCTGCTGCCGTTTGGCTCTCTAGCTTCGCAACTCTGGCCTCCTTGTGTGTCCCTGAGGTGAGTTTATTTCTCGTGATGTTAAAGGGATCTGGAACTGCACGGTCGTCGGGCTGGAGATGTCACCTCCAGGCCTCTTCTGCAGACAAGCTGCTCCTATGTTCACTTTCATTCTAAGGAAGGGCTCCGTTTTCTGGGGAAAGCTTCTCTTAAGCTCCACTGGCCTACAATTCTCAAATGAGAAATAGCTCTTGCCTTGAGTTGGTGTAAAGGGGATATCTTGGGCCCTTGGCTGAAAGCCTTTGAATTGTTAGTAGCTTGGAGCTTAAGAGTCTCTAGGATGGGTCTGGCATCATCACCCTCTAGATCTAAATGGATATCCACCTTCCATTCTGCCTCTCAAATTGCAGACTTGGCCGAGCTGCTTAAGCATGTTGAGCCTTAGTTGTCTAGTCTGTGATATGGGAATCGTATTAGTCCATTTTCATACTGATATAAAGAACTACCTGAGACTGGGTAATTTATGAAGAAAAGGGGTTTAATTGACTCACAGTTCTGGAGGCTGTACGGGAACCATGGTTAGGGAGGCCTCAGGAAACTTACAATCATGGCCGAAGGTGAAGGGGAAGCAAGCATCTTCTTAACATGGTGGAGTGGAGGAGAGAGAAAGAGTGAAGGGGGAATTGCTACATGCTTTTAAACAACCAGATCTCATGAGAACTCACTATCTTGAGGACAGCAAGGGGGAAGTCCGCCCCCATGATCCAGTCACCTCCCACCAGGTCCCTTCTCCAACATTGGGGATTACAATTCAACAGGAGATTTGGGTGGGACACAGAGCCAAACCATATCAGGAATTGAACTTCTACCTTCCATGCCTCATAGGAACATTAGAAAGCGAGTTCCATTGTCCTCTGTGGGTGAAGAACAAGTACCATATGTTTGGAAGAATGATTTGTCATAACCCACTTTCCCAGAAGTTGTTATTGTTCTGAAATTGAACTTTTGTTATTTTTGTCCTCATATTTTCTGAGAGCAGTATAGAATGTTAGGAAAGAGATTCAGCATCTTCCTATGCTGGGTACCATGAGGTGTTCTTCTCAATACAATGCTATACCCCATTTATTCCTCATGGGATAAGCACCACGCTTCTTCCCGTTTTATAGGTAGAGCAGACTGAGGCTCAAGAGATAGCATGGTGTGTTCAAAGCCTAGGTTGTGGAGTCAGATGAGACACAACATGGGCTTGGGTACTGTATTAGTCCGTTTGCACACTGCTGATAAAGACATACCCGAGACTTGGCAAGTTACAAAAGAAAGAAGTTGAATTGGACTTACAGTTCCATGTGGCTGGGGAAGCCTCACAATCATGGCAGAAGGCAAGGAGGAGCAAGTCCTGTTTTACATGGATGGCAGCAGGCAAAGAGAGAATGAGCTTGGGCGGTAGAACTCCTCTTTCTAAAGCTGTCAGATCTCATGAGAATTATTCACTATCACGGGAACAGCATGGGAAAGATTTGCCCCCATGATTCAATTACCTCCCACTGGGTCCCTCCCACAACATGTGGGAATTCAAGATGAGATTTGGGTGGGGACACAGCCAAACCATATCAGGTACCCAGAAGAGCCAGTCTATATGATTGTTGGGCTACTTACTAGTTGTATGACCTTTAAATCTCTGTTCCCTCATCCATAGACTGGAAGTAAGACCTGTTCTTGGTGGGCCTATGGGGCCCACTTCAGTGTCTGGCCCCATTTGCCCAATCAGCAGCTGGCCTGGCATACTGGGTGTGTGCTGGCAAACACTTGGTGAGCCATGTTGACTGGAAAGGTTCCATTCTGCAACATGTCTCTGATTCTTGATAGGAACATTTGGACTATCCCCTTTTGTCCTGGGAGATAAGAGGACGCACCTAATAGGTTGTTGTGACAATGAAATGAGCAAATGCAGGTAAATTTCCTAGAGCAGTTGACAGCACAGATGTACACTGCCTTGCTGGTCCTTCAGGGTCTTAGATTTCAACCCTCTCATCCCACTGTGACAGGGATGCTTGTAGGGTCCTTTGCCCTAACTCACTATGGCTCCAGATAGTTGTTAGCTAGTTTATATCTGCTATTCTTCATCTCAATCTTCACTTCTTACAGTTATTAGTATCTTTTTTTCACTCCACTCTTTTATTTCTTAATTTGATGGGTGTGTTAGTTTTTTCCTTGTTGCATAACAAATGACTACAGATTTAGAGGCTGAAAACAGCATTAATTTGTTATCTCACCATTTCCTTGGGTCGGGAGCCCAGGCAAAGCTTAGCTGGGTCTCCTGCTTGGATCTCACAAGGCCACAGTCAAGGTGGTGACTGGGCTGTGTTCTCATCTAGAGGCTGGAGTTGGGAGAGAAGTGCTTCCACACTCATCTGGATTGCTGGCAGGATTCATTCCCTGTGGCTGTGTGACTGAGGGCTCCAGCCTATTTCTGGCTCTTGGCTGGGCCTGTCCTTGGGTGCTGCAGGTGGCCCTGAGCCCCTAAGAGGCTCCCGCAGGCCTCTGCCATGTGGTCCTCTCCATAGGCAGAGCCCAGCATGGTGCTTTGCTTCTTCAAGGTGGACAGGGTGTCTCTCTCCAGCCTGTTCAGACAGAGTCTAACAGGAACAGGAAATAGAATGAAACGCCATCACAGGAGAGAGGATTTATCACCTCTGCCTTACCCTATTGATTAGAAGGAAGCTGCAGCTCTCACCCACCCTCAAGGGGAGGGAATTATACAAGTATGTGGATCACTGGGTTCGCCTTCAGGCGTGTCTGCCTTGGTGAGTTTAGTAAGCTGACAGCTTATTGAAATACAAAATAAGAGTTATTAGTTTAAAGCAGATACAATGCATTTTGACCATCAGATGTCTGTTTGTCTTGTGGTTCTAGGCTGTGTTCTGGAGAGTGAAGGGTGCCAGATAAATAAGTTATTTAGCCTGTTACTTAGCCTGTTACTGTTTGTTTTTTGTGTCTAAATGGCCTGAAGTGAGAGGAAGAATGGAGAACAGGGGAGGAAAGTGAGCAGGACCTCAAAAGGGATAGAGGAGAGAGGGGACATATACATGGACCTTCTTTACGTACATATGCAAATGCCTTTTGATAGACAATTTTATTTTTAATTATTATTTTTTTAGAGATACGGTCTCACTCTGTTGCCCAGGCTGGAGTGCAGTGGCATGATCATAGCTCAGCACAGCCTCGAGCTCCTCAAGCAATCCTCCTGCCTCAGACTCCCAAGTAACTGGGACTACAGGTGTGCACCACCATGCTGGCCTATTTTTTTAAATGTTTTTTTTTTGTAGAGACAGGATCGTGCTTTCTTGCACAGGCTGGTCTTGAACTCCTGGCCTCAAGCAATCCTCCCACCTTGGCCTCCCAAAACCCTGGGATGACAGGTGTGAGCCATCACGCCTGGCCCTGACAGTTTTAGATAAGTGCATAAATGTTACATTTATAAAGTTCAGTATATTTTTTCCCTTGTTTTGTTTATCTCCTAACCCTCCTTCAGTGACATCCCCCCTCACTCCCACCCTGGAACTCATGCTAATGATCTCATATAGATCTCTTTCATACTTTTCCATGCTCTTATAGTCAGTTACAAACATATATGAATGCTTTCCTGGATCTTTTCTTATTCAACCATGTCCTATGGAAATCCTCCCACCTCAATAGCTGTAGATCTAGTGCATTCTTTTTTTTTGAGACAGTCTCATTCTGTCACTGGGGCTGGAGTGCAGTGGAGTTATCTTGGTTCACTGCAGCCTCTTCCTCCCAGGCTCAAGCAATTCTCATGCTCAGCCTCCCAAGTAGCTGAGATTACAGGTGTGTGCCACCACGCCCAGCTAAATTTTTTTCTGTATTTTTAGTAGAGACAGGGTTTCACCATGTTGGCCAGGCTGGTCTCCAACTCCCAGCCTCAAGTGATCCTCCTGCCTTGGCCTCCCAAAGTGCTGGGATTACAGGCGTGAGCCACACCGCGCCAGGCCTCTAGTGCATTCTTTTAACAGCTACATAATATTCCAGTGCGTGGGTGTGCTGTAATTCAACTGACCATTCCCTATTGATGGGTATTTGTTTCATTTCTCATTTTTTTTTTTTGCCATAATAAATAGCACCAAGATAAACCTCCTTGCACGCACATACATCCTACAGAGCTAGTTTTATTTCTCTGGGGTATAATCCCAGGCATTGGATTGCTGGGTCAAAAGGTTTGTGTGCTGTTAATTTTAATAGCTGTTGCCAGCTGGATTTCCCCAGAGGCTGTAATACTTCACATTTACCCTGGTAATTTGAGAGAGGTCGTTTTCCTGTATCTTGCCAGCAAGAGATGTTATTGGCCTTGTTAGTTTTGTGGGGGCTGAGAGGTATAAAGTGATCTCATTGTTGCTTTCCATTTTCATTTCCCTGACAAGCAGGGGGGCTGAGCAGCCTTTCATCTGTTTGGCCCTTTGGCCGTGCTCTTGTGAGTTGCATCTGTGGATCCTTTGCTCATTTCCCCGTTGGGTCCTCTGCCCCTTCTTGTCCACTGTCAGCCCTGTGTATAGCATAGATATCAACCCTCTTTTTGCCTTCTGTGTAGCAGTTATTTTGCCAGAGATGTTGTGTGTTCATTTTGTTTATGATATCCTTTGCTATGTAGAAGTTCTTATTGTTAGTCAGTTTAAAAAAAATCTGTGTCTTCTTCTGCAGTCTCTGGGTCCCCAAGGTTGGTTAAGAAGCCTCCTTTCCACCCCCTGCTCCTGCCACATGCCTACCTTCCTTTCACATCCACAGCTCTGGACTGGGGCCGGGAGTCAAGGTGGGCTGCTGCCTCAGCTCAGAGCTTCCCAGCCAGGATACAAGTGTGCCCAGCTCTGATGCCCTCAGCCCTCGGAGCAGCCAGGCAGGGCCTGGGGTAGCCAAAGCCTGAGGAAGATCACTGCCTGCCATGGACGGCCTCATCCCTTTACCCCGTACAAATATTTTCTGTTTTCCAAGTTTGCATGCTTCAAGGATGACAGCTGAGTCAGCCAGGTGCAGAGGAGGAGGGTGGTATGAGAGAATTCCTGGAGGAAGAAACAGCAAGAGGAGTGGGGTGGGGGGTCTTGTCCTACCTGAGGAGTCCCACCCTGGGCCATAGGAAGAGGTGGGCACAGGGGAGCAATGGGCATGTGGGGAGGTGTACCACCAGGCTGCAGAAGGCCCAGTGCAAACCAGAAAGGAACCCAGAGTGGGTGCCCACCATAGCGGGGATGTTGGGGAGAGGAGAGTTGGACACTTTGCCTCCTTTTTAGTACATCTGAGGTGGGAGGGGCAGGGCCCCTGTGTGACAGCTGACCTCCTGGCATGGCTCAGGTCATCTCTCCTGGCTGCTCTTGATCAGTGGTCATCAAAGAGGTATACACGAATTTGCAGGAGAGTTTGAGAAGACCTGCAGAGTGCAGGAGACAGAATTAGAACTGCATTTCTATTTATGTTCTCATTTCTTCCTCTAAAGGTGTATTTTTGTGTGTGTTTAATGATGTACATAATATTAAGAAGGCAGTGCATGTTCTTAATTATAAACAAATATGTATCAGGACATATACATAATCAGAGTTTGGAGACAACTGCTCTTAGTGGCATGATGTATGGCAGCCCTTGGTCCTCTTACCTTCAGCGACTCCCAAGAGCGAGGGGATCCCCTGACATAGAAGGGAGGGATGCTCGTGTGGGCAGGGGAGGACTGGGAAAGTGATTGCTGGGAAGGGAATAACTTCTCCCATGCTCCCAGAAGGGCCATCTCCTTCTCACATATCACCCCTTAGAGCAGTCCCTCTCAGTGCCCCTTGCATGTTATTCTAGCCCCCTTTTTTCTTTCCAAGATATCTTCTAATTTGTAGTGATTTTGCCTATTTACCTTTTTCCTATTTCCCCACTAGACTGTAAGCTCTGTGAGAGCAGAGATGGGATGTTTCAGTCTTGGTGGTGTCCCCAGCACTTAGCACAGTGCCAGGCAACAAAACTGGCCCTCAATACAGAGTTGGGGAGCGTAATGAGTGGATGTTCCAAGCACATGTTAGTGTTTTCCATACCTTATTTATTTCTATGTCCTTGAAGGTAGACATCATCATCTCCATTTTGTAGGTAAGAAACTTGGGTTCAGAGAGGTTGAGTAATTTACTCTAGGTCACACAGCTGTTTGTGCCTAGAGGTGGGAGAAAGAGAGATAACATTTTCCAAGTACCTGCTAAATGCCTGGCTCTGACCATACCGTTGTTATAGGACCTTTGGGGTGTCATTTTTCTGGCTGGAAACCTCTGTGGCTGGTGGCACCTTTGCCTGAGTTTTGCTTAGGCCTGCTGGGCTCATTTCACGCACTCAGCCTGGAAGGCTGCACTTGGCTCATGCCACTGGCCTGGGTCCCACGCCTGCCAAGGGAGAGTCAAGTGTGGAATGGCAAGGGGTGTGTGAGCAAGCGTGGTGTGTGGCCACTGCACACAGTCAGACATGCCAGCTGCTGCAGTGGGGCAGGCAGCTCTGGGTGCCAGCACAGGTGCCAGCTCTCTGTGGGTCTGTGGCTGGACCAGGTGTACCACAAGCAGCTTCCACGGCTGGCACCGGGGAACACAAAGGCACTCGGAAGCTTGGAGATGCCAGGAACCACAGGGCCCCAGTGAGGGAGTCACAGCCCTGGCATGGGGAGCTCCCAGGTCTGGGCTCCCTGAAGGGCCACAGCTCTTCTCTTCTTCTCTTCACCTGCAATGTGGTGAGCAAGGGTCATGTTTCAGCCCTGTTTGTGTTACAGCTCTTTTAGCCTCATTCAGTGGTTCCCAAGTTCTTGTCCCATGCCCTGGAAGAATGAGATAGGCAGACAAACAGAAGGTGAGCAAGACGAAGAGGAGCTTTATTGAGCAAATATAGCTCAGTGGAGGCCCTGGAGTGGGTAACTCCTCTCTGCAGCCTGTTGTCCCGATGTCTGCTCAGCTCTGGCTGATCCCAGGGCTTTTATGGGCCTCAGAAAGTGCATGCTGATTGGTCCATGGGCACCCATGGGCGGGCCCAGAAAAGGCACCACAAGTTCCCACTCTGTGAGACTGGCATCTGGCCCCCAGCCTTCAGGTCCTCCCTGATCTGAAGGTGGGGCCTCACCAGGGACCCACCCCCTTCTACCCAGGAAACTGTCTGCCTCCTGCTGCTGTTCATAGTGCCCCAGGCTGTAGGTGCCAAGGGGCACCTGCAGGCCAGTGCCAAGTTGCCCTTAGCCCTCCCTTGGCTTCCCTCCTGTGCTCATCAGCATCCAAAATTCAGAGGGGGCTGAGGCAGCAGGAGGCTGGTGTGTCAGCACTTTCCTGACCGTGTGCACATCTGGCTGGGCTGTGACAGGGCCTGGGCTTGGCCTTGACTTTGCTCTGAGATTGGAGCAGATGCTAACAGCAGGGGGAAGCCAGGCAGTGGGAGCAGGCTTTTCTGAGCCTATGAGGGTTGGGGGGAGGGGGCCTTCCTGGGCCCCTAAGAGTGCAGAGATGACTGGGTGGCTGCAGCTGTGCCTGGCAGGGGGTGGGGCCGGGCTCCTGCCTACTCCATGGAGCAGGAGGCCTGGGTCTGCTGCCATAGTTCAGACAGCTGCAGCGGCACCCAGGGATCTCCTGCCCCAACTCGGAAGGGGCAGGCCTCCTGCTTGTCCCCAGCTCCCGCCAGCTCCACGGAGTGTACAGCCCTGGCCACGCCTCCCTGCTGCAGCAGGCGTGATGGCAGCAGCTGCTTCAGATGGCTCGCTGCTGCCATCACCTTGATACCACCTCATTGGCTACGAAGAGGAAACTGTGTTCACAGAATAGTAAACTGAGACTCAGAGATGAGAAGCAGCTTTCCAGGGCCACACAATTAGGGAGTGGAAGATCCGGGATTTGAACACAGGTCTGTGTGAATCCTAGGCACATTCTCTTGCCACCACCCCAGCAGCAATTTCCTTTATTTTGAGTCAGCTCAAGTGCCTGGTGGTGGCTCTGAGGTCTGCATCGGGCACATCGGGGTGCAGAGTGAATGTGGGTTCCCCTGGCAGATGCCTCCCTGAGGGGCCATCAGCATGGTGAGGAGGCTGGCTAGATCAAGCCGCCCTGCGAGTGGGCACCGGGCCATGGGCACCAGGCCCCGAAGCCAGCCTGATTTGCCTGTGGAACGAGGAGGGTGATGTTTTATGCATGGTGCCTAATTTTGCCCTGGCAGTCTCTGGCTATATTTAACACCATTAATCATTATTGTTGGCTCCCAGGGGGATGGATCCCTGATTAGTGTCAGAAACACATCTTATGAGGAAGAGAGAGGGAAAAAATAAGAGCTTCACCCCCAACTTGATTTCTTCCAACTGAAGCCGGGACTCCCATTCCTGCCACCATCTCTTTGCTATCTGCAGAGTTTGTGACTTGTGGCATCCTTGGCTTGGGATCCTGCCCCCCCTCATCAACCCCATCAGGAACCCTTATCATTGGGGCTGGAGCCAGGGCCTCTTAACCCCAATGGGCCCCTCTCAGTTCAAAGAAGAGGAGCCCCTCTTTGCATCAAAGCACTGTGTGGCTCAGCCAGGTCAGGACAGCTGCCCCAGGTGGAGCTCAAGAAAGGGTGGACCAGGCGCTTATTAGGCTCTTGCAGTAGGCAAGTCTCGCTGCTCAGTACCTTACCTGCCTTATTCCAGTCATCCCGACTCTGACCTTCCTAACGGATGTGTTTTTAACCCTTCTTGACAAATGGGGAAACTGAGGCTTGGAGTTAGCTTTCATAGGCCCATGGCTGGTTTGATCAAATGTGTATAATCACCCCCTCTCCATTTATAAAGTACCATGTGAACATTGTGTAACCCTGTGGTTTTGCCTTCAAATATCTGGAAGGGTCTTCAGACCATATCCAATACAGGCAAGCGTCCATCTTTCTGATAATCAAACATCACCATGCATATAGACCAGAGATTCGTGTACAACATTCATGTTCTGCTGTCTTCGGGCCTCAGATAAGGAGCTTGAAGCCCCTTCTGCTTATCTTCATCCTCCTCCTAACTCTGCCGTTTGACCCCCACTCCCTTGGGGCCCTGCTCATCCTGCCATTACCTTTGTGTTGACATTGGGACAGTGGCTCCTTGTCTCCTCTTGGAGATCGTGAGGCTCTTTCCTGAGCAGAGTGTCTGCCCTCCTGCTCATCGTGATGACTTTTCTTGACATGACTTTAGGGCTCACTAAGAACCTTCCCTAGCAGGGGTGTATATGGGAGACCAAAGAGAAGGCAAGGACAGAAGACCCTGTTATCATCCAGGGAGGTGGCAGACTGAAGATCCCAGAGAACTAGACAGAGGTCAGTGGAGAGTGGAGACAGGAGGACATAGGCTCTCTCTCTGGGGTGTGGGAAGGGACAGGACCACCATCAGGTTCACATCTGCATTTTTTGGGAACCAAAGGCTTCTTGCCCTGGGAGAGAGAAAGCAGGGGCGGGACAGTTGGTCCCCTCCCATCCACCCTGCCCAAGCCTGTCCTGAGTGGTGTCTTCTGACTTTCTTGCACTGTCGAGGGGACGATAACCACACAAATGACAACAGATGCCGGCCTGGGAATGGAACAGCATTTCCTAAGCAAGGGCTGGACTTCCCTCTCTTTTGTGCCAGATCTAGTGTCTCCAGGTTAGACTGCATTGGGTGCTCTTGGTCTGAAATGTTCAAATCCTGGGGCTCCCTGGAAGGGTCTGGAGTGGCCATCTGGAGCCCTCTTACTCTTGCATATGTGGAGCTGATGCACTGTGAGCACCTACTGTGTGCACAGCCTGTGCAAAAGGTTTTATCTGCGCAGCTAGTTAACTGAGGAGTCTTAATGCTTTATGGGTAAAACCAGGATATGGTTTTCATTTTTCCACTTGTTGCTTTTAATGGAATTCCTTCAAGTTCTCCTTTTTTTGAGCCTTAAGGTCCTCAGGCAGATTTCATTATTTTCCGGCCATTTCCAGTTAAAATATAATCTGATTCATTTTAGAACCTGGGACCTCACATCTCATCTAAAGCACTCTAAACCCTTCCCCTACAGCTTTTCCAGGCTGCTCCAGGAGTGGGGAGAAGGAAGGAATCTCACTCTCTATTGGACAGGCAGGTTGCAGAGGGTGAGTGGCCACCTACCCTGGTCTGGGTTAGCTCTGCCTACTCTGGTGATCTTCTGCTGTGGTGGCACCTCCTGGCTCCTGTTCCCTGACAACCTCCACCTCCCGGCCTGTGTCACCTCTCCTGGCCCATGCTCTGCTCTCTGCAAGGTTGGCATCCTTTGTGTAGAATATGTGTGGGGAGAATTGGTATTGGGGGTGATTCTGTTGGCTTGCGGTCAGTGCTGCCTGGTAGAGGATGGGAAGGGGGCAGGTCTGGCTCCAGTTGTGAGTAGCTTCTTGTCAGCTCTCTTTAGAATCTCGGGATACTTGGCCCTCCTTGTCCTTCATTTTGGCTTCAGCTGTCATTCCAGGGCACCATGAAAAGTCCCTCTCACATTCTGTTATGTGGCAATCTCTCTTGCTGACGCCTCACAATCACCCTGTTTATGGGATTATTCCTATGGACAGATGGGGAAATAGAAGCTCAGAGAGATGCAGTCGCTTGGCCAAGGCTGCTCAGCAGTGGAGAGTGGGTAATATCTGAACCTAGGTCTGGCTGACCTTTTAGCCCGTGGTTAAGAGCCCAGTGGAGTGGAATCACAGTACTGCCATTTCCTAGCTGTGTGACCTTGGACATAGTTACTTAACTTCCTTTTCCTCATCTATAAAATGAGGAGGATGACTAGCAACAATATCCTGGGTTTCTGGGGCGATTCAATACATTGTATACCATAAGACTCATGATTGCATTGGCTACCAGGACTGTTGGTGGCATTGTCCATCAGTTACACCATCCCCTCTAGGCTCCACAGGAGAAATGGCTTTCAGGCCATGATGTCTGGAAAATAGATGTTAAACAAGCAACAGTTACCATAAATTGATTGTGTTTTCCTCTTTGCTTTGGCTACTAGGAAGCTCAGTGAAATTGCTCAAAGTATATAGGCCTCCCTGGTCTCATCTTATTTTTTTACTACTTTTCTCTTTGCATAATTTTTATTTGTGTCTTATTTCCTACTGTATGAAGTTGTATTAACATTTTAAATTTCTGTATCAAGCTCTTGTTGTCATAAGCCAATGTTGCCATCAGAGGGGAAGTTGAGGGCAACGTAGAGATCCCACAGAGAGTTGCTCTCCCAGATCGTGTCCAGTTCTTATTCCTTAAAGAAAAGCACCTTTGAAAACAGAATTGCCCTTGTGGGAGTGGGAGAGGGGGCTGGTTAGTGAGACTGGACTTTCCTTCTAACTCTTTGGATGCTGAGGTGTGTGGTAGGGGAATCTGCTGATGACATCTGCAGAAGGAGGAATGCTTAGCAGCTCACTGTATCAGTTTAAGATTGATGCAGAAAATCCCCAAATGAGAGGCTTAAACAATCCAATAGTTGATTTCACTTTCATGTTCAAATAGTTTAGAAGAGGGTCCATTCCTGGGGTGGCATGGGGCCCCAGAGTCCAGGTACGTTAATAGCATTCTCGCTCGCACTGCTGTGTAATAGCTTCCATTCTCAAAGTCACTCATGTTCCATGTCCAGAGTCACTGTCGTTTGCCCTCACACCCTGCATTTCAGAAGGGAGGGCAAAGCAAAGAAGGGCACTTCCTAGAAGTTGCAGAAGACAGCCCCTCCCCACCGTACTTTGTCCTCATTGACTAGTTTCAGGACCGGCCTAGCTTCTAGGGAGGCCTGGGAAAGGAGTCCTCATTCTGTGCAAACTTGGGCTTCTTTGAGCCTATTTCCTCCACTATAAACAGTCTGACTGCCTTGCAGGGTTCGTGTGAGGATTAAATAAGAATGTAGTAAAATATAACAGGTGTTCTGCAAATGTAAATTTGCTTCTATTTTTAGTTTTCCCTTCCCTCTGTTACTTGGGTCTAAGAGAGAAGCTTTAGCTACACGAAGAAAGATTTAGGAGCAATAAAAAAAGAAAACTCTTTAAGAGGAAACGTTGCAGCACACACCAGGAAGCTGGGATAACAGATTCCCTTTGGCTCCAATCAGGGAGGCAGTAAAACTGAAATTAAACAGAAGGGTGGGGGTCCCGCGTCAATCACTAGAGGTTAGATAGGTGCAGAAATGGGGTACAGACCCTCAGAAGGACCTCCCGTGCCGTTTGATTCCAAAATCTTGTTGTGATCACCTTCCCCGAGTTCGAGGTGGTGAGTGCAATACATGTGCAAGGCGGGTTGCGTTTGAATGTGCAGCTGTTTTCATCCTCAAGATGAGCTCGGGCATTTCCAAGACTGTCTGCACACCAAGCACACTGGCATGGGGTACAGCATTGCTCAGCATCTCATTCCCCTGATGCCCCTTTCTGCCAGGGCTGAACCCTCAGGAAGTCCCCTGGGGCCTTTAAAAGCTGAGCTAGGGAGGGAGAGAGCCCAGCTGGTGGCTCGCTCTGCTCAGTGGGGGCTGCTGGGAAATGCTGCTCTTTCCTGGGTGTCTTACCAGGGTGGAGATGTTGAAGTCAGCAATGGGGCAGCAGGTCCTGGGGACCCCAGCTGCTCTGGCTACTGAGCATGCTCAGACACGGACTCTGCTGGGGATGGTTTGGTTCCCTGGAGGAGAAGGAAGAAGAGGAGGAAGAGGTGGTTTTGGGTGGGGTGGGCTTTAACTTGATGGAGGGAGGAGGATGGCTCTGTGCATGCGTGCACCTGTGTGTGTGTGTGTGTGTGTGTGTGTGTGTAGGTAAGCACTCCCACTGTTTTAAACGTTCTCTAGCACTGCTGGAGTGATGGGCAGCTGGAGGTGAGTTAGCTCATACATGCAGGTGCCTTCAGTATCTCATTTAATCTTTACCATCCCAAGAGGTCGGCATCACGCCCCCACTTACCAGAGGTGAAACTGAGGCTCGCATGGGAGAACAACTTGTCCAAGGTCAGTGGCAGCCAGCGGTATATTTGGAGAGATACAAATCCAGCTTTGTTAAACACTCAGCTTTGCCCTCCACCCCCTCTGGGGTAAATGGGCATAATCCCTACAGGGAATGCTGGGACTCTCCAACCCCCAGCTCTCACAGCTACCCTGTGGCTCATACCGGATTCAAACCCCAGGTCCACCCGGCTTCAAAAGCCAGCCGTGTGCTTCTTGATCTAGTCTTCCGACCTCTTCAAGCTTCTTCAGCAGCTGAGAGGATGCTCTAGACTTAGATTGCAACGAGTAGGGAGGTTTAGGTGGCTACTTGTCGGAGTGTTAACTTCTAAGCTGGGAATTTCTAGAATGATAGAGTTTGCACAGCACCGGCACTGCCGTGGCAAGTGGGCCAGCCCTGAGGGCCTCGGAAGGCAGCAGAAGTCTGCTCTCTGCTCTGGCACTTTCTAGGGACACGCTGCTCAAGTATGGCTCGTACAGGGCCTTCCCTAGGGGTGGTATCCACACTCCTAGCATGGTGCTTCCTGGGTTTCAGGCCAGTAGCTGAGATCTGGGGCACCTGCTACTAAGAAGCTCTTGTTTAAGCAGAAAGAGCTCAGACTTCCAAACCCACCAGGGTTGGGATCCAAATCCCTCCCGCCTCTCTGTGGTCCCTGCTGCCTGAGAGTTTCAGTTTCTGCACCTCTCCAGGCAGGACAGCAGCTGCCACCTGCTAGGGCTACTGTGGCAGTTCGCGGTGATGCCGATGTTGTGCCCAAGCCCTGTCATGAGGGCACTTGATGCATGGTAGCTATTAGTCATAATTTAGGACCTCTCTGTCCCTCCTATGAGACCACGTATGCTTTGGAGCTAAGGACCCCACCTCTTTGAAGTGCCTGGAGCTTACTTCATGCCATATCGGCGCTTCCCAGGCTGTGTTCTGCAGACAAGAATGTTCCCAAAAGGAGTGTTCTGTAACCACCGTGCATCGGAGGCATTGCGCTCAGTAGCCTTCTCAGGATCTTTAATATGGCAGAAAGCATTGTGACTCTGCAGGCGGACAGGGCCAGGTATCCAGCATTTCTCAAGCTTGACCAATAATCAGACCTTCCTGTCCTGCCTTCAGAATGCAGTGTAGTGTGCAGTCGAGAGAATATTCTGGAAGCCCACAGGCCTGGGTGTGGCTCTGGCAGCTTCCTGTACTTGCTGCCTGTTTCCTCTCTGAACCCTGAATCTCATTTCTTCCTCTGAGGAGTGGGGAGATGAATCCCCAGCCTTCCAGGTGGCTGATAATTAAATTGTGGGATGGAAGTAAAGCGGTTTGCACAGGGCCTGGCCGTCAGTGGGCTTCCAGCAAACGGGAGCCAATGTTCCTGGCAGGGGCTGGGTACAGGGCAGGGGAGCAGGAAATCTGACTTGGCTGTAGGAGGCGAGGAGGTGGGAGCAGGATCATTGAGAAACTGAAATGCTGTCGAATCTGAGTGGGGCAGAGGACGGAACTGAGTCTCCCTCCATAAAGGCGTTTTGTCCCGGAGTAGATTGACAATCTGTGTTACCTCCACCACATCTTCAGTCTGGGGGCACCTGGGTTCTCTCCTAGGATCTCAAGGAATTAGCTAATTAGGCTGGTGTGCCTAGAAGGCAGAGGTCATATGGGTCTGCGCAGTCATCAGTCCCGGCTCTGCCTTCCCTTTTCCTGAAATATGCAGTGGGAGTGCTGCAGGGTGTGGCACATGTCATCACTTCATGCCACAAATATCTACCCCAAGATATTCGCCCGAGGTGCCCTAAGGAGCTCATGGTCTAGGTGGGAGCTAGACCAGCAAATGCAGAATTAGAATAGGTGACTGGGGAGGGGCCAGGAGGGCAGAAGACCCACTGCTGCTGGGAGGGAGGACCCAGACGGGAGTAAGAGTAGGTGATGGCAGAGGTGCTGGCTCTTAAAGGAAGCCACAACAGCTCGCCTGGCAGATGCTGGGCTTGGAGAAGGACATTTTGGGAGAGGGAGTTGGTGGAGGGGGCCATTCAAAAGGACCAGAGAGTTTTCTTGGGAGTTCTGTTTTAAGATTTTAGTCTGAGTCACATCCTAATTTCTACCAGGATGATTGAGATGCATGAGATTGACTTGCATTTGTTCCAAACATGCTTTTCAAAAGCAAAACTGCTTTTTAAAAAAATCTATCTTTGTTCCCCCAGGTAAAACAAGTTCATGTCATTCTACCATTTGTCTGGCCAAGGACCCTCTCTGGTTTTCACTTTTTTAAAGTCTTTCCTTCTCCATTCCAGCTCCTGGACCCTCCTGGTGGGAAGCCACGTGTGTGTTGTCCTCAGATATGTGTGCATCCGTGTAAAATAAGCAGGCGTTTGCCTTAACCGACATCACTAGTCTTGTGCTATTTAAGTTCTTGTTTTACATCTTTACCATATCTACCCCACACGCTGTTTGAAAGCTCTGTCTGCACTGCTGTGAAGTCCACTCACGAGCGAGCTCTCCACGGATGCATTCCTGGCTCAGCCTCTCCCTAAGCGATGCCCACTTTGGTCCCCTCTCTGGTTTTCCACTTTACTAATGATGCTGTAGAGAATGCCCTTGTAGAGTCCCATCACAAGCTTGGAGGACGTGGTTTCTCTGGGGGGTGTGCCAAGGTTTGGGAAATGCCGAGTCAGCAGGACACGCACATCAAATTCACCGTGTTCCCAGATGCCTTTCCAGCCAGTCCCATTGGGCTCACTCCCACCAGCGGGGTTGGGAGCTTCCTTTTCCCACATCTGTGCCAGCACCTGTTGGCGATCGTCTAGTTTTGCTAATCTGATATGTGTAAAACATCTCATCCCTTTACTGTGTGTGTTGCTGATCAATGTATGTTTGAACATCATCTCCTTATATGCTTGCTGTTTGGATTGCTGGTGTCTGAATGGATGCGTTTATACACTTTGTCAATTTCCTCATCTTTTTGTCTTTTTTTTTTTCTTGTTGGTTTCTAAGTTCGTTCCATGTCATTTTTAGATGTTGCTAGTATCATCTCCCATTTTGATATGTTTGTCTTAAAGGTGTCTGTGTTTTCACTGAGCAGAAATCTATTTCTTTGTTGCTTCCTCTCTTTTTTTTCTCTGGCCTTAGAAATTGTGTGTGTGCCTTCTGTCTTGTTTTTAGAAGTCCTTCCCTTTACCAAGACCAAAAAAATTCTCCCACAATCTCTTCCCTTAGCTTTATAGTTTTACTTTATAAATTTAGGTCTTTAATCCATCTGGGTTCTGTCCTGTGTTCTCTGTCTGATAAGCACACAACCTCGTTTTTCTCTGTACTGTAAATCAGCTCCGCCCCCGCCCCCACCACCCACATCCATCCTTTTTCCTCCGGTTTCAGGAACCACCTTTATGGTGCTGAATTCAGCTCTTCACACACAGGAGGTTCTATTTCTGAGCTCTCTCTGCTGTTCCGTTGGTCTGTCTGTTTTTATACGAATGTCTTAGCCGTTTCTATTGCTGTACCTCTGGGACATCTCTTAATGCCTCGGAGGCCAGAAGTTTTGCTCTTCTTTTTCATGATTAAGCAACTGGCAGACCCTTTTCTTCTTCTAGACAATTTTAGAACTTATTGACCATATTCTCTAAAAACCCTGCTGTAATTATTATTGAAATTACTTGAAAATGTCTACACTACTTTGGGGAGTTAACATGTGACTAATGTTAACATGACAGTTTCCCTTTTGGGTCATTTTAATAATGTAAAACTTTTCTCCATACAAGTCTTGAGCATCTGATTCAATTCTAAAATAGTGTATATGTTTTCGTTGATAATATGAGTGGGGTGTCATTTTCTGTTGTGTTTTCTTCTAGTTGGTTATTGCTAGGGCAAAAGAATGCTGTTAATTTTTAAGTTGGTCACTTTGAACGTGTTCAGATTCTGTTGGATTTTTTCTATAGATGATATTATCTTAAACGTGAACAATGGTGGTCTCTCTGTCTCTTCTTCCAGTTATTTTACGTGATGTTTCTCCTTTGCCCTACTGCCCTTGCCGGGACTTCGTTTGATGTTGAGTTGTTGCTCAGTGGCAAACTTCCTTGCCTTGGTGTCAATCTTTTTTTTTTTTTTTTTTTTTTTTTTTGAGACAGAGTCTCGCACTATTGTTGCCAGGGCTGGAGTGCAGTGGCGTGATCTCGGCTCACCACACCCTCTGCACCCGGGTTCAATCAATTCTCCTGCTTCAGCCTCCCGAGTAGCTAGGACTAAAGGTGCGTACCACCATGCCTGGCTAATTTTTGTATTTTTAGTAGAGTCTGGGTTTTGATATGTTGGCCAGGCTGGTCTCAAACTCCTCACCTCGTGATCCACCCACCTCAGCCTCCCAAAGCGCTGGGATTACAGGCATGAGCCACTGTGCCCGGCCACCTTGGTGTCAATCTTAAGAGAAATAAGGTGAAAATTCCCAGCTAAGGGCGGCATTTGCTGTAGGTTTTACTATGTTGTGTTCATCCAGTCAAGGAAATTCTCTTCAATTCCTTGAGTTTTTAAAAGTAAATACATGTTAAATTTGGTCAAATGCTTTTGCCAATCTATTAAAATAATTCTTGCACTTCTGTGCTAAACTCTGTTCTGCCTAAAAGTACTTATAAAGCTCTGTGTGCCAGACTGTGTTGTAGGTGCTTTGTAAATATTTACTTTCTTAATCCTTATGACAGCTCTATAGAGCTAGATACTGTTTATTATCTCCTCCTTGCAGATGAGACAAGACACAGAGAGGTTAATTTACTCAAGGTCACACAGCTGGTCAGGCCCATCTCTAGCATTTGCAATACTGGGGAAGAGTATAAATGGACACACAGCAATTCTAGATATTTAAAGCTGTAAAACAAGATAACAAACTGTTAAACATCTATCCTCTTATCTGAGAAATATACGTTGATAAAGATAAAATCTACAAGATACCAAGATGGCCAAATTTAATGATTATTGCACATTTTGGCATTCCATTGTAAGTCTGAGATAGTTGGATGAGTAATAGTCATACATAACTCATAAATTATGTATTCCATAAAATTTTTCTTGCCTTCAATAAAATAAATTCTGATGTAATCAAGATTTTCATGTAGTTTGTGTTCTATTATAGTAGTGATATAAAAGATTAAAAATAAAACATAATTATGCTCAAAGCATACAAAATTAAACTTTTACCACCTAGAAGTGAAAGTAAATGTAAAAAAAACAATTTCTGAAGCTTTCAAAAAGTTTTTCATCTAAAATTGAGAATTATCTGTAAACATTAAGAAGCAAAATACAAATCAGTATGAATTTTTAAATTAAATGTATTTAAAACTGAAATTTATTCATGCTTTGAAAATACAATGTTAGCATTCGGTGTCCATCTAGTTACCAGCATAAATCATTGGTCTCATGCTTTTACCCTTATATCTACAGATGGGTATATGAAGGGTCATATGAATTGTTCAGGGTTTCGAAATGTTCCCAAGCTGCAGCGTTGAGCTGTTGTGAACGCTGTTCTAATTTAGCTGCTAATTCGTATACCTCTACTATCCCAATGAGGAGCATGAAGAGAAACAAGAAAATGGATGCCCTGCATTTCTAGGAAATGAGTCTTCATTTCGTGGGAATCTATTGCAGGAGTGCTAACAGGAAGATTTGATAAGTTGGTTAATTTGTCTTTTCTCTTACCGAAGTGCTTTTGCAGCTCAAATCCTCCCTGCACCTCAGAGCTGTGCCCTCCTTCTGTCGACAGCACTACATACAACCAGCCTCCACGGTGTGTGGATTCAGGTTGCTGTTTGTTTCTATGAAGTTGAGCCGGGGCTGCTGGGGAGTGTTTCCCTGGGCCCTGAATGGTACTAGTCATGAGGGTGGACGTGGAGTCAGGAGTTGCATCGTGCTGGCACTGAACAGCAGATCCCGGATGACTGTGCGTGCGTGTGTGTGTGTGTGTGTGTGTGTGTGTTGGAGGGCAGTGGTGCACATATTTATCAGATGATGGGGCTTAGGGCAGAATCCCCTTTTACCTGGGCTGAAAGGAGTTACTACCGCGGGTAAGGAACAGAGCTGGGGTGTGACCTCAGGCTGCCTGATTCGAGTCATATCCCCGATCATAACATCATGTAACTTTCTCTACCATATTGTCTTTAACTCTTAGACTTAGCTAGCTGATACTTTATTTTGCAGAAAAGATATCTTCAAACAGTTAGTGATGGCTGGGCATGGCGGCTCATACCTGTAATCCCAGCACTTTGGGAGGCCAAGGCAGGCAGATCACTTGAGGTCAGGAGTGTGAGACCAGCCTGGTCAACATGGCGAAACCCCATCTCTACTAAAAATACAGGAAAATTAGCTGGGCGTGGTGGTGGGCACCTGTAATCCCAGCTACTCGGGAGGCTGAGGCAGGAGGATTGCTTGAACCCGGAAGGCAGAGGTTGCAGTAAGCCGAGATCGTGCCATTGTACTCCAGCCTGGGTGATAGAGTGAGATTGTTTCAAAAATAAAAATAAAATAACAAACAGTGATATCTGCTGCTATGGTTTGGCTGTGTGCCTATCCAAATCTCATCTTGAATTGTAGTTCCCATAATCCCCATATGTTGTGGGAGGGACTTGGTGGGAGGTAATTGAGTCACGGAGGCGGTTACCCCCATGCTATTCTCGTAATAGTGAGTGAGTTCTTACAAGATCTGATTGTTTTATAAGGGGTTTCCCGCCCCCCCTTTTGCTCGGCACTTCTCCTTGCTGCCGCCATGTGAAGAAGGAGGTGTTTGCTTACCTTTCCACCATGATTGTAAGTTCCTGAGGCCTCCCCAGCCATGCGGAAATGTGAGTCAATTAAATCTCTTTCCTTTATAAATTACCCAGTCTTGGGTATGTTGCCCAGGCTAGAGTGCACTAGTGGTGCAGTCTCAGCTCACTGCAGCCTTCACCTCCTGGGTTCAAGTGATTCTCCTGCCTCAGTTTTCTCAGTAGCTGAGATTACAGATGCCTGCCACCTTGCCTGGCTAATTTTTGTATTTTTAGTAGAGAGGGGGTTTTGCCATGTTGGCCAGGCCTGTCTCAAACTCCTGACCTCAGGTGATCCATGTGCCTCGGCCTCTGAAAGTGCTAGGATGATAGGCGTGAGCCACTGTGCCTGGGCCTTGGATATGTCCTTATTTAGCAGCATGAGGACGGACTAATACACCTGCCAAGGGTATAAGTGGGGAGTGAGAGTGTATGCTGCATTGGTCATTTCTGACTTAAATCATTAAATTCAGCAGAAGGTCTCTATGACTGTAAAGGCAGACAGAGTGAGCGAGGGAGAGTGATAGGGAGTCTAAGCACAGAGTAGGACTTTTGAGCCAGCAAGACTTGGTTCATATGTCAGCTTTGCCAATTTCCATCACTATGCTTCTGGACAGTTTATTTTTCTAGTTCTCAGTTTTTGTACCTGTAAGTTGGAAAATTGGATATACGCTTACTTCCTAGGGTCCTCATATGGCCTAAGTGACATCACATACGAACCCTAAGAATTCTGTCACGAATCTAACCTACCCAAACTGGCTCAAAGAAAACAAGGAAATTGATTGATTCAACGAATTTAAAGCCCCAAAGGTAGTTCATGCTTCAGGAGCAGTTTGATCCAGAAGTTCACAGTGATGTGCCCTGGCCATATTTCTCTGTGACATTCTTGGCCCTGTCCTTCTCCACAGGCCTGCCTCTTCTTCAGGCTGTAGTGGGAAACACTAAAGGCTGTGGTGGTCTCAGAGCTGACACCCACCAGCTGAACACGAGCAAATGGGTCTTTGGGGGTCTTGTGTGATGAGGAATGAGAAAGCCTCTTTCCCAGAAGCCCTTAGTTAGTGTCTCCTCCTCTGATTGGCTTGAGTTGGGTCACATGGTCCTCCCTGAACCTTCACTTTGTCAAAAGGTTGGGCTGTACCCCTGAGCTGAGAGAGGGGTGAATACATTTCATCTAGGCCACAGGCTGACATGGGGAAAGGGCAGGTCCAAAGCAAGACCTGGGTGCTGTGGACTGGGGAGGCAACGAGGACACAGGGACCCAGCAAATGGCTGCCCCTGACCATTGCAGCCACCACCCAGCTGGTCGTCTTCCTTTCATCTTTGTCCCCATCTTTTTTTTTTTTTCTTTTGAAATGGAGTTTTGCTTTTGTTGCCCAGGCTGGAGTACAATGGTGCCATCTCGGCTCACTGCAACCTCTGCAACCTCTGCCTCCTGGGTTCAAGCGATTCTTCTGCCTTAGCCTCCTGAGTAGCTGGGATATAGGCACACACCACCAAGCCCAGCTAATTTTTGTATTTTTAGTAGAAATGGGGTTTCACCATGTTGGCCAGGCTGGTCTCGAACCCCTGACTTCAGATGATCACCCACCTTGGGCTCCCAAAGTGCTGGGATTACAGGTGTGAGCCACTGTGCCCGGCAGTCCTCATCTTCTATCCTCAACCCAGCAGCCAGTGTCATTCTCCTAACACTTGGGACAGACGGGACCCACCTCCTCTCTGCTCAGAAACCTTCAGTGGCTCTCCGTCTCCCTAGGGACCAAAGCCGTATTCTTTACAATTTCCTAACAAGGCCCTAGATGCCCTGCGCACCTCACTTCTCCAGGACCTCACTTCCTCTCCCTCCAGCTCCCTTCCAGCCACACGGGGAAGCACCCACTTCAGGGCCTTTGCATTTGCCCAGAACCCTGCCTGGAATTCTCTTCCCCAGATGTCTGTGTGCTTCCTGCCCTCACTACTTTGGGGTCTTGGCCAACTGGGACCCTCCTCAGTCTAAAACAGGAACTCTTTCATCTTCTGTCATCTTCTACCCCTCACAAGTCTTGGCTTTATTTTTCTTTATAGCTAGTGCTTTATAAAATAGATATATTTTCTTTTTCTTTTTCTTTTTTTTTTTTTTTTTTTTTTTTTTGAGATTAAGTCTCCCTCTGTCACCCAGGCTGGAGTGCAGTGGCGCGGTCTTGGGTCACTGCAACCTCTGCTGGGTTCAAGCGATTCTTCTGCCTCAGCCTCCCAAGTAGCTGGCCTACAGGTATGCACCACCATGCCCAGCCAATTTTTGTATTTTTAGTAGAGACAGGGTTTCACCATATTGGCCAGGCTGGTCTCAAACTCCTGACCTTGTGATCCACCGCCTCAGCCTCCCAAAGTGCTGGGATTACAGGCGTGAGCCACTGCGTCCGGCCAAAATAGATGTATTTTCTAACAGACATACAGACATGCATACACACCCTCCACTCCAATGTCAGCTTCCTTAGGGCAGCCACTGTTGTCTTGTTCATGGCTATATCTGCAGAGCCCTGTGCAGTGTATGGTACATAGAAGGTGCTCAGTAAGTATTTGTTGAGAGCTGTAACTCTAACCCCACTGCCTCTTCCTAACAGCCCACTGAGGGTCTCCTCTCTCTCACCTACCTATCCACTCTTGTCCTAGGGACAGGCTGGGAGGCCGTAGGGACAAGATGTCACCTACCCTGATGATTTGTGATATGTGTCCTGGACATTGGTGTATCCATTCCGGTCCTTGGGAGTGGCTGATTAAAGGCATCATCTTCCTGCTTCCTCCTTTTCCTCCTCTTTCTAGGCTGCCAGGATCTTATTAGCCCTGTTTACACAGCCGGGATGTCGAGCGATTAATTTTTAATGGCTTGGTTTATTGCATGTTTGAATGGTTTATTGAGTAATTCTCACATTTAAGTGATTAATTCTCCAGAGTTCAGAACGACTGGTTAGTTTTACATTAATGGGGGTTTCTGAATGCCAAGAGACAATCAATCAAGCCTTCCTGCCAGGGAGAGTAATGTTAAGATACCTCAAGGTACAATGAGGTTAAGAAGAGGCATAATTAAAACCCTGTCCTCCCCTCATGCAAATTTGATGTCTTTCTCTGTTTCTCCTTCTCTTTCTTCTGGTACTCCCCCTGTTTCTCAGTACAGCCCTCCCTGAACCCGGTTGCTCTTTAAGAGGCGCAAGTCTCCCTCTGTCCCTGGAGGCTCTGACTTCCCTGGTAATGAGGCCCAGTCCAGCTGCTGCTGGGAGTGGGACTTGCTTAGCGCTTGGTCCCCAGGAAGGGGACTTTGGAGCAGAAGAGGCCTGTAGCAGAGGTTCCTGATTTGCAGGGAAGCTGAGCCACATCCTCAGGATACAATGTCCGGTCACACCTTGTAGCCAGACAAAGCCCAGGTGGGCCTCAGGAGGACATCCACACAGGGAGCAAGGGAGGGTTTTGGGATGGGGTTTTGCCTTTAGATTCTTCTGCAGAGCCCTGCGACCTGCTGCGCTTTGAGCAGGAGAGAAGTGGGAGCTGCTTTTGCATCTGCATGAATCTGCTGTTATTACTGTAGCAAATTACCAAATGCAGTGGCCCAACACAGCACAGATTCATTATCCTGCAGTTCTGGAGGTCAGAAGCACGGGATGCGTCCCACTGGGCTACAGTCAAGGTGTTGTCAGGGCTGCCTCCTTTTGGGGGTTCTAGGGAAATATCCATGTCTTTGCCGTTTCCAGCTTGTGGAGGCCACCTGCATTGCTTGGCTCATGGCCTCTTCTTCCATCTTCAGATCTGGCAGCGTTGCTGCATCTGCACATCTTTCTCTGACTCTGGCCATACTCTTCCACATTTAAAGGACCTTTGTGATTACTGTGGGCTCACATGGATAATCCAGGATAATCTTTGCCTTCTCAAAGTCAGATGACCAGTAATCTTAATTCCATCCGCAGTCTTCATTCCCCTTGGTCTTGTAATCTGACATAGTCACAGTTTCCATGGATTAGGGCATCAGAATCTTTGTGCTTTGGAGACCGCAGCATTGACAGGATGAGAAACAAGACGGCTGACAGGTTGGAGGCACAGACCCTGGAGCCTGATACCCTGGTTCAGTCCTTGCTCAGCTCCTCAATAGCTGTGGGGACATGAGTAAGTTTCCCAACTGTGCCTCAGTTTCCTTATGAAACTGAGGCAGATGATAGTACTGATCTCCTAGAGTTGTGCTGGGGAAACGAGGAGTGAAGTAGTTGGCCTGGCGTTTGGATCATAGCAAGTATGCCGTGTTATGTATGTTTATTGCGGTACTATTCACAATAGCAAAGACTTGGAACCAACCCAAATGGCCATCAGTGATAGACTGGATTAAGAAAATGTGGCACATATACACTGTGGAATACTATGTAGCCATAAAAAAGAATGAGTTCATGTCCTTTGCAGGGACATGGATGAAGCTGGAAACCGTCATTCTCAGCAAACTATCACAAGATCAGAAAACCAAACACCACACGTTCTCACTCATAAGTGGGAGTTGAATAATGAGAACACATGGACACAGGGAGGAGAACATCACACACTGGGGCCTGTGGGGGGTGGGGAGCTGGGGGAGGGATAACATTAGGAGAATTACCTAATGTAGGTGACGGGTTGATGGGTGCAGCAAACTACCATGGCACGTGTATACCTGTGTAACAAAATTGGATGTTCTGCACATGTATCCCAGAACCTAAAGTATAATAATAAAAGTATGCCATGTTAGCAGCAGTAGCAGTGCTGATACCCATAAAATGAGATGGAAACTGGAATGATGTTGCCTACTTTAAGAGGTTGTCTAGGACTCACTGAGAATGTGGGTAAAAGTGCTAAGTGGAAAGTTCCTTGCAAGATGTTTACAATCACAAAGCAATTCATAAGGGTCCCTGATGGAGTCTTGATGAGCAAACTCTGGAGAGCTTGTGTGTGCAAACATTGCACAGACTTGAGGGACACAAGACCCCAGGGACACATTAACAGGAGGCAGATGGCAATAAGAGCTCAACAGACCAATGTGAGTGAACACACTAAGGCCTCTACCCTTTTTCCTTCAAATGTTATTGTTAGTCCTTTCATCTGTGAAAGATAGTTATTTTCATCTGAAGACTACGGTGTAGAGAGGTGCTTAACTTCAGGCCACATAATTAATCATGGCAGTGATTAAGAGCTTGGGCTGTGAACCCACAGGTACGGATTTGAATCTTGACTACACTCAAAGGTGGGTGGCGTGGGGACAACTCTGTCACTTCTCTAAGCCTCATTCCTTCATCTATAAACTGGCAATGATACTATGCCCTCATCATTGGGTTTTTATGCGGAGCAAATAAGAGAGATACTGTGTGAGAAGTATCATACCCAGTGCCTGGTTCTTAGTAAGCGTGCTCAGCAAGGATTCTGGATTCATAGTGGTCCGTGGAGGAATGAATTCCTGTTTGCAAGTTGTCTGGTGTTAGAAGCTTTATGGGGTGAAGGTTTGGTGTGGATCTTGAAGGACTGAGAGGTGTGATGGAAGTGAATTTTAGGCAGAGAGGAGATGTAGAAAGGACGGAATTCTCCAGCAGCAAACATTCCAGCGTGGCTTTAGCTTCAGGTGCATGGAGAAGATGGGGAAAGTTGGCCAGAGACTGGTGGGCTTTGTGTGTCAAGCTAAGTTTAGGCTTCATCTTGTTGGCAGTGGGAGCTGTTGAAGAGTTTGGAGCAGGAAAGTAACCAGAAGCCTATAGAAGAAACCCATGTTTTAGGGACACGGGAGTGCAGCCCATATGGAGCTATCATGCCGCCAGCAAACCAATGTATTTTTAAAAATTTATTCATTCAACACAAACTGATTTAACAAAAATATGCCAGTTACGTGGTAGAAATGGGGAAGTAAAATACAAATATGAACTTGTCTTCCTGGAGCCTACGTTCTGGTGGTGCTTGGGAGAGGTAGACAACAGCCAGCAAACACACAGCATAATTATGTATGGTAATAAGTGCTATGACAATAATAAAACTAGTCAATGCAATATTGGGTTGGAGTTGAGTGGTCAGGAAAGGCTCCAGATCTCACTCAAGCTAAATAAGAGTGATGAGAGCTGGTTTTTGGAAGGGCTAGCCGGGGGTTCCACACAGAGGGTAAGGCAAACATAGGGGCTGAGGAAGGAAGAAGCAGGCTGTGGTCCAGGGACAGAGAGAAAGGAAAGGCCGTGGCCTGTTGGGAACTAGGCAACAGGAGGTGAGCAGCAGGCAGGTGAACCAGTGAGGCTTCATCTGTATTTACAGCCACTCCCCATTGCTCACATTACTGCCTGAGCTCCACCTCCTGTCAGATCAATGGTGGCATTAGATTCTCATAGGAACATGAACCCTGTTGTGAACTGTGCATGTGAGGGATCTAGGTTGCGTGCTCCTTATGAGAATCTAATGCCCGATGATCTGTCGGTGTCTCCCATCACTCCCAGATGGGACCATCTAGTTGCAGGAAAACAAGCTCAGGCCTCCCACTGATTCTACATGATGGTGATTTGTATAATTATTTCATTGTATATTGCAATATAGTAATAGAAATAAAGTGTACAAGAAATGTAATGCACTTTTGAATCATTCCGTAAACCAACCCCTACTCCAGGTCTGTGGAAAAATTATCTTCCACAAAACCAGTCACTGGTGCCAAAAAGGTTGGGGATCGCTGATACAGTGTCTAGATTTAACTGCAGTTTGTTCTGATTTTATTCAACTTTTTCTTCCACTGGATTATTCCCATCAGCATAAAACCTTAATACATTATTTCTTCTCTTGAACAAAACAACCAAAACCTCCTGGGGCCCCAATTCTCTGCACAATCTACTGTTGTCTTTCTTTGCTTCCTTTCAGAGCAGAGCTCTTCAAAGTTGTCTTGCTGTCTCCCATATCTCTCCCCACATCCTTTCTTTTCCTAAAAGCTTTTCATTTAGAGAAGGTCCAAGAATAGTTCAATACGTTCTCCAATATCCATCATATATATTCACTAGTTACTATCTTTTGACCCCATTTGCTTTGACACCTTTTCTATCGACACATGCTGGGTTTTTCTTGATCTATTTGAAAGTAAATCTCATGATATTTTACCTGTAAATACTTTTTCATGGATCTGCTTAAAAATAAGAATATTCTCTTTGAAAACCACAACATAGTGATCAAACACAGGAAATTTAACATTGAAAATATAACCCATATTCAAATTTTACCATCTGTCCCCAAAATGTTCTTTCAAAAATTTCACCTTAAAATGTCATGTGGCGAGACTCGCTTTTTTTGATGTATAGTTCTCAGTTCTGATAAATGCATGCAGGCATGTAACCACTCTGGCAATCAAGATATGAGACAGTTCCACCACCTCCAAAAATTCCTCCAGTCCTGTATAGTTAACTCTTCTCACCGCCCCAGAAACGACTGATCTGTTTTGTTACTATAGTTTTGCCTTCTCCTGAATATCATATAATTGGGAATATGCAGTATGTAAGTCTGGTTTATTTCATGTAGCATAGTAATTTTGACAGTCATGGATGTTGTCATGTATATCAATAGTTCCTTTTTATTGCTAAGTAGTATTCCATTGTATGGATGTACCACAGTTTGTTCATTTACCAGCTGAAGAACATTTGGGTTGTTTAGTGATTATGAATTAAGCCTCTGTAAACATTGGTGTAAGGGTTTTTGTGTGAACATAAGTTCTTATTTCTCTGGAGTACATAGGAATAGGATTACTTGTTTGTATGGTAAGTATATGTTTAACTTTAAAAGAAACTCCTAAACTGTTTTCCAGAGTGTACACTTTTATATTCCCACTAGCAGTGTATGAGAGTTCCAATTTCTCCACATCCTTGTTAGCTCTTGGTATTGTCCTTAAAATTTTATGGTTTTAATTTGTTTTTCTCTAGTGACTAATGACATTTAGCATCTTTCAGTGTGCTTACTTACCGTCTGTGTAGCTTATTTGATGAAGTGTGAAAATCTTTGGCCCATCTTTGGAAGTGAGTTGTTTGCTTTCTTATTATTGATTATTAGTTGGTCTTTATATATTCTGGATACAAGTCCTTTAGCAGATGTGTGATGTGTGACTTGCAAATAGTTTCTCCCAGTCTTTGGCTTTTCATTTTCATTCTCTTGATAGTGTCTTTCAAAGAGCAGAATTTTAAAATTTTGGTGAAGTCCAGGATATTAACTTTTTCTTTTATGAGTGGTGCTTTTGATGTTGTACCTAAGAAACTTAGATGTTCTTAGATCTAAGGTCACACAGATGTTCTTATGTTTTTTGCAGAAGTTTTATAATTTTCTGTTTTATATCTATATTTTACATGATCCATTTTGAGTTAATTATGTTTTTTGTAAACAAGTGAGGAATGAGTCGAGGTTATTATTTTTACACGGAGAAGTCCAGTTTTTCCAGCACCATTTGTTGAAAAGACTATCTTTTCATCACGGAATTGTCCTTGTACCTTTGTCAAAATCAATTGATTAGATTTGTGTGAGTCTATTCTTGGACACTCTGTTCTTTTCTACTGATCCATGTGACTGTGCTTTTACCAATGTCACATTGTCTTGATGACTGGGTTTTCTGTCTTTTTTTTTTTTTTTGAGACAGGGTCTGGCTGTGTGGCCCAGGTTGGAGTGCAATGATCTGATGTCAGCTCACTGCAGCCTCTGCCTCCTGGCTTGGCCTCCCAAGTAGCTGGGACTACAGGTGCATGCCACTGAACCTGGCTAATTTTTTTATTTTTTGTATTTTTAGTAGAGATGGGGTTTCATCATGTTGCCCAGGCTTGTCTCGAACTCCTGAGCTCAAGTGATCTGCCTGCCTTGGCCTCCCAAAGTGCTGGGATTATAGGTGTGAGCTACCACACCCAGCTCTATCTTGATTATTATAAACTTATAGTGGGCCTTGAAATCAGATAGTGTGAGTCTTCCAACTTTGTTCTTTTAGAAATTGTTTTGGCTATTCTGATTCCTTTGCCTTACCATATACACTTTAGAATCAACTTGTTGATATCTAACGGTAATCCTGCTGGGATTCTGAGATTTTGATTAGGATTGAATCTATAAAGCAGCTTAGGTAGAAATGACATTTTAATGATATTGAATTGTCTAATCTGTGAACATAGCATATCTATTTTTTTTCCTTTTTTTTTTTTTTTTTTTTGAGACGGAGTCTCACTCTGTCATCCAGGGTGGAGTGCAATGGCGCAATCTCAGCTCACTGCAACCTCCGCCTCCCGGGCTCAAGCAATTCTCCTGCCTCAGCCTCCCAAGAAGCTGCGACTACAGGCGTACGCCACCACGCCCTGTCAATTTTTTTTTTTTTTTTGTATTTTAGTAGAGATGGGGTTTCACTGTGTTGCCCAGGCTGGTCATGAACTTGTATTTTAGTAGAGATGGGGTTTCACTGTGTTGCCCAGGCTGGTCGTGAACTCCTGAGCTCAGGCAACCCACCCGCCTCAGCCTCCCAAATTGCTGGGATTACAGGCCTGAGCCACCACACCTGGCCATCTCTCTATTTAGGTTTTCTTTGATTTATTTCATCAGTATTTTGTAGTTTTAAGCACATTTAATGTTTTGTTAGATTTATACCAAAGTATCTCTCTCATAATTTTTGATGTTATTGTCAATGATACTTTTTTAAAGAAACACTTTTCAGCGATTTATTGATAGTATATAAAATATAATTGGTTTTTAAAATATTTAACTTGTATCTTGTGACTTAGTCAAATTCACTTATTAGTTCTAGGATCTTTTTTGTAGATTCTTTGGCATTTTCTACTTAGACAATTATGTCTTCTGCAAATAGGGATAGTTTTATTTATTTCCAATTCATGTGTCTTTTGTTTCTTCAGTCTTGCCATATTGCACTGGTTTAGGACTTTCAGTTCAATGTTGAATATGCGTGGTGAGGACTGACATCTTTACCTTGTTCCCAGTCTTAGGGAGAAAGCATCCTACTTCTCACTATTACCTATGTGAGTTGTAGGTGTTTGGATATTCTCTTTATTAGGATAAGGAAAGTCTTCTCTGTTCCTAGTTAAAGATTTTTATGATAAATGCATGTTGAATTCTATCCATTGATTTTTTTTGCATCTGTTGAGATGGTCATATGGTTTTTCTTTTTCAGTCTGTTACTCGTTTGAATCATACAGATTTAAAATATTGAACCAGTGTTGCATTCCTGGGAGAAGCCCCATTTAGTCATTGTGTACTATTCTTTTTATATATTACTGGGCTTGCCAAAATCTTATTAAAGAATAATATATCTTCATGAAAGATTTTTGGTTTGAGTTTTGTTTTATTTTGTAATATCTTTGCTTTTGGTTCAAGGTAATACTGGCCCCACAAACTGAGTTGGGGTGTGTTGCCTCCTCTTTTGCTTTCTGGGAGAGATTGTGTACCGTTAGTATTATTTCTTCCTTAAATGTTGGGTAAATTCTCCAGTGAAACCGTTTAGACCTAGAGTATTCTTTGTTGAAGGTTTATAACTAAAAAGTCTATTTCTAATAGTTATATGGCTATTTAAATATATATTTCTTCTTGATTGAGCTTTGGTACTTTATGTCTTTAAAGGATTTATCTATTTTACCTAAATTGTCAAAGTGTCAGGTAGAAAGTTATTCCTAATATTCTCTTGTTATCCTTTTTGTGTCTGTAGAGTCTGAAGTGATGCCACCTCATTCCTGATCGCAGTCTTTTGTGTCTTTTCTCTTTTTTCTTAGTCTTTGATCTTTTCAAAGAACTAGCTTTTAGCTTTTGGCTTTATTGACTTTTCACTATTTGTTTTCCATTTTCAATTTCGATTACAGTCATTCACCACATGACATTTTGATCAACCACAGATGGCATATATGATGGTGGTCCCATAAGATTATAATATTGTAGTTGTACTGTACCTTTTCTATGTTAAGATACACCAATACTTACTGGCTGGATATGGTGGCTCATGCCTGTATTCCTGGCCCTTTGAGAAGCCAAGGCAGGAAGAACGCTTGAGGACAGGCATTCAAAACCAGCCCGGACAACAGAGCAGACTCCATATCTACCAACAAAACAAAACAATACATACAATTATATTACAGTTGCCTACAGTATTCAGTACAATAACATGCCATACCAGTTTGTAGCATAGCAAGACTCTATATCTACCAACAAAACAATACAATACATACCATTATGTTAGTCACCTACAGTATTCAGTACAATAACACGCCATACCCGTTTGTAGCATAGCAAGACTCCATATCTACCAACAAAACAAGACAATACATACCATTATGTTACAATCGCCTACAGTATTCAGTAGAATAACACGCAGTACCAGTTCATAGCATAGCAAGACTCCATATCTACCAACAAAACAGGACAATACATACCATTATGTTACAATCGCCTACAGTATTCAGTAGAATAACACGCAGTACCAGTTCGTAGCATAGCAAGACTCCATATCTACCAACAAAACAAGACAATACATACCATTATGTTACAATCGCCTACAGTATTCAGTACAATAACATGCCGTACCGGTTTGTAGCATAGCAAGACTCCATATCTACCAACAAAACAAGACAATACATACCATTATGTTACAATTGCCTACAGTATTTAGTACAATAACATGCAGTACCAGTTTGTACCATAGCAAGACTCCATATCTACCAACAGTACGTACTATTATTTTACAATTGCCTGCAGTATTCAGTACAATAACATGCTGTACCCGTTTATAGCATAGCAAGACTCCATATCTACCAATAAAACAAGACAATACATACCATTATGTTACAGTTGCCTACAGTATTCAGTACAATAACATGCAGTACCAGTTCGTAGCTTAGGAGCAAATGGCTATACCATACAACCTAGGTAAGTAGTAGGCTATACCATATCTTTGCTTTCAATGGCCATACATATTTTGGGAGGAGAAAAATATACTTTATAATTTTTTAAATATTTACCGTTTCTGTTTCTCTTTCTTCATTCCTGAGTGCTAGATTCAGCATTATTTTCCTTCAGCCTGAAGAGCTTTAATTAGCATTTCTTTTTAAAGCAGTTCTGCTAGTAATTTTCTTAGTTTTCCTTCATCTAAGAATGTCTTAACTTCATTCCTGAAAGATTTTTTGCTGGGTATAGAATTCTGAGTTGATATCTCTTTTCTTTCAGTCCTTTAAAGATGCCTGACTGTCTTCTGGACTCCATTTTTTTTTTCCCCTGGTGGGAAGTCTGCAGTCATTCAAAGTGATATTCACCTATATTTAGTGTTTTATTTTTCTCTGGATTCTTTGAAGATTTAAAAAAATATTTGGTATTTAGCAGTTGGGTTATAATGTGGTTTTCTGGATGGTTTGCATGGTTTTCTTTGAATTTATTTTCTATGGGGTGTGCTGAGCTTCCTGGCTTTGTAGATTTGTCTTTGACCAAATTTGGGAAATTTTTAGCCATTATGTCTTCAAAACTTTTTCTGAGCCAGTCTTTTTCCTCTCACTTTGAAACTTCAATGACATGAATGTTAGATCTCTTTATATTGCCCCACAGGTCTCTGAAGCTTTGCTCAGTAAATTTTTTTCTCTCTGTGTTTTAGATTGAATAATTTCTATTGATATTTGAAAATCCCCTTACTCATTCCTCTGTCGTCTCTATTCTATGGAGCAGAACTTTTCTTTGTTTTTATTTTTTATTCTAAATTAAGAATTTACAATTGTATAAATGTATGGGATACAACATGTTATAATTTATGAATACAAGGTGGAATAAGTAAATCAAGCTGGTTAACACATCCATTACCTCTAATCCTTAACATTATTTGTGATGAGAGCTTTCAGAACTTACTGTCAGCGAATTTGAAATGTACAGTACTCTGTTACGAACTATATTCACCATGCTATGCAATAGAACTCAAAATATTAATAGCTTTTTTTTTTTTTTTTGAGACCAGGTTTTGCTCCCATAGTCTCTAGGCTGAAGTGCAGTGGTGCAATCTTAGCTCTCTGCAAACTCCGCCTCCTGGGCTCAAGCAATCTTCCCACCTCAGCCTCCTGAGTAGCTGGGACCACAGGCACACACCACCACATCTGGCTAATTTTTTTGTACTTTTGGGAGAGATGGGGTTTTACCATGTTGCCCAGGCTGGTCTCAAACTCCTGAGCTCAAGCAATCCACCCGCCTTGGCCTCCCAAAGTGCTAGTATTACAGGCGTGAGCCTCTGTGCCCAGCCTAAAATATTAATAGCTTTTCAGGCTAAAAATATTTGAGCATTATGCTGTGAGACTCTGTGTTCTTTTAACATCCTATGGAGAACATTTATTTGGTTGTGTTTTAGCCTTCAGTCACCCCTGTTGCACGCAGCCTGCAACTCCGTCTTGTCCTTTGTGGGTGGTGATTCCGCTGTGAGTTCAGTACAAAGGCCTGTGCTCTACTGCCATGGGTGTGTCCCAGCCATGCACAGGTGAGCTGGGACCTGTGCCCGTTCATATATAGAATCTGGGGAATCCTTTCTCTGACTGGCTCCCATTTCTTCAGTATTCTTCCCCAACTCTTTGAGTTGCATAGGTTCCTTTTCTTGGTCTTATGTCCAGAGAGACAGGATTTTGCTCAGTCTTGGCTGTGCTGGAAACTTGTCTCAGGTCAAAGTTTGAGAGAAAACAGGAAAATAAAACAAATAGGAACCTCACCCTCTGCAGGTTGCTTCTCCAAGTTTTGATTCTCTTCAGTCTGCCTGTTATTTTTTTCACTCATTGTCCTCAGGTTGTTGGGTTTTTTGTTTTGTTTTGTTTTTTGTTTTTTATTTGTTTTTTCATTTTGTCTAGAATTTTTAGTCCTACTCAGTAGGAAAGAGGGCTGAAGGAGGCTTACTTCATCCTGGTGAGCATCAGAAGCCTGTGGTAATGTACCTTAATGCCATTTTTTTTTTTTTTCTGATCTGGGATCAGAAACTGTGCGTGGTGTTGGCTGCCATGTCTTTCAATTTTGAACACTTCTTTAATATTTCATTGTTGTGTATGCTGTGATATTTTTGCAGAGCCTGGGCCAGTTTGGTAGAATTGCTCTCAATCTCTCACCCTTTCTTGAATCAACCTTTTCAAGCTTTTTCTCACCTCTTCAATGGACATGCTTTAGCCAAGGCTGCTGGTAACTTCCATGTTGCTAAATCCAATGGATAGTCCTTTGTTTTCCTCCTAATTTCTCATCCCATTCGATTCTTCCCTTCTTGAAATACTTTCTCTGCTCGGTCCCGGGACACTGTTCCCTCTGGGTTTCTTGCCCTCCTCCCTGGCCATTCTCACTCAGTCCTCTTTATTGGTGCCTTCCCAAGGCCTGGCCACTAGACCTTAGAGGCCCTCAGGCACAAATCTTTGTCTACACTACATCTCTTCATGACCACTTCCATCCCAACCACTTTTCTTTTTTCTTTCTTTCTTTTCTTTTTTTCGAGATGGAGTCTCACTCTGTCACCCAGGCTGGAGTGCAGTGGCATGATCTCGGCTCACTGCACCCTCCATCTCCTGGGTTCAAGCAATTCTCCTGCCTCAGCCTCCTGAGTAGCTGGGATTACAGGTGCGTGCCACCACTCCTAGCTAATTTTTGTATTTTTCAGTAGAGACGGGGTTTCGCCATGTTGGCCGGGCTGGTCTCAAACTTCTGACCTCAGGTGATCCACCTGCCTTGGCCTTCCAAAGTGCTGGGATTACAGGTGTGAGCCACCGTGCCTGACCTCAACCACGTTCAATTCCATCCATTCAGGAACTCCCAATTACACCACTAGCTCAGAGATCTTTACATACACTTAATAGGCACCTCCAACTTAACATGTCCCAAATAAATTTCTTAATTTCCTCCCAAATGCCAAACTCTTCCCCCATGGTCTTTTCCATCATAGTAAATGGATACTTTATTCTTCCAGCTTTTCAGGCTAAAAATTGTGGTATCTTCCTTCATTCTTCTTCTGGTCTAACATTTCAGTCTATGAGCCTTACTTAGGTATATCCAGAATCTGATCACCTTGCACCCTCTTCCTGGCCACCACTTTAGCGCAGGCTACCCACACCTTTCACCTCCTGTAATCTTTCTTCTGCTCTCTGCAGTCTATCCTTTCTATTGGCCGAAGTGATCCTTTCACAAGTGAAGTCAGATCATGCCATTCCTCTGGCCAAGCCCCCAGTGGCCTCCCACATCTGCAAGCATGATACAGAGGCTTGCAAGGCCCTTCTCAGATCTCCAGTATCCTCCCTCCACTCACCGTGTCCTTGCTACACAGGCCTGCTGGCTGATCCTAGAACTCATCTGACCTTGTCTTCCTCAGGGCCTTTGCACTTGTTGTTCCTTTGGGGTGGAATGCTTTTCCAGGTATTCACATGCCTTATTCCCTCACTTCATTCAGTTTTCTGCTCAGATGTCACCCTAGAAGGAGGCCTTTGATGACTGCTCTGCTTAAAATGGCATTGTGCCTCTGTGCCTCTTGAGTTCCCTGTCCTTACCAGGTTTTCTTTTTCTCCGCTGTACTGATCTTCCCTGACATGCTGTGTTTGATTTGGTGCTTATGGATGTTCTTTCTTAGTAGAATGTAAACTCCAGAAGGGGAGAAATCATGCCAGCCTAGAACCGGTTTTATACCTAGGTAGATGCTAATGGGGATTTGTAGAATTGGTGGCTTAGTAAAAATGCTTCTGAATATACAGATTTTATCTCTGTCTTCAAAGCTGGCTCCTTGGACCCATCCAAACTTTCTTTTACAGTCATGTGCCAGGGGAAGAATGGCCCCTGCCTCCCAGCCTCCTCCTCCCAGGTCAGGTCACTTGGGCCACCAACCTGGAGTCCTTTTCCATCCCCTACCCTTGCCATGCGCACCTTGTTTCACAGCCACAGTGGAGATCACTCTGCCAGCGTCTCCCATGACACCACATGCCAGGGCCGAGAAGCATTTATCAGTCACCTGCTCTCAGCAGGGCAGAGCCCGCTTCCCGGAATGTCATGCAGCCGGCCAGTTCTCTGTCACTCTGGATGATTGAGTGTGAGGAATCTATCACTCAGCCTGCCAGGAGGCGAGGCAGGAGGCCCGGTCACCACAGCTCCATCTCCACGCTCCTTCTTGGCTCTCCCCAGGTCTATGTCAGAGCCGATTAAAGGCAGATAAGCCTGTTCTCTGCCCTGCAGCCGGTGACAGCAGGGAGCCACTGGCCAGGGCCAGGCCATGGCTCTCATGCTCAATAGTGATGGGTAGATGCAACTGCTGTCCAGAAACGGAAGCCGAGCAGATAGCTGGGGGAGCGACAGCCCCAGAATGCTGCCTTCGGGCTGAGCTGCCTTTCCGGAGGCCTCTCTTACAGGAAACACCCACATACAGTCTAGGCACCCAGTCTGCTGTCTGTCTGACAATTTGTATTCTGCAAGATGAGTTCATACACCTTTCATTGAATATTCCCACACCCGCTGGATTTTTCCCTTAAAATTTTTTTTTACTAGGGCCAGGTGTGGTGGCTTACAACTGTAATCCCAGCACTTTGGGAGGCCTAGGTGGGCGGATTGCTTGAGCCCGGGAGTTTGAGACCAGCCTAGGCTGTTGCCTAGGAAAATTAGCTGGGTGTGCATGGCTTGCACCTGTAGCCCCAGCTACCCAGGAGGCTGAGGTGGGAGGATTGCTTGAGCCCAGGAGATTGAGGCTGAAGTGAGACGCGATCGTGCCACTGCCCTCCAGCCTGCGCAAGAGCGAGATCCTGTCTCAAAAAAAAAAAACTTTGTTTTTACTAAAAGTTTACTCTAAAAATAATATAGTTGCGGGAATTTAACAAATGCATACAGAAGTGTGCCCAGCTCCACAAACAAGATACAGCATAGTTCCATCATGGCCCCAAATTCTGCCATGTCCCCTCTGGTCATCCCCTCTCACCACCTGGCTGCCAGCGGCCACTGATCTGATTTTGGTCCTTATAGTTTTACCTTTTCCAGAATGTCATGGGAATGGAGTCATACAGTTTGTCGTCTTTGGGGTCTGGCTTCTTTCAGCCTCGGGCATTTGAGATTTATGCACATATTCATGTTATGGGGTGTATCGGTTGTTCATTCTGTTTTATTACCAGGTAGTATTCCACTGAATGGAGATTTGTGTATTCATTCCCTAGCTGAAGGACTTTGGGTTGGTTTCTATTTTTGGCAGTTAGGAATAAGGCTATCTGGCTACTATACGTATGTGCATAAAGGTTTTTGTGTGAACGTACGTTTTCATTTCCCTTGAGTAAATACGTAAGAGTGGAAATGCAGGTCATACGGTAGGTGTATGTTGAACTTTTTTTTTTTTTTTTGAGATGGAGTTTTGCTCTTGTCACCCAGGCTGGAGTACAATGGTGCGATCTTGGCTCACCGCAACCTCCACCTCCTGGGTTCAAGGGAATCTCCTCCCTCAGCCCCCCCAGTAGCTGGGATTACAGGTATGTGTCACCACGCCCAGCTAATTTTTTTTGTTTTTGTATTTTTAGTAGAGACAGGGTTTCTCCATGTTGGTCGGGCTGGTCTTGAACTCCTGACCTCAGGTGATCTGCCCGTCTTGGCCTCCCAAAGTATGCTGAACTTTTTAAGAAACTGCCACACCATTTTCCAAAGTGCTGGTGTCATTTGCCATTCCCACCAGCTGTGCATGGGATTTCCAATTTCTCCACTTCCTTGTCAGCACTTGGTAAGGGTGGGCCTTAATTTCGGTCATTCTAATAGGTAGGTGTACAGAAATATCTTGTGATTTTAACTGGCATTTTCCTAATGAGTAATAATGCTGAATACCTTTTCATGTGTTTATGTGCCATCCATCTATCTTCTTTGGTGAAGTGATTCTTCAAAGCTTTTGCCCATTAAAAAAAAAAATTGGCTTGTTTCTCCTATTACTGGGTTTTGAGAGTTCTGTATTAAATATATGATTTGTAAGTATTTTCTCCCAGTCTATGGCTTGTCTTTTCATTCTCTTTGTAGTAAATAGCGTCTTTGGAAGGACAAAAGTTCCTAAATGTGATGAAATCCAGTTTATCAATTTGTTCTTTTGTGGGTCAGACTTCTAATGTTCTAAGGAAACTTTGCCTTCGTGGTTTCTCCTAGGTGTTCTTTTAGAAGTCTTATGGTTTCAGGTTTTACATTTATTTCTGTGATCCATTTTAAGTTAATTTTTTGTAAGGTGTGAGGTATGGGCTAAGGTTCTTTTTTTGGTATATGGACATCCAATTGTTCTTTGCTATTTGTTGTAAAGACTGTCCTTTCTCCATTTAATTATTTTTCGACCTTGTCAAAGAGCAAATGACACTTTTTTTGTGTGTGGGCCTATTTCTGGACTTTCTGTTCCATGGATCTATGTTTGTGACTATTCCCTTTTTTTTCTTTTTGAGATGGAGTCTCACTCTGTCGCCTAGTCTGGAGTGCAGTGGCACAATCTTGGCTCACTGCAACATCCGCCTCCCGGTTTCAAGCGATTCTTGTGTCTCAGCCTCCCAAGTAGCTGGGATTACAGGCGCACTACCACACCAGCTAATTTTTGTACTTCTAGTAGAGATGGGGTTTCATCATGTTGGCCAGGCTGGTCTTGAACTCCTGACCTCAGGTGATCTGGCCGCCTTGGCCTCCCAAAGTGCTGAGATTACATGCGTGAACCACCGTGCCTGGCCTTGACTATTCTTTTACCAGTACCTCCCACATTGTCTTGGCTACTGTAGCTTTTGAGTAAGTCTGAACATCAGGTAGTGACCATACCTACCTTTTCAGCAGGGGGGCTGCTGTTCTCCCCACTTTACAGATGAAGAAACTAACCACAATCATGGAGTCTTCCTGATAGTCTCCCTTATCATCAGGTGTTAGATGCTTAGCTCATGTTTAACACCTAATGCCTGGTGCCTCGCATGCTTGATGCTCAGGACATCGCCTTTGCAGTCTGGGTTGGGTTTGACTCTTAGCTCTGTTTTTGTTAGTTGTATACCCCTAGGAAAGTAATCTTACCCCCTGTGCCTCAGTTTCTTCATCTGTAAAGTGGACGTCACCTGCCTTATACATCGTGGCAAATATTAAATGAGTCCATGTATCAAGTGAAACCATGTGAAATTGCTGATCTCTGACCATTTTCACAGACACAAATGACAGTTTTACCTAGTCCAACCTAACATGCAAAGCATTCCTTGTAGTACTGGAGAAAGAGTAGGTTCTCCAGAAAATGGTCCCTGTAGCTGCTGCCATGCTCACTAATACAATGCCTGCTTCTGCTGCTGTTGCTATGACATTGTTATTACTGAAGGTGGTGGCTCTGAGGCTGATGTTTCATGTTCCTTGTGCCCTCTAATCAGGCAGCCAGTGTCTACAAGGACTTCCCAAGTGGCAAGCTTCTTGCTGAGTCTGCCAAGAGTAATCCAACCCTTTGCAGAGTTGGATTGTGGGGCAGAAGTGCTCACCTAGCAGGATACATGTGTGTGCAAAGTGCAGTGGGAGAAGCTGAGTGGGCAGGAGGGGTGGGGGCCACTTCCTGGATGTGGCCCATTAAGGGAGCCTGGTAGGATGGTTGGGAATTTGGGATGGGGGGAGTGTTCCAGGCACAGGTAATGGCTTGTGTAAAGGCTTGGAAGGGGCAGTGGACAAGCTTCAGGGGGAGCCTGAGGTTTGACTGTTGGGTAGAGGGGGAAGCTGCTTATGGTGGCCTAGGCTGCCTGCACAACTAACCCCATCCTTTGCTTCCGCAGGTCCCACCCACCTCTGCCTCCGCCATGGCTGCAAGAACCGTTATCATTGACCACGGGTCTGGCTTTTTGAAGGCTGGCACGGCCGGCTGGAATGAGCCTCAGATGGTCTTCCCGAACATCGTGAACTACCTACCGTGCAAGGAGAACCCTGGCCCCAGCTATGCCCGTAGGCGTGTGAGCCTGGGCATCGACATTTGCCATCCTGACACCTTTAGCTACCCCATCGAGCGGGGCCGCATCCTCAACTGGGAGGGTGTGCAGTACCTCTGGTCATTTGTGTTGGAGAACCACAGACGGGAGCAAGAGGTCCCCCCTGTGATCATCACGGAGACACCCTTGAGGGAGCCTGCGGACCGAAAGAAGATGCTGGAGGTGAGGCCTGCCGGGGCCTGCTCCCACTCGGGAGCGGGAAACAGACTGACACTATGTCTGGACTGATTGGGCACCAGGAATTCTGCTTTTTAAGATAAATTGCCAACCAGGTGTGGTGGCTTATGCCTGTAATCCCAACACTTTGGGACTCCCAGGCAGGCAGATTGCTTGAGCCCAGGAGTTCAGGACCAGCCTGGGCAATATAGTGAGACCCCTGTCTCTATAAAAAATACAAAAATTAGCCAGGTGTGGTCCCAGCTACCTGGGAGGCTGAGGTGGGAGGATCAGTTGAGCCCGGGAGGTCGAGAATAGAGTGAGCTGAGATCACGACACTGCACTCTAGCCTGGGCAACAGAGCAAGGCCCTGTCTCAAAAAAACAAACAAACAAAAAAACCCAACAGAAACCAACAAATTGCCCCACAAACATTTCCCAAGAACCTAGTGAATGCCTGGTGTGCCACTAAGCAGGGGAGCTCACGGAGGCCCCACCTGCAGACGGACATGCAGCAACCAACGTGCTTGGTGGAAAGGGGGTTACCAGGGAGACGTGGAATATTTGCTTATGGATTCCATAATTGCTGATACAGGCCATGTTCTGGCCCTCAGAGAGCTTCCATGAAGGGGTTAAGAAATAATTCCAGGTAGTGATGAGTTCTAGAACCATAATGAAATGGGATCATGGTGGACTGTTGGGGGTGGGGAACCTGTTTGAAGAGAGCGCTCAGGAAGGGCTTCTCTGACGGAGGTGATTTCAGCAGCAAGAGCGGCAAGAGGCAAATAGGATGGTGAGGTTGGAGGAGGCTGGGCCTTGTAGGCCTGGTAGGCTGTGGGGAGTGCTTGGATTCTACTTTAAATCAAGGATTGGCAACCCAGTGAGCCAAATCCGGCCCACCACCTATTTTGTAAATAAAGTTTTATTGGAACATAGCCACACACATTCATTTATATGTTATGTAAGATAGAAAGAGAGAGGAAAGAAAAAAGAACATATGCTCATTGCCTGGTAGGTAAAGCCCTATTATTATTTTTTAAATAAAAACTTTCCAAACATGAAGACAAAACAGGAATTCTGATATTTAGGGTTTGGCAGAGTGTGCTTTCATACGACAGCATCTGAGTTAAGTTGTTGCAGCAGAGACTGTTTGAGACCATACATCAAGTTAAAGGCTAAAATATTTACTATTGTAGGTTTACTAGGTAAAATACGTGATGCCTAGTTAGACTTGAGTTTCAGATAAATTACAAATAATGTCTTAGTATTTAAGTATGTTTCATATTGCATGGGGCATACTTACACTACAATATTATTTATTATTGATCTGACATTCACATGTAACTGGGCATCCTGTAGTTTTATTTGCTGAATTTGGCAACCCTTACTGTCTATCCCTTTACAGAAAATGCTTGCCAGCCACTGCTCTAAGTGAATAGGAAGTTCCTGGGGAGTTTTAAATGGAGAGTTTTAAATGGGGGAGTTGTATCTGATTTTCTATTTGAAAAAGAGGACCTTGGCTGCTATTTTGAGAAATGGCTGGTGGGGGGACAATTTTCTGAGAGTAGTAATGGAGGGAGCCCCCTCCCACTGAGGGGAGACGATGGGCTTGTGGGGGCTTGAAGAGGTGAGTAAGTGGCTGGGACCACAGAAGGGTTGACTGTTAGGATCTTTCTGCTTCTATGGGATTAGAACCTTGGGGAGGCTGCCAGAGCTGAGGAATGGGGGGCAGGGGGGCTTTGTAAAGATTCAGGGGGTGAGGAGCAGGGGGAGAAAACCAGCCCAGGGACTCTGGCAAACCCTAAATACCAGAATTCCGGGTTTGTCTTGACGTTTGTAAGGTTTTTATTTAAAAGAAAAAATAAGGCTTTTCCTGCCAGGCAGTGAGCATCTTTTCCCTTTTTTTCTTTTTTCTTTTCTTTTCTTTTCTTCCTTCCTTTCCTTTTTCCTTCGTTCTGGCGTCTTTTTTCTTGTCTGTCTTATCTTTCTGGTCTGTCTTTTCCAGTCTTCCTCCACTGTTTGGAGACAGTGGTGAATACGCAACACTTGTTTCTTTTCTAATCTGTTCTTCCTTCTAAAGAGGCGGTTCAGGCTGCACATGTGACCCGTGGCCATGTTGCTCCTGCAGCCAGTGTCCCAGAACCATTTCTTGCAGCCACAGAGCTCTTCTCACCTCTTCACCGAAGTGGTCTTCTGAACAGCCACGACCAGACAAGCTCCTGAGGGCAAACCCAGCTCCCCTTCTAATCCTCCAGAGCTGCTGCATTATCCTCACTGCATAAGCTCCAGGGGCCCTGGGCGCAGCATCCTGGGGCAGCCCGAGAGTCCCCCCGAGGATGGGGCTCTGTGCTGACTTCAGCTTTGACTGCTGAGCAGGCTGGGGGGAAATGCACTGAGTGAATTCTCCCTCGTTGCAGATCCTGTTTGAGTTGCTGCATGTCCCATCGGTCCTCCTGGCCGACCAGCTGCAGATGTCCCTGTATGCCTCTGGCCTCCTGACCGGAGTGGTGGTTGATTCTGGCTATGGCCTGACCCGCGTGCAGCCTTTCCACCAGGGCCGCCCCTTGCCCGCCAGCGGCAAGACGCTGGAGTTCGCCGGCCAGGATCTCTCCGCCTATCTCCTCAAGAGTCTCTTTAAGGAAGATTGCGATAGACGCTGCCTGTTTCAGCTGGAGACAGTCGCCGTGACTCAGATGAACAAGTGCTACGTGCCGCAGAATCTGGGGGAGGCCCTGGACTTTCGTGAGAGGCAGCAGAGTGCCTTGGATGAGAGCAACACCTATCAGCTCCCAGACGGCTCCCGCGTGGAGCTGACCCCCATGCAGCGGGTGGCTCCTGAGATGTTCTTTAGCCCGCAGGTGTTCGAGCAGCCGGGGCCCAGCATCCCACGGGCCATTGTGGAATCCGTGGAGTCCTGCGAGATCTCCCTGCGCCCCCTGCTGGTCTCCCACGTGATGGCCTGCGGGGGCAACACCCTCTATCCCGGGTTCACAAAGCGCCTGTTCAGGGAGCTGATGGGGGATCACGTCTCCTCCACCAAGGCCACAGTCTGGGAGGGTTCCAATAGAAACTTTAGTGTCTGGCTAGGAGCGTCCGTGGTGGCTCACCTTTCTACCTACCAGTCTGAGTGGATGTCCCGAGAGGAGTATGGTGAGCATATGAGGATGTGACCCTACTGGCTCACTCCTGAGAATGGGCTCCTGTTAGATGGGCACGGGCGGATTAATTTTAGCAAAATGTTCTGGGTGGGGGTAGAATGAGGTGGGGTGGGGTGAGCTGGCTTTGGAATTCTAGGGGCATGAGGGTATTTTTTAGGTTCTAAGGTTTTATCTTGTTGCAAGAGTGGGACCTACCCAAGGGGGAAGACAAGATGTCATCCTTGGAAACCCTGCAGGGGACAGTTTTTCCAGGGTGGCCTATCATTGGGGTATGAGTGGCTGACTGCCATCTCCATGCCTGAGAGCCACTGATTTTTCATTGGCATTTCCCCTGGTTTGTCTCATTCTTCTTGGTTGAGTAGGTTTTAACTGGGGTAGCACTCCTGCTAGGAGTCCCAATTATTTTTGACTAGGGGATGGGGGACAGTTGACATTTCTGGTCCTACAGGCCCTTTCTGGCCAGGGAGGCATTGCTGCAGGTGAGCCTGGGATGCCCTTGCCACCCGTGGTTGGATCTTGTTTTATATCTGCAAATAAATAGCTTGTTTGGAAGCAATGCTGGCTCCTGTGATGGATGGGGGTAGGGTGCGCAGCCCCTTGGGGAGACTTAGGGAGTGTAAGTGTGAGAGAGCCAGGTGGGGGCCAGGGCGGGCTCTGAGGTGTCTGGGGCCTATGAACAGTGGCTGCCACTGAGCAGAATAGGCAAGGGTCTGGACCCCGTGTTCTTTCACTGCCACATTCTATCCATCCATCCCAGGTGTCCCAATATTCTGTTTAAAGTTTCCCTTCTTATTCGTATTTGTTTGGTATATATCTGATGCATATTCAAGTACCTAGCATGTTTTAGGAGCTGTGCTGGACCTTGGGGACTTGAGAAAGATGTACAAGGTTTCTGGTTTCAAGCTTACAGCCTCCTGTGGGATCTATTGTAGACAGTATATAAGTAAACATATTTCTGATGATGAAGAATGAAATGAATCAAATGTGACACGGTCATGTGATCTGGAGGTGGAGGGATGGCCACTTTCAATGGAGTGGACTGAGATGAGGTTGCTAGGGACCATCAGTAACTGTGTCTTCTCCTTCCACGGCACACTGTGAGGCAATGCTCCCAAGTCTCCAGCAGTTATATAGGGCCAGGTGGCTGAGTTCTGGCTCAGTTGGCATGCACCTGACCTTAAAAATACTCCTTCACAGCCTGTGGGATGGGTCAATGGGGAGGACGTGTAAGCCCTAGGGGATGGATGGCAAATGCTGCAGATGGAAGGAGCCTGAGTGCCTAGGTGGAGCAGAAACCCCTGCCCAACCCCACCAACACTAGCCTGTGGCATGAGGAATCTATGTTCAGCCACTGAGAGTGTGGGGATGTTTGTTACAGCAACTGTTTTGCTTACTCTGACTAATACAGAGAAGGGAGCCACAATATACTATTTATTTAATAAAATGTGTTTTCTGTTAAGTGCCAGAACTGGGGTTTGAACCCAGCCTGGACTCTCAACCACAGTGTTATCCAGCTGTTTCTGAAAGGGATTCTTGGCTCCTTAATGTTAAGAGCTGGAATAGAGTAACAAGTGTAGTTTGGAAGACTGAAGCTCAAGGAACCCAGATATCTCAGGGCAAGTAGAGGAATTTGGAGGGCAGAGTCCAACTCACCTTGTCTTTGAACACATGAGCCATATTCTCATGTGTTTGCTCCCACACTTGAAGCATCAGCAGTCCCCAGGGAAAAGAGTGGGGGCCTGGAATAACAATTCTTAGGTAGACCAACTCAGAACCAGCCTGGTGCAAGCCCCAGACTTGGTGTCAGATTGAGTTTCAGGCTGGCCCTATCATGAGCTGAGCTGCCTTGGGCAAGTTATTTAACCTCTTTGAGTCTATCAAGTATAAAATAGGAAGTAATAACCACCTTCTCTCAGAGATTTGGAGTTGAAGATGAACTAAGATAGGGGATGAGAACTCACTTTGAAGCTGTGACGTGCTACTGAGGTAAGAGAAATGACTTTCAAGCTTTTAAGTTGATGTCACTCGCCTATTAAACATGAGTGTTAATAACAATGGCAGCTACCATCGCTTGCCAGGCGTTGTGGTGAGAGCTTTACAAATGGAATCACATTTAATCCTCACGTGCACACTGTGAAATGAGTGACGTTTGTCTCCACTTACAAATAAGAAAACCAAAGATGAGCGATGTTAAACACTTGTTCAAGTTCACACTCAAGTTCAAGCTAATCATGATTTGTCAGAGTTAGGAATGGATTCAGCATTCCTAGAACACTAGGCTAAAAGTGGCTGAAACAGATTTATTTGTCTCAGGCAACAAGTAGACACTCCAGGTGAACAGTGTCAAATCTACATCACCAAGGTCTCTCTTTTTCTTTCCATTTCTCCACCTTCAGCATGTAGGCTTGTTGGATTGTGGTCACAAAACAGCTGTGGCAGCTCCAGGCATCACCCCCTATATTTCCTGCAGGAAAAGGAAGCATGAAGGGAGTGTCTTATCTGGGTCTGTCACTTGCTATTAGAAAGTTGTCACCTAGCAGATTTCTGTTTGGCTCATTACTTGGAGGTAGCTGAAATAGGTGACACACAGGTTTGAGTGAGCTGATTCACAGTGTCTGTTCCTTGGCAGAGGAGGGCTTTGAATCTAGGTCTGTCCATACTAAAGCCTGTGTTATCACCGATAGTGGCAGGCTGCCTTCTCAGCTTTCTGGGCCTTCTTGGTTCCCTTGGCCTGAGATGCGGATGTGTGATTTTTTCCAGGCTTGTGTGAAAGCTGCTTTCGGATAGCAGTCGAGGTGTGGGCACCCTGGGCAGAAATCTTTGCATTTGAAACCCCTATATTTGTACACACCTGAGCCTTAAAAGGCAGAAGTGGGGGAAACTTAGAAATGAGGACAAGGAAAAGGAGGGCCTGGAGAGGAGATGGGCAAGGGGCATTTTCTTTCCTTATTTAGCTCTGGGCAACTGTCATCAGAACCCTTTTCCTCATTTCATTCTGAATGTAACATTTAACCTTTCTGTTCAAGCATCAAATCTGGCTGCCTAGTGTATAATTATGAACTTTTCTTCACTTTCTCTCCCCCCTCCCCCACTCCCAAAGCTTTTAGAACTCCCTTGTTGGGTACTATCTCTCTCCTCTGACTCTCCAATTAAATTAAAAATAGCAGCTCCATGGGCCGTGTGGGGCCTTCAACCTAATGCGGAACTGCTGGCACGCCTGGCCTGGCGGGGTGGTACGTGGTGCCCAGAAGATGCCTGCTGGGCTCCAGCAAGTCCTGGCAGCTGCTCAGAGCTCGAGGAGGCTCATCCTCTGTGAGAGGTCTGGGGCTGCCTGCCAGGGGCAGCCAGGTGCAGAGGGGAGGGAGGCAGGGTCTTGGCAGCTGGGTCAGGGGCTGGGTGGGGCTGGCAGAGGGGACAAAGGGAAAGAGCCCCCAGGCAACCCATCCCCAGTTCTGAGGATACAGTCCTGCCAATTTCTGCTGCCAAGGCTGGGGCTTAGTACCCTTGCATCTGGGTGTGGGTAGGGTTTGGATGCCTGAGTTCCCCAAGATAACCCTGGCAGAAACTTTAGGTTCTGCTGATGCAGAGAACCAAGTCGACATTGACACTGAGCACCCTCCTGGCTCTAGAGGAGAAGTGTGTGGCCTCTCCCACCTCCAGGGCCCTTTCTTAGACAGATGGTAAAATGGACAAGGGCATGAGCTCTGAAGCCAGACTTCATGGACTGCAGTCCCCGCTCTGCTGCTTTCTGGCTCTGCTAACCTCCCTATGCCTTACTTTGCCTCTCTGTAAAGTGGGCCCAATAAAGATGCCTACCTCAGGGTGGCTTAGATGATTGCCATATAGTTTTAGTGAGTTAACATACATAAAACACTAAGCGAACACCAGGCACATGAAGGTTAGCTATTATTTCGTACACACCAGCCTCTATTGGCCAAATCCCTAGGCACACACCTGGCTCATTTTATATGTACTTGTTCACAGGCAGATAGATGCTAGTGATACAACATGGTTAAAACATAAAGTGCTGGCTTAGTTTCCCCGGGGAAAGGCATTGCAGGGTAATTTCTTTTCTTGTCTGAATGTTGTGGTCTGAATGTTTGTATCCCTACAAAATTCATGTTGAAACCTCATCCCCATAGTGGTGGTGGTAAAAAGGTGGGGCCTTTTCGGAAGTAAGTGATTGTCATGAGGGTTCTGTCCTCATGAATGGGACTAATTCCCCATAGAAGAGGGCCTTGTGTGCCTGGCCCTCCAGTCTTCCACAATGTGAAAGCACAGCATTCCTCCCTTCTGGAGGATGCAGCGATAAGGCACGGTCTTGGAATCAGAGAGTGGACCCTCACCAGACACCAGATCTGTGGGTGCCTTGATCTTGACCTCCAGACCTGTGAGCCAAACATTTCTAATCTTTGTAAATTATGCAGTCTGTGGTATTTTACTATGGCAGCAGGAACAGACTAAGACATGGAGTGATGGGGTAGAATCACATTCTGGACACGGAGGTATCACAGGTGTCGGAGGGTACATGGCACCAGGGAGAGGTAAACAGCCAGAGGTGTCTTCTTGTAGGAAATGATGCCTGAGGTGGCTCTTGCCAGAGGAACAGGACTTTGCAGATGCTGTTCCTTTTGTTTGGAATGCTTTTCCCCACTGCCACCCCCATGGTTGCCTTTGACACCTTGGTATGGGGGGTTAAATAGATGGAACATTTGAAGTGGCTGGGGAATGAGAGGGAGTAGGGAAGGATGAAGGTGGTTGTTGACAGGCTCAGCTCTTGAAGGACATCAGGGGTCACATCAAGGACAGACTTGTAAGCAGAATTATGACATCACTGGAGAACGCAGGGCTCTCTGGGTATAGCTCGGAGAATATAGGGGCTCAGAGAGGGATCAGACAAAGAGTGATAACATACACCATAAAATAGATATTTCACTAGACTCTAGGCTAACAATTCTATATCACCTGGGACCTTGTTCCCCTCTGATGTCTTGGGTTGGGAATTTGGCTTCAGTGATACTTGGGGTCTTGGTGAGTTTGAGGGGCTAACAGATCTTCCCTATCCTCCAGCAGTGGTTGCAATTAGTTATCAATTTTGGAGCTATTTTAGTGCCTGGGTTATGGCAGGAAAGGCAGCCCAGAGTGAAAGACTTCGGAAGAGTAATCTCAAGGTGGAAAAATGAGATGAATTCACATTGAGGGCAAGACCAGCTCTTCGTCAGTTGCGTACATCTGTGCTTGTTCCATTAGCTCTTCCGTTCAGCACTACAAGTCTTGGACAGCTCCCCTGGGCTTCTCACCTCCTCTCCCCTCTCATTCATGATTTCTGGTTCCAAGAAGCCAGTCCCTACTGAGAAAGCAGGAACCCTGGCGGAGAGGACAAACTCTGTTGTCAAAGTCAGGCAGATGCAGGCCGGAATCTCTGTTCCTCACTTATAAGCTGTGTTGCTTTGGGCAAAGCACTGCCCGTCTCTGGTTCCATGGCCTCATCTGTAAAGTGGTGATAATAATACCTAACTCATAAGGCTGATATGGGAATTAAAGCCATTTATCCATTTAGTGAAATTCAGTAAGCACTTTCTCTGTGTCCTAGGCCCTTTGCTAGGCTCTGTTAAATTGAAGCATGTTTGTAAAGTGGCTTAGCAGAGCTTGGCACATAGTAGGTGCTCAATAAAGGTAATTTTTCTCCCTGAATCACTGCAAGAAAAATCCAGGACTAAGGATGCCAGGAGACTCCACGATGATGCACGGGCCCCAGCACACATTCATGCTACTAGGAAAGGTTCCTTTTCATCCTGTCCTTTTGATTAACTTTTCCACTAACGTGTTAGGATCTTGATATACAACCATCTTAGGAATCTTCAGAGTTTTAAGAGGCCCTAAAATCAGAGTATGAGAGGTGGGTCTACTCTTCTTCTGTAATTAATACAGAGTTAATGACACTCGCCCAAATTCAGGCCATTCTCCTGATTACCTAGATCTGTGGTTGTCCCCTCTACAATTACCTCCCTCCAGGGAGAGGACATTGCTTTCACCTAGGAAGGACAACACTGATGAACTGAAGACACAGATTCATCTTGGCAAGCCTTGCTGAACACCAGGTGGGGCTGCTGGGGACATGGAGAACAGACCTGACTCCCACTCCTTAGGGTTTGATGGGAGTGGACATACCCCCAGGGAGGTGGGGGGCAGGCCAGAGCCATCTCCTCTGTAACCCTGTGCTTGTGGGGTCATGATCTTAGCCCAGCTCTTCCAGCCAGCAAATCAGTCTCCTGGAGCGACTGAGAGCCTTGCCATGTTGCTCCCACTGGAGACATTCGGCAGGGGGAAGGGGTTGGTCGTAATCCGGGTTTAATTTCTCCAGGGCCTCCATTATGAATTCCATAACTCTACCAGTCAAAACATGACTAATTCCTGGGACTGCAACCCCCACCTGGGAGTAGAAAGCTCTGTGCTGTTTTTGCTACCTTTTGTCACCACTAATAAAGGCTTGGCAGTCGGAATTTAGCTGCTGTGGGTGGTTTTCTTACCCATGTGGGCTTTCCCTTCCCCCTACGGGGTCACTGTAGAGTGAATGCTTGCTTGCCTGCTGGGCTGGTTTTCCACCAGCTTTGTAATATTCCCAGCCTGAAATGCCATGGTTTTGGGGGCAGTTTGCAGAGAAGGGGCCACGGCATTCAGGGTTAATTGGGCCTTTGATGATTTTGACAAGGGTAGGATACTGCGTGATTTATGGAGCAAAGAATGGGTTGGTTGAAAGTAAAAGAGCAAAATTGCAGGTGTGATGTTTAACCTGCTGAAGAGAACATGATTCAGGACGCATTCCCTCGCCTAGCTGGCGTGATAGTCTTTGGGAGAGTGGGCCGTGCAGACAGTGAAACTGTGCAAATTGTTGTTTCACCCCCACCGCCCATCCCCTACCCCTCACTAGCTGCAAAACCCTGAGCAGGTTACTTAGCTTTTCTGAGCCTCAGTTTCCACATCTGCAAAATGGTACAGACTGGCCATCAGCCCCAGCTGTGCAGCAGGGTTGTGTGTGGCTGTGTATTTAGCACAGGGCCTGGCCCATCAGGAGGCCATGGAGGTGGCGGAAACAATCTTCCTGTGGTCGTGTTATTTTATCAAACACCATAGTCATTGCATAGTCATTAGAGATGGTCCCTGAGGGCCTGGCTAAGGTATGAGTTTGTTGTCTCTGCAATAAGCAAAGACCAACTTGGCTTTCATCTCTCTAAAAGCAGCACCTGGTTCCAACCACCTGGCTCTCTACCTGGAGTTAATGTGGTCTCGCTCCAGGTAGGAAATGGGGGAGCCTTTGACTTGGGGAGTCAGTGGAACCATCTGTGCATGGGGAGGGAAAGGGGGTACGTGTCGAGGGCTGGCCCTGTCTTGGAAGAGAAGGGTGGGGATGGTGGAGCCGGGGCCAAGGCGATGAGGAGGTGAAACAAGGTGGATCTGCCTGGTGAGCCCTTGAGAGGGTCCGTTCAGCCAAGAGCCGCTCAGTCTGGAAGGATAAAGGCTGGAGGAGAAGCCCGAATTTCCACCCTGGCTCTGTCACTGTCTAGCTGTGTGACCTTCGGCTGATTACCTAGCGTCTCTGAGCTCCAAACCCCTCATCTCTAAAATGAGGATAATCATAGTATCTACCCTATGGCTTATAAAGCATTATCTGAGCTTACCTTAAGCAGAAAGCTTAGCGCGGGGCCTGGCACTTAGTGAATGTGCAGTGTTGGCTGCTGCTATGATTATCGTGATTGCGATCATGTTTACTCATCTTTTCAGCTGCTTTCATAGGGGGTCCTTGGCATGAACAGACACAATTGGTCTGGGGTTATCAGTTGTGGCTGGAGGCTGTGAGTTGGTGACTCTGCTGCAGGGAGCAGCATCTTGCCAGATGTAGATGGATGCTCTCATCCTGACACCCCTGAGAGCCTCATGGCACGTCTCAGAGCAGGCTCAGACCAGGCCTCTCCTTTAAGTGCTGGGTAAGAGTTTTAATGTGAAAAGCTGCCTCTCCTCCAGCTTCTGGAGGACTGGAGTCAAAAAAGAGAATGTCAGTGTCAGGTAAGGACTCCTTTAGGCTAAACTGTTGACCTGGTGGCCATGACCTTGAAAGTCAGATTCACCTTGGATAAGCAGGAGTCACAATAAATACTTTCCCTGTTGTCTCTGACTTCAGACTCTCTCCATAAACTGCCACTCTTTACCTGCTCCACAGGCCACCGTCTCTCACCTGGGTTCCCGCAAGGAGCTCTTACCAGCCTTTCCTGTCTTCAGCTTTGTCTCTACCCCCATTCCGCAGGGAACCTGTGAAAGGCCGTGTCGGGCCATTCAGCCCCTTTGCTTAAAAGCCCTCCCATCTCATGCACAGTAGAAAGCCCAAGTCCCCACTGCATCCTGTAAGGGCCTGCTCAGTCTGGCTCCTGGTCCACTCTGATCGCCTCTCCTCTCCCTCGCTCAGTCTTCAGGCCCCCCAGGAACTAGACCGGCCTCCCCACTGCTCCCTGGTCCTGCCAAGTGTGCTCTGCCCAGACCTTTCCCCTTGCTGTTCTTTCTGCCTGCAGCACCTTCCCCAGACAGCTGCTGGTGCATTTTCTTGCTTCTTCAAGTCTTTGGTCAAATGCCACTTTACTAGAGAGGACATCCCTGACTGCCCCCATTCCCATTAAAAATTAAAAGCCCCCACAGCTCCTCTCTTCCCTCTTCCTGATTTATTTGATTTTTTTTTCTAATTTGTCTCTCCATTAGAATGAAGCTCCATGAAGGCAGGAATTTGTTTCATTCACTGCTGTTATCCCCAGTGCCTAGAACAGTGACAGCACATAGTAGTTGCTCAATAAATGTTTATCAAATGAATTAGTGATGGAATCTTCCTTCCCTGAGGGTGTGTCTATAATCTACACACAGGATGGGCAGTCAACTCTTCCTTCTCTTCTGAGAACCAAACAAAGGCATGTGGCTCCAGCATCCAGCAGGAGGTATTGAGGTGATCCGCTTGTAAAACTTTCTGGCATTGAGCTAAAGATTGGTATAGCCTTGTGAGTGCATTGATGGAGATGCCTTTCTAGGAGGTTTGAAAGCCTCTCATCTGCAGGGATGTATATTTAGTTAGCTGCCTGGTAGAACTTTCTGTCGTGGGAAGGTGGGTCTGATTAGAGTGAAAAAGAAGAAGCCGAGAGAGGTGATAGGATGCAGTCAAAGTTGGTCACTTAGTAGCAGAATCAAGGTCCAAGTCAGGTCATGTTATTTAACAGTCCTCGCTTCCATTTATCAGGCACCTACTATGGCGTAGGTACTGGAGCTACACAGATGAATGGCTCCTACCCTTGAGGGGCTCTCGGTCTAGACCCTTGATCCCACCACCTGATCTTCCCATCCATCCATCATTTAAGGCTCTGTCACCTGTTCTCCCTCATGCTGCAATGTTCCGGGCACACTCCCCACCTCCTTCCCTGACCATCTTGCTACCTTGGCACTTTTTGCTGGCTTGCCTCTCTCCCTTTCTCTTCAGTCTGGCTTAAAGCACCATCATCTGGCTAAGGAATCTGGCTCATGATCTAAGCCAGGGAATATTAGCCCCATTTTACAGATGAGCAGACCAAGGCCTTAGCTTGACTCGAAGACACTATGGCTCAAGACACCATCATCTGGTTCAAGACACCATGGTGTCTTGGTGCTTCCATTAAGAGCACAGGTGACCTAGGAGGGTGGGTAAGGGATAGGGCTGGAACTGGGGGCCTTGAATGCCTGGTTGAGGAGCAAGGCTTTATCTGGAGGCTGGTGGAGCTTCCAGAGTTCTGTGCCTTAGGCTGTGATATGCAACAGGCTGTGATGTACTCAGCTCAGCCTGTGTCCTGGCTCTTGCATATAATGAATTGGAGCATCATTTCTATTTCTTGGATATTTTGGGGAGGCTGAGCCTTATCTCTCTCAACTCAACCGCAGCTACTGGAGTCCAGGGAACTTCATCTCAGAGTCCTTGGGCAACAGTAAATTGGAGTGGAGAGACCTCAGCCTCTGTTTTTAGATGGGAGATCCAGTTGAAAATCTTGGTTCCCTGTGAGCCTCAGTTTTCTCATTTATAAATTGAGATGAGAAAACATTCCTTGTCATTATTGGGAGGATGTGATGAGTCCTAGCATGTGAGATGCCCATCGCAGTGCCCGGCCTGTTGTAACCATTCATCGAGAAGCTTGCAGAGCTGTGGTTGAAGGTGTTCTCTCTGGAGCCAGGAGGCCTGGGTGCCAACCCGGACTGTCACTCTCCAGCACCGTGACTTGGCTTTTCTGTGTGACGTAGTTAATATCTGCCTGATGGGGTTGTGGGGAGGGAGGATTCAGGGAGATCCTGTAGGAAGCCCACAACACACGTGCCTTCTTAGATTAAAGCCTTTGTCTTGTCATCATTGCTAGGAAAATGGTGGAATGTTGTAGAAGGAACTAGGAGAGGCAGGGTCTCTTCTAGCTCCTTAATTTACATATGGGGAAACTGAGGCCCAGAGAGGCAGAGCAGAGACACAGGTCCCTGACTTTTAGGCCTGCCCTCTCTCCTCAGTTTCATTGTTACTGATTGCGGTCTGTCCCCCCACCAACCCCAAGGATGGGGACAGTGGGGGTTTGGTGACAGTGTCCTGCCTGCTGCAAATGTGGCACCTCCAAGGGAGCGTCTGTGGGGGAACTGTAGCTGACATGCCATTCGAATCCCCATTTGGGAGATGCAGACACTGGTTCCATGAAGGCTGCTGCTTTTCCCCCTAAATGAGAAAAAATGTCTTAGATATGCCTTGTGCTGCAACCACCCCTAATCTGCAAACCCTGTAATTCTCCAAAAGAGGGAAGGGAAAGGAAAAAAAAAAAACATGCCTACACAGTCTGGCCGACTCATAGGCCAAGATTTAGAGACGGGAGCTGTAGTGAGGTCTCGCATTACTGAGCCTTCATTACTTTTACAAAATATGTTCTGGTGGGTTCACCCGCAGCTATAAAGTGCCGTCGTAAATAATTAAACTCCACTTGTCAAGGGGGCTGGGAAAGGGTGGTGAAACATGGTGTGTGTGAGGAACACTGGGCTGGGAGATAGGTGTCCTGGGACTCTGGCCTGTCTCTGATCTCTGTGCCCTTGGGGGAGGGGGGCGGGCAATTTCACCTCTCCTGGCTCTGGCTTCCCCCTGTGTAGAATGAGGAGGTTGGAGCAGGTGGTCTCCTGAGTCCCGGCTAGCACTGATGGTCAACAGTGCTCAGCTGCAGTGAGTGTGCATTTTGGGGAAAACAACTCCGGGTTTCTCAATCTTCCTTCTAGTCATCCTTCCATTTACCCAAGTTCCAAGTGCTTTGTCAGACGCTGGGAAAGAAGAGGTGGTTACGACATAGGCAGCCTCAGCTCTTTAGAATCTCTCAATTCAGTGTAGAAAACCATCCAAGAAACTGATCACAACATCAGAGCAGCCCAGAGTCCCGTGGATGTGCAGGAGAGGGGCAGCAGCTACCCAGCCTGGGAGGGCTTCCTGGAGAAGGTGCCATTGAGCCAAGTTTGGAGAATGGGTAGAAGTTACTCAAGGAAGGACATTCAAGACAGAATAGCCTGTGCAAAGGCGCAGAGGAGGGCCCAGCAGTTAGAAGACTGGCTGGTGCTTCCATCAAGAGCAAAGGTGACCTGGGAGGGTGGATGAGTGATAGGGCTGGAGCCAGGGGCCTTGAATGCCTGGTTGAGGAGCATGGCTTTATCTGGAAGCTGGTGGAGCTTCCATAGTTCTGTGCCTTATCCTGTGATATACAACCTTACCAAAGCCAGGGTGGAATTTAAGTAGGTTTGCCCCTGCCCAACCCCACTCTGCCCCTGTTTCTTCCTTGGATTAGGTAGGATTGGTGGAGTGCTTTAGTCTGCTCTGGCTTCCATAACAAACACCACAGGTTGGGTGGCTTATACAGCATAAATGTGTTTTTTCACAGTTCTAGAGGCTAGAAGTCCAAGGTCACGGCGTCAGCAGGTTGGTTTCCTCTGAGGAGCCTGTCCTTGGCTTTTGGATGGCTGCCTTCTTGCTGCATCCTCCATGCACACACATCCCTGGGATCTCTTTGTGTGTTTATATAAGAATACCAGTTAGATTGGATTACGGTCCACCCTAACGGCCTCATTCTAACTTAATCACCTCTTAAAAGGCCTTATCTCTACATACAGTCACATTCTGAGGTCCTGGGGCTTAGGGCTTCCGGAATTTTGGGGGGACACAAATCAGTCCATAACATGGGGCTTCACACATTATTGGTGGAGGAATGGGGTTGTCCCTTGAGCTCCTGGGGAGACTTCTATGATGGGAAGATTCATAGAATGTTCTGGCCAGATGGGGCAGCCATTCCTGCCTCTCCCAGTCCCGCCTCCCAGCTTAGCAGATGGAAAAGGCAAAGCTCAGAGGAGTTTCAGCTTGCCTAAGGACACAGCAAATGGGTGGCCCAGCAGGATCAGGACTCAGCACACTGGACGCCCCACACTCCGCCTTGCAAGGAGTGAAGCCTGTGCGAACGTTGTCCTTTCATGCCTTGGTCCCCTTTACTGAACAAGAATTCTGGCAGCCCCTCTTACCAGCTGGTTGTCCAGGGTAAAGTCACTTTGCCTCTCTGAGGACCTTGGTCTGCTCCTCTGTGAAATGGGGCTAGTATTCCCTGGCTTAGCTCCTGGAATTACTATGTGGACTATGTGTTCTTGTTATGAATATATTAATGCACTCTGGTGGAAGGGAGGCCCAGAGATGGCCAGATGGCCAAAAGTCACATACCCTGCTGCAATGGACTGAATGTTTGTCCTCTGCAAAATTCATATGTTGAGACCTAATCCCCAGTGGGGCGATATTAGGAGGTGGGGCCTTCAGGAGCCTATAAGGCCATGAAGGCAGAGCCCTCACGAATGAGATCAGGGCTCCATAAAGGGCTGAAGAGACCCGAGTTCTCCCCAGCTACCAAGTGAGGACACCGAGAGAAGGTGCCATCTGTGAACCAGAAAGAGCACCCTCATCAGATGCCAAATCCGCAGGCTCCTTGATCTTAGACTTCCCAACATCCAGACTGTGAGAAATACATTTCTGTTATTTATAAGTTCCCCAGTTCATGCTATTTCATTACAACAGCCTAAACAGACTAAGACAGCCTGTTCTAAGGGTCCTGGCTTTGGAGACCCCACTCCTGCTTCTGTCTCCCTGGGCTGGCCACGAAGGTGAAAGAGGAGGGGTGTGTGTGTCTATTTATTTCCACTGCCTCTTTCACATTACAGGACGAGCCTGACCCGTTTCAGCCCATTAACAGCCAGCAGGCTTGGCTTGGTGGTAGCCGGTTGGTGGTTGTAGCAGCAGACACAGCAGGTGCCAGCTGGGCACAGCTCTTAAAAGGGCAGTCTCAGCTCCCCACTGGGGTTGTCCAGGTCTCCTGTTGGAGTCCCTCGCTGCGGTTTTGGGAATGGGTGGCTTGAGGACAGGCCTGGGTCAGGCTGGGGTCCTGCTCTAGGGGTGGGGTGCAGGGCTGCCCCAGGGAAGGGCAAGCTGGTTCCGGACAGTTGACTTCAGGGCCCTTGCCCGGTGCTCTCCCCACACCTTCAGATTCTTTTGCTTTTTATTCTCTCTCTCTTTCTCATCTCCTCACCATTTCTCAGACTCCTTTCTCTCCTGCAGAAGTTATACTAGAGAGGATTGAAGGAATCAGGCATGTTTTCTTTTCTTTTTTTTTTTTTTTTTTTGAGATGGAGTCTTGCTCTGTCGCCCAGGCTGGAGTGCAGTGGCGCGATCTCGGCTCACTGCAAGCTCCACCTCCTGAGTTCACACCATTCTTCGGCCTTAGCCTCCTGAGTAGCTGGGACTACAGGCACCCGCCACCACACCTGGCTAATTTTTTTTTTTTTTTTGTATTTTTAGTAGAGACAGTGTTTCACCGTGTTAGCCAGGATGGTCTCGATCTCCTGACCTCATGATCCGCCCGCCTCGGCCTCCCTATCCCACCTCCACCAACCACTTCCTAGCAGGGTGACTCCATGAACGCTGAGTAACTTCTCCGAGTGGGTTTCTTGTCTGTAATGTGCAGACAGCAGTGCCCACCCTGAGGGCTGATTGTGATCATTGTGGGAGAGGATAACTTAGGTACAGAGGCTGAATGCCCCCTGCCTCTCCGTTTATTCTGGCCTGATTTCTGATCCAGGCTCACCTTCACATTGGGCAGATGGGACTTGCAGGGTGAAGGGAACACAGTGGTGCTTTCTCCTCTGTGTTCTGATCCAACTTGCTCTGTGGGGCGACGTCATCCTTTGCTACTAGATGAAACTGAGAGCGAGTCCCACAGCTTTCCTGGTCACTTAGGCAGTGAAAGTTTCCCTGATTACTTCTGTAATGTCCAGTCTCATGGAATAGTGAAAATGTGCAAATTCATTCATTTAAACTCAAGGCCTTTTCAGTCCCTGGGCCCAGGTCAGCTGGGGGCAAGAAGCAGGGTTGTGGTAGGGTCTCGATTTCCCACCTTGCTTTTCCTGTCTCCTCCCGATGGCTGGCAGTGTTTCTTGAGGGTCCTGCTCTCTGGGGTCAGAGGTAGGACAGGTGGGAAGAGAGAAGGAAGGGAAATAGGCAGAAGTGGACCAGAGTGGCACTTGTGAGCCGGGGTGAGTGCACTCTGGGCTTGGCCCATGTTTAAATCCCATGCTTTTTCATGTGGGACTTTGCTGGGTTCCTTGGAGCCCTGCCCCTTTCCGGGGCCCCCTCACCTGCAGCTCCTCTGGCTGGCCATCTGTCCTGGCTCTCCAGCTGCCTGGTGCTGAGGTGTCTTTGCTTCCTGGGGATCCTCGATCACTCCCGTGCCCTTCTCTTGTCCCTGAGAGATGCTCTGCCCTGACAAACACCAGGTTTTAGGTGCCTCCTCCCCTCCCCCACATCAACTTACCTTTTCCTGGGCGAGGCACATATGATTGTGTCCCCACTCAAGCACCCAAGGGAGGCATATGTAGCTGTCTAAGTAGCCTTGCTGAAGACCATCTGCTTGGGCTCAGGGTCAGGATGAGCACCCACCCTTCTCTCTTTGGAGGGACACTCCCTCATCACTCTCCCCAGAACTCTCCTCATCTCCTCCAGCCCCCTCTTGGCCTCTCCAACCTCTTTTTTTTTTTGTTTGAGACAGTGTCTCGCTTGGTCGCCCAGGCTGGAGTGCAGTGGCATGATCTTGGCTCACTGCAACCTCCACCTCCCAGGTTCAAGCGACTCTCCTGCCTCAACCTCCCGAGTAGCTGGGATTACAGGGGCCCACCACCATGCCCAGCTAACTTTTGTATTTTTAGTAGAGATGGGGTTTCACCATGTTGGCCGGGCTGGTCTCAAACTCCTGGCCTCAAGTGATCCGCCCATCTCAGCCTCCCAAAGTGTTGGGATTATAGGCGTGAGCCACCGTGCCTGTCCTCCAACCTCTTTTAACTAGAGGAAGGATCAGCAAGGCCAGTTCTTGGCCACTTCCTTTGAGATCCTGCTTGGGTGGTCTCACACCTCACCTTGGAATGAGGATGTGGTTGGCATCTGTTGTCTTAGGGCCTCATCTAAAACAGAGGCCAAAATGGTTCCATTTCAACACCTAGTTACCCTCAGGCATGCTCAAGCATTTCCACCTCAGTACCTTTGCACACGCTGCTGCTGCTGCTTCTGCCTGAGTGCCTTGTCCCCAGATCCCTGCATGGCTGGAGCCTCATTCTATGACCTCAGATACTTCATCTAGTCATGCACTTCCCCCTCCCCAGCTAGTCATGCTGTCAAATCATCCTCCTCTCTTTTCTTCTGCAGAGCGATTATAGAGACCTGGAATGATTTGTTTGTTTGCTTGTTTATTGTATGTCCCCACTCCCCCCGCCCCCACTACTTCCTCTGTTGCTTCTAGCCCATCAGCTCCGCAAGACTTCGTTTGTTTTGTTCACCACCATAGCCCTGGGGTTGATGGAAGTTCCTGGTGCAAAGATGACACTTAGAATGCCTTGGGTGATCTTCTCAATCCCCCGATCAGTCCATGCAAGGAGTCCACAGCCTGGCATGTGGGATCTGATCAGCCATTAGGACATCTCAAGGGGCCGAGGTAATAGGGACAGTAGTTCTCTGCCCATCCATTTGCTGCAGGTGGCAAATGTGTGTCTCTGGTCACAACGGCATGAGCCACATCGTCCAGCTTTCCCTGGGTCCTCTCCTGCACTGATGGGTCAGGAGCTGGGTCTCAGATGTGCAGACCCCAAGTGGAAGTCAAGGGCCGGGGGAGGTAGGTGTGAATATTGAAACAGGAAGAAGCAGGGAGATGTCTTGGTGGGTGGTGCCCATGGGAAGCTGAATGCCTCCTTGCCCAGAGGGGGGCCATGCTAGGTCCCCGAGATTGCCCAGAAGTGAGAGGAGGCTCGGCTGTGAGCAGGGCCTGCTGCGAGTGGGAAGGAGCAGAGCTTCCCCCTAGGGAGAAGCAGGCTTCATGAAGCAGGCTGGCCTGTGGGAGGGGCTAATCAGACCAGGGAGTGGGGGCTGGCAGGGACGGGGTACAGGCAGACCCATGGGGCAGGAGGGAGGTCAGGCAGAGAGAGTCAGTCTAGCCAGGGGAGAAGGGGCCTGAGAGTCAGTTTCTCTGGGGCCAGGGTTCTGGTCCCAGCTTTCTTTGGCTGGCTTGGCTTCAGTCCATGCTGAGGACAGTGGCCCAGTGGCCTGGGCTACACTTAATACCCAACCTGAAGCTCACAGACACTTTCCTTCGTCCTAATCATAATGAGGTCAGGAGTTTGAATGGGATCATTTACCTGCTGGGAAAGGGGAAAGCTCTGCAAATATTCACTGAGCACCTGCCAGGTACGAGATGCTGTTCTGGCCACCACTTTGCAGGGAGGGGCAGCAGATGTGGGACTAGGTGCCTCCTTGGGGTGGGCTGCAGGTGTTCACCGTGCACAGCTCTGCCTGAGCTCAGGATCAGCCACGCTTGGGACAGACCAGATATGCCTGGGAGTCAGTGCTCCAGTGTGGAATTGGTGGGGGGAGAGGTGGGGGTGCTGGTGGACAGAAGCCCAGCTTCCTTGCCTGTTCCTCATCCTCTATCCCTTGAGGGACAATTCTGAGCTGTGCTCACAGGGTCTCTTGAGTGCCCGCGGTGGTAACTGCCCATGAGCTCCCCTTTACTGGCCACCTTCCTTCTCCTTTCACTTCCCACCTTGCCGTGCTTCCTGCAGTCACCTCCTTAATGACGGACTTGTACTCCAATTCTTGTCTGCTTTGGAGGGAACCCAAATAAGAAAGGTGGCCTGGAGATGGGTGTGTTGTTTCTTTCATGGAGAAAGACAAGTTCAGAGAGGTTAAGCAGCTTCCCCCAAATCACTCAACCAGGAAGCGAGGAGCCTGGCTCAGAACCTGGGTCTGTCAGGTCCATGGGGACAAGAGAGGTCACGTGGGGAGGGGGAAAGAGGAGCTGGATTTCTGGAGTTGTTGCCTTCCTGGGGTCTTGTTTATAGGGCAGCAAAAGGTGAGAGTCTGTGCTCCCCAGGGATGGTCAATCTTGGGGTCACATCCAGCTTGGCTTCCAGAAGATTCTGTAAGGGACAAAATTTAGAAGAGACTGCTGACTCGAATCTGGGGCTTGGGGACCCCACAGGGCAGGGGTTGAGGGGTTAACATCATGCATAGTGATGGGGGGAAGAGTTCAAGGGATGGGGTTGGTCCAGCTGTGTCCAAGGGCAGTGGGTGGGGTCAGAGTGGGAGGGCCGCTCAGCAGGGGCCCTGCGGGTGGGGGTGTGAAATTAACAACAAAATCAGAGGGGAAGAGACTGTCATCCAACCCCGAGCCCCAGCCCTGCCCAGCACAGATGGTGCAATTAGAGGCTTGGGCAGATTCGCTGTAGAAGATGATGCCACTGGAGAAAAGGAGCCAGTTCTGCGGGGGGTCTTCTCTATTTTAAAAGCAGCCGGCAGTGTATAATTCCTGCGAGTAAATTGTATATTTAAGTGCTTAGGGTGGGGGTGCAGCCGTGGTACTTTCTTCTGTGTGGAAATTAGGACGATGCTGGGCCCTTGGATCTGGAGCTCCTGCTGGGAGGAGGAGGGAGGAGGGAGGAAGAGCACAGAACCATGTGCCAGGGCCCCCATTCCTCCCTCCAGAGGCTTGGAAAGGGAGGACAGGCAGATGGCACCCTCTCCCCACCATATTGTCTTGTGAGGCAAGACAGGGTCCACCCTTTACCCTCCTTTGAGATGGTGGCGCCTGACACCAGAAGACCAGGCTGGGGTGGTGGGTTCAAGGGCTTGTGCTCTAACCCCTCCCTGAGTCCCCTCAGGGGCCAGGTCTCCCTCACTGCCTTGAGTCTGCAGGGAACAGTGGGACCTTTAGGCATTTGTGGAACCCCAAGAGGGCAGGGGCCCCATCTGGTTTGTTCGTGAGGTATACAGCAGGTGCTTAATAAATGAGTTGACTGAATCCAATAGGTGAAGGGGCATAGTGAGGACTCCTTGACTCGGGTTGCCACTCGAGTGCCTCTGCTGGGGCATGCTATCCCCAGCTCTTTGTATGTGGAATGGAGAGAATGGTGCTTACCTTGGGGCTTTGAGGAGGCTTCCTGGAGGTGGTGCTTGTAGACTGCTGGGACAGGCCCTTGGCACCTTTCCCCTTCCCCATGTGACCTCTCTTGTCCCCATGGACCCGACAGACCCAGGTTATGAGCCAGGCTCCTCGCTTCCTGGCTGAGTGATTTGGGAGAAGCTGCTTAACCTCTCTGAACTTGTCTTTCTCCATGAAAGAAACAACACACCCATTCTCCCGACCACCTTTCTACCAGATAGTAGGGCCTCTGTCCCCTTGGTTCTCTCAGTCCTGCTTCCTCCATGTGGCCTCTGAGTCAGGATGGGGGTGGGCCACATTTTGGGCCTTGGGGACCATAGGGAGTAGTGATTAGTCCCTCTAGGAGCTGGTTCTGGTCTCTGCACCCTATCTATACCCCCCTAACTCCCACCCCCAGTTTACACTCCACCTGCAGGCAGCAGAGGCCGGAGCCCATGTGCAGAGGGAGGAGCTGTGGCCTCACCTTCTCCAACCTGCTGCCTGCTGTAAAAAGGGCAGGTTCGGAGGGGGGATGAGCTCTGTAGACCCACCCACTCTTGTCCCCTTGCAAGGGTGCAAACATGTCATTCTCTTCCAGAGCCTGGGAGGGACAGATAGGGAAGAGGATAATTCCAGGGAAGCTCGTTGGCTGGCTGCTGTCACTGTGTGTGTGCCTCTGTGTGTCTGTGTCAGTGTGTGTGTCTGTGTATGTGTGTGTGTGTGTGTGTGTGTCTGTCTGACAGTGCCCTTGTCCAGGTGGTATCTGTCTCTGGGTCTCTCTCTGGGTTTCTAAGGACACTGTCCTTCTTGGACTGTGTGCCCCCCAGGTGCCGACCTGTGTGCCTGGTTGTGTGTGTGTATGTGCGTGTGTGTGCACACACTGCAGGGCAGCTGGCTGCCTCAGAAACAAGCTCTCAGCTGGGTCCCTGTCTGCCTTCTTCCCTCCGAGCTCCAGCCAGGCCAGCTGCCTAGAAGCACAGCTTTGGTTGGCCTCCCTGAGATCAGGCATACCTGAGCTGGGTAGATCCAGGTCACCCACTGTCCCCTCACCAAATCCCTGCCCTCTCCTGTAAACCTCGAACTCCTGACCTCAGGTGATCCACCTGCCTTGGGCTTCCAAAGTGCTGGGATTACAGGTGTGAACCACCATGCCCGGCCCCATGTTTCACTATATTTACTGGCCAGCTTTCAGCCTTCCGTAGCCGCCACGCTCCCTCTACCCCAGGGACCTTCCATGTGCTGTGTCCTCAACCTGCAGCACTCTTCTTTCTCTTCTTCAGAAAATTCCTTCCAATCTCACCTTCAGCATCATGTGGCCCACCCAGCCTCCCTGACAGGGTCTGATTTCTCCATATGAGGTTCTCAAAACCCACACACCCTATGGCAATTGCCATGGGTGCACTTTTGCATTAATGTATGTGACTACGAGATTTATGTCTGGTTTCCTGCCAGCCTGTGGACTCTGAGAGCAGGAGCCTCCCCTGCTTTTGTTCTCCACTCTCCCCAGTGCCTGGGAAGTGGTTGCACGTGCTCTCCATGTTTGAGGAGTGAGTGAGTGAATAAACTAGCCATGTTCCATGAATTTCTCATTTCCTCAAGGATGTGGGATGCACTTGACGCCTCTCCCACTGGGCTCTGCCCCCAACTCAATACTCAGTAAGTTCAGGGATGTTTGGAAAGCCGGCCCTGCCTTTGACGAGTTTGTTCCCTCCTCAATTCCAGCACTCGCTAGGCTACCCAGGCGGAGGTGCCTTCCCTCTCTGGTTCACTGCGTTCCCCACTTCTCCACCTTATAACTTTCCTCAATTTAGGGAGTGGAGTTGATCCTCATCTTTGCCTTAGAAATGAGGCCACTGCGGCTCAGAGGAGGGAGGTGACGTCCGAGTCATCCTCAGGTCTGTCCCGCCAGATCCGCTGCCTCCTGCACACTTCTGCCCACTTCTCACCACCTCTCCCGCAGCACCGCATCTCCCTGCAGCAGCATCGACTCCAGCCTCGTCACTGCACTCCTTGCCTTGCCTGCTACCTCCCAGTCTTTCCTCCACCAGGGGGGTATTTTAAAAATATAAATTAGATTAGGACATTCCCCTGCTCCAAACCCTCCAGGGGCTCCCATTACAGTTAGAATAAAACTCAGTGCCCTGTGTCAGGACTTGGCAACCTCTTCTGTAAAGGACCGGATAGTAAATACTTTCAACTTAGTGGGCCATATGGTCTCTGTTGCAATTATTTGGTTCTGCTGTTGTAGCACAAAAGCAGCCACAGACAATTTGTAAGGGAGTGGGCATGGCCGTGTTCCAATAAAACTTGGTTTACAAGAACAAGTGGTGGGCCAGACTTGGACTGCAGCCTGTGGTTTGCTGCCCCCTTATCTACAGGTTTCTGTGTGAGCCATCCCTGCTTCCCTTCCCCACACCTCACCACCCCGCTCCCTCCTCCTTGCTGCCTCTGCCTGGGCTACTCAGGCCTTCTTTATGTCTCCCAAACATGCCAGGTGCAGCCTTATCTTAGGACATTGCATGTGCTGTTCCCTCTGCCTCGAATACGGTCCCCCTGGATCTTCATAAGACTGACTCTGTCATTCTGCACATCTCAGGGCAGATGTTATCCTCTTGAAAAGCCTTTTCTGACCAGTCTGTCTAAAAAGCACCTTCCCAAGTCTTGCTTTGCTGGATCCTGTTTTATTTTCTTCAGAGCGCTATCATTCTTTGAATTTATTTACTCATTTGTTTGTTTGTGAATCTATCATCCATCTGTCCATTCATCTCTCTATCCATCCTTCCATCCATCTGTTCATCCATCCATCTGTTCATCCATGCACTCATCCATCTGTCCATCCATCCATCTGTCCAACCACTCATCCATCTGTCCATCTATCCATCCATCTGTACATTACTCATCCATCTATTCATCCATCTATCTATCCATCTGTCCCTCTGTCTCAGTCTGTTTGGGCTGCTCTAAGAAAGTACCCTAGACTAGGTGGCTTATAAACAACAAAAATTTATTTTTTACAATTCTGGAAACTGGGAAGTTCAAGATCCAAGTCTTGGCTGGTTCAGTGTCTGGTGAGGGCCCACTTTCTAATTCATAGATGGCACCTTCTGTCTGTCCTCCTCATCTGGCAAAGGGATGAGGGAGCTCCTGGGGTCTCTTTTATAAGGGCACTAATCCCATTCATGAGGGCTGCACCCTCATGACCTAATGACCTCCCAAAGGCCCCACCTCCACACACTATCAAGTTGGGGATTAGGTTTCAACATAAGAATTCTGGGAGGTACACAAATATTCAGTCCATGGCACCATCCATCTACCTATCCGTCCATCCATCCATCCATCCATGGTCTAACTCCCCCTTCTAGACTTTAGGCTCCATAAGGACATTACTTTTTCTGTCTTGATCACTAACATAGTCCCTGCATCAAGAGTCATGGTAGGCACCGGATATGATAAATAGTCAGTAATGTGTGTGAACTGACTGCCTAGTTAACCTGCTTGTCCAAGGTACCAGCCTGGCTTAGGTGAGTACACGGAGCACCTCTCCGGGGACTTCTCCCACCTCTGATGCAGCAGCACCCTGTCTTTTCTGCCCACTCTAGAGCTCTTTGCCAGCTTCTGCCCCCTCCCGCCACCCACCCCCCTGCTTCCTTCTCCAGAGCAAAATAAATTTAAAGAATCAAATGGGCCGGGCATGGTGGCTCACACCTGTAATCCCAGGACTTTCGAGGGCCGAGGCAGGCAGGTCACGAGGTCAGGAGATCAAGCCCATCCTGGCTAACACGGTGAAACCCCGTCTCTACTAAAAATACAAAGCATTAGCTGGGCGCGGTGGCAGGTGCCTGTAGTCCCAGCCACTCGGGAGGCTGAGGCAGGAGAATGGTGTGAACCCAGGAGGCGGAGCTTGCAGTGAGCCAAGATCACGCCACTGCACTCCAGCCTGGGTGACAAAGCGAGACTCCATCTCAAAAAAAAAAAAAAAAAAAAAAAAAAGAATCAAATGAAGTCACAATCTTTGGGAGCCTCCCTGTGAGCACATCGAAGGTTAAGCTGAGGAAGCTCTGCTCTGCAGACCGAAGTGACATGGAGGCACTTGAAAATGAAGTGTCTCCCATACAAGTATTTAATTATCCTATTATAGGACAGTAACTGGGCACTAGGATTTTTTTATAATTATTAATAGAGTATTAAACAATTATCATGAACAATTAAAATTAATTACATTTCTTGGAATTAATGAAATTATCCTTTTGATAGGACAAGTGGCTAAGCAGACATAAAAATGAAGAACCGGTACTCCAAAAGTCTGCAGGAGTTGGGTGTGGTGAGGCTGGGTGCCTTTCTCTCTCCAGCCATGGGGAGGGGCTCCATGCACAGGCTGGGGCCTTGGGAATCTCGAAGTTCTTTGGAAAGAAGGATGAACTGGAAGGCTGGACCCAGACTGCGTGCTCAGAATTCTGCCTGGAGCCTCATCTATCCAGGCCCAGCTCTTGGCTTATCTCCTCCTCTCTACCCTCCTTTCCTCTCTTTATTTCTTCCTGTCTCTTACTTTTTATCCTTCTTTCTTTGGTGCAGGCTAGGCATGCCCTAGGCACTGGAAGTGCAGGGATAAATCAGTCAAAATTCTGTCCTTTTGTAGAGTTCAAGGTCAAGGAGAGAGACCTAGCACCGTCTTGATGCATAAGAGTCAGAGGGCTGAGGTTCAGCTTTGGACTCTACTTCTTACCAAGTGTGTGACCTTCAGAAAACTGCTTACTTCCTCGGAGCCTCAGTTCCCCCATCTGTAACGTGGTACCTCCCTCATGGGGCTGTTGAGGGAAAAATGAGTTATTATGTGTTAATATGATTTGGCTGTGTCCCCACCCAAATCTCATCTTGAATTGTAGCTCCCATAAATCCCATGTGTTGTGGGAGGGACTCTGTGGGAGATAATTGAATCATGGGGGTGGTTTCTCCCATACTGTTCTTGTGGTAGTAAATAAGTCTCATGAGATCCAATGGTTTTATAAGGGGAGACCCCCTTTGCTTGGTTCTCTCATTGTCTCTTGCCTGCCGCCATGTAAGACTTGCCTTTCACCTTCTGCCATGATTGTGAGGCCTCCCCTGCCACGTGGAACTGTGAGTCCATTAAACCTCTTTTTCTTTATAAATTACCCTGTCTCAGGTATGTCTTCAGCAGCGTGATAATGGACTAATACATGTGTCAAGCATTTATCAATAGTGTAGTGCCTGCAACATAGTAAGTGCTCAATAAATGTTCGTTTATATCATCATTGTGGCCATTTATTAATAATTGCTGTGACAGCCATAAGCAAGGGGAAGATACCTAACCTGGCCTATTAGGGTCAGAGAAGCTTTTCTGGAGAAGAGATTCTTAGTTGAGTCTTTAAACATGGGTAGACCTTGGCTAGGTTGAGATGCAAAGGAAGAGCATCTCAGGCAGAGGGGAACAGCATGTGCCAAGGCCCGGAGGCACTGCCCATGATGTGAACTGCAGTAGTTCTGGGTTCCAGGAGTGTCGCCTGAACATTGTGGAGCGGGGAAAGATGCAGCTTGGGGAGGTGTGGGAGCAGCCTCCCAGTGGTGTCCTGCCCTGTGTCATCCCGCCCTGTGTCATCCCCTCCCATGCTGTACTGGGGCTGGTCTGTGTTGAGACCTGGTAGAGGGAATGGAATGTCACTCTCAAGGCTCATTCCTCAAAGGCACTCTGGTGTCCTCCTTGCTGTCTTGCTTTGGGATCAATTGCTCTGGGGGAAGCCAGCTGTCATGTCAAACAACCCTATGGCGAGGCCCTTGTGGCAAGAGACAGAGGCCTTCTGACAACCACCAGCAAGGAATGAGGTCTCAGCCAGTGGCTGTGAGAATCAGCCATCTAAGGAGTGGGTCCTCCAGCCCCAGTCAATCGTGTGTGGATGGCTGTAGCCCAGGTGACGCACTGACTACAACTGCATGAGGGCCAGGGCCAGGGCCAGCACCACCCAGCCGGCTGCTTTGTTGTCTTAACTCACAGAACCTGGGGGAGACACTGTTTCTTGTTGTTTTAAGCGACTACATTTTGGGGCAATTTGTCACAAGCAGTTGATAACTAATACAAGTAGTTAGCAGAGCTACTAACACGTGAAGGGTCTCATGGGAGCCCTTTAAGTGCGAGCTGAAGGTCAGATTTGTGGGTTAGGAAGATCACTCTTTACAGCGTAGAGGACGCGTTGGGGAATGAAAAATAGCTGTTAGTTATTGCTCATTTATTATGTTCCGGGCACAGCTCCAATACAGCACACGTGTTAGCTTATTTAATCCTCACAACAACCCTATCAGGTACATACTATTATTATGCTAATTTTGAAGATAAGAAAATTGGAAAGGTTGGAAAACTCACTCCATATCACACACCTAATAGGTCACAATGATGCTGGATTTTGCATGCATGCAGTTTCTTAACCTCTCTGGAGGCCAGGGGCCCAGAGATGAGAAGGGCAGGAATGGATGCAGGACAGAATGAGACACGAGGGGTGCTTGAGAATTGGACTTGGCACCTGCTTGGACGGACAGTGAGAGAAAAGGAAGCCACCTGCATGCAGGTTCCTGTCTTTGCCTGTGTTCCTGTCTTGGGCCCAGGGTGGATGACCCAGGGTGGGCCCAGAACCTGAGATGGGGAAACCATAGCAGGGGCAGATTTGAGGCAGAGCAAGGAGGTGTTTTGGGATGTGTTGAGATTGAGATGCTGAAGTGCATGTAGGTAGCTCAAGGAGATGCTAGGGCTGGAGAGCCCTCATGCCCTACAGCCCCGTTAGCTCTTATCAGACCACATGTGCCTGTTTCCCCGACACCTTGTGTCATTCCCATGCCTTGTGTCTGTGCTACCTCCAGTCACCCAATGCCGAGCATGCAGCTTGGCCCATGGCTGTGCCCTGGGGATGTACACGGAGGGGTTCACTGAGCTCCGGGTCTTGGGTCTGGTGCTGCGGGCTGCTCTGAGGTGGGTGCAATGGGAAATGCACAGGGCAGCGGGGAGCTTGGAGCTGTAGAGCATATCCTGATGGTGTGCCCAGGAGTGTGGCTGGGACCAGCGTCTTCACCTCGTATGCTGTTCTTCCCAAACTGACAGCTGCCTGCTCCTTCCCCAGCCCAGGGACACCAGGCCTGGTCCCTGGAGCAGCTCAGTGTGTCTCATGGAGTGGCTGCCCAGGGCCTGAGCTCACAGAGCAGGGCCTGGTTCCTGGCTGAGGCTGAGATGCACAGTCACCCTGGGCCCAGGGGCCGGGTCAGAGGGTGTTGGGAGAATACCTTCCCCAAGAGATCTTGAGGCTCTTTCCATCACCCCTGCCCTCCAGGGTCAGAGCGCTGCTTTTGCATCTGTGTCCTGTGTGAGTCCAGAGCTGCTCTGTTGCTCCTGCCCATGCTGGGTTTGATACTGCGGTTCCATGGAGCAACTTGCCAGGACGGACAGCCAGGCTCAGATGGGCAGGTTCCCTTCCCATTCACGGGAGCTGGCAAAGACCCAGGCCTAGCACCTGCTGAAAGGCCCCTCAAGTGGCTGGCACCAAATCTTTGAGCGGAGCTCAAGGGAGCCCCATTGGCAGCCCAGGGCCTGGAGAAACTTCAAAACACAACAAGAGGCCTAGAAAACTCTTCAGAGCAGAGATTCCAAATAAGAGAGTGGGGAAGGGAGGGAGAGTAGATTTTGCTCCCTAGGGGACAGTTGGCAGTGCCTGGAACCATTTTTGGTTGTTACAATTAGGGGTGGGGGTGCTACTGAAATCTGGTGGGTAGAGGCCAGGGATGCTACTAAACACCCTACAGTACACAAGATGGCCCCACTTTTTTTTTTCTATTTCTATTTTTATTTTTTTTGAGGAAGAGTCTTGCTCTGTCACCCAGGCTGGAGTGCAGTGGCACCATCAGGGCTCACTGTAGCCCCACCTCCCAGGCTCAAGCGATCCTCCTGCCTTGGCCTCCCCCACCCCAAGCAGCTGGGACTACAGGCGTGTGACACCACGCCTGACTAATTGTTTTTTGAATTTTAGTTAAGACAAGGTCTCGCTAGGTTTCCCAGGTTGGTCTCAAACTCCTGAGTTCAAGTGATCCTTCTCCTTGGCCTCCCAAAGTGCTGGGATTACAAGCGTGAGCCACTGCGCCTGCCAACAGCCCCACTTTCAATGATGCAGAGGTTGAGAAGCCCTACTTTGGGGGCCCAAAGCTGCAGGGGTGGGTAGCACTGCTCTGCAAGTCCAGGGGATGTCATGAGGCTCTATGTGGAAGTGCGTTCCCCCAGCCCTGCTCCTGGGACAGGACCCAGGATCTCAAATCTGCTCTCATCTGAGGCAACAGCTCAGACTTCAGAGAAGACAGACAGCCACAGTGCTATAGGGGCAGGCCGCCTGCAGCCATCCCTTCTCCTACCCCATCCCACTTTGGCCTGGGGCAGAACTTTTCAAACTCTGTTTCCAGAGCCTCCCTATGACCCCAGAGCGGGAGCTGAGTGGGTGGGGTCTGGGGTCCTCTGCTCCCTAGCTACTCTTTTTATTATTTTTAAATTTAAGGGCTATCTAGAGAGTGAGTATGAATTTTCAAGCCACGTACTCTGGTGTGCAAAGAACTGTAACTTTATTTTTCTGTCACGGAACTGAATTTCCGTCCCAAGTTCCCTTTCTGCCCGAGGGCAGAAAATGTAATCTCAGACAATTCCAGGTAAACTCAGTCATTTCAGGTTTAAGCTCAGTTGATCTGGGACTTCCTTCCGTTCCTGCTGCTCGGGATGCCATCTAAGTTCCAGGGCTGTTGTGGCATCTGCAGGCAGTGCCCGGTGCCTCGTCCTCAGCTTCTGTCCACAAGAGCTTCTGCTGGGTGGGCAGTGGCCAGCCTGGCCCCTCAGTGGGGTCACTCCTTCCTGGAGCCATCTACCTTCCTAGCTGGTCTCCAGGAATTAGGTTTGTGCCTCATTTCTGTCTCTTGAGGAGTAAGACAGGGAAGAGGGTGCTCTCCTCCTCTTCCTCCTCCTTCCTCTTCTTCCTCCTTCCTCTTCTTTCTTTTCCCCAATCCCTTTCCTCTTCCCCCTCTTCATCCTCCCCTCCCTGCACCTCCTCCCCCTCCCTGGTAGAATGTAGCAAATCTCTCTGCTTTTCAGTGCAGAAGCCCAGAATTTAACCCCCATTCCCGAGGGGCAGCAGCCTGCTCAAGTTCTGTTTGCAAAGCGCTTTGGGATTCATTGGCTGGTTTCAGACATCTCAGGTGAGCTTTTCGGGGGCAGAGCTCTGAGCTTTTGCGTAAGAAGCCATGTTTACCCAGGAGTTCTGCCTCTCCACTCATCCACCATCTAGAGGCTCTGCTGGAGAGGCTGCCCAGGCCTGGAATTGTGCTGAGCTGCTTGAGGAAGCCAGGTACCCTGGACACACAGAGGAGGCGGGGAGGAGACACCTGCCTTTCTCCAGGAGGGGAGACTGGGACTCAGAGAGGGATGGACATTTGTCAAGGTCATTTGGCAGCAAAGTGACAAGGCTGGCTTAGCATTCTCAGTGGCTAGGGAAGGCAGGGAGGGTGGGGTGGCATTTGTGGAGGGGAATGAAAGTAGAATCTGCACACGTCAGTCCAAGCGAATGCCCCGAAAGAGATGGGCCTCTGGCTGCAGCAGTGTAGACTCCCCTTCTCCCCTCTGCCCTCCTACGTACTGGGTGCCACAATCTCTTAATCCTCACAGTACATCTACGAGAGAGACATTGCTATTCCCATTTTACAGGTGGAAAGACTGAAGCACATGCAGTGACATGCCCAAATCCCATTGTAAATCAGTGACAGAGATGGAAGTTTTAAAAATTGCCATTTCTTTATTTTATTTTTTTGAGACAGAGTCTCACCCTTTTGCCCAGGCTGGAGTGCAGTGGCGTGATCTCGGCTCATTGCAACCTCTGCCTCCCGGGTTCAATCAGTTCTCCTGCCTCAGCCTCCCGAGTAGCTGGGACTACAGGCACTTGCTACCATGCCTGGCTAATTTTTGTATTTTTAGTAGAGACGGGGTTTCACTATGTTGGCCAGGCTGGTCTTGAACTCCTGACCTCAGGTGATCCATCTGCCTCAGCCTCCCAAAGTGCTGAGATTACAGGTGTGAACCACCATGCCCCACCAACCATTTCTTTATTTTTAAAATATATGCTCATTAAAGCGATTTAAATAATTCTGAAGTATACAAAATATTAATAACCTTTATTACCTTTCTTCCATTTTCTGTTCTGCCAGTGTCTCTTCCCAGAGGTAAACAATCTCCATCCACACCTATAAATATATACAAACATATACACACGTATTTGGGGGCACTGGGAAAAATGTGGGGTGCTGCTGTCTTCTCTGCAACTTTGTTTTCACGTTAATATGTTTTTTCCTCAACAATATATATTTTGCTTTACAATATATTCTGGATACCTCAGGTCAATAACACAGATGTCGGTGATTGTTTTTAATAGCGTTTTAGTAGCCAGTAGCATGCATTAGTGTAGTTATTCAGCCAGCTTCCCTTTCGATGCACGTCTCGGCTGTTTCAAGGTTTCCATTCTCACAGTAGTGCCACGTGGAGTGGGTGTCCACTGATAATGGTACTTTGATGTCTGAGGATCGATTCTAGACGTGGGACTGCGGTCAAGGGTTATAAACATTTTATGTTTTCATAGATTCCAGAGGCGGATTTGAATCCCAATATGTCTGACTCCAAAGCTCAAGGAAGACCCAGGGTAGGCTAGGCGCAGTGGCTCACACCTGTAATCCCAGTGCTTTGGGAGGCCAAGGCTGGCAGATCACCTGAGGTCAGGAGTTCGAGACCAGTCTGGCCAACATGGTAAAACCTCATCTCTACTAAAAATATAAACATTAGCTGGGTGTGGTGGCAGACTCCTGTAATCCCAGCTACTCAGGAGGCTAAGGCAGGAGAATCGCTTGAACCTTGGAGGTGGAGGTTGCAGTGAGTCAAGATCGCACCATTGCATTCCAGCCTGGGAGATAAGAATGAGACTCCATCTCAAAAAAACCAAAAAAACCAACAAGAAAAACAAAACCCAGGGTAAAAGATGAGGGCACGACCCATGGACACCATCCTGGCATCCAGACCTCCTGCCCCAGCTGGTCTGGAGCCTCTGACCTAGGCGGCAGGAATTCAGGCATCCTAGCCTGGCATGAGCTGCTAGGCTGTAGGCTGCAGCCATAAGCAACCCCCATTCAGAAACAGCCTCCACACGCACAGCCTCATCCGTCCTCAGAGGCAGCCTGTGAAGTGGGAAGGGAGGCGATTGCCATTCCATTTCCAAAAACTCCCAGGTTGCAGAACGGCAGGAGGAGGGGCAGGTCTGGCAGAGATAGATTTCCAGGCTGAGAGTAGATTCGGGCCGAGAGTAGAGAGGAGACTTACCCAAGGCCATGCGGCTTGTAAGTTGGACCCAGGAGTAGAACTGGCAAGCCAGGGTTTTGAATCAGTATTTGTGGGGTGGGGTGGACTCTGTGTGCTCTCTTGTGGACCTCCCGACACTCTGCCATGGCCTGGTCCAGCTGTGGGCTCTGCACCGCCATGGAGGGAGAGAAGGCCATGCTGCCCCTCCCTCCCCACCCACATAAGCGTGCACACTCCATTCTGCTCCAGCTGTTGGAGAGTCTGGGGCGGGCCGCATGAGGCACCTGTTAGTGAGATGATGGATGTGCTGTTTGCTTCCAGGAGAAGGAGCCACAAAAGGGGATCCAGGGAAGGGACAGCACCAGGGCTGTGTGCTGGGAGAGGGGGTCCTGCTATGGTGCCCAGCAGCCTTTTTTGGAGTCACTGACAGATGGGGAGTGCAGAGGAGGGCAGGGGCGGAGGGAAGGTGAGATCTCCCAGTCTGATGGAGGAGGCCCAGTTTCTGCCTTCAAGGAACTATTGGTCTGATAGGGGAGGCACCGCTTCTGTTTCCAGCCTGATAGAAGAAGCACAGCTCCTACCTCAAGGAGCTCCCAGTCTAGTGAGGTGACAATCCTGGCCCTTGGGGTCATCTCAGTCTCATGAAGACAATAGGAAAATATTAGAAAGCCTTGGTGTAGTTTTGAATCACTGGAAACTCTGTTTAAAAACTTAGAAAGCGACATCTGCATCAAGGACTGATGTTGTGTGACAGGGAGTGTGGCCTTATGGGAGGTACACTGGTTCTGGAGTCACATCGGCTTGGGTTGGAATCCCTGCCCCACTGCCGACAAACTGTGTGACCTTGGCTCTGTTACTCTGCCTAGTGAGACTATTTTCTCACCAAATACAGGGTTAATATTTAAATGAATGAATACTCCTAAAGCCCCAAGTACAGTCTTTGGCTGTGAGCACCCAAAGCATGGTAGCTACTCTGATTGATCTTATTTGGGTAGGTTTAAATCACAGAGGGCTTCCTGCAGGAAGAGAGCATTGAGGCTAGACTTCGAGGTTTTTTTTTTTTTTTTTTTTTTGAGACGGTATCTGGCTCTGTCGCCCAGGCTGGAGTGCAGTGGAGCAATCTCTGTTCACTGCAAGCTCCACCTCCCGGGTTCACACCATTCTCCTGCCTCAGCCTCCTGAGTAGCTGGGACTACAGGCGCCCGCCACCACGCCTGGCTAATTTTTTGTATTTTTAGTAGAGACAGGGTTTCACTGGGTTATCCAGGATGGTCTTGATCTCCTAACTTCGTGATCCACCCGCCTCGGCCTCTCAAAGTGCTGGGATTACAGGCGTGAGCCACCGCACCCGGCCACCCTTCAGAGTTCCCCTGGAGGAGCTCAGCCACTGAATTGTTCTCAGCCCTTTTGGGCCTCCTCACCTCTCCTTGCACCTTTCCTGGGCAGCTGAGCCAAGCTGCTCAGGAGTGATGGTGCATTCAAAGCAAGAGGACGTGTTTAAAGGCTGTAATGGAAAGGTGTAATGAAGATAATTAAAGTAGATAGAAGACACCCGCTGGAAGAGCTTATAATGGAAAAGCCATCAGGTTTGAGTAACCCCGTGCTCCCCAGTCATGAATACTCTCTGCAATGGCTACATCAGTTGCTCCCGGTCACCTGTCATGGCAACGTTCAATGCAGACAAATTGGATGCTGGAGCCAGGCCAGACAGGCAGAAGTGAGAGTGTTAGCAAGCACCATGGACAGGCGAAGAGGCAACAAACAGGGACTGCAGAGGTTGGGAAAGGCTAGGAAGCTCCAAGAGTCTTGGAATGTGGCCTGGGAACCAAGCCAAGCTGCTGGGAGCTATTCCTCTTTGGATGCGTCAGGTGGGCTTAAGGGCTGGACACTGCCTGATCCCCTCCCTGAGCTGGCTTCTCTGGCCTTGACCTCCAGCCCACCTGACCCTAGTGACATGCCATTCCCTCTACTTAAACTCCCAGCCTTTGCCATATGTGGCTTGGGTCCCACGGCAGAGCCGATGGGCGTTGTTGATACTAGGACAAGTAGAACCAAATGGAGACCAGTGGGAAGTTGGAGGATCACAGACCCAAGGTCTGGCATGGCAAGAGAGAAGTCTGGAGGGTGACCAGAACTGGCAAGGGGGAAGGTTTCCCAAGCTGACTGTTCCTCTTATTGTTATTTATTGAACAACTGCTATGTTTTGTACACTGTGCTAATTATGTGCGTTATCACGTCGAATCTTCCCAACCACCCTATGAGTGGGTGTAACCATTATCTCCACTTTACAGATGAGGCAACCAAGGTCCAGAGAGGCTAAGTCACTTTCCCAAGTCACACAGCTACTCCGTGATGAAGCCAGGCTCAGATGCAAGTCTGTCTCGTCCCAAAGGCAGTATTCCAAGCAGGCTGATCCTAGGGGAAAGACCGTGGGTGGGCCTCCCAGGAAAATGATAGGGGTGGGGGAGTCAGAGCTGAGACATGGGAGGTTGGAGTCCTCTCCATGGGCAGGGCTTGTCTGGACCCTCACTCCATCTGCAGACTCAGAGGTAGGCCTGTAGGATGGAGTCTCCTCTGGCTGAAGGGCGCAGCCCTTTGACCCCAAGGAAGTGCCCTTCCTGGTTGGGTTCATTATTTTATCCACCATCTGTGCCTTGGAATGCTCCAGATATGACCAGCTCTGCTAGCTCACCATGGGACACCGGGGGACACTTGATGACAATCTCAATCACCATCCAGTGGTAGCCCCCTCCAGGTCAGTTTCCCCAAGGGTTTTCACTCTTGGACTTGCCTCCCGGGACTCAGTCTTGGGCCTGACTCTGGTTCCTCTGTTCAGCATGTACAGCTCTTGCTACTGGCTTTAGACTTTCTCTCCCTCCCACCCCTACCTACTCCTGGGTCCTCAGAATGCGCATCTGGTCCAGTATGGCTTCAGAGTCTGCCTGGGCCACTGGCTCTTTACCCATCCAGAGGTGTCTGGTCCCTGGCCTGAAGGGGCTGTCTCTCCTATTTTTTGAACTCTACGTTGACAAGAATAGTGATGGGAAGGGTTAAGGCAAGTGTGGTGCCTGGGAGGAGGGGGGCAGGGGGAGAGAGAGAGAGAGAGAGATGGGGGAGGGGGAGAGGAAGGGAGAGGGAGAGGGGGAGGAGAGAGATGGGGGAGGAGGAGAGGAGAGGGAGAGGGAGAGAGAGAAAGATGGGGGAGGGGGACAGGAGAGGGAGAGAGAGAGAGAGATGGGTAAGGGGGAGGGGGAGAGGGAGAGAGAGAAAGAGAAACAACCCAGCAGGCTGTTCCCTCCAAATCCCCACTCCCCAGGACAGGGCTGCTGACAGATAAATGGGCAAAACAGCACAAAGGTGCGTACTGACATAGAGTTATTTCAAAGTGATTATCTGGGATAACAGTAATTATGTCCAAGAACAGAGAAGGTCAAACTGGCTGGTCCCACTGCTCAACTCCAACAAGACTCTTGCCAAGAGAACGCTGCTGTGTGGAAGGAGTGGCAGAGGGAGGAGCAGGGAGGTGGGAAGAGGGAGGAGCAGGTGGAGGAAGGCCTGGGACAGAGCCTAGTCCTTGACCAGGGACTCAGAGGAGGCATTGAGCCCCTGGAGAAAGCTTACCTCTTAGTTCCTTGGGTTCCCCAGGAAGCCTGGCTTTGGTTGGTTCTTGGATGTGGTGTGAGGGTGACTCTCTTTCCCTAGCAGCCTTAGGATGTACCTCAGTGGTGATGGTGGCTGGGATAAGCCCTACCCTCTTTTCTTCCCTTCATTTCTTCTCTGCCTCTGTCTCTTCCTTCTCTCAGGCCCACACATGTGTTCATCCATCCAATCATGTTACCATCTATCTACCCAGACACCCTTCCATCCTAACCCACCCACCCACTCATCCATCTACCCACCCACCCTCCCACCTATATCCACCTGTCATTGTCTGCCTTCCCACATTTTCAGTCTACTACTATCCATATGTCTACTCATTCATCCTTCCAGATGATCATGTTAACACCCATCCATGCATCCATGTGCCGCTGCTCACATTTTCATTTTTCTCCTTATCTATCCATCACCTTTCCACCCTTTCATTCATCTCACCCCATCCACCCTTCACTTTCCACTTTTCCACCTATTCATCTACCTACCAATTCTCCCTTCACCCTTCCCTGTACCCTCCCCTCCCTGCCACCATTCATTGTCTACCCGTCTACCCATACACCCATCTCCCTTTTCATCCTTCTACCTTTTCTCTTCCATTCATTCATCTATCCAGACTTCATGTTCACTCATCCACCTATCCACCTATCCAACCTTCCATTCATCCATCCATTCATCTATCCATCCATCCACCTACCTGCCTATTCACCTATCCACTCACCCACCGACCCACCCACCAATTCACCTGTCCATTCACCCACCCATCCACCTCTTCATCAAGCCACCCATCCACTTCTCTACCCATTCACCCATCCACCTCTCCAGCTCTCCACCCATCCACCTCTCCACCCATCCATCCATCCACCCACCTATCCATCTATCCACTCATCCACCTATCCACCCATCCACCTACCCACCCATCCACCTCTTCACCCATCTACCTATCCATCTATCCACTCATTCAGCTATCCACCTATCTACCCACCCACCTATTTACCCATCCATCTATTCCCCCATCCATTCATCCACCCACCCACCCGTCCTTTTTACCACTCCTGGTTTGTCCATATATCCCTCCATCTACACTAATTCTTTCACCTCCTGTGTGAACCTTAAGCCTACTCAGTGCTCTTCATAAGCCCCATCATTTCCTATTTCCGTTAGTTTGTTGATGCTCTCTACCATGTCTCTCATGTTCTCCACCTGAACTCTGATTGTTGAAATCATACTCACTCTTCAAGGTTTTATTTAAAAACTCTATTTCGAGCAAGCAGAGAACACTAGAAAATAGGTGACTCTGCAGCCAGAAATGAGTGTTATCATTCTGGCTCAGCTATTCATTGGCTGCATGACCTTGGGAAGGTTGCTCAGCCTCTCCAAGTCTCAATTTCCTTTTATGGAAAAGGGGCTAATGATACCTACTTTGTGAAATAATTGAAGGGTTAAATAAAATTGTCTATAAAGTGCCCAGCAACATACATGGCACCCAGGGGATACTCAACAAATACTAAACTCCATTGAAGTGGAAATGCGAAATTGATTAAAGACCCTCCTGTATATGTGAGATGGCTCTCAAGGTATATATGAGATGGCTGGCTGGGGGCAGACGTGCTTCCTGAGGCTGACTTCTGCTTTTGTTCTCTGCTTTGCATGGTCTCCACTCCAACCACTGATACAATCTTCAGAGTATTAAAAGCAGAGACAAAGGGTGGGCAATATAGACAGCAGGACATGGTTAAATCAACTTCATCTCAGCAGGGGGCCTGGGATGATACTGCTGGCATCATGCCAACTGCTCATTAGAGACGAGAGACCTGCTCTGACATGCATATCAATGACTCCAATGGGCTGGGCTTTGATATTTCCAAAGGGAGCTAGATGTCTGTGGGGGAGTCCTTTGACTGAATCCTGTGGTCAGAGAGGCCCCCTGCAGAGATGAACAGGTCAGCTAGGCCCCAAACGGAATGTGTGCTGAATTTCCCATCCCCCATAGGGAAGCATCAGAAAGTGCAAGGCTGGTGCTGGCTTCTGAAGCGAGACGTCTTTTTTTGAGTGAAGATGGTTTTCTCTCAGTTATGTATGGCCTAGTGGAGAGTTTGAAAACCATACTCTTTGATTATGTGACCATAACGTTGTTGGCACATGTTTAATAACAGTCTCTCTGGGACATTAATAAAAACAGGACCTGGTTTGTAGCATTTGCCAGTTTCTGTGATGTAAGTACTCCCACCATGGCTGATCTCAAGCCATCCAATGTGACGTCATTGAACATGGAGTTGGGAAGGGAACCTCAGTAGGACATCCTAGAGTATCTTGATCCTGCAGATACAGAAGACAGAAATAAGCTCAAAAACATAGGTAGTACTAAATATACTAAAATAATTATAAAGTGATGAATTTTGAGTTTTAATCATCTTTGTTTTTAATGTAATTTAATTAATGGCAAGTTATGTAATTTTTTAAAAGAATTACACACATTATTACAGTCAAGAACAGGCAAAGTAAAATAACATGTTAAAGATGTATACATATACGGCAAAACTGTACAAAAGGCAAGGGATTAATACAAAATTCAGAAAACTGCTAGTGGGTACATGGATATTTGTTATTAAATTATTGTTATCATGTTCATTAATTGTATTATCAGTTATACCAAACACTATATGTATAGTATAGTTCATAATTTAAATAAATTATATAATGTTGAAACTAATAATATAACTAGAATTGATCTAGTCCACACTCTCATTTAACAGGGAAAAATATATTGTACGAAGAACAAATGGCATTCAAATTAATATCAGATGCTACAAAATTATTAGTTAACACTAATTAGATATTTTTCCTCTAGTGAGAGATTCAGGTACAGATTTTCAATTTCCTCTCTTACTTTAAATCCAATCCCAACAAAACTTAGTCCCCTATGTCTTAGCAACGAAAGTGAAAGAAGGTCAGGCGCGGTGGCTCATGCCTATAATCCCAGCACTTTGCGAAGCCGAGGTGGGTGGATCACTTGAGGTCAGGAGTTCAAGACCAGCCTCGCTAACATGGTGAAATCCCGTCTCTACTAAAAATACTAAAATTGGCCAGGCATGGTGGCATGTGCCTGTAGTCCCAGCTACTGGGGAGGCTGAGGCAGGAGAATCGCTTGAACCTGGGAGGTGGAGGTTGCAATGAGCCGAGATTGTGCCACTGCACTTCAGCCTGGGTGATCGAGCGAGACTCTGTCTCAAAAAACAAAATAAATAAATCAAATCAAATAAAATGTAAAAGAATTGCTTTGAGGAAGTCTTATAACAGGGACAAGTTTCAGCTGGACAGAAGATGTAGACAAAATGTATTTAGTTTATGTAATCTGATTTTTTAATAATGGCTGTGTTTGACAACAGGCTCACAGAATTCCTGAACCCTTGACAATGGATTCTCACAAGCCCTTGCGAGCCAGCACCAGCACACCACTTTTTCTCATTTAAATAAGTTTGTTTTCCCCCCTGGCACTCTCAACTCTGGGGGTTGAGGAGAGCATCATGCCAAATTATTAGCTGGAGAGATGGAGAAAAACACTTTGGCTTTGAACTTTTGCTGAGGTAGTCTCCAAGGCGGGTAATCCACAGATCTGAGCTGGTGCCATACTCCCTGAAGAACAGATGGGAAAATGTGATTTTCTGCACCATTCGCTTGAGAGACAGGTGGTGGAAACTGACCTAGGTTCAAGTTCAAGTTTTACCATTTAGTAGTGATGTGAACTGGCCTTGTCCTCCTGAGCCTTTTGAGTCAATTGAATAATTTATTAACTCAATAGAAATGTATTGAGTACCCATTTTATGCAGGTACTAGAGATAGAGACATAAATCACCAGACAAAAAAATCCCTCTTTGCTTATAGCCTGTGTTCTTTCTGGATGAAGTATTCAACTGTCTGCCATACAGCAAGAGCTTTTCAATGGTGACTTACTTATTATTTAGGTATTATTTCCTCCTCCCTCAGAGGCTGGATGAGGTGACAGTGGATGGGATTCTGGTCTTTTTTAAGACAAGGACTTATTGCTACCAAAAGCACAATATTCTCTTTCATAAGGGTTTGACATTTGTAACTTTTTAAAATAGAAATTGACTCCCTGCCCTGGTATGGTTTGTCTTCCCTGGATTTCACATCATCTGTGTGTTAACAATCCACCATCCACCCACCCCATCCATCCACCCCATCCATCCATCCATCCCTTCCATCCATCCATCCATCCATCTGGGAGGAGTGTGTCTCCAGTTCCAGTGTTTCCTTCACAGGTGGCTCAATTAGTATAATTCTTGGCCTCTCTCCATTCTGTCCCAGGGGTGTGGAGTGGTTGATCTGATTGGTGATTTTGGCTCACGCAGCCTGGCCCTTTCCCTCTTCCCCCGGCTGAAAGCTTGCTGTCCGCAGGGGGCAGGCATTGCTCTCTGGTCTTCTATGACCTCTGCTATCCAATATGGTAGCCACTCACCACTTGTGACTATTAGCATTTGCAATGTGGCTAGTCCAAATTGACACATGCTGTTAATTTTGGGAGGCCTAGGCAGGAGAATCTCGTGAGCCTAGGAGGTCTAGGCTGCCATGAGCCATGATTGCACCACTGCACTCCTGCCTGGGCAACAGAGCTAGACCCTGTCTCAAAAAAAAAGTGCTGTTAGGATAAGATGCACTCTGGAATTTGAAAACTAGTATTCAAAAAGAATGTAAAATAGCTCATCAATAATTTTTTATATTATGTGTTTAAATGATAATGTTTTAGAGATACTGGGTTAAATACAATATATTATTAAAATCAATTTCACCTGTTTCTTTTTAAAAAATGTGGCTGCATGAAAATTTAAAGTAACATATATGTGGCTTGCATTATATTTCTATTGGACAGTGCTGATCTAGACGTGAGCTTTGTTCCTGTGAGGGGGCTGGGAGGCGGGTGGCCTGCCTCACTCAGTCTGTCTGTGATGAGCTGGGCTGGTGGGCTTGATTCGGGAGTTCACTGCATAGGCCCACTTGCTTTTCACACTATTCTATGTTCTGTTTTCTAAATTAGCCTTTATCTATACCAGAGCTGACATGTTGGCCTCCATCTGTGAATCCTTTGTCTTATTTCCCAATTTGTTCAGAACTTAAGTGGAGAAGAGGCAAGGTCTTTGTGGGAGTCTTTAAGGACCCCCTGCCTGTGCTGAGCACAAAACAGTCAAACAATTCAGCTTGATATCTAGTCTTAAAACGGAACTGAAACTTACAATGGTTGTCAGGCTGGAAAAATTCATATGTACACATAGACCCCCAATTTTGCTTATGATTTTAGGGAGATACCTGGGTTTCTGGAAGAACATCCCTGGGCCTTGTAAGGGTCCTAGAATCCCTGGTTTAAAAAAAAAAAAACTTGTTTAGGCCAGGCACGGTGGCTCATGCCTGTAATCCCAGCACTTTGGGAGGCCAAGGCAGGAGGATCGCTTGAGCCTAGGAGTTTGAGACCAGCTTGGGCAACATGGTGAAACCCTGTCTCTACCAAAAAAAAAAAAAAAAAAAAAATTAGCCAGCGTGATGGTGTGCACCTATAGTCCCAGCTACTTGGGAGGCTGAGGTGGGAGGATCGCTTGAGCCCTGGAGGTTGGGGCTGCAGTGAGCCATGCTTGCACCACTGCACTCCAGCCTGGGCAACAGAGATCCTGCCTCAAACAAACAAAAATAAAAATAAAACTCCTTGTGTAGAGCAGGGTTGTTATCGTCAGCGCCATGGACATTTAGAGGTGGATCATTCTTCGTTGTGGGACCGCCCTGGGCTCTGTAGGATGCTTAGGGGCATCCTGGCCTCCATCCTCTACAGGCCAGTAGCAAGGCCGCCCACTCTCCCCGTTACAACAAACAAAAATGTCTCCAGACATTGCCGAGTACTCCCTGGAGGATAAAAATTGCCCCCTTGAGGACCACTGAGGTGGAGGGAGCTGCATCTGGCTAGATTCAGGCAACACCGTGGGACTGGCCTACTTCTAAACAGACTGTGGGCTCTGTGAATACCGAGGCCATATCTTACTCATCCTTGAATCCCCACCTGCCCCAGTGCCTGGCCTGTTCCCCCTTGTCCTGCCTGGTGCTGGACCCAGGATAGTTTTGTTGAACAGAGACTGAGTATAGGAATTAAACACCCCTCCCCCATCATTTTCCCCTTCCCATTGGCATGTAAAACTCACTCTTGTACGTAGTCCTAAATTTTCTATTAGGCCCTGGGGGACATGGCAGCTTTAATTATTTTAAATTCAGACTCTGCTGAGACATCTTCTTCACTTCCTGACAAGAAATCACTGCTTCTGAGCAAGCAAGAAAAAAATGTCCCCGAAAAGCCTCAAGCCAGTTGTTCCTGGAGGTCCCTGCTGGCCTCTGCTTCCTGCCCCTGTGGCTGGCAATTGTGGATCTGACCGATGCACTTGAGCTGCACACAAGCATCCTGCCCCATACCCCACAGACCCCTTCTCTTGGCCTATGAGTGGCTTTGCTGCCTCAGCACAAACCCAGGATCAGGGATCTTCATGGCCTCCAGAGAGCCTGCTCCAGAGTGACTGGATTCTAGCCCCCTCGGTGACTCAGGAGTTGGGCAAGAGCTGGCTTCCTGGAGAATGAATCAATATGAAATCAGACAACAAAAAGGGCAAGAGCTTAAATGTCAGCCAGAGCCTACTGAAATCCCAGATTTCACACTCTTATCGGCTGTGTGATTGCCTGCAAGTGGCTTTCCCTCTCTGAACCTCATTTCTCATTTGGAAAGTGGGTACGTGGGTTGATTATCTCTAAGGACCTTCCTGCACTGATGCTTGAGGATAATTTTTAGTCCACATGGCGGACATTGGCTCTTGGTTCACTTTGTCCTAGCAAATTTACTTTCCATCATACAGGGATTGGGGACAAATTATTCCAGGTCAGTCCTAGTGTCTATTTTGAGGTTTTTACTCCAGCCTTCTTCTGCCTCCTGTGTCCTCTCTGTTTTAATTTCTAGGCTCAGCAAACACCTGAGTGATGACAGCTGTTTTGCAATTATTTCATTCTCACTTTGCCTCTCTATACCTCAGTTTTCCCATCTGCACAATAGACATAATAATTAGTTTCTACCTAACAGGGTAGCAGTAATCATGATTATCTCCTTTTTGTAGATGAGGACTTGGAAGCATAGAGAGGCAACATGCCTTGCCCAAGGTGGCCTCACAGCCCATGGCAGAGCTAGGATTAAAATCTAGGGAGGGTCAGGCCTGGGACTTTACCCATTTTGAGACAGGTCTTCCAAGTCAGAGAGCCTCTGCAGATGGACCCACAGGTAGGAACATGCATGTCCTTACCTGTAAGTGTGATGCTCGAGGGTCCACTGGTACATGCCTGCATTCACTCAACAAATGTTGACAGAGCACTGAGGGTGTGGCAGGCACCATGTGGGAACAAAAGCGCTGCCCTTGCAGTAGGAGATGGATTCTGATCCTAATAACATGTACATCATAGTGTGTGTGAGAGGTGAGAGGTGTCATCACAGGCAAAATCTGGAAACAATCGAAACATCCATCAACAAAAGAATGGGTAAGCAAAATGTGGTATATCCATTCAACGGAATGTTACTCAGCGGTAAGAAGGAATAAACTTTTTTTTTTTTTTGAGATGGAGTTTCCCTCTTGTTGTCCAGGCTGGAGTGCAGTGACGCGATCTTGGCTCACTGCAACGTCAGCCTTCCAGGTTCAAGCAATTTTCCTGCCTTAGCCTCCTGAGTAGCTGGGACTACAGGCATGTGCCACCACGCCCGGCTAATTTTTGTATTTTTAGTAGAGACAGGGTTTCACCTTGTTGGTCAGGCTGGTCTCAAACTCCTAGGAATAAACTCGATCCACGCAACGGCATGGATGATCCTCAAAATCGTTTTGCTAAGTGAAAGAATCCAGAAACAGCAGCAGGAGGAGACGGATTATAATCATAAGAATCCGTGCATTGCAGAGTGTGTGAGAAGGTGAGAGGTATCATATTGCCGGGAGGACAGAGCACGGTAAGGGTGATCAAGAGAAAGGAAAAGGGAAAAGCAATTTTAAATAGGGCAATAATAGTAGGCCTAATATAGTTTGGATATTTGCTCCCTCCAAATCTCATGTTGATATGTGATCCTCAGTGTTGGAAGTGGGGCCTGGTGGGAGGTGTTTGAGTCATGGCGGTGGATCCCTCATGAATGGCTTGGTGCTATCCTCATGATAATGAGTGAGTTCTCACTTTATTCGTTCATGCGAGGGCTGGTTGTTTAAAAGAGCCTGGCCCCTCCTCCCTTCTCTCTTGCTCTCTCTTGCTCCCTTTCTTGCCAAGTGACACACCTGCTTCCTCTCCACATTCTGCCAGAAGTAAAAGCTTCCTGAGGCTTCACTGGAAGCTGAGCACATGCTAACGCCATGCTTGTACAGCCCGCAGGACTGTGAGCCAAATAACCCTCTTTTCTTTCTATGTTATCCAGAGTTAGGTATTCCTTATAATGACATGAAGTGGACTAACACAAGGCCTAACCAAGAAGGTATTAGGTTTGGTGCACCAATCTAATAACATTTAAGCAAAGACTTGAAGGAGGTGAGGGAGTTGACAATATGGCTATTTGAGTGAAGAGTGTTCCAGGCAAATGGAACAGCCAGTGCGAAGGTCCTGGGTCAGGCATGTGCCTGGCATGTTGAAAGAACAGCAAGGAGATCAGTGGGGCTGGTGCGGGAAGAACAGAGTTTTAGGGACCTTCTCAGAGAAGGTCAGGGGAGTAATGGGAGTGAGACTGTGTAGGGCTCTGTGGCTCAGAGTGAGGACCTGTGCCTTGACTGACAGCTCAGAGTAGAGTGAGCACCTTGTCTCTACAAACAGGTCGCTTATCCAGGGGGCCTAGCTCCGATGGAGGGAGCTCTAGGACTCCTTGACAGCAGGGCAGTCTCTGTGGAGTCCTGGGGTGTGGGGGCCCTGTGGCCTTGCCTCCTGGAGGTCCCAGAAGCATCCAGAACCCAGCACTCAAGCCCAAGGCTGGCTTGCCGGGGCCCAGGGCCCAGCTTGGGCTCCCTGGACACACCAGCTCCTCAAGTCAGAGTTTCTCCTCCCCTCCCCAACAGCCTGGAGCTTTTCATCTTTGCTTTGTCCCCTTGGGCAATTATTTATTATTTCCTTCTCCAAAGTGTTTCTGAGACACGGCTCTTATGAAAGATGCTACACTGAATAAAGTGGGATGGCATCATAATTCACCCCAGCTCCAGCTGAAATATTTGAACGACAACACATTACTGTCCAATTTCGCTGCTCTCTGCTTCGAGGGAGAGGCAGGAACCCCCACTCAGGGTGTTCTGAGCTCTTTGCAGAATTGAATGAAATGGGTTTGGCAGCTGTGGTGCTGAACGGGAGCCACAGGGAGCCGCAGGTGGGGGACCGTCATTCAGCGTGACTGAGAGGACCCTCTGCTTTGCTCCCCTGCCTGCCCTATCAGCCTGGGAGGTCCTGCAGGGCAGAGATCCCAACTTTTCCTCCTTTCTTGGGATCTCCCAAGGGGCCTGGTCCGGGATGCTTAGAGAAGTGTGGTGGAAAGACCACAGCTCTGGGGTCAGGCTGGTTTAAGCCCCAGCGCTATCTCTTGCTAAGCTGTATTATCTTGGACCAACCCCTGGGCCTCAGTCTCTGTACCTCTGTAATGTGGATACAGATATCTACTTAAAATTTAGGCTATGAGGGTCACCATGAGATAGTGCATGTTAGTTATCTATGGCTGTGTAACACATGACCCCAAGATTAGCATCTTAAAACAGCAAACATATATTCTTTCACAGTTTCTGAGGGTGGGGTACTGGGAGCATCTCAGCTGGGTGATTCTGGCTCAGAGTCTCTTGAAGGTTTTTTCAGTCAAGACGTCAGCAGGCCTTGTAGTCATCAAAGGCTTGCCTGGACCCAGGGGAGCTGCTTCCAATGTGGCGCACTCACATGGCTATTCCAGGCAGCCTCATTTCCTCCTGGCTTTGTGGAGGCTTCACTTCTTCATGACTTGGACCTTTCCACAGGGTTGCAAGTGACACAGCAGTGGGCAACAAATGGTCAAGAAAGTGCAAGAGCTATGCAGGGGCAGCTGTGAGGTCTTTCCCCCCGCCAGTGGTTTTAATAAATTTATAGAGTTGTGCAGCCATCACCACAACCAGTTTTAGGAAATTCCCATTATCCCTAAATGTTTCCTTGTGCCCACTTACAGTAAATACCTGTTCCCACTCTCAGCCCTAGACAGCCACTCTTCTGCTTTCTGCTTTCTGTTTTTTTTTTTTTAATTTTTATTTTGAGACAGGGTCTTGCTCTGTTGCCCAGGCAGGAGTGCATTGGCATGATCATGGCACACTGCAGCCTCCACCTCCCGGACTCAAGGGATCTTCCAGCCTCTATCTCCCAAGTAGCTGGGACTACAGGCATGCACCACCATACTCGGCTAATTTTTAAATTTTCTTTTGTAGAGAAGGGATCTCCCTCTGTGCCCAGGCTGGTCTCACACTCCTGGGTTCAAGTGATCCTCCTGCCTTGCCCTCCCAAAATGCTGGACTCACAGGCATGAGCCACTGTGCCTGGCCTGTTCTGCTTTCTGTCTATACAGGTTTGCCTTTTCTGGTCACTTCGTTGAAATGGAATCATAGAATAGGCAATGTTTTCTTTCTGGATTCTTTCATTTAGCAAAATGTTTTTGAGGTTCAGCTATGTTGTTGCAGGGATCAAGAGCTATTTCTTCTTATTGCCAAGTAGCATCCTGTTGAATGGATATACCACATTTTGTTTACCCATTGGTTTGTTGATGAGCATTTAGAGTATTTCCAGTTTTTGCCTGTGATGAATGACATAGCTATGAGCATTCACATGCAAATCTTTCTGTGGACATGTTTTCATCTCTCTTGGGTCAATTCCTAGGAGTGGGCTTGCTGGGTCTTGACAAATTATTGTTTATCTTTTATAAGAAACTGCCAAATTGTTTTCCATTTTAAATTTCCACCAGCAATGCATAAGGGTTGCGCTTCCTCTATATCCTCAACACTTGGTATTATCTGTCTTTTTGATTAAAGTCGTTCCAGCAGATGTGTAGTGGTATCTCATGGTGGTTTTTATTTGCATTTCCCTGATGATTAATTATGTTGAGCATTTTCTCATGTGCTTGTTTGCTGTTTGTATATTATCTTTAATGAAATATGTATTGAAATCTTTTGCCTATTGGATTTTTTGTCTTATTACTAAGTTATCAAAGTTTTTTTTTTTGTTTTTTGTTTTTTGTTTTTTTTTTTGAGACAGAGTTTTTCTCTTGTTGCCCAGGCTGGAGTGCAATGGCATGATCTCGCCTCACTGCAACCTCCGCCTCCTGGGTTAAAGCGATTCTCGTGCCGCAGCCTCCCGAGTAGCTGGGATAACAGGCATGCACCACCACGCCGGGCTAATTTTTGTATTTTTGGTAGAGATGGGATTTCACCATGTTGGTCAGGCTGGTCTTGAACTCCTGACCTCAGGTGATCCATCTGCCTAGGCCTCCCAAAGTCCTGGGATTACAGGCATGAGGCACAGCACCCGGCCAAAGTTCTTTATATAGTCTGGATACAAGCCCACAATCAGATATATGATTTGCAATATTTTCTCCCAGTCTGTGGCTTTTCTTTTTATTCTCTTAATGGTATCTTCTAAAGTGTGAAAGTGGTTAATTTTGATGAAGTCCAATTTATCAATTTTTCTTTACATCGATCATGCTATTGCTGTCATATATAATAATTCTTTGTCCAACCCAAGGTTATAAAATTTTTTTTCCTATGTTTTCTTCTAAAATATTTAGAGTTTTAGTTCTAACTTTCAGGCCTAGGATCTGTTTTGAGTTGATTTTTGTGTATGGTATAAGGTAAAGGTATCAATTGATATTTTTAACATGTGAATATCCAATTATCCTGGCACCAATTGTTGAAAAGATGATTGTTTCTCCACTGGAATGTCTTAGGACCTTTGTTGAAAATCAATTAGCCATAAATGTAAGGATTTATTTCTAGACTCTTAATTCCATTCTGTTGGTCTGTGTGCCTATCTTTGTGGCAATACCACACTATCTTGATTTGTGTGGCTTTATAGTAAGTTTCGAAATCAGGTAGTATACGTTCTTTCATTCTGTTGTCTTTCAGAATTGTTTTTGCTGTTCTACCTCTTTAGCATTTCCATATAAATTTTGGGATCTGCTTGTTAATTTCTAAAAAGAAGCCCACAGGGATCTTTGTAAGGATGGCAGTGTCTTTTGCAACCTTAAGGGTGTCACGCCATCACTTGTTCCGTCAGTCATAGAACAAATATGGTACCATATCATCACTGTCTTAGAAGTATTGTGCCACCCCTTGTCCTTTGGTGACAGAGAACAACCCTGGTGCAATGTGGGAGGGGGCCATATAAGATATGAACACCAGAAGGTTGGGACCACTGGGGCCATCTTGGAGCTGGACTCCCACCTATTGGATGTGAACATTCACTGGAAATTGAGACTACCTGAGCACTCAAGAGGGACTGTATTGTGGATCTTCCAAACCAACCAATCAACTTCCACAAGTTCTCTCATCCTTTTGATGATATCAGTGTGAAAGTTGAAGTCCAGGGGCTGGGGTTGGGGTGCACCAGAATTGGGAGATGACAGGAAGCCAGGCTGTCATGCAAGTTTAAGTTTGCCGGGTGGACTTGGATATTTTCAAGGAGACTTTGTTCTCTCCCATCAGACCGGGAACACCCTACAAGAAACTGTTCTTTGGAAGGACTGGAAATGAAGTCTGGGTGTTCAGCAGTGGTTGTGGGACTCAGTAGGTGTCTCAATAAGTTGGGGTGCCATAAGTCACCTGCTACCGATGGATAATAAGGCACCAGCTCTTGCCACAATAGGGTTGCATAACAAATCCCCCTCAAACTCAGTTGGACTACTATGATAGGCATTTCTTCTCAAGCTCACAGTACTAGGGTTCATGAGTCTAAGATGGGCCTGTCCCATGGCTCTGTTTCTGCCTGCAGGTCAGGTGGGCTGGGCTCCAGGCTGCAGGCTTGGCTCAGGTCTGCTTCCCCTGTGCTCCTTCTGGGACTTGGGCTGAGGGCCAGCAGCTGTCAGGGCGTGCTGTTCTCAGGCTCGATTACCAGGGTACAAGGGAGTGGGCAGAAACATGGTGCACGATGCAGGCTTCGCCCTGGAACTGGCACACTGTTGCTCCCACCCACAAGCCCTCAGCCAGATCACGTCACATGGCCACACCCAATATCCATGGGGAAGGAAGAGATTCACTCTGCTTTTTCTAATGGGTGGTTGTGCGAGGGTACATGACACAGCGTGTGGAGGTATAATTTTATAGGGGGAGGGCATGAAGGATGATGACTGATGTCCAGTCCACCACAAGTGCCAGTTTGCATGAATGATTTGCTTTAAAAAAAAGTTAGAGGCCAGGCTGTCCCCAGATGATTGTGCTCAGCCCTCACTTGCACTCATGGGCTTTCTAGGGAGGACAGAAACAGCTGAGTTACAGTTAAGGGACTCTTGGGGAGTTGCCTGTACCCATTCGCCCTCCTCCCTGGCTGCAGATTATAACTGCATGATTAAGTGAATAAGTGGCCTTTCTGTCTTCTTTCTCCAGGGGGCCAGAGATGGGCCAGAAAAGCAAGCCTGGCTCAGGAAAGGCACCATGCAGAAATGCTGTTCCCATTACACAGGTGGCAAGACTGAGGTCCCACCTTTAGGTCCCAATTCTCTATTTGGGAGACAAGGGAAGATCTCAGGTTTCCAACAGGTGGCAAATCTTTACTTTCATTCTCTGTTCCCTCTCCCCACTTATTAATATCATGTGTTCTGAGTGTCAGGGTGGGGACACTGGTGGAGACCCCCCCCAATGTACGATCACTACTAACATAGCTGACATCCATGAGCAACTGCCATGTAGCCGGCACCGTGCTGAGTAACCAGCTCGAAGCTTCTTCACAACAACCTTAGAGGTAAGCAGAATTATTGTTTTCATTTCACAGATGAAGAAACTAAGACATGGAGGGATGAAGGCACTGCAGCTCACCTAGCTGGGATGGGCACACACACCTGTCGGATTCCAATTGTCCACCGGGCTTTCCTGGGCCTCCCTTTGGGCAGGGGTTTCATGAAAGTGGATTTGAGCTCATATCTATGAAAAGACTTTGTAACTTGTGGAGCGAGCTGGCAATAGAAAGGATGTCTTCCTCCTGGTCCAGGGAAGTGAGCTCCCCATCTTTGGAGGTATTCCAACAGAAGCCAGATGGTCATCTTTCAGGAATGCTAGGGAGGGGTTTAGGGGGAATCAGAGGCTGAATCAGTTCATACCACAGATGCCTTCCAGTGTTGAGCTCTGAGGAGTCTAATGGTTATGTTCAGGCCACCTGGTAAGTCAATGCCAGGTTCACAATTAGAATAAGTGCAGGTGTCTGGACTCTCAGGTATAACCATGGACTGTTACTTCTAGAAGTCCCATAGCAGTCATCTAATCCAACCCCCCCATTTTACAGAGATGAGGGGTAACTGAAGAGATGACGCAAGGGCACCTCCATTCTTAGTGACAAAGCTGGATTTGAACTCCGTTCTTCAGGGCTGCCATCTATCTGCCTCTCCTTCTGTGCCCCAGGCTTCCTGGGAGCTAAGAGCCTGCTGTCTCGCCTGCCTGGGGCAGGAGGGAGTTAACAAGATAACTAAGTGACAGCCACTCTGCAGCAGCGGTTTCTTGTTGAGAAATGCAAATGCCTTTGTGAGGCCACGCTCAATGCTTCACGTTTTTTTACACCACACAAATTACTCTTTTTTCCCCCTCCCTCTAAGACTTGTCTGGGATTGTTTGTACTACAAAAACCAGAGGGAATTGAGCCATTTTCTGGAACAATCCTGCCAAATCCAGCCTCTGGGATGAGGCCTGCTTCAGCAATGAGGGCTGTCACCCACCGTCCCTTCCTCCTGCTGGCTGTGGGGCCCAGCATCAGGGACACAGCTTCCTGGCCTTTCTGACTTCCTCCAGGGATGGGCCAGAAAAGCAAGCCTGGCTCAGGAAAGGCACCATGCAGATGTTATTCCCATTACACCGGGAGGAAGACTGAGATCCCACCTTCAGGTCCGAGTTCTCTATTTGGGAGACAAGGACAGATCTCAAGTTTCCAACAACTGGCCTATCCTTACTTTCATTCTCTGTTCCCTCTCCCCAGTAGCTGATTTCTATGCCCTTGGCAAGGCACTCACTGTCATCCTGTTGCTCTGGGCAGCCCATCTGTGGTTTGTAATGTCATTTTGGTTATCAGCTTAATCCTTACCATGAGGATCATGACCTCTATTTCACAAGAAGGTGAAGGGTCAGGTTGAACCATATGAGGTTACCATTTTTGTAGGTCAGAAAATGGTTGTATATTGGGTATTTCATGTGGTTCAACTTAATAACTTGTCCTGGGTCATATAACTTACCCTTTGTTTAATGACAAAAAAAAGAGCATCTAACATGTTTCAGACTAACTCTCTTACTGGTGATGGACTTTTAGCTGAATCACTGGCTTCTGCACGTGGTCTTGACCATTCCCCTTCTTCCTTGGGATGACTGCGTTATTAGTTGATTCCCTGGGGTGTGGCCTAGGCCATGGAGCTTTGCTGGGGGAGGTTGCAGGGTATCGTAGGACAGGCACTGGACTGGGGAAAGCAAGAACTGGGTTTTGGTCTTATCTGCACAAATGGGCTGCAGGAATCTGTTAGTTAGGACTCTCTGGGCACCAATAACATAAAATTCAGCCTAAACTGGCTTAAGTAGGAATAGAAAATTTAATAACTTATGTAAGTGAAGAAGATCAGGGGGTGAAGCAGGCTCCAGGAGCTGCCGGAGGGAAGCATTCCGTGATGTGGAGGTGGCTGGCCGGTCACCGAGAGCTCAGGCTCCTTCTGTTATGGTGTAGGCTGTTGCTTAGAAGCAGCTGGCCTGCCAGCCAGGAACTACATTTCCTAGCACCTCTTGTATTTAGGTGTGACCATGACCAGTTCTCACCAATAGAAAAGGGTAGAGGTGGCATGTGACTCACTTCCAGACCAGGGAGCTTAAGGAGCAGATATGCCTCCTGCATTCCAACTTCCCCCAAGGGTGGAACTTAGAGAACTCCAAGGCACAAGGGGTGGGTGAAGCACAAGGTAGAAGGATCCTGGATCCTGAATTACCAGAGAGATCCATGTAAGACTATTATGTGAGCAGGAAATACATTTTTTTTGAGACAGGGTCTCACTCTGTTGCCCAGGCTGGAGTACAGTGGTGCAATCACGGCTCACTGCATCCTCAACCTCCTTGGCTCAGTCAATCCTCCCACTACAACCTCCCAAGTAGCTGGGACCACAGGTGTGTGTCACCATGCCCAGTTAATTATTTAATTTTAAAAAAATATATTTTTTAATAGACATGAGGTCTTGCCATATTGCCCAGGCTGATCTTGAACTCCTGGGCTCAAGCAGTCCTCCCATCTCAACCTCCCAAAGTGCTGGGATTACAGGCATGAGCCACCAAGGCCAAGAAATAAATTTTTATTATTTAGGATTTGAGGGTTTATTTGTTACAGCAACTAGCATTTCTCTGACTGTTACAGATACCATCAGGACCTCTTCTCTCTCCAGCTGTCTCTTCTGCTTGCTTCTCTGCTGGCTTCATTCTTCAGGCCCATGGGATAGCAACGTAGCTGCCGGCAACTCTAGAACACGGAGAGATCCGGAGGGTCCTAGGTTTAAGGCCAGCAGAAAATATACCACCCTCTTAATAGTTTTAATGCAGTCCCAGACCTTGTATCTCATCACTTAAATTTGTGAGCTTATACCAGAATGAATTACTGTGTCCGGGTGGGTAGCAGTGTTTGGGTTGGTCAGCCCAGCACATGTTCACTCATGGGGCTGAGGGTGGAGTTAATTGCACATGGGGTGCAGTTTGGGGAGGAAACTAGATTCTGGGCATTTATGCATCGCCATGAACTTGAACAGTGCTCAGAAACTCTGAGTGTCAGCATCCTTTCCTGATTCAGTGAGGATGCCAGACACACAGGTATGGCGGAGGGTTTGCCGGGATGGAATGACCTTGCCAAACTGTCCAGGCCTGAAATGTGTGACTTGGTGATGCTCAGATTTCCTTACTGCTGGAACATCATGGAATTGGCTCATTTAGGCCTTGGGTTGACTCTCCCAGCTGAGCATTTTCTCTCTCCTCCATCCTTTTGTTCTCCCTCACATCCATGCAGGGCACTTTCTGGAAGGATATCAATGTCTGGACCCAAAGTGTGCGGTTTTGAACATCACTCACTCAGCCTCGCCCGCTGCCAGCACTCCAGTTGGTTCCGCTGCCATCCCTGATCCTTTGATCCAAGAGAAGTGCTGAGAGCCTCTTTCTCCCCTCAGAGGCAGTGGGTTTCAAACCTTGAGGCAGCGTTTTCATGTCCTCACCCACATTGCCGGTCCAGTCTTGCCTAGTGGGAACGTGATCCACGAGGCCCTTCATGTGGCAGATAATGAGGTGGATGGCTCTTTCAAACACCTCCTCCCAGAGGCCCTCCAGACTGCTGCAGTCCACAAGGTGCTCTCTGAACTCCCAGGGGACTTCTGCTTCAACACCTAATTGTAGCTTGTCCTCTAAACGAACAGCTTCCTACTTCTCTGTCTTGCGTAAAGCCCTTCAGGACAAGAATACATTTTCTCCTTCTCTTATGTTCTCTGTGGGTCCTTGGGTGGAACTGAACACAAAATCCAGCAAATGAAATAAAATCAAGGTGAGATTTATTTAACCTGGACTGTCAGACACCCCACCAGGCGTGTTTGCATCCAAGCTTTCATTTGGTTCCCACCAACAGCCCTGTGAATTGGATATTCGGACACATACTTTTACACACAAAGAAACTGACACTTAAGACAGACTGTGTCACACGCCCAAGGTCACATAAAGAGCGAAAGAAGGGCTGTTGATGCAACTGCCAGGCTTTCATTCCTTTGGTATTTACCAAGTGTCTTCCATGCGCCAGGCTGTGGGCTCAGCTCCCCAGGGAAAATACTGAACTGAACAGGAGGAATCTCTGCAACTTAATGATTAAGGGAGGAGGGAGGGGGGGGTCTCTGGAATTGGCCTTTTTGGGTTCAAATCCTGCCTTGATAGCTTTTGAGCTGTGCCCCCGTGGAGCAGGCGTTTCTTCTCTCCAGACCCAGGTGTCTGTGTGTGGGTGCATGGTAGGATGTCCAGGGCCTGTGTTCATACCACTGCCCCACACTGCCTCATTTATCAAAGCCCTTATGGAGCACTTATTTAGCACTTACTATACGCCTGAAAAGACTTTAAGTGCTTTATAATTTTTTTTTTTTGAAGGTGGAATCTCACTCTGTCACAGAGGCTGGAGTGCAGTGCGTGATCTCAGCTCACTGCAACCTCCGCCTCCTGGGTTCAAGTGATTCTCCTGCCTCAGCCTCCTGAGTAGCTGGGACTACAGGTGTGTGCCACCACATCTGGCTAATTTTGTATTTTTTAGTAGAGGCGGGGTTTTGCCATGTTGGCCAGGCTGGTCTCAAACTCCTGACCTCAGGTGATCTGCCCACCTTGGCCTCCCAAAGTGCTAGGACTACAGGTGTGAGCCACCATGCCCAGCCAAGTGGTTTACAGTTGTTAACTAATTTCATGCTCATGCCGTCCTGTGAAGTAAGTGCTATTACCCTTCCTATTTTACAGATGAGGAAACTGAGGCTCAGAGAGGCTAAGTGACTAGTCCAAGCATTGCAGCTAGGATTCAAACCCAGTCCACCTGGCTCCACAGTCCGTCTTCTTAGCTTCCATGTTTTGCTGTCTGTTCACTTAATAAACAGTGGTTGAATTGGATTGAATTAAATCACCCACATGATTTTTGCCAGGCCTACTTGGGGCTGAGTTTTCGTGAGTGCCTGAGGGGCTGAGTCAACCACATCCATCTTTCTTTTGGACTCTGATTCAGGGAGTGAAGTCACACTCCCATGAAGGCACGGTTACCAGCCCTGTAGGCAGGACAGTGTGACCTCCATGAGCTGCCCTGACCTGGCCCTGGAGGCTGGGCTGCCCAGCAGTGGTTCAGAGGCTCTGAAGAGGGGTGCCCTGCTCAGACCTGGCTTAGTGGTACCAGGAGCTGCCAACTCCCCTCTCCGGGCTGGACATGCCCTCCCCTAGCACTCTTGGGACCCCATTCTCTCCATCATCTCAGAATCTACAAGGAAAATGCTCCAACTTCGAGGCAGCCACCAGCTCATGCTCTGGTGCCTGCACTCCAAGGCTTCCCGTTTGAAAACAGCAGTTTTCAAAGGAGTCTTGTTTGATCTTGTGGGTCTTTTTTCCCCTCTACTTGACTGGAAGCTGATGGCAGCGATCAGATGTGGCTTCTGACAAACCTCAGGGCTACTGAACAGTCCCTGGCATGGCCGATGCTGGCCGCCAAGGCAGGAGAAACAAATCTGCCAGCTGATGGTGGCAGGACCTGGTGACAGATCCAAATGTGCCTTCTTCCCGTGGGCCTTTCCTTTCCTGTGTGGCTCTGTCTGTTTGAGATTCCAGTTGCCCTTTGAGGATGGCTCTGTGCTCCCAAAGGCGCTGTTGTCTGGGGAGAGCACAGATGTACCCAGGGCAGAACTTCGCAGCCCTGACACCCTCCATGACCATGCTCTCTCTCTTCCTCTTCTGAATTTCCTAAGAAATATTTCTGCACACAGAAAGATACAAAGAATAAGAGGAACCAAGCCCTACTTACTGGCCACCAGGACTTTATCTCCCCTTTCGGAAGCATAGCGTTGCACAGTTATGCTCAGATACGCACACACTCACCCTGTCCTGCAGCCAGACATGGTGGCTAAAGTGTTTCCACATCCCTCACCTAATGTGAAGAAGGCAGATTGGTATAAGTGCCCCCATTTTACAGATGAGAAAATGGAGGTTCAGAGAGGTGAGCTGTGACCTGCCTTTGGCCATGCAGCCAGAGAGTGGCCAAGACTCCAAAGCAAGACCTGTCAAAATCCATCCAGCCTCTTCCTGCCTATTCCCCACCATAAGCCAAGCACCCAGGATGGGAGAAAGCTATACTGTCAGTGTCTGATGTGTGAGCCCCTTGAGTGAGGGGCCATATATTCTCTGTGTCCTCAGTCCCCTGGCACCTACTGACTGTCAGGAAATACTTATTTGACTGCACAAAGAGATATTGTGGGACCCTAACTGTGGGAAGGGAAGATTGCACGGAGGAGGCATCGGAATAGTCACTCTTGGATTCTGTATTTGTTTCCTGGGGCCTTCATAACAAAATACCACAAACTGGGTGGCTTAAAACAATAGAAATTGATTCTCTCTCAGTTCTGGGGGCTGGAAGTCTGAAGTGAAGGTATGGGCGGGGCCATGCTCCCTCTGAAGGCTCCAGGGGAGAATCCTTCCTGGTCTCTTCCAGCTTCTGGGGGCTGTCGGCAATGCTTGGCGTCCCCTGGCTTGTCACTGCATCGCGCCAGTCTCTGTCTCTGTCATGACTTGGCCTTCTCTGTGTCTCCACAAGCCTTCCTGTCCTTTTAAACACACCAGTCAGGTCAGGCGTGGTGATTCATGCCTGTAATCCTAGCACTTTGGGAGGCTGAGGCGGGCAGATCACAGGGTCAGGAGTTTGACGCCAGCCTGGCCAACATGGTGAACCCCGCCTCTATTAAAAATACCAAAATTAGCTGGGCGTGGTGGCACACACCTGTAATCTCAGCTACTTGGGAGGCTGAGGCAGGAGAATCACTTGAACCCGGGAGGTGGAGGTTGCAATGAGCCGAGATCGCACCACTGCACTCCAGCCTGGGGGACAGAACGAGACTCTGTCTCAATTAAAAACAAAAACAAAAAAAACCAAGGCTGGGTGCGGTGGTTCACATCTGTAATCCCAGCACCTTGGGAGACCTAGGTGGGTGGATCACCTGAGGTGAGGAGTTCGAGACCAGTCTGGCCAACATAGTGAAACCCCATCTCTACTAAAAAGACAAAAGTTAGCTGGGCGTGGTAGCATGCTCTGTAATCCTAGCTGCTTGGGAGGCTAAGGCAGGAGAATTGCTTGAACCAGGGAGATGGAGATTGTAGTGAGCTAAGATCGCACCACTGTACTCCAGCCTGGGCAACAGAGTAAGATGCCGTCTCAGGAAAAAAAAAAAAAAAAAAAAAGCACCAGTCATTGGATTTACAGGCTACCCTAATCCAGTATGACCTCTGCTTCACTGATGATCTGCAAAGATCCTATTTCCAAGTAAGGCCACATTCCGAGGTTCCAGGTGACATGAATTTTGGGGGATACAATTGAACCTCTACAAATTCTGATCCATCACTTGTCAGCTGTGTGTCCTTGCGAAAGCCTTATTGGAGCTAAAATGTCCTCATTTGGCCAAACCGGGGCCAAGAGGGTGTCCTTGTATGGGGGTTGTGAAATGAAGTGTGAGAGTAACACCGTGGCACCTGGCGTGCTGCAGACACCAAACAGCGGTGGTCTGTCTTATTATTAATACTGCTATTTCTACTATTAAATGAAATGTGAGGTGAGTGTAAGAGAATGGCAAAGTTTATATTTAGAATGGGATATATTTAGAAGGCAGTGAATTCCAATAGGGGCGAAAAAAAATCTATTTATTTATTTATGTGTTTGTAACTACTGGGCAGACAGCAAACAACTTGTTCCGCTCCCAAGTTTAGAACCAACTGAGAGACAGATGCGTGTGTCAGAGGGAGGGAGATCAAACGTCATTCTGATTGCTGATGAAGCTGTCTGGAGCGGGTGGCTTTGTCTTCAGCAGGCCTCCTACCGCCCAGACCCTGGCAGAGCAGGCAATGCCAGTCCTAACCCCTTTACTGGGGCCAGGCAAGTGCCCTCTGCAGGCAGAGGAGGAGGGTGGGCATCTCACGCATCTGGGGTGCCCTCTCCAGACTCACCAATCAGAGGCTGGGGGAGGGGAGAAAGGGGAAACGTCGGGGAGGGGCTGGGTGCACAGCAAGTGAGTGGGGGTGTTATCAGGACACATGAAACCTGCAGAAGGCATTTCCCCTCCTGGTATATAAAAGTAATCCTGGCACTGCCACCTTCTAGCTGGGAGGCCTATAGCAGGTGGCTTAGCCTCTCTCAGCCTCAGTTTTCTCATCTGTAAAATGGAGATGATGAGAGTTTCTAGTTTATGGGCTCATGTGCGAATGAAATGATTGAATACCTGCAAGGCAGTTGGAACATGTCTGGCCCAAAGCAAGAGCTTAATGAAGATCGCTTCGATTTTTTAAAATTTATTTTTTTTTGTTTGTTTTTTGAGACAGAGTCTCGCTCTGTCGCCCAGGCTGGAGTGCAGTGGTGCGATCTCGGCTCACTGCAAGTTCTGCCTCCCAGGTTCACGCCATTCTCCTGTCTCAGCCTCCCGAGTAGCTGGGACTACAGGTGCCCGCCACCACGCCCAGCTAAGTTTTTTTTTTAATATTTTTAGTAGAGATGGGGTTTCACGTTAGCCAGGATGGTCTCGATCTCCTGACCTTGTGATCCGCCCGCCTCGGCCTCCCAAAGTACTGGGATTACAGGCTTGAGCCACCACGCCCGGCCTATTGCTTCTATTTTTATTGTGCTTCTCATCACTGCTGTGCAATGCTGAGGGTCAGTGAAAGGCACCAGACCGTAAGTATGATCATCAGATGCTTCTGTAATAGGCTCTGATTCTAGGAGGAAGTGGGGCCCCCAATATTCTTGAGAAAATGGGTGTGGAGGTGAGTGATAAACTGTCTTGTGCTGTCTGAAATGAAGGGATTATTGGTGCTATTGCGAGGTATGGGAGCTGTCCCCGGAGCTGCCCTGCCCGTCTCGGTGGACTGGCAGGATGCTGGGATAAAGGCCCTTTCCTGATGCTTGGGCTGGACTGTGGGTAGGGGTCATGGGAGGGCGAGACATCTTGTGAAGGCCTCAGTAGGCTTGTGCACATGGAGGGGACAATGCCAGGGAAGGTTGGGATGCTGGGCAGGAGGGTGACATCACCTGGAATCTCCTCATCTCCCTCTCCAGCCTAGGGGGTAAGGGAGAGACATGGAGAGAAGCAGAGAGTGCCAGCTGACTGTCTGGGAGGTTTTCTTTTCCTGTAGGATCCATCAAACTGCCTGCCTGAGGAGTTGGCTGCTGCTGGGATCCATCCTTCCGGAGGCGAGTGGCACCTGGTGGGGCTGTACGGAGTAGATGTTGGCTCCTCATCAGTGGCTCTGCAAGTCAGCTGCCTGGTGCTGTATCTAAGCCCAGGGGTGGAGCAGGGGTTACGGGTCACGGGGGCAGATGGCATTTCAGGAGCTCTGCCCCAAAGGTTCACATTCTAAGATGTGGTACCTGGGGCAGTGTCTGGAGTCCACAGATATTAGTGGCTTTCTAAGTGGTTGACCTCTTCAAGACAGTCCAAAGTCAAACAGAACCAATGTTGTAAGGAATTTTTTGGATTACCTGGGCTCCAGGCTCTTACCTTGGTTTGGATAAGGAAGAAACAGCTTGAATTTGAATTATTGAACAAGTTACCAAATGGCTAGGAGCCTCGATCTGTTCATCTGTACAATGGGGATAATGATAAAGGACCGTCCTCCTTATTGGGATCTTTCTGGGGATGCCTTCACACTGGGCCTGGCACACAGTAAGTGCTCAGTGAATGTCAGTTGTGACGACAGTAATGGCAGTGATGGTGGTGGAGGTGGTGGTGGGAATGATGGAGTGGTGATGATGGGGTGGTGGCAATGGTGGTAGTGATGATGACAGCGGTGGTAGTGATGGAGGTGGTGGTGGTGGTGATGAGTGTCAAGCCTGGGGCTGGGTGCTGGGGATACGGAGATTTTTTAAAAGGCAGGAAAGAGAAACAGAATTGGTCATTACCATACTTTGTGACAGTGAGGAACGTCGGAATGAATTGGTCAACTATTTAAGGACACGCGTTTTGAAGAAGTAATGATTTGCCATATTTTTAAGGAGGAAAAGCGTATGGCATGGAGCAGGAACCATGCCTACTATGGCGTGGAAGTAGGAAATGGCAGGGTGTTCACTGTTGCTGGAGCACAGAGCCTGGGCCAGCGTTGAGGTGGTAAGGCAGGGGCTGCAGAGGTAGGCAGGGCATTGGATGCCATGTCAAGGATTTTGGCCTTGTTCTTACAATGATGGGGAGGCACTGACAACACAGCACAACCAGATCAGCTGGGACTTGAGGTCCAAAGACACCTGATGTCACCAGCTCTTATGTGTGGCGGGGTGGGGTGGGGGGAAGTTTGCATGAGCCAGACATCTGTGAAGGATGGGTGTTGTCTTATGGTATACTAGTTCTCCAGGGGCTGGAGGTGTCAGTGAGTTTGGGGGCTGGAGCAGGACCCATTGCTGGGGAAATCAAGATGGTGGCTTGATTACCAAGGGGGTCCTTTGATTTTCGTTCAGTTCCCTGGCCCTGGTGCTCACTACAGAAAGGCTCCAACATGCTTCTCAGACTGACTTACCACTGGACATAGGCTGTCCCTGAGCCAGGGCCCTGGCTATTCCATGAAGCTTGGTTAACATTCATTCATTCATTCATTTATTCAGTGTCTATTTATTGAGCAGGAGGCATTGCTGTATGTCCTGAGGATTACAGTGGGGACCTAGACAGACAATATCTTGGTCCTCAGGTAGCCTCTATTCTAATAGATGTCATCTCTTATGGCTGACCCTAACCCTGGTCAAACTGCCCCTCAACCTTGGTCATGGATTAGGCCCATAGCCCGATACTCAGTGGATGTCTGTCAAATGCAGGTCATTCATTACTGTGCCTTCAACAAATTTCATGGGCACTACTCCTGTTAGTAATGGGCAGGTGGAAGGAGAGTGTGCAGAGGCCCTGCAGGTAGTGAGAGGGTCTGGATATTGCAATGCAATCCATTCTTACTGCTGGAGAAACTGCCCTCCATGTCTGTTTTAGCAACCTCAGGGAAGAGTTGAATGTAGTCACCTCTTGGTGATAGCTTTGCCTGGTGACTACTCCACGGTGCTGATGGTGTGGCCTCAGGCATGGGTACAATGTGTGTTAATGGAGGGGGAGAGGGAAACCTTCCTGGACACAGCAAACCCTGCAGCCCTGAGCCAAGCTTTCAGGGCTTAGTACCAAGGAAAGGGAGCCCAGGCTACTTCAGGCTGGGAGGTGAGAAGCAGTTGATCCCTACTGAGGGGGTGTGGCAGGGGAGATGTTGCTGTAGGTGGTGATGAGTCCTTTAAAATCACAGAAAATCTGCCTCTGGCCTTCAGGATGAAGTCCAACTATTTGCCAAGGTCCAGGAAGCCCTTCAGGTGGAGACCCCTGGTCACCTCCTTTGCATCTCACCTCTTACCTCCTTCTCCCATCACACTTGAGGGTACAGCTCTCCTGAGCTCCTAGTAGTTCCCCCAAAATGCCCAGCTCTCTCCAGGCCTTGGCACAAGCTATTCTCTGTGCCTGGGATGCTCTGTCTTTCCACTTTACTTACTGCCAACTCTTCATTATCCTTCAGCCTTTGCTCAGCTATCACCCACTCTCCTCCCTGTCCAGATCATGTGGGTGTCTCATGCTTGTGTCCCTCAGCCACCTATGCTTCTTAGACTTAGACTTATCACACTGACTGTAAATACGTAAGTTTTCTCTCTAGACTGTACTCACCTTGAGGGCAGGGGTCGGGTCTAACCACCATGTCCTCAGTGCAAGACATGGAATATTCTAGGGGCTTTGCTATTATGTGTTGAGTGGTTGGATGGAAGGATGGAGAGATGGGTGGATGGGTGGATTGGTGGGTGGATGGATGGGTGAATAAGTGGGTGGATAGATGGGGTGAGGTTCAACAGACAGACAGGCAGCTTCCACCCAATTTTTCGTCTTTGCTTGGAACCAGCATCTGAACCCCCCGGCTGGTTACTGAAAGCTCAGGCAGCCAACCCTGTGGAAATATAGAGCGTTATCTAAATGCTAAATAGCAGCAGTAACAGCCGAGATGGGCTCTATGAACAATGTGTGGGCTTATTGGCTATCTCCTGCCTGCCATCCTTCTCCCGCCCCATTCTGTTCTTGAAAGCCTGTCGGGCCTGGTTAGTGCTCACACTTTGTCAGCACCATGAGGATCTCTGAGGGGCCGAGGCCTGCACACACAGCAGGGCTGGGCAGGCTGCAGCCCCTGGAGGGGCCTGGAGATGGGGTGGGGTAGGCAGCGCATGCAGTGGGGAGCTAGCTTGCTGGTGTCCAGTCCAGGGGCACTGCCACTGACCCTCGGGTGACCAGCAGATGAGTGACATCCTCGTACATCCTTGGGCTCCTCATTTGTAAAGAAAAGGAATTTTCTCACTGTCACTGAAAACCTACTATGCACCAGGTTTCCTAAAATTACATTTGTAGAGCAAGCCTGGGAAGTTCTCCATTGTACAGAGAGACTGAGGCTCAGACTGGGAAAGAGACCCCCGGCTAGGGAGTGTTATAAATAGGATTTAGCCCAAGGCCGCCTGACTGCAGACCTCCACTGTCTAACACGAGGGGCTGGGCTGGATCAGAGGTTTGCAAAATGTTTGTAGTGAAGGGAAGCTTTGTTCAAACAAAATCTCACCCAGAAATGCTTTATAGAAAGAAGATAAAAGCAGACTGGACCCGACTGAAGCAGGAGTCGGGGTGGGCGAGCAGGGGGTCGGTGGGGTGGGCCTTCTCTGATCCCTCCTTTCCACCCTGCAACCAACAGGGCTCCACTGGGGTACTTCTGGGGTCAAAGCTTCCCCAGGGTGAGGCTCACCTGGAGGATGTAACAGCAGCCACTTGGGGTCACTCAGAGGGTTGTGTGACCTGAAAGTTCATGAGTCCAACCTTCCCAGCTGGGAGGGACACAGGCCTTGCAGGGCTTCCCAGTTCTTACCCGAGTGTCCCTGCTGGCCTCTCCGTAGGTGACCCCAGGCCTGTGGATTATCCAGGCTGGGCTTCCTCCAGTCACCTCCTCCAGAGGGGCTGGACAGGGTAGCTCAGAGTCACTGCCTTTTGACCCTCTGATGTTAGAAATAGGGACTTGGAGAGGATCTTGATTCTCTAGCCTCCCACACCTTCACCCACACTGTGCATGGCTCACTGTGGACTGGCACGTGCTCAGAGGAAGCCTGGGCAGGACCCCACGTGGGGCAGGAACAGGGCCATGAAGAAGGTGTGGCCAGCGTGGCTGGGGGATGTCAGGACGTGGGCAGGGATATCCCCTGGGCTGGCACTGGAGCCCATGTCAGTAGGCTCTGGAGATGAGGGACAAATTCCAGAAAAGAGCCCCCAGGCTCAGGGAATGGGGTATGGGCTCTGAGAGAGAGCAGGGGGCTGGGAGAGGGGAGGAGGGACCCTTGGGTGGACAGTCCGTCCCTGCAGGGGGTCAGATTGCTCTCAGAAAGATCATTTTTGAAGAACAATTAAATCTCTCCTAAAGCAGGCTTAATAGTTCTTCTTCTGGGGCTGGGTTTGGGGTGTGTCTCCCTCCCAACCCCCTCCCAACACCCTCCCCTGTCAAATATCTGATCTCCAGGTTTCCATTCCTCGCTCCGACCGCTCCTGCTTCATTTCTCCACCCAGTAGTCTTCGGCTTATCAGAACACCACCACCCACCCCAGACCCCAGACCTGACCCACACGCACCTGGGACCTGGAAATCCCGGATTCTAGTCCCAGCAATGCCCCTGCCTGTTCTACCCCTGCCTCAGTTTCCTCACCTGCACATTGAGGGTGTTGGGAGAGTGTCCCTGGGCCCAGGCGACTCTGGAAGTCTGCGACTTGAAGTGACTTGAAGCCGAAGTCTGTGCTCTCCTGTGCCCCCTCCCCCCTGCAGCTGGCGCCTGGCTCAGTAGGAAAGAGGCCAAGGAGCCGCCAGGATTGCACGCTGCCTCTGCCATCAGTCACTCTGGGTGGACTCTGAAAAGCCCATTTGGTTTATTAACACAAACACTCTTGGCATAAGCCCGGGAATGGCAAATTGGATGGGAGTTCACGGAAGTCAGGGGATGTGTTTATCACCTCCTGCTCCATCACCTGTCGCTGCTCCTGGCAGTTGGGGAATGGCCAGGCCTGGTCGCGGGGAGAAGCAGGGGTCAATAAAATCACCTCAGAAAGCCACTTGTGCTTGGCCGCAGGCTGCTATCTGCCCAGTAGCCAGGGGCCCGCTCTCTGATCTTGGTTCTACAGTCGGCTGACCAGTGCATGACCTTGGAACAGGTCCTTCTGTTGACTTGGCCTCAGTGAGCAGGGCCTTGAGGAACTGCAGGAATAGCCTGGACTGTGGCATCAGATCTTTCTCTGCTGGAGGCTGGCTGAGTGACCACGGATGCAACCTCCCACCTCTCCTTCCGCCGCTGAGCCTCACGTTCCCCAACTGTAAAGTGGGGATCTTGATTCATCTCTTTATTCATTAGCCATTTATAATAAATGCCTCCTCTGTGCTAAGAACCATGTTGGAGCTTCAAAGATAATAATAGTAGTAGTAGTAGTAATAATAATAGCTAGCTAAATATGTCGAGCACTTTGTGTACTCTGTTTGTATAGTGTATTAGTCTGTTTTCACGCTGCTGATAAAGACATACTTGAGGCCAGGTGTGGTGGCTCACACCTGTAATCCCAGCACTTTGGGAGGCCGAGGTGGGAGGATCACCTGAGGTCAGGAGTTCGAGACCAGCCTGGCCAACATGGAGAAACCCCATCTCTACTAAAAATACAAAAATTAGCTGGGTATGGTGGCGCATGCCTGTAATCTCAGCTACTTGGGTCGCTGAGGCAAGAGAATCACTTGAACCTGGGAGGCAGAGGTTTCAGTGAGCTGAAATGGTGCCATTGCATTCCAACCTGGGCGACAGAGTAAAACTCTGTCTGAAAAAAAAAAAAAAAAAAAAACATACCGTAGACTGGGGAAGAGAAAAAGGTTTAATTGAACTTTACAGTTCCATATGGCTGGGAACCCTTAGAATCATGGTGGGAGATGAAAGGCACTTCTTACATGGCGGCAGCAAGAGAAAATGTGGAAGAAGCAAAAGCGGAAACCCCTGCTAAACCTATCAGATCTTATGAGACTTTTTCACTCTCATGAGAATAGCATGGGAAAGACTGGCCCCCATGATTCAGTTACTTCCCCCTGGGTCCCTCGTCCCTCCCACAACACATGGGAATTCTGGGAGATACCATTCAAGTTGAGATTTCGGTGGGGACGTAGCTAAACCATATCATATAGTAAGTGATTTAACCCTCAAAACAATGCAATGAGACAGGTACTGTCCATAGCCCCATTTCACAGATGAGGACCCTGAAGCACACTAGGTTACGGGTTCTAATGAGGACGATGGCACAGGTGACATTATGCCATCACCACTGTCAACGTCTTGGAGGGGTTGTTGTGGGGGCTGTGGGCTGCAAAGCACAGTGAGGTCAGTTCCACATAACGAGATCAGGAAATGCTCAGGGAGAAGGTGACATTGAGTAGTGGCCAGGGGGTGGATGGTCACCCCTGAGACAGAAGGGGTGGGGGAGAGGGCATTCCAAGCAGAGGGAACAGTGTGTGCCAAGATCAGCCCAGTGTGTCTGGGACCAGCAAGTGTTTGGTAGGAACGAGTTCTGAGAGGAGAGAGACTTGAATATGGCTGAGACACATCATCTTCAGAGCATCTCTGACAAGATTCGAGGAGGCAGTTCCCACCCAACGCGGAGCACCATGCCCCGGGCTGGAATTTGATGCCCTTTCTTCTCTCTGACTCCCAAGACTGTGGCGTACTGAGGATGGGATGGGTACTTTGAGCTCTTCAGGAGGGGCACAGAGGAGATGCTTCTCTTCTGAGCATCTCTCAGAGGAACACTGCTTCTTGGGAGGAGCTGGGCTTTTCAGAGCCTTCTGGGCAGAAAGAAGTGGGCTGGGCTCCCTTACCTGGAAGATGAGGGTCCTGTTAAGCTGGGAGCCATTTGCATTAATTAATGCCTTCTTTTCGTCTATTAATCTTGATAGCAGTGCGTGCCTGTTCCTGCCTGCTGGGTGCTGGGAGAGGTGAGATTTGTTCTCACTGCACCTCAAGAGGCAGTTCCTCTTTGGCGAGCCAGGTCTTGGGAAAAAGGTGAGGGCACCTGGGGCCATGGAGGGACATCATGGTCTTGGAATCAGGCTGGCTCCAGCCCTATTGCCATTTTCGCGATGAGGAAACTGCGGCTTGGTTGGAGTGACTTGTTCAAGGTCATGCAGCGGCTGTGGTGGAGTTGGGGGCGGCATCCAGTCCCCCAGAGCCAGGTCAGTTTCCCTGCACCAGAAATCTCTACACAGCCAGCTGCTCTTCGACAGAGGCTGAGGGACCTGCCCCTGTGCCCTCCCCTCTCTCCCGCCTTTTCTTCCCCTCTCCATCCTTCCCACTTTTGTTCTCCTCCTCCCCCGACCTCACACATCTGTTTCCAGTCTCCCCATTCCCCAAGCCCCTGGACCAGAGGGGAGCTCAGCACTGCCTGCGTGGGCTTTGTCTGCGAGGACGAGCAAGCAGGGAATGTAGGTCAGTCAGGGAGATGAATCGTGCATTGGAGGTGGGCGCGTGGATGAGGGAGGGGCTCCAGCGCCTGGTCGTGAGGGCTGCATCCTCTGGAACACTCGAAAGCAGAAGTCGGAGGACTGGCCCCCACCCAGTGGTGTCTGTCTCTCCCAGCAGAAGCGAGGGAGTGGGTGGAGAACTCGTTCTGAGGTTGCCTGCCTGTCCTTTGAGCATCTCCAGTATCCGTCTGCTTCTCCCAACCATCTCTGTGGCTCTGCTCAGCCCTATCCCTTCATGCACTAGGACCCCATGAACGTGTCCTCACCCATCCTCCTTGATGCTGTCGGAGTGGTCTCTCTAAATCTGACCACACCTCTGCCTTGCTCCCATCCCTTCCATCTCTCCTCATCACCTGTTGGACACGAAGTTGGAGATCTCAGCTTGGCAAAGCCCTCCCTCTGGGATTGGGTTCCTCCAGCCTTGCCCCGTCTCTCACCCCCTGCCCACGTGCACCCACATGTCACACTTGCAGTTCCACGGCAGGGCACACACTCGCTCCCTGGAGCATCAGCTCTGGGTCCAAATCTCAGGTCTGCCACTTACAAGCTGAGGGGTGGGCAAATCATTGACCTCAATATGCACTTGTTTCCCTATCTATAAATTGAGGAGTGTAACAGTGCTCCGCTCACATGTGAAGAGCTCTCATGGCACCCAGCAGAATGGAAAGGAGGTGCAATCGCAGGGCTATTTATTGCTCCTGCTGCCGCCGCCGCTGCTGCTGTTGTTGTTACTATTATTAGCCCCAGGGATGGCCGGCCTGGATGCCCTCAAAGGAGAGACCCATTTTGTTTCCATCTTTGGTTCTGCCCAGTGCTTGGTGCAGTGCCAGGCATACAGTAAGTTTTCAATGAATGCTGAGTGAGCAAATCAGTGAGTGGGGGAGGATCTATTCTCTGGGGACCCTCAATCTGATAGGGAGAGGACACACCTCAGACCTCAGGACCTCCCAGGCAGACAAGGGAGGCAGGTTGCACTCATATACAAACGTTGTGGGGTTTCCAAAGGTGTCACTATTAGACTCTTTGGGTGTCCAGCGTGCACCAGCAGGTCTGCAATAAAATCAGCCCACAACAGCACTATGGGGCAAAGAAATTCAAGAGGACCCACCTGGTGTGTAGCACAAGCAGGTTTGGGGAGACACCCCTGCTGTCTGCTGAATCTGCCTGCTGGCTCTGTGAGGGTGCCCCCTGGCCGCCCATCACAACCCCTCTGCTCTTGAGTGGTCTCTGCTGGGGAGCAGGAAAAGGGAGGTCAACTAATGTTGCCTGACAGCCTCCAGGCCAGGGAGTCAAGGTTGGCTGCCATTTAAAGCTTCCTGATTGCCCAGCCCCTGCCTTCCAAAGGTGTCTGTCCTGATGTCCTCCCACAAGCCCAGTTGGCTTCAGCAACCCCCCAACTCCCCAAATCCACACTCACATACCCTGAGCCAGGAGCATGCTCACCTGCCATCTGTTTTCACAATAGCCTTTCCAGGTGACAGCAGGAGCTCCATTTTACATTTGGGAAACTGAGTCACAGGTGCAGTGACTTACCCAAGGCCACACAGCCAGCCGTCTGCATAGCTGGGACTGGAACCAAGAAAAAGTCCCCACCCACTTCTCAGCGTCCTGCACCCTTCAACTCTGGAGATGTCGTGGAGGTTTTCCTGCCTCGGTTTCTCCATCTGCAGAGGCGCTCTTCCTCTGATCTCTGCTCTCCTCTCTGGGCTCTGCGGGGTTAATCTGGGCCAGCTCCAGGAGCACCTGGGACAAGACGTGCTATAAATAGTTTCTATGGCAGGTTGCCATCAGCCACCCTTGGGCTCCAGGGCATGATTCTGGTGCCAGCTGTTTGCCAGCCAGGCTGGGGTCACTGCTGGCAGCTCAGCCTCTTAGCAGCTTGCTTGTCTGGGACGTCGCTCAAAGGACAGTATGTCCTATGTGGTCTCCTCTTTTCTTGTAGTGAAAATCTCTTTTCTCTGATGCTTTTTCAGCCTCTTCTTCCCCAAGGAGGCTGGGTGGAGAGGATGACATTGGCTGTCACATTGGGCAGAGTCTGCAAATCTTCTAGGCCTCAGCTTCCACAGGTGGAAAATGGAGCCACACACCCTAAATGGTGTCCCCAAGGATGTCAAGTTGTAATCCCTGGAATCTGCAAATGTGACCTTATTTGGAAAAAGGGTCTTAGTGGATGTGATTAAGTTAAGGATCCCAAGATAGGGGGACTACCCTGGACTATCTGGGTGAGCCCTAAATGCTATCACGAGTGTCCTCGTAGGAGGGAGGCAGAGGGGATTTCACACACACAGAGAGAAAGGTGCTGTGACATGGAGGCAGAGATTGGAGTGACACAGCCGTAAGCCGGGGAACGCTGACCACTCCCTGAAGTTGCAAGGGGCAGGGAATCCGTTCCCCTTCTGCAGCCTCTGGAGGGAGTGTGGCCCTGCTGCCACCTCGAATTTGGCCAAGGGATGTTGATTTCAGGCTCTGGCCTCCAGAGCTGTGAGAGAATGAATTTGTATTATGTCAACCAGTTTGGGGTGATACCTTAAGCAGCTTCAAGAAGCTAATACTTTGTTTATAAAGATGTGGCTAGAGGTTCCTGAGAGAGAAGGAAGGGAGATTGAGGCCCAGGGGTTGTATGGGAGAGGGGAACAGGGATCTTAGGGCCGTGGAAGTATGACATTTGTGCCTAAAGGGGCTTTGTTGGCACAGACTGGGCTCAATGCGGGAGCAACGGACGCATTCAGCAAAGGTGGAAAAAGCTTCTTTAGTGCACCTCCCCTCCCTCCCTCAATGCTCCCCTCCCCTCCCCTTTTCTCCTCATCCCCTCCCTTCCTCTCCACTCACCTCCCTTCTCTGTGTAGTGGCAGGTGATACAGGGCAGAGTTTCTCAGACATGGTGCATATTACAATCTCCTGGGAAATTTAAAAAGTCTTGATGCCCAGACTGCACCGAAGCCTTATTAAATTGGAGTCTCTATGCTGGAACATAGACATTAGTACTTTTGCTTTTTTTTTTTTTTAAGAGACAGAGTCTTGCCCTGTTGCCCAAGGTGAGTGCAGTGGCACAATCATAGCTCACTGCAGCCTTGACCTTCTCAGCTCAAGTGATCCACTCTTGGCTTAATTTTTTACATTTTTTGTAGAGATAGGGGCCTTGCTATGTTGCCCAAGCTGGTCTTGAACTCCTGGCGTCAGGCGATTCTCTCACCTCGGCCTCTCAAAGTGTTGGGATTACAGGTGTGAGCCAACATGCCCAACTAGTACTTTCACTTTTTAAAGCACTATAGGCGATCCCAGCACACAGCCAACGTTGAGAACCCTGGGTCTAGGGTTTGAGAGTCAGGTACCTGGTTCTAGCCCTGCTGTGTTCAGACTTGCTTGGTGGAGTGGATGTTGGTTGCTTTGCCTGCTCGTGGTCTGCATCTCCTTCCTAAGGGTCAGCACCCTGGCATCCCTTCAGCGGGCCTCCCTCCCCGACTCACAGTCCACATGGGGTGGGTGGAACTAATCCCCCTTCCCTGGTCCCGGGAGTGGGCATGTGACCCAGGCCTGAACAACCAGCACACCCCATCCTCTTTGGCTAAAGAGATTGGCCAAAAAGGACACACAACTTAAGTCAATTCAATTAGTGTCCACCCTAGGACTGTGGATGTGGTTATCGGCAACAAGCTGTGCTCTTTCTGCGAAGGCTGCTGAGCTAGGGGGATTCAGCCTGCAGCTGCTGGAGGCTGCCAGGTTGAGGGAACCTGGCCTGAGAGTACAGTCAGCACAGAGAAGAGCAGAGCTGAGAGGCAGAGAGAGATCAGAGCGGATGACTCATGTGAACCCCTGGATCCAGCGGAGCCTGACAATGTTCTCCTGGGCATCTCAGCTATGTGAGCCAGTTATTTCTGTTGTTGTTTGTTTAACTTAGTTTGAGTTGAGTTTCTGTCATTTTGCAATAAAAGAGTCCGGACTAAAACACTATATGACCTCAGACAAGTCTCCCTCGGGTCTCTGCTGTCTGTGTATAAAATGGCTAGGTCGGCTGGGCGCAGTGGCTCACGCCTGTAATCCCAGTACTTTGGGAGGCCAAGGTGGGTGGATCACGAGGTCAAGAGATTGAGACCATCTTGGCCAACATGGTGAAACCCCGTCTCTACTGAAAATACAAAATTTAGCTGGGTGTGGCAGCGCGCACCTGTGGTCCCAGCTACTTGGGAGGGGAGGCTGAGGCAGGAGAATCGCTTGAACCCGGGAGGCAGAGGTTGCAGTGAGCCGAGATCCTGCCATTGTACTCCAGCCTGGTGACAGAGCGAGACTCCATCTCAAAACAGCAACAACAACAACAACAAACAACAACAACAAACAAAACTGGCTAATCAGTCAGTCATTCTCCAGTGTCCCTTCCGGCCCTTACATGCCACGCCTCACCTCTCCACCTAGCTCCTAGACAAGGAGCTGCCTCTGGCTACATCAGGGTGAGCATAGCTCTGGGAGTCCTTGTGAGGCCAGGGGTGCTATGGGGGGCTGTGGGCAGCATGGGGCTTTGTAAACTGGAGGTGTGACTGGAAAAGGGGGACAGAGGGACATGGTTACAGGTGCCCAGGAAATGTCCCAGCTATCCCAATGAAGAACTGAGCCATAGCTGCCTATGGCCTCTGCCTAGATGTAGATTCCATTGGTAGCCAGTGCCTGTTAGAGATCTGTCATCCAAGTGAAAACTCTTTTGGGGTGTCCATTTGGCCGTAAGTAGACCAGCAGAAATACATAAGGCACTGAAGTTGTCTGTCACCTTGACCAGCTTCTGATGGTGAAGATGACAGTCTGGTGGGAAAGTGGAGAAACGTGCTTTGGAGTCTGTGGCAGACGTCATTCTGATTTCAGCTCTGTCACTCCTGTGTCACCTGGGGCAGGTCCCTCAACCTCTCTATCTCAGCTATCCATTCTCCTAGGCCTTCATCCGTGCCAATCACTGTGGCCAGGGAGATAAAATAGGCTGTCTGGCTAGACGTGGATCACATGCCCACTCCTGTGGTGGGGAGGGTCTTTGGCCTCACCCCTCCATGGACCCATCATAAGGAAGAGCAGGGTGCTGTTCCCCAAAGGAGAAGGGGATGGTGGGTAGGTGAAGCAATCAATGCCCCCTTGCCCACAGCAAGGCAGGGGCTGACACCCTGAAGGGGGTGTTGAGGATGAAGCGTGTGCGTGTGCGTGCATGCGAACACTTGTGTGTGTGTGTGTGTGTGTGTGTGTACGTGTGTGTGTGCATGAACACCCGGCATTTCTAGGAGCTCAAGAAGTGCTGGCTGACCTGGCTGCTGGTGAGTGGGAAGAAGATGTCAGGGCCAGGGTGATGGCATTGGGTAGTTTCTCAGAGGACAGTTTGGGTTCCCAGTAAACATTAAGTTGCTCCTAGCCTCCAACTCCAGCCAGCAGACAGCCCGGCTGGGAAGAGGTGGGTGCCTGTCAGTGCCTCCGTCTTTTCCCATCCAGCAGGCGGGCAGCAGAGCCAGGCATGGGAGAGGCTGAAGGCTGGTCTGTCAGGCTCGGTGTCTTTGGAACCCCTCCTCCAGGCCCCTGCTGACTATACTTTCAAGCTTGTGGCCCGCCACCTCCCTCTCAGCTCCTCCGTGGCTGTCATACCTCCTGATGGGGGCCCAGGAGCACTTACTGGCCTCTCAACACATCCTCTGGGGACCCAACGTCTCCTCCGAGGAACTGGAGGCTCCTGATATTCAGGCCTCCAGGTCACCCCCACACTCTGCCTCCGCAATGTAGAGAGTGCCCAAGTCATGAACACAGGCTTTGGGGAAGGACAGATCTCAGTTCAACTCTCAGCCCTGCTGTTCACTGGCTGAGCAATTTAGGGCAAGTTGCTGGACTTCTTGAAGCCTCTCTTTCTCCTCTGTATACAATAAGGGTAATCATGTTTTTTTCTGCAGGATTATGTCAGGATGAATGAGGATGATGTGGGTAAAGCACTTGGCCTTTGCTGCATAGATGTTATCTGCACTCCCCAAAGTCCTGTTGTATGTTCTTGAACTGTTTTGTGCATTTTTGTCTTAGCACTGGACCAGCCAGGATCATTGAAATCTCTCCTAAATTGTCCCTCAAACCCCAGAGAAGAGTTTTCCAGGGCATCCCAGAAGGTACAAGAAATTGGCTGAATGAGACAGAAATGGACTTAGTTTTCCCAGGAAAGAAATGTATCCTGCGGGCTTCCATTTCCCACCACGAGCTGAAGCTGGTCCCAGAGTAGGAGCTGACAAATGTAGGTCCTTTCCTGCTTTGGCGAATCTGCCTCCAGGATGCACTGAGTTGCTGCGCTAGAAATGGAAATCCTCAGACGGCCTTGAGGAGCTCCCCATCCAGTTATTTTCACCCCTCAGTCAGGCATCATTGGCCTGAGCCCCAGGGCCTCCTGTCCAGGGTCATGACTTGAGTGGAAACCAATTCGTGAGGGGGTCTTTTAGTTTTATAATCAGCACGGTGCTTGACCACTTGCTGTTTCTCTCCCAATAGAGAGTAAGGAGGTGATCTGCACAGGATTAAAACAGGATTCCTGGGAACAATGCTTTCTAGGCCTGCTTCTTCCCTGGGTCAAGGGCCTCACTCTTCTGGACTCCTGTTGGCTGCCTGGTTGGAATATTCTTCTCCGTTGTATAGATGGGTAAATTGAGGCCTAGAGAAGTTAGATGACAAAAGCCTTGGCCAACCATGTAGCCAGTTGGTGGTGATGCTGGGACTAGAACCTGAGCTTCCTGACTCCTGGTTTGGAGCTGTCTACTCAGAGGTCTGCTAGCAGATGGGAATTATGGCCAGGATTGCTTTTTTTCTTTTGTCTTTCTTTCTTTCTTTCTTTCTTTCTTTCTTTCTTTCTTTCTTTCTTTCTTTCTTTCTTTCCTTCTTTCTTTCTTTCTTTCTTTCTTTCTTTCTTTCTTTCTTTCTCTCTCTCTTTCTCTCTCTCTTTCTTCCTTCCTTCCTTCCTTTCTTTCTTTCTTTCTTTCTTTCTTTCAAAAAACAAAACAGATTCTTATATTAAAAAAATTGTAGTAATGCAAGAGAAAACAAAAAAGAGCAAGAGTCACTATTCTTGTATCAGATAAAATAGACTTTAAACCAACATCAGTAGAAAAGGACAAAGAAAAGCATTACATAATGATAAACTGTTCAATTCAACAAGAAGCTTAACTATTCAAGCTATATACACACTCAACATTGGAGCACCCAGATTTGTGAAACAATTACTTCTAGACCTAAGAAAAGACTTTGATAACCACACAATAGTGGTGGAGGACTTCAACATCCCACTGATAGCATTAGACAATTATTGAGGCAGAAAGCTAACAAAGACATTTTGGACTTAAATTTGACACTAGACCAATTGGACCTAATAGACAACTACAGAATATTCCACCCAACAGCCACAGAATATACATTTTTCTTATATGTACACAGAACATACTCTAAGAGTGACCACATGCTCAGTCATAAAGCAAATCTCAATAAATTTAAAATAATGAAACCATACCAAACACTCTCTTAGACCACAATGGAATAAAAGTAGAAATCAATACCAAGATGAATTCTCAAAACCACAAAAATACAAGGAAACTAAACAACTTGCTCCTGAATGACTTTTGGGTAAAAAAAATAAATTAAGGCAGAAATAAAAAAAGTTCTTTGAAACAAATGAAAATAGAGACACAACATACCAAAACCTCTTGGGATATCAAAAACAGTGTTAAGAGGAAAGTTTATAGCATTAAATGCCTACATCAAGAAGACAGAAAGATTCCAGATTAACAACCTAATCTCACACTGAAAGGAGCTAGAAAAACAAGAATAAACCTAAAGCTAGCAGAAGAAAAGTAATAACTAAACTCAGAACAGAACTAAATGAAATTGAGGCTGCCTAAAAGTGTACAAAGGATGAAGAAAACAAAAAGTTGGTTCTTTGAAAGGATAAACAAGGTTGATAGACTGCTAGCTAGATTAGCAGAGAAAAAGAGAGAAGACCCAAATAAGCACAATCATAAATCACAAAGGTGACATTACAACTGATCCTACAGAAATGCAAAAGATCTTCAGAGACTACAATGAACATCTCTATGCACACAAACTAGAAAATCTAGAGGAAATGATAAATTCCTGAAAACACACAACCTCCCAAGATTAAGTCAGGAAGAAACAGAAATCCTGAACAGACCAATAATGAGTAATGAAACTGAATCCGTAATTAAAAAAAAATCCCGACCAACCAAAAAAAGTCCTGGACTAGATGGATTCACAGCTGAATTCAACTAGGCATACAAAGAAGAGCTGGTACCAATCCTACTGAAACTATTTCAAAAAATTGAAGTGGCATGACTTCTCCCTAACTTATTCTGTGAAACCAATATTGTCCTGATACCAAAATCTGGCAAAGACACAACAAAAAAAGAGGAAACTACAAGCCAGTATCCCTGATGAACATGGACCCAAAAATCCTCAACAAAATACTAGCAAACTGAATCCAGCAGCCCATCAAAAAATTAATTCACCATGATCAAGTGGGCTTTGTTCCTGGATGCAAGCACGGTTCAATATATGCAAATCAATAAATGTGATTCACCACGTACACATATTTAAAAACAAAAACCACATGATCATCTCAGTAGACACAGAAAAAGCATTTGATAAACTCCAACATTCCTTCATGATAAAAACCTTCAGCAAATTAGGCATCAAAGGAACATTCCTCAAAATAATAGGAGCCATCTATGACAAAGTCATGGCCAACATCATACTGAATGGGTAAAAGCTGGAAGCATTCTTCTTAAGAACTGGAACAAGAGAAGTATGTCCACTCTCACCACTCCTATTCAACATAGTCATGGAAGTCTTAGCCAGAGCAACCAGTCAAGAGGAAGAAATAAAAGGCATCCAAATAGGAAAAGAAGAAGTCTGGTGATTTGATTCTATATACCTAGAGAACACTAAAGATTCTGCCAAAAGACTTCTAGACCTGATAAACAACTTTGGCGAAGTCTCAGGATACAAAATCAGTGTACGAAAACCAGTATAATTTCTGTACACCAATATTGTTCAAGCTGAGAACCAAATCAAGAGTGCAATCCCACTTAGCAACAGCCACACAAAAAATAAAAACTTAAGAATACATCTAACCAAGGAGGTGAAAGATCTCTATGAAGAGAACTATAAAACACTGCTGAAAGAAATCATAGATGGAACAAACAGATGGAAAAACATTGCATGCTCATGGATTGGAAGAATTAATATCATTAAGGTGTACACATTGCCCAAAGCAATCTACAGATTCAATGCTATTCCTATCAATTTGCCAACATCATTTTTCACAGAAAACATGTTCTAGAATTCATTTGGAACTAAAATTAAAAAAAAAAACCAAATAGCCAAGACAATCCTAAGCAAAAAGAATAAAGCTGGAGACATTACATTACCTGACTTCAAACTATACTACAAGGCTACAGTAACCAAAACAGCATTGTGCTGGTAAAAAATAGGCATTGTCTGGAACAGAATGGAGACCTCTGAAATAAAGTCGCACATGTACAACCAACTGATATTTGACGAAGTCAACAAGAACAAACAATGAGGAAAAGAGGAAAAAGTACCCTATTTAATAAATGGTGTTGGGAAAACTGGCTAACCATATGCAGAAGAATGAAACTGGATCCTTATTGCTCATCATATACAAAACTCAAGATGGATTAAAAACTTAATGTAAGACCTCAAACTATAAAAATCCTAGAAGAAAACCTAGAAAATGCTCTTCTAGACATTGGCTTAGACAAAGAACTTATGTTAAAGACCCCAAAAACAAATGTGACAAAATTAAAAATAGACAAATGGGACTTAAACTAAAGAGCACAGCAAAAACAAAAAACAAAAAGCTATCAATAAACAAACAACCTAAATAATGGGAGAAATATTTGCGAACTATGCATCCAACAAAGGTTTAGTATCCAGAATCTATAGGAAATGAAATCAGCAAGAAAAAGAATTAGCTCAATTAAAAAATGGGCAAAGGACATTAACAGACACTTCTCAAAAGAAGACATATAAGCAGCCAATAAACATAAAAAAATGCTCAACATCACTAATCATCAGAAAAATGCAAATCAAAACCACAATGAGATACCATACACCAATCAGAATGGCTACTATTAAGAAGTCAAAAAATAACAGATGTTGGTGAAGTTGTAGAGAAAAGAGAATGTAGTGTATACACTATTGGTGGGAGTGGAAATTAGTTCAGTTCTTTTGGAAAGCAGTTTGGAGATTTCGCAAAGAACAAAAAATTGAATTACCATTCAACCCAGCAATTTCATTACTGGGTATATACCCAAGGGAAAATAAATAATTCTACTAAAAATATACCTGTGCTCATATGTTTGTCACAGCACTATTCACAATAGCAAAGACATGGAAGCAACCCAGGTGCCTATCAAAGGTGGACCGGATAAAGAAAATGTGGTACATATATACCATGGAATACTATGTAACCATAAGAAAGAACAAAATCATGTGCTTTGCAGCAATATGGATGCAGCTGGAGGACATTATCCTAAGTGAATTAACACAAACATAAAACCAAATATGGCAGGTTCTTACTTATGAGTTGGAGCTACGTAAGTTGGAATACACACGGACACAAAGATGGAAACAATAGATACTGGGATTCCAAAAAGGGGGAGAGGGCATGACAGGGTAAATGTTGAAAAACAACCCATTAGGTACTATGTTTGCTACTTGGGTGATGGGATATTAGAAGCCCAAACCTCAGCATCATGTAATATACCCATGCAACAAACTTGCGCATATATCCCCTGAGTCTAAAAGTAAAAATGTAAATAAATTGATAAAAATTGTGGTAAAATACATATTACATAAAATTTACAATCTTAACCATTTTAGGTGTACAGTTCAGTAGTGTTTAGTATATTCACGTTGCTGTGCAACCACTCTTCAGAACTCCTCATCTTGCAAAACTGAAATTCTGTAAACATTGAACAACTTCACATTTTCCTCCCCCTTCCCCCAGCCCCTGGCAACCACCATTCCATTCTCTGTCTCTATGAATTGAATACAACAGGTATCTCATATAAGTGGAATCAAACAATATTTATCTTTTTGTGACTGGCTTATTTAACTCAGCACAGTGTCTTCAAGTTTCATCCATGTTGTAGCCTCTGTCAGAATTCTCTTCCTTTTTAAGGCTGAACAATATTCCATTGTACGTATGTTCCACATTTTATTTAGTCATCATTCATCCATCTACTGACACTTGAGTTGCTTGGCCAGGACTTTTGAATTCTGTCTCCACGACTTCTTAGCTGTACACCTTGGACAAGTGACTTAACCTCTTTGTGCTTTTTTCCTCCTCTGTCAAGTGCAGATAACAATATTATCTTCCTCATGGGATTGGTAATAATTTTTGGAGGTACTGTTGGCATCTGCCCAGATCCTCTGGTTCCCTTTTACTGGTTATGTGTGCCCAGCCCCTAGTTGCTGGGGGTGTTACTGCTGAAAGCACAACTACCTCTAAAGGGTAGCCCTTTGATGACTAGAGCTACTAGCTTGGGGCTATCAGGGAGGTGATGACCTTACCCTCAGGGGTGGCCACTGGACATGACTGCATGGGGAAGGGTGAGTACTCTTGTGTAGGGGATACAGGAACCCAACTCCCTTGTCTTAAAGTGGGACACACTGTACAATGCAGTTATGTTCCTGAACTCCCCATGGGATCAGGATCAGGCTGAGGCTAGACTTCGTCTGAACTGCGTCTTTGCTTAATTTCTTGCTGTTCTCTTCCTATTTCCCTTACCTCATTACAGATTTCTCTTGAGAGCATTCTTTGAAAAAAAGTCCCTTGCACAAAAATTCCCATCCAAGGTTCTGCTTCTAAAAACCTAACCTAATAGCTACCATTTTATTGAACACTTACTCTATGCCAGACAGCATTCTAAGCATTCTAAGCACTCAACTAATTTAATCCTCTCACACATAGGCACTATGAAAAAGAGTCCATAATGTATATAAATATTCCATTAGAAGTTAACTCTTGAGACTACCAGTAAGTCAGCCAAAAGACAAGAGGCTCTCTCTGCCATGTGAAGACACAGCAAGAAGGTGGCTGTCTGCAAGCCAGCAAGGGAGCCCTCAGCAGCAACCAAACTTTGATCCTGGACTTTCTAGTCTCTAGAAATGTGAGAAAGAAATTTCTGTTGCTTAAGCCCCACAAAAACAGAAACCTCAACATAGCTCTTATTACCATTATTGCTGCTCCAGTTGTTGGCTGGTCTGTCTGTACTAAAGAGGGAGCTGGTCCAGGGGGAAAGGAGAAAGGAAAATGAGAACCATAGGGTCTTATTAAGAAGAGGTCTTAGCAACAGAAAGATCACACAATACCACATATTTCCAATTGGAAAGAGAAAGCAAGACAATCCACTGACAGCATGAGGTTGAGCATAACAATCTCTCTAGGCCTGTTTTCCCATCTATGAAATGTTGGTCTAGATAAAGGAATAGACATAGATTTCATCTTAGGAGTCCACTGTGATCAATTAGTAGTGGCTTCTTGGAGTGCTGTTGGGAAAATGATCCTGGATTTGTATCTCTGCCCTGCAGGAAAGAGAATTATGATCTATTGGTGATGTCTACCCCAGGGGTGGGAGAGAAGAGTGACAGTGAACATGCTGTGTATTTGCAATTTATGGATGGTTGAATTTGAAGGCCTCTTCTAACTCTGATGGCCTGTGCTTCTGTGATACTAAACTCTAATAGTGTTTAGAAGGCTCTGCCAATGTGTTTGGAGAAAAAAGAGGTCAATAGTTAAGAAGAGAGATGAAAGACGAGCATTGCGCAAGGGGGAGGCCAAGGCCAGTTAGCAGATAACTGCCGCTTTCTTACTGCTCCTTCCATTTCCTCTTGGATGGAATCCACTCTCTCTGCCTTCCTAGTCCACTTCAGGTGGAATTAATCTCTGGCTCTAGGGGTGGCCACGTGATCTAGTGACTAAGATCATTGGATTCCCTTGGTTTTGTGCATGACCTAACCAGAGTTAGTGAGATGAAATGAGGCTTTTGTTGGGACTCTTTTCTGAGAGAGAGGCAGCGTTCTTTTCCATTGGACTTGCATCTGGGAAGTTGTAGCCTGGATCTTCTGGCAGCCCTCCTTTCACCATGGGCTGCTTGACAAAGAGGCCAATATGAAGAAACATAAAGTCAAGAGATGACAAGAGATGGAGTAATGGAGACATCTTTGTGGCCCCTGGATCCGGCCATACCTGATGTGGACATCTGGATTCTTTAGTTATACAAGCCAATAATATTTGTTTTGCTTAACTTAGTTTCAGCCTTAAAGGACATACCCAACATTGTTACCATCAATGTCGTCAAACCCTTATGTCCATCTACCATGAGTGGACCTCTGTGCTGCAGAGACTGAAATGTGCTACGTCCCAGGCTCCCACTGCCACCTCTTCTCTTTAAGACCCTCACAATTTAGGAGGCTGCTTTTTGAGGCCCTGGAGGACTCAGCCTGCATCTAGTCTATGAACTCTCCCTGAGCCGGATTCCCAAGATGAATTACACCTTCCCTGACAGCTTCATGGCAAATGAGGAAACTAAATAAACAAAAGGGGCCTGGAACTTCTCTGATAGGTCTTGACCTCTGAATAGGGGCCCTGTGAATAAAGTTACTTTATTTTTAGGATACCAAACTTGCCAATAAGGAAATGGAGGTTCAGAGGAGTGCACCGACATTTTCAGTCTCCCAGCTCCTTCAAAGCAGGTTTCTCCTCCTGGCTCCAGGCCCCGGGCTGTCTCTACTCCCAGTTTGCTCACCTGTCAGCAGTGCCCCAGGGCTTGCCTTCTTCCGTCTCCAGTTGGGGTAGTGGTGCCAAGTTCGACAGTCTAGGGACTGTGGAAAGTGCTGATAGTGGCTTGCACACGGTCTGTGCTCAATAACTGTTGAATGTGTGAGTTGATTGATAGAATGTCTTAGCCTGAGTTTCTCTCAAGAGCAGAGTCTGGAACAAAGACTTAAATGAAGATCATCCATTTGTGAATGTGACTCCAAGGCAGAAATGAAGTGGGGGTGAAAAAAGGGAGGAACACAGCTACCATGAGTTTCACCAGCCTCCAGGATGGCCCCAGTGAGCTGTGCATCCTGGTATTAATACCCTTGTGTCGTAATCCCCCAACACTGAAGAGGGCTGACCTTTGTGACTATACAGTATTGGAGAAATGATAACATGTGGTTTCCAAGGCTGGGTCATAGGAGGCATTGAAGCTTCTGTTGTGCTCTCTTGGATCACCTTCTCTGGGGGAAGCCAGGTGCCATGTCATGAGGACATGACAGGTCCCCCTTTGGGGAGGTCTATTTGCTGAGGAACTGAGGCATCCTGCCAAGAGCCAGCATGAACCTTCCTCATGTTGGGCACAAGAGTGCACTGTCTTGGAATTGGACCCTTCAGCTTCAGTCAAGCCTTCAGATGAGTGCAGACCCAGCCAATATTGTGACTGCAACCTCATGAGAGACCCCAAGCCAGAACAACCCCACTAAGCTATTTCCACATTTCTGACCCACAGAAACTAAGATTTTTAGTGTTTATTGTTGCTTTTAGCCATTGAGTTTTTGGATGATAATAAGTTTCATTATTGAATTGGCCCCTGCTATGAGTCACTAGTTGTTTGAGTCCAACAGACCTCTGTGAAGCCTGTAAAATGTATCTCAAGACTGTCTGTCCAGGGGAAAATAGGGGAAGCATTAACCCACTGGTTTCCATCTTCCATTGTCTTAGGGCTGCCTCACAGGCATTGGCTCCTCTGCACTTGTGGTTACACGTGTGTGTATGCCAAGAGGGTCCCTGTGGGCATCCTACATCATGGAGTGAGGAAGTCTCCAGGCAGGAAACGAGAGGATGTGATTAGGTCTGAGGTGAGAAACCATCAGCTCACACCCACACAAAGCTGACTGAAGCCTGAGTAGAACTGTCATCATAGTAGCGGCTGGAGCAAGAGGTGGCTGAGAGGATAGGAATTCGGTGCCCAAGAGGGGTCCGGTACACTGAGTGACTGAGTGAGTGCTGAGTGGGCAAAAGTGTAAGGGAATGGTTGACTGAGTGGATAATGGGGTCAGCAGGGGAGGGAGGAGGAGATGAATGAGTCCACATTGGGGTGGTCACCCACCTGCAAGCACTGCAAGAAAAATCACCCTCCTGGTCCATTGGTGCAGTCTCAAGGCCCAGGCATAGCATGAGCCTTCCACATGTTGGGCATGTGAGTACACCATCTTGGAATTGGATCCTCCATCCCCAGTCAAGCTTTCTGATGAGTGCAGTCCCAGCCAATATCATGACTGCAACCTCATGAGAGAAACCCAAGCCAGAACAACCCAGCTAAGGGGAGTGAACATACGAGAGCCTTTACCTCCAGATCCTGGTAGAACCCCCTCTAAGTGAATGGCCCCTTGTTCCATTCAGCTCCATCCCCTCTTCATTCTCTCCTCAAAAGTTGGTGAGGAGGTGTCGAGCATTGTCACTGAGCTCCAGGAGAATGAGACTTCTAAGAAAGAGAGAGAGTGGGGGGGGGGTGGGGTAAGAGGGAGATAGCCATCAGCAGTGCCTCTGGCTGGCTGGCACCTAACACAAGGCAGAGTTGGGCCAGAGGGAGAGTCCACAGCACTTTTTCTTCCAAGCAGTGTCCTGCTAGAGAAATAACCTCATTCTCTGGAAGACTAACAGGAAAATCACAGACCTTGAAGATGTTTCACCACCTGGAAACTGGACCGGAACAACTGTTCGCGAGGCTGGGAGTGCAAGGCTGGACTTCTAAGAGAGTCTCAGATCAGTGGCCACTTGACTGAACATCTCTGCCTCCCTTTCCCCCCTAAAAACAGGTCACAAATGACAACTCTCACACCTCATGCCACCCTTGTGTCATCCACATTATCATGATTGTCCCTATTTTACAGATGGAGAAAGTGAGGCCCAAAGTGAGAATGTGATTTGCCTGAGGTTATGGAGTTGCATGCGTGTGGTGAGATGGGAATGGAAACTTGTTCAGGGTTCTTTTTCATCCTTCCCCAAAAGAGAGGCTATAAGATGCCTGATGTCATGAGGAGAAGGAAAGTGCACTGTAGCATGATTTTAAAAAAGGGTAGCAAGAGCCCTAAATCATAACCCTGCAGACCTGGTTTGAACTCAAGCCCTGTCCTTAGCTGTGAGATCCTGGACAAGAGATTCCCCACTCTGTGTATTCCCTTTCCCTGTGGAGGAGGAGGGAGCTGGGCTGAATGCACAATGTAGTTCTTCTGACTGTAACCCTGGCCAGGAATCTCAGTGGAGTGCTAGCTCATGTACCAGGCACGAAAAACAGCAAACATACTTGTCTGCTGGACACAGGACAGAGGACAACTTGGTGAGGCTGGCACAACTAAGCCCATTTACAAACCAAGAAACAGAGGCTCTGAGAGGTTAGTTAACTCACCCATAGACACAAAATGGCTAGGGTATGGAAGCAAGATCTGAGCGCAGGTCCGTCTAGCCACCAAGCTACGCAGTTTCCTAAGGAAAAGCCTTTAATTTTCTTGCCGTGGCTGCTAATGATGATAAACATCAACAACCACCATTTATCGGGCATCTCCTGTTTGTCAGGCATTATTCTAGGTGATTTTACTTGCAATGTCTCTTCATCAGTGGTGACCTTTTCATTTGCAAGTGAAGAAATTCCACTCAAACTGGTTCAAGTAAAATGTTATTTATTGGCTCATAGAATTGTTAAATCCAGGGCTGGATCCCTGAACAGCCAGATCCAGGGGCTCGAATCCTGCTTTCAGTTTTCTTCATTCAACTTTCCTGTGTGACTGCATTCCCTCCTATGGGAAATAGACTTTTTCTGTGGGGCTGCCCCCAGATTTCCATTCTTCTGACTTATTCACCCCAGTGGAATAGAGATCATCTCTCACCCAAAATCTGTATAGTCATTCCAGGGAAGGCCTGTGATTGGCTCTCCTCTGGAGCATAAGCCCATCTCTGGGCCAATCAGTGCTTCCAGAGTGATGGGATTTTGTGATTGGCCAGACACCCATCACTTGCCCACCTCTGCGGGTGTAGTGGGGTGGAGGTGGGGTTCAATGATAGGCAGTCCTACTGGAATGCTCAAAAAAGACAATCTATATCCAGTTCAGTCTCATTAACCCTCACACAAATACCCCATGAGAAAGGTACGTGACACCCTGCACTTTACAGATGAGAACACGGAGGGTCAGAAAGGATGAATAATCTGTCCAGGTCACATAGCTGGCAAGTGACCCTGGGCAACTCATTCAGACTCACTAGAAAGAATCTGGAAGACTGGAACTAGGTTAAATCGAATGAATAAAGCATCATTGAGCACCTACTATCTGCAAAGCTGCAAGGAGGAGCAGGAGACTTGCCCCTGCCAATGGGGTATCTCCCATCTACCCAGGGAAAGCAGAGTTAAAAAACAACAATGGATTTGAGCAGTAGTTGGAGGCAGCAATAGAAGGGTTGCCGCAAGGCTGTCGGTGATTAATTGCTAAATGAGTGGTACAGACAGTAATTGCTTCAGGAGTTCAGAGGAGAAAGTGAAGACCATGGGCTGCAGTCAGGAAAGTGTTTCTGAAAGAGAGAAGCTCTGAACTTTGGCTTGAAGGACAGGAGGATTTGCAGAGGTAGTAAGGAAGAGGCAGGGCTTCTTGCATGGGTGAGAGGGTGTGATAGCCAGGGATTCCAAGCTCTGCAATTCTGTGGCTTAGGAAAGAAAAAAACAAAAAACAGGCCCTGTTTAATACCTCACAAGTTCTAATCTCAGTTCTGCCGCCTCTGAGCTGTGTGGCCTTGGGCAAGTCACTTCACCTCTCTGATCCTCAGGCTTTTCATCTGTAAACTGGGAGATAGGATTCCTGTTCTGCCTACCTCACCAGGTTGTTGTGAGGATGGAATGAAATTATGTGTCTGAAAGTGCCTTGGAAACCATAAAGTACTTGGTAAATAGAAGCAATGATTATAGATAGGAGGCCAGACACATTTATTCTTAGCCTGGGGGTTCCCGACAATATGTCAAGGAAGACTTGTAATTCTCTTCTCTTCTGTCTTGAGCCCCCAGGCTTTATTTTAGGATGGCCTAGTGCATAAACAGATTTGAAGCCAAAATCATCTGCTTCCAAAACCTGGCCCTGCCACTTACCTCGAGGGACTTATTCATTCAGGTCTCTAAGCCCCACTATGAGGATTAAAAGAGATTGGGCATGAAAGTGCCTAGTACAATACCTGGCATAAAGTGGGTGAATTTATTTCAAATGCTATTTTTCCTGTGGGGATGCCCTTCCCAAAGCACTTTTTATGTTTAGAGGCAATGTAGGGCCAGGAAAATAGGAGGCTCTGATCAGCCAGACCCAGGTCACATGACCAGCCCTGACCCTGGAGAGGGGACTGGGCCACACTCAGCCATGTGACTGGAGAGTGGGGAGGCAGGGTGTGTATTTCTCCACTGTTGTAGCAGTCAGCAAACTACTGTTCATGGGGCAGACCTGGCCCACAGCTTGCTTTAGTGCCACCCACAGCTAAGGATAGTTTTTACATTTGTAGAGGGCTTAATTAAAAAACACAACAAAGACTGCTACAAAGACTTATGTGGTCTACAAATCCTAAAATATTTACTATCTGGCTCTTCACAGGAAAAGTTTCTGACCCCTGATCTATCTCGTTGTAAACAGAATAAACCAACTATTCTCAGATCCAACATTTAATGAGTCTAATGAGAGGTCGTTCTTCATAGAGCAACATAAGGTTATTTCTGAATAAGCAAAGGTTTTGGGAGGTGTATCAGTCAGGACCCAACCAGGAAGACAGAAGCTGCCCTAAGTAAGTATTTAAAACAGCAGGGATAGATAAGGGCTTACTAAGTAAATCGGCATCTACAGGTGATGGAAGAGCTGGAAAATAAAACATTGGAAAGGAAGCTGCTATGAACCCTAGGCTGCTGGGAAAAGGGAGCAGATGGTGGTACAGGAGCCCAGGCAGCCAATGGGGAGCTGGAACCACAGCCACCCTGTCCCTGTCCAGTGGTGCTAGAGTCATGGAGGAGGGGCGGCCACTGGAGAACTGCTTAGCGGAAAGTAAGGGAGAGAATTACTCTAGCTTCTCTTCCTCCTGCCCTTTCAATTTTCCAACAGTGCCTCCTACTGGCTAAATCCCACCAGAAGCCAGTCCCCGTGGGAGTCGGCAACTCAGACTGCAGGGTTGGGCTCTCCCCTGCTTAATAGACCAAACATGGGCTAGGGGGGAATGAAGGAGGGGCAACCAGGCCCAGGATCAGCCAGAAGGGATATGTGGATTCTGCTAAAATTCAGGCCCCCTGATGACCATTGACAAGGCTGAATGCCTGGGACCGTAAAAAGTATATCTATATGGAGGGAGGGGAGGGAAGGGTGAGAATTCGTACAGCATCCAAGTTCACTGCAGTGCCCACCTTGGTCGCTCACAGGAGATAGATGTCCCCATTTATTGCCTCCTGTTTGTAATTTGCAGTCAGCTTTTATGAGTCCTAAGTGGTCTTCCTCTTCTCACTTGCTACCATTCCTTTCTCAGTTCGGGATTTCCTCCTCTTCCTGCTCACAAAGGTGTAAACAGTTTCTCAAGTTCAGACATTCTTTGACCCCCTTCTCAGTGTTGCCTTACTCAGATATCATGTCATCACTTCTGTTGTGTCTGCGTACCACGTGTTCCATTGTTTTCTCCACTTTATTTTTGAACACATTAATAAATTTAGTAATGGAGAAAACTTCTGATCACTGCTGTACATAGAAAATCAGAATCATATGCCATCAATATAAATAAATACCGTGAAACCCAATCAGTGTTAATTAAATTCTGGCTAGATCCTGCAGCTTAGGCAAAGACCATGAATATGAGGCTCTTTGTTAAAAAGGGAAAATGTTAAAAAATAAACATCGTTGAAGAGTAGCACCAAGGGAGATGACTCATTGGTGTAATCAGAGGGACTGAAATAGAATTCAAGAGGGATTAGCTCTGACCCTGTGTGATTTGGGGTTATCAATGCCACCAATGCCATTTCTCCTAACACCTGAAATCTGTGAAATGAGAATATCTTGGGCACCTGAAATCACTAAGGAAAGCTCAAGCTGGGAACTGCTCAGGGCAAACCTGCTTCCCATTCTATTCAAAGCACTCCTTTTCTCACTGAGACTGGTGCATATCTGATTTGCCTCCTTTGGAGAGGCTAATCAGAAACTCAAAAGAGTCAGGCTGGCAGGGCAGCATGGTGGCTCACGCCAGTAACCCTAGCACTTTGGGAAGCTAAGGCAGGCGGATCATGAGTTCAAGAGTTCGAGACCAGCCTGGGCAAAATGGTGAAACCCTGTCTCTACTAAAAATACAAAAATTAGCCAGGCATGGTGGCAGGTGCCTGTAATCCTAGCTACTTGAGAGGCTGAGGCAGGAGAATCACTTGAACCCAGGAGGCGGAGGTTGCAGTGAGCTGAGATCACACCATTGCATTCTAGCCTGGGCAACAGAGCAAAAACTCTGTCTCAAAAAAAAAAAAAAAAAAAAGAAGAAGTTCAAAGGAATGTTACCATTTGCGTATCACCTCTCTGTTACCTGGAAGCTCCCTCACCACTTCCAGTCTTCCTGCCTTTGCTTCAAGTTGTCCCGTCCTTCCATACTGAACCAATGTACTTCCTACATATATTGATTGATATTTCATGTCTCCCTAAATGTATAAACCAAGCTGTGCCCTGACCACCTTGAGCACATGTCGTCAGGACTTCCTGAGGCTGTGTCATGGCTGCATCCTCAACCTTGGCAAAATAAACTTTCTTTTTTTTTGAGATGGAGTCTCGCTCTGTCGCCAGGCTGGAGTGCAGTGGCGCAATCTCGGCTCACTGCAACCTCCACCTCCCGGGTTCAAGCGGTTCTCCTGCCTCAGCCTCTTGAGCAGCTGGGATTACAGGTGTGCACCACCACACCAAGTTAATTTTTGTAGCAAAAGAAACTTTCTAAATTAACTGAGACCTGTCTCAGATTTTCTAAGTTCACAAATCATACTGAAATCACAGAAAATCTGCTATACACAGATATGTGCCACACCTCAGGAAACCCAACACAGGGCTTTCTTTCACTCGTACGCTCTGTTAACCCTGCCTCTTAAGTTTTATTAGCCTTTCTCTTGTGCTTATCTGAGTTCTTGCGTACCATTCAGCTGTTTTTCTTCTCTAAAATTTTTTACACAGTGAAATCTCTGCTGAAGTAAATGGATGCTCAAAGACATTCCACATTCTTTGATTAATTAGACCAACACCCAGAAATGAGTGAAATGCTTGTAAATGATTTATTTGCTGAATCAGGGCAGAGAGCCCATGTTGACTCTTCCACCTTGTGAAAATTCTAAGTTTGTTTTTAAGACGATTAAGTGATAAACAGTGACTTATAAATAGTTACAATCTACCTGTCATCTTTAACTGTCATCATTTATGACTTGATGACATTTTTTTTATGCTATTACTGGTGTTTGTGGTTGTTTGCCTAATTGTTGGCATGTTCAGCTGGATTTTAGGGAAATATTTAAGTCGTATGTGTGTATATCCTATTATATTACATATTGCATATGATATATGGCAGATTATATGAGATGTGTACTTTTTTTTTTAGTATTTACTGTAGTTTGGGCTCTGACTGTAGTGATTTACATGACCTTATTCCTCACTGCAACCCCATGGGATGGTACTGCCACAATCCCTATTTGTCCAGAAAGAAACTGAAGTTCAGAGAGGTCAAGTTAGTTGCCCAAGGTCACAGGCTACTAAGCGTCAAAACTGGGATTGAATTCAGACTTGTCTGACCCCAGAGCTGATGATGAAAACCACAGCACTGCATTGCTTCTCTCTTCTGGTCCTAATCCCCCCTGTGGGGAAACTGAGGCCAGAGAGGGGACCAGCCTTGCTGTCTCATTGCCATTGTCTGAGTCTGGGCAGAAGCCATCCCTCCGCCCCCTGCTGCCTTTTCCTAGCCGCTCCAGACTCCCGCAGTCCCCAGCACCGGACGGTGCATCGGTTTCCCAACTGCTCCTCTGCATGGGCAGAACTGTCACTGATCAACTGGAAATATTGCTGCCATTTCTTCTAATTCTCCTGCTTTTTTTTCTGAAGACAGCACAGAGCTTTTTTTCTTCCTGCAGGCCCTAATGTGATTATTTGTGTAGCAGACAAACATACAAATGTACATGACTTTGAATTATGGGGAGTGCCAGGATAGACTGTATTTAAAACAACAACTCTATTACTCATAGCTTGAGAAGACGGGGATAGCATTATTAGGAGGACTTCTGCTGAAGTTTGCTATGGGATTCCATTCACTGATATTTTAGGTTGATCGTGCCTCACTCAGATTCAACTCATAATGATCAGTTGGCATATTAGGTGCAAGGCTGAAAGCTAGATCTGGGGAGGGGAGTGGCATAAAGAGAAATACAACTTTCTGGTCTTGAGATGCTTCCTGCCTTCCCTGCCACCTTCCTTTCTTTCCTCTTTCCTTCCTTCTCTCCCCTATCTTCTTTCTTTCTTCCCTCTCCTACTGCCCTCCTTTCTCACCCCAGCCATGTTTTGGGGGCCCCATTACTCTCTGTGCACCCTCGTAAGGTATTCACACGGAGTGATACGGTTTGGCTCTGTGTCCTCAGCCAAATCTCATCTTGTAGCTCCCATAATTCCCACATGTTGTGGGAGGGACCTGGTGGGAGATAATTGAATCAGAGGGGTGGGTCTTTCCGATGCTGTTCTCATGAGAGTGAATAAGTCTCTGTGAGTCATGACGGAACCCCACGGAGGCGTTCCCGAGAAGGACTCTTTGCCATGACCTTTTGCCTGCCTTGTCCTCTCTTAGGTACGCTGTTCCCTCGTGGCCTGTGACCCTGGCACAGAGCCACCCCATGCTTCATCATCAGGCCATTCTTACCTCCCCTGCTGAGACCACCTGGGCTCAGACTTGGCATTCTGGTCATGGTGGGCACAGGGTAGAGCCCCAGCAAGCAGCCTGTCCCACTCAAAGTCCTCCTCAGAGACACCTCAGTCCAGCCAGCCAAGGTCAACTGATGACAGAACAGCCCCAGGACAAGTCCTGGGCAGGACCCACTGGTCACCAAGTCCTCACCTTGCTTTCCCACCTGCACACCCCCAAGCTGTGGTCCCCAAGTGACCCGACAGTGCTCCCCCAAGCCCGTGTCCCCAGTGTCCCAGCCTTGCCCAAACTTAAGCAACAAAATTTCAGAAAGAATTTCTCTGCAGTGGGTTCAGGTCATGACTGCAAGCCCTTGACAGCTCTCAGACCGCCTCTCCTTCATCTGCTCATGTTGACACTGCCTCCCACATCTGGGCAGCACAGCAAGTGGGGAGGAGTTGGCTCTGGAACCGGTTCCACCTTGAGCAAGGGACATATCCGCTCCGTGCCTCAGTTTCTTCATCTGTAAAATGGAGGTGATAAGAGGACCCACCTCACAAAGTTGCTGTAAGGATTAAATTAGCTCATGGGAAGCACTCGGTGCAGCGCTTAGCATGCAGTGAGCGCTGGGTGCTCAAGAGCTTTGGTTTCCATGACTACAACTGGCTACTCTGAGTCTTAGTCCTTGGGGATGGCTCAGTCCCCCTCTCGGCATCTAGGTCTGCTTCTGTAGCCCACACCCAAATTCTTCTTACCGCATCCATCAGTGCCTGCTTGTGATGGGGCTCTGATCCTCAGCTTCATGGAGGACACAGCCATGATTGAGCTCCCACTGTCTACAAGGCTCAGTGAGGCACAGCAGCTGTGACGCCCCAGGGAACTTAGTTACCCTCTTCATACTTCATCTTCCTCATCTGAAAAACAGGCGTGTAAACAGTCTTCACTTCACATGGCTGTTGTGAGGAATTAATGAGTTAATTGCAAGGGACTTACCACAATTCCTGACCCATAGTCTAAATGTGCAAAAAATAATGCAAGCTGTGGGGATTGTTATGTTCAAGGTCATGGGTGTCCTGGGGGGTGTCAGTTATGGTCCCTGCCTCCTGTCCTCCTTTGTCATAGACCCTGCATCTCCCACGGCATATAGGCTGCCTCTTCCTGCTTCCCTGAGTTCAGATGAAACACCATGCCCTGTCCTGTTCTCATTCCCAGCCTTGGAGGTGGCTTGTCCCTGCTGAGCCTCTGCCATTTGTTTGCCAAAGGGCTCCTTACATGGGCAGAAGTTACACTCAGACCCTGTGGGCTATGAAAGTTCCCTCAGTAACTCCCTTTTTTGGAGAGCTCGTGTTCTAGACATTGGGCTGAGTAGTTGACAAAGATCTCATTGAATTTATAGAATGGTCCCATTTTACAGGTGAGGAAACCAAGGCGCAGGAAAGTTGAGGAACATGCCCAGAGTAGCTAGAGCACTGAAGGGCAGAGCTGGCACTCCAGTGGCCACAGCCTGAGCTTTTCGCCTCTAGGCCGCTGTTTCTCCTTCTGAGGGAGGCATCTCCTGTCCCATGCGCTTTCTCCTGCAGATTCTCTCTGCCCAGCTCTGGGAAGGCCGTCTGCCCCTGTCACACTTCAAGCTGCTGCGTGGATCCCTGCGGTAGGGCGAAGACCGTCTCTGGGTGCTCCAGTTCTGCCCTCTTTCCAGCAGAAGGGCTTTTCAAACAGGCTTCCCATCTGAGAAAGGAAAATATCTTGGGCCCCCAAAATCACGAAACTAAAAGGAAAATTCAAGCTGGAAACTGCTCAGAGCAAACCTGTCTCCCATTCTATTCAAAGTCACCTCTCTGCTCACTGAGATAGATGCATATCGGATCGCCTCCTTTGGAGAGGCTAATCAGAAACTCGAAAGAATGCAGCCATTTGTCTCTCACTTATCTGTGACCTGGAAGCCCCCTCCTTGCTTGTCCCCGCCTTTCTGGACAGAACCAATGTACTTCTTACATATATTGATTGGTGTCACATGTCTCCCTAAAATGTATAAAACCAAGCTGTGCCCCTACCACCTTGGGCACATGTAGTCAGGACTTCCTGAGACTTTGTCACATGTGTGTGTCCTCAACCTTGGCAAAATAAGCTCTCTAAATTAACTGAAATCTGTCCCAGATTTTCTGGGTTTACAGGTCTGACCCTCACCCTGCTCTCCTTCTGACCCTGACCCTGGACCCTCCTTCCGCCTCTGGAGGTCACTCCTTCCACGGTGCAGCTTCGCTCTGCCAGGATTCTCCGTTCTGCTTCCCTTGCTCAATACAAACTGCCCTCAGAGCTGAAGGTTTATGCTCCTACAAATGCACATGTTTACAAGAACCCTGCATACTCTTCCAGCCAGGGCTCTCCAGGGCACAGAAGAATGGGGGAGGGCTTGGTCATTTCCTAAAACAGTGTGTGGATAAGCAAACAGCCACTCCTTGAGAAAGTCCCAGAATAAGCAAACGGATTTAATGTTGTTCAATCTTACTTTCTCCAAATAAATTTAACTCCAGGACTTTTATTTTTTTCATTTGCAACTCTAGTTAACATTTCAAAGAACCTCTAGGGCAAATCTTGACATGAAGCCGTTCAGAACCCGCCCCTACCCCCCGAGTCTCACACATTCGATCGCCTCTCACCTTTGCCTATGAATCGAACTCATTCTTCAAGGTCCTCTTGGAATACCCCTCTTCCAGGAAGTTTGTACTGATTCCTTTAGCTAGAAACAACCTTTTCTTGTAGGAAGCTTCATGTTAGGGACTTTCTTGAGTGTCTTCAGAGCAGACCCTGGGTGGCATGGTGGTTGAGACATGAATTTTGGAGTCAGATGCAAGTTTGAGACCTGGTACAACCTCAGAAGAGTGGGATGACCTTGGAGAATGTTACTCAGCTTCTCTGAGCCTCATCTGTGTTTCCTCTACTGCAATATAGGATAATAGTAGAACCCGTTTGCAATGTTTTCACATGAACAGCTCAGCAGAGTACAAATCACATAGTAAGCATATAATGAGTGGCAGTTGCTACTATTATTATTATTATTATCACCACCATTAGGGATGTTAGTATCTCTTTGTAGAATTGATTTCAGTCCACACCAGGACATCACAGGGCCATTTGGAGTGTGTCTGTAGCCATAGATGTGAACTTGAAGGTAGGCAGCACTACCTCACTTAAATCTCTGCTCTGAGCCCCCGGGTAAGGGCTGGGGGCTGGGAGATGCTCTGGTGTCTGGGGTGTCTCCTGCCTTGAGTCAGATCCAAGAAGGAGGCTGAGTGAGGAGGCTGGCCTTCCCCCATATGAGAACCCAGAGATGCCAAGGCCTCCCTCTGTCTGCTCAGTGAAAGGAAGGCTCAGAGCCTGGCGTGAGGTTAATGAGTCGCTCTCACTCTAATAATCTGATAAATGGCTCTTCCTCCCCTGGATCCTCTATGGAACTTTTAGCTCCTTTCTTGGGCTGGTTGCTGCCTGGTGGAGACCTCTGAGCAGGCCATTATTGCTTAATTACTGGCTAAACAGTCTCATTTGTTCTCCATTTGTCAGTGGTGAGTCCCAGCCAGGGCAGCAGAGAGAATTTTGAAATTCCTCATGGAGCTTTGGCTTTGGGAAATAAAGACACCTGTGTCTCCTTCCCCGCTGCCACCCTCTGGCCACGCTGGCCACAGAGATGGCTGAGCAGCTCCTGGAGTTAGTGCTGGCTGTTGTCTCTACCACCATCTGAATTGCTTTCTTTGCTCTTCTGTTTGCTTTTTCCTTTCTTGTCTTGGCCTTTCCACTCCTTCAGCCTGGTGTGGGAGAACTTGGATTCTGCAGCTGGGAAACTTGGTATGAAATCCTGGTTTCTAGATCTACTCAGGTCTATCCCTGTCCAGGTGGGCGACTGGATCTCTATACCTTTATATGCAAAATATGTGCACTAGAAACACAGTGCAAAGTGGGTGCACTAGCCTCATGATGGCATGGTGAGCAGGACGTAAAAGTAAGTGGGATGCAAGCAGGATTTCCACTGCCAACTAGGGTTGGGCACATTGTGCAAATGCCAACTTTAATTCTATTTTCCTCTACATGCATGACCTGCTTCATACCATTGTGTCACTTCCACAGGTCTCCTTCATGAACATGGAAGGGTTTGGCCCAGATCCCCCACTCACACTGGCACTGTCTTCCACCTCTTGCCCACCCTGTCATTCCCTTCCCCAATGAGGTGTTCTACTTGGATGGTCTGGGTGCAGGAGGAGACATTTTTCCTCTTCAGTAATGCTGTTGCAAAACCTTCTCTATGCTCTTTTTCCTACACGGAAAATCAACTTGGCAATATGTAGCTCACCTAAAGTGCCAGTACATACTTGGCCAGTGGATAGGCTGGCTGGGCATCTCCGCTAAGTAAATTTGGGCATTTAAGACTGTTGCGAGTTGGGAACTATGGGAAGGAGACTGTGAGTTGGAGCTCAGCATGCAGGATGTTTATTAGGAAGCCTTTTGGAAACACCACCCATGGAAGGGAGAGGATGGAAACAGAACTGGGCAGAGGGAGAATTTGAGCTGGAACAGAGTCCCAAAATGATCTTGGCCAATGGCACTTGGCTAGCCAGAGTTTGAAGGGCTCTTCAGAGTCTGCCCAAGTTGGGGGTGAGGGCTAGGTGTGGGTCTCCCTGGGGAGTGAGCAAGACTTGGGTGTGGTGACTTTCTCCAGCTGAGGCAATCCTCGAAGGGGGCTGGCAATTAGGATCTGTGAGTTGGTAGCCCTCCCAGTAGCTGGGTGCCCAGTCTCTCCAGTCTTTCATTCCTGAAGGATTGCCTGGGTAGCACATCACAGAGCTTAGCCCAGAGGCTTTCGGAAGTCTCCTCTAGGTCAGTCCTACCCTGACCACTCTGGGACCCAGGTCTGCTTCTCCTGGCTCTGCTGTTCCTGACCCCACTTCCTGTTGGCTGCATCTTTTGTCCCCAGGGTCCTGATCTCTTGCCTTCAGACCCAACCTGACAATTGGATGTGGTTACTAAGTGCCTGGGGAATTTCTCCCCTGTTTCTGGGCTTCCCTCTGACCCCAGTAAAGCCTTCTCTAGAGGAAGGACGTGAGCCCTTGTCTTCACCAGCCAGCTCCTGGTTTTTGCACTTATGGAAGGGAGCCATGTCGCTAATCATGCAAAGCAGCAGATAATACAAAATCATTTACATTTGTCCTTCAGTTGCATTACGTGATTGCAAGGGGATGGAAGAAGTGTGATGACATCAAGTAAGTAAGGGCACTCTGGATACAGACTGCCTAGTGTGTACCTCGGCTCTACCACTTACTAGCTGCATGACCTTGAGTAAGTTATTCAGCCTCACTGTGCCTCAGTTTCCTAACCTGAAACTGAGAATTTAACAATGGTACCTATATCATACAACTATTGTCAGCGTAATAAATCATGACATATCCAGCCCTTGGAGTGTTGCCTGATTCATAGTAACTGCTCAATAAATGTTTGCCTTGATGGTAATGTTTGGTAGAAAGTTTTGTTAAAATATTTACTTTTATTAATTTTTTAGAGACAGGGTCTTGCTGTGTCACTCAGGCTGGGTGCAGTGGTCCATTCATAGTTCACTGCAGCCTCGAACTCCTGGACTCAAGAAATTCTCCCGCCTCAGACTCCTGAATAGCTAAGACTACAAGCGCATGCCACCATGCCTGGTTAATTTTATGTTTTTTTTTCTTTGAATTTTTGTAGAGATGGGGTCTTGTCATGTTGCCTAGGCTGGTCTCAAACTCCTGCCCTCAAGTGATCCTCCCACCTCAGCCTCCCAAATTGCTGGGATTACAGGGGTGAGCCATCGCATCTGGCCCAAATGTTATCTGCCATCAACTTCACTTAATTGGAGTTGACCCAGAAGATTTGAAATGGCAGGAGAAGTTGTTCTGGCATTAAAGGACTTCCATGAATGTTACACAAGTAGATCAAGCCCAGACAGCCACCTAGACGGGACATTGAGAGGAGTCAGCACCAGGGACAGCTCCCATTCTCCATCTCAAGAAAGATTTTTCCTCCAAAGGACAACGAATCACAGAAACGATTTCAACTGCTCATCCTCCAAGCCCCTTGACAAGATAAGCGTCCCCCAGAACTGGGCCCCAAATGTTCATCATCCAGCGATGATGTCTGTGTCTAATCAAGATTGCCCACAGGAGCCATGGAGAAAAGACTGAAGGAGCGAGAGAGAGAGAACTTAAGAGTCCTGGGTCCGTCCTTACCAGTGCATGTACTTGAGGGGTGGAGATAGGAGAGGGTCCTCCTCCCATGCTCTGGGGCACCCTTTTCTTATCTGCAAAGCAAAGGAGTTTGTTCTCCCAAGACTTGCCAGGCTCTGGCAGGCTTTGGGTCTGTGCTGGTCCTCTGGGGATGGAGGCCATGAGTCCCTGGGGCCAGCAGATGGCACCCTCTGTCCTGTGTCCACCCATGGGGCAAGCTTTCCTGGCTGGCCACCCACAAGACACCGCTGAGGATCTGAAAGTTGGCTGGAGTGAGTGGAGTCCTTGAACCCTGAGTGTCTCCGCTCTCCATTATTCCTTCATTATCTGCTTCCCAAAACCCCATCCCCTGCCTCTTATCACCATGGCAGCAGGTGCTGAGGCTGTGCCTGCCTTTGAGATGAATGTTTGTCCTGTTCCTATCTGACCCTGTATTGCTGCCTGGTCCTCTGCCTTCCCCTGAGAGGTCTGCATTGCAGGGCTTGGGGAAAAATCCACCCAGTTCTTTCTCTCCTCCACCCCTCCTGTCCCCCACTGTAGGACGTTCTGGGTTGGTCCAGCACAGTGGAGCCATAGGGTAGAAGGGAAAGGGAAGCCCCAGCCTTGCTTCCTGTCCCGTGCTGCTCTTTTGCTCCAGGAGGGGCTTGTGTTTGCTGGGAGCAGGAGGTGATGCTCTCTGAGTCACAGGAGGTCAAGAAGTGGAAATGAGGTCCTGAGACATGAGGATGATAGATACTTTAGTCTTGAGTACTTGCTCAGGGCCAAGCACACATCTCACTTAAGCAGACGATGCAGGCACCATCATTTTGAAGTCTATGGCCAGAGAGGTTCAAGTATTTAGCAAAGGCCACGCAGCTAAGGAGTAGCAGAGCGGAACATCACACCCAGTCTGTCTGACTCTGGGGGTGAATTAAACAATGTGATGTTGTGGGGAGAGATCTTGGCCAAGAGTCAGCCAAACGGTTCTGATCCTGGCTCTGCTCCTGAACGCAGTTGTGTGACCTTCGATGAGGAGCTTCCTCGGTTTCCCCATTGGGAAACAGAAGGATTGGACTAGGATGCTCTCTAAGGATCCTCCAGCTCTAAGAGTCTATGAATAGACTTTCCCTGAGATGAGAGCTTTTTAAAAACTGTTTGCAGGAACCCACATATGCACAAACCCAGCCTTATGTACAAATGGAGTAGGCGGCAGCCTGTATGGTGTGAATGATGGCTGCTGGGAAGGGCCCCTGCCCGAAATATTTCCATCGCTCATCCACTGCCAATGTGCTTGGAGTCTGCCATTCCAGAGCCATGCCTTCACCAAGTTCCTATTTCAAAATGCAAGCACCTCAAGGCGGCCTAAGAGATTATGTCCTTTATTTCTGGGGGAAGGGAACTTTTATTTTGATGGATGCCAAAACTGGTTTGCATTTCCTGAGTTTAAAGTAATTCTCTTGCAGGTGAGAGTAGCCTGCTCAGTGCCAACTGGGAGAGCAGAACCTTCCTTCCATTCAGTAGTTGGGAGGGAACTGGGGAGGCTGCTGGAGGATGCCTGCTGCTTTATGGAGCATCCTCGGCTTTGGCTCCAGGTAGACGTGGGCTTGAATCCTGGCAGCCGGGTGACCTTTTGGGATACACTCTGACTTCCTCCTTCCTGGAGCCAAGTCTCTCATTTCCCTGGGACTTAGCACACACAGGCTGCTGGAATGGCTTCTTCCGGAAGAGGAGGGATCCAGCCCCACTGAGTGGGTATGTTTCCCAGGAGAGGCCTGGAGGCTGATGCCTGGGAAATGCCAACACCTCTCCCCTGGCTCCTCTTGGCAAGCCCATCTCTGCACCCCTCCCTGTCTTTCCAGCAGCCCATTGGAGGCTGATGGACAGGAAGGTGTCATTTCCTCCTCCCACCCAACATCACCACCACTTCCCTCACCCTGTCCCCTCCTGGCTCCGAGTAGCGGTGAAACTCTTCCCGATGAGGGGTACCTGCACCATCCAGACCCTCTCTAAATGGAGGGCAGCCATGCTTACTGGGGCAGGTAAGATGATGTGGGAGGTGCCTGGCACATGATGGGTGCTTGATGCATGTTGGTGACACCCCACCCCTTTCTGTTCTCCTTGCATTTATGAGGTCAAGTTAAACATGGGGGGCACAACCACATGGTGAGCTTGTGGCTGAGCTATGGCCACACACACTCTTCTCTCTCATAACCCATTGGTCCATTCAGCCCTAGAGATCTTGACAGAGGGCAACTGTCACAGAGCCACAAAATAGCAGTAAGGGACATTGCCTGGCACAAAGTAGGTGCTCGAATGATTGTGCTATACTCAGGATAACATCTAGGGTCCTTCCTGGGCTCCTCTAGCCTCTGTAGGGTCTATCTGGCCCCTCTCCAGCTCTTTGACTTTGTGTCTTGCTACTTCCCTGCTTGCTGATTCCACCTTAGCTGCATGAACCTTCTCTAACTTCCTGGAACATACCAGGACCTTGCAGCCCTCCCTCTGGAATGGTCTCCCCCAGTATCTGCATGGCTTATTCCCTTGCTTCCTTCAAATCTCTTTACATGTCACCTCGGTGAAGAAGACTTCCCTGACCACCCTAACTAAACTAGCACCCCCGTCACTCCCTATTCTTTAAAGCATTTGTCTCCCTTACCTTATATATTTCTTTGTTTGTTTGCTTATTGTGAGAATCTAGCATCATACCTGATAATTTTTTTTTTTTTTGATATGGTGTCTCGCTCTGTCGCCCAGGCTGGAGTGCAGTGGCGCGATCTCAGCTCACTGCAAGCTCCGCCTCCCGGGTTCACGCCATTCTCCTGCCTCAGCCTCCTGAGTAGCTGGGACTACAGGTGCCCACAACCACGCCAGGCCACTTTTTTTGTATTTTTAGTAGAGACAGGGTTTCACCGTGTTAGCCAGGATGGTCTCGATCTCCTGACCTTGTGATCTGCCCGCCTCAGCCTCCCAAAGTTCTGGGATCACAGGCATGAGCCACCGCGCCTGGCCCATACCTGATAATTTCTACAACACATTTTTGTTTGCTGCTGTATCCCCAGCACTGAGAACAGTACCTGGCACATAGGAGGTGCTCAGTAAAGATCTGTGGACTGAATGAATGGATGGATGAATGATCCATGTGGGCAAGACCAGTGTTTCTAACACAAGTTCTCCAGATCTCTAGAGGGCGCCAGAGGCCATCCCAGGGGTTCTGCAGCTGCTCGAAAAGGGGACCAAGAATTTACCTAGGATTAAATCCATATTGGCTATTGCTTAATAAATGAAGTTTGTTCTATAACCATCCATTCAGAAAACATTTATTGAGCACCTACTATATGCCAGGCACAATGCCAAGCATCAGCATTACGACGCTGAGAGAAACAAGCACATTTATGCCATTTTGGAGCTGGCAATGTCATTGGGGAGCTCATGATATTCAGAGTGGGGTCCCAGGGCGGCTGCACCAACAGAATTTCTGACTCCATCTCCAGATGGTCCTGACAGTTTTCGTCTGCATTTGGAGCAAATCTGCCTCCTTGAGAACATTTCCTTCTTCACCCCAGCCTTGGCCTTCCATCTTATAAATGAGACATTTGTACAGGAAGATCCTTAAGAACCTCTCTGGCTCCCACGTTTCCTGGCTCCCGGGGAAGAACTCAGGAAGACAGAGGCATTGGGTGCTTCTGATCTCAGGAGAGCCTGAGATATGGAGGGGCAGCTTAGCACTGGGGTCCAGATGAGGACACTCTGAGTGCCAGGCTTGGAGGATAGCTCCTCCCTGATGCCCGCTGTGCAGGGAGATGGTTCTTTTCCTTTATCAGCATCCTGGCACAGCATGCAAGGAGCTGCCTTCCCTTGAGTGGCAAAAGCCAGGCTGAGTGCCAACTTATTAGGAATAGCTTCACCACTACCCAGAGCCAGGAGGGGCCAGAGTGGAGGATGTGGTGGTGATGTTGGGTAGGGAAGAGAGGGCGAGAGCTTCCCATTCATCAGCCATCAGCCTCTGACAGGCTGCTGAAAGGGAAGGGAGGGGTGCAGAGATGGGCTTGCCAGGAGGAGCCAGGGAGAGGCGGTGGCATTTTCCAGGCACCAGCCTCCAGGTCTCTCCTGAGAACACACCCACCCAGTGAAGCTGTTGCTGGCTGGATCCCGCTACCCCTGGAAGAAGACATTGCAACAGCCTGTGCGTGCTGAGTCCTGAAGTGAGGGATTTGGCTTGCGAGGGAAGAAGTCAGAGCAGAGCTGGAAAGGAAGACTTTTATGGGGAGAGTGGGGAGGACTGTCTCTATAGAGCCCCACCAAAAAAAAAGCAGGAAGTGTTTAAGTCAGATACTAGGAAGAACATCTCGGCAGGACCAGTTGTCATTTTATTATCAAAGAGGACTGTGGATACCTGTGTAGAGGTTGTTGTGTCTGATTTCTGAATCATCCATATGAGCTCTGATTCATTCATTTGTTCATTCATCCATCCATCTATCCATCCATCCATCCATCCATCCATCCATCCATCCATCCATTCATCCATCCAACCTTCCATCATACATCCATCTTACTGTGTGCCAGTGCTGAGCCCTGGGCAAGGGAGATAAATAAGACAAAGTCCCTGCCCTCCAGGAGTCTGTGAGTGGGACAAGGCACATGCCTAGCTAACTAAAACACACAGCCAAAGTGGGTGGTGGCATCTTAGAAGGACCAACAGGAGATTAGAAGAGAGACGACACTTGGGACCAGGTGGTCACAGAAGGCTTCCTGTAGGAGGTGGTATTTCAACTGGGCTTTGCAGTATCTCAGAATACCCAGGAAGACAGGACAATGTAGACACAGACTCAGAGGTGGGAGAGTGCAAGGCCCAGGCAGGAGTGTCAGCCTACCATGTGGCTGAGGCATGTGGTTTCAGCAGGGGTGCTGAGGTCACCTGACCCTGGCCTTGGCAGGAAGGCTGGGTCACCTGAACCATGTCTAGCCTATCAGTAGAGTCCATTCTCCTGGCTACATGATTGGTTCCAGAATGGCATGTGAGCCAAGATGTTCCAATGAGAATCAGCCATGGGATTTTTGCTGGAATCACCCTCATCCCTTATGTCATTTACAGCCAATGGAATTATCTTCTACACAGCCTCTGGTGGAGAGATAGCCAGACCAGGAACTGAAGTTTGGGCTTGAGCTCTGGCTCTGTTCCATGCCCAATATGTAGTCTTGGGCAAACTCTTGCCTCCCTCTGGGTCTTTGTTTCCATGTTTGTAGAAGAAGGAACTCAAGGTAGATGACCTTCGAGGTGCTACTAACTTTTTAACTCTGGAGTTGTACATCTCTTAGTCCCATTTCCTCTCCATCCCGATGCCACCATCTTGTGGGGAGGTGTGTGTTTGGGGAGGAGTTCTGCTGGGTATCTGAGCACACAAACACAAAAACATCCAGCAATTGTTATTATCTGCAATTTCTTGGCTCTTCCTTGCTGTGCTTCTGCTTTCCTCCATTTTAACAAGATTGGGGGGAAATTGACGAGGCTTTGCATATTGAAAGAAGCTGAAAACCCTGCCTGACTCTCACCCTCCCTATCTGACAGCAGCTCAGGGAGGATGGGCTGCCTGTCTGCCACTCAGCAGAGCCCAGCTCCAGCCCACAGCATGGAGGCTCAGGGGCTCTGTCTCCTCCTGGCATCTCCTCTGTCTCTGTTCCCCATAAGACTTGGGAAGTTCATTATTTCCCTGACTGGCTTTTCTGGCGAGACTCAAATTAATTTTCCATCTCTCCTTCTCTCCCAAGCTTCGCAATCATTAAATGCCAGGGAAAGTTAAATAAACAGCTGATTTACAGAAGCATTTCCTTTCTTTCTTTCTTTTTTTAAAAGCAGGAACCTCTATTAATCAGTTGTGCCGAGAGCGGTCTGATTAAGCAGTTCGCGCGCCCTTCAGAGGAGCAAGTGTGGGGTCAGCGGGCCTAGCGACTGGCAAGAGGCTCCTAATCTGGGATAAAAATAGCGCAGGCCCCTGTCCCCTCCGTCTTCTCCCCACAGAGGGGGGAGGGGGGCAGGCCTTTTCTGCATGGAGGGGCAAAACAAGGCACTTGGCTCAGACCTGAGGTCTCTCCACTATCCTGAGCTGAAAGACTTAAAAAAATATTTTCATATTTTCACTCAACTCCGCTGTTACACAGAGACTCAGAGAGGGGAAGGCACCTACCCTGGGTCACACAGCAAGGTCACGGCAATGCTGGGATTAGGATCCTGAATTTCAGTTTGGAACTAAGGGATGAGGAGGCTTCAAGATTTGCATGCCTTGAATAATTTGACAAGAAAAGGCAAGCACGTCACATATACTGGCACTGTCAGGGAGCCATAAAGAGAACATGCACAGAAATGCTTCTGCACACATTCACACACAGAGGCATCCCCAGGTGTGTGTGCACACAAGCACACCTGCTCCTGGAGCTGGTACCTGAATTGAATCTCTGGAGGATACAGTGATTTTGCCATCTGCCTGGACTGGGCGTCCCCACCCATAACCCCTTCCTGGACTGTCTCGGGTGGGTGGAGACCCTCTGACCACCCATCTCCCACCCCACTCAGTCTGGGGCTTTCAGACCTTAAACCCTGTTTCCAGCCTCATTGTGAAGCCAGCACAGCCGGGAGTTCAACAAGCAGAGTCAACAATCCTGGGTCCTGCCTGTCCCCTCGATGGCTGGTGACTCTGGGCCCCCTGAGACTCACCGAGGACAGTGAATCTCCCCTTCTCTAAAATGGACACAGAAGTTCTTATTTCTCAAGGCAGTGGTGGGAATTACATAAAGGTTTGTAAAGCACCTGCTTCTGGATTTGTTCAGCAAATGTGTATCAGGGGCCCTGTTCCCCGGGGGCACTCCATCTCTGGTCTTCCTGCCTTGGCACATAGTAGGTGCTCAGCAAACAGAAGTGGTTGTCAGTATCATTCGCCCATCAGGCATTGACTGAGAATGACCTCATGCCAGGTGCTGGGGCAGGTGCAGGTTCACAGGCAAATGGCTAGAGGAGTATCGCCGAGTGTCTCCAGGGAGGAGCACTCAGGTAGTAGGTGAGACACACACATAAGAAAGTGATTCCAAATGACACCCAAAATGCTGTTAAAGATGAAACAGTACTCACAACAATAATTAGAGTTCACATATCTACGTGCTTACTGTACTCCCAGGGGATGTGCCAAATGCTTTGCCTCTTTGCCTTAAGAGTTTCTCACAACAACCTCATGAGGTGAGTACTGTTATTTCCATCATTTTACAGATGCGGAAACTGAGGCACAGAGAGGGCGAGTAACTTACCCAAGGTCACACAGCTGGTACATGGTAAAAGGGGTAGTGAAAACACAGTGGAAGCATAACTAACTCCAAAAGGGGAGTCCAGGAGCGGGACACTTATGAAAGAGAGAGCTTGGAGGTGGGCCTTGAATCCTGAGACCACCCCTGTCCTTCCTTTTCTGCTCATCAATGCCATCCTGTCCTCTCACTTCTACCCCAGGGAACCAGCCCCATGCTTGACTCTCAAGGGACAGTCACATGACTGTGCTAGCCCTGGCTGATGGGACCCGGGTGCGCGTCTGACCAATGAGACTGCGATCAGACCCAAGAATTTAAACCCACATAACCAGAGAGCGGGAGTTGTGGTGGCCTCAGACTGGAGGGTCAGAGAGGAGCTAGCACCAAGGAGAGAAGGAGAGTAGGGCAGAGGCCAGGGGTTGGGGGAAAAGAGGGAATGCACCTGCTTTGCCTCTGATTCCTTACCATTTCTGAGTTCTAGAGGCCCAGCCATTCTTCCAGCTTCTGGGGTTCATGGGCAACCTACAGCTTGACAATCAAATTCCCTGGACTTAAGTGAAGCTAGCGTGGCCTCCAGTTTCTTGTCCCCAAATAATGCCAGCCTGAGGGCAGGTGAGTGGATAGGTTGGTGCTGGCCAGAGGAAACGGGAAAGGGCGTCCCTGGAAGGGAGAGGGGCTCAAGCAGAGGCCTGGACACCTGCAGGCTGCAGGAGGGGTGTGAGGGGGCCGTGGCAGGGTTTTTGGGAACAGATAGCTCAGAGCCTTTGGGACTTTCTGCCTCAGAGTTTGTGCCCTCCGCCTTGTCACAGAGGCCCAGTAACTCATTTTCAATCAGGCCCCATCCCCAGCACACAGGCAGAGTTAATTAAACATAGCCTTCCCTTCAGTAAGGAAATAAAAAGCAACCTCCTGATACAACAATTAGTATTTACAGCCCCGCCCCTCTCTTCCTTCTCCTGCCTTCTCCTAATACCGTGCCTTCATTATCTCAGACTTGGAACCCGCTCTGCCTGCCATCCATAAATTAGTCTGAAGAATTTAGGAGGAGTGAGGGAAGAAGGGAGAGTGCCCTGGGATGGGGAGACAGGGCCAGCTGCAGCACTGGCGGGAGCCTGAGTTCAGCGGCGGAGAGCCAGGCTGCTGAGCTGCTGGGAACAGGCATATCAACCTTTTTGTTTTCTCTTCCATATTACAGGGATTATACGGATATATATTAGATCCCAAAGTGCACTTCCCAGTCAAAATGGCTGGTCCAGCACCAGCCTCTGAGTGATGCTGTGCCATCCCATTCACAGAAGCTCCTTTCTTTCCTTTTTTTTTTTTTTTTTTTTGAGATGGGGTCTTGCTCTGTGGGCCAGACTGGAGTGCAGTGGTGCAGTCTTGGCTCACTGCAGCCTCAACCTCCCAGGCTCAAGGAATCCTCCCACCTCAGTTTCCCAAATAGCTGGGACCACAGGTGCATGTCTACCTTATAGGACTGTTGTCAGGATCAAATGCGATGTGTAAAGAAAGTGCCAAGCACAGTGCCTGGCATGGACACATCCAACCTGTTTTCCTCTTGCTCCCACAGCAAGTAAAGCCAGAGACCTATGCTCTAAACCAGGAGGACCACAGCCTTGCTGTGTGACATCAGATTGCCTGCTTGGCTTCTCTGGGCCTTCACGTAAAGCACGTTTTCCAGAGAGCTGGAGGGCAGGCAGAAAGGAGCATGTGTTCTCGCCTAAGACTGCTGCGCTCCAACCCTCCCCTGCTCCACTGTTCACTTGCCGTATGAACTCAAGCCTTTAACTCCACGCTTCTCTTTCCTTGACTGTAGAATGGAGGTGATGCCTGCCGTCCTTGAGGGGTCAAAAGCGTTAGTGTCAGAATGTTCAGAACAGTGCTCAGCACATGATCTCTGCTTGAGAAATGTCAGCTATTTGTATTCTTATTTTTCATCTGGTCCAGCCCCTGCCACCAGACAGGACTGAAGCCAAGCAATGGAGCCTGTTCTTAGAGGTTGAATCTGGAGTTTCCCTCACAAGTGATTCCAGAAAGGAGAGTCCCCCGTCTTGGACCACTGTTGTGAGATCTAAGATTGTAAAGGTTCAGGTGAGTTCTTTGGTGCCCCAGTTTCGTCTTTTGTGAAACAGAGCTGCTTATGCCTACCACGCAGGGCTGCCGGGAGGATGAAGAGGGATAAAGGTGCAAAAGTCCTGTTGTGTGGCTCTTCCCTCCATCGCTGCCACCCTCAATGGACTAACAGGCCTCTACTATCCTGAAAATCTCCAGCAAACCAGAGCACTTGTTGAGCACCTGCTGTATGTGGGCATCATGCCAGCCTCTGGGACTGGAGGCAGAAGACAAACCTCGAACTGCCTGCTCTCAAGAGCAGAGGTGCAAACCCAACATACATTAAACCAAAACAGTGGCTTCAGGCTCTGGGATATGATGAATCCTTCCTGGGGACTAATAAATCTACAGCCGAGTGGTGAGATACAGTTCCAATCCCCAGAGGAGCTGAAGAACAAGAAAGGAGCTTCTGAGAAATGGATGGCACAGTCTCACTCAGGGGCTGGCGCTGGCCCAGCCATTTTGACTGGGAAGTGCACTTTGGGGTCTAACCTGACTCTTTCCTGCTGCAAAAGGATACTGTTTTCTCCTGATCCCGTCATCCCAATGATGGATATTATGAACTAGAAGCCGGGTTGACAAATATAAGGTCAGACTAGCACATAATTAGATGGACTTCCTTGTGGGACTCAGCAATGACTCAGAAGGCAATTCCCAAAGCAGATCCGGCCATGTCCGGAGCCCTGGCAGCGCTGAGCCCCCATCATGACACCCTGGAGGGGTGGTGTGGATGGCAGTAGGTGAGCACGAGGCCATTGGTGCCAAGATCCATCTCTCTGCTTCACATGTACTCCTTGGAGATGGATTTTCATTTAAAACATAATTTTAAGAAATTTTGGATTTGCTAGAGATGGGGTCTGGACACACTCAGAAAGGACAGAATTGTTCTTAGTCTTAGCCCCCTTCCCCAGTTACTAATTATCACTGAGCTAACGATCAGTGAACATGACTGAGCTGCCCATTCAGCAGTTGGGATGAGCTGCCTTTAAACCTAGTTCAAAATCCACCCCAATTTGGGGAAAGCATCCTTTTGGTCTGAACAAGGCTGGTGAGTAGAACAGCCCATGGTGAAATGGTTTTCTCTCCTTGCTCCCCATTGGGATGAATGGCCCTTCCTTCCTCCCTGTCTCCTGGCCCAGCCCCTAGTGTGTTGGTTTGTTCCTGGGTGATGGGGAGGATTCTCCACTTCCCGGTCACCCCTGGGATGTGTTGCTCAGAAAAGTCCCCTCTTTCTGGCCTCTCCTGGCCGCTGCTTCCTGCTCCAGCTCTGATTCTTGCCTTCATTTCTGCATCTGGACAGCAGGCTGGGCCAAGCTTGCCAGTGGGGAGTGGTGGCTATGTGGGTGGGCTCTCAGGCAAGTGATTTTGCCTCCCTGAGCCTCAGTTTCCTCCACTGTAAAATGGAGATAATAAAGATGGTGCCTTCCATGAGAGAGATGCATTTAAGGCACTTAGAACAAGATTCAGACACAACGCAAGTGCTTATTAAATGAGAGCTGTTACTATTTCTGTTCCCTGTCTCGGGGACTGGCTGGGAGGCCTCATTCCAGGCCCAGGGGATCTGGCAGATCCCAGCCCAGGACTCCAGGAAGAGCAGGAAGGTGACAACAACCACATGGCTGCCAGTGGAGAGGCTTCTCTATGCTCTATGACCCACCCGGCCCTGCAGATAGAGAAGCCAGCAAGACCTGGGAGGTCCTGGCCCTCGTGAAGTTCACATTCTAGTAGCAAGAGGAAACAGACAGCTAACACATAAGCTCCTCAGTCCTGACCCACTGCCTCCTCCATGTATCACCGTCTGCCTTACTGCAAAGTTGATGTATCTGGTGTGCTCTCTCTCCAAACACCAGACTCCAAGCTTCCTGCGGGCACAGACTCAGACTTGCTCATGCTGCCTACCCAGCACCTGGTATAGTGCCTGGCACAGAGCAGGTGCTTCATAAATACTTGTTGAAGGAATGGATGGCTGCATGCAGGCAGGATGGCCTTGCAAGTCCTTCCTGGGGCATGGGATGGCCACACTCTGTGGCTTTCAGTCTCCTGACTCTGGGAGGCTCTTCCTTGCTGTAAAGTGGCAAGGCTGATCTATTCTCATTGCTCCTGGTCTGACTTTCAGCTGGGGCTGAAGTGCTTGACCAGATCCGCCTCCATGGCTGTAATTCCTCTCCCTGCCACCCAGCCTGCCCAGGGTGACAGAGGAGAGCCAGTGGCTTCCCTCTGCCTCTGCCTTCCCTCCAGCACTCTGAGTGGTAGACTCTGCCCTCTCCTCCCTGCATGCACCTCATAGCATTGGTGAATCCTGTGCCTGCCATTCTATGTGGAGTCTTGGTACCCAAAGGTGAATTCCCAAAAACAGACCTGGTTTCAACCCACCATTTACCCACATGTGACCTTGGCCGAGCCCCTTCATCACTCTGAGCCTCGGTTTTCTCATCTAGATAATGAATAGTAGCAATTCCAATCCCAAAGGATTGGTGTGAGGGTTAAGTCTGGAGACAGTGTCCCATGGTGGTTGAAAACCTCACCTTTGAGTATGTTAGAGGGGTTTCAAAAACAGGTGTGGACAATTCTTAGCTGCGTGACTTTGGGCAAGTGACAGTATTCTACTAAACATCAAGTTATTTCTATAGAATGGGATAATAGTAAAAATAATATTGAATCCATTATTTTTCTGTGATGATTAAAAGAGGTAAGGCATGGAAAGTTTATTAGTCCATTCTCACGCTGCTATAAGGACATACCTGAGACTGGATAACTTATAAAGAAAAAGAGATTTAATGGACTCACAGTTCCACATGGCTGGGGAGGCCTCACAATCATGGCGGAAGGTGAAGGAGGAGCAAAGGCACATCTCACATGGCAGCAGGCAAGAGAGCTTGTGCAGGGGAACTGCCCTTAATAAAACCGTCAGATCTCAGAGACTTATTCACTATCATGAGAACAGCACAAGGAAAACCCGCCCCCACGATTCAATTACCTCCCACCAGGTCCCTCCCACGACACATGGGGATTATGGGAGCTACAGTTCAAGATGAGATTTGGGCAGGGACACAACCAAACTGTATCAGAAAGCATTTGGTACTGTGCTTGGCACATAAACAGTTTACGCCTGTTGGTTCTTCTTTGTCTCTTTGGCTGGGCATTTAGTAGGTGCAAAAATAACAGTAAATACTTCAACTTGCTCTCTTTAGAAGTCAAGGCTTTTGTTGTTGTTGTTGTTGTTATGAAGATGAATATTGGGAAGATTTGAATTTGCCAATTTCTGCTGACCTAGGAGGTTTACTGTCCTGGGTGTGGCTCTCCTTCTGTAATTGTCAAAAGAGCTCTTCTCGTCAAATGATTATCGACAAGAGCAGAATCCTGTCAAACAGTGTTTAGAGTCCTTCCACACCTCTTATCTCACTGTGTCCTTCACTATCCCTATTTGACAGGAGAGAACATCAAAACCCAGAGAGGTTTGGCAAGTTGTCTGGGGTCACACAGCACATGGATACAAACAACACTTCCAGGCTCTTGTTAAGTGATCAGAGTGCCAGGCCACCAGCATCACCGTTATCACCATTACCATCCCCTGTATGTGAATGGGATGTTAAGGTCTTTCAGCTATTTCCATAACTCCATCTCTCATGATCCTTTCAACAGCCCTGTGAGCTGTGCCGGACAGGACCAATCACACGTTACTGCCGTTTTTCAAAGGGGAAAACCTGAGACTCAGAGGAGGCTCAGACAGGCCTAAGGTCACAAAGGGCCAGTGGCCTCATGACACCCAGCCTGGTGCTGTGGCCTCCCACGATGGTGTCGGCCTGGCTTCCCTGTGTCCCCCACCTCCCACTCTTCAGCTTCTTTCCCACCCATCCACCCACTCCCAAACTCCACTCTGAGAGGCCTCAGCTGGGAGCATTGAAGGGCTGGGCCCCTTTTATGAGACCTCAGAAACTGCATTATGGGCCTGAGACCCCCAAACACTAACATGCAATGATTTTTTCCTTCTCTAGAGGAGCAGAAAAGATTCATAGCTTGCGACTATTGACTCTGCTTTTAACCAAGTTGCGTAGAAGCAACGAGTGTCACTTCTAGGAAGATGGATGATGTCTCTGAAGCAGGGGATGAGAGCCCAGAGGTTTGCGACTTCCCTGGTAAAAGTTTTTTCTTGTTTAGAAATCACTTTGGGGTTCGAAAAATATGGATCCATTGGAGAACGTGGTGAAGCTTGTCATGGCGAGTTTTCAGTGAATTAAAGGAGCCGGAATTTAATGTCATTCTGGCCGCGTCATTTCTTCCCCAAGGAGGGCAATATACGAGGTCAGACCAGCTCCCTACACTGGGAACGTGCACTTGATCAAGTCCCTGACCAGCTCTGAGCCCTGGAACCCACTAGGCTTTTCCGAGGATTAAACGAGTTGATGTAGACAAAGCACTTGAAACCCTGCCCAGCACATAGCAGGCTCAAGGTCAATGTAAACCATTTATTATTACTATTCAGAGTATTCCTAGGACACCAGGTGGAGGGGAGGAGCCGTGCAGATAATATAGTTATATTTGAGTTTGGTGGAGGGAATAAAAGGAGAACAAATCTCTCCTGTCTCTGTTTCTGTCTCTCAGTGTCCTGACCCTTGCATCCCAATTGCATTAAAAAAAAACAAAACAAAACAAAAAAAAGAACAACAACAACAAAAAGCAAAACAGTAAGAATAGCAACAACAACAAAAGCAGAGCTCAGCTCAGGGAGGGGCCTCCATGTCTGGGCAGGTTCTCAGACAGAAGCCAGGGAGAAAACAGCCCAGAGGTGAAGCAGCAGTGCCAACACCAATTTCACAAACCAGCTGTTTCACCGGCCGTGGAATGTCATGGGTCTCTGGACTCCGGGCTGGGAGCCCATAGCTGGGGCCTGCAGTGCTGTGTTTAAACATCATGGGCTGTGATGGGCTTGTGTGCAGGGAGTGGAGGGTCTGGACACACTCAGGAAGTGTCATCTCTGAGCCTGGGGCACTCTATCTTGTCAGGAGAGACCTGAGCTGATGAGGCTTCCCCATTAGCTCCATCACCGGCTCCTCTGGCTTTGAGAGGGAGCGGCTGCATCTCCCCTCCAGGATCAAAGCCACCCCTCTCTTTCTTTCCTATTCCTGCCTTTTGTCTGCTCTTCTGTCTTGCCCAGAAATGATCTGCGGGAGAGCAGGGCTGTGTCAGGGAGTGGGGCTGAGGTGTCTACTCCAAGCTTTTGTGCTATCCAGACCCCTTCCTGCGCACCCGCACCTGCTGCCAGGCTGGGACAACCTCCTTCTGGATCCAAGGGCTCTCAGCCGGAGGGCACAGGGCCATGACAACGTGTCATTAGAATGACTTTCAGAAAGTGCCTATTATGTGCCAGGCACCTACCTGCAGTGTCTCTTTCAATTCTCCCAGTAGCCTGCTGAGGAAGGTGTGATGATCCCACTGTAGAGATGAGAAAACTGAGGCTCAGAGAGATAAAACAAATTGTCCCAAATCATAGTTTGAAAGAAACAGAGTCAGGATTTGAACCCAGCTATGTGTGATTCCATTCTTAACCACGACACTGCCACGTGCTTTATAAAATGGAAGGCGTGGCATGGTGGCACGCACCTGTAGTCCCAGCTACCTGGGAGGCTGAGGTGGGACAATCACTTGAGCTTAGGAGGCCAAGGCTGCAGTGAGCTATAAATGCACCACTGTACTTCAGCCTGGGCAACAGAGGGAGATCTTGTCTCTAAATAAATAAATTAGTTAAAATAAAATAAGATGGGGAATATTGAACAAATTTAGTTTTATTTTTAGTTAAAAAGAAAATCCCTCCCACTTCCCTTTTTAAAACAGATTTCAAAGTTTCCCCACTCGTTAATTTATTTGATCCTATGAGAAGGGCTGGGAAATTGCTTTCCCACTTTAGTGATGAGAAAGGTGAGGCCCAGAGAGGTGAAGTGGCCACCTGAGCCCCTGCTACTGGCTTCAAGGTGGTTGTGTCTCTGGGAGGAGCCATCAAGGTGCTCTGCCAGCAGAAGGAATGATTATCATAAACTCATTTCCCAAAGTATCATTCCCTTCCTTTCAGAGATTGGATTTCGGTCGTTAATACGGGCAGCATTCCCCAGCCTTCCATCCCCACCTCCAGTTTCTGAGCTTCCTCCCTCTACAGCAATTTAACCAAGTTATTCATTAACTGCTATGCACCCAGAAGGTATTTATGTCAACTGCGCATTTGGAAGTGTAGCAGCCTTTGAAGTGTGGGTAACAAGCTGATGACCTGCTTGGGGACCAGGTAGGATCTAGGAATCCTGCTTTGCCAGCCTCACCTTTCCGTGATCCTGAGTGTGCCAAAGATAATGGAAGCCTTGATAATGGAAGCCTCGTATCAGGCAGGGGATTGTCAGATAGGACTATTGTCATTCCCTCACTTTTACCTTTCAGTGGTTCCCCATCTTCTAACCAGCTGCCTGCCTGCCTTTCTGCCTTCCTTCCTGCCTGCCTTCCTGCCTGCCTTCTTGCCTTCTTCCCTCCCTCCCACCTTCTTCCCTCCCTCCCTTCTTTCCTTTCTTCTTCTGTCCCTCCCTTCTTTTTTCTTCCACCCATCCAGCCGTTTATTCTTCCATCCATCCATCCATCCATCCATCCATCCATCCATCCATCCATTCATCCATCCATCTTCATTCATTCATTATTTAATTCATTTAATGACGGCCTACCTTATACTGCTCTAATTTTCCTGTTTGCCAAAGCACTTATCACCTTTTAAACACACCCAAACAGTTATCTATCTGATATGATTTGGCTGTGTCCCCACCCAAATCTTATCTTGAATTGTAGCTCCCATAATCCCCATGTGTCATAGGAGGGACCCTGTAGGAGGCAATTGCATCATGGGGGCGGGTCTTTCCCATGCTCTTCTTGTGATAGTGAATAAGTCTCACGAGATCTGATGGTTTTATAAAGGGCAGTTTTGGGCCAGGCATGGTGGCTCATGCCTGTAATCCCAGCACTTTGGGAGGCTAAGGCGGGTGGATCACCTGAGGTTGGGAGTTTGAGACCAACCTGACCAACATAGAGAAACCCGTCTCTACTAAAAATACAAAATTAGCTGGGCGTGGTGGTGCATGCCTGTAATCCCAGCTACTCATGAGGCTGAGGCAGGAGAATCGCTTGAACCTGGGAGGTAGAGGTTGTGGTGAGCCAAGATTGCACCATTGCACTCCACCCTGGGCAAACAAGAGTGGAATTCTGTCTCAAAAATAAATAAATGAATGAAATAAGATAAAATAAAATAAAATAAAATAAAATAAAATAAAATAAAATAAAATAAAGGGCAGTTCCTGTGCACACGCTCTCTTGCCTCCCACCATGTAAGATGTGCCTTTGCTCTTTTGCCTTCTGTTTCCCATGCCATGTGGAATTGAGACTCCATTAAACCTCTTTCTCTTTATAAATTATCCAGTCTTGGGTATTTCTTCATAGCAGTATGAAAATGAACTAATTATCTATCTATCTATCTATCTATCTATCTATCTATCTATCATCTATCTATCATCATTACTTATTGTCATTCTCTCTTCACCACCATTTTCCCTATCACACTAAAATAAAAGAGCCACAAGGGCAAGAATCTTGGTGTTATTTACTTGTGTTCTAAGTGCCATCCAGGAGGTACTTAATAAATATTTGTTGAACGAGTAAATGAACACTACTATAATATTGAAGAAGACACAAATTTATAGGAATTAAGATAAACTGGAGTCTTGAAAGCATATAAAGAAATGCCATTGTCTATGCCCCTATAGATAATATTTCCTTCTATCTGCCTTTAATTCTTCTTATGAGGGAAAGTTTGAGATCACCCACCAGTAGGAAGAATTCAAGTTTTTTACCTGTCACCCTGAGTTCTCCAGTCCAACCCCTGCCATCCTCTCCTGTAATTCTGTAAAAGGTCCTCCACCCCACCTCACAGCTGGAGTTGGCTGCATGTTCCAAACACACTCTCAGGCATCTTTCCATACATCAGGCACTTTGCATGTTCTTTCTCCTTCAGGAGTCTCCTCCAATCCCTTGTCCATCTGGAAAACCTTCTGCCCACTATTTGAAACTGACTTCAGATTATACCTTCTTTGGGAAGTCTTCCCAGTCTTTGTTCTCCCCAGTTAGGGCAAAATTAGACTCACACTTTCCCCCTCCTCTACTGAAGAGCATGACAGGTGGTGAATTTGCTTATTTCTGTCTGTCTTGCCCATGAAATGAGAGCTCTTTGGACCAGGAACTCTTTCCTCTGCACCTAGAACAGAGTGGTATTTGTGGAATCATTTCTTTCTTTTTTTTCTTTCTTCTTTTCTTTTTTTTTTTTTTTTTGAGATGAAGTCTTGCTGTGTTGCCCAGGCTGGAGTGCAGTGGCACGATCTCCGCTCACTGCAAGCTCCGCCTCCCGGGTTCACGCCTTTCTTCTGCCTCAGCCTCCTGAGTAGCTGGGAGTACAGGTGCCCACCACGATGCCTAGCTAATATTTTATATTTTTAGTAGAGATGGGGTTTCACCATGTTAGCCCGGATGGTCTTGATCTCCTTACCTTGTGATCTGCCCACCTTGGCCTCCCAAAGTGCTGGGATTACAGGCGTGAGCCACCATGCCCAGCCAGAATCATTTCAATAATAACTATTTGTGGAATTATTATAACGTTGGTGGTTACCTACTATGTGTCAGTGACTATTCTAAGCACTTTGACATCAATACTCATAGTAACTCTGTAATATAGGAACTGTGATTATCTCATTTTTATAGATGAGAAAACAGACACAGAGAGATTGTGGTCATTTATCCAAGGTTATACAGTTAATAAATGATGGAGCCAGAAACAGAACCTTGGCAAGCTGGCTTTACAGCCTTTAAGCTGAATGTCTTTGTGGTATTGGACCACTCTTTCCACATGTCTGGGTCTCAGTTTTCCCATCCGTACAATGAATTGTTAGGGTGAGGTAATGTTTAAGAATTCTTTCAATGAGAACTCTCTTTGGATTCTCTTCTATCCATTCTCTTCTATGGAGACTATGATGTCTCCATAGTTAGCAGCCTCCTGCTTGTAGAAATGTGGTTGGGACCCTACAGGGCTGAGGAGGAGAGTACCAACAAGTTCTTATTTCTAGGACAGTTTTGGTCTAGAAGCATAAACAGGGGAATGGGTGATAGCTTGAATACGTCAGAGACTCTGGACTGTGTTAGATTATATTGTTTTCCCTCAATTCTTTCCATCTCTCCCTTGCCATGGCTTCTTGCCATGCATAGAATATACTTTCCCACTGACTTTGGACTTGGCCATGGGACTTGCTTTGGCCAGTGGAATGTGGGTGGAAGTAATTGTGTGCTAGTTCCAAGACAAGCTCTTCAGAGCCACGGCAAATTCCCAAAAGCATTCTTGATGCTCCATTCCCCACAGGAGAGCCTGAGCCTTGGGGCTTCCTAGAATCAAGACACATGGAGCAGACCTGGTCCCTTTGAAGGCTTAGAGTTCAGCCTGGCCCAACTTAATCCAGCCAAAATCAGCTGAACTGTATTTGACCTAGAAACCTGTGAATATGAAATACATATTTTGTGGTATGAGCCACTGAGACTTTGGGACTGTTTGTTATGTATCGTTAGTATAGAGGAAACCTGATCAGTATGTAGACTAAGCACCAGACCAGTGTGAGTGTAGCAACCTTGTTGAATTATATTGTTCATAGTCAGAATGAGATCTAACATTAGCAGTAACCCTTAAGCAAACAGAAAACATTCAGACTTTTCTTCCTCTCTCAGTCCTTGCTAGGCAACATCTTAGGTATGACCTGACCAGACAATAGAATGACTTTTTTTTTTTTTTTTTGAGATGGAGTCTTACTCTGTTGCCTAGGCTGGAGTGCAGTGGTGCCATCTTGGCTTGCTGCAACCTCCGCATCCCGGGTTCAAGCGATTCTCATGCCTCAGCCTCCCGAGTAGTTGGGATTACAGGTGTGTGCCACACCTGCCTAATTTTTGTATTTTTAGTAGAGACAGGGTCTCACCATGTTGGCCAGGCTGGTCTTGAACTTCTGACCTTAAGTGATCCACCCGCCTTGGCCTTCCAAAGTGCTGGGATTACAGATGTGAGCCACCACACCTGGCCTAGAATGACTCTTCTTGGTTCTATTACAGCCAATGAAGCTACATTTCCTCTGATAATCAAGCATGCCTCCAAAGGAAGTACTCAGGCACAGCCTTCTAGAATAAAAGGCTTGAGTGGGCAAAGCCCATTTCCTTGCCATTTGTCCTGTCCTCTCCATCACTTGGAAATACTTAATACAGAACCAGGACCTCCATGGTTTGATCCAGGGCATGGAAGAGTCTGTTTTGGATGATTTGAAATGTTAAGCAGTGAAGGGAGATAGCTCAGGAAAAAGGTTGATGTGTCCCCTCTTTCTGCCCCCTGAATCTGTTATACGCGTGTGAGTGGTTTCAGTAGTATGCTGAGAGGAAGATGGAAATGGTGGGGAAGGAACTTGGAAAACTTCTATAATTTTGGAGCTCAGACAATCTTTATGAAAATCTCTCTTTCTGATTCAGGCTTGGTTTGGGTATTACCCAACTCCCTTGATATAGCACATGCCAATAAAATCTTCTAAGATCTTGCCAGCCTGTTGTCTTTGTTCTCAGGACCTGACCCTGGGGCCCTGGGGCCGTCGCTACCGTGGTGAATCGGTCCCAGTGTTCACCACTCACAGATACCATCTCACCAAACCTTGTATTCGGTTCCTACTGCTGCTTAAAACAACACACGTTCACTCTCCTACGATCTGGAGGTCAGAGGTCTGAGAGCAGTTTCACTGAACTAAAGTCAAGGTGTTGACAGGGCTGGTTCCTTCTGAAGGCTCTGAGGGAGAATTTGTTTCCTTGCCATTTCCAGCTTCCAGAAGCATCTGCAGTCCTTAGCTTTTAACCCCTTCCTCTCATCAGTGCAGCCTACCACTTTCATCATCACATCATCTACTACTGACTCGGAGCCTCCTGCCTCCTTCTTATAAGGCCTCTCGTGATTACATTGGGCCCGACCAGAGAATCCAGGGCACTCCTTGTTTCAAGATCTGCAAAGTCCCTTTTACCATGCTAGGTAACGTAGTTACAGGCTCCAGGAATTAGAATGTGGATGTCTTTGGGAGGCTACTGTTCTGCCAATCAAAGACCCTGACATTCCTTCCAGGGTAGAGAACACAGGCATTATCACCCAGTTATTTCCATTTTATAGTTGAGGAAACTGCAGCCAGTAAGTTGTAAATCCAGGAACAGAACCCAGATCTCTGACTCGTACTTTTTAAGCTAGAGTTATTGTTAATATTTACTCTTAATAATTTAATTAATAGTAATGAATTAGATGAATTAGAATACTTTTAATTCATCAAATGTTTGCAATGTCCTCAGCCCTGTTCCAAGACCATTTACATATGTTATGCACTATTGTAGCTTTGATGTTACAGATGAGATAACTGAGGTTTAGGGAATTCGGGAAACTTGCTTGAGCCATTACGTGATAGAGCTAAGATTAGAATCCAGGTCTTCTAATATGACTGTGTAGTAGATGCTGTTGATGATGCTTCCAGGTCCCCTTTACCAGGCCAATGCACCCATCCCCAGCTGCTGGGAGTGCTGGCTGCTAACAGCTCACAGGTGTCCTCTTCTCCTGAGAATTTCCCTCAGCCCCCAGAAGTCATTGCACCAGGAAATGCCTGGAAGATTACACCCTCCCTGCAGGGTAGCCCCAGGAAGTAGTAGCTGATTGATCCAGGGTATATACTGCTGATGCCCTTCACTCAAGGTGGGACAAGTCTTTGACATCACGCTGCAGAGCTCCTGTGGGATTAGGATGAGGCTAGATTTCAGCTGACCCCACCTCTTTATTTTGCTTTTTCCCCTGCCCCCATCGTACTTTACTCACTCCTAACTTTCCTGAGAGTGCTCCTTCAATCAATCGCTTACATGGGAATTTCCCTCTCAGGCTCTTCTTGTAGAAAACCTGACCTAAGACACCATATCAAGTAGGTTTGATCCTGAAAGCAGAACTAATAGGAATGATAAAGAATAAAAAATTTGTTTTAGGGATTTGGCCTCCTGCAACCATGGGAACGAGTGAAACAGTCTATGTAAGGTTGTTGCTTCTGCATCTGGTGTTGATCCTGAAGTCAGCCAGCAGGCAACTGGGAAAAAAAAAAAGATGCTTGTGAAGTGGGGAAGACAATGACTCCTGCAAAGAACAAGCTAGAACTCACAGTGATGAGCTAGAACTTGTGTGTGTCTCTCACCACCCGCCAGCTTGCAACTCCCATGATGCAGGTGACCTGCAGAAGAAGCCAGCATGCTTCATCATGGAGCTGCACGGCACCCAGCCCAGGACCCAGAGATGCTGGCTGAGATGTGGCAGGAACTGGGGTTGCTGTGGGCCCAGCTGCTGCCCCACCCCAACAAGTTGAGCCAGGAGATCGGCAACCATGTGTGAGAACCATGCCTGATCCTCCCCTGACTTCTAAATGCAACATGACTGCTGCTTCACTTCACTTTGCCTTCCAAATTTCAAGCAAATTTATCTGCTGCCAACCTAACTCAGAAGGAGAAAGTTAAAGGTATTCTAAGAAATGTTATTTCCAGCTTAGTTAAATTGACCCTGCACAAAACCACCGTAGGCTACCCCCTGTCAACATGGCACACCCACACGCTTCTTTTAACTATATTTAACTTCCAAATTAAGCATGCAAAAGCATGCTTCCTCCTAACATAATGCAACTGTCCCTTGTAAAACTGAAAACACGCTACACTAACCTTCTTTTCAAAATATGACACAAAGTCTCTTTTGTACCTCCTCTTTGGGTGAGGTTCATTCCTTTCCTAGCTGAGTCAAATTCCTTCTTAGACCTCTTATTTAAATTCTGAATGATAAGGTTAGCTACTGTTAACAAATCCTATGTTAGATGGTAGGGGAATGAGAGAGGAGGAGAAGAAGTAATTAACATATGCACAAATATTTTCATATCAAAATAAGGAAGAAATACTCACTGTCTATTACTGTCCTCTTTTCTTCAACTGGTCATGTGGTTGTAGTTGGTATTTATAATTTCCTTCTGCTGCCCATTTCTTATCCCATTTGCTCTCAGCAAGAACCTTGGCCTATTATGGTTCCTTGCATGATTGAGTGACTCAAACCTTCCCTGTTTAAGGATCTAGGCTGTTAGCTGTCCTGAGTCTTATGGGTGGTTGTAGTTTTCATTGATGTTATCACAGGGCATGCATATACTAACAGGTGCCTGTTGGGATATCTTCCATTCAAGGCATCTTCTTACTTATTTCCATTTTATAGTAATAACCTATATTTCTCCTTGATATTCAGGATTAATCACTCCAGCTGGTATAGAGACCCCTTTCTATATCCATTGATTCACTGGCATGGGGATCCCAAAGTTTTCAGACAGCACTCCCAACTCCAGTTTAATGGGAGCAGTGTTATGTCCCCTGGTGAAGGCATTCCTTCTTTGGGAGCTGAGACCTCTGGACCAACATGGGGACAGAAAGCAAATATTTAGCTAGTGGATTACATAGGATAATGGTGAGAAGAGACACTCCCATTTCCACCCCTCAAGTCCCAGACCCGGCAATTTTGGTCGTGGGATGAATAGCACCATATCTTGTTTGCTGGTTTAAGAGAATAGACTGCATCTTGGAGGGTATTGCCCCAGCACTGCAAGGTGTTGCCACAAGGCTGGTGCCTTAACTGAGTCTTCAAAGGGCCATTCCATCGTTCCACCAGGCCAGCTGCTTCAGAATGATGAGGAACATGGTAAGACTAGTGGACGACCTGAACGTGGGCCCCCTGGTGCCCATCCTTTGCTCTGAAGATTTCCTGAGTCAGAAGCAAAGCTATATGGCATGCTGATGGTGAATGAGGCATTCTGCAAGGTCACAGATGGTGGTTTTGGCAGAGGCCCTGTGGTCAGGGAAGGCAGATCCATGTCTGGGCAAGGATCTAGGTAAGTGAATGAGAATGAAGCATGGGGCTGTACTGTAGGGCCACATTGGGAGTTCAGTGTTGGGCTCTGCTGTTGGTACTTGGGCATTGGCAGTGACTGTAGCCTAGTCAGCCTGGAAGAGTGAAAGTCCAGGTTGCTGAGTCCTTACATAGTTTCCATCCCCTTCCCTGTGGCCGTTTTGATCATGAGCCCATTGGATAATGATGGGGGCTGGGTCTTGGGAACTAAATGGATCATCTTGTCCACCCAATTAATAAGATCCTCCTATACTGAGGTCACTCTTCTGTGAATATTTACATGGGACACACATACTATCACCTTGTCTACCAATTCAGAAAGTTCTAGCTGTATAGTTCTTCTCAAGACCTCCTTCACCAATTTTCCAATTATAGAAAATTATTTTGTGATAATTATTTTGTAGTAATAATAATAATTATTATTTTTATAATTATTATTATATTATATATAGTATAATAATTATTTCTACAAAAGAATAATTAGGTAATAATTATTATTATTTCCAATTATGGCCCAAGGGCCTGACTATTCAGCCAGACCACGAGCCACAGCCTATGAATCCACAGGCTGTGGCCGTTTCTCCCCACAGGCTAAATAAGCAATCAGGTTCACTGCTCAGTTATGCCCCTGGAGGATTGTCCGTCACCATTGTCCCAAAGTGCAGGCTGTGCTGTTGCAGTTGCCCTTCTGGGTAGCACCAGTATGTTGTGCAGAACTATGTGTCAGCCAGAATCAGTTGTGACCTTTCACAGTCCACTTATCTCAGGGCATGCCACATGGGTTATCGGTGTGGGTTGAGGGAGAGGAAGGATGCAGTCTGAAGAGTAGACGGGGCATGGGGAGTGTTCGCTCATACAACTGACTTGCGTCTTCATGGCCTGTTCGAACTGATATTGTATATGCCACTTCCATTTTATGATAAAATTGCTGTCGTGCGTGCCTGATTTTATGGTTTGGTTGGTTAGGCAAAATCCAGTCCATGACAGGCAGCTCAGAAGACACCATAACGAGTGGCTCATAGTCAAGCTTTCAATCTCTATTAATGCCCAGTAGCCTTCCAGACGTTGTTTCTCAGAAGGAGAATAATTATTTTCAGAGAATGTTGTACTTTCCCCCCAAATCATAAGGGCCTGTGCTGTGAGTCACCCAAAGGGGTCTGCCAAGGTCTCCGTACAGCATCCCTCTCAGCCACAGACTTTGTCTGCTGGTCACACAGCCCATGTGGCAGAGCAGCTTGCATGGCAGCCTGCACCTGTTGGGGGATGGATGCACAGGTCTTGCATGATAAATCCACTTCAGCATTCCAACACCCCCAAGCCTTTGGTTACCTTTCTTTACAACCTATCAAGGAGATGCTGGCATTAGAACTTTACTTAGTGTAAGCCACCTCTGCATCCAGGTTTTAGTCAATCAACCAAGCAAATAGTTAGGGCCAGTCTGAGCTGCTTGAGCCAACACACTGGATCCAGAATCTCCGCTTAATGCATTCATGGCAATGAATTTGGCCTGACTGGACACCCTCAGGGGCCATTCCTAGAACTACAAAGAGAAGGGAATTCTGGGAAATGTAGTTCCAGCTGACTATCATGCCACCGTCCAAAGCATTGCCGACACACTGCCTTCCTCTACCTGGCTGTCTTTTTCAGCTTCCAGATGAAATTACATCTTGTTTTCCCTTTCAGTGGAATGGGTCTCTTTTTAGAGCTACGAAGCTAAGTGCAATGACATGCTTTCCCCAGATTAAAACCAAAGGTCACTGCCACTTCCTTTGAGGCCTCAGAGTCACTGCCATCTTGTATTGGGAGTCCCTCTGTGGTGTGGCATGGTGGCTCACACCTGTAATCCCAGTGCTTTGGGAGGCCAAGATGGGAGGATTGCTTGAGGCCAAGAGTTTGAGACCAGTCTGGTAAAATAATAATAATAATAATAAAATAACAGAGTCCTGCTATCTCTGTATTGATAATAGCTCCCCACCTACAAGTTGCTCTCAGCAATTGACACACACCCTGCCACTTAATTCTGACAACTTTATGATGAAGTAATTATTATCCCCATTTTGTAGATGTGGAAACTGAAGCCAAGAGAGCAAACTTGTGCAATTGACAAGGGATAGAACTGCAATTCAAAATCAGTTCCCTGCCTCTATTGCCAGGGCAGGTTGTAGGGAACTTTCTGCCCCCTCCCCCTTTTTTTCCAGCTTGAGTTAAAATCCATTCCAGGTCATTGGAGAGGGATTAGATATGGAATCCCAGAACCATAGATTGTCCTTGCTGGATGGGGCCCTCAATAACAATTTAGAGTTGGGAAAATTAAAGAAGTTGAAATTGAGGCAGTTCGTCCAAGGCAAGCCAATGGGACATTAACAGGACCTGGGTCAGAGGGTGATGGCCACAGCTGTGTTTAGGGGATGAGAGTGAAGTGGGGGAAAGAGCTTGCAGTTCCAAACGTGCCTGATGCTGGGATTCACATCATCCTTAGACCAACATTGTGCCTGTTCAGAGAATCACATTCTTTTTCCTGACTTACCCTCTGGTCCCAGCAGGCAGGTACAGCTGGCCAGCTTGGCTGTAACCAAGCTTCACCACCTGCCCACCTCATTGGCCAGACAGCTTTAGAGAGAGTCCCTTTGGGCCAGTCCCCAGAGGTCACTTGGATTTCCTTGGCCTCATTTGGTTCCAAGGGAGCTGGAAGTCTCTTCTTGATTTGTTTGTTCTAAAAGAGTGAGGGGTCCCACGGAGGCAGATGACCTATTTCTTGAGGACTGGCCTGACTGTGTGCTCAAATAAAAAGACACAAGAAACTTGGTCTTCTTTCAGGCTCATCTAGATCCAGCTGATGTGGACATTCCTATTCCAGTGCTGGCATCTATAGTTTAGTGGGGGACGTTCTCTGGGGTATCCAGCAAATGCATCATGGCCTGGACATGTGGGCCTGAAAGGTCTCTATCTCTACTTAGTGCTCTAGGAAACAGTAGGCACTGGCTGAATAAGGCTTAGGTGGGATTCATGCATTCATTCAGTAAACACCCTTGAGCTCCTTTAGTGCGTGGACCAGTACTGCTGGCAGAGAGGTATCAATGATAGAGCAGGAGATGCCTTGCCCTTGCAGGAATACATTCTAGTGGGGAAAGACGGGCAACTAAGCAAAAGCAAAATAAATAGCTATATTATATGCTGTGGTAGAGGTAATATGCGATATAAAAGAAACAAACACAACATGGTAAGGGGGAGCAGGGATGAGGGCAGGGGGACAAGTTGCAGAATTAAGAAGGTGGTGAGGGAGGTGGCCATGTGGGTGTCTGGGGAGGAGCATGTCAAGGAGAGGATACAGCAAGTGCAAAGGCCCTGGGGCAGGGAAGTGCTGGTGTGTTCCAGGAACAGCAAGGAGGCCATTGTGGTTGGAGCAGAGGGAAGGAGGGAGAGACATAGGAGAGGAGGTCAGAGAGATGGGAGGGATGGGGGCAGATGCTACTTCTAATTCAACCATGGGAAGGACTCAGCTTTTTCTTTTCTTTCTTTCTTTGTTTTTTTTTTTCTTTTTTCTTTTCTTTTCTTTTTTTTTTTTTTTTTGAGACAGGGTCTTGCTGTGTTACCCAGGCTAGAGATCATGGCTCAATGAAGCCTGAACCTCCTAGGCTCAATCAATCCTCCCATCTCAGCCTTCTGAGTAGCTGGGACTACAGGCATGCATCACTGCACCAGGCTAATGTTTGTATTTTTAGTAGAGACGGGATTTTGCCATGTTGCCCAGGCTAGTCTCGAATGTCTGACCTCAAGCAATCTTCCTACCTCGGCCTCCTAAAGTGCTAGGGTTACAGGCATGAGTCACTGTGCCCGGGCTTTGTTTTTTTTTTTTTTTGAGGCAGGGTCTTGCTCTGTCACCCAGGCTGGAGTGCAGTGGCGTGATCACAGTTCACTGCAGCCTGGACCTCCTAGGCTCAATGGATCCTCCTGTCCGGACCTCCTGAGTAGCTGGGACTACAGGCATGCACCACAGCGCCAGGCCAATTTTTGTATTTTTCTGTAGAGATGGGGTTTCGCCATGTGACCCAGGCTGGACTCATCTTTTGCTCTCAGTGAGATGGGGAAGCGTTGCAGAGTGTTGAGCCAAGGAGCGACAGGATCCGACCTACCTTTGTAAAAGGTGCCTCAGGCTACTGTGTGGAGAACCCACTTCGGGGAGTCAAGGGAGGAGGGTGTTGCAGTAACCGGGTGAGAGATGATGAGGACATAGACCAAGATGACTGTGGGGGAGCAGGTGAGTAGCCATCAGATTTGTGGATGTATTTTGAAGGTGGATCCAATAGAATTTGCTGATGGGTTAGAAGTAGGGGGGTGAGAGGAACAGGGTCAAAGATGATGCCGAAGTTTTCAGTCTGAACAACAGAATGGATGGATACCAAGTGGAACTTCCTGACTAGCTCTGCCACTTACTGACTAAGATACCTTGGACCAGTTAGTTACTTAACAGCTCTGTGCCTCAGTTTCCCCAAATGTAAATCAAATGTAAATTTGGGAGAATAGCGGTCCGAGCTTCATGAGGTTATTATGAAGACTGACCTGCTACATAGTAAGTACTCAGTAAACATTAACTCTCATTATTATTATTAATTATTATTATTATTGTTGGTGGTGGTGGTGTAGAATCTAGCCCTGGAGTCAGCAGACTCCAACCTGTAGGACATGTTTTTGTAAAGAATCACTGGGGCCAGGCGTGGTGGCTCACGCCTGTAATTCCAGCACTTTTGGAGGCCGAGGCGGGTGGATCATGAGGTCAGGAGATCGAGACCATCCTGACTGACACGGTGAAACCCCGTCTCTATTAAAAATACAAAAAATTAGCCAGGCGTGGTGGCGGGTGCCTGTGGTCCCAGCTATTCGGGAGGCTGAGGCAGGAGAATGGCGTGAACCCGGGAGGTGGAGCTTGCAGTGAGCCAAGATTGCGCCACTGCACTCCAGTCTGGATGACAGAGTGAGACACCGTCTCAAAAAAAAAAAAAAAAAAAAAAAAAAAAAAAGAATCATTGGGCCAGGGCTATGCTCATTTGTTTACATATTGTCTGTGGCTACAGTGGACGAGTAGGAGAGCTGCAAAGCCAAAAGTATGTCCTGCCCAGCTCTTTACCGAAAGTTTGCCCATCCATGCTCTACACCAAATTGGCTCCCTTTCAGAGCATGTTTCAGCACAGATTTCTCATGCTTTTTCAGAGGTGGGGGTTGGTCCAATCCTGCACCAGGATGGGGTGAGGGTTCAGTGGATGATGTTCCTGTCCCCCTGCCCTCACCCTGAAACTGTCCCACCCAGGCCCAGAGCTCAGTGTGATGGTGGCTCTAGGAGAGATGCCTGGAGGTGCGCATCCCCCTGTCCCCTCCCCGCCACCCTCTCCCGAGCATGTTGTTTGTGGTAATCGCATGCCCATCACAGCGCTTGGGCGACATGACACTATAGAATTACACGGCTGAGTGGAGGGATTAATAGCTGATGGGGTGGGTGGCCCTGGAGAGTCGGATGCTGATCCACCAGTAGCTCGGGCATGCACCCCACCCCCATCCCTCCCTCCCTGTCATGCTCCCAGGCACTGCAGGGGCCTCTCCAGGCCAAGGCATTCATCAGTGATGCAGGAAGGAGACAGACCAGCTTGGGAAGCACCTGGCTGGCATCTGATGCAGCTGTGCCCCCTCACTGGCTGTGTGAACCTGAGGGAGTCACCTGGCTTCTCGGAAGGATTGTTTCAAGGATGGGAGATGATCCCATTTGTATGTGTGGCCCAGGGTGGAAACATCTCCTCAGGGAGCGTGGTGGCCTTTTGACTTCCTGACATTAAGGGCCCAACACAGAGCTTAGCATGTGACAGGAGCTCAGAAAATAAGTGCCGAGTGAGTAAAAGGCAGGAGCGCAGAGCCTGCATGGATGTGGTGCCCAATTATCATTGCTGTTGATGATATTAATTTTATTATTAGCTGTTTTATTTAGTTGCTATTGATGATAATAACAATTTTACTCCGAGGTCGATTCTTGGAAGCCTTCCTTTGGCCAGCCTGCAGGAACAGGCATGAGTTTCCAGACACTGGTGGGGTTTTTCCAGCCGGGAGCGGGAAGAAAAGAGCTGCGGTTTTGGAGGATGAGGCTGTGGAGGGTGAATGCCTTTGGATTCCCACTGGAAGGTGGGCGAGAGAGCAAAGGCATGGGTAGCTCTGACACATAGAGACAAGTGAGGGATGAAAAGAAAGAAAAAAAGATTGACAGATAAATAAATAGAAGACGGAAGCAAAGGTAGATGGGCAGGTTGCCAGACAGGCAGATAAATAGATAGGTAAGTGATGGCTGGTGTCCTCTGCTCAGCCCCTCCTCCTCTCTCACTCGCCCCTCCACTGTCGCACACTCATAATAAGACAGAAAAAGAGCCCGACGTTGACTCAGCACCTTAGGGGGCTGAAGACTTAGGGGAAATTCTGAGGGCAGCCGGGCCACATCGCCTCTGTCTGCCTTTATGAGAAGGAACTAAAGATTCAGATCAAAGGGTGAGTTTGGACCAAAAGAGGCAGACTGGTAGGGGTGTGGGCTGGAAAGAGGTGCGACTGGAGGCAGGAGCTGTGGATTTGAGACTCAGCTTATCCACTGTTTTTTTTTGAGACAGAATCTCGCTCTGTCACCGGGCTGGAGTGCAGTGGTGTAATCTCGGCTCACTGCAACCTCCGCCTCCTGGGTTCAAATGATTCTCCTGCCTCAGCCTCCTGAGTAGCTGGGACTACAAGCGTGTGCCACCATGATCAGCTAATTTGTGTATTTTTTTTTTTTTTGAGATGGAGTCTCACTCTGTTGCCCAGCCTGGAGTGCAGTGGTGCGATCTAGGCTCACTGCAAGCTCCACCTCCTGGTTCATGCCATTCTCCTGCCTCAGCCTCCCGAGTAGCTAGGACTACAGGTGGCCGCCACCACGCCCAGCTAATTTTTTTGTATTTTTAGTAGAGACAGGGTTTCACCATTTTGGCCGGGATTGTCTTGATCTCCTGACCTCGTGATCCCCTGCCTCAGCCTCCCAAAGTGCTGGGATTACAGGCATGAGCCACCGCGCCTGGCTGAGACTCAGCTTATCCACTCTTTTCTTTTTTTTTCTTTTCTTTTTTACTCTTCTTTTCCTCCTCTCTTCTCCTCTACTCTCTCTCTCTCTGTCTCTCTTTTTTTTTTTTTTTAATGAGACAGAGTCTTGCTCTGTCACCCAGGCCTCACTGCAGCCTTGACCTCCTGGGCTCAAGCAATCCTCTCCCCTCAACCTCTCAAAATGTTAAGATTACAGGCATGAGCCACCGAGCCCGGCCAGCTATCCATTTTTTTTTTTCTGATTCTGTGACCTTGAGCAAATTTATGCTTTTCTGGGCCTCAGTTTCATCTCCTGTCCTTTGAGCTGCTGTGCAGGTCATGAGGAGAGGTGCCATGCCACTGCCAGGGGTGGTGATTATGGACACCCATCTGACATTGGGCTAGGGGAGTTGAGTGACAAAATGCAAAGCATTCAGTGATGATGTGAATGCTGTGGGTGTGTGCTCACCCATGTGTGGGTCTGTCGGCCTGCCTGGGTCGGAGCTGGACTGTGACACTGGGTGATCAGCGTCACAGTCAGGCAGACTGTCCGCCTCGTGGGGGAGCTGTGCGTGTGGGATCTCGCTTCCCTTGAGTCATAGCTATTGCGGGCCCAGGCACGCCGCTGGAAGCAGGGCATGCTTTGCTGGTCCCCGGTCTCACCATCACCCTGCAAAGTCACCTTGACATCTGGAGGCAGGACTGGCTATGTAATTTGCAGAACCCTGGGCATAATAAACACGTGGGGTCTCTTGTTAAAAAAATTATTGAGAATTTCAGGATGGCAACAGCAGAAGAGTAAACCAAGTCCCTTGTGCCTGCACAGACTGCACTCCGCAAAGCCCACCCTGCCTTGGGCCACACGGTCCCTTGACTAGTGAGGTCAGGGTGAGAACAGGGGCTATGAGCTGTACTCTCCTCGGTTCTCCCACTTACTAGGTCTGTGAAATTGGACAGGACACTTAATCTCTGTGCCTCCCTTTCCTCATCTGTAAAATGGAGATGATAGTACCTACCTCCTATGCTTTTTGTGTCAATTAAACGAGTGAATACCTTCAGCACTGGCCACTGTGCCCACCACAGGTATACAATAAATATCAGTGATTGTCATCATCCTGCTGGCCAAGTTACAGAGGCAGTAAGCGACAGGGTCTGAAGACGGAACCAGAGCTGTGCAAATCCAAACCTCTCCCTCCAGGACAGATTCCAAAGTTAGCCTTTCCCAGGCTCTGGGGCTCAGAAATGGGCAGAAGTTTGCTTTTTCCCTAGAGGAGCTCATGGCTATCCCTTTAAGAGAAAATCCGTGGCCTACTGACGCTGGTTATGAGCCCCCATCTAGCCTTGAATCATGGGGAGCCTGTTCCTGGTACCTTTCTATTCTTTCCTTGTCAAGGAGCCGCTGATGCTCACTTTCCCTGATCTCACCTGCATCTGAAGGTAGGGGCTGCAGAGGGGAGGCTCAGGGACAGGTGAAGGCTAATGAGGGGTGCCCGCAGTGGGAGGGGAAAGTGGAGGAGGGACAGTGGGAAGCAGGGCAGGTCTGCAATGCTCAGAGGCTCACCTATATCCAAGACCTTACCTCTGTGCTCAGGAGACTTTGGTCCAACCTTATGTATGAGACTTAGACACATACTTAGCTCATAGATGAGCACAGATTTAGATTTTAAAAAACAACAAAGAACAAACTTGGGCAGGTATTGCATATGTTGACATGGTGGATAGACCAGCCTTGGGTAGGAGCTTAGATAGGAAGCACTAAGAACTGGGCAGATCACGGAGGACTTCCTGGAGGAGCCACCGCTTCCACAGGCAATGTGGGGCTGGCAGCCATGTCTTGCCGTGCAGCCTTTCCCCTTCTCAGGGACAGCATGTTGCCCATCAGCAGCAGGCACGAAGTGGGGGCACCAGAAGGTCTAGAGCACCACTCTTTGCACCTAGGAGCCCACAGGTCTGGGCAGATCTGACCCTGTGGGTGGGGACACCGTGTGGAGCAGGTTGAGAGAGGGAGAGGCTGGCGGATGGCTCCTTGGGGACTGTGGGCCGGGGCCTGAGTTTGGCTTTTAGTGTAAGTGGTAGAAGGTTTGTGCGGAGTTCTAGGCAGAAACATGACTTGATTTGATTTACGCTTTAAAAAGATCACTCTGGTGATTGGTTGGAGAATGTGGGGTAAGGAGCCAGGAGTGCAGCTGACAGGCCAGTTAGAAGGTTTGCCGCATTATCCAGGCAGGAGGGGAGAGGGGTTGGATTCGGGCATGGGAGCTGGAGACCAATATACGTATTGGAGATTTACTTTAGACACTGAATTCCCAAGCCACGCCGCCAGTTTGGAGGTGGAGGCTGCAGGAAGAAGGATCAGGTGTGGCTCCCAGGGAGGAATGGGGGCTGGGGGAGAGGAGGAGAGGGAGAGGAAGATAAGATCCTGTTTGGGGCTTGCGGAGCCTGAGACGTTCGTGAGGCATGGATGGGGTTTGCTGATGAGGAAGCTTGGGGTTTAGGGGTGGGGCAGACTCACTTTCTCACGCCGGGTGTTTATTCTCCTCCCTGACAATGCTTTGACTCTCATGGAGAGACCTAAAGGTGGAATTCAGGCAGCAGGCGTGGGAGGTTGAGGGACTAGTTCGGGTGGGCACTTTCTTCAGGGGCCCTCAGATCCTCTCAGTGAGCGTTCCTCTATGCTGTCATGTGGGATGGTGGATCCTGTCTCTGAAATGAAGGATTTTATGTAGTCGGGATGGGAAGAGAAAGAGAAGAGGGAACCCAGAAAATGAGACAAACAAATGAGACCGAAATGGAGGGGGATGGAATTAGGAAGATGGAGCTGGAAAGAATGAGATGGAAAGACAGAGGGGGTGGAGATGGGGTCGAGAAGCAGGTGCCGGTGGGGCAGGGAGACCGAGACGGGGATGCGGGGGGCATTGGTCAGGGTCTCTGGGGAGACACTGGGCACGTGGTCAGGTGTAACTGAAGAGAGTTTAATGAAGGGGTCTTTTATAGAGATGTGGGCAGGGTGAGGGGAAGCCAGCGAGAGAAAGTGCCCAGGGAGCCGTGACCGTGAGGAGCCATGGCCCCTTCCCCAGCAAGTCCAAAGCCCAAGGTGAGGGAGCTGCTTCTAGAACCCAGCAGGTGATGGCAGGACCACTGGATAGGAGCTGCAGCTGCAGGATTGGCCAGTGCCCGAGGGGCCCCAAGGGAAGTAGAGGGGAGTCAGGTCTCGGGTTACTTTCTCCTCTGGCCTCCAACCCACCAGTACTTCCTGGTCAACTGAAGCCAGGGTCAGGGAGCCCTGGAGATGCACCTGAGAGGCAGCCTCTTGGGGCACAGAGCCAGGCACAGAAGCACAGGGCAGGGGTCTGGAAGGGCAAACAGAGAAAGCCCAGCACAGAGAAGAGGAGAAAGAAAGAGCAGCAGACTCATAGAAAGATGGGTTGGGGCGGACGTGGTGGCTCACACCTGTAATCCCAGCACTTTGGGAGGCCAAGGTGGGTGGATCACCGAGGTCAGGAGTTCGACACCAGCCTGGCCAACATGGTGAAGCCCCGTCTCTACTAAAAATACAAAAATTAGCTGGGCATGGTGGCGCGTGCCTGCAATCCCAGCTACTAGTGGGGCTGAGGTAGGAGGATTGCTTGAATCTGGGAGGCAGAGGTTGCAGTGAGCTGAGATTGTGCCACTTCACTCCAGCCTGGGCAGCAGAGTGAGACTGTCTCCAAATAAAAGAAAATAAATAAATAAATAAATAAATAAATAAATAAATAAATAAAGACGGGCTGGAGGAGGAGGGGAAGTTAGAAGGTAGAGACAGGAACAAGAAAAGCTGACCCAGGGCAATGGAGATTGACATTTAGGAAAGAAAAGGGCCATCAGCCGGGGATGTCACCTGTGCTGATTGGCCTTGGGTTTCCTTAGAGCCATGGGACTGGGGCCCTGCACAAAGCCTTTTTGTCCCTACAGGCAGGGCCCAGTCACCAAGCCAGAGCCCTGGGTGGCTGCAAACCCTGTTTCCCTCCACAGAGGCGTTTGTCCCCTCCCTCATGGTGACACATGCCAGACAGTTAAAAGAAAATTCCTGCTTTTGGGTTTTAATCTAATTAATTGCAGGCATTCCTGCCCCATCTTGCCATTCCCTCTGGGAGCCAGGGTTGCCCTGAGGATAAGGCTTTTGTCTTCTGAGCATCCTAATGCTAGCTGGTGGCTGGACCTCCTGCCACTCTACCTGGACTGAATTAAACCTGTGGGCCAGGACCTCAAAGGTGAGCCTTCAGGATGCTGGGTCCAGAGTGCAGGCCTGGGTGCCCTAAGCCAGCTCCTGGCTGGTGATGTGGCTTAGGAGGGTCCAGGTCTAGAAGATACCCCCCGACCCCTGTGCCCCCAGGTGATATGGGGTGATCAGGGAATGAAGTTTTTGCATTCTGATGTGCTTGAAGAAATGTTTCCCCCAGGTTATGGGGCTTCAAACTCTGTTTAAGGACTTTTGGGAAGAGAGAGAGGTGGTGGGAATCCGTGCAGGTAAGTCCAGAAAAGACCTGGGCAACACGGGGGACCTTCAGGTTGCTGCCAGCATTTTTTTTTCTTTTTTCTTTTCTTTTTCTTTCTTTCTTTTTTTTCTTTTTTTTTGAGATGGAGTCTTGCCCTGTCACCCAGGCTGGAGTGCAGTGACGCGATCTCGGCTCACTGCAACCTCTGCCTCCTGGGTTCAAGCGATTCTTCTGCCTCAGCCTGCTGAGTAGCTGGGTCTGCAGGTGCACACCACCACACCCGACCAATTTTTACATTTTTAGTAGAGATGGGGATTCATCATATTGGCCATGCTGTTCTCGAACTCCTGACCTCGTGATCCACCCACTTCGGCCTCCCAAAGTGCTGGGATTACAGGTGTGAGCCACCATGCCCGGCCGCTGCTGGCATTTTTTTGGTACCACTGAAGCCCAGTGTGCAAGGCAGCTGCCCAGAAGCATCTCTGCTTCTCTCTCCTGGAGCAGCGGAGAGCACAGCCTCTCCCAAAGTAGCCCAAACTTAGTCTCAGTGAGGGGAAGAGCAGGGAAATTAACACTGATCAAGCTTTCTAGCTGGTGCTGGAAGCCCTCTCCAACTAGCAGGAGTTGAGTAGAGTCTGGAGCCAGATGCTCGGGGTTGAACTGGCTCTGCCTCTGACCAGCTGTGCTTCTCCTTGGGCAAGTTGCTTAACCTCTCCGTGTCTACTCTAAAGGATTGTGATGAACAGTGAATAAAGCACACAGGTAAAGTGTTTGGATCAGAGCCTGTTAAACTGAGATGCTAGGTCCATGTTAGCTATTCTCCTGTTTCTTCTTTTAGACATTCCCCAAACCCCACAGGTGTGTCCTAGTAGGATCCTCATTTTATAGATGAGGAAAGTGAGGCCCAGGAGGGACATGACTCACTCAAAACCACGAAGCTGAGGAGGGGCACAGTGGGGCCACACTCAGGCCTGACTTGTGCCCGGCCTGTCCCTCTCCTGCTTCCTGCATCTGCAGCTGGGTGTGGCTAAGCACAGAGGGAAGGAAGAATTGAGGGTTCTGAAGGCTCCCAAGAGGTCCTCCTTGCTCCCCCAAGTCCCTTAACTGAGGCAGTGCTGTGGCACATCCCAGACTCACACGGACAGCCTGTCCCTTGTTCACATGCCAGGCCAGCAGAGAAGGGGAGCAGCCCTTCTCCTTGCTTCTCAGACTGTCAGATGCACTCCAGCTCAGGGAGGCAAGCAGCCAGCATGGGACTTCCCATTTCCTCACTAGAGGAGCATCTGTCCAGCTTCTCTGACAGGCTGCCCACTGTCTCTTGGCTCAGGAGCCAGGGAGACTGGTACCCGAGGATGGTTGACAGAACCTGTGGGGAGGGTGACAGGTAGTGGCCAGCCCCAGTGCCCACAGACAAGCTTTCCGCCCTGACAGCTGACTTTGATGGCCCAGCCTGGCTATCCTGACTCTAAGATCCATGAGAAAATCTCCCAGAATGGGTCAGATGAGAACAGGCTAGATGGGAAGGATGGAATTTACAAATGCTATTGTATTAGGGTGAGGATAGTAAAGCAGGCCTGTTGAGCCAGATTCCCCTTGCTGTGCCGCGAGTGAAAACCTCTGACTCTTATAATCTTTTTTTTTTTTTCTGAGACGTAGTCTCGCTCTGTCGCCTAGGCTGGAGTGCAGTAGCGTGATCTCAGCTCACTGCAAGCTCCGCCTCCTGGGTTCACACCATTCTCCTGCCTTAGCCTCCGGAGTAGCTGGAACCACAGGCGCCCACCACCTAAATAATTAGGCACTAAAAAATTAGCACCGGCTAATTTTTTTTTTTTTTTTTTTTTTTTTTGTATTTTTAGTAGAGACGGGGTTTCACTGTGTTAGCCAGGATGGTCTTGATCTCCTGACCTCGTGATCCGCCTGCCTCGGCCTCCCAAAATGCTGGGATTACAGGCGTGAGCCACTGCATCTGGCCTTCTGACTCTTCTAATCTTAGAGTTGGGAGTACAAGGTGGAGATTTCTTGGTACTATTACTTCATTTTCCAGATGGGGAAACTGAGGCTTAGAGATTGGAGATGGGTTACTTACTCAAGGCCACACAGCAAAACCTACATGACTGAGCTGGACTTAGAGCCCACATTTCTAGAGTCATAGACCAGCCTGTCTCCGAAGAGCTTTCCAGTCCTAGCCAGCATCAGGTCTCTGCCAAGCCAGCCTCCCATACCCCTGCCCCACCATGCCAAAAACAGTAGCTAATATGTATTGAGCACTTACTATGTGGCAGTCTCTGTTCCAAATGCTCTATAAGTATTCAGTTACTTTATCTCACTTCTTAGGAAGTAGTGGTATTATCCCCATTTCACACATGGGGAAACTGAGTCACAGAGAATAACTTGCCCAAAGTCATCCTACTAGAAAATGGCAGAGTCGGGATTTGAACCCAGACCATAGGGCTCCAGATTCAAAGTGACTGACAGCTTAGGAAGAGACAGCTTCCCAGGAGCCAATGCCCATTGCCCTCAAGTCGTTACCCACTTACAATCTAATTGCTTTTACGTGCTGCTGAATTCCTTTATAAAAGTCTTCTTTACTATGTCTTAATTGGAGAGTCCCAGGGCCAAAAAGTAGACAGATTCAAAGTGGTTTCATGAAATATAATACAGGAAAATGATATTCATCTGTGGGAAAAATCCTACAGCTAAAGGGAAAAAGATCAGAGCAAAGAGCCACAGAGAAAACTTTTGTCTGGTGACTGGCCTGGGACAGAAGTCGAGACAGGGATCTTTGGTGACTGCTTGGTCCCTCCTCGATGTGTAAACTTGCTGTCTTCCCACCCATCCCTGGACCTCAGGATCTGTAAAGGGGGGGTGTTGATCTAAGAGATTTTCTGTTTCAAGGCCCTTCCAGCTCTGAAGTTGGAGGGTGGGGTGAGCTCCTTTGGACAGTTCCTCTATTGCACAATGGGTTTGCATGAGAAAGGCCCATTGAGAATTCCCTGCCCTTTTCACAGGAATCTGCTCTCAAGTGAGGTTTTCCCACCTATCGTGGGGCTGGACAATTCCTTTTGTAGGGAAGATCCCCTTAGGTCTAACGTAAGAGCCCCCACTCCCATTCTATCTTTCTTCTTCAAGGATGCTTTCTGTCATTTTCTTCATGTCAGACAAAACTCAGAACAGGCCTGAATTTGCCATCGTGTGCTGGGGCGTGTCCAGGCCTGTCAGAGATGCCACTGATTGCTTCATTATGCTGTTGCTGAGCAAATTGAGCCAGAAGGGGAGAGAGTGTGCTCTTTCCTTCATCCCAGTTCGAGGCGCTCCATTCCCTCCAGTCATGCAAGATGGGAGGAGCACCTAAGCCCACCTGCTGCAACGCGAACCCCTCAGCCAACTCACCCCATGACCCTGGTGAGGTGGTCAGCTCCCTTGGGGGAGAGAGGAGTTGGGATGACCTGATCTTCCTCTGCAGTTCAGCATCTGAATATAACTCAAGATGCATCGCCTCCCAGTTGCTTAAGCACTGACCTAGTTCACTCGCCATTCTTCTATTCTTTCCTTCAATAATTTGGGAAATATTTACTGAGACCCTGCTGTGCGTCCTACTCTGAGATGGCATCTGGACTCTCTGGAGTTTGTGGAATGGTCAGAAGAAGGCTATAGCCTGTATTCAGCTGGACCTGGATTCAAGTCCTGACTCTTGCACTTAACAAGGTATAAGATTTAGGGGAGCTGCCTCCCTCCTCCAATCTTCCATGCCCTTACTTACAAAACAGGCATATGAGGATCGACCTCCTACAGTGGCTGGGAGGGGCCTGTCTGTTATCTATTCGGCACCTGGCATGGGGTTACATAAGTAACTGTTAAGTTTCTTTTTTCTATACTCTCCAATCCTGCCTTCACCCTCAACTCTGCATATGTTGTGACTTTTGCAAGTATGTTTTCTACTCACTGGATCAGACAGACTCTTAGGGTGCTCTCTTCTCTTCTAACAATCCCCTGATGTGGTTTGGCTCTGTGTCCCCACCCAAACCTCATATTCAATTGTAATCCTCCCTAATGTTGGGGGAGGGGCATGGTGGGAGGTGATTGAGTCATGAGGGCTGACTTCCCCCTTGTTGTTCTTGTGATAGAGTTCTCTTGAGACCTGGTTGTTTGAAAGCATGGAGCACTTCCTCCTTCGCTCTCTCTCTCTCCTGCTTTGCCATCTGAAGAGGGTGCTGGCTTCCCCTTCACCCTTCTGCCATGATTGTAAGTTTCCTGAGGCTTCCCCACCCATGCTTCCTGTACAATCTGAGGAATTGTGAGTCAATTAAACCTCTTTTCTTTGTAAATTACCCAGTCTCAGGTAGTTCTTTGTGGCTGTGTAAGAATGGACTAATACACCCCTCAAAGCAGGATCTGAGTTTTCCTTTGAGACTGGGAGCTCCCTGAGAAAGAGCGCTCCTTCTCCCATCACTCAGCTGATGATCCCAGGAGTACTAAACTGGCTAAGCCCATAGTAAGGAATGGAACAGGAACTGACCAGGATGCTGACTTGTTCTAGCCGCTCTCACTCAAGAGGAAGGAAATTGTACTTCACAAATGTCTTCATATTCCTGTGTAGATCCTCTGGCTTCTCTCATCACCAATATTTTCCCAAGTGTGAAAAGCTCTTTCAGACTCAGCTTGTAGAAACAGGCCTAGGGAGGTGAATGAATTGAGGTGAATGCGTTAAGGTGACCGATCAAAACCAAAGGCATCGACTCCTCGGGCCCCCATTTCTCAGGTGATGGAGGATGGGGGATGATGTGAGTGGAAAACTGCAAAATGCACAAAAAGACAACCATGAGATGATCTTCTGCCTAGTCTCCTTGTCTGTTACATGTCATTCTTTCAACTTAGGCTGGATAATGCAGCCAGATTCATTTTCTATTAGGTTAGTGCACAGAAATAATCACACCATTTATTTTTGTGCAAAGAAATAATAATATGTGCAAAGAAATAATTGCACAATTATTTTTAATGGCAAAAAATGCAATTACTTTTGCACCAACACAATAGAAGTCTTCCTATTATCTGAGGAAGACTCACAGAACATAAAGAGCTAGAAGAAGCCTTTGAGAACACAGAGTTTCCCTCTCTCATGTGATAGATTAAAGAATTGAGGCTCAGGGTAGCTGAGACATTTGGCCATGGCCCAAGATCCAGTGAGGGTCAGAGATGAGACCAAGACCAAAGAATCCTAAACACATCTCTTTCTTTTGTACAGGGCACGGCAGTTTTCAAATTGCTCTGTAGTGCCTTATTAACCTTTATTTCCCTAGTGCCTGGAGCAGAGTCTGGCACAGATATTTACGAATGAAGGCTCTTGATGTTACCAACTTCTCACAATTATGTTAAATAGGCAGAGGTTATGTTCCTGTGAGGCTTTGGGGCTGCTGCTGGTGGTTCGTCTAACATTACCTGTAGAATAAGTGACATTATCGGCAACACTTTTTCCAGATGCCACGCCTTCCTCAGTGTTCTACCATGGCTTCCATTGACTGTTGAACAAGAATGAGACTCCTTGGTGTGGCAATTCAAGGGCTTGGGAATGTGGTCCTCAGGTTTCATCACTTCACACTGGATCAGAAATCTCTGATTTAGCCAGACCTCTTTCCTCATCACCCTACGCCCACGCCTTAAACATTCTCGAGCCTGTGTGACCCACATTCCTTCTGCACACACAGGTCAGCGCAGTGCTGCTAATATGTGAGCCCACAATAAGCATTTGGGGAATGAATGCTCACTCCATGCTCCCCATTTGTGCCCTCTCCTCTTTCCTTTTCTGTTCAGATACTACCCATCCTTCTAGGCCTCAGTCAAATCTCACCTCTTCCTGGAAGCTCTCCATGACCACCCTCATCCCCAGGAGTCTCTCCTTCTGAATTCCTATATCTTGTCCATGGTCATTTGACAATTAATCACCTACTCTGGGGCATTCTTTTGCTGTTTTCCCCTGTCTCCCCAATGTGTCCATAAGCTCCCAGCCAAGAAGACCCTTGTGTGCCTTGACTTCAACCCCCAGCTTGGAATTGAGAAACATCCCAGGCTTGATCAGTATCTGTGGAACAATAACAGTAAGGACTCTGGTACCCAGAAAAAGTGAATCCCTTACAGATGTCCCTCAGCCAGCCAGTAGCAGTGCTTAACTCAAATACCTGTTTTCTGGACCCACAGTCTGCACCCTTTCTACCAGACTGAACCACGCCGGCACCAAGCTTGCATCCTCGCCTATTTACCATTGTTGCCTCCTCACAGTCTCACTCCAGGCTGGGTTTTATCATCTTACAGAGGACCTTCAAGGGGAAAGTCCCTTGCCCGGGAGTCAAAAGGGCAGAGTTCTGATGTTGGCCTTATAGAAAAGGATACCTATCATGAGGATCATAGATGCAGTTGCCTGTGTAAGGGAATATTTGGTGGCTGCTTCTGTAGAACCGGCTCATGGTGACACCAGGTGAATCTCCTTCCCTGTCCAGATCTCAGCCTCCTCATCTGTAAAATGTGAATGACTGATCTCTTCTGTCCTACGTATTCCCTCCTAAGAGAAGATAATGAGATAAGGAAGCAGCGGACACCCTGAAGGATGCAACTCCTGCAACTTCTCTAAAACTGTTCTTGCCTCCAGACTGGCTTCTCTCCAATCTGTTCCCTGCTCAGGAGCTAAAGGGACCTTCCTATGGTGCTGATGTGTCCAGATCACCTCCTGGCCTCAAACTCTTCCATTCTTCCCACTGCCCTCAGTTGAGATCCAGGCTCCTTGCTGTGGCTTGCAAACCCTCCATGGGTTCCCTGCCAGTCTCTCCAGTCTCAGTTCCCCCTCAGTGCCCTTTGCTCTCAGGCACCACCCACAATGGATTTCTCCATGCTTCTCTTTCCCATTGAGCTCACCCAAATCTTTGAGGAGCTTGACTATGATCTTCCCCACCTTACACAAGTGGGTTCATGCCACCCCCTCCAGGTAGACTTCCATGATCACCAAGATGAGGTTGGCCCTGTGCTCTCTGGCCCCCACAGAGAGCTGCTCTCACACTGCTTCTCCCATTTATAGGTGGAGCCGATTCCTCGCCCTTTGAATATGGGCTGGCCCTGGTCACTTGCTCAACCAGTGGAATGCTGTGGCAGTGATGCCCTGGGACCTCCGTGGCCAGGTCATAAGAAGCTTTACAACATCTGTCTGGGTTTCTGAGAATGCTTACACAGGGGAAGCCAGCTGCCATGTAACGAGTCTCACTGCCCCAAGTCCGCCATGCTAGGAAGAAGGTCATTTTGGCCAGGTTGGGAGAAAGAGAGAGAGACACCTGGCTAGCATCAGCTGATCTGGCCATCCCAGCGGCGGTGTTATACATGCGAGTAAAGAAACATATTGAACTCCCAGTTAACCTGTAGAACTGTGGGAGATCATCATAAATTTATATTTTAATCCACTGAGTTGTGAGGGTGGTTTCTTACATGAGAACACATCCTCAAAACAGGTCCCCTGCTGTGTGCACTCACAGGACCCTGAGCTTCTCCTCTTAAGCATCCATCATGCGTTGTTGTGATTACTCATATTGGCAGAGAGGTTGACTATTCAACCAAGACTCTGCTTCCCTTCCATAGGTAGTGTAGTTGTTGGAAAGCGGTCACCCAGCCAGAGGCTACCTTTTCAAGCCCCCTTTGCAGCTTGGCAGGTTCTGAGTTCACCTTTGCTGAGATTGTGAGCAAAGGTGATGTGCATCACTTCCAGTCCTGGCCTACAAGCATGTCCTATGCAGTTTCTGTACTTCCTGTTTTCCTCTGTCTATCAGTTGGATGTGACTTTGGGAACATACGTTGAAGATGAAGGTGCTTCCATCAGCCTGCGTCCCAGAGAACTCCCTTCCTCACCCACAGATGGACTTTTAGGCAGGAGAGAAATAGACTTTTACTTTAAGCCACTTGAGATTGGAGGGTGGTGGTGGTTCTACTACACATCATCTTAACAATACACGTGTTCATTGCCAATTAATCATGTACTCCGGGACATTCTTTTGCTGTTTTCCTCTGTCTCCTCAATGTGTCCATAAGCTCCCAACCAAGAAGACCCTTGTGTACCTCGACCTCAACCCTTAGCTTGGAATTGGGAAACATCCCCGGCTTGATCAGTATGTGTCGAACAATAACAGTAAGAACTCTGGTACCCAGACAAAGGAAATGCCTTAGCAATGTCTCTCAGCCAGCCAGGACATGAGACACAGTTTAATTCTCTTGTCACCAGCTAGACTGTAAGCACCATGGTGGCAGAGACAGCCTCTGCCTTGTTCTCCAACGTATCGATGCACTAACCCAAAGCCTGGCACAGAGTGGACATTCAGTAAACACCTGGTGAGTGCATGCTCTCTTTATTTACTTTCCTGCCTGGGTTATCTGAATCACACTTCACCTCCAGGCTAAGCTTTGATGGCTCGACTATCATGCCCAGCCAGGTGGCGAAACTGAATGCAAAAATTCCTTGTAGAAAGCTGGGAAATCCAGCTTTCAATTCCTCCCATTTCTTTGGCTTGATTTTAATGACTGATGTTTTTTAGGTCTTTTTTTTTTTAAGGTAGGGGAGGGTTAGGCGGTGGCAGCTTCATTTTAATCAGAAGCTAAAAGGCTCATTGGTTTTTCTGATATCCTTTGAATGGACTCCTTCTCCACAGACAGCTCCTCACAGCTGTTAGGACTTCAAATTCCTCATGCATTGATGGGGGCAGAGAAAAGATATGAAAGGCTTTTCGGCTGACACAAAAGAGGGGAAAAATGTGGAATAAAAACGACAATGTGGTTAATACATAAAATGGTGAAATTTCTGGCACTCGCTGTATCATTAATCTGTCTAAAGTGGCTTTGATCTCCTCTGCTTTAATTAACTTGTAATTATAACGCGATGATTTCTGCAGCGGGCAGAATCTGGGAGCTGGGCCCTGAAAGAGACTTCAGCCTCCGAGAGGCAGCCTAACGCAGTATGTGTGGCATCCGCCTGTCAGAAAGAATGCTTCCCACATCTGCCCTTGCACACGTGCACACACATGCACCTTCAGAACCCAGGCTTCCCCATCACATGCTGTCATGGGATAGTAGCTATGTGTTCAACCAGCTGCTCAGATCCTACATCTGAGTTGGGGGTTACTGGGCAGCATGTCACAGGTTAAGTTGGTAGAGAAGCAGGAGATATCATCTCTGAATGCCATTTCATTCTCATGACAACTTTGGCAGGTGGCTATGATTAGTCCTACTTCCTGGATGAGGACACTGAGGCACAGTTTAGTTCTCTTGTGTAAAGCTTCCCACTGAAAAGGTGGCTGCAGTAAATTGACATGTGGACCTCGACTCCTCACCCCACCCTAGCCTTGGCCTCACTATGAATGGAATGCCCTTCTCCACTCCTGACAGTGAGTTTGGCCATGAAGCTTGTTTCAGTGGCTGGCACATTGGTGAAGGTGCCAATGGGTGCAGTTCTGAGACTTTGGCCTTCCACGCTTGTGTGTGTTTCCATGGATTCCCTTGTGCTGCAGCCTTAGCTATGAGAACATGCCCAGTTTTGCCTTCAGGTCCCCAAGGGGAGGGTGAGAGACAGGTGGAACACAGTTGCCCCCATGGAGGTCAGCTAGGATCAGCCACCCCCCGCAGACCTGCAGGTGCATGAGTGGGAAGAAGTAATTGCTGTTGGAAGTCGCTGAGTTTTGAGGCAGCAAGAGCTAACCAATAGATTGGAGGGACTGGAATTCAAACCCCAGCCCCTAGGTCCATCTGTCTTTAAGGTCCATGCTCTTTCCTTAATGCCATGTGTCCTCAGTGCTGAGGGCCTTCTAGGCAACCAGTCCAGTGTTTTGCAGACTGGTGAGGGTGGGGAGGAGAAGAACTTAGTTCCCAAACTCTGCCCCCATCACCCCCACACCAACCAGAGTTACTCTGCTTTGATCTGCCTCGCACTGGCCTTCTCTGTAATACTTCATTGAGAGGATGTGTTCTGTTGCTTAAAAATGTTTGAAAACCACGGCTGGGTGTGGTGGCTCACGCCTGTAATCCCAGCACTTTAGGAAGCCAAGGCGAATAGATCACAAGGTTAGGAGTTCAAGACCAGCCTGGCCAAGATGATGAAACCCCATCTCTACTAAAAATACAAAAAATTAGCTGGGCGTGGTGGCAGGCACCTGTAATTCCAGCTACCTGGGAGGCTGAGGCAGAGAATTGCTTGAACCTGGGAGGCAGAGGTTGCAGGGAGCCGAGATCGCACCACTGCACTCCAGCCTGGGCGACAGAGCGAGACTCTGTCTGAAAAAAAAAAAAAAAGTTTGAAAACCACGAATCTACTCTAACTCCCTCATTGTACAAGTGAGGAAACAGAGGCCCAGGGAGAGGCAGTGACTTGGCAAAGACCACAGCTGTTTAGTGTGGTCCTGGTGGAGCCAAGATTACAAGCTTTCCCAAGCCCCTTCGAAAATGATGTCATGAGGCTGGGCGTGGTGGCTCATGCCTGTAATCCCAGCATTTTGGGAGGTTGAGGTGGGTGGATCAATTTAGACCAGCTTGGCCAACATGGCAAAACCTCATCTCTACTAAAAGTACAAAAATTAGCTTGGCGTGGTTGTGAGTGCCTGTAATTCCAGCTACTCAGGAGGCAGAGGCACAAGAATCACTTGAACCCAGTAGGCAGAAGTTGCAGTGAGTCGAGATCGTGCCACTGGCCTCCAGCCTGGGCAACAGACAAAAAAAAAAAATAAATAAATAAATAAAAATTAAAATTAAAGAAAATGACATCATGATATATGTCATGAATCTTCAGGATAGAAGGACTGGGCAGGGAGAGCAGTGAGGCAGCAGATTGCAAAACTAAGGCTCTGAGTGGTGAAGCCCTGGGTGTGGAGGCCTCTGCCGTCTGAGACTTTCCCAGAGCTCGTGGGAGCCAAGCTCACATGTGAGGGAGATAAGGAGATTGCCTTTCCAAGAAGGAAGCCAACAGAAGAGAAATCCAGCTGAAGAGGGAGGAGAGAGAAATCCAGCTTAGAAAGACACAGTCTGAGTCCCTGGATCAGGCTGTGCCTGAAGTCCATCCTGTCCTAGACTTACGAGTTGATTGAGCAAATAAAATCCCCCTGGCCTAGGCCAGTCTGGGAATGGGTTTTTCATCCCCAGATGAGGGGATGAGGTTTCACTGCCTCTAGGCTCCCTGGCAAACAAATGCATGTTTCTCCAGAAGAGGTTAAAATTAAAAGGGAATAATTCAAATAGTGATTTTTTTCTAGTAATTTCTTCTTGGGGTCACTTCTGATCATATGTTTAAAAATAAGGTGGGCTCAGGGCTGAGAGGATCCTGTGGTCTGTATTCTCTTATCCAACCCTCATTGGCCTCTTTGATACTCTCTGCTTGCAGTGCTCTGGGCCATGAATCAGGAACCAGAGACCAACGTTCTGCTGTTGAAACGCTGTGTGACCTTGAAAAAGTCACTTACCCTTTCTGGAGTTCAGGCTAATTGGTGCTTGTGGCTTCAAAAGGGGTCTCAGGTCCCTTCCAGCTCCCAGGCCCCTTGCCTCCAAGCCTGCAGCAGTACATCTCGCCTCTGAGCCCCTGCAGATGGTTCTCTCTCTGCCTGAAACACCATTTCTCCCCAGCTAGCTGGAATCATCTTTCCAAATTCAGCACAGCTCACTTTCCTCAGGGAAGCCTTGCTGACTTGGCTCCTGCCCCAACTAGCGTGGGCGTCCCCTGTCTGGGCTCCCATTGGTTGCTGTTGAGCTGGGTGGCGTTCTCTGTGCAACACTGATGGGACCATTCAGCGATACAACTGGAGACTCTGGCATCCTCAGTACATGTAGATCCGCCCTGATGCTGGGAAAATGGGCCTCTATTTAGCAAACAACCTCTCGTGGTGGCAGAGTTTGGAGCCAGAGGTTGTGGAGGTGGCCCATGGCAATGTGCACCTGTTACTGGCATCTCTCTTCCCCAACCCCGCTTTCCTCTGCTTTCTGTCTAGCCTTTACATGTATTTCCACCTTCACTCCTTTGTCCTTGCTCTCCTCCCCTTTCCTTGTCATCCTTCCCCTTCAAATAACCTCACAGACCCAGGGCCATGGCAAGCTCAGTTCCTCCAAGAAAACTGACTCCTTGGCATTGCACCTGGCGGGCTCCAGCCCCCTGCACATCTCTTATTTCTCACGAGAGTCAGCCTTGTTCTCCCAGCCTGACCATCAAGCACCCCTGGGCAGGACTCTGAGTCCCAGCTCTGGCTCTCCAGCATCTGGTTCAGGGCTGGGCACAAAGCTGTCTCCTGTTAAACTGTTGAATGACACATATTTGTGTTTCTAGTTGTGCTCAGTGAAAGGCTAGGGACACATAGGCAGCATCTTGCTAATCTGCTCAGCAATTCCATGAGGTTGTCATTCACTGATTCATTCATTCATTCATTCATTTACCCATCCAACATATTTCTTGAGCACCTTCTGTGAATCAGGCACTGCATTGGGCGCTGGGATGTGGTGGGGTCCATGGCTTCCTGTGAGAAATCGAGGCACACAGTGATGAAGGGGCTTGCTCAAGGCCACACACCTGGTTTGAGGTATTTAGGATTCAGACCCAGACCTGTCTCACTCTTAGTATTGAGCTCCTAACTGCTGTGCAAACTGCATCTGCAGACCCCGCTTCCCTGAGCATGCTTTTCCTTCCAGGCTCCATCTCTCTCCTTTTGCCATGCTGTCATTACTCACCCACCCACTCACTGGATATCACTAATTCAATCATCCGTTTACTCAGCCATGCATGTATTTATTCACTCTTTCTTTCTTTCATTCTTTCATTCAGGCTCTTCCTAAACTCCTGGCCTGCCCAGACAATGTGCTGGGCATTGGGCACAGCCAACATCAATCCTAGAATCCAAGTTGGGGTTTCCAGGGCCAAGATCCCAGCAGCATTGTGGGAGGGAGAGAGGGAGAGGGGCCCATCCCCACCAGGTCTGGGCCAGCCAGGTGTTTCTCCAGGTGTGGTCAGCCCCAGATGAGGTGGGCAGGTGAGATGACAGGGCTACAGAGGACAACGTTGGGAGCCCTAGAGAGTCAGGAGCAAAACTGTGGGTGAATGTCAGTATTTTTGGACAGGAAATAAGTGCTATGCAAATGGAATGCAAAACTATGCAAATCATGAGCATTCAATTTCAGTCCAAAGCTACTTTTGGTAATAAGTCTGTGGCAGGGCTGGTAATTGGCAGGGAGGGTGCATTACATGTCCCGCCTTTGAGGGGAAGGCAGAGCTGTGCTGGGGGGTTGTACTCTGAGGCAGTCTGTGATAGCTGCTGATATGGGGGGTCATTATGGGGCTGGGCAGTGTGGGGTGCAAGGGAAAACAAAAGCAGTCATGACTGGGGTGAGGTGGGATTTCTGGGAAGAGGCAGGGTTTGAGAGGAAGATACAAGTCTGAAACCAACACCAACCACTGAGTAAGGAGGTACCTCTCAGGCAGGGGTGCAAGGGCAAGGAGGCAAAGTGAGTGGTCACCTGGGCATGGGATTTGGAGCGCATGGACATGGGGTAAAGAGAAGCCAGGAAAGGTGAGCAGGACCACAGTCTGAAGAAGTTTGGCCTAGAGCCAGGGTGAAAAGCCCAGATGCTTCCAGAGGCCAGCATTAATGGGAGGAATCAACTGTTGTCTGCATTTTAAATACATGGAAATATCCATCACTTCCATAAAGAAACATGCTGTCTTTATTTTCTTTGAATTCATAGGCCCTCAAGGTCTATCTTTTGTTTGCCAACTTTTGACAGAGACACATACAGGGAGCTTTCTCTAAAACCACAAAGCCAAGAGCAGAAGATCCATGGTGACTGTGCTCAGACTCCTCATGGGGGAACAGGAGTTAGTGACGAGGACAGGGTCAGAGTGCGGGGATGGTGCATATTCTACTCTAGTGGGGCAGCTGCTCCTCAGACCCAGATGGGCGGTGCTGTGCAGGAAGGCAGGGTATAAGATCTGATTTCTCATTTTTATTTTTGTTTTGTTTTATTATATTATATTATATTGTATTATATTATATTATATTATATTATATTATATTATATTATATTAATTATATTATATTATGTTTTTTGAGACAGGGTTGCACTCTGTCACCCAGGCTCGAGTTCAGTGGCACGATCTCAGCTCACTGCAGCCTCGACCTCCCAGGTTCAAGGGATCCTCCCGCCCCAACCTCCCCAGTAGCTGGGACTACAGGTACAAACCACCATACCTGGCTAACTTTTTTATTTTTTGTAGGGAGATGGTTTCACCATGTTGGCCAGGCTGGTCTTGAACTCCTGGGTTCAAGCGATCCACCTGCCTCAGCCTTCCAGAGTGCTGGGATTACAGGCTTGAGCCCCTGTGCCTGGCCAAGATCTGATTTTTCAAAAGAAGGATTCTATGTGAGCATCCAATATTTAAATGTTGGGTCAAACTCTGTTTTAAATTTTTAGTACACTGTATGTACAAAAAGAAAAAAAAAGAAAGGAAATGGAAAGATGGGAAATCTGAAGGCCAGGAACAACCAGTTGAGGCCTTTCTGATGGAAGCTGGGTTCAGGAAGGAGAGAAGGCTGGAGTTGGGAAGGGCCGGTATCAGGCAGGGCCCACACTTATGTCCATTGGCCGCAGGTCAGCAAAGCAGCTTTGGTGATCTTGACTGGGTTCTCTCACGTATGGGACCTGACTAGGACGACTGAACTGATTGAGTTCTGCTTATTCCTCCAGAAGTCTCATCCAAGAATGTTCTCACCAGAGGTAGAAAGGCAAAGCAGAGACCAAAACTCATATAACTCTTGAGACAAGGGTTTGAAACTGGCATATAGGCATGACTATTGATCAAAAAACCTTCATGGCCAAGCCCAGATTCAAGGGCTAAGGACACAGGTTCTTACTCTTGATGGGCAGAGCTGCAAAGTCCCATTGCAATGGGTGTGGATGCAAGGATAGATGGAGAAATAGGGCCATTTTTGCAGTTCATATACAACAGCAGAGCTTTGGGTAAGTCGCTCGCTCTATCTGGCCCTGTTTTGTCATCTGTAAAACAAAGACATTGCATAGGATGTTGTTTCTAGCTCAGATGACTTGTGGACCCACTTCATCCCAGGCTTCCAGGGCCCATCTGGATTCTAGCTGGCCACAGTGAGGAGGAGGCTCTTGCCTCCGCCTCTTCTCTGCTGGGCCCAGCAAGTGCCTGCTCTGGGATCCTGGGCATCTTTCATCTGAAATCAGTAGCTCCTCTTGTTTCTTAATGGGCTCCCTGATGGTCAGCAGCTGTGGTAGAGTCATGGGGAGAGATGCATTAGTGTCTCTCATGGCCCTGAGAGGCATTCATTCTTAATGGAGGAGGGGATGTGGTTGATTTGGTCTCCCCATTGTTTGAGATATTAATGAAGTTTTTATGGATGCCACCTTGGTGGAGAGGGTGACACAAAGGAGAGAACTATCTTACAGACTCAGTTTCTACATGCTGAAGCCTGTATGAGACTGCATATAAGGGATTTATTTCATGCATGTATGCATCCATCCATCCATCCACCCATGCATCCATCCACAATCATCCATCCATCTATCCAAGCATCCAAGCATCCATCCATCCATCCATCCATCCATCCATCCATCCATCCATCCAAGCCTCCATTCATCAGTCTTTTTTTTTTTTTTTTTTTTGAGACGGAGCCTTGCTCTGTTGCCCAGGCTGGAGTGCAGTGGCACGATCTCGGCTCACTGCAAGCTCCGCCTCCCGGGTGCACGACATTCTCCTGCCTCAGCCTCCCGAGTAGCTGGGACTACCAGCGCCTGCTGCCACGCCCAGCTAATTTTTTGTATTTTTAGTAGAGATGGGGTTTCACCGTGTTAACCAGGATGGTCTTGATCTCTTGACCTCGTGATCCTCCTGCCTTGGCCTCCCAAAATGCTGGGATTACAGGCGTAAACCACCACGCCCAGCCCATCAGTCTGCTTAAGGCCTTCTGTGTGTTAATCCAGCTACTGTTAATCCAGCTACAGACAGTACAGAGATGAATAAAACATAGCCCCAGCACTGTAGAGGGGAGGACACACAAATAATCAGTCAATGCACCATTCTGGGTGTTGGGTGCAGCCAAGCATGGAGAAAGGAACCACGCAGAGTAAATTCTGCCCCAGGCCTGAGAGGGAACTGTACTCAGGCTGAAACCTAGAGATAGATGTGGCTGGCTTTCTGCAGGCTCAAACCGCTGTCCTATTGATGGGTCCCATGCTGCCTTCCAACATGTAAAGGATGAAGGGACACCACAGGATGGAATATGAGGATCAGAGCTTTGCCCATCGTGGACCTGCATTTAAGAAGCTGAACCATGAGAGTCTTCATGGATGAACACCATGGTGATGGGATGTGTACCTCTGGGAGCCTTGGTACTAAGCTTCTGACATCATCCTGTGGCCTGGGCCCCAAGGAATGGCCACTCCCTCCTACCCCTGCTGCACTTGATCAGCTGTGAATAAGCATCCCAAGCCCCTTGCTTTGTGGCCACCTGTGGGAAGGGCTACTGAGGAGCCAACTTCAGGTAAGAAGTCGTATAGGTGGAGTGATGGCCCTGGGCTCCATCCACCACAAAACTCCCTACAAGAGTGGGTGGAGGTGGGGGCCAGGAAGTCAAGGAGACCCTTTTCTTCAGTAAGACAGAGCCCAACCCACACTCCTAAATAGATATGGTTAACTTCTTTTGCAGCCACAGAAAAATGTCTTTGACCTCAAAATTATGCAAATAATTTTAGAAAAACCCCTGAAGTCCACCTTGAACCTCAGGATAAGAGCTCCAACCTAAGAAGATTGGTTCAACTAATTAGAGTTCCGACTCAGACCAATAAAACTTTCTCGTATCATTAGAGAAAGCTGGTACCCAAGATGGGAAAGAAAAGGCTTTTGCCTGTAATTTTCAACTGCTGGCTCCCTGCTCCTGGGAGATGTAGCCACCCAGGAAGACCAGGGAAAGCAGCCATTTCTTTCTGTAGCTAGAGCCAGGACATGCCAGGCAAGAAGGAAATTTCACATCCAACGTGAACCTTTTTGCCATGGAAAACCTCAGTATCGATTCATCACTTATTACCTCTCTAGTTCCAAAGATGGATTATGTAGATATGTAAAATAAGTGTAACAAATAAAGGAAATACATTTAAAATGTACAAGAATTGGCCAATTTTGCAATATTTCACCTCAATTTTATATGCTGTCAAATACACTTGAAATACATGTGCGCTAAGCATGACAAATACATAGAAACTAAAGCTCTATTATTTTGCTGTAATGGGCCGGGGGAATAGCTCTGAAATAATATTCTTCTGTCTGCAATAAAGGCTTTTCTCTGAAGCTGTCTTAATGCTGTGAACAAAGCCTGGAGATCTCTCAAGGGCTCCTTCTCTTGAATTACTGCCCCTCTCAAGGCCTTCTGCCATGATAAGTTCACCAACCACCTGGCGGGTGGATAGGGACCGAGACGGTGAAGCAGCGGGGTTGAGGGAGCATAAGCTGCCACGCACAGGCTGGTAGGGGTGGAGAGGATGGGTGAGTGTGAGAAGGCACACCCAGAACCAACAGTGTCTGGGTGGCAGTTGTGCCATGCTCAGTCCCCACACTCTGGAGATGCACCTTATCTGTCAACATCTACACTTAGGCAGCAGCCCTCAGGAACACCGGAGGTCAATTCAGCTTGAGAGCTGGACTCCTCTTAAGTGACCATGTGGCATGGGCAGCCCACTACCCAGCAGGAGGCGGGGGAAGAGTCTAAAGGCCTCAGGGAATCAGACTCTGCAGCCAGTCAGTGTCAGAGCTGCACTCTGCTGTTCACAGACTCTGCTCTGGGTCAGGTCTCATAACTTCTCAGAGACTCACTTTTTTTTTTTCTTTTTGAGACGGAGTCTTGCTCTGTTGCTCAGGCTGGAGTGCGCTGGGTCCATGATCGCTCACTGCAGCCTCCACCTCCTGGGTTCAAGTGATCCTCTGCCTCATTCTCTCCAGTAGCTGGGCTTACAGGTGTGTGCCACTACCCCCTGCTAATTTTATTATTATTATTATTATTATTATTATTATTTTGTAGAGATGGGGTCTTGCTATGTTGCCCAGGGTAGTCTGGAACTCCTGGGCTCAAGTGATCCTCCCGCCTCAACCTCCCAAAGTACTGGGATTATGTTTGATCACTGCACCAGGCCGAGACTCAATTTTTTTTTGCTATGAAATAGTCATAACAATTCCAGCCTTATTGGATTGCTGTCACCTCACCCTCCATCTCCAAGGGATGTTATTTACTTTGTACTCTAAGTAGATGATGCTCCCTGAAGTTGTGCAGTGTGCTACCTGTGCAGCAGTACATGGCAGCTGTGTATGATGTAAAGACCCCAGCACACAGTAGGTATGTAATAGGTAATAGCTGTTATTATCATTGTGATTCTTATTCCTAAGTACAACTAGCTCTAGAATATTGTATTTGGAAGGGGTCCAGAGGGGGGCTGTTTCCCAGAGTGATTAAAAGAGAGGACATTGGTGAAAGTTGCTTAATCTCTCTTTGCCTTAGTTGCCTCCTCCATCAAATGATGATAATAAGAGAGCCTATGGCAGGGGTTGCTGTGAGGATTTAGTCTGATAATTCAAGTTCAAGCCTTTGTTGGGCAGTGTCTGCCACAAGGCAGATGTTGAAAATGTTAGTTCCCACAGAGTATCTGGATAATAGAGGGAGAGTGTGTCCATCACGAGGCTGAGAGCAGTCAGCAGCGCCACACCAGATGCACCCACAGCATGTGGATCAACTGCAAAAATCCAGGGCTGGAACAGAAATGCCATTTAGTATCCTGAAAATGCACAGACTAAACAGCAATGTGCATTTCATAAAAGGACATACAAAGAGAATACACATAAAACGTGTCAGAAGGGTTGCCTACCGAAACGAAGGTAACGGGAGTGGAAATTGAGGATAAGGGGGAACATGTAGTTGAATAAGAATGGGATGCGACAAAACCATAATTAGCTGGTGTCAGTCTCTGGGCAGGGCTCTTTCTTGGAGCCACAAGTGGCAGATCACTTTCAGGTGCTTAGTCACTCCCTCCTGGGGTGCAGAAGCTCTGTCAGCCCTGGTGGCATTTTTCGAGTTTTCAACTAATCAGTTTGAGAAGGGGTTCCTCAGCCTATTTAAATTCAATCGGTTACTTTTCTTTCTACTTGCATGGCTTTTGTGGACTTTCCGAGCTCTGAAATTCTAGCCCCATTGAATTTCAGAGCTCGGAAAGTCCACAGAAGCCATCCAGTCCACTCAACTTCCAGACAAGGGGAAGCAAGAGAAAGACAGTGGAGTGGACAGCATGGCCCATGGGGCCAGTGACTGTGGAGAAGTTTTAATATGAACAATGCTGAATGCCTTACGGTAACCTCGCCTTGCAGGGTAACCTTCCCACCAGCACTCCACATATGGAATTGAGCCTGCTACATGCAATGCCTCCTGTAATGGTTTTGGAGAAAATCAGGAAAATGGGACAGGGTTCTGTAGCTGGACCAGTGCAGCTGCAGGGGATGACAGAGTCTGATGGGGAGAACTCTGTGCCGGAGGTGACCACATGCACCTGCTCCCCTAAGAGAGCTCAGAAAACTTGAGGAGGGCATCAGGCTTGCCACAGAATGTCTGATAAGAGACTTGAGTCAATTACATTTTTATATTAAAGGCCAGGGGTCCTCGTCTTATACTGAGCCATAAGAGGAAGCGGGAAGCATTACCAACCAGCTTGTCCGTGGGGTTCTCCCAGCATCTTGTGGGCATGTCACCAACATTGCAAAGGAGGCAGAACTAAAACTGCTGGACTGGGCGGTGTCAGGCAGAGACATGAACGTTTTCTAGTTGAAAAATGAATGAATGAGCAGTGGATGTTCTGTGCAGCACCTGTTACCTAATTTTGTGTAATTTTTCCATTTTTCAACTAATCCGTTCGGGGATGTGTTACGTGTTCCTCAGCCCATGTTTATTCAGTTGGTTACTTTTCTTTCCACCTGTTTCTCATCCTTCTCTCCATCCTCTCTTTCTCCCTGCACCTGTACTATCTCCTGTCCTCGCTATCCTCCTCGCCTCCTCCTCAGCATGGAGACACTGCCCTGTGAGCCAGCCATGACCCCAGTCTTTGAAGACGCTTCACCATGTAGGAAAAAAATCTAACTGCCCAGAATATCGATTTTTAAAATTTATTTATTTATTTATTGTTTATCTTTGAGACAGAGTCTCACTCTGTCACCAGGCTGGAGTGCAGTGGCACAGTCTTGGCTCATTGCAACCTCCGCCTCCTGGGTTCAAGTAATTCTGGTGCCTCAGCCTCCCGAGTAGCTGAGATTACAGGCACACGCCACCACGCCTGGCTTTTTTTTTTTTTTTTTGTATTTTTAGTAGAGACGGGGTTGCACCATGTTGCCTAGGGTGGTCTCAAACTCCTGGGCTCAAGCGATCCACCTGCTTTGGCCTCCAAAAGTGCTGGAATTGCAGGCGTGAGCCACTGCACCCGGCTCCCAGAAGATCCATCTGCCTCAGTTGTCCGCTCAGCCTCCTGCCTCCCAAAGAGGACAGAGGGCCTTTTGTGTCACCAATGAGCTGGCAAGGGTCCTGCATTCCAGGAGGGAAGGGCTAAGTGCCTGAAAGTGTGTACACATATTCACACTCTTGCATTCTTACAGAGTCAGAAGCATAGATGCACACACAGCAACGCAAACACGGGCACACAAACACACAAAGGCACGCCTTAGAGGCACCATGTACATATATGCCCCTGAATATAGATGCATACCCAGACATGTATGCACACAACGACCCACATGTAGGTATGTGCACATATATGCATATGCACCTAAGCATACAAATGGCAATAAATAGACACCTATGTGCAACCAGACATATACAGCCAGGTGAACCAGGAAATGGAATAGGAAAGGTCTTTTCTACCCACCCACTTCACACAGGTACACAAACCAACATGCACCACACAGAAAGCACCACACAGGTGCTCAGCATGTACACAGCCAGTGGTCTTCTCCCTGCCCCTCCTCCCCTCCTGGCATTTGGGGGGCATGCCGGCAGTGAGTTGGGGCTACAAGAAGCCAAAGCAGAAAGATACATCATGGGACCCCCATGGAAGCTGTGATATGTTTGATCACATGAGCTCTACCTCCCTCTGCCTGATCTAAAATTGCATCCCACCACCGTTTTGTTCTCTTTCCCTTGCTTCATTTTTCTCCATAACACTTCCCACCACCTACCATATGATGCATTTTACTTCTCCTTCTTGTCTGCTTCCTGTCTCTCCACTATAACATAAGCTCCATGAGAGTGGGAGTTGGACTTGCTCTGTTTATTGCTTTATTCATCCTCAGTACATAGCAGGTGCTTAATATATATTTGCTGAATGAATGAACAATCCTGTGAGGCAGGTGTTTTCAACTCAATTTTACAGATGAGGAAACTGAGGATCCTAAAAGTGCAGTGATTTGTCCGAACTCACAAGGCTGGGAGCTTGAATTTGAACCCAGGTTGATCTGGCTCAGAAGTCAAACATTGTATTTACTGCACCTGGCTACCACTTGGCTGCAGGTGACCATCTTCCAAGCACCTTGCAAAAATTCCAAACATTTGGTTGTCAAACTTTGGTGTTCATCCAAATCAGGGCAGATCCCTGTGCTCCCCATAGCCCTAATTAAGTCAAATGGATGCTGTGGAACAGCTGGGTACTATTTTCTCAAGAGACCCAAACACCCAGGATGTTACTTGCTAAACCCTCCCACCGTGCTCCTGAAATCACTACCAGCAACACTGTCTTTCTGAAACTTACCTGTTTGGGCAGTGGTAGCTACACCTTATTATTATTATTTTTTAATCTTTGAGCATGATTTTAGGAACATCAGCTGTGTTGAGGAGGCAGCCTGTTATTATAGCTGTGTGCATGGACTCTGAACTCAGACTGCCAGTCTGAGGTCTGGTTCTATCACTTTTGCTAATTGTGCACACTTTGGTGACTTATTTAACTTCTCTGCACTTCCACTCTCCTACCTATGGAATGCTGACTTTGGTGTACATGATTGTCTCCCATATTTCTATCTTTCTTTTTCTTTTAGTAATAGAATTGCTGGATTTCAGCTGGGCACATGGTCCCCTGATAAAGACTACATTTCCCATACTCCTGTATTGCCAGGTATGGCCATGTGATTATGTGCTGACCAATATGATTTCAGAGGAAATTTCAGGAGCAACTTCCAGTCATGCCCTTAAAATAAAATGGAATATCCTCCACTTCCCCTCTCTCCTCTGCCTGTTGGTGAGAATGCTGGACCTTGAGATGGAAGCCACATGTTTTCAACAGCAGGGAATAAATTTGGAGGCCTTGTCCCTGGCATTGGAAGCTACCTTATCAGCCCTGATCGACTGTTAGACAAGGGAGAAACTTGTGTCTTATTTAAAGCACCCCGTTTTGGATTTTGTTACAGCAACTGAGTCTTTAGTTTGACTCAAACTGACTGGTTCCAAAGTGAGTGCAGCCATAATGAGACTTAAACCGTAAGGCTCTGGTTCAGTGGCCAAGGAGCAGGTGGTGAAGATGGAGATATCTCAGGATAGGAAGACGGCCCTTGTTATGATGAGGCAAAACATCTGGTGTTGCCTGCGAAACCTCGGAAGCAGATCATGTGCCAATAGTGTGTGTCCCTCTCGGGGGTCTGTTGGAAATCCCAGAATGTAATATGTATTGACTTATTCTTTCGTGCTTAGCAAAGTCCCACAGGAGGGGTGATGTCAGGTTCATTAGAAAGGGATTCGGAAGAGGAAGCCTGAGCAGGGGCAGGAGAGAAGAAGACTGAAGCTCAGGCTTTTCTCAGGCACCTCAAGCCAGACCATAGAATAAAATACGGCTGCAAAGGTCCCATTAGGGTGATCTCTTCCCCCAGCCCACTATCCCACATGGCCCCAGGAGGCCACCTTCAGGTTGGGGGCTAGGCAGGACAGAGACACTAGGAAATTAAAGATAAACATTTTCAAACATAAAAACTATCTGGAAGAGATCTTGGTTGTTGTTACTTGTACATGGAACTGAGAAGAAGTAAATTCAATGAAACTCTATGCAATTCTTAAGGGAATTATATTGCGAAAGAAATTGTGCATTTCTCTGGGACAAGGTGACTGCTCTAGACAAAAGCCTGCTGCTTTCTGACATGGGGCTGACAATGTATCCAGGCACCTCTGGTCAAGCCCACTCACTCTTGGAAATGCACATTCCTGCCCTGGCAGGCTAGAGCTGGGCCTCAGAGCTCATCTGGTTCACTGCCTTCTCTCGTTTTGCATATAGAGAAATAGAGGACCAGAGAGGGACAGTGGCCAGCCACAGAACACACAGCTTTCTAGTGGATGGATTAGGGAGCAATGACCCCCGTTCCAGGATTCACCACAGGTTTCTAACTGTCATCCACTCCTTTTTGCATAACTTCAAGGACCACGTGTGATGAAAAGAAATGATGCTTGTGAAAATAAAGTGTGTGGTCTGGGCACAGTGGCTCATGCCTGTAATCCCAGCAGTTTGGGAGGCCAGGGTGGGTGGATCACCTGAGGTCAGGAGTTTGAGACCAGCCTGACCAACATAGTGAAACTCTATCTCTATGAAAAACACAAAATTAGCTAGGCGTGGTGGCATATGCCTGTAATCCCAGCTACTTGGGAGGCTGAGGCAGGAGAATTGTTTGAACCTGGGAGATGGAGGTTGCAGTGAGCTGAGATTGCACCATTGCACTCCAGCCTTCCAGCCTGGGCAACAAGAGCAAAACTGTCTCAAAAAAAAAAAAAAAAAGTGTGCAAAAACGATGGACTATGAACCAAGCTAGTGGCATCTGCATAATTGCCACCCCTTTCCTGACCCCTACTCACTCTGCCTCCTTCCAGGGCCATGGAGGATGTTCTGGCAAAGAGAAAGCAGCACCCAGGCGTGAGCACCACTGCCTGGATATGAGTCCTGATTGTGCCACTTACTACCCATGTGACCTTGAGCAGGTAATTTATTTCCACAGGCCTCAATCTGTAACAGTAGCACCTATCTCATGGGGTTGTTGTAAGGCTTAGACAAGGAAATAATACAAAATGCCTAGTATGGTGTCTGGCACGTAGTAAATGCTCAATTAACATCAGGTATTGTGTTAGGGTGATTAATGTGAGCTGCGAATTCTAACATTAAGTGGCTTCATGCAATTGTTTATTTCTCACTCATATCAACCTGATGCCAGCCAGTGGCTCTTCTCTATCTTCTAACTAGTTAATTAACACCACTCAAGTCTTCAAGCAGGGAAGAGAGGGATGGAAGATGTTTCTAAGGGCCAGGCCTGGAAGTGACACACATCACCTCTGCCCACATCCCAGTGGCCAGAAGTTGTCAAAGGCACCACTAAACTACAAGGGAGTCATTCACCACGTGCCTGGGAGAGAATAGAGCATTGTGGCCACCAAGGCTCCTGCCACAGCTGGGCTGTAACACTGACTCTATTCCTTGTATAGTGTGTGGAGCTTGACATGTTTAACCTTCTGAGCTTCTGTTTTCTTGTAAATGGAGCTAACGACACCAGTGTTATTATTGTGAGGTTCACATGAGGAAAGGTAAGTTCAAGGTGCCTGGTGCATGGAAGATGCTTGGCAAATGTTTCTTTCCTTCCATTCTTTCCCCAAGCCTCCTCTTCCTCTTGCCTCCTACTTCCCTCCATCCCACCCCTTCCATCTTCTCCCCTTCCTTCCCCTGCTGTGAGCCAGGTGACAGCTGGCACGGCCTCTGGTCTGCAGCCACTAAACCTGCCCATGTCCAACTAAAGGGACAAAATGGCCAAAAAAAATCCCGAGAGCAAAGGTGGTGGCACGGAGTGGGTGGCTGGAGCCACGTCCTCTGCTTCCCAACGTAAATCTTTGGGAAAACCATTAGCGGTGGGCCCTGCAGCTCAGAGAGAAATTACAAGGCAGCAGAATCAATGTTATTTTTTCCACAAGCTAAATTCATAACGGTTTATGGCAAAATCAATGCAAATCTTCATGAATAAAGTGATGGCAGGTGCACATTAGACAATAATAAGGGGGGAGGGGGAGGAGAAACCTCAGCCAATCAGCAGTGGAGGCGGGGCCCCAGAGGGAGCTGGAAGCAGGTACTCTGGAGCCACCTGCACAGCTGCCAGGGGATTTGATTCTCTCTGCGATGCAACGAGGCCCCTCCCAGACTGGCCCCAGCTGGCCTGAGCACCCTGGGAGGGAAGGGGCTCAGGGGTGGGAGGAAGTTAAGAGCTGACCTATTTCTTGAGAGCTTATTCCAGACTTCATGCTTGACCTCCGCGGTCCTATTGGATCCTCAGAATAGCTCTTGGAGGTAGATGCTGTCATTACCCCCATTTCACAGTTCAGGAAACAGAGGCTCAGAGAGGTGAAGCCACTCACCTGGCATCACACAGTTAATCAGTAGGAATTCCTGGAATGGAACGCAGGTCCTCCCTATTCCAGAGACCCAGAGGCACTTGTTTAAACAAGATTTGCCTCTCTGTTCCATGCTTTTCTGCCTCAGGGGCCTCTGCACATGCTGTGTCCTCTGTCCTGGTGCCCGAGTCTTCTCTCCTCCACCTGGGAAACTCCAGAGCGTCCCTCACCACCTGGCTGCAATGTTGCAGGGAAGGCGGGGCCTGGGGGGAGGTTCTGTGATATCTTCAGCTGGCATTGTCATGCCTTTCGTGGGTGGGCCCCATGGGATTTTGTGTTTGTGTCTAGTGTGGACTCTAGGATAGTGTCTAGGGAGTGTTTGTCCTCATGGTGCCTTACCTAGGCTGTGAGCCACTGCAGGGTTTGACTGTATCCTAACTTACCATCTCGTTTTTCAATCAATTCACTGGAATACTTGCATTGACATTCATCACTCCATCTGTCCAACCATTTATTTATCTGTCTCTCCACCCACCCACCCCCCCATCCATCCATTCATCCAACCATCCATCCATCCCTCCATCCTTTTATCCATCCACCCATTGTCCATTCATCCAACAATCTGTCCATCTATCCATCCTTCCATCCATCTACCCATTATCCATTCATCCAACTGTCCATCCATCCATCCATCTCTCCATTTTCAGGTAGTTCTCAAGACTTGAAAAATTATCAGACTTTATCCTAACCCATGCTACGACATGGATGAACCTTGAAGACATTATGCTAAGTGAAATGAGCCAGTCATAAAAAGGAAAATACTGTGTGATTTCACTTATATGACAGTCAAATTCATAGAGACAGAAAGTAGAGTGGTGGCTTCCAGGGGCTGAAGGGAGAGGAGAATTGGCAGTTAGTGTTTAATGGGGACAGATTTCAGTTTGGCAAGATGCAAACATTCTGGAGATGGATGGTGGTGATAGTAGCAGAACCATGGGAATGTACTCAATACCACTGAACTAAAAAGGGCTTAAAAATGGCTTAGAGTGGTAAATTTTATGCTATCGATAGTTTGCCACAATTAGAAATAAATTTTTAAAGTATCAGTTTCACAAGGAGGCTACAGTATTCCCTCCGCAGAATTCCACTCCCTCTCTTCTCACCTGCTCCAGTCCGGCTGTACCTTAAGTCTTGCCTCCTGGTGCAGCACCAACAGGCTGCCCCAGCCCTCTCCAGCTCTTCTGTCTCCAAATATTCTGGGTGCTCATGGTTTTCATATAATAATCATGACTGTGTTAACAACAGTTGCTAACACTTGGTGAAGGTGTCCTGGGGCAAGTTATAAGTGTTTTGCCTGGATCATTGCATACCCACTCTGGGAACTAGGTACTGTTGTTAGTCCCTTTTTAAAGTTGAGGAAACTGAGGCCCGGGGAAGTTAGGTAACTTGCCCAAGCTTCCTCAGCTAGTAAGCTGCAGGGGCAGGATTCAGGCCCAGGCACTCTGACATGACCATGTCTGCTCTTAAAGCTACTACGTGTGCTTCCCGCAAGCCAGTGCTTGCTTTTCTACTGCCCTAGGTACTGAGTTTACAGACGTTTTATTTCCCTAAGACCTTGTGAATTCCCTAAAGACAGGGGTTGGGTACTTACACTCCTCATTACCCACCTTGACCTTGACCCAGGATGGACACCAAATAGAGGCTCTGTAACTCAGGGTCAGGGCTAGAGCAAGGGGAGTCTCCTCAGGGGCAAAACTTAAGGGGGCTTCCAAAGCTCAGTAATTAAGGTAAATAATATTTTAATGCAATATTTAAAAATATTGATTTAGTGTGAAAAATCTATGATTAAAAAATATTAAAATTTTAAATAAAGACAAGATCTGATCTTACATGACCCCACCTCATTGGCCTTACCTTAATCTTGGCCCTGTGGGGCTTGCTTTTAAGATGGAGTGGTGGTCTAGCATGCTATTATGGGATCACTGAAACCACTTGCTTGAATAAATAATCACTCCCCTGGCCCATTTGGCAAGAATTCCATGCTGTGGGGCAATAGCACACAGACGCTGAAGTCAATCTTGTCTTAGAAGACCTTTTTTGTCTGGGCCTCTGTAGCTGTGTGTCTTTGGGCAAGTAGCTTAACCTTTCTGTGCCTCAATTTCCTCCCCGGTAAAGAGCGCTCTTAATAGTCCCAACTTAATCATGCAGCCTTGTAGATTAAATGAGATAAAGTGTATAGAGAGCGTAACACAGTGTCTTCCTCTTGGCTAACTAAAAAACGTAAACTCTTGTAAAAATGATTCGACTCATAGACTAAGTCCCCAAATGAAAAGAAGGTGTAACACATGAAGTTATGTTAGCAGGCATCAAAAAACCCTCAGCTTTTATTTTTCCTTTTCTTGTTTTCCCTCTGACATTTCTTGACCACCCTTGGCACAGAGGAGTTGGCAGAGGCAGGGAGGAGACAGTGAAGAATGGGCGAAGGGCTGGGAGAGGGGAGACAGTGAGTGGTTCATGGTTGATCAGTGTAAGGCAGATGGCTGCTTCCGTTCCCCACAGTCTAGGTTCTGCATGTTTATTCATTGGCTTCAATAGGAAAGTTTGTCTCTGGTTCTCCAGATGTGTGCTCTGTATAGACTGCCACACATCTGGATGAAAAAGTGCTAGGGAAAATGAACTGTTTTGTCCCTCCATGCTGCCAGGAGTGTTCAGAGAGCCAGATGTCCAGTGGCCAATGGTCACATCTGGAAGGCAAGCTGAATCTTTTCAACCAGATGCATCAGATGTTGGGGTGACCCGGGGACACTCAAGGACCCTGGTCATGAGGAATAGCAGAGGAATAGTCCATCGGATTCTCCATGGCCTCCCCAATCCAAGGGTAGCTGTTGTCTCCGCCCCTTTCTAGTGTAGACTTTGAGTGAGATGCCCTCTATCTACTTTCCACTGCCCCGACCCCCAGCCCCTGGGAGCTGAGGGCTTTGTCTTGACTTTTCTGTTCATGAAGTCACTGGCAGAGGTATCCCTTGAGCAGTCAAAGGGACAAAACCAAGGCCTGCGGTGGCAGAAGGAAGAGGGCAGATCTTGCCAGATTATCCCAGGTTGTTTAGGGAGGTGCTGGCCCTTCAGCCATCTCATACATTTGTCAATCTTCAAAAGAACCTTGGGAGGGAGAAAAGTGGCAATGACTTTCTGCATATAAAATGGGGAAACTGAGGCTTGGAAAGGTTAGGAGATTGTATTGGGCCACCCAGTAATAGTGGGCAGTGCTAGAATGGGCACTATGGTTTGTTGAACAGTAGTTTATTTCCAATATGCCAGGCTGATGACCTGGCCAAGATGGCGTGACTTTGCCTCCCAGAGACCTTGACCTGCCCCTCTTTCCTGCTGCATCAGAGGAAGTGGAGAGAGGTGGAGGAAATCCCCACCACCCAACCAGGGTGGGTGGGAGAGTGTCAGGGTCAGGCTCGGTTTTTCACAGCAGCCTCAGAATCATCCTTGTTCACAAGGCGTCTTAGCATCTCAGAACGTCAGGGCTGGAAGGGACCCTGCTCCTTCAGTTCTGCTTCCATCCATGTTCCAATTGGAGACTCCAAGGCCAGAGACAGGAAGCAGCCAGTTGAGGAGAAGCAGGTGTTTAATGGAAGAGCCATCATGATTACCCAAGCCCTCTGACCCCTGTGATCAGTATTCCTGACTGCACTGGGCACAGCCTCCCTGGGTAAGGCCAGACCCCCACTAGCTCACTCTGTGGCTATGGGCAGGTCCCACTTCCTCTGATGTGTCATTTCCCCACATGGATGAATGAGGGTGCAAGTCCTGGCCCCATCCAACTCAAAGGGCAGCTGGGAGTTTGATTGATAGGTATAAACATAAGGGCAAAGACAGCTGACACCTCAGTTCCTACTGTGTGCTGCATCTGGGCTGGGCACTTGAAATATGAGGTCTTGATGACTCTGCAATCATATTCTCTGCCTGCCACACACTATGGACTCCCTCTCCTCTTCTGACCCTTCCTCCAATTACTTCATCTGGCTGACACCCAGTCATTACTGAGGTCTCATTAGATGTCACCTCCTCCAGGAAGCCCTCTCTAACGACCGATGTTCTGTCTTTGTGTTCCTGTGAGAGCTGTGCACCCTGGCATAGCATTGATCGCAGACTATAATCATTGGCTTTTTAAATGTCTGTATTCTCCAGAAGACAGTGGGCTCTCAGGGGGTAGGCAGGGTCTGGGTCTTTTGGGTTCACTGTGGTATCTCAATGCTCATCAAAGTGTCTGGTACATAATATGCATGCAATATATACCTGACAAGTTTGACTAGTGAGGAATCTGGGATAGTAGATATGAAAACACTGCAAATTACAAGGAGTTCTTCAAAAGGAAGGATAGAGTGATATGTGATGTTGCAATTCCACAATCTACCTACAGAGGGCGACGCCGAACCCAAGGGAATGCTCCAGTGACGGTGGCCTTTCAGCAGAGTTGGGTGCTGTGACATTTAAGGGAAAGGGAGGTCTATGACCCTTGCATCACACCACACAGTGATGATGCAGAGTCTGCTCCAATGATTCCCAAGACCCATACGGGTTAATTCCGGCAAAGGAACGATTCCTTGGGTTTTAGCTCCTGGCCTGGGAGTCACGCCCAGCTTGTGGTCATGGGATGATTAATCATAGCTAGACCCTATTCGTTATGTTGACTGCATGTTCTTTCTCTCTCCCTTCCCGTCCCCCCAATTAGATTTAATTAGATATTGATAATAGATGCTGGTGGAATGAGTCTCTGTGGTCTCAGGCTGGACCTGTGGCAGAGAAAGGGAACAGCCAGCCCCTGGGGACGGGACCTGTGGAGTCCAGGCCTTGGGAACTGAGTACCACTTCCAGTTCCTTTGTCTTTATGACCCTCTCCCTATGAAAAAGGAAATGCTTCCAAGGCTCCTCCAGTCAGTTTCTGTTCTCACCCCTTCCCTCTCTCTTTTCCTTTGGGATCCACAGCCCTGGCCATGCCTGTTGGAGCTGGCCCCTCCTCTCCAGCCTGCAGTTTTATTTCCCTAAGCCTCAGGTGTTTGGATGTGGGTCTTGCCTGGAGGGAGCAGGGGCATTGAGATTACCGATCAGCAGACATGCTTCCCTTCTCCTCCCACCGTGATGCCTATCACTCCTTTCCACTGATGGGGAGCTTAGCCATGTGGCTTGCTCTGGAAAATGGAAAGTCAGTGAACATAACCCAAGCAGAGGCCTTAAATAGGCATGTGTCGGTTGGCTTGATTTCTTGTGCTCTTGTGACCTAACAGGAGAAGAAGATACCCAGGGTGACCACTGTTTCACCAGACTAGGCTCAAGAATTAACACACAGGGATCAGACTTGAACCCAATCTACAGCCTATAGTGGAGCAGCCCAGCCAGGTCCAGCCTAGATCAGCCAAGCCACAGCCAGCCTGCAGCCCCATGAGCATGAGAATAAATGCTCACGGTTGTAAGCCACCAAGATTTTGTGCTATTTGTTTGCATCATTATTGCTGTAAAGGTCTGGCTGGCACAGAGGGTTGGGTGGGAACTCAAATAATGATACAACAGAACTGATTATTCCAGATTACAAGGCAGGAGACCTGGGCTGTAGTCCAAAAACTGCTAACTTCCTCTATACCTCCAGAGGAGAGGAAAGAAGCTACCATCTGTGGATCATCTGCTGGGGGCCCAGCACTGGGCTAAACGCCGTCCACACATCATGCTATTGTATCACTACCATGTCTATCTTATTTTGGAATCTACTCTGTGCCAGGCATTGTGTTAAATGCTTATGATGCTAATTAGGGTTATGCTAACAATGATACTGAAATGAATAATAACTTAAAAAACAGCCATTGTTGAATACATAGGATGGGTCAGGCCTGCATCTAGTTATTTAAATGTATTGTTTCAATTTACCCTCAGCACGACCAACCTGGTAGACTGTAAACTCCATGAAGCAGACATCACATCTGTTTAGTTCACTGCCGTGGCCCCAGGGCCTAGTACGTGCCTGGCACATCAATGCTCAATAAATTGTTGTTGAGATGGAAGTCCTACGAGGTGGATGCTAGTGTTACATCCGCCACTGTCCGTCCCCTGCTCTCTTTCTGCGGCTGATGAAACGGAGGCAGATGGGCTGGCCTAAGCAATGGTTCTAACATCTCAACTGGGGGCAATTTGGTCTCCTCAGAGGACATTTGGCAATGTTTAGAGGCATTTTTGGTTGTCACGACTTGGGGAGGGGGTGCTACTGGCATCCAGTGGGTAGTGTTCAGGAAAGCAGCTGTACATCCCACAAGGAAATCCCTCCACAAAGAATGATCTGGCCCAAAATGAAAACAGTGCTGTGGTCGGGAAACTCTGGCCTGACTATCAGGGGAGCCTGGCTACCATGGCCTGGCAGGAAATTAAAGTCAGATTTGTTTTGTTCCAAAGCACCTGTGTTGGTTTTCTGTGGCTGCTGTAACAAACTACCACAGACTGGGTGGTGATAGCAGCAGAAGCGTGTTTGCTCACAATTCTGGAGGTTGGAAACCTGAAATCACGGTGTGGGCTGGGCTGTGCTCCGCTGAAGACTCCAGTGGACATCCTGTGCCTGGGGTCTTCCGCTTCCCGGTGGTTGCTGGTGTTTCCTGGCGTGAGGCTGTGAATTAGTCTGTTCTTAGGCTGCTGATAAAGACATATCTGAGACTGGGTCATTTATAAAGAAAAAGAGATTTAATGGACTCACAGTTCCACGTGGCTGGGGAGAGCTCACAATCATGGCAGAAGGCGAAAGGCACATCTTACACGGCAGCAGGCAAGAGAGAGAATGAGAGCCAAGAGAAAAGGATTTCCCTTTATAAAACCATCAGATCTCATGAGACTGACTCACTATGATGAGAAAAGTATGGTGGAAACCGCCCCCATGATTCAATTATCTTCCACTGGGTCCCTCCTACAACACCTGGGAATTATGAGAGCTAAAGTTCAAGATGAGATTTGGGTGAGGACACAGCCAAACCATATCAGGCTGCATTACTCAAATCTCTGCCTTCATCTTCATGTCACCTTCTCCTCTTGTGTCCATCTCCAATCTCTCTCTGTCTTCTCTTATAAGACCCCTTGTCATTGGATTTAGGGCCTACCTGGAGACTCCAGAATTATCTCCTCATCTCAAGATCTCTTAACTTGAATCTCATCTGCAAGACCCTTTTTTCAAATAAGGTCATATCCACAGGTTTCTGGGATTTGACATGGATATCTTTTGGGGGAGGGACATTTTTGGGCCTTCCCCCTGCACCCCTTCTTGAATGCAGACCTATCTTGCCCTCCCAGATGTACTATGTGAATCCTCAAAAGAACCCTCTGAAGAGTTCATCTTACCTTGTTTCACCCATGAGGCACTGAGGATCAGAGAGGCTGTGTGATTCTCCTAGGAGAATCAGCGCTGGGGTCAAGATTTGCTCTCCGGCTCTGAAACTCTTGCTCACATCCTTCAACTTTCTCCTCAAACCTCACTGGGCTCAGAGATGCCCACACTTTCTGTGGAGCACCTGGAGATGCCCCTTGAACCAGCCTGCAACTGGCAGTCAGTGGGGCACCCCTCTGGATGCAGGAGGAAGGACACAGGAGTCACGCGCAGCCTTTTCAGGCAAGTGACTCTTTCAAGTGACTCAGGGGACATCGAGCAGAGGGAGACCTCAGGACCAGCAGCTCCCCCCTGGGGAGGGAGAGCAGGCGGCATTATCCTGGGGACTTTGCTGCAAGAGACAAGCTTGTCCAAGCCCGGAATTTCAATCGCTGCTGCTCTAATGAGCTCCTTCTTCCTGCCTTTCTCTGAACTTTTGCCAGCAAATTTCAGGGTCTCCCAGATGTGACAGCTCTGGCCAGTGTTTGATGGTTTGGATGAAGCCAATCAAAGGCGGGAGACCCTCTACGCCTTTCCCACCCTTGGTAGTGAAATCCCACAAACACCATGGAGATGAAAGTGTCAGCCACTGCGTATCACATCATTTAATCACCTCATTAAACTTTGAGTTTTCTCTCTTTTTTTGTAATAGCACCCCTGAAGCATAATTTGCACATTGGAAACTGCACATCTTTAAAGTAATACATTTGATAGATTTTGATATAAATATATACATACACACACACAACCACACCTGTAAAACCATCACCACAATCAAGATAGAGAATATATATGCCACTCCCCCAAAAGTTTTCTTGTGCCCTTTTGCAACCTTCTCTTTTTCCCCTCCCCACCATCCGTCCCATTCCCAGGCAGCCACCAATCTGCTTGCTGTCGCTATAGATTAGTTTGCATTTTTTAGAGTTCTGTATAAATGGAATCATTCAGTATTGACTGTTTTTGCACAGCTTATTTCTTTCATCATAATTATTTTGAGATTCCACCACGTTGTGTTGTGTATCAGTGGTTCCTTCTTTTTATTGATGGCTAATATTCCAGCTTGTGGTTATGCTACAGTTTATACATCCATTCATCCATTGATAGACATTGGATCTTTTCCAGTTTTTGATGAGTATGAATAAAGCTGCTATGAACATTTGTGTAAAAGACTTTTTGTGGATACATGCTTTCTTTTCTTTTGAGTAAATACCTAGGAATGGCTGGATCATATGGTAAGCACATGTTTAATTTAAGGAAATGCCAGGAGTGGTGGCTCATGCCTGTAATCCCAGTACTTTGAGAAACCAAGGCAGGAGGTCAAGACTAGCCTGGGCCATATAGTAAGACCCTATCTCTACAAAAAATTTTAAAAAGTAGCTGGGCATGATGGTGTGGTGGTGCACACCTGTAGGTCCACCTACTCAGCAGGCTGAGGCAGGAGGATCACTTGAACCCAGGAGCTCAAGGTTACAGTGAGCTATGATTGCACCATGCCACTACAGCCTGGGTGACAGAACAAGACTCTGTCTCTAAAAAAAAAAAAAAAAAAAAAAAAAAGAAAAAGAAAAAAGAAAAAGGAAACCACCAAACTGTTTTCTGAAGTGCTGGTACCATTTTGCATTTCCACCAGCAATGTATGAGATTTCCAGTTGCTCTGCATCTTCTCCAAGGCTTGGCGTGGTCAGTCTTTTACTTTTAGCAACATAATAAGTATGTTAGCATCTCTTGATGGTTTTAATTGACATTTTCCTGATGCCTAATTATGTTGAGTGTCCTTTTCTCTGCTGATTTGCCATCTGTATATCTTCTTCGGTGAAATGTCTGTTCAAGTCTTTTACCCATTTTAAATTCAATTGTTTGTTTTCTTGAGTCTTGAGAGTTCTACATATATCCCAGGTATCAGTCCTTTAGCAGGTACTTGATTTGTGAATATTTTTTCTTAGTCTTTGTCTTATCATTTCATTATCTGAACATGATTTCAAAGATTAGGAGATTTTCATTTTGATGAAGTCCAATTTATCAACTCTTTCTTTAATGGATCATGTTATTGATTATATATGCAAGAAATTGTTGCCTAACCCAAAGTCTGGAAACTCTCTCAAGGTAGTAAGCTGGGGAAGCTGAGGGGCCTACTTTATGTATTTCTTGTCTCTTAGGGATCAAGCTCCTTCACTCTCTGATGCCAAGTGTCTTGAAAACCATTGTTTTAAATATTTGTCTATGTTTTGTTGTTTCATCCAGGAGGGTAAATCTAATTCCTGTTACTCCATCTCAGTCTGAAGTCCCAATAAACCTTTAAGGTAGACATTATTTTACTCATATTACTTCCTATTTCTCCACCAAGGTAGCAGAGCTCAGTCCTGTTACTCCATCTCAGTCTGAAGTCCCAATAAACCTTTAAGGTAGACATTATTTTACTCATATTACTTCCTATTTCTCCACCAAGGTAGCAGAGCTCAGTGTGGTGAAGTGTCTTGTCCAGTGTCACACAGCAAAAAATGGTACCATCAGGACATAAACTCGGGCCTGCCAACTGTAAAGCCTGGTGCTACAGACCAGGCACCCTCAAAATTTTGGGATGGTGTCAAGTTCCACTTGGTGCTTGAAGTTTCAGAGTCTGGAATGCATCTAGGGTCTGGAATTGGCTAGACAGGGGACTCTCATTCAGTCTTGCTGGCTTGGCCCTCTAAGATCCTGGAGCAAAGGTAACCTCCGAGTTTCAGTTGTCTAATCTGCTACCAAAAATGTTAATTTGGACCTGACTTGCTCTTTAAGGGGTGCAATAAAATGCAATCACAAAACCACAGGATTTCTGAGACCTTGTAGAATATAGGGTCCAACCTTCTACTCAATGCCATTTCCACAGCAGGATTAAGAAATCTAAGATGCACCTCACCTTTCACCCAATACCCCGTTTGTGCCCATTGCAGGCATTACTAATCAATGATGGAACTCTTGATCACAAAATCCAATCTTTCTTTAATACTCAACATGCCCACCACCAATTTATTAGACTGGCACATGAGATGAAGCCCATTTGTGTTCCTATTCTTTGGTGTTCTGGTCAGATAACCATCTGGCCTCACACTCACACCTCACTTAACCAAGCCTTCACCATGTCCTAAGGTAATCTGTTTCATTACTGTCCAGCTGCAGTGCCTGGAACGTTCTGGCATGTGACAACAAACCCACTGTCCAGTCAGCATTATCCATTACATTAAATTGTACCTGCTGGGGGCTCAGAGATCAAACATCTTTATCTTTTAGAAAGTCCTTCAACTATAATGTGATGGTAAAGGTCATGTCCCTCTTCATCAAGAGAAATATCTCCGGTCCTTGACATGTGACGTGGGGCCCTTTAGAGTCCTGCTTTCCCTTATTTTTCCCTTTGCCTTCATCATCTTCCTTAAAATGTAAAATCCGAGTTTGAAAAAATATCCAGTGTATGATCCGATTAGAATGCAATAGAGAAAAAGTATTATACTTTGGTCTTGACATTTTCCTTTTATTAACATAGCCTAGGATTTTATTAGCTTTTAAAACGATCATCTTATACCATTAGCTCATGTGAGAAAATGTGAGATAATTTTTACATGAACTGAGCCAGGCCAGATGCCCCCTCCCTTATAGCTGTGCAGTTCAACCTGTGAGCCCAGTGTATTACCTGACACTTTCTCCGTGGTTCATCCCATCAGTCTAACCAATGAGCACATGAAAAAGAGCTGTACCTCCAGGCCAAGCCCAGTGCTGCTACACGCAGAATAATAATAGTAACAATATTAGCTAACATGTACATAGCACTTACTGGATGCCCAACATCATTCTAAACATACTACATATTTTTACTGATTTGATCCTTACAACAGCCTGGGGTAAGTATTATCTTATTCCCATTTTACAGAGGAGGAAATGGAAGCAGAGAAGTTAAGCAAGCTTGTAAGTGGCTGAGCTGGGATTTGAAGCCAGTTCTGAAGTTTGTGTCCCGAGTCACTACATTATACTGTTCTGAAGGGCCTGAACACATGCATGTTCTATGAATATTTATGCTCTTATACGTAGTTCTTGGGGGAAGCTTCCTGAGGGTGGCAGGAGACAGCTGAGATGTGAAGGGTGCATTTCCTGGGCAGGCTTCCCCGCTTTGGTCCAGGCCTGTCTCTGCAGAAGTTCTGCTGATGCTGCAGACTGCAAGCAGGTGAGGGCAGATCAAAACCCAAACGTGATTTTCACACAACCTGGGTAGGTCCAGCCCACCTCTCCTGGACACCTGCAGGGCAGAGCCATGACCTTTGAGGCTCTGTAACTCGGAGCTCTACTCTGGAGGGTGCCCTGTGTGTTCCCTTTGAGAGACGATGTCACAGGATGGAGGGCGCAAAAGGACAGCCCCAGGCTTGAGATGAAGACTCACGTTCAGCATCAGCAAAGCCACCCTCTTCCCTGCCCGGTGTCCAGGGGAGCCATTTCTCCTCCCTCTCAGGCCCTCTGGTCTGGGTGGGGCTGACCCTGCCCCTGGTAGACATGTGATCTAGACTGAACCAATCCATGTGCACTCTCTCCCTGCTCTCTCACATTGGTTCAGTTTCAGGCACATGGACCCAGCCTGAGCCCATGAGAGGCAGGCCTGGGATATTGATGGAAACTGTTCTTTTCTATGGATTTGAAACCAGGAGGAGGCAAACCCTGAGCTTTCTTGGCAAGAGCCTGCCTGTCTGTCACCTAAACAAAGGAAGGAAGGAGACCCGAGAGATAACTGTTTGAGCTCTGAGTCCAGCCATGCTGGGCTGCTTGGTTATTTGAGCTTATGAAATTGGCCTGTGTTTCCTAAGCTGGTTGAGTTGGCTTTTCTGCAACAAGCAAGCCAGTGAGCTCTGACAAGGACTGGCTATGACTCTGGTTCCAGCTGGGATTTCCTTGTCTGCTGTGTGCCAGCCCAGGGCCAGGGACTGTGAGGGGATTCACATCTGCCATGAAGCCTGAGCCCCAATGTGTCAGACCTTGGGGTACAGCAATGAATTGGACACAGTCCTTGCCCTTGAGGGGTGCACAGCCTAGTTAGCCATTAACTGCCATAGATGCCATTAATTTCCATGGTGTGGGGCACATTAGAGAGGTATATGCAAGGTGCCTGGGAACTCAGGGGAAGGGACAGGCCACCCTTCCCAGAGCACAGGGAGGGAAAATGAAGCGGGTGCCCAGGGGCAGTGACTTTTAAGGAAACGTCATGCAGGACCACCGTGATGAGTCACTTGGGTCCTGCATCACTGCATGCTTTAAATCCTGGTTTGACCTTTTGCTAGCTCTGTAACATTGGGCAAATGACTTACCATTTTGGAGCCTCAGTTTCCTCGTCTGTAAAATGGGCATCTACCTCATGGGTTTGTTGAGAGAATTAAATGTGATGACATAAGTTTATCACATGTAATGTGGCTAGTGTATCACACTAGGCTAGTACAGTGACCAGCGTAGAGTTAATGTTCAGTAAATTAACTCAGTCTTTTATTATTATTAGTTTAATGATGGCAGGAACACTCCAGGTGGAGGAAAGAAAACGTGCTAACCATTACACATTCACAAAGTGGGTGGGTGTGTAGGGTCCAGGTCTGTGGAAGAAATGAAGGGATTCCAGATGGTGGGGCTAGTGTGGGCAATAGTGCTGGGGCAGGGAATAGCAGGGGTGGCACTCCGCACTGCCACCTGGTAGCAGGAAGCCTTCCAGGGAGGAGGCAGGAGGAGAGTGGAGTGTCTGGGTTGGCGTCAGGTTGTAAAGCCCCAGCTTGTTGCTATAAACAAAAATGCCCTGTCCTTTTTTGAGAAGAAGAATTTGCAGCTACCTAACCCAGAAGTAACTTACCCTCAATTCAGTTTGCTCAGTTCAGTTATGTTACTGGTCAATTTCAGTAGGGGAAAAAAAATCCAGTGGGGCTGTTTTGCCAAAGCAGGTACCCACTGGGCACTAGAAGCGCATGTTAGGATGTGCCATTATGTCAGCATCTAAGCAGGGCTCCCTGAGCACAGAGGGACCCCAGGAGCCTGGCCTCCAGGAGAAAAGAGAGAAAATGGCATCAGATAATGTTGCATTTACTTTTGCTTGTTGTTATGTGGGAAAGACTAGTGTTCACTTCTTTAAGCTCCTGCAACAGTGGGAATAAGTGGGCCTGGTGAGGCCAGCACCCCCTCCCACCCTGTGTCTTACACCCCCACCCAGCCTAGCTGTGAAGGAAATGGGCAATTATCTGGCAGATTGGCTATTAAGTCAGGCGTCCATTCAAATCCCCCAGCTCCCCAACTTCCTGGATGGCCTGAGATGACATTGATCAATCTGGACAAGGCTGCCACTGCCATTTCAGGGAAAGACCACCTCTTGACCCAACTACCACCCCACTCCCCAATTCATTCACTCACTCACTCACCGGCTGACATCCTCACTCACTCATTTGTTCATAAATCAAGCACTTCAGTCATTCATTTGTTCACTCATACACCCTCATTGTACATTCACAAACACTCTTGCATCACCTGGGCACTGGGCCTGGTGACCGAGATGCAGGTGGCAGGAGCAGCCGTGGGGGCAAGGTCACTGAGCTGCCTGGGCTGGATGCCCAGGGCTTTACAGCCATGGCAATGACATGAGCCAACCCAGGGGCTGCTCCAGCAGGAAGCTGGGCAAGAGACCCAGGACTAGGGGCAGGCGGGTGTGCACACTGGGGGAGGTGCATCAACTGAGTCAAGTGCAGGGAAACTTTAAGCAATGTTGGGGAAGATTCTGGGCTCCGGACCCCTAAGCATCAGTGGTCTGGAGTTGTAGCTGCTCCAGACTATATCATAGTCCTCTATTCCACTATTTCTTGATATTTGAATACTTTTCTCCTTTCCCTAGGGAGTATGCTGGACCTTATGGGCACAGAGAACCAATAAGTGGTGCAGGGAGGAGGGTGAAGTCTGATCATATGATTTGGCTCTGTGTCCCCACTCAGATCTCATCTTGAACTGTAATCCCCATGTGTTGAGGGAGGGACCTATAATCCCTATGTGTCCAGGGAGGGAGGTGATTGAATCACGGGGGCAGTTTCCCTCATGCTGTTTTCGTGATGAGGGGGTTCTCACCAGATCTAATGGTTTTATAAGTGTTTGACAGTTCCTCCTTCAAGCACTCTCTCTTACCTGCCATGTAAGACATGCCTGCTTCCCCTTCCACCATGACTGTAAGTTTCCTGAGGCCTCCCTAGCCATACAGAATTGTGAGTCAACTAAACCTCTTTCTTTTATAAATTACCCAGTCTTGAGCAGTCCTCTTTTTGTTGTTGTTGTTGAGACAGGGTCTCACTCTTTTGCCCAGGCTGGAGTGCAGTGACACGATCTCAACTCACTGCAACCTCTGCCTCCCAGGTTCTCCCACTTCAGCCTCCTGAGTAGCTGGGACTACAGGTGCACACCACAACACCCAACTAATTTTTGATAGAGACGGGTTTCACCATATTGGCCAGACTTGTCTCGAACTCCTGACCTCAAGTAACCTGCCTGTCTTGGCCTCCCAAAATGCTGGGATTATAGACATGAGCCACCACGCCTGGCCTTGAGGAGTTCTTTATAGCATCTGACAAAGAGAAGATCAGTAAAGATAAACTGAGAAGGGCTTCATAGAAATCATAAACACCTTGGTCAGAAACACGTGATTTGAGAGAAGTTTGGGCAGTCTCATTGCCTGTCTCTGTGGTTCATGAGTCTCATGAGAATACTGCAAACCAGGTATATCTTTGATTTATTTTAAGTTACCCCCAGGCCCTTAAAGGGCCACATTTACGGGAAACGGGGTCCTAGTCCCCATAAGATGAAGTTTGGGAAAGAAGAACAATACCTTCTCCATCTCAAGCACCTAGCATAGTTTGGCAATGAAGACATACATTCATTCATTTATTTATTCAAATAATACATATACTTACTATTTTCCTGGGGCTGCCATAACAAAGTGCCACACCCTGGGTGGCTTAAAACAACAGAAAGTAACTTCTCACAGTTCTGGAGGCCAGAGTCCAAGATCAAAGTGTCCAAGGCGGTGTTAGATCTGAAACTCTGGGTAGAGTCCTTCCTTGCCTCTTCCTAGCTTCTAGTGGTGACCATCAGTCCCTGGAGTTCCTTGGTGTCCCTTGGCTCCAATCTCTGCCTCTGTCATCACACAGAGGCACACATCACACCCTCTCCCTATGTGTCTCTGTACAGATATCCCTCTTCTTATAAGGATTCCAGTCATATTGGATTAGGGTCTACCCTAATGACCTCATTTTAAACTTGATTATGTTCGCAAAGAACCCATTTCCAATTAAGGTAACTTTCACAGGTACTAGGGGTTAAGACTTCAACACACATTTTTGGGGGGACACAGTTCAATCCATAACACCTTCTATTTGCCAGGTCAGCTGATAGGCATTGGAGGAAAATACCTGTTGAATAGACAACTTCACTCTTCCCTCCTACTACAGTCCTTCAAATGGACCACTTCACTCCTTCACCCCACCATGATCCTATTGGGAAAATGCTGGTGAGGGGCTGAGGACCCAGCTCAGCGGAAACATTCCTGGATCCCAGGCTCACTGGGAAGCCCCACCTCACTTCTGTCTCTATGAGCCCGAGCCTTACCTACCTGTTTCAGCCCCTAGCAGAGTTCTGCAGCTCATCAGTAACCATAAGAGGAGCAGTGGGCAGAATAAATCTCACTTCAAAATTAATGTAGCTCGGGAAAAAAAGTACATTTACTCATTTCAACTTCTTGTTGCAAGACTCATAAGTGAATAAATCCAAAATAAATGTAACCGGGATGAAGGGAGAAGCCACGATAAATGCAATCCCATCGCCCTAAATGAAGACAAAGGCTTCGAGACAATATTAAATTCCATCCCCAAAGGCTCATTTCATTTCAGACCCAGATTTCCACAAAATCGAGTTTTCCAGCCAAGCTAAGCCCGCTTCTGCTCCTGTCCTCCACTTGCCACACTCCCTCCCCTGATAAACAAGCTTTTGCTCCCCCTTCCCACCAGGCTGCTTGTGGTCTCAGCTGTGTAGGTTGCCTGCTCTCATGCCAGCAAGTCCCCTGTATTAGTCTGTTCTCACACTGCTAATGAAGACATACCTGAGACTGGGTAATTTATAAAGGCAAGAAGTTTAATTGACTCACAGTTAAGCATGGCTAGGGAGGCCTCAGGAAACTTACAATCATGGCGGAAGGGGAGGCAAACACATCCTTCTTCACATGGTGGCAGAAAGAGAAGAAGTGCCAAGCAAAAGGGGGAAAAGCCCCTTATAAAACCATCAGATCTTGCGAAAGCTCACTCGATATCACAAGAACAGCATGAGGGTAACTGTCCCGGTGATTAAATTACCTCCCACCAGGTCTCTCCCATGACATGGGATTATGGGAACTACAATTCAAGATGAGATTTGGGTGAGGACACAGCCAAATCATATCCAAACTCCAAAGATATGGTGACTGCCTCAGATCCCAGCTGGACAGCTTCAGCCACATTCTGGGGACCCACAACATCTGCTTGGACTTCCAGGATTTGCATATTCTTCTCTGTATCCCCTGGACTATGAGCAGGGATGTACGCACCTCTGTGTCTCAACACATGCAGGTTGGGTGTTCAGTCCTGGAGGTGCAAAGCTGGATGCTCAACTCTGACCAGTCTTCTGGCCAAACTGGTTAAACCTGGGGTGCTGGGGCTGGAGGCAGGGTCATGCTTCGCTTGATACTGTTTCATGGCAATTCAATGACTGCAGAGCTCATCCTTGCCCTCCTACAGAGCTAGCATGTGGGTATCCTTGGGGTAAGGGACCCTAGAGTGGGGAATACAGAGAGATGAGAAATTGGCGTCTCTCTTCTCAGGAGGGTTCCCAGCTGCTGTGGGAAGACTTGTCTCTTCTGCAAAGGAAGTTGATCCAGCCGTTTTCCACAGAGGGTGAGCTCCAACGGCAGGAGCTGCATCCGCCTGTTCGTAGTGGACCCCATCCCATATGTCTGGCATGAAACCAGGCACATTCAGGACATCAAAATATACTTGTTGAATTGATTTAAGTGGCTCTAAATCAACTGGGCACAGTGGCTCACGCCTGTAATCCCAGAACTTTGGGAGGCAGAGGCAGGTGGGTCACTTGAGTCCACGAGTTTGAGACCAGCCAGGCCAACATGGGGAAATCCCATCGCTATCAAAAAATACAAAAATTATCCAGGTGTGGTTTTGCATGCCTGCAGTCCCAGCTACTCAGGAGGCTGAGGCAGAAGAATCGCTTGAACCCTGGAGGTGAAGGTTGCAGTGAGACAAGATCGCGCCACTGCACTCCAGCCAAGGTGAGAGAGTGAGACTCCATCTCAAAAACAAAATAAAATAAAATAAAAATAAAAATAGATGGCTCTCACTGACCAGTTCTTCAACTTCAGTGATGTCACCAGCCAGGTGATCTTGGGTAGATTGTCTATCAAACTTCACACACTGGGCTGAGTATCTCACTGTCAGAATGACTAAACTGAATTGACTGAACTCTGAGTATGTGGTGAAAGGTTTTTAGGGAATCCAGTGAGATTCCTGATGGAGCTGACAGATGTCTGTCACCTATGCCCACAGTTAAGTCTCTGTGTCAGAATTATGCCAATGTCAAGAATTTTGTTACCTGTACCTGCTCCTATCCGCCCCCTCCCAAGTCTAGGCTGTGGACATTGTGAACTTGCTGTTGCTTTTAGGGGTAGGTTTACTTTTTTTTTTTTTTTGAGACAGGGTCTCACTGTTGCCCAGGCTGGAGTGCAGTGGCATGATTATTGCGCACTGCAGCCTCAATCCCCTAGGCTCAAGCGATCCTCCCACCTCAGCCTCCTGAATAGCTGGGACTTCAGGCACATGCCACCACACCCAGCTAATTTTCTGTAGAGACGAGGTTTTGCCATATTGCCCAGGCTGGCAGGTTTACTTTTAACAACAGTGAACAATAACAGTAACAATAGCAATGCTGGCCAAGTCTTAGCACCTGCCTTGTGCCCTCTCCTTTCTGCAGGCTTATGTAGCGATCCATTCAATAAATCTTGTTCGGATGCCTCCCATTTGCTAGGTCCTGCTTTAATGGTGCTGGGATGGCTCTGGTGTCATGAAGTTTGCATGCTGGCATGGGTAGTATATTCCGTTTTATTCTATTATGCTGTAGTGGAGGTAGTTATATTATTTATGTTATGTTATGTTATATAAAATTTATATCATATTATATGAAATTTATCTTGTTTTATCATGTTATATTATATCATGGTGTATCATTTCCATTTAACCTTCATAATGGCCCTCCTAGGAAGGCATTATCATCTTCATTTTAAAGCCAGGAAGACAAGTTCAGACAGATAAGTGACTTGCTAAGTGCCCCCTGCCGGTGAGTGAGAAGGTGGTGCTGTGGGTGAGCACAGTGTGGGGTGGATGGGTTTGGGAGTGGGATGAGCCAGGGTTTGAATCTGAGAGTGTGGCCTCCCCCGCTCCAAACCTCAGGATTTTCACCTATAATGTGGAGATGATAGAGTTTCCCTCTCGGATGGCTGTAAGAATCACGTGGGATGACGTGTGTGCCTAGCTCAGCTCCTGCCTCATCGTTGGTGCCTGGTAAGAGCCATGTCTGCTGTGGCAATGGTCATGGTCATTCCAAGGGAGACCATGAAGCTGCTCCATGGCAGGACCCAGGGCTCTGGTCTCCTGCCCTGGAGCTGCTGCTGTTACCCCATAGTTCAAAGACTGAGGAAGAGTCCATAGCCCCCTACTCCTCACTTGCACTCCAGCCGTGGGGTGGTGGTCTGGAGGAGGGTCTGCCCCTCCAGCTCATTGGCTGTCATTTGTTCCCAGGCTCACAGGGGCTTCAAGGTGTCAGGTTAAGAGCACAGCCCTGGGCCCAGACTGAGGGTTCCAATCCTGGCTCTGCCACTTCCTCACCATGTGAACTGGGGCAAATTACATTTGCTGTGGCTCATCTGTAAAATGAAGTTGTACGTCCCGTGGTTATTGGGAGGGTGAAGTACCTGCCAAGTGCCCAGGACAGAGCTTGTCCCGTGGAGAGTGCTGTGTAGGGGGCAGTCGTCATCAGCCTGTGGATGCTGCAGGCCAGGTGGTGCTGAAACAGGCCTTTCCCTGCTGCTGAGAAACTGGGTGAGAAGCCACTTGGCCAAGACAGGAGGCACATTCTCCATCAAAGGGAATTGCAAATTAGTCTTAAAAATGAAGCACCAGGGAGAGATGGTGGCTTTGTCAAGAAACTCAGGAGTCAGGCAGATACTTCTGCCTGGTCCTGCGCCAAACTCTCTGGGAGCAGCGTGTCCAGGAGCCTCACCCTTGACCCTGACTCCCCTCTTGCCTCCAAGGGACCCAAAGGGGCTCACATAGATGGCGTGGGTGGCTTCCTGTAGTGTAGTTTCCAGGATCACAGCCCCAACCACCCATTTTTCAGTTCCTTAAATCATACTTAGTTTTTAATTGATTTTTTTATTTTTAATTTTTTTACAACTCAATGGTTTTTAGTATATCCACAAAGTTGTGAAACCATTACCACAATCAATTTTAGAACATTTTATCACTGCAAAAAGAATGCCATTTAGCTATCACTCCCTCCCCGCGATCCCTCCACCCACCGCCCCAGGCCCTGGCAACCACTAATCTACTTTCTGTCTCCATAGAATTGCCTATTCTAGACATTTCACATAAACGGAATCATATACTATGTGGTCTTTTGTGACTGGCTTCTTTGGATTTATTGCATAGACCTCCACATGGACAGAGTTGGGGGGTGGGGCTCCCTTAGATCATTGAACCAAATCCTTCATATTTCAGATGTGAAAGTGAAGCCCAAAGAGGGGCAGTCACTTGAGCACCCTCAGGCTCACGATTAGAACTTGAGTCTCCAGATGCCTATTCTGATCTGCTCTTCCTCCCTTCCCCCAGGAAGCTGGGGTCAGGAGCTGTTTAAAGATATGATCCTGGGAAGGGAATGAGTTCCGTTGGTGGAGCAGTAGTTAAGCAGTTGCCTTCCATCCTTCATTCATTCGTTCTTTCCTTCCTTCGTCCATTCCTTCACTTGCAAGTAGTAACATGGCAGGCTCTGTTTGAGGCAATGGAAAGATGGAGGAGAACAAGACAGAGAGGCCTGGCCTGTGAAACTTACATAGAAACAGACACACACAAAAGGAACTGTCAGATTGCAACCAGTGCTATGCACAGAGCAAAAGAGGGAAGCTGGGGAGAGTGACTGGCCTGGGGAAGCTACTACTTCAGTTTGTGGGGGTCAGAGAAGGCTCCTGGAAAAGAGGGTATTTGGTGTGAAGAAGGCAGCCGTGCCAAGGTCTTGGGGAAAAGCATTAAGAAGCAGGAACTGCATTTAGGGGCTGAATTTGGAGTGGCACAGAGTGGTTGCAGAACAGGCCAGTGTGGCTGGGGCGTCCGTCTGGGCACAGTGGCAGGAGGTAAGGTTTTCTGTTCCCTCCACCCTCCCAAGTCCATTTACACATAGTCATGCAGTTTTTTGCTTATGATGTTATCTCCTCTGCCAGCCTGGAGGGCAGGGCCTAAATCATAGGGACCTCTTAGTGCCTGCTGCCTAGCATGGGGCATGGTTCCCACCAGGGGTCTAGTCTGTGTTCGAATTGATGCCTTCACAAGGATCCCCACCATTGGGCCAGGCACGGTGGCTCATGACTGTAATCCTAGCACTTTGGGAATATGAGGTGGGAGGATCACCTGAGGTCAAGAGTTCAAGACCAGCCTGGCCAACATGGCGAAACCCCGTCTCTACTGAAAACACAAAAATTAACCGGATGTGGTGGTGGGCGCCTGTAATCCCAGCTTCTGGGGAGGCTGAGGCCAGAGAATCTCTTGAACCAGGGAGGCGGAAGTTGCAGTGAGCCAAGATCGCGCCACTGCACTCCAGCCTGGGTGACAGAGTGAGACTCCATCTCAACAACAACAACAACAACAACAACAACAACAACAATCCCCATTGTTGGTTTTCATGACAGTGGGTTGACATCAATGAAGGTCAGTGGAAGGCAGCTGCAGATCCCAGAGAGGTGTCAGGTGAGGAGTCCTGGGGAAAAGGAGTTGAACTGGGCTGCCAAAGACACTCTGCCCGGCGCTCTTGCCTGCTTCCTGTTCCTCGGTTCTTTCCCGTGCCCTTGTCCCTTCTGTCGTTTCTCCTTGAGAATCAAGTTGTTTGGAAAAGAGAAAACCAGTTGCATAACTGTGTCCGTTGGCAGGCATGTTCTAATTTTAAAAAATGTGTCACTCTCCAAGCTGCGCGTCCCTTAATCAGGCAATTACTTTATGATGTAGTAGAGTTAAGGAGGGGGGGGGGGAGCCACCAACCCTTGAAATCTCAAACAATTTCTTAGTAGAATTAATTTGGTAAATGTTTGACTTGAGCTCAAGAATATCTTTTGTTTCCATTTCTAAATGACAAAAGGGACACAAAAGAAAAGTAATAATTTGGTATTAATCAATCCTTTTCATTAAAATTAGCTCCCCAAACCAGGGATGTCATGGAAACAGCAAGTGTCAGGAGAAGGGCTTGGAGCCTGGAAGGGGGTGGGGAACAGGGTTATTAAGTGGTCATGGCTCAGGGACACAGGACAAGACAGAATAGGTATCAACGGCACTGAAAATAGTAACCATCAAGGACTGAATGCTTCCCGTGTTCGAGCCCTTGTGCTGAGCCTTTTCAAATGCCCGATGGTTTTGTATCTAGAGCAACCCCACGATGTAAGTACTGCTGTGCCCATTTCACGGTTGAAGAAACCGAGCCCAGGGGAGGCTAGAGAATCTGCCCAACACTCACAGCTGGAAGTGGCAGAATCAGGACTTGAACCCAAGTCTCTTGACTCCAAGTGTTCTGCTCTATCATTGTCCCATCTTACCATCCCTAAGTGTCCTTTGCCTCTGCTAAGGAGCAGGGCTGGGGAGATTCCACACGTCAGGAGGGGCTGTTGAGAGGCCCTCAAAGGCATATGAGGAACTTTATTCAGCCAGGCACAGTGACTCATGCCTGTAATCCCAGCACTTTGGGAGGCCAAGGCGGGCAGATCTCTTGAGGTCAGGAGTTCGAGACCAGCCTGGGAAACACAGTGAAACCCTGTTTCTATTAAAATACAAAAATTAGTCAAGCGTGGCGGTACATGCCTGTAGTCCCAGCACGCCTGTAGTCCCTGTAGTCGGGAGGCTGAGGCAGGAGAATCGCTTGAACCCAGTAGGCAGAGTTTGCAGTGAGCCAAGATTCCACCACTGCACTCCAGTCTGGGTGGCAGAGTGAGACTCCATCTCAAAAAAAAAAAAAAAAAAGACTTTCTCCTTTCTGCCAAGGATGTAGGGAGGAGTGGGGCTCACTGCTAGCAGATCCAAGGCTCCTAAGAAGCTTATCTCCAGTGGTGCCAGGCTTCCCGGGCTGGGGGCCCCCATACTTCACCCAGAACTGTCTGTTCTCCTGTGAGGGCTGCATTCCAAATCTTCCCTGAGCTTCTCCCTTCATCAAAATACCTACTCAGGCCTTTCTGTCCTTCCCCTCAGCCTCCTGTGTCATGATGACTTAATACACCCTTGTTTACTGTGACCTTTGTGTTGTTAAACCCAAGAAATCACAGAAGCTCTCGGTCCAGCATCTGCCTCGGTTGGTGGAGGAAACATTCTGAGCTGGAAAGGTTGGGGCGGGGGGCAGGGCAGTTGCCAGTTTTCCATCATCTCTGACTCTATTCCCCATGGCTAACGCTCTCTCTCTAAACCTAAGCATCAGAACTCTTTCTCCTTCCTCCGATCCGCCCCAGCTCTTTCTTACGCAGAACATAAGCCATCCTGGCCCTGTCTTTCCCCATTTGCTCCTTGTCTCTTTATCCGGTCTTCTATGTGGGCTGAGCACACCGGGCTGGCTGTTATGGAGGTGGAGGGGTGGGAGAGTCTCCTAGCTGGCAAACACACTTCCATTAGGGGAAGTTGAGGGTGGTAGGGAATCCTCACTTGAGAACATAACTTGTCCCTGTTGCAAGATCACATATTACAATGACTCTGCCACCTGGATTTTTAACAGCTCTTGTTATCTGCTAAGTTATAGGTGTGTCTTGAAACACCATGAAGTCCAAGGGGCCCAACAGAGTATTCCCACCAAGGGATGGTTGGTGACTGGTTCCGTGAAAGGCTCATGTGTGGGGGCAATGAGTGCCTTAGCCTAGGAAGCCCCTGGAGAATCCCAAGGCCTCTGATGAGTCAAAATGGGAAGCCCTAGGCAAGCAATTGCTCCATGTCAGGCTTCAGGCTTTGGAAAGAAAAGCGACCGATTATTAAGCCCCCAGTGTATACAAAGTACTCAAGTACCCGCAAGATAGATATTATTTTCCCCATTGCGCAGATGAAAAACCTGAGTCTCAGAGAGGTTAATTCACTTGCTCAAAGCTGCACAGCTCATAAGTGGCAGAAAGAGGACTCAGTCTAAGTCTGCCTGATGTTACAACCTGTTCCTCAACTGTTACAGCCCTCTGGCTTCCCAAGAATAGGATCTGTTTGCCTATCTACTGAAAGAGATACAACCTCATGACACCTTCCTGGAAGACAGCATTGGGGGACAAAGTTTGTGATGTCTTTCTTTTGGGCATTTTGGGGATGCGGAACAGGCTGGGGCTTCTCCTTGGGTTACCATTTCAATCTCTGTCTATCATTTGGTGATCATGGTGAGAATCTGCAAGAGGCAGTACGTGGACTCATGCATTTGATCGTTCAAAGTCATGTTTACCATGTCCTGGCTGTGTGCTGGGAACTGTGACAGATGCCACAGCGGTGAACACAACTCGTTTGGTCCCTGTCAGCAGACATTTGCAGTCTTGTCAGGAATATGGCATTTGAACAAGTAATTAAAACATGGTGTCTGTCGGGGCGCAGTGCTGTATTTTCAGGAGGAAGGGGATTATGTGTTTGTAAAACCACAAGAAGGTCTGAAAAGGCAGGGTTCAAGGCTAAGCTTCCAGGAATGGATGTCAGAACAAGTCAGGCCCGGATCATGAAGCAGCTGGGACCGCTGAGATTATGCCAATGCCCTGCTATCAGATTTGAGCCCCTATCCTGATCCACAGCCCCCACATAGGAGGAGGTGATGGAGGGACCCTAATGCTGTGATTCAGTGATTAAGGCTCAAAAAGCTGTCCCCACCATCACTCCTTTATGACACCCAGGATGCTGGTGAATAAACCTAGAAATTGGCTGTAGGAAAATCACAGCTATCTAACCAGCAGAGAGGGTCAGTAGTCCACCTCATGTCTGCCTCCTCAGTGCTGTGCAAGTATATGGATTGGTGGAAACTTGGTTTTATCCTGAATCCAAGCTACAGAGAAATCTGGGAGATGGGGATTTCAGCCTTCCAGACCATGAGTTACAGGAAGAAACAGAGAAGGGGCTTGGAATGGAAGCTTGCACTGATGGATGCCATGCAGGGCAGCCCTGAGGGTTTCAGGAACAAAGGCCCACAGAATGCTGTGGGAGGATGAGGAGGAGGTGAATCCAGACTGTGGGGGCAGAGGCAGCTTCCCTGGGGAAGGTGCTGTCCAAGCTGCCATCAGAATGGTGCAGATGGAATACTCCAGGCTGGGGAAACAGCATGTGCAAAGGCCCTGAGACTGGGGTGGAGGGAAGCATAGATACCTGTGCCCTGTGACAGTGTGGACTGTTGTTCAGCCAGTGTTCATTTCCCTCTCCGTTCCACGTGGGTGGTGTGTACTTCCCTGCCCCACTGATGTTGGGCTTAGCCACATGACTTGCTTTGGTCAGACAGGAAATTGGCAGGGCTTGGTTTGGCTTGGTTTATTGCATTCTGGTCATCTGCCATGAGCAGAACCTCCTTAGACTCTGGGGGGAAAAATGTGAAGCAGAAGTGAGATCATTCTATAGCCTACATCAACCAAACCTCAGCCAACCTGCAGACCCATAAGCTTGAGGATAAATGCTTGTTCTTGTCAGCCACTGAGCTTTGAGAAGGCTTGTTATGAAGCACTGGCAGGGCTGTAGCTGACTGACATAAGATCTGAGCTATTGGAAGAAAAATTCTGTCCTGATTGGAATGGAGAGAAGGCCAGGGAGAGGGTGCAACATGAGGCTGAAAAACTCGCAGGTGCTGGAGTTTTGCAGGGCCTTATAGACCCTCTTAAAGATATTGGAAATGTTCTTGCTTTACACTGGGTAAAGCCAAGGCCAAGAGAGGCGGAGTGCCAGTGGCACATGGTAGGTTAGAGGCAGAGCCGGGGCTGGGCCCAGGCCCTTGAGGTCCCATTATACACCTGTCCTTCTTTCCTTCTGGTGATGACAACAGCAACCATTCCACAACAACATTCAGTATGATCCAGTCATGATCAATGCGTCCGGTACTACCTGATTCAATCTTGCTAACATCTGTATGTTTAGATGAAGAGACTGGGGATCAGAGAGGCTCCCTGTTCTGCTCAAGGCCACATGCTAGTTTGTTGGATCCAGTGCTCGTGACCTTCACTACTGGGCACCACTGCCCCTCACCAGCCTGGTCTCTGTGGGCTCCACTGAGCATGGGCTTCAGTGGGGCTGGGTTGAGCTGAGCTGTAGGCAGAGGGTGACATTGACCATGGGCTCTATCTTCTAACTCTGATCCTTTCTGCAACTCCCCTCTGACTTGGGTGGGCTAAATTGACACCTCAGGCAGGAGTGTGTGGGGACTGTTCATTGTAGGAAAGTGAGAGGTTCGCATCCCAACATGTGTTCCTGGTAATTACAGTCCCCTTGGTTGTCAGGCAATAACTGAGATGTCTATGGTGAGATTCCTTCTCAGAAGGGGGCCCTTGAGTGGACTTAGCCAGGTCTAATGGAAAATGACAAGGGCAAGGGAGGCTGAGGGGGGAACAGAAGAAGGAAGGACATGGGCAACTGCTACTCTTGGGATGTCGGCAGAAAGAGTGGGGGAAAGAACTCCAGAAATCCAAGAGTTCTCCCGCTGCCGTGGCCTGGAGCCTCCTTCCCCAGTTGGGCTCTGCAGAGCCACAGGGCCTGGGGAATGTCAGTGCCTGTTCTGCAGACCAGCAAGCCCCTGGGCATGGTGCTCCCCCACATTTCCTAGCTGTGTGCTTCCGGGGCGCATGGTAGCAGTGCACTGGCTGGCCCCTTTGTCCCCGAGCAAAGCCATGTGACCAGTTCTGGCCAACGTCTGCAAGGTGACAGTCCCGTGCATCACTTTCTGACCAGGGTGTCTCATGGGAGACTTTCAGGAATCCTGACTGAGTTTCCCCCTGCTGGGAAGCACCTGCTGGAAAGGGGTTGTGAGTGGCTACAAGGAGCAAACTCCTCTGTCACTCTGTAGGGGACATAGATCGTGAGCAAGAAACACACCTTGGTTGTTATAAGTCAGGAACATTTTGGAGATTATTGTTACTGCAGAATAACTGAGTCCAGCCTCACAGATAAAGTGACTCACTGAGAATGGGAAATGCTGCAACCCCTATCTGTTTCTTGGGGATTCACAAGACATGATTATAGTGAAGGATCTGAGAGGAAAGAAAGAAGGAAGGAAGGAAAGAGAGAAAAGAAAGAGAAAGAAGGAAAGAAAGAGGGAGAAAAAAACAAAGGAAAGAGAAAGAAAGAATGAAAGAAAAAGAAAGAAAGAGAGAAAGAAAAGAAAGAGAATGAGAAGGAAGGAAAGAGAGAGAAGGAAAGAAGAAGGAAAGAGAAAGAAAGGAAAAGAAAAAAAAAGAACAGCATGTTTACTTTGTTTTAATTCAAGGTTTTCTGGACTTATAGACTAGCAAGCCATCCTTCCCATGAATATCCAATGGAACATCTCTGGGAAAGGCTGGTAGGGAGTGAGTGTCCGGGACAGCAGGGTGGCAGCACAAACCTTCCACGGTGCTCTCCCAGACTCAAGGGGCGCCGCTGGAAGATGTCTCATGTGAGACATGCTCATGGGCTGTGACGAGGAGGGCAGCATTGGGAGAGGATTTGAGCACTCAGAGGGGAGCTGGGAAATCTGCTTATAAACCTGGCTCTGTCACGGGCTTCCTGTCCTCCATGGAGAGTCCTCTACCCTCTCTAAACCACAATGTCCTTCCTCAACACCCAGGCTCGTAGGGAGGATGGAATAATTCTGCACAGTGGAGGTGCCAGCGTTGGCCCGTTGCAGCTGTCCCAGATGTGCCGGCAGCTGTCTGATGGGTGGACCACAGCCATGCAGTGAGCACAGAGCCAGGACAAGTTGAACCTGCCAGAGAGCGACGGCAGGCTCTGGAGAGCAGGACCTGGCCATCTGTAGACGCATCGGTAACACAACAGTCCCACTAATTACCCCTGGGAGGCCCCCCAGCTCCCCTGTCAGGGTGTTGAGTTCCACCAGAGTTTCCAGACTGAGATTCCTGAGCCAACATGCTTTCCTGCAACCCACAACCCCAGGGATGTGGGGTTTTGCCCTAGGACTCTCTGGCTGGGACTTGCCATTGGCCAGAACCCATGGAAATGGATCTGATCTTCCTACTTTCATTTGGGTCTCTGGGGGGCCCTCAGGGCTCAGCTGTCTCCCTGCAGGTCCCCAGGGCCTCCCATTTCTACATTCCCATGGACTACAGCTTCTCCCAGCAAAGGCTTTTCCCAGCCTCAGGCCCTGCAAGATGCCAAGCTGTGACAGATGCTCCTATGTCCTGTTGGGAGCTGAAAATATACTGGCTCTGAAATGTTGCTCTTTTCTCTGAGCCTCAGTTAAATAACTGCAGCAGGGGAACATGGACCATGTCAGGCATTTTCAAACCATTTTTTAAAAACCACGGAGGACAGGAAGCCCGTGGACCTTTTCCTTTGGATAAAACCTTAGATGGGTCTCTGATATTACACCAGGTAAGAGTGCTCCCCACTCACCTCCTCTCTCACTTCCACGATCACCCACAGAGGTCCCGGGCTTCTCAGTGCACAGTTTGAGTCACTAGTTGGCCGGGCACAGTGGCTCAGGCCTGTAATTCCAGCACTTTGGGAGGCCAAAGTGGGCAGATCACTTGAGCCCAGGAGTTCGAGACCAGCCTGGGCGACATGGTGAAACCCCGTCTCTACAAAAAAATACAAAAATTAGCTGAGCATGGTGGCGCACCTGTAGTATTCCCAAAGCTACCAGCATACACTACCATGCCCAGCCCAGGAGGCTGAGGTGGGAGCATTGCCTGAGCCTGAGAAGGTCGAGGCTGGAGTGAGCCATGATTGCACCACTGCACTCCAGCCTGGGCAACAAAGTGAGACCCTGTCTCTAAAAAAAAAAAAAAAGAGAGAGAGAAATAAAGAGAGAAAGAGAAAGAAGAAAGAAAGAAAGAGAAAGAAGGAAAGAAAGAAAACAAAAGAAAAAAGAAAAGAAGAAAAAGTTACTGGTTAAACCCACTCGGAGATCCCCCAGCTCACAGGCAGGCCACAGCTCAATGAGATGGAACCCCTACTGCCTCACCCTCCTTCCCTCCTGAGGATCCCCACCCCACACTCCCTGGTGCCACAGGAGCAAGTCCTCTGCCCCTCCCTCCTATGAATCAGCCCCATGGCTCCACCTCAGTCAGACCCGGCCTCCCCTGCCTCTGATGGCCAGGTAGCTTCCCAGAGGCTGCCGCTGTTGTCCAGTGGTGCTAAGGTGCTCACAGCATAGCTGCGTAGGCTGGGCTTGGCCCCATCCCCTTTCAGGCCAGCCCCCACCCCACCACTGCCTTCGCCAACAGGGTCTGCAGCGTTTAGATGCCAGAGGTGGGGTCAGGACAATTTCCATCCTGGTTGGGGATCCCTGTTTTTTTCACAACCTCACCTAGCCAAGTCAGAGCCTGAGCTGTGCCTCATCTCTGCAGCATCTGGGGCAGGGGCTCGGTCACCCTCTTGGCTCTGGGAACCAGCGTGACAGCCTTCGAGCCTGCAGGAGTCCCCCTGGCACCAGCCGCTTTCTCACCTGCCCGCTGAAGAGGGAAGCTCATTAGTGACAAATTAGCATTATTATTCAACTCCACTGCCCTGTCAGGGGCTTACACAAGGGACCCATCAGGCGCCTGGTCTGTGGGCCCACATGTCCTTGCTTGAGATTTTAATAATCTCCAAAGGTGTTTTTTTAACGTAGTAATAATAATGATGATGATAATCAGAGGACACAGTGGCATTCCCTCCCACAGGGCCTCTGCAAGCTGACTCATGGTGCCTGGTGGGAAAGCCTGAGGTTGGGGGTGGGGTGCAAAAATCACTCCCTGAAATCACCACAAACCGGGGTGATAACAGACATGCTAATCTGCCTCCTTCTTCTAGAATCACGTCAGCATGATTGGCGAATTCCCTGCCCAGTTTCAAATGTCTTAAGAAGCACGAGTTATCTTCATGAGTTCCACACAATCCTTTTTGGGGAACTCCTTGAGATGTTAATGGATCCCCTCTTGTTTCTTTTAAAATGATTTCCTTCCACCAGATCACCTGAGATTTGAGATTTCACAGGAGAGGGAACAATCTTACACTTAACAGAGCCCCCTCCATCAGAGAGAACCCTTTTGGGAGCAAGTGACAGAAAAAAATTAATTCAAGCTGCCTCAAATCACCACTACAACAGGTGATTTGTCAGAGCCAGAATGCATAAGTTTGGGTGATACTTCAGGTCTGGTTGGATCCAGGTCACTCTAAAAATATTGTCAGGATAAAAATATTTCATTTATACAAAATATAATCAGTCCTCAATATAAAAATGTTGATCTTTCTCTCTCCATTGCTTGGCTCTGCGTTCCTTTGTGTTCTCTATTCCCAGGCTCTTCCTTCAGGGTGGCACGATGGCTGCCAGCACCTCCAAGCTGCCATTCCATCCTCTAAGTGGGAGTCTTTCTGTTGCCCAGCAATCCCCATTGAAGACCAGCACTGACTCCTGTGGGGTCCCATTGGCCCAGTTAGAGTCACATGCTCAACTCTGAACCAATCGATGTGGCCAGAAGAAGGAGTGGTTCTGATTGGACAGGGCTGGAACACATGCCCATTCCTGGAGCAATAAACGAGAGGATCCCACTAAAGACACCTGGACTGACAGGGAGGAGGCTTTGCCATCCCAGGAAGCCAGAGTAATCTTATGGGAAGTAAAGGAGATGCATTCTGGGCAGACAATACCTAGATGGATATTTATGTATATTTATGCTTTAGATGGCACCACTACATCCCCACCCTTGACCACTACCACATTCACAGCTCCCAAATTCGGAGCTGGCCCATGTTTCAGTCAACCCCAGACCAAGGCAAAGCATTTATCAGCCAGACGGTTGACTACAGCACAAGATCTTGGCAATAGTCAACTGAAATACAGGGAATCACAGATGTTAAGTCACTAAGTCCAACCTTACCACCACAGCCTCCCTGAGAGGCTGGCAGTACTTCTGGGGACTCGCTCCTCCTGGGCAGCTTTGTCCACTAGAAGGTGGGTTCCTTGAGGGCAAGGACTTTGTTCCTTCACTTTTTTTTTAATTTCCAGGACCAAGGACAGTGCCCAGTATGCATTGTTGCATGAATTTTCACAATTGGCTTTGACTTTTAAAAATATTCTCCTCGTGATGAGTTCATGTCCTTTGCAGGGACATGGATGAAGCAGGAAACCATCATTCTAAGCAAACTATCACAAGGACAGAAAACCAAACACCACATGTTCTCATTCATAGGTGGGAGTTGAACAATGAGAACACATGGACACAGGGTAGGAAACATCACACACTGGGGCCTGTTGCAGGGTGGGGGGATGGGGGAGGGATAGCATTAGGAGAAATACCTAATGTAAATGATGAGTTGATGGGTGCAGCAAACCAACATGGCATAGGTATACCTATGTGACAAACCTGCACGTTGTGCACACGTACTCTAGAACTTAAAGTATAATAAAAAATATATTGTCCTTTTATGTATATTTAATCAAAATTAAACTTCTGGGGGTTTCCATCTTCTCAGAAACACTTTATGTTTTCCAGGGGACCACATGTCAGGCATTTGAAGACTACCAGAAGTCTCTCACCTCTACCCATCTAGTCTCTCCCTAGGCTACACAGGACTAGTTTATTCAGCTCTTCTCCATATGGTATGGTTTGGAGTCCCTCTCCCCTTTCTGGATGCCCACTCTAGACCCAATCCTGTTGGTCAATATATTGCCCAAAATGTGATGCCAGTTTTCTAGGGGTGGGAATACTGTAGTACAATAAAATGATCACCTCCCACATGCTACCTACTCTGCCTCTATTAATATGACCAGCAGTATCCCGTTGTTGTTTGGATCACCATATTTCATTAAAGACCCACAATATACTTGCTGTTTTCTAAACCCTTGTGTTTTTCACATATCCTAACTATGGCTTTCCCATTCCTTACTTATGTGGTTGACTTTTTATATAGCTCCTGATACCCAAGAAGAATAAGGTCATGGTGTAGAAGTTGAGGATGGAGGAAATTAATTTTTTTGGGTGTGGGGTGCTTCCTATATGCCAAGCACACCATATTTACTTCTTACAACTATTTTCTTCTTCTTCTTCTTCTTCTTCTTCTTTTTTTTTTTGAGATGGCTGAAAGTGCAATGGTGTGATCTCGGCTCACCGCAACCTCCACCTCCCGGGTTCAAGTGAGTCTCCTGCCTCAGCCTCCTGAGTAGCTGGGATTACAGACATGTGCCACCATGCCTAGCTAATTTTTGTATTTTTAGTAGAGACAGGGTTTCTACATGTTGGTCTGGCTGGTTTCGAACTCCCAACCTCAGGTGATCTGCCTGCCTCAGCCTCCCAAAATGTTGGGATTACAGGCATGAGCCACCACACCTGGCCTAACTATTTGCTTCTTACAACACTATGAGGTAGGTATAATTATCCCCAATTTATGGATGTGGCAACTGAGGCTCAGAGAAGTTCTTCACTTGTAAATGTCACACAACTGAAAGGAGGCACATTCAGGATTCAAATCCAGACTTGCCTGGTCCCCAAGCCTACGCTTCTGTAGCAACACCATGAGTCCCTCCCAGGAACCAGAGTGTGACTCGAAGGTATGGCAGCCAGCCCACTCCGGAGAGGGTTTCATTGTGCCTATAAGTTCTCCTTGTTGTCCCAGCCCTGCCCAAACTCATCCCATTGTACCCACTCTGACCCTCCTTCTGGATCTTGCTTCCAGCATATGGCAGGAACCCATCATACTCGTAAAGTTCTCTGCGTCCATCTGCCTGCTTGGCACAGCTGCATCTGTAGGGCACCATGGACAGCAGATGGGGGGGGTCAGCGAGTCCGGGGCCTGTGAGCCATCTTGGAAAAGGTACACAGAAGAGAAAAAGGCCAGCGTGGCCGGCTGCATTCCTGCCTCCATTCACCAGCTGTCAAGGGGGCTCACCAGTTAAGTGGCTGCTTAGGGCTTTCAAAACCACTAATCAAACCTGCCAAAAGTTTAAAAAAGGGCTTTAAAAAATTTTTCTCTTCATTTATTTTTTTAACTATGTTAAAAGGTTCATTAAAGATCTGCAAAGGATGAAGAAGCCTTTTCCAGCTTTCCTCCTCCCCCACTCAATAATTAAGAACGTGGCTCCCCCAAACGTTACTTTTCATATCTCCCCCATTGGCAGCAGAAAATGCAGATGGGAGTTCAGAAGCGTCTTGTTAGCATGTCTGCCTTGCAAGGAATTGCTCGTTAATGGGAGATGCTGGGAGTTGGTAATTTTGTAAAAATTCATTGGTATTGTCAGCAGACAGCTTCCCCAGCCCTTGCCTGGGCCCTGCCTGCTCTCTTTCTTGTATTTGGAACTCAGCTGGTAAACAATCAAAGAAAAGATGCCCCCCACTGAGAATCCAGACACAGTAGATCCCCTCAAGGAACTCTCCGGTATAAGTGGCATTTGGGAAGCTGCCGCAAGAGTGCCCCCAGAGAGAACAGTCTCCCACCGTGGTGGGAGCCAGGGCTGCACGGGAATTGTGCTAGACTTAGAGTCAGGAAACCTAGACCAGTGATCCTGTCTCAGTCTCTGAGTTACCTGGGGCAGATGGCTTTATCTTCTGGCCTCAGTTTCCACATCTGTGAATTGGAGATCACAATGTCTTCCTTGCAATATTGCCACGAGGGTTACATGGGAACAGGAGCAATTAGAATGACGGCTGCTATGAATAGAGCATTTGCCAAAGCAAGATACTCTGTGAAGGCCCTCAAAACATCTATTTTACAGGAAATAAAACAGGTTCAGAGAGGTGGAGTGGCTTGACAGTCGCCACACAGCTAGGAAGTATACTGGGATTTGAAGGCAGGCATTCCTCTTTCCAGAGCCCTATATGTGTGGCCCATTCTTATTTCAATCAGATTTTATGTGCAATGGTGACCATAACCACCGTTTGTATGGAAGAGTTTCCATGCTTGCCTGATTTTGCAGATGTGAGCTGTCAGCCTCCAGGACTGGGAAAAGTAAAAGGGACCATGATTGATTTTCAGAGATGGAGAAACAGAGGGCAAGAAAGGAGTGACTGGCCAAGGGCCCCATAGTGCACAGAGCAGTGTACACTCCAGGTACTTAGAGGGACCAGATTTCACTGGGGTGCCAAGGAAGGAACAGGCCTGGCATCAAAATCCACATGCTAATGGAATAGAAAATCCAACGTGGAGTAAAGGGAAAGGTACAAATAACCAGCAGAGCCTCACCTCATTTATTTGGCAGATACTCTCTGAGGGTACTAGGTGTGCACAATGGGGATAAAGCGACATTGTTTTAGATGTCTGCCTAAGGCACTTCCAAGCCATCTGTTGTACAGAAGCAAAACGCACAGTCCTCCCTGAGCACCATCAGACCCTGCCACCCCCTGCAACCTCATCCCCCAGGACTCCTCTTCCTCCTCACCCTCCACCATGAGCCTCGGGCCATTGCCTCAAATGTTCCTCTACCCCCAGTGTTTCCATGATGGGCTTCTCTTTATCCTTCAGGTTTCAGATCCCATGGCACTGCCTTAAAGACATCCTCCTTGATCCATCCCTAGAAAAGAGGCTCCTTCCCTCCCCTCATAGTCTCTGTCTTCCCATCCTTTTTTGTTTTCTTTATAGCAATGAGCATCCTTCGCAGTTCTTTAACCTTTGTGTACTTCTTTCACCTCTTTCTCTTCAGTTAGACAGAAGTTACTTGAGGACAGTGACTGTATTAGTCTGTTCTCATGCTACTAATAAAGACATACCCAAGACTGGGTAGTTTATAAAGGAGAGAGGTTTAACGGACTCGCAGTTCCACAAGGCTTGGGAGGCCTTGCAATCATGGTGGAAGGTGAAGGAGGAGCAAAGGCACGTCTTACGTGTCTTACATGGCAACAGGCAAGACAGCATGAGCAGGGGAACTGTCCTTTATAAAACCATCAGAACTCATGAGACTTATTCATTATCATGAGAACAGCACAGAGAAAACCTGCCCCCATGATTCAATTACCTCCCACTGGGTCCCTCCCACAACACGTGGGAATTATGGGAGCTGCAATTCAAGATGAGATTTGGGTGGGGACACAGCCAAACCATATCAGTAACAAAACAAGCTTGTCTTGTTTTCTATCACATCTCTAGGCTCTGACACTTAGTAGGTGCTCAGGAAGTATTGATTGAAATAACCACATACAAGACATACCAATTGCCCCCTGCAGAGCTTAGGAGGTCATAGGTTGTACTGGCAGGTGGTAGAAAAAAAGAGCTAATCCCGGGGAGGCTTCCTGGTGGGATGCTGCCTCCAGGGTTGGGAATGGCCTGGGCACAGCCTTGGCAGATAGAGAGGAGGGCTGAGAGCAGGGGGATCTTGGAGCTTGGGGGAATCGCTGTACATGGCAGCTGAGCTCCCTGGGTTCTCAGAGGAGAGGGTCTAGCCCTTCTCTTGTGGCCTCTGGTGACAGGACAGTGGAGGATAGTTGCCGTTAACACTTGGCCATATCACCGGCTGAGCTGATTGAGGCCAAGGAGCAGGGAGCTCAGTAGCTGGGCTGCCAACAAACCCTGATCTCAGTCTCCAGCCTGCTGCCGTAGCAGCTGGAACTCTGTTCCTAAGCCAGACAGAGAAGAGGAAAATAAAAGGAGAAAGAAAGAAACCCTCACCAATTCCCTGGGAAGCATTTGCAAACAACATCTCATTGAACAAGGAATGCATGCAAGGTTCACGCGGGTGGCAGGCAGGGTAGTAAGTGACCTCATTTCTGTTGCTGACACGGGCCCACCTGCTGCCAGGCGTGGCAGAGCAAGCCGCTACACGGGCCTCGCCAAGCGGGAGCTTCTGCCCAGCAAGATATTTCTTCCTGGAAGGAAGCACTGAGGCTCAGCCAGACCTGCAGGGATCTGAAGAGCATTGTTCTTTCCTGTTTTAACATCCCAGGTCAACAGCCATTCCCCAGTGACTGCTGAGTCCAGGGCTCTGAGCTTCCAGCTGAGAAAGCAGATGAAAAAGCCACAAACCTGCCTTGAGAGGCTGGTGGTCTGGAAGGGGAGAGGACACAGAGAACAGACAATGGAATCAGTGCAGGAGTGATGAGGGAAAAAGGAAGGACCACCTGAGGCTGACAAGCCCTGGAACCCCAACCCTCCATTTACCGAGAAGTGCCTAAAGGTCATGGGTGGCATCCTGGGTGGTGAAGCACCTGTTACTTGGAAGTACTAATGCTCCATGGTCGTCATCACCTTGCCAAGCCTAGCTCCTCCTAGGTCCATGGTTGGATCTGCATGTCCCAGGTAAGACAGGGGATCTGCACAGATGTCAGCCAGGGTTCCCTGGCCCCAGAGGCCAGGCAGACAGTAAAAATAAAGAGGCCTGGAGGGTTTTCTGCAAGATTGGCATAGATTGTTAATTTAGGGGTAAAGAGTGGTGATGGGAGGCTGGTTATGAGTTGCGGTGCAGAAGGTTTGGTGATGGTGATGATGGGATCAGTTGTCACAGTGGCTGTGGTCGTGATACTCAAAGAAATAAGGAAGGTGCTGGCAGTGATGCAGAATCGTGATAACAGTGGCAATTGTGGCAGTAGAAGAAAGGTGGTGGTGATGCAGGCGGTGGCAGTGGTGATGCAGCAGGTGATGATGAAAGGAGAGAGTTTGTGATGACAATGGTGACAGTGGTGACGCTGATGGTGCTGAAGATTGGGATGATGTCCAGATCCATCTCGCACAGGCCAATCCTTCAGAACTGGAAGTGCAGACAGCCGCAGACACCACTTGTCTCCATCCTCAGGCAAGACTTGCTAAAATCTCTTTGTAGCAGGCTAGCTAACAACAGAGCTTTTTTCGGGGAAAACATGTTTTCCGATCCATAGTACACATCCAATTGTCTCCACTGGTCTTTAGCTAGTGCCTGACATCCAGGCAAGGGAGAATTTCCAATGCCCCTGAAGACTTCACAGTGGCCTTCTAGAGACATAGACATTGCCTGGCCATCTAGGGAGGGTCCCAAGAAGGGGGATTATCCTGGAAGGATTATTCACAGAGAAAACAATGTCCATCAGTAGAAGAAGGCGTGGTTTTGCACATTGGGAGACAGTCCAGCTTAGGGGGTAGTGGTTAATATTAAAGATCAGGACAGGCTCTCCAAGCAATTCAAACATCAAGTTCCAGCTCCAAAGTCACCTCCTCAAACAAGACCTCCCTGATTGCCCCTGGCCTGAGGAGGGCCCTGCTGGCCTCCTGAGTACTCCCCTAGCACCTTCTTAGTCCATGATTATGTGGACAAAGTTTTATAATAATTGACCACATGTCTGTTTTCTGCATAGACTGTACCTTCTTTAAAGGCAGGGACCTGGTCTGCTTGTTGGTAGAACCCGGGGTCTGGTACACAACAGGCAGCTGATAAATGATGACAGGCACTGACACGGTGGGCTCTCCCTCTGTCCATCTCCTCCTGGTCTTGGTCAGTTCGGCTGCTATAACAAAATACCATAGATTGGGTGGTTCACACAATAGACATTTATTTCTCATAGTTCTGGAAGCTGGAAGTCCAAGACCAAATTGCCAACTGATTCAGTTCCTGGTGAGGGTCCCTTTCTTGGCCTTCATAAGGCTGTCTTCTCACTGTGTCCTCACGTGGCAGATAAAAGGACAGAGGAGAGCACGTTCTTTGGCCTCGTCTTATAAGACCACTAGTCCCATTCTGAGGATTCCTTATGAACTCATCTCACCTTAATTACCTCCGAAAAGGCCCCACCTTCAAATGCCATCATATGTGGGTTAGGACTTCAACATAAGAATTCAGGAGGGGAGACACACACATTCAGTCCACAAAACTGATCATATCGCTGGGGAGCCATAGAGCAGTTCTTCCGAAGGGGCGGGATTAGACAAACCCAGGACTGGTACGCAGCTGGAGAAACTGAGGCTAACGCAGGCTGTTATAGAGAAGCTAGGTGAGGACATCCCCTGGGACTCTCTGCCTTGTCCCGGGCTGCCTGTCAGCGGATCTCCTCACTGGCATGAAATTTCTGGGCCCTTAAGAAGTTCCAAAATGTCTTAATTAATGACCAGGGACAGTTCAGACCCTGGGGAGGGAGCTTCAGTTTCCAGGCAGGCAGAGAGAGGGTGATCACAGGGACAGCTCCCAGCAAGAGCCATCCTCTGGGATGCCTCGGGGAAGAATTGGCTTCCTGGAGGAATTTAGGGAAAATAAGGTTGCCTGCTGCCTTATTGCTGGGAACAGCCTTGGGCTTCTTGAGTGGGGGATCTTTCTTCCTTCCTCACTCCCTTCCTCAATCAGTTACTGTGGGCTTCCTATATGCCAGGACCCTGGGGCAACACCATGCACTCACTCACCCACCCATCAATATTTACTGAGCACTAGTGTATGCCAGGCACTGTTCTCAGTGAGGGAGATGCAGTGGTGGCTAAGACGGCCACTGCCGACACCCTGCAGAGCACACAGTCTGGTAAACATGCAGAGAAAATCAGGCCCAGAATCATCCCGAATGAGGGGGAGGAAGGGCTTGCCCACAAATAGCTGAAACATGAGGATGAGAGGGACCAGGGTCACGTGGCACAGTGGAAAGAACACAGGCTTTGGAGGGAGACTGGCGTGGTCCAGATCAGGTGTGCATCTCACCTTTCTGAGTCTCAGCTTCCTCATATGTAAAATGGAGATGATACCTGCTTACTAGAGCTGTTAAGAGCATTTTTAAAAGGCAACTCCAAGGCCGGGCACTGTGGCTCATGCCTGTAATCCCAGCACTTTGGGAGGCTGAGATGGGCGGGTCACTTGAGGTCAGGAGTTTGAGACCAACCTAGTCAACATGGCGAAACCCTATCTCTACTAAAAATACAAAAATTAGCTGGGTGTGGTGGCATGTACCTGTAATCCCAGCTACCCAGCTACTTGGGAGGCTGAGGCAGGAGAATCGCTTGAACCTGGGAAGTGGAGGTTGCAGTGAGCCAAGGTCGTGCCACTGCACTCCAGCCTGGATGACAGAGTGCAACCTTGTTGCAAAAAACAAAGAACAAACAAACAAAAGGCAACCTCAAAGTCTGGAAGAGAGAGGTGAAATTCAAGGCAGGCAGGACACTTTTGGCAGGTAGGATCAGAGGGGCCTTTCTTGGGGAGGTGAGTTTCTGGTGAAACCCTGATGATGGTCCACCAGAGTTTCAGTGTGGGCTTAGCAGAGTGCCTGGTAATGAGTGCACGGTGGTACAGGTCAGTGAAGCAGGCAGCTACGCAGTGCCGCAGCCGCCTGTTGCTGTTCATTACCCATGTTGGTACTTGAAATTGTTGTGATTATTTGCACTCTTGCTGATTGTCCGTCTCCCCTAACTAGGTCATGAGCTCCAAGAGGGCAGCCACGTCCCCAGTGTTCAAAGCAGCACTGGTGCAGAGAGAGTGGGCCTGTGACTTGCTGGTTGAATGAGTGGGCATGCAGACGGTGCCATCCTGTGGGTCCTGGGGCAGCCTGGGGAGGAGGTCATCCATCTACTTGCTCATGACCTTCTACAGATTGAGTTCCTGGGTTTTTAGGGACAGCTGGACTCCATTGAGGCAAACGTATGTTGAACTAGTGAAGTTGCAAAGAGGTAGCCATGCCTATTGCTTCCCTTGAGGTATTCATGGTTACTCTTGATATTAACTTTACTATCTCATTTATCCTGGCAGACAGAAATAGCGAGCCCATTCCCCAGTTCATGCAGCAAAGGAAGCAGAGGCTTAAGAAGGCGAAGTCCCTCTCAGGTTCACACGAATGGAGCTGGGCGGTGTCCCTCCCCAAACTCAGAGCCTGTCTCCAAGCTCAGGACTTGTTCCAGGAGCCCCACTCGGCACTCAGGTCCTAGACACAGATCATCTATGCCCACAGAGGGGCTGCTTTATTTCTGGACTTTCACTTCTATCCGCGCACCGTGGGATGTTGTGCAAGTCACTCTCCTCCCTGAGCCTCAGTTTCCTTACCTGTGCTGTGTGCATGAAAGTTTCCACTTGCCTGCTTCACAGGAGGTTGACCACATGGGTACATAATCTGACACGGGGCCATGCAAACAGCAGGTGTTCACACCTGAGTTGCTGCTTCCTCTTTCCTATCTGGGCTACTGATGTGCAGAGTGTTACAGAGAGAAGAGGTGGCCCAAGGAGCTACTCTGACGTTGGGTGCAGAGGGCAGGCAGGGAGACCCACTGGTGGGAGTGACGCAGATGTGGGGCAGCAGGAAGGAGGCCCAAGGGCAGGAGGTGAGAATGAAAGAGGTGAGTAAGGCCACCTAGAGCCAAGCAGAGCCACTCTGCAGGAGGAGTGAGAACAGCACCGACTTGCCGTGTCATACAAATGATAAACAATAATAATAACATGTGTTTGTGTGTAATGAGAAGGACTACAGAGACCGAATTACCTTGGTAATAGCTTGAGGATGTCAGGGACTCATTTGTTTCTTGAGGGAGGAGTTGAGGATTGCATTCTCTCTCTCTCTCTCTCTCTCTTTCTCTCTCCCTCTCCCTCTCCCCCTCTTTTCCCTCTCTCTCTTTCCCTCCCTCTCTCTCTCCCCTCTCCCTCTTTTTATCCCTCTCCCTCTCTCTCCTTCTCCGTCCTTCTCTTTGTCCTTTTCCCTCTCCCTCTCTTTCTCCCTCTCCCTCTCTCTCTCCTTCTCCCTCTCTCTCTCCCTCTCCCCCATTTTTTCTCTCCCTCCCTCTTTTTCTCTCCCTCCATCTCTCTCTCCCTCTTCTTCCTTCTTTCTCTCCCTCTCCCTCCCTCTATCTCTCTGTCTCTCTCTCTCTGATACACACACACACACACACACACACACACACACACACACACTGGATGTTGCTCAAGGTAGGAAGAGGGAGGATGAAGCCCTGGCAGAGAGCAAAGCCCAAGCCTGTGCTGGCGGGTGTTGAAGGCATAGCCCTGTGGGGCTCAGAAGGGGAGCATGGTGGTCAACATTGCAGCTCATCAAACATTCCTGCTTTCACCTTAGGGCCACCAGGTGGGTTTGCATTTCCTGGCCCCCTTGTAGTTGCTGGTCCATCGAGTTTCTGGGGGAAGTGATGCATGTCGCCTATGTGCTGCAGCTCTTCATGGCTGTTGCAAGACCCTGTAGAATTCCTTGCCCTTTGCTGCAGTGACTGTGGAAGTAGATGTAGACTTGACAGGTCTGTCAGCCTGGGTCCTGTAAGACGATAAGGCAGCTGAGACCCCTGTTCTGATGGATGCACAGCCGGAGAAAGAAATGTTTGTTGATATAAGCCACAGGTGGAGAAAGAAATGTTTGTTGATGTAAGCCACTGAAGTCGGGGATCATTGTCACTGCAACATGACTCATCCTGTCCTGACTAACACGGGTCCCTGCTTTGGGGCCAGCTCTAAGAAGGTGATCCCCAGGTCAAGGACTGCACAGTTGTTCAGAACCACAGCTCCTAAACACGTATTTCCTGGTCAGATGGAAACTCCCCAAACCTCCAAGGTAGAAGAGGGATCCCTCAGCCTTGAACCATTTGCTGGGCGGGTCCTGGCATTGCTTTCTTTTGCTAGCCATGACATTGCTCCAGGGGTTACAAGTCACTGCTCAGCTCAGGAAATAAAAATCAGACAGAATGTCCAGTATCATGGAGACAGAAGGTGATCCGTCAGCTGAACTTGGTTTTTTCAATTACTTTTTAGGTCATCAGATGTCAGAGCACTGTGGCTTTGGGAGACAGCCTGGAACATTATCCAGGTTGGTCCAAAAAGTGGCGATTGTCATTAACTATGATCTCATCTCAGCCCCTTAAGATGAGGTGGGAAATTGAGGCTCATGTTTTCAAGGTCATACGGACACATTATGGTGTTTTGAATGTCCCTGGAACCTCCCTAAAGCCTCTCTCCATTTTCCCCAGCTCTGAGGTCTCCAAGAACCTGAGTATTACCTTCATATCTTATTTAGGGTGGCACAAGGGGTGAAGTGAACTTTGAGAGACAAAAACTCATACCTGAGGCTTGAGTCTGAGAGGCTGGATCACGCTGCACACCCTCCTGCCAGGTGGGTGAAGATCCAGCCGGCTCTCTGCCTCCCTGTTCATCATCTGGAAGCTCAACTGGAATCTCACCCCTAAAGTTTCTCGCTGTTTGGGGTGAGCCGGAGTCTGGGAATTCTTTTCTGTAACCTCTCCACCTCTGCTCTCGTAAATAATCCACTCTTGGCCTTTCTTGCTGGGAGGTGTTACGCTTCAGGCCTTGAATCATGCCTGCAGCCTGTCTCTGGACCCCTTCCAGGTGCCACATCGCTTGGCAGCTCTGCATAGATTGTGCCTTCACTGCTTCCCCTGGTCCATATATTATACACTCACGTAGTCACCCTAATAGCCCTCACCACCTAAAAACATAAATCATGCTGAAAAAAGGAGCAAAGTGCTTGAGCATCTTAAGCTGGAATAAAAATAACGGTAGCGAACGCTGAGGCAGGGTTTGCTCTGCGCCAGGGACTGCTGAAAATGCTCCAGACACATTGACTTATTTCCTCCTCGTGACAACCCCAAGGGCTGGTGTGATAATTTTTCTGCTTAGGAAATTGAGGCTCAGAGCAGTTAAGCAACTTGCCCAGAGTCACACAGGGATGAGCATCAGAGACAGTACCTAAAGCCTGTGTGCTCTGCCTTGAGTCTCCCTCCTTCCCCAGTATACTACGTGCCTTTCTGGAAGGAACCAGTGGGGTCCTCAAATTCAATTCTATTTGGAGATACAGCACAGAAAGACAAAATGACTTTCTCTCACTCCCACAGAAAGTTAGTGGCAGACTTAGGAACGGATCCACTCCCCATCAGTTCTATTCCATGAGCCCTACATCCCTCCCATGGAGCATCCTTTGATCTGTGCCAGGCTGCATGGCTCTGTCATCTCTCTTCCCTGCTGCACCTCCAGGGCTTCCTCCTTATCCCCAAAGACTCAGCCCCCCGTGGAAGAAATGGCCCGCTCTTCCTTCCAGGGAACCATACTAAGCAATCTGCTTTTCTCCCAGGCACATCTGGAAGTGGTTCAGAAATGGCACAGAACAGCAAGAGAGATGCATCCCCAACGACCGTCCTCTGTGCTGGAGCTGCCAGCCATGGAGGACATGCTAACAAGAGGGAGGGGGTTACCACCAGGCCAGGACCTGGTACAGCCGCTAAAAATTCTTCAGAAGAGACTAGAGCTGTACTCTGCTTGATTGCACCTGGTTTCTTGACCTACCTAAGCCCAGACTCCTGTAGTCTTCCCCTTAAATACCTCTGCTTGCCAAACAGGCAATGCTGGTCCTGAGACAGAAATTCCTACTTACCAAGGAATCCTAGAGTAGAAAAATAAAATAAAATAAAATTGGGAGCTAAGCTATTTGGACGCAAAAGCATAGGAATGCTATAATGGACTGAGCGCGGTGGCTCACGCCTGTAATCCCAACACTTTGGGAGGCTGAGGCGGGCGGATCACAAGGTCAGGAGTTCGAGACCAGCCTGGCCAACATGATGAAACCCCATCTCTACTAAAAATACAAAAATTAGCCAGGTGGCGCATGCCTGTAACCCCATCTACTCAGGAGGCTGAGGCTTGAACCCAGGAGGCTGAGGCTGACGTGAGCTGAGATCTCGCCACTGCACTCCAGCCTGGGTGACAGAGAAAAAAAAAAAAAGGATGACACAATGGACTTTGGGGACTTGGGGAAAAGGTGGGAGGAAGGTGAGGGATAAAAGACTATACACTGGGTAGAGTGTACACTGCTTAAGTGATGGGGGCACCAACATTTCGGAAATCACCACCAAAGAACTTATTCATGTAATGAAACATCACCTGTTCCCCAAAAACCTATTGAAATAAAAAATAAAATAAAATAGATACAATGGGGTGGGGGTCTGAGGCAAAAACAGGTTCCAGCTAGGGGATAGGTAAGTCTCAAGGATCTTTTGGAAAACAGGTAAGAAGTAGAATTAGGAAGAAAGCCCCCAGAGCTCTGAATTTACCTCCTCAATGACATACCATGGAACATTACAACTAATCAGCTATGCAATGATTTTTATTATATAAGCCAATAAAATGGGAAAATTACATTTTCACTGTTAACTGTTAGACTGAGTTTTTTGAACCTTATATTTTATAGCCTCATGGTTTCTCAATTTTTTTTAAATATGTTCTTTCAGATTGGGAAAAGTCCCTTTTAAACATTCTGCATACAGCATGCAATAGATAGCATTATTGTTCATAAGTTTTCACTGACCTGCATTCCTCTTTGCCATATAATGTACAGCAGAGAAGGCACTGCACAGCTTTCTGCACCGTTGAGTTTGGGAGTGTGTATTAGTCTATTCTTGCACTGCTGAAAAGAAATACTTAAGACTGGGTAATTTCTAAGAAAAGAGATTTAATTGGCTCATGGTTCTGCAGGCTGTACAGGAAGCATAGCAGCATTTGCTTCTGGGGAGACCTCAGGAAGCTTCCAATCATGGCAGAAGGTAAAGAGGGAACAGGCATGTCACATGGCAAAAGCAGGAGCAAACAAGAGGGAGCTGGGGTGGAGGTGCCATACACTTTTAAATGACCAGATCTCGCGAGAACTCACCATCATGAAAACAGCACCAAGTCATGAAGGATCCACCCCATGACTGAAACGCCTCCCTCCAGACCCCACCTCCAGCAGTGGGGATTACAATTCAACATGACATTTGGGCAGGGACAAATATCCAAACTGTATTAGTGTGGCGCTGTGACTTGCTTGGGTGACTTGCAGTACGCGGTGTGTGTTTCTACTTGTCCTTTGCAAAATTTCGGTCTTCTGTCATGAACAGGGCGTGCCCCAGGTTTCCCGGTTCTGAGATGAGAGAAATGTGGAATAGACCTAAACCTAATCCACAGCTGGAGACTGCAGCCTGGAGCCCCATCGTGCCAAGTTGCAGCTGGTCCACAGACCCATGAGCACAGAGTAGGTGCTGGTTGTTAGCCATTGTGATTTTGGGTTGATATGCAGCTTTATTGCAACAAAACCTGACTAGTTTGATGCATACACTTATGGGCACAGAGAATCTTAGAATCTCAAGTTTCGAAGAAATGACTTTTTATTAATGATAATGACCATCATTGATCGAGGGCTTATTAAGTGCCAGGCTCTGTACTAGATCATTTATATGCAGCATCATTTTCTATTGGGTAAATGGAAACTCAGAGGGGTCAGGTAGCTCGCCCAAGGTCACTTAACTAATTAGTGATAGAATCGGAATGTCAATCTCAGGTCTGGCTGGCTCCAAAAGCCCCACTCATCCACGCTGACCTCACTTCTTGGGGTTGGCCCACCTCAACCTTCCCTGCTCCAGGCCTCTCTGACATTGACTCATCCTCCAAGATCCTTGCCAAGGTTTCCATCAGTGTGCTTTGGAGTCCTTTCATTAAATAAAAAGGAGCTTATCTCCTCCCCCACGAAGGGCACTTCACCTTTAAGCATTTCTGGTTATTGGAAATTCTTCCTTGTATTGAACCAAAACCTTTCCCTCTGAAACATCTGTTCTTTGGTTCTGAATTTTTCCCCTGCTTGGGACTATTTAGAAAAATGGTGATGTCTTTTCCACATCCCAGCTTTTCAAATACTGCAAGAAAGGTTTTACATTCACCCCATGTTTTCCCTTCTCTGGACTAAACACCCCTACTTCCTCTAGCTGTCCTCAAGAAAACACATTTTTATTGTGAAATATTGCATGCAGAAAAATGCATAAAATACAAAAGCACAGTTTCATAAATAACTCTAAAGTGAGTCCCATGTAAGTCCTTTCAGGCCAGCAGATGGAATTTTGTCACCTTCCAAAGACCCCGTGTGTCCTTTTTTTGTTATTCGTGTCCCTCACCCCACTGTGACCACTGTGTTGACATGTATGATAATAATTTCCCAGCTTTTCTTTATAGATTTTGTACTTGTTTATCCACACCTAAATATTATAGTTTAGTTCTGCCTGTCTGTGAGCCTTACGTAAATGGAATCATACTGTAGTACTCTTTCGTGCCTTGCTTCTTTTAATTTACATGATAAGGTTCATATTGTAGCTTGTAGCTATATTTCATTTATTTTCCTTGTTGTATGGTATTCCACTGTATGAATATATTACAATTTACATGTCCATCTTATTGCTGATGGACATTTAGGATGTGTCAAAGTTTGTGTTTTGATACCCAGTGGTGCTATGAATGTTCTGATACAGGTTTTGATACACAATGCTGCTATGAATGTTCTGATACAGGTACTTAGATCATATGTTCAACAGTTTCGTTTGAATCATGGGATATAGACATCTTTATTAGATAATTCCAAGCTGCTTTCTAAAGTGATGGAAACTAGTTCGTACACCCACCAGCAGCTTTTGTGAATTTCCATTCCTCTTCTAGCATAACACGGCTTAGTTCCAAGTGGCTTTTTTTTTAACGGAGTTTTGCTCTTGTCGCCCAGGCTGGAGTGCAACAGTGCAATTTCAGCTCACTGCAATCTCCTTCTGCTGGGTTCAAGTGATTCTCCTGCCTCAGCCTCCCAAGTAGCTGGGATTACAGATGCCCACCACTACACCTGGCTAACTTTTTTTTTTTTTTTTGTATTTTTAGTAGAGACGGGGTTTCACCATGTTGGCCAGGCTGGTCTCGAACTCCTGACCTCAGGTGATCCACCCGCCCCGTCCTCCCAAAGTACTGGGATTACAGGCATGAGCCACCGCACCTGGCCCCAACTGGCCTTCTTATCCTGGCTATGTGATCTTCAGATAGCCTCCACACACGCATACACAATGCATTCATATTCGCAAGGTGTGCACAGATGCCCACACATGCATACTTGCCTAACAATACGCGAGTTATATGGACAGATAAGAAATCCCCCTTGACTAGGTTTTAGAAGACCCGCAATCTACTAGGAGAAATCACTGTGGCAAAGAAGAAGCTGGTTCCACTTCATCACCATCCTAATTCTGCACTTATATGAGTGGGTAAAACATAAAAGTGAGTTGCTCATCGTGGAAGACTGGATTATGTGTCTGCCTCTTGACTTCCTGGCATGTTTGATAGGATTATACCTCCACACTCTTGGGCATGCTTCTTTGCAATGCCCTCCCACGGTGGCATGACTGTACATCTCCATCTCTTGAGCTGGGGCTCAGTCATGTGTCTTGTTTTGGCCAACTGGAAGCCAGCAGATGTGGCTCAAGCAGTCTTGAGATGCACTGGCGCCATTCAGCCTGTGCTCTTTCCCTTCTGTCGAACCTGGGAAGAGAATGGAGGCCCACGTGGAGCAGCACAACCTTGGCCGAGCCCAGCCTCGGTCAGCAATCCACAGCCACCATGAACTAATTAAATGCTGTTGTGGGCCATGGAGATTCTGCAGTTGTCTGATATGCAGCCTTAGTTAACCAAAACCCTCATCATTGTCATCATCACCATCACTCTCTTAACAATAGCTACCACGTATGGAGCATTTCACCATCCCTCTGTAGTAGACAGCTTTATTATCTCTGTTTTGCAGTGGGAATCTGAGGCTCAGAGAGGTGAAGAGACTTTCCCAAGGCCACACAATTAGCAAGAGGAGTGATCATAGTTTATACTTAGGTCTCTCTGACTCAAGAGCTCATGCCCAGCTGGGGTAGTGGTGGGAGGAGCCTTTTAAAGCACATTTTAAAATCACTGTGTTCTATCAGTATTTGTTAAAGCTGTGATGAAAAGCATCAGAGGACGCAGATGTCACACTCACAAAACTGTTCAGTGGTCAGACAGATATGCAGGGGAATAGCCGAAGGGTGAGGTCTTTTACTAGGCTCACTCCTGTGTGGTCAGCTCAGGCTGGCCAGTGGATTTTCTCCCTAATGTTAGAATCTGACAATGAAACTGCTATCTTGTGTTCATGGGGCTAGAAACCATCAGAGATTCGGAACAGGTCAAAGCTGGGTTGGAGTCGTGGCTGGACCTCTTACCAGAGGCGTGTCCTCGGGCAAATCATTGAATCACCTGAGGCTCCATTCCCTCATCTGTAAAATGGAAAGGAGAAAATCCCTCCATGCTGGTCCCCAGTTTGTTGTTAGGAACAGAGGGAACGAGGGATGCAAAGAGTTTGTAAATAATGAAACCCTCCACAGACGTTGGTGGTTGTCACTTTTCTTGTTATGATGACAGCGTGGGTCCCTCTTGCGACCAAGCAAAGATGCAAACGGCTCCAAACCAGCAGCACAGATCTCCCAGATGATCCTGTACCAAGAGGGATGGGCAGGAAGGAGGCAGAGAGTGAGAGCCTGGGATGTGAAGGCAGTGAGAAGGATCAAGGTCTCTCGGGTCTCGGGACCACCCTTCAGGTTGGCTAAGCCCATGATGGGTTCTAGCGGGAGCTTGTGTTGTTTCTTTGCCTTCCCACCCCAGCCTGGGAAGACCTGCATTTGGGAGAGGAACGTTCCCATCTCACCACTCAGAGAGAGAAGCCTGAATTGCAGAGACCATGAGGATGGCTGAGTAGACTCTGAAGCTCCAGGAGAGCCCAGTCAAATTCTACTTCTGAGGGCCAGAGCATGCTGCGGCCCCGAGAGCGGGAACATAGGGTTGGGAGGCCTTCCTGAATGTCCCGCGTGCTGCAGAACAGCCGGAAGGAGGCCTCTGCCTTGACCTTCAGCTTTTATGTGCTTTAGCTTCTGCGAAAGCTCTTTCATTTCTCCCCAGAACAGCACCTGACAGCTCTCCTCACTCCTCTGTATGCGAGGGTTTCTTTGTTTGGCTGAATAAAGAAGCTTGTTACCAGAGAAAATGCCTTGGTAAGTGTCAGTGAAGATATCTGTTTCCTTGAAGAAACTCCCATAAAACCTTCCAAGCTGCTGCTTTTGAGTCCCAGAGCCCCTTGGATCCAAAGACCTCTCTGTTTTCCACACTTTCTTTAGCCATTGCTTGGTGATTTTCCAAGTCTTTCTCCTGCCGCAGGAAAGGTGAGCCCTGCTTCTAGAATCCCTGGGGGCACTTGGCAAGTACCTTGTCTCCATCATTTTGCTTTCCTCATGGTTGACCTGAAGCCCAGGCCCCAGTGCTGGGGCAGGAAGGACAGTGAGTTTGGCTCAGGCAGGGTCAGCAGAAGGCATTCACCTGTGGTCAGCCCAGGGGTTCAGTTTTCCCAAGATTTGACTGGGTGTTCATGAAGTTTCTAGCACCTAGGCTTCGCCTGGCTCTAGAGAAGGCAACACCAGCGTGTCTGCCTGTGGGCTGAGGTGCCTGCTTCTCAGCAAAGATGTTTTCATCCACCCTCATTTTCCCTTCTTGTTTCTGTGCCCCTCAATCCCCACCTTCTTTGCAGCCCTGGGACCCACCTCTCTCTCTCACCTCTCAGTGCCTTTACACAAAGGACTGCCCTCCTGGGATGCTCCCTTTCTCTCATGGACCCAGCTCCAATATCACCTTCCCATGAAACCTTTCTTTACTGCCCAGGGACCCCCCCAGTCCCCTGTCTCTCTCATCTGTGCCTGCTTTTATTTTAGCACCTGCTGCATGATACCGCATGACCTACTCTCACATCCGTCTCCTGCTAGGCAGGAGTTTCTTGGCTGTCAGGAGCTGGTCTCAGTGGCTGGTGCTCTGCAGGGGCTGTATCAATCTGGCTTTCTAAGGCTTCAAGGATGAATCTGTCCATGTTGCCTTTGGTGAGCGGAAGGAGAGTCACTGTGAGGACAGAAAGGGCAGAGAGCTAGTATAGCTATACAAACATACTAGGTTCCAGAATGTACTAGGTTCATGAAAAACAGGAACAAATGCTCAGCAATAGTCCAGAAATACCTAGGATGACCCAACCCACCTTCTGTGCAACCCCCAGCATCTAGACCACCTGACAGAGAGAATCTGAGGGTCCTGTTTGCTTCCATCTGGAACAAAGCATCATGACTAGGCAGGGTACCCCCAGCTCTCCTTAGAGGTTGTGGGCTTCCCTTACAGACGTGGCCTGCCTGGTATGCTGGGGATAGCAGGGTCTCCACGCTCACGACACAGGCCAAAGCCAGTCTGTAGAAGGATACACCTAGGATCTGGGCATGGTGGCTCACGCCTGTAATCCCAGCACTTTGGGAGGCCAAGGTGGGCAGATCACAAGGTCAGGAGTTTGAGACCAGCCTGGCCAACATGGTGAAACCCCGTCTCTACTAGAAATACAAATATTAGCCAGGCGTGGTAGCGGGTGTCTGTAATCCCGGCTACTCGGGAGGCTGAGACAGGAGAATCACTTGAACTCAGGAGGCAGAGGTTGCAGTGAGCAGAGAGCGCACCATTGCACTCCAGCCTGGGCAACAAGAGTGAAACTCCGTCTCAAAAAAAAAAAAAAAAAAAAGGGATACACCTAGGTGTGTTTCCTCAAAGGGGATAGTGGCAGGGCAGGCCCCCAGTGACTCCTGGTCCCCTCTCCAGCAGCACACGCCTTTCAGAGTGGAAGGAAGGCGTCGGAAGGGGGCCTGGCTTCAAGATGGGAAAGTATCTGGCCTCACCAAGGGAACTGAGAAAGGCAGCAGGAAGGAAGTTGAGTGAAAGAAATGTGGAGTCCCCGTGGCATTCCAGAACCTGCAGGGGACCCGCAGAATCCTTCTCTTGGAGTCCCAGTTCAGTGCTTCCGTGGATGAAGTCTTAGTATCCAGAGTGCCCTGATTCCCAAGCAATAAAAATAACTATGGTGTGTTAGGCATGCCATGTGTATGGGCGTGTATGATTCCATTTAATCCTCCTTGCAACCTGATGGGGTTAGGTCGTGGTCTTGTCCTACTTCACAGGTGCGCAAATGGCAGTTGGGTTGGTGAGTGGGGGTGCCCACTTGGGGGCGAAGTGACCTGCTTCAGGACATAGAAGGACCAGGCCTCTAGCCCAAGTAGACTCCGAAGCCTGTGCTCTTGACCTCTGTCTTACACCGCCCACATGGCATGTCCCAGCAGCCCTGGTTCCCAGACTCACCACTCCCCAGTCCCTGCCTCTGCCTGTCCCAGCTCCCTGAAAGCTGTCTCTTGTCTCTGGGCCATCTGAGGGGACTGTCCCACTTCATCTGCCTCGTGGTGTCCAGAGATGAGCCCCACTGTCAGCCTCAGGAATTGCCAGCCACTCCATAGTTCTTTGCTGCCCAGCAGACCTGGGACCACTCAAGGACATCTCAAGGACATGGAAAGGACATGGTCAAGTCTCAACACAACCTGCCAAAGGCTCACTGGCCCCGGGGTGGGCTTTGGCCTTAGCTGTCCTTTGGAGGTGTTTTTGTTCCTCCTCTGGGTCCTGAACTATGCCCACCCCCTGGCCCAATGGGCTGGGGGACTCTGATACACCACCTCCCTCCGCAGTGACTCTTGCCCACACCCTAGACAGCCCCTTTGACTCCCCGACACTGACTGCCACAAACTGCTGGGCTCTGCCCTCCACCAAGTACTTCTGAGAGCAGAGACGCTATCATAACACCAGCTGCTTTTCATGGAGGCAGGAATATGTGCCAGGCATAGGCTTGGTGGCTTCATGGTCTTATCGCTTCTAATCTTCATTGGGTCTCACTGTACAGATGAGAAAACTGAGACTTAGAGTGAGGAAATGACACTCCCAAGGTGGCAAGGCTGACATCGCAGGCTCTCTGACCTCAAAGCCCAGGCTCCCCTTATTCCCTGGACACTGTGTGTGGATGGACCACCTCCTCAAAGGTCATCTTTTGTCCTAGGCTTGGTGCTCCAGAGTGGGACTAAACTGCTCTCCAGTCAGGTGTTTTAACTTAGTATGTGTCCTGCATTGACAAGAGCTCAGAGTAAAACCACCAAGGACTCCAGCAATAGAGCCAGGATTTTACCCGTGAAGTGCTGTGCTTTGGCGTGGCTCCACCCTTCTCATATGTGGGTAGACCAGCTGATAGCCATGTGCAGCATAACAATCATAGTCATCAAAATGCAGACCAACACCTAATGAGCATTTCCTGGGTGCCTAGCACTGTGCCAAGCCCTTTTCATGCTGTAAGGTTACAGAGAGAGGCATATCCTCCATTGCCTGGCATTAAGGATCCAGGGAACAGAGGGTCTCTTTGCTTTTCTCAGAAGCCTGGACATCTGATCTGTCACCAGGTCCACCCAGCCCAACCCAGCCCCATCTTCCCCCTTGCCTTTTCCAGATGACATAATGAGATTTTTGCTTTGCTGCAAAAGTGGGGAGGGGAAAAAACACCCTCAACAACCAACAAGAAATAATTAGCGCACATTGTGTCATTAAACACTAGACTTCAATTAAATCGCATGGAGATAAATACCTCTAACGACTGGAAATGTGGGGACCATAGACAGCAAAGCACTCAGCATAATGGAGTAATAGACTCCACAAATAGCGTCAAGTCAGGGATTCTGACTTGATTAAGAATCTGCCTAAATTGGGTTGTCACCTCGCATGCTGCACCTACTACCTGAAAATTGCTCATTATCTTCCCCATTTGATCTTCTTGGAGCTAACAAGCCTTTGTGGAAATCGGTCTAGTGATCAAAGGACCCATTTATTTGGAAGTCTTTCCCTTGTCGGGGTCCTCGCGGCTGGTGTCTCCTTCCTCCCTTTTTTTATTTGTGATGAATCGTCACCTGGCAACAGCCTGTGTTGAGGTCGGGCTGGAGGTGACCTCTGTGTTTTTTGAGACGACCGTCCCTTCTGTAATCCTTACTATGGGGGCCAGGGTGCCTGGCTCCAGAGGGCAACAAGGAGGTCTCTCTCTTGTCTTTTCCACCCTATCAGCAGTCAGCCACCAAATCCAATCCCTGATGCCCCCTTTGCATCTGACCTCTCTGCCTTATGTTTGCTGCTGCTGCCCAAGGTCAGCACACCCTGTGTCAGCAGAGTGTAAGAATATCCAACCACTTTCCTCATCTCTCTCCCGCTCTGGCTGGAGTGACACTTCTAAAGCACTGCTCTGATTAAACAGCAAGTCTTCCTCATTTCCTACAAGAAGACAAGCAAGTTCCTTAGTCGGCTTTCAGAACCTTCTCCATTCTGATCCCAACCTACCTCTCCAGTCCCCCAGTGGATACGTCTACAGTTTTTTCTGGAAAGCCTCTGTGCTCCGTCACACTGAGCTGCTCATGTTCCCTAACCCTACCCTACCTTTTCACAAACCTCTTAGCCTTTGCTCATTCTGTTCCTTCCACTCACTATGTTTTTCCTCATTGGCTCAGCCTGTCAATGTTATATGCACTCCTCAGGGCCTGCCTAGAATATTCCTCAGCCATGAAGGCTTCTGTAAAAGCTGAACTCAGAAGTGTTTGCTTCAGGGTCAGCCGAAGTCTAAATTCTAGCATAATGTCATAAGCTGAGAGGCCTAGGGTATGAACCCGTTCATTTACCCGCACCTTGGAAAGTGCCCACTATGCACAAGGCACAGAAACAGGCTCTGGGGATGGGACAATGAGCCAGAGAGCAGCCTCTCTGCCTGCATAGAGCCTGAGGGAATCTGGGACAAGAGAACATTGAGCCAACATGATAAAGTGTGTGGGGTGCAGGGGTTGGGGAGCTGGGGTGTTAAGGAGCCTGGGGCAGGGTCAAAAAGGGAACATTGCCCATGGGGGCAGAGGCCTTGGGGGACATCTTAGAGAGGAAGGATGGGTGTAATTAGCCAGGCACCTGGGCAGAGAGAAGTGCAGGTGAGCCCCTCTTAGAGACCTGAAGATAATTGTGGGGTTGGAGCTTAAGAGTGAGGGGTGTGGGGTCAGGGGGCAGGAAAAGAGGTAAGTAAGTGAGCAGCAGAGTCAGGAATGTCAAGGGGTTCAGACCAAATCCTTTAGACTGGACAGGGAGCCACCGAAAAGCCTCTGAGCCTCAGTGTGTCCATCTGCAAAATGGAGAATTCTCACACACAGATGATTGAGCAGGGCTGGGGCTGAAATACAACCCTGCATTGGTGGGTCTGCCATACAGGTGGTCCTTAGGAAACCTGGTTCCCAAGGTTCCCTCAGGGCATCCCTCCCAAGAGTGAGCAGGGTCCCGCTGTTTATCCCCTTGGTCATAAGCTACTTGAGGACAGGGACTGTCTGCATCTCCCTGAACCTCTAGATGGAGGTAATGACAGGACCTGCCTTACAGGCATGAGGAGGGAGTTGGGGGGTTAATAATGGTGGCTAACAGGTATTCAGTGTCTACTGAACTAATGAGGGCATATTTTTTTCTTTCATGCATTCATTTATTAAATAAATATTGAATGAGCAACTACTACAGGCCAGGTACTTTCCTAGGTACTTGGGATATATCTATGAATAAAAGGCAGATCTCTAGCCTCATGGAGCTTATATTCCAGCAGGAGAAAGATGGACTATCTATCTATCTATCTATCTATCCATCTATCTATTATCTATCTATCTCATTTATCCATCTATCTATTATCTATCTATCTATCTATCTATCTATCTATCTATCTATCTATCTGCCTATCCATCCATCCCTCTATCTATCTAAAAAGCACGAGTAAAGTTTATAGTTTGTGAGAAGGTAATGAGTGCTATGAGAAAAGAAACCAAAAGGAGGTTGGGGTAAGGAAGATGAAAGCCCAGGACTGCAATTCTTAAAAGGGTGATGAGGATAACCTTTTTATATTCACTCATTGTATCCTTTACAACAATCTTATAAAGGAGGGCTAGTATTATACCCAATTTACAGATGAGAAAAGTGAGGCACAGAGAGGATTAGTCAAGGAGTCAACCAAGTGGAAGTTCTGGTATTTAATTCACGTACACAGCAAGTCCTCAATAAATGATAGCTTCTGATAATGCTGATGATGTGATGATATTGGGGGGGTGGTTGCATGCAGTAAGTGATCATTAAATGTTTCTGTAGTTGAAATTAACTGAATTAACTCCCCCAAGGGAGACAAACAAATCTCAAAACTCCAATAGCCCCTCCCAGCTCTGGGTAGAGGAAAGCCTTGGCTACACAAATGCAATCGTGATGGGGGAGCCCGCCCCCCCGCGTACCCATCTCTTTCCCAGATGTCCCATTTCAAGGGCCCAGCCTCTCCAAAGGGAAGGCAGTGGAGGCAGTTGCCTGGACTCGGGGAGAATGGGAAGCTGGAGCCGGATGACAACTGTGAGGCCAGGGAGTGACCAAAGAAAAGACCCCACTGCAGAGCAGAGTCAATAATTCACATGGCTCCTTTAAATATTTAGGTCTCCAGCTACTTAAAATGTAGAACTGTACTTTTGAATATATGTATGTGTATTTTGCAGTTTCATCACAGAGACATGGACACCATAGACAGGATGACAGGGGTGGAAGGGCGTGGTGGGGTGCTGGAACCCTTGGGGACATGCAAAATAGTTTTGCAGGTAGGAAGAAGAAGTGTGATATTGAAATACTAACCATCACCATCATATACCGAGCACTTATGGTGTGCTGGGCATCGTGCAAAGTGCTTTATCTCTAACTCACTCATTCATTCACTCCTTTACATTCACTCATTTAGCCTTGCTGGCTCTGGAGCCAAACAGCCTAGGTTTGAATCCTGGCTTCACCTCGTGTGGCTGACTGTGTAACCCTAGACACACAACTTCACCCTCCTTTGCCCCAGTCTCCTCTGTAAAACAGGGTGATAAGAGAAATAAAGAAGTTCACACATGTAAAGTGCCTAGAACAGTGTCTGCCATAAGAGCTCAATCAATATTGTTATTTTTACTATTGTTACTATTGGTACTATTTTTACTATTGTCAATATCATAATTCATTCACACATTCTTTCAGGAAATATTTACTCTGCTCTAATTACGTGATGGGTGCCGTGGGAGTACAGCGGTGAACTTCAAAAGACAGTTTCTGCCTTCAAGGATCCTCCACTGGGGACACAGATAATAAGGTAACAAAAAATTAACCAACAAGACAAATTCAGATTGCCATAAATGCTGGGAAGAAAGTTAACAGGTTGGTGGGACTCAGGGTAACTAGAGAGGGGAGACCCTTTTAGCCAGGTGGTCGGGGGCTATCTGAGGAGGTGGCTTTGCAGCTAAAATGTGAAATATGAAAGGGAACCCAGGAAAGGGAGTTCCAGGCAAGGGAACTGCTAGTGCAAAGGGCCTGAGGTAGAAAGTAGCTTGATGTGGTTGGAGAAAGGAAAGAAAGTCGCTGTGGCTGGAGAGTAGCATAGGCCTCTCCAAAACTCTCCAGGGGAGTGGGGACATCTCAAGGACATGGAAAAGGAAGCCCAGAGAAGTATGCAGATTTGCCTTGGGCTTCACCACTGATAGTGGTAACGACAATATAGGAAAACAGGTCTGTCCAGCTCTACAGCCTGGGCCCCTAACAAATGCACTGACTACTCCTAAGTAGGAGCACAGGCCCCCACAAATACAGCCCAACTTTGGTAAGTCCAGTGCTAACTGGTGGTGACTCTGAGTGCCCCAAGAGAGAAGTAGCCGGGCTACCTGGGAGATCTGAGAGTGCCTCAAACCAGCCACCTACAAAATGCTGCCAAGGAGAGGCCCTGCTGAACCCTCCTTCATGAACACATCAAATACCCTCCAATTAGCATCTCCCTGGGCATCAAACCAGCCACCCAAAGCTATGCAGAATTGTAGTATGGGCTCACACAGGCAGTGGGGAAAGAAAGCTGGGCCCTGGGGTTGGCAGGAGCGGGTGTTCATGGAGCCCCTTTGTGTACCAAGTTCTGAGCTGCTGTCTCTGCATCACTGATTCCTCATAGCCACTCAAAGCTGTAGGTATTGTCCTTCTTGTATTAGTAACATGGGGCTCAGAAATAGCAAGTAATTTGACTGCAATTACAGAGCCAGAAAGCAGGGTGGAGGAGGAAACTGGACTCCTCTATTGGCACCTATCGCTGGTACCAGCTGCCCAATGCCTAGGCTAAGAAGCTTGATGCCACCTCAATTGACCCATCTTTTCAACAGTCACTAATTGGCCAGGTTCTTTCTTGCCAGAACCTTGTGAGATGTGGTCACATTTATCCATAACCAAGGTGGCCATTGCATCTGGAATTAACAGCAAGCTTGTCCAAATTCTTAATGACATTCTAAGGGAATCCAGGAGAAGCTGGGGTAACAACCCTGAGACAAGAACAGTTAGCTTTGGGGGCACTGAATTGTCTTAATGGAATGTGGCCAAATGTGATTGGGGTAGGGGAGGATTACATCTCACCTGGAAGGGAACAAGAGTGTTTGTGGTCATACCTGGCAGTCCATGTACTGGCTCAATTAGGCACCACTTGATTGGGGCTGTAAATTCTAGAAGGGTGGAACGCATGTTTATCTTTTACACTGCGAAATCTCCCAGGCCTAGGACCTAGTACCTAGTAGGGGTTTCAATAAATAGGTACTGAATGATAACAATAACTCATGTTTATTAAGTGCTTACTAGATACCAGACACTCTGCTAAGAACTTTACAAGGGTGGTACACACCTCAGCTGCAAATGCAGCTACATCAGGAGATAGAAAAGATCCTGACACCTGAGTCCTGCTCCCCAAATGTTTTGCTTTAATTGGTTTAGGGTGAAAACCGGACCCTGGCATTTTTTTTCATGCTCTCCAGGTAACTCTAATATACAGCCAAGGTGGCGAGTATCACTTTATACGCCTCGCCTCGTCTAATTCTTCCATTAACCGTAGGAAGTGTTTACTATGCTTGTGCCCATTTTGTAGATGAGAAGGCAGATGCTCAGAAAGGTTAAATAGTCTGTCCAAGGAAGTGGTAGTGTCAGAATTTGAACCAAGGCAGCTGAACTCTTGACACCTGGGGCTGAGCCATGAAACCACACAGAATGAACATAGGGAAGATAGGAAATCATTAGAGCTGCAGATACAGGAAAAAGGTGTGGCAGGTGCACCTGCCTTGACCACAAGCTCCTCCTAAGGGAGGTGACTCCACCCACAGATGGATTCCATGCTTGGCTGTTTCTGAAATAAGAGTGACACCTTTCTGTGCCTGGTAACCTGTACCTTGGGCCAGATATCTTCCTGATATGCAAAAACTTTCCCTTCTGGCATAATCCCAGTTTACACAAGTTAAATAAGCACTTGTGAAATTAATTGCTTAATATTGCATTTTACAAATCGATGAATAAATCGAAGTACTGTCCACATCTCCCTCTTTAATCCCAAATATCCACTTTCCTTATTGGATCCCCTAAGCAGCTTATGCTCTGTCCTCTGGCTGTAATGATCAGAGCCTCAGAGCAAACAGTTCATTCATTCACCCATTCATTCATTCATTCATTCATTCATTCATTCGGTATCTTCTCTGCACCAGGCTGTCTCCTGAATGCTGGAGCATTTTCTCGTGGGTAACCATGCATCAAACAGCAATGAGAGAAGGACCTGAATTCATGCTGATTTTCACTTGCCTTAATGTAAAACAGGATTGCCTGCATTTCAGATTTTGCTAGTTTATCTTGCACGGCCAAAGCCCCAGTTATCTCTGCTTCACTAAGTCTTGAGATTGGTTTGGAACTTGAACATATATTCTTCAAAACCATTAAAAGTGGTTTAATTGGCTGTTCAGGGATGTCTTCCACTCTCCTCTTCAAATGGATCATCCCTCTCTGTCTCTCCCAAGAACTGGGAACTAGAAGCTCCTCGCCTGGATGATCCATTTCCCTGGATTTATTTATCTTGCTCTGGGCCCCAGAAGCATTAGGCTTCGCCTAGCAGATCCAGCCTCTCTTCGCTGCTGCACATCCAAATCCTACTTCAGACACCCACTGTAGCAAAACTACAGCCCTGGATGAAGGAGCAATGCCAGTCAGCATCATCCAAGGAGAAGGTCTGCTCTTTTAAAAAATTCAAACTATATCTTGATAAAACATGGTGATGAAGGCAGTCAAGGGAGGACATCAAGGAAGAAATACAGAGACAGCCACCTGGGGTTATGCAACACAGCAGAAACACAATGACCTTGGGAATCTGTGAGTCCTGATATGCTGGTCAGCTGCCAGGCATTTTTTGGGTGCCCATTATATTCCAGACCCAGGACCTGGTTCATATTCAGGCTCTTCTATCTCCTAGCAGTGTGACCTTAAGCAAGTCTCATAGCCCCTTTGAGTCTGTCTCATTGTTTAGTGCAGGGTCTCTGAAAATTAAGTGAGGCCATATATGTGAATGCATGTGATGATCTGCAGGTAACAGAGAAGTGCTGGTGCAATGGCTGGTTTAGAATACCAGTGGCCAGCCATTTGGAACTGGGCACCCCATGCCACCCACCCCTAGCGAGCTCCATGATGCATAATGTACATATTTGTATGCATACATAAGTATACATGCACATATAATAAATGCATAAATATGTGCATATTTTGCAAAGGTAAATAGAGAGAGAGATGGAGCTGCACTACAGAAATACAAAGACAAGCCTATTTCCAGATATTCTCTTGAATTCATTTCTAGACTATTTCTAGTTCTTAGCAAAGTGCTTGGTACATAATAGATACTTGACACATATTTGTTGAATGACCAGACATAAGAATCCATGATTTTTGTGTGTGCGTGTGAGAGAGAGAGAGACTAAGAGAGACAGAAAGAGAGAGAAATAGGGAGACAGAGAGCATATGTGTGTTCCTCAGCCTGAATGCCGCCCCTGCTGCCTTGGGAGGTTTGGACAAGCCCAGGCTGGAATACACTTGAAGGAGGGGCAGGACTTGGAGAAAGCAGAGAAGGGGGCTGGTAGGAAAGATGGAGGGACAGGATGGATAGATATAGTTATAACAATAATTCAAGAGGCAATATCATGTTTAATGCAAATTCCAGAAAATAAAATAAAATTAATAAAATACTGAATAAAATACCAAAAAAAAAAAAAAACACAAAACAAAACTATATACTTTTTTTTTTTTGAGACAGAGTCTTGCTTTGTCTTTTTTTGAGACAGTCTTGCTCCCAGGCTGGAGAGCGGTGGCATGGTCTTGGCTCATTGCAATCTCTGGCTCCCGGGTTCAAGCGATTCTCATGCTTCAGCCACCCAAGTAGCTGGGATTATAGGTGTACACCACCATGCCCAGCTAATTTTTGTATTTTTAGTAGAGATGGGTTTTCACCATGTTGGCTAGGCTGGTCTCGAACTCCTGGCCTCAAGAGATTCCATCTGCCTTGGCCTCCCAAAGTGCTGGGATTATAGGCGTGAGCCACCTCTCCCAGCCAAAAAACATTAACTCTCTAATTCCCCTTTCTCTGTCTTCTTTTTCCTTTCTAGTTAGAATTGTCAGATAAACACACAAACAGGATGCCCAATTAGGTTTGAATTTCAGATTAAATGGTAAATAATTTTATAAGCATGTTCCAAGTATTGCATGCACAAATATCACATGCTACATAACATGTACTAAAAAATTATTCATCCTGTACATTTATTTGCCCAATCTGGCAACCTTATCCAGTCGTTCTAGTAAAAGTTCCTACATTCTACTTTTTAAAAATGCCACATAAGTGCTCAAAGACCTTTGATCCTTTGATGGTTGTTCATTGTCTATGGGATTAATAATATTCCTTTAACCAGGCCTCTGGCCTCTGAGCCACAGGTCCCCTCTCTCCAGCTCCAGTCCACGTGGAAGCCTGGCCACTGATCGATGCAGTGCCCCCTCCACTCATGCCTGGCCTGGTCCTGCAAATACCTGTAAGCAGCTGTGGGTAGGGGCAGGTAGCTTTGGTCCATGTTTGGCTTCTAAATCACATTACCTTCATCCCCCACAAAAAGGTAAGTATCAGCTGGCCATGGAGCTCCTGCTGTCTTTTGCACAGAATCAAACCTCACACCTAAAAGAGAGAGGCCAAGCAGATTTTTCTTTACCTCTTCAGGACACCAAAAAGGTAATTCCCTTTTCCCTGGTCATGGAGGAGCTCAGAAAGAGCCTTATCAGAGATAAAGCCTTTGCAGTGGGTCGTCAACCGTCACTCACAGCCACTGCAGGCCCCAGCATCGGGTGATGGTGGAGCCCTGCTTGGTTTTTGTCGTGCTCTTTCAGCATTCCCACATTCCTCAGCCTGAACATCTCCCCTGCTGCCTTTGGAGGTTTGAACAACTCCACACTGGAATACACTTGAAGGAGGGGCAGGACTTGGAGAAGGCAGAGAAGGGAGCTGGTAGGAAAGTTGGAGGGGCGGGTGCTTGGAGCTCCCATTGTATCCTGGGAACCGTCTCTTGAGCCTGGGTCACCTCATCTAGAAAAACAGGAACCACAAGGTCTGCCTGCCCCTCAGGATAATGGTGAGGGTGCAGTGAGATGGTGCGTGGTAAGCCTCCCCCTGTACAGTCTGTCCTCGTCGTGGTAAGCCTCCCCCTGTACAGTCTGTCCTCGTAAAGTTTCACTTCCTTTTCCTAGTGTACAGCCTGCAGTGGGGCATCTAGCCTCCTAGGGTTGGTTCTAGCCAAGTTGGTATTGAGTTGAATGGTCTTCTGCCACTGAGCTGAGCCAAAGACCCCAAGCCTGGTGTCTAAAACCCCTCACTAAGAGCCCATCTTGGAGATAAGTCAGGGACTGATGCCTCTGATTAGGCCGTCCCTCCCTGTCTTGGGGAATCAAGGTGACACGAGGAAACCCTCATTCAGCTTGCATTCTCCAAAAATAGCCTATCACTCACCAAACTCTTCCCAGCTGTCATCCCAGTAAATTCCCCCAACAACCCTGAGGTTGGGCTCCGTTACCAGTCACGTTTTAAACAGCTAGTCACCAGGGCTCTTGGCTGTTGGATTTCACGGCCTGTGATCTTAACCCAGAGCCCTTAAGAAATTGGAGGTGAATTTTGGCTCCAAGGGCAGTCCCTGCTGCAAGCTTGGAATTTCCATCCTTCCCTGCCTTTCATCTGGGAATAGAGAGGGGCCTGGACACCGCCACCTCCTGGTGCACTGAATGTACCCAGGCTTGCTTCAAAACCAGCCACCTGGCTCCCACTCTCAGCAGTAAGTCCCCCCTCCCTCACAACCACAATCTTTTTCCTGGGTGTTTTTTTTGTTTTTTCTTTCTGTGGCTCTGGCCTTCTCTCCCTGAAAATACAGTTTGCTGATATTAAAAACACACACACACAATCACAAACACATTTTATATAGTCTTTGAAGTCTACTGGCCTCAGGCTCCTGGACTGATAAGTATGCAGATAGAGCGCAGACCAGAGCTGGGAAGACAGTACCCTGTGCAGGCGGAGGCAGGGGCCCCCGCGGGGGTGGGAAGGGACAGAGACGCCAATGGGTCCCAGAGGCAGGGCGTCCCACCCTGTTCATCTAAGCCTGAAGGAGAAAATCGGATCAGGTTGGGGAAGGGGGGATGAAGCCCGTCAGGGCTGCTGCTCCTGGGCTCTCCAAAATGAGGTCTGCTCTCAGAGGCTGGGCCATCAGGGGTTCCCTCTTTTTTTTTTTTTTTTTTTTTTTTTAGACAGAGTCTCGCTCTGTCGCCCAGGCTGGAGTGCAATGGCGTGATCTCGGCTCACTGCAACCTTTGCCTCCCGGGTTCACGCCATTCTCCTGCCTCAGCCTCCTGAGTAGCTGGGACTACAGGCGCCCGCCACCAAGCCCTGCTAATTTTTTTTTTATATTTTTAGTAGAAACTGCGTTCACCATGTTACCCAGGATGGTCTTGATCTCCTGACCTAGTGATCCATCTGCCTCGGCCTCCCAAAGTGCTGGGATTACAGGCGTGAGCCACCGCGCCTGGCCCATCAGGGATTCCCTCTCAAAACAGGGAGGGGAAAAGGATGTTTCATGTGCCCCAAGGCCTCAGAGGGCATCTTCGTGCCCAGGAAAAAGATTAAGATGGGGAATTGTTGAGGTTCTGGGGTCAGTGTAGTTCTAGAAAAGAGGCACGTTTATAAATTGTGGCAGGCAGGGTAAAGAGGAGGGTACAGAACAGTAACCTCTGTCAGCCCCTTCAAAGCTGCTACAAAGCTGCCTGGATAAGGACACCGCCCACCAGATACTCAGCAGAATCACTGGGGCAGTGATGCCCTCCTGGCACAGCAGCAGACGCCCAGCTCTTTGTAAACCCAGGGAAGGAAGGTGCCACCTTAAGGGAACTCCCAGGTTGATGAGCACAGGGCTGCAGGGAGAACCCAGACATTAGGACCTGATGGCCTGATGAGGTGGTGGAGGACAGAGCCCATGACCTCCTAGGTACTGAGAGCTCCCAGGCTGAGGAGAAAGCTCCAGCTCTTGTTTCACAGGGAAGTCCCCAGTGAAATAGGGGAAGGAGGACCTACATAAGCACAGGAAGCTCCGACGCAGAAGTCCTCTTCACTCTCAATTCTGCAGTCACCAAACCTGGCACCTCTTACCCATCCCCAGACTTGTGCCAAGGGGTCTCGCAGAGGAGCCTTCCCTACTTTCAATGCTTACTGTGTTGCTTTCAAAGCTTGGTCCCCGCATCTAGTCTGAATTCTCTGACTGCCTTGGGTCCCTCAGAAAGAGACATCTGACCCCACTTCACTTCCACTTAACCTGCACTGTCCCATCCATCCCCATCACCCCTCTCCCCAATTCCACCCCACCCATCTGTACCACCCATCCCTGCAGCTTCTCAGCTCCCTAGTGTCCTCACCTTTGTACATGGCTTCCAGCAATGGAACCCCTGTTTGTGAGCTCATCACTTGTCGAGGGCTGGGCTCCTGATCTCATCAGCTTCATCTCTCAGCTCCTAACACAGTGCCCAGCCACTATGTTTATCTCACATTAGCTACATGGCCCATGTATGTTATCTCATCAATACATAGGAGACCAAGGCTCTGAGAAGCCTGACAACTCGCTCCCCCATCACCCGGGGAATTCTTGTCATCCCTTACGTCACAGCCTAAATGTCCCTTCCTTGGGGAAACTCTCTCTGACATCCCCCACCGCACCCCATCCTCCCCACTCCAATGCAGCATCTTGTGCATCTCTGTAGCACTAATCACAGTGGCATTTAATGAGTTGTTTCTGCAATGGTTTGCTCTCTCCCCACTCATGCATATGCTCCTCAAGGGATGGCAACATGTCTCTATTGTTTACCACCCTGTCCTGAATGCAGGGGCCCTGACTCAGAGAAGACTCCGGGTAATTATTTACCATTTGAAGAATGAATGGCTTCCTAAGTTTGTGCACCTAGAGCTCTCTGGCCTTCAGCTGCTTCATCTGTAAGTAGGCGGAGCCTTAGGTCCCCAGGACTAGCTCACTCTTAAGATGACTTCTCATTCTTAGGTCCTAGAAAATGCTTTTTAAAATTCCATCTTCCTTTCCCAAATGGAAACAACAATGTCATACCAATCAGGTTGGAAAAAAAATGAGAAATTTGGATAATGCCATGTGCTGAGTACCAGTGTCCTCGAAGAAACCTGTCAGTATTCAGGGAAATGAAGTACTGCACGCCTTCTGACCCCACCATCCCACTCCTGGGGAGACTCCGGGGAAACACTCACGTGGTCCCAGTGGGTCACCCACATGGTGGGGCATCGGAGGCAATCTAGTGTCCACCCCTGGAACAGCGGACATCTCTAGAGAAACTCTGCAGCAGTCAGAAACATCGAATGAGATAATGCACAGCAACTCAGGTAGATCTTAAAAACATGGTGTTAAGTGAAAAAATTAAGCAACAGAATGAGATCTATAGCCCAATACAATTTATGTAAATTAAAACACATTCGCACAATAAACAACACCATATATTTTATAGGCACCATCCGTATCTGAGGACATATATTAGAGATTTTAGAGTGGAGCTACAGAGGGGGCAGTCAGGAGGGGCCAGGCAATAGCATCAGGGAGAAGGAGAAAAATCGAACAAAGCAAAACAAGAGTGAGGCTGTGTGAGATCAGGATGTTAATGGATGGTGAGTTGAACGTTGTGTTGGACTTGGACTAATCCAACTCTCTTTTCAAGGTGAATGTAATGACTGATTAACGAACGAAGACTCCACCTTCTCTTCCTCTCGTGGATCCCAGCGAACTTCCAGGGCATGGGTTGGCATAGGTTTGAAGAAGGTTTCTCGGCCTCTGCACTGTCTACATTTTGGGCCCGCTGAGTCTTTGTAGTTGGGGCTGGCCTGTGCATTGTAGGATGTTTAGCAGTTTCCCTGGTGTCCACCTACCAGATGCCAGTTGCACCTACCAAGTTCTGACACCCAAAATGTCTTCAGACATCGCCAAATGTCCCCTGGGGGACAAAAATCACCCCTGGTTGAGAACCACTGGGTTGGAATACAAGCCTGAAAAACCGCTCCCAGTCTGCCAGGTAAGTGACCCACACTTGCTTTACAAAACCCCATGCACGGAGCAACAGAACCTTGGGACCTGGGACTAAGCTTGTAGCTCCGTGTTGAAAGCCTGCAGCGTCACTTGCATTTTAAATCAAGGCTCGGTGGAGATTCCAGTTACAGCCTGCAACTGCATCTGCCTTGGGCTTCCTCCTAATTTTAACCAGCAGCTGGATTTGCATAGGACATTTGCATCTGAAATTACCCATGATTCTTTGGGAGCCATAGTCTACAGCAGATGATGGCAAAAAATATATATAATTCCATTTCAGCTTGCAAAGTAGGGGGGAGGAAGGAGATGAAGACTTCAGGGAGGGAGGGTACTTTAAGAAAATTTCAGTGCTTTATATAATTGGTTAGAGAGGTTGGAAATAGATGCCCTGCTGGTCACTGGCAGAGAGAACTGTCCTGGCAATTCGTATGTGAATTAATGACTCAAAGAGTGAATGCATGAGGTCCCCTGAGACTCCCCCAGGAGCGAGCTACTGACCCAAGTGGAGGCAGGCAGAGGAGAGGGAAGGATGGTGCAGACCTGTGTACAGAACAGCACACAGCCCAGCCCCAGGCCTCCAGGAGCCCAGCCACCCGCTAGCACTGGCCGGCCCGGGAGCCTGCCACATGCCCGAGAGCACTCACTAAGTGCCTTCCCACCGTGGGCCATTTCATCACACAGCCCCACCCCTCTTGATGAAGGCATCGTTCCCCTCATTTAGAAGAGGAGGAGGTGGAGATTCCCAAGTCTCACTCTCAGTAAAGAGCAGAGCCTGAATTGGAAGGAAATTCTGCCAGACTCTAAAACCAGTGCTCCTTCCACTAAGACCCTCAGTGGGTCATTTGCTGACTTGCAAAGTTAATATACAGGCAAAAGCATGGCAGGTCATGCCAACAGGAGCAGACGACCCCTCCTTTACAGTTCAGCAGTTTCTGCTCAACCCAAGATTTGGCCAGGCCTGGGTTCCAGAATGTAAAAGCAGACATCTGCAAGCCATGCCCTAAATTCCAGGTGAGGTGTGTCTGTGCCACATGGGCTAAGGCTTAACTGGCACCTTCCTGGTTGCCATCTGCAGACACCAAGGTTAACCACACCCTCCACTTGCTGCCCCAGGGCCTTGCAGTCCTCTGTGATTGCATTACTTATTCTTTCTACATCTCTCTCCCCTACTAGACCGTAACATCTTGGGGGCAGAGATCATGACCGGCTCATCTATGTCTCTATCCCAGAGCTCCAGAAATATATGTGCTATAAACTGAGCTAATTTGGGGCTGGGAGCAGGAGACTAACCAATCTGTGTCATTCCAGTTGAAATGCTATCTTGTCCAGGAATAGTTTCTTGATTTTCCCAGGAGGAAGTACATCTTAGGTGAGACCTTCCCCTAAGCCATGGGTAGCAGAAGCACTTTCCACCTTGTGCACTTGATCCCCTTGAATATGCTGAAGACTCCTCAAAGGAAAGGGTCTTGCCCAATTGTTTTTGCATTTTCAGTGCCTAGAACAGGGTTTTGCATAGAGGAAATAGAACATGAATGGATAGATGGATGGATGGATGGATGGATGGATGGATGGATAGATGGATAAATAGTTGATGAAAAAGTAAGAAGGCAGGCAGATGGTTGGATAGGCATTTGGTTGAGTGGTGATTTAGTAGTTAAGTGGATAGACAGATAGATGGATTTATGGATGAATTGGAAGATAGACAGATGGATGGATGGAACAAGGGTTTGATGTCTGCGTGTTTGGATGTGAGAGAGTGAGCAGGCCAAAGATGATTGGATGGGTGGGTGCAAGGTTGAGTGGGTAGGTTGATGGTTTGGACGGTGAGTTAAGTGTATATTGGGTGGGTGGTGAAGATCTGGATGGGTAGATCCATGTGGTATAATAGAGTGGCTGGCTGGTGTGGTAATGGTTGCATAAAGACACAAAGTGTCTTTTCACCTTCCAATGTTATGCTCAGACTCCTAAGTAAAACACTTCCTTTGTACTCCTTTTTTCCATATCCTACTTTTAAGTCCTCCTTCCTCTCCCACTCTCTTCCATCCTCCTAAGCAGGAGCTCTAGGATGCCAGATGGAAGCTTCCCAGGGAGTTCAGCTCCAGTCCCTGCCTGTGTGCTAAGCACTCCACATTGTGCAGAGATTTAATACTTAACTCCAGCCTCTCCCCACTCCTTACCTGCCTGAGGAGGTAGAGGCAGCGATTTGCATATTTATTAAATATCTCTTAGCAGGATCCACAAGCCGCATTGCTACATCCCGCTCCCAGAGCCTTCCTGCTGGCAGACAAGACCGTGTGCCATCAGCACTGCATCACGGCCTGTTAAATAGCTGTTCCAGGGCCCAGGAGGCTCGGAGGGAGCCAGGGGCCATGGGGAGGGTGGGGAAGGCAGAGGCCATGCAGCCAAGGAGGGCCTAGAGGCCTGGCATGTGGCTGTCTCACACTTGCTTAATAGTGGGGGCTTCTGTCCATGGCCCAGGCAGAAAGGGCTCTGGGGGCATCTGTTTCAGACCCCTGCCTCCATGTGGGCACCCTGGAAATCAACCCTTCCCTTAGAAAATTCCCAGAGGAGGACATTTTGAAGGATCTTTATTTTGAGTTTCTTCTGCTGCTTGGCTTATTTGGAAATTCTACCTAGTGTCTGAACAGAAGTGTGCCTGCCTTTGCACAAGCCCCATTCTGGTAGGCTGTCTTAGGTCGAAAGGGAAAACAAACATTCATAAGCATGGCTGGGGTGTCCTCCCCAAGGCAGAGTCATCCTATAAGGTCTGGCCCTAGATCTAAATCTCCAGGGCCTTGGGCATCAATCAGTCCCTCTTCTGTCTAGAAAGGCGCTCTCGAGGGTAGAAACTGGGTGTCTTTCTGGGGACCAGGAGCTCTCTGCACTAAACTGGGATGAACCTCTTCCGCTGGGCTCCCTGACTCTTCTTCCTGTCTCCTCTCACAGTTCCTAGATCAGGGTTCAAATCCAAGAATATAGTATGTAGAGTCAAACTATCCAGATGCTAATCTCTGCCCCACCTCTTACTAGCTGGGTGGCCTTAGGTAAGCAATAGAACCTCTCAGCCTCAGTTTTGTCATCTGTAAAATGCAGATGATGACAACACCCACCTCCTGAGGTTATTATGCAGAGTAAGTACAATGAAGGGCTTTCGGGCTTAGCATAGTACCTGGTTCTGATGTAGACATTGAGAAGATGTTGTTTGTTATTGCTACAGGCTCCCAGAAAGTTCTAGGTGCAAAGTGCGGCTGGCGGCCCACCTGCCTTTCCTAGGGCGTGAGAAAGAGTGGAGAGGTTCCTACCTATTCTGTCTGCTGACTGTGCTGAGCATGTATCCTCACAACAACCCTGCACAGTAATTACTTCAAACACTCCTATTTTATACATGCAAAAACTCAGTCCCGGGGTAGAAGGGAAATGCATGAGACCACATGAGTTGGGAACCCACATGTCTCTTTATCTCTTCCCAGACAAGTTATGAGGGATCCCCTGCCCCAGGAACAGCCTAAGATCTCAAGAAGAGGAAGAGGAAACCCACAAACAAACAGCTTTTCCAGCTTCATCTGCCCCCACCTCCCCCAGCCCTGGACTGGTGGGATCCAGAAGGAAGGGCCCAAACTGGAGCCTCATAAACCTTCCCAAAAGCCCTCATAAACACCAGGCCTGGCCGGTGCCATGTCTGGTGCTGCAAAAAGCAAAATCTCTGGTTGTAAAGTAATCCTCATAAAAAAAGGAGAGAAAAGAAAAAAACCTATGTGATAAATACAGTAATGACCTCTAGGAAACAAGGAAAAGGAGCCCAAGTTCCTAAGACTGCAAAGGGAAGCGGGGTTTCAGCCCCAGCAGACACCACCCAAAAGGTACCAAGCTCAGGGAGCCTGGTGGCCCAAGCCAGGAGAGTGGCTGGGGGTGGCTGGGAGTGGAAAATGGAAATGAAGAATAGAGCTGCTGCTGCTGCTGCTGGTGATGGAGATGGTGATGGTGATGGTGATGGTGATGCTGGTGCTGATGGTGATAATAATGGTGATGGTGATGGTGATAGTGATGCTGCTGCTGATATTGATAATGATGGTGATGATGGTGATGCTGGTGATGGTAATAGTGGTGATGGTGATGATAATGGTAATGATAATCCTGGTGCTGCTGATAGTGATGGTGATGCTGGTAATAGTGATGGTGGTGGTGATGGTGATGGTGATGGTGATGCTGCTGGGCTGGTGGTGATAGTGATGGTGCTGATGATGGTGATGCTAGTGATAGTGATGGTGATGGCGATGATGATGCTGATGGTGGTGGTGATGCTGGTGATGGTGGTGATGGTGATGGTGCTGATGATGCTGGTGATGGTGATGGTGCTGGTAGTGTGGTGGTGGTGATGGTGGTGATGCTGGTGTTATTGGTGGTGGTGGTAATGGTGTTATTGGTGGTGGTGTTATTGGTGGTGGTGGTAGTGGTGGTGGTGTTATTGGTGGTGGTGGTAGTGGTGGTGGTGGTAGTGGTGTTATTGGTGGTGGTGGTAGTGGTGGTGGTGTTATTGGTGGTGGTGGTAGTGGTGGTGGTGGTAGTGGTGTTATTGGTGGTGGTGGTAGTGGTGGTGATATTATTGGTAGTGGTGATGGTGTTATTGGTGGTGGTGGTGGTGTTATTGGTGGTGGTGGTGATATTATTGGTAGTGGTGATGGTGTTATTGGTGGTGGTGGTGGTGTTATTGGTGGTGGTATTATTGGTGGTGGTGGTGGTGTTATTGGTGGTATTATTCCAGCCTTCTTTCTGTCCCCAGACTCACTTCCAATCTTAGCTTCTTCTTTCCAACCCTGAAAATGCAAGAACTTCCACAAATGCAGACTCTTCACAGTGGGCTGATTTCTTTAAGGAACTGGGATAAAAATAACAATGTGAGTAACCATACTGTGAGCAGGTGCTGTTTATTGAGTGGTTACTGTGTGCCTGATGCTGCACCAGTGACCCTCTCAAATGGTCTCATGTCATCCAACCAGGAGCCACCACCATCCCCTCCCATTCCCAGGTAAAGACAGACCCAGAGGGGCACAGCGACTCTCCCGAGCCCACAGAGGAGCAGGGCTCTGGCTGAGCAGCATCTTCTGTCTTAACTCACAGAAGGATTCTGCTGCCTCGAGTCGTTGGGTGGTGTTGGGCAAGTCACTTTCCCTTTATGGGCCTCAGTTTCCTCATCTGTAAGATGAAGTACCAGTGCCTGCAGGGCCTGGGGTGTGACAAAGGCCATGCTCCAGTTAAGCTTTGCTGACCGGGCTGAGGTTGAGAGCTCATGTGACCTGCCTGGAGAGGGTTAGGTGCAGAAGCCCTGAGGGCTGCATGGACTGGCCTAGGGGGCTGGGTCCTCTCCTCACGGGATGCCTGTATACATGCGAGGACCTATGTGATACACAGGGATGAGCATGTGGGTGCACGGATGTAGCATGTACATCCATCCCAACACTTGGAGGTGCAGAGATAATCGGCTTCAGTGTCGCTCCATTGTGGAGAGAACAAGGGGTTAGCGAGGCTGACCAGAAAGCCCCTGAGACCTGGATAGCATTGCCACCAGCTGGGTCCCTGGGCTCCTCAGGGGGTCTGAGAAGGGCAGAGGCAGACCGATGACAGAACCAGGGGCTCAGAACCCAGCAAATGCGGCCCCAGGCTCTGCAGATGGAGCAACTGAGGTCAAGAGCAAAGTGGGGCCTCTGACTTCCAGCCCAGTCCTGCCAGAGCCCCCAACCCCTCAGTGGCTCTAGTAATAGTAGTAATAAAAATCATACTACCCCTAATCATTATGGTAATAATAGCTACCGTGATTGAGCCCTTTCTCTGTGCCAGACACCTGCTTGATGTCTTACAAACATGATCTCATTCACCCCCATGACAGCCCCCTGGGGAGGGAATCATTTTGCCAGCCTCCCTGTAAAGGCGGGAAACATGGGCTCCAAGATTTGCCCTAGCTCACCCGGCTGTGGGTGGCAGGGCTGGTTTCGCCCCTGGGTCTGACTCCAGCCCATACTCTTTTTAAGGCACTGGACAAACTCATACAGGACCTGTTCTGACTGATTCTCTGATGATTCTGTGTCCCTCTCAAGCTTAGCACAGACCTGGGCACATTTTGGTGGGGGTCACTGTGTGAGCTGGAGTTGGACAGGCCTGGGCTCAAATCCTGATGCCCTGTAAATGACAGGATGCCTATATACATGCGAGGACCTATGTGATATGCAGGGATGCTCATGTGGATGCACGGATGTAGTATGTAGTTATTTGGTTGATTAAGAGGTTGGTGCAGTGCCCCCACGCATCCCCCACAAGGGTAAACATTGTCTAATTTCTCCAGGCCTGGGGATCCCTCACAATTAGGTATAAACCCATTTGTATTTCAGAGCCTTCCTGCATGCATGCCTGGAATCTCCATTTCCTCTGCCTGAAATCTCTGCTATTTTCCCACCTGGTCGTTTTCTGCTCATTCTCTCAGACAGTTCTCCAGGAAGCCTCACCTGATTCCCTAGGCTGAGTTAGACATACCCCCACTTCCTTTGCTGGCCCCATAGCACCTTTAACATCTCTCTCTTCCTGGTAATTGCCAATTACATGTCTGTCTAGAGTACTGTGAGGTTCCTGAGGGCAGGGAAGGTGTCATATTTGTCTCATGTCCCCAACACTGTGCTGCACTTAGAAGGTGCTCCGAAATGGCTGCAGAGTGAATGAACAAATAAGCAGATGAATGAATCAACAAATGAATGAGTGATGGGAGAACCAGCGCAAGCTGCCCTCCTATCCTGCCTTATTCTGGGTCAGAGACATGGATGGTAGGATCCCTCTCCCGTCCCTACTCCTTCCCCTAACACACCCCCATCAACCACCATAACCCACCTCCTCTCAGCATTTAAATTTGCCTGTCATCTTTGCCTATGATGCTGCCAAATCTGCCTCCTTCCCACCCCCCCCCTTTCTTCTTCTTTGTTTTGGTCCTGCATCTAGAAGGTCAAGACCACAGTGACCTCTGGACTCCAGCCCCTGGCTAAGAATGCAATCTACCTGTCCATGGGCCAGTGTGACTCAAGATGTCAAGGGATGGTGATCACTGAGAGACCAAAGATTTCCTCTGAATTTGCCTGGATTTTCACACTTGATTGTTCACTGTCAAAAGGAAGAACAGGTGTACCTACAGCAACCTGGCTGCAGAAATCTACATTCTCCTTATTCTGAGAAACCCCTCAAAATACTACCACCAAAGTAGAAACCAAATTTATCCTGAATTGACATGTACCCCCTAACCCCAGCCCAACTCCATACTCCTCTCTGTCAAGGAAGCAAAATCAATTTCCTTTGCTTTAGATACCAGCATGTAGGCTTGTGGACTTCCAAATGCTGTCTTCCAAGAACTTGGAGTTTAAACATGATCCCTTGGATGATATGTCCAAAGAAGTTCTCACTGAAATTCCCCGCATCGTAAAATGTCAGGATGTCTGCGGTCTTTATTTATAGACAGATTGCTTTTCAACTTTTCTCACTCCAACATTTCAATGTGTTATTCCTGAAGATAAATGCACATTATGATTTCATAATAGAAATTGCATTTCTCCCTTGTGTCACCTCTAAGCATGTATATACATAAATATGGCACATTGCCTCCGACAGTAATTTAAAAGGCACTTTGGAGAACATATTGATCATGACCAGAGAACGGAGCTGGCACGGTCTAGATTTCATCGAATCTGCCTCCTCCCCACCCCCGCTCTCTTTCCTCTTCTTTGTTTGGACTCTGAAGCTTGGGAACTTATGATTTCCATTTATCTTTGTATATCAGGGATGTTTGTTTATAAGCATCATGGGGTTTAGGAGAGAGGGAAAAAGTGAAATTTTATAACTCCAAAGTGTAAACAAGGAAGGAAAATGCAACCTTCCCACCAGAGTGGGTTCCCTGGAGACAGGAATTCTCCATGTCACTCCCAGACAAACTTGAGATCTTGTGTGGCGGATGCTGTGCACAGCTGCCCGAGCCACTTGGGGATGTGGCTGTCTGTCAGCTCAGGATCACGTGCTCCAAGCATTCTCCCGGGCTGGCCCAGTATCCTCCTCTTGACTCCTTCATCTGCCTCCTGGAGACCTTAGGCTCACCTTGGAACATTCACCTCCTCTGAGCTCTTTGAGCCACTCACCATCATTTGTGGAAACTGCTAGAAACTCTTCTCTTCCAGGAAGTTTCCATGACTACTCAGAGCTACATCCCAGCATCCCACTTTCTCCCTGGTACCATCTACACTCTGCCCATTTTAATGATGATTTATCTCCGGGCTGCTTTTAAAGATGAGATTATTCTGGGTCAGGTACCTTGATGTGTTGGAGGAAACCAAACTGAAATCGATTAAGTGTCTGCAACACACCAGGCAAGTTCCTTTAATCCATCTCATTTAGTCCCGGCAACAGTCTTGAAGGGCAATGTTTTATTTCCCCATTTTATAGAAGACCAAATGAGGCACACAAATGTTGAGCTACCCATCCCCTTAGAAGATATTGGGCCACTAAATGAAAGAGCCTTGATTCAAACCTTCAAAACCCACTCCCTTTGACATTTCCTAGAGGTGATGGGGCTAGGGTATAGGGTTGGAGATCAGGTTTTCAAAATATCAATTACTTTTCCAATCAAGATGGATGGTTCCATGGCTGTGCACTGATGGCAGCCATGGCAAGTGTCCTGAAATGTCCACCTCTGGTCATAAGGGACCCAAGCTGGAGTGAGCTTAGTATTTTTTTTTTTTTTAAGACAGAGTCTCACTGTATTGCCCAGGCTGGAGTGCTCACTGCAACCTCCGCCTCCCAGGTTCAAGCAATTCTCATGCCTCAGCCTCCCAAGTAGCTGGAATTACAGGTGCCCGCCACCATACCCGGCTAATTTTTGTATTGTTAGTAAAGACAGGGTTTTATCATGTTGGCCAGGCTCGTCTCAAACTCTTGGTCTCAAGTGGTCTGCCCACCTCATTCTCCCAAAATGCTGGGATTACAGGTGGGAGTCACCACACCCAGTCCTTGGAGTGAGCTTAGCTCTGTCAGTACTCAACACTCTTTGTCTTTTCTACTCTCTCTATTCCTCCCTGTCAGTCTTTTCTCTGCCCACTCCTTAAACATCACTATTCTCTACATTTGGTCTTCGGCCCCCTCTCTTTGTCCTCTTTCCACTCTTCCTCAGCTCTCCCCCATCTCCTACCAGTTACAAGGACCATTTTTCTCTTGGCAACTTTCCAACCTTCACCGCAGCTCAGATCTCTCTGCTACCTAACTGCCTACTGGATGTCTCTGTTGGGATGTCTTGTAGGCCTCTGAAATGTAATATGACAACTATTGAACAAAACATTCCACCCTCTCAGTGAGAGTACTGTCACCCACCCAGGTCACTAAAGCCAGAGGCCCCAGCCATCGTATTCCTCCTCTGTGTTCTCCCATCCATTGATTCATCCCAGGCCCTACATCCTCTGCATCCTTAACACCTCTCTTCCCTCTGTGTGTCCTCTTTTTCTGTGTTAGTTCAAACCAACACTCGTTCAGACCTGAGTCTCATGGCTGTAGCCGCCTGACTCATCTCCTAGGTCCCACTCTTGTCCCTTCCAGCCCATTTTGCATACAACAGCCAGAGGGGGGCTTTATCAAGCAGAAAGCAGATCATGTCATGCTCTTGTTTAGAATCCATCATGGTGCCCATTCATGGCCAGTGGGGACATCTCCATTGTGTTTCCCCACTCATGTCAGGCCCACATAGTAGGCATTCAGTAAATTATTGCCAAATGAATTTTTTCCCCATTCTCCTTGAGTCTGTTCTCAAGGCTTGGTGCCTGCTAACTTTTCCTTCCAGAGCTTTCATGACCCATTCTGCTTCAGCATTTCAGCCCTGCCTTGGAGCCAAGACCTGGGGGCTGAGCTGGCCTTTGCCTCTGCCATTAGTTGTCTTCCCCTCTCAATTACATGGTAATCCCTGTTAAAACTACAAATTTATTTATAGTTTTTTTCCTTTCTTTTTTTTCCCCACCGGGCAATTTTTACGGCTCATCGGCCGTAACAAATTCTACTTCATAAAGCGAAGGCACGTCTTATTATTACCTTATGGAAATAGACGGCAGCAGCTGGCTCCTATTCCCGGCCAGCGTGTTGTCTCCACGAATCCGTAATGGTTTCAATCAATACCCCTGTGGGATTTGTTCCGCTCTTTGAGGACGAGAACATTTAGACCTGAGAGTGGTGTTTCTGCCTCCGAGCCAGTTGGCAGTGATGCCCCACCCAGAGGCCTTGGATTTTGGGGGTTGCCCAGTGAGAAGATTCCTGCAGGGAAGTCCTGGTGTTTCTATTTTGTCCACTAATAAAGAGGTCACTCTTGTGCACAATATGTATGGAAGACACTCAGTAAATACTATAATGGTAACCATATGAGGTGGGTGCTAACTGTGATCCCATTTTCTGAGTAGGGAAAGTGGGGCTCAGAGAGAGTTTGAGCATCTCTAAGGGGCTTGCTCCTCCAGGCCCAAGCAAGAGGGCAGGAGGCTCTGAGGGTGCCCTGGGCTCCCTTTCCCACTGCACACCTTTCCTAGACTCCACTGTGAGGACCATTAAGTCATTCATTCATTCATTCATTCATTCAATACAAATGGACTAGCATTTACTGAGTACTGGGCACTATAGCAGATATTTGGATCCTGAGATAATTCAGCCATGTATGAAAAGGGTGGACGTTATCTTCTTCCCCATCAGATCAGAGGGCACCTTTATTAATTATAATGGTACTACTAATAATCTGGAGGAAAAGAATTCTGAGAAGTCAAAGACGAAGACAAAGGGGAAGATAAGGAGTGCTAAGACCAGGCACTCTGGCAATTGATCCCGGTGTGTGACCTCGTGTTATCTTCATAACCCCACAGATGCCAGGGGTCAAGGGGCCTAGGAACACAGTGCTTGAATGTGAATCCCAGCCCCTCTCACCCAGCTTTGTGACCTTGCTCAGGTAGTAAAGCTCACTACACCTTGTTACTTCAAGGACAAAATGGGGGTGATATTAATACTCATCTTTATCTTAGCAGGAGGAATAAAAGAAAATCACATAATTTGTGCACAGTACTTATTAAAAGCTCTCGGTAAATAGTATTCATAACCATACGTGGTAAGTGCTATTTATTATCCCATTTTACAGGTGAGGAAAGTATGGCTCAGAGCATTCATAACTTGCCTAAGAGAACAAAGCCAGTGGGGGCAGAGGTGAGATTCTGGAGTCAGCCCCAAGGTGTGCCTTCTCACCCATCACCTCCCAAGACCCTGCATTACCACCATCCCAAGCATCAGTTTAGTCATTAGCTTTGCCAGGGCAGGGCTGGCCTTACTGTTAGGAATACCCACAGGGTAGAGGTATCTGCCTTAGAGGAGTTACAGTCTCCTAGAGTACAGGGCTATTAACAAGAGTTAATTCACTTTCAGCAGAGCCATGTGAACCTGTGAGCAAACAATAGTGGGTGGACACAAAAGAGGAGGGAGCATTCCCTGGGCCAGGATTAGGAGGGAGGGACCACAGGGAGATGCAAATCCTTGCATTTGAGATATGGGAAGGGAGGATCTGAGAAACTCTGGTCCAACTGAACTCTTGTCATCATCAGCATCTCCAGGCTGCTGACCAGAGTGCACCTTACACATCAGTCAGGACTCCGCTCTGGAATCAACTCCCCTAGAAATTTCCTGACCAGCTCAGACCCTGCTGGGCCCTGCACTCACCCTGGGATGTGCCTCCTCTGACACTCATCACTATCCTCACTTCTGCAGGATAAGCATCACCCTCAACGTGACCTTCCTCTTTGGGGCATAAAATTCCTCATGCTCACTTTTCGAATCCCTTATATGTGTGGTCTTCCTGTGGTGTGAATAGAAGTGTTATTAGAAAAAAAGCAACTCAAGTGTGAATTATTAGATTGTTTTCATAACAAAAGATGTGATTTTTGTGCAAAGGTCTTTGCTGCAAGTTGGCCCCATTAACAGGTCCATTATTGGCCTTTCTAGGACTTGCGACTGAAGGTCAACACAAGGTGGTCAGGGGCTTTTGCAAGTGGGAACACGGGCCACCTCCTCCCATCGGACTGGGTATAGGAAGCACAAGGGGTTAGGGTAGGAACTGCAAATCATCACTGGTGGGGACTCCACTGCTCTGTTATTTCTCCCTGCCTCTGACTGCAGACCTGATTATATTTGGAAAGAAAAATCATGATCATCAGAGAATGGCAAGACATCCTATTGGTTGGGCACAGACATGGAAAGGACTAGCAGGGCACACCTCTTCCAGCCTCGCTAAGATGCCTCTGAAGACAGGGAACTCACTACCTGCAGAGCAAGTCCATTCTTGAGCAGCGCCAACTCTCACATAGTTTTCCTTTGATGTAGTTTCAAGACGGCAACTCTGTATCTTCAGCCTAGACCTCGCAGTTCAGCTGTTGGAGGCTTGAGAGCAAGTGGAATCCTTCCTATGCACGTCACTTGCTTGGCTATTGCAGACAGAAAACGAGAGCTGGAAAGGACCTCAGAATCCACCCCTCTGCCTGTTGTGCAATGGGGCTGTGGTCATTGCATCCCTGGACAAGTTGTCTGTGCTTTACTTTCCTCATCTGTGCAGCAGGATCTGACCTATGTGGTGCTTGCTGTGGCTTGACCCCAGAGCTGGAGCTAGATCCCAGCTCCAGCCTCCTTCTTGGCTTCTTGGATCATCACCATTGGCAGAAAGTAGAGTTGGCCAGGATTGGTCTGATGCCAGTTCTGCCTGTTCCCCATAATCTTCCAATTTGCCTGGGCACATAGAGTGCAGCCCCGGCTTGGCCCGTGTGGAATGTCTAGTGCTTTGTTTCCACCATGTCTTAATCCTCTTCCATCTGACTAATATGGCTGATGGAGGGTGGCAGCCTTGGGAGGCAAGGAGGCTCTACCGTCCAGTAAACTTTTTAGTTTACTCCAAAATGTGGAAGGCGCTTGCCGACTCCCGGGTCTCTGTCTCCTGTAGCCTGGCTGGAAGCTCAAATAAATGTCCCTTTCCCCGCCTCAAAGTACAGACTCGCTGAGTCCCAGAGGCAGCCTTGTGAGTGGAAAGAAAGAGCAGGGACTCTGGAGACAGAGAGGTCAGATTCAAATTCTGGCTCCTTCTCGTAACAGCTGTCTGACTTGACTCAAAGCTTTCCCCTTCCCTTGGTCTTAGTTTCCTCCTCTGCAGAAGAGAGATAAAAAATAATCCCATCCCAAAGGGCTATTGTGGGGTTTTTAAACAAGGGAAGTTAAGGTTAGTGTTTGGCTTCATGTCCGGCACACGCTCAACTCTGGGTAAACCCTGGCCTTCCCCGTCCTAGCCCCCGGCACCTGCACCCTTGTCCTCACCAAATCCCCTCAGACCTCAGCCTCCTCTGGCTCATACTAGGAAGATCACGGTTACCATGGCAACCCACAGGCAGCGGGGGCTCCCTGTCCCTGCTCACCCAGCCCCGTCCCTCTCTGACCCTGTGCCTAGCTCAGCCCAACCCAGCCCGGGCAGCTGCCAAGGCGGTCAATTTTGTCAGGCACAGCCGGTTCTTCCTCCTGGAGCTGATCCCTAACCACTTGGAGGTTTAAAGAGGTTCAGGACTCAGTGGGCATGAGGGGCTTTTCTCAGCCAGCTCATGTCCTCCTGCATGAGTGGAAGCTCTGTCCTGCTGCACCCCTGACCCTGGCTCCTGCCAGGATCTGCTTTGCTCTCTAATTAGAAAGGCTGGCAGGGGTCGCAGTGGTATTTTGTTCCCCCATCCTTCCACGCCCTGCCTCCTCCAAGCATTTGCTGAGCACATCCTCACTCCACCTCCCCTTGGCTGGGCCTGAGTGGAAGGTTGGGTCTGAGTGAAAGGACATCTCAGCACACCGAACTGAAATGAGAGCATCCAGCTCTGTGTAATCCTGGCTCTGCACTTAGCAGCTGTATTACAGGCCAGGGCTGCTCTAACAGGGTCCCACAAATGGGAAGCTTAAGCAGTCAGAAATGTATTGACTCAGTGCTGGAGGCTTGAAGTCTGAGATCAAGGTGTCTGCAGGGTTGCATCTTTCTGAGTGCTACAGGAAGAATCTGTTCTAGCTCTCTCACTGGGTGTTTTGCTGGCACTCTTTGGCATGGCTTGACTCATAAAGGCACCATCCTGCCTGCCTTCGCTTTACGTAGTGTGTGTCTGAGTGTGTGTCTTCTCCATATTTACATTTCCCCATTTTACGAGGGCACCGGTCATGTTGGATTAGGCTTTACTTTGATGACCTCCTTTTAACTTGATTATCTCTGTAAAGACCCTATTTCCAAATAAGCTCACATTTCTGAGGCACTGGGGGGTTAGGACTTGAACACGTGAATTTTGAGGGGATGGGATCCAACCTATAGCACAAGGTGTGGCCCTGGGCAAGTCACATCACCTGTTAGGTCCTGAGAAAGGTTCATCTTGAAAGTGGGGGTAAAAATTGCCACATCCTCAGGGGATTGTTGTAAGGACCGAATGAGACAAGGTGTATAGGTTGGTTAGCCCAAGGCTAGCTATAGTGGAGTTGATAATCATAGCTGCTGTGAATTTCTGCTTGAGGGAGGGGACCATGATCATTGATGCATTTACTCTCAATGGACGAAGTAAAAGGAAAGGTGGAAAGTAAACTGTCAAGCCTCTTGGGGTTCCTCGTTGCTGTAACCTGCCTCCTAGCAAGCCCAATAGGGCTACACTTTTGCCATTCATTCACCAACTCCATCAATCTATTTGACAAGTGCTGTGTGCGTTCTATTTCATTTAATCATTACAAAAGTATTAGGTTGGTGCAAAAGAAATCACAGTTTTGCCATAAAAGTCATGGCCAAAAGTGCCATTACTTTTGCACCAACCTAATATTAATATTATTATTACCAATTAACAGATGAGGAAATTGGGGCTTTGGGTGGTGGCATGGCCTGCTCATAGTTCCACGGCACAAGGAATGGTGGGGGCCGGGATCACTGGTTTGGTGGCGTGTTTGTACGCGCAACTGCAGGGATACCTGCCTGGGGCAGCTTGGCCTTTTCTCTCCGCATGGGCTCCACATATCCTTTGAGCCAGAGCTCCCTGACCGCCTTTGCAGCCCATCCCTGGAGGGAATTCACAGTAGTTATGATTACCAACCCCACTATAGCTAGCCTTGGGCTAACCAACCTACACATTGTCTCATTCAGTCTTTACAACAATCCCCATGGGAACTCACACTCCCGCGTTGTTGGCACTGGGCACTGCGAGCCTTTGGATTGCACCCCAGCACCCAGCCCTGGGTTATAATTTTTTGTATTTATGTCTTTCCTTTGCTTGTCATCAGGCTGTTTATCGGCACGCGGCGACGCATCACTCGTACGTGTTAAATATATATACGTCTCTGTGTGTCTGTGTATGCCTTCCCGGTTCTATTTATGCAGTTCCTCGGAGGATTAATTTAGCCAAATAACCGAAGTTATTTAGGTAGCTGACATTCACACTGGAAAGAGAATGTGGGAACGAAGTCAGCGAGGCACTGGCTCTGTTCCCAGGCCCCCCGGACTCAGTTTCCTTCAAATTAAGGTCTGGTGTGGTGGAAAGTGCAGGAGCTCATCTAGTCAAATGTTCTAAACCAGGCCCTGTGATGGTGAGCTATGGATGCTGGGAAAAGTCCAAAGCTGAGCCTCAGTTTGTTCAGCTAAAAAGAGGCCTTTTTTTCTTACAGAGAACATGCAAGCTTTGATTGATTTAATGAATTTAAAGCTTTTTGTTCACTGTAGGCATTTATTTGTTAGTGGCACTCTCTCCTCTTTATGTCTCTGTGTCTGTGCCAAGTGATGCGTAAGATGAAATGGAAATTCCCGGCCGGGCGGAGTGGCTTATGCCTGTAATCCCAGCACTTTGGGAGGCCGAGGCAGGTGGATCATAAAGTCAGCAGTTTGAGACCAGCCTGGCCAATATGATGAAAACCCTTCTCAGCTAAAAATACAAAAAGTAGCCGGGTGTGGTGGGGCATGCCTGTAGTCCCAGCTACTCAGGAGGCTGAGGCAGGAGAATCACTTGAATCTGGAAGGTGGAGGTTGCAGTGAGCCGAGATCACACCACTGCACTCCAACTAGGCAACAGAGTGAGACACCATAAAATAAATAAATAAAATAAAATAAAATTCCTTGTGTTGGCACCTGAGGTCCTTGGTATTCTGACATTCTGATCCTTGTTGATCTTCCTTTCTCTGGAAGTGTTACTCTCACTGTGCCTGGACATGATATAATTCAGTTGGGATGGTTGATGTTGCTGGTGCCCTTTTAAGTCTCTTCCTGGAGCTCATCGTTCCTGTGTATGGTGACTCTATGGCTTCTACAAGCCAGCATACTGGAGGGCTTTCTTTGGTGGTCAGATCCCAACTCACATGCCAAAGGGGCAGGCTGGAGGTGGGAGCAGCTTCCACACAAAACAACCCCCAACCACCAAAGTAGGAAAATGGTACATACACACCCCAGTCGTTCATTCATCGAATAACTCACAGGCCTGTTCTGTGCTCTCACCTGCTGCTTCCCAGCAGGCTGGAACTCTGGTTGCCCCCTGCGGAAACCTGCTCCATAACACTCTTAGTTGGCTTCCTTCTCTTCTCTTCCATGTTTCACTCCCTCATTCTCCTACAGGTGTGTCTGGAAGCCACTTCAAAGTAAACTCTATGCACTCAAATCCTTGTCTTAGGGTGTCCTTTTGGAAAATCCCAACCTAAGACAAGGTAGGATTGTGAGCATTAATGGTCTGAACTCTGGGGTACAACCACCTGTCTTTGAATTCTGCTTCAAGAGTCAGTGAGAAGTTATTTAGCCTTTCTGAGCCTCAGTTTCTTCATTTGTAAAGTAGGGCCAGTAATGACAGTACCTGACCCAACAGAGGCATGAGATAAACCACAGAGATAGACAGGGTCCTGTCCCTCTCTGGCCACTTACCCTACTTCAGTTTGTTCCAAAACTCCCTTCACCCAGTTCACCTTGGGGATTCCATTATTTGTTGATTTGCACATTGTCTTCTTCACATAGACTGTCCCCACCTCATCTAGATGATCAATGTTGTGAGTGGGGGTCTCTGTCACTCTTGTTCACTGCTGTTTCTCAGGACCATGGACAGCGCCAAGCCCACTCTACTTTCCCAGCATGATCAGATCTCTCATTGCTCTCTCAGTGGCCCCCACGAGTGCTTTACCCATTCCTGGCTCTGATTTTGCTCTAGCACACTTCCTAGCACCTTGGATTCCTGTTCTATCCAACTCTATCCTTTTTTTTTTACTTTTTTTTTTTTTTTTTTTTGAGACGCAGTCTCGCTCTGTTGCCCAGGCCGGAGTGCAGTGGCGCCATCTCGGCTCACTGCAAGCTCCGCCTCCCGGGTTCACGCCATTCTCCTGCCTCAGCCTCCCGAGTAGCTGGGACTACAGGCGCCCGCCACAGCGTCCGGCTAATTTTTTGTATTTTTAGTAGAGACGGGGTTTCGCTGTGTTAGCCAGGAAGGTCTCGATCTCCTGACCTCGTGATCCACCCGCCTCGGCCTCCCAAAGTGCTGGGATTACAGGCGTGAACCACCGCGCCTGGCCCAACTCTATTCATTCTTTATAGCTCAGGAAGTGATCTCACTCTTGGTCATGGCTGACTGGATCTGGGATCAAGGCCTGAACCAAAATCATCCGCCTGTAGGCTGATGGGAAGCCTGTGAGTTGGCCTGGGTTGGGGGTTCAACCCCAGCCTAGCAACAATAAGTCACTGGTATTGAGCACATTCTGCACACCAGGCACAGCACTGAGCACTCCACCACACAATCTTCCTAACTCACAGCTGTCCTTTGAGGCTGGTGCTGTTATTATCATGCCTCATTTCATAGATGTGAAAACAGACTTGGGGAGCTTACACAACTTGCCTGATGTTAGGATTTGAATCAGATCTGTCTGACTCCAGAGCAGTCTCTAGGAATGCCTCCCTATCTTCTCCTTTGGGGTGGTAATTAACTAAAGCTCTCCATTCCTCCTTCTTGAACCATGAAGTTCGTAGTGCCCCTGCCCGCAAATGTGTGTATGTGTGCGTGTGTGTGTGTGTGTGTGTGTATGTGTGCATGAAAGAAAGAGAGAGAGAGAAAGAGACACTCAGGGAATGGGGAAGAGCAGATGTGGCCAAAAAGTGAGGTAAGAAGGCTGGAAGCTGAAGCCAGAGGTGAATAGATGTCTTAAGAGCAGGGACAAAGAGCTGAGAAAAGAGGAGCAACAGAAAGGAAAGATCTGAGCTATGGGGATGGTGCCTATGGGGATGGTCCAAGCCTTGCCCCATGACTGTGACCTTTCGATCTCTCACTGGGCACCCAGCAAGTGCCAGGCACCAACACTGAGCAAAGCTCTCATTCTCCACAAGGCCTGGCCCAGCAGCAGCTGGGATGGTTTCTCATCCCTTGAGGAACCCCAGAGCATATATTCTCTGCCATCTGAGTAGCCACCCACGTGGCTACTCCCAATATCATCATCACGCTGAACTCTTCCATGACATCAGCCCAATAATGGGTACCTCCATCCCCCCGACCTTGTGACAACATTTCATAGATGTCTTCTCCACACCACTCATACCACCTGCATCGGCACCATCATTAATTTCTTCCTTCATCTGGCAAATATGTATGGAGCCTCTATTATGTGCCAGGTACTCTTCTAGCCACTGGGGACACAGCAGTGAACAAAATCAAGTGTCAGCTCTCGGAGTCTTCCATTCATCCCATTCATCATCCTCACTACTCCCTCCATGACCTTGACTGCCAGCACCATTACCATCACTATAATATCATCAACCATTGTTTCCTGAGCACTTCGCTTGGAGCTGAGCACATAAAAAAGTTACCCCATCCTTGCAGCCCATGTTCTGCTTCCTATCTTCTCATCAGTACAGAGGGAAATCCCTCCTTACACAGACACGCCTCCAGTTTCCCGCAGAGTGTAGCCCCCCAAAGCCCAATGGGTGGAGGAGGGCTGTCTGACCTGCTTGGAAATTCTTTTAGTGTAAAAAGGAGCTGATGCTTCATCCCGAGACAGCTGCATTTCCCCAGAGCAGGAAATGAAATAACACAAAGACTGTGGCTCTCTCAAATAAAAAAAAAAATGCCCATGAGATGCCAGAAAGGGACTGGGGAGAACACTGTGGCTTGTGCTGGGGTCTGGCAGCCTCTGCCCACAAGCAGCATCTCGGCAAGAGCCCCTTAAAGAGTAACTGATAGAGTAATAAGGGAGCATGGGTTGGGGGGAACAGATGATCCTTAATTCTCTGGCTGCAAATGAGTTCATCTATTCACCCACGTGGCTCCTGTTTCCCCTCCTCCCCCTGCCCAGCATCAGGCTTCCTTCTAACCTGGCATTCCATATTACAGAGGGCTCCATCAGCCCCTAGGGCTGGGATTTATTTAAATGGTGAGTGAGCTGTGTGGCCAAAGCCCGTGTTAAGCAATGTTTATTACAATCAATAAATCATGGTCTCGTATCTGATCCAGAGACGGAAATAGCTCGTGAGCCCAGGATGCAAGGGAGAGTGAGGTTAGCACAGCCCGAGATAAGACAGACTCAATCGAGGTCAGTCTCTCCACCCTGGCTGCAGGTGGCTGGGTGCTCTAGAGCTCTGGTCTCCTCTCCTGACATTTCCTCTCCCACCTACCCCTTTGAGAAACCTCCCCCAGGGTCTGCCTTGTCTCCACATGAGAGAAGGCTGACCTGGGAGCAGAGGCACGGCTTGGAGAGCCAGGTGGGCTCCTCAGGAGCAGCAGGATTTGGGTGAGAAAATTGCCGAGTCTCCTTTGGTGACTTCTTTCCTGGTGGGTGGAAGGGTAGCTCCATACCCTGCCACTCTGGAAAGGAAGCAGGGTAGTTAGGAGACAACTTGAAATGCCCAAATCTGCAAGTCTGCAGCTTGGAAGGAGAGGAGCACTAAGGAGGGGTAGATTCATTTAGTTTTAAGAGCACAGTTTTGGTATCACCAAGAGCCAGTTGGGTTCAAATCCCAGCTTCACCACTTCCTTCCATTAGTTACCTAACCTCTCTGTGTAAATTGGAGGAAAGAATATGACCTTCTTTATAGGGTTATTTAGGAGAAATGCAAGGAGTTGGTGTGGGTAGGAGTACTTCACACCGGGGCTGGTATATGGTTTCTTCTCAATAGATGGCACTTGCTGTGGTAGGCTGAATATGCTCCCCCACAAAATGTCCTTGTCGTAATTCCCAGAACCTGCAAATGTCACTTTTATGGCAAAAGGGACTCTGCAGAATCATGAAGGATCTTGGGATGAGGACATTATCCTGGATTATTCCAGCGGGCTCTGTGTAGTCACAATGGGTCCTGGAAGAGAACACAAGAGAATAGAGAATTCAGTGTGAGAAGAAGGCCATGCAACACGAGAGGCAGAATCAGAGAGAGAAGATGCCATGCTGATGGCTTCGAAAATGAAAAAAGGGTCCTGAGTCAAAGAATACAAGTGGATTCTAGGAGCTAGGAAAGTCAGGAAACAGGCTGTGCTCTGGAGCCTCCATAAAAAACCAGTCATGTGAACACCTTGGTGTTAGCCCGTAAGCCTCACGTCAAACTTCTGGCTTCTAGAACTGCAGGAAAAGCAATTTGTGTTGATTTAGCCGGTGAATTTGTGATAATTTTTAAAAGGATCAAGATGGAAAGTAATGTATCTAGGAAGACCATGGTGCTGATGATGCCAGGGCCAGCTTCTCAGATGTCTCCCAGAATCCCTCAGGTCATACATGGAACCCCACCCATCTTCTTGGAAGGAGGAAACCAGGCTAGAGAACGTTCTACATGTGCCTACTTGGCATTACCAGCTCAGAGAAGTGGGAATGTGGAGCTTCACACAGATTTCTGATGCCCATGAAAGTGGTGGTCAAACCCTTTGTGGTCCCAGTCTCATGGGTCACCACAAGCTTATCAAGCAGAGCTTAATTCATGGAGTTTGTTTAGTCAATAGATGCCCTTATACTGGCTGAGGGGTGGCCAGTTGATGCATAGAGAGGGAGGAAAGGCAAGAGCAAATTCTGGGGGAAGCTAAATGTTGTGCAGGCAATTAGGAGTGAGGACTTGGCAGGACCAATCGTCAATACAGAGAACTGGACAATGGCTTGATAATAGGGTGAGGTAGGAGACCCCTTACCTGGGTCGAAGGTCAGGGCAAGCCTTCCTTGATGAAGGGACAGCTGAGCTGGTCCAGGGCTCCTTACAATGCTCCTGGCTAGGAGTAGGATTGGCCCTAGGCCTCAAGGTCTGGGGCAACCTACGACAGCATCTGTGAGCAAAAACCACCCAGGGACCCAGGGAGATGGACTAAGGGACAGTGACAGTGGGAAGTTTCTCTTCCTTCAAATCATGTTCTCCTTTGGACAGATGCATGGGCTCGATCTCTGGATCTACTCTGAAAAGGGAGGGGCTCCTACTCCCCAGTGAGACAGATGAGCCACCCCCAGCAGTGACTCAGGCTGCTGGAAGCAGTGGGTGGCAGTTTCCTTTTCCTTTGTCTTTTTCCTAGGCGGGGCTGCCAGCTCTCCCGGAGGCTCCTTGCCTAGCCCAGAAGGACTGATGGGAGGAGTGGGAGATGGCAGGTGATGTTGGAGATGGGTGCTGGAACTGCCTCAGGGGAGATGCTGGGGAAGACGGGGAAGAGGTGTCGCCAGCTTGGATGATTCTGAGGTCTCCTCTAGTGGTTCTCTAATGCCCACACCTGAACTAGATATAGCAGAATCACCTGGGGAGCTTGTCTACAGAGCGCGCTCCGGAGACCTCCTGCAACAGATTCCCACTCAGTGGTCTGGGATGGGACTTGACTTTGCATTTTTAGGGAGTAGGTTTGGGAGCCACCAGTTTGCATACTGGTTTCAGACAAGCAATGTCCACAAGGCCCCAACAGGCTTGGAGAAAAGAGAGAGGGGGAATAGGAAAAGCAGGATGAAGACAAAGGGAGAGAGGGCAAAGCCAGAGTAGAGGAGCAGAAAAGGCAATGAGTTGAGCACTCACTATTCATGGAGGGCTCTCTAGGCACCAGGCTCATTTGTTCCTCCCTGGAACCCTTCGAGTTCAGTATTGGTATTTCCATTATTCTGTTGAGGATAATGAGGCCCAGGGAGGTTATGTGACTTGCTTAAGGCCAACAGATAATGGATTGGAATTTGACCACTGCATACTATCCATATTTGTGGTCATTGTGCTTACAGAACAGCCCCTTGAGGACTTGTGTCGCCTAAGTTGAATGACAGGGAAGAAACAAAAATGATTGTGTTCTTGGGTCTCTGGAGAAGAAACAACTTCCCAGATGGAAAGCAGAGGCTTCTGTGGTGGCCCCTGGTCCTCATCCTAACCCTAGGCTTTAGTGACTTACCCAGGAGTGAGTTCTTACGGTCCAAAACAGAGCACCTCAGGGATTTGAAAGAGCCTGACCGTCTCCCCAACCTCCCAGGCCCACTCCGTCTCTAGCAGGCACCCAGCCCCTGCCTGGGGCAATCCCCTCTGGCCTTCCCATGAGCCCCCGGCCAGCTCCTGCTCCAGCTCTTGGTTCAGGTCACAGCTGCATCTCTTACAATGGCCCTGGACCTCTGGATTTGGCTTCGGGAGTGGCTCTTCCCCAAGTGCTTCTGGCTCTTTCCCCCAAACTTTGCTTCCAACTCACTCAACAGGCTTGTTCTATTTCAAATGGTGAGCCCATCAGCAACCCTAACTGCATATCAGTGCAGAACAGTGGTGCAGACAGATTCTGTACTTAAGGCATCATGTGGGAACTGGGAAGGGAAAGAAGCTTGTCTTATCCTATTAGTTTTTATCTTGTGTTTGTATTGGGAGGGTTGATCACATTGTCTCTCTCCTGGGATCACCAGACAGGGCCAATGCTAAAGAGCTGTGGGTATCACACTACTTTAGGTGTGATCATCATCAGAGGAGGAGGAAGGAAGTTGAGAAGGAGGAGGAAGGAAGTTGAGAAGGAGGAGGAAGGGGAGCAAAGATGAGGTAAAGAAATAATGGCGTGCTTCTCTCTTCCCTCCACCCCTTATGGGCCACTTTCAGCACAGCAGCCAGAAACACAACCATGATGCATACGTTTAAAGATCTCTCTATTGGTTTCTCTGGCATTTTGGATCAGATAATGCTTTGTGTGGAGGGCTGTTCTGTGCATTGTAAGATGTTTTGCAGCATCCCTGGCCTCTACACATTTGATTCCAGCAACACCTGCCCCAGTCTTAACAGCCAAACATCTCTCCAAATATTGCCAAATTGCTCCCTGTTGAGAACCTCTGCTGAACTGTTGAAAGCCCTGCAATGACTTCTCCAGTGGGCTGTATTATTGCTCCTAATCCTTCCACACCCACAGCCATATGCCTTTGTACCCTCTTCCAGTAGAGGCAGAGTCCATTTCCTTGTCCCAGTGATACTGGGTTCAGCCATCGACTTACATTAGCCAATGGCATGGGAGTGGAAGGGACAGTGAGTCAGTTTTGACTAGACCTTAAGAGACATCACCTGTTACCATCTTCTGCTTCTGCCATTGCCTCAAGAAGGGCATTCCTGGGGCAGTCCGCTGGCCCCAGGAAGAGGATGGGTACATGTGGAGTACACCTGGACCTCACCTAGAGTTCAAGCCAAGCCCAGCCAAGCTCCAGCAAAAGTAGACAACCCCGATCCAAGCTGAAGATGAGGGAGGACAAGTGATTGTCACTTTAAGCCATTGAGTGGCTTGTTAGGCAGCATTATGTGGAGATGGCTGATGAACACAGCCTCCTGTTGAAACTGAGAGACACTCTAAACTCCTTCTCTAACCTCTAAGGCCCTGCATGATTCAACCTCTGCCAAACTCTTTCAGGGATGGGAGGAGCATACGTGGCAGAGGGAAGAGCAAGGAAAAAGACCCTGAGATGGTTCCAAGTCAGGGTTCAGAGGACAGAAATATGGCCAGTGTTAGGCAAGGAGCAGATTGTGGCTGCAGGCCCTGCTTTCCAGAGAAGCCCGGATAAGACAGGCATAACCAGCATAAAAGTCCAGGATATTCCAATTATAGATTTCATGCCCTTAACTCCCACACTGTAGATTAAAAAAAAATGATTATTAGAAGTAACAGTCATAGGCTGGGTGTGGTGGCTCACGCCTATAATCCCAACACTTTGAGAGGCTGAGGTGGGAGGACTTCTTGAGCCCACGAGTTTGAGACCAGCGTGGGCAACATGGCGAAATCCTGTTTCCACACACACACACAAAAAATACAAAAATTAGTCGGGTGTGGTGACATGTGCCTATAGTTCCAGCTACTCAGGACACTGAGGTGGGAGAATCTCTTGAGCCCAGGAGGTCAAGGCTGCAGTGAGCTGTGATTGCACCACTGCACTCCTGCCTGGGAAACAGAGTGAGATCCTGTCTCAAAAAAAGGAAAAAAAAATAACAGAAAAAGAAGTAATAGTAGTAGTATTGCTATTAAGCTTTCTCTATGGGCCAGGCACTAGGCTAAGCACTTAACACACAGCACCAAATTCAGTCTTTCCATGCTTATGAGGGAAGTTCATTATCGTAGCCATTTTACAGATGGGGAAATCAAATCATAACTTGCCAGAACTCACACACGTCATGGTGACAGATTGAGCATTCAAACCCAGGTCCATCTGACCATAGAACTCAAGCTCTCAAGCCATCCCTCTGTCTCTCCCCTGACTAGCTGTGAATACCCAGACATTTTCTAGAACAAATTTCTTTTCAGGAAGCAGGAGAGATGTGCTACTTTTGAAGTGCATGACACCTTCCGGAGACAAGTGTCACCGTGGAGTCATCAAAGGCTTCAGTTACCTTCAAAGGCCGGCTGCTTGCTCTCCAGAATCACATCGTCAATGTGCCCTCCCTCTGCAGGGAGGGGTTGGCTTGTTTATTTCTTTGGGGACAAGCTTTAGGGTACACAGCCTCCATTATAGGACAGACTCCAGGATTTTTAGTCTCTGGAATTTGATCTCATGGCTGAAAGGCAACTGAGAGAGTGGCAGATAGACCAGGCTAAATAAGAGGTTGATTTTGCAGAAGACTGGCCAGGGTGGAGGGTCTTGAGGAGGCCTTCAAAGCTTAGGAGAACTTTAAAGAGTACAGAAGGCTGGGCTCCACCCCTAGCCTCTGATTTGAAGGTCAAAGCTGTACTTTTTTTTTTTTTTTTTTTTGAGATGGAGTCTAACTCTGTTACCTAGGCTAGAGTACAGTGGCATAATTTCGGCTCACTGCAACCTCTGCCTCCCAGGCTCAAGCAATCCTCCCACCTCACTCTTCCGAGTAGCTGGGACCACAGGCACACGCCACGGTGCTTGGCTAATTTTTTGTATTTTTGGCAGAGATGGGGTGTCACCATGTTTCCCAGGCTGGTCTTGAACTCCTGAGCTCAAGCAATCTGCCTACATCAGCCTCCCAAAGTGCTGGGATTACAGGCTTAAGCCAGGGCACCTGGCCCAGAGCTGTACTTGTTTTAAGGCTTCCTCCATCCCCAAGTGATTCCAACTTGCACTCCTGTTTAAAAATATCTGCCCTGGAGGCTGTGTCCACATGGAATGCTCTCTGCTTGTCCCATCTCCTTCCTTATTATGTTTCATGGCCAGGGGTTTTGGTATCACCTCTTTCTGCATGATGCCTTCCTGGGTTCATTAGTCAAAGGCAAATGTCTTTTCTAGTCTTTTCCCATACCTGAACATTTGACTCTTAGAAGGTGCTTCAAAACCAACATACCCTCCAAAAACTCACGTTTGTCCCTAATCTACTCCCACGTCTGGGGTTTTCTGTCTCAATAAATAGCACCTCCATCCTTCCAAAAGCCAGAAAGGGAAGGTACAACTGATTAAGGACTCAGGTCCTGGGCTGCACAGTCAGCCTCCTGGGTTTACAGCTTGGTTCCACCACCAATGGCTGTGTGACCATGAGCAAGTCACTTACTCTCTCTGAGCCTCAGTTTCCTAACCTAGGAGATGGGATGAAGTACTTCTGTATCCCGGGGTTGTGGTTAGGAGTCGGTGAGATGCGATATGTAAAATGCTTAGAACAGCACTTGGCACACAGTGTGCTCAATCAGTGCTCACTGTAATCATCCTGACATCTCTCTCTCCTTCCTTCCTCGTATCCAATCCATCACCAAGCTCGCCAACCCATCACCACTTCTGTCTCCTCAACATCAATTCCATCCTCTTCTCTCCATCTCCACCTCCATTGCCACCTACAGCATACTGTCTCTCCAGGACAACTACACCTGCTTCCTAATAGGCCTCTCTGCTCCCGCTTCCCTTCTGCTTCCAATCTGTTCTCAACACAGCAACAGCAGTGGCCTGGGTGTTCTTTTAAAACACGAATGCGATGATGGGATCGTGCCCCTCCAATGCTTAAAACCTCCAGTGACGGCTGGGCGCGGTGGCTCACGCCTGTAATCCCAGCACTTTGGGAGGCCGAGGCGGGTGGATCATGAGGTCAGGAGATCGAGACCATCCTGGGTAACATGGTGAACGCAGTTTCTACTAAAAATATAAAAAAAAAAATTAGCAGGGCTTGGTGGCAGGCGCCTGTAGTCCCAGCTACTCAGGAGGCTGAGGCAGGAGAATGGCGTGAACCCGGGAAGCGGAGCTTGCAGTGAGCCCAGATTGCGCCACTGCAGTCCGCAGTCCGGCCTGAGCGACAGAGCGAGACTCCGTCTCAAAAAAAAAAAAAACCTCCAGTGACTCCTCAGTGCTCTCAGGATGAAATCTAAATTCCCAAATGTGCATGAACAGTGTTCTCGACCTGGTCTTTGCCTTTCCAGCCTCCTGCCTTGACACAGTCTCTCTCTGTCTCAGTCTCTGTCTTTGTCTCGTCCTCTCTCCCCAGCCTGTCACCATGCAGATTCTTTTGCCTAATCCACTCTACCCTCCTTCTGTCTTCCTCTGTCTCCCTCCTACTCATCCTTGCAGCCGCAGCCGAGATGTTGCCAGCTCAGGGGGAGTCAGATTCTAGGCCAGATCCCTGGCTCTGTGCCCCACAGCCCACCCTTTGCATCCCCCGCTCCGGCACCTGTCATGCACACACCACGTTATGGTGATCTCTGGTCCAGTCTGCAAATATGTTGTTGCCTGACACAAAGTAAACAGTCGATGGATGCTGCTGTGCTCGTCATCGTTAAGTCATCACTATCATCATTTGCTCTGGCCAACTCCTGGTGTTTGCTGTCCTCTTAGAAGCTGTGGTATGAATTGCACGGATTGCATTCATGCGTCAACCTTCCCTGTGTCTACATCCCATGCCTGTCACTTTGCAGTTCTCCTCTCTAAAGAGGCCCACTCTGTTTCCCACCCCTTAAGTCTGGGCTGGCTTTCACCCATAGAATGCGACGGAAGTAACAGAGGCCAGTCCTGAGTCTAGGCCTCAAGGGGCCTCGCGCCTTTCTGCTCTGTCTTTGGCTTCCTGGTCTCCACCATGAGAATGTGCCTGGGCTGGCCAGCAGGAGAATGAGATGTGTGGAGCAGAGCTGAGCTGCTGAGACCATCCGAGAGAGTAGCCGGCAGCCAGCCAGCCCCCAACCTGTGATCAGCAGAGCCACTCGGCTGACCTGCAGATGAGAACAGAAACACGAGCAGGCCAGTTGAGCTGAACCTCATAGGCTCACAAGCTGAATAAATGCTTATTGTTGCGCGCTGCTGAGGTTTTGTGGATATTTGTTAGGCAGCCTTATAGTAGCAATTGATAACTGATACAGAAGCCACCGAAAGGAGCAAGCTAAGTCCTAGGGAAAAATGTTGCCAGGCGTTCGGTCTTCTCAGAGTGATAGCTGCTTATTAGAAAGAAACCAACTTTGACTGTCACCTTCTCTGCCACTTGCACTCCGTTAAACCCAGAGACTGGCAGATGCCTTTCAGCACAGCCGCACTCTGCCTCCCCTCCCTTCCTCCCAGACTCCTGTCTGAGACAGAACAGTATCTTTGAGAACCCGAGGGCAAAATCCTCTGCAGGAGTAGGAGGCGGCTCTTAAACAGCCCCAGGCGATGTGGAAGGTGGGCGGAGGCTGAGCTATTGCACTGCTCCCCAAATCCCAGTGCCTGGCTGCACCCCCACACCTGAAACCTGCCTACCCTGGTTTAAGCCTCCCCCAGCCTTCCTGGTGAAGACCCCTCATGGATTCTTGTTACTCTCAGGATTGTGCAATAAACCCTTCTCCTTCACGCAGAGTAGACGTGACGGGAAAGTCTATTTCTGGCCTGACTGTATTGCATCTTGTTTGACACCTCCGCTCAGCTGGCATTCAGGTGGGCACTACCTGCTCATGGAAAGTCCAGGAGAAAATGGAAGAGAAGATTTTTTAGAAATCAACACACAATTCAACGTCTTTCTTTCTTTCCTTCTTTGAGAGAGAAAGAGAGAGAGAGAGAGAGCAGTAGACAAGTCAATTTCACAGGGGCTGAGTATTTACACCAGTCTGAACCTGGGCTGGAAAACTGTTCACCCCAAGCACCATGGTGAGTGGGGAAGGAGGAGGCAGCTGCCGCCTTGAAATCACCAACACAGCTTTGTTTCATTGGCCCTGAGTCAGCCAAAACATCAGACGTTCCAAATATTAGACAACCTTCCAGGCCAATGTTAGCCCCAAAGCACAACCAAAAACCAAAGAGAAGTGTCTCAAATGTTCCTGAATGTTTTTACATTTCTTGGACAACTATTCTGCTCTGAGGGAATGTGAGAAGAGCTGTCTGTTCCATGGAGGCCCCAGAGAAAATCATTTCCCATGCCAAGGCTGGAGCTGGTGGCTGTTTCCCTCTGGGGAACGGGGTGGGCTCCATCACCCTCAGACAAGCTATAAAGCAGGCTTTCAAATAGCATATACTCTGTGGGAGCAATTCCACTTCTGGAGATAGATTTTTTAAAAATCAAAAGCAAGATCTTGAAGAGATGTGTACATACTCATGTTCGTAGCAGCATCATACACAATAGCCCAGAGGTAGAAGCAACCCAGGCGTTCATTGACGGATGCATGGATGAACAAAATGTGGGACATCCATACAATGGAACATTCAGCCTTCAAGAGGAAAGGGATTCTGTCAAGGATGCTGCAGCGTGGATAAAGCTTGAGGACAGTATGCCAAGTAAAATAAACCAGTCTCCAAAAAGACAAACATCACATGATTCCACTTATGTGAGGTACCTAGAGGAGTCAGATCCACAGAGACAGAAAGTATAAAGGTGGTTCCCAGAGACTGGGGGGAGGAGGGAATGTGGAGTTGTTTATTGGGTACGGAGTTTGAGTTTTGCAAGATGAAAAAGTTCTGGAGATTGTACAACTACGCGAATATACTTAACACTACTGAAATATACACTCAGAAATGGTTAAGATGCTATATTTTATGTAATATACTTTGTACCACAATTTAAAATAATTTTAAGGTCAGGCGTGGTGGCTCATGCCTGTAATCCCGGCACTTTGGGAGGCCGAGGTGGGTCGATCACCTGAGGTCAGGAGTTCGAGACCAGCCCGGCCAACATGGGGAAACCCTGTCTCTACTAAAAATACAAAAAATTAGTCAGGAATGGTGGCATGTGCCTGTAATCCCAGCTACTCGGGAGGCTGAGACAGGAGAATCACTTGAACCTGGGAGGTGGAAGTTGCAGTGAGCTGAGATCGCGCCATTGCACTCCAGCCTGGGCGACAGAGCGAGACTCCATCTCAAATAATAATAATAATAGTTTATACTATTAGCCGGGTGTAGTGGTGTGTGCCTGTGGTCCCAGCTACTCAGGAGGCTGAAGCAGGAGGATTGCTTGAGCCCAGGAGTTTGAGGTTGCAGTGAGCTATGATCATGCCACTGCACTCCAGCCTGGATGACAGAATGAGACCCTCTATGCCAAAAAACAGTGTATATTATACATGTGTTAAATGTTTTAATACACAAAATTATAAAGAAGAAAGCAAAAAAGAGGCCCTTAATTCTCATAGCCAGGACACCCTTTTGACATTTACATATTAAAAAAAAAACTCTGATATACACACATGGTCAGAATACTTAGAATTATAGAGAAACATAATTTATATCAACTTTTAAAATTTACACAGAAAGAAACTTACACCATTCTGGATCTTACCTTTTTCACTTAATATACATTAGAGACCTTTTTAAGTCAACATTATCCAGCTACCTCATTCTTTTCAACAGTTTCACATTCCTAGTAAGAGTCTCCGGCTGGGCACAGTGACTCACACCTGTAATCCCAGCACTTTGGGAGGCCGAGGCGGGTGGATCACCTGAGGTCAGGAGTTTGAGACCAGCCTGGCCAACATGGTGAAACCTCGTCTCTACTAAAAAAAATACAAGAATTAGCTGGGCATGGTAGCAGACACCTGTAATCCCAGCTACTCAGGAGGCTGAGGCAGGAGAATCGCTTGAACTCGGGAGGCAGAGGTTGCAGTGAGCCGAAATCGTGCCATTGCACTCTAGCCTGCCAACAAGGACAAGACTCTGTCTTAACAAAAAAAAAAAAAAAGTCTCCATGTTTGAGCCCGTATTCTATTCTTATTTCCAAGTGATTAACAGGTGGTAACTCATTAAACCTTCCCAGCAGCCTCTGAAGCAGATCCTGGCATCATCCTCATTTTATAGGGAAAGAAACGAGTCCACAGAGGTTAGTGACTTGCCCAGGTTCATGTAGCTCGTAGTGGTAGAGCAAGGATTCAAACCCAGACCCTTGGGCTCCAGAACTGTGCTCTTAGTTTGCCACTTAAACCAGGGGGCTTTTTATTGTATGAATAAACTGTACTCAATGGAACCAGTCTCTTATTTGTGGCCACCGAGGTTGTTTTTGCTCCTTTGCTACTGTAGATAATGCTGAATATTTGTGTCTGCGTGTGTGTGAGTGTATCTTGCATGTAAATACAAGAATGAGTCTATAGGGTATACTCCTAGATGGGTTAAAGGGGTTGGTGCACTTCAAATTTTGATATTATTGTCAAATTGCCCTCCAAAGAAGTATCATCAATTTACACTCTCACCATTAATGGATGAGAAGCCAGCAAGAGTATCTTTTGAAGTGCACACCTGAGGATATTACAGGAATACTGGGGAGGGCTTGCAGTCCTCCTTTTACAAACTGACTTCTCATGCTTCTGCCGTGCACTGGCCACCTTGAATGAGCTTCTTAGGGGAGATTTGGGGCCTGGATCCAGAATTGGCATAGGTGCCTGCCTAAACCCAGAGTGGCGGAGACATGGTCTGAACCACAGTAATGTCACGGCTAGAGGTTACTGAATGCTCAAGTGTGTTCAGCAAGCGACATGCTGCTGCTGGGCTTTCCTGGGTGAAGACAGAGCAGGTAGCCACACCCGGAGGATTGTGGCGGGACCTCTCAAGGTTGCAATCAGGCTAGATGAGAGAGCACCTGAATTTGAGTCCCAGCTTTCCCAAAACTTGCTCTGTGACCTTGGTCAAGTGCCTCTCCTTCCTGGGCCTCAGGCTCCCCCTCTAAAATGAGAGAATGGGACCAGGTGCTGCAGAACCTCTTTCTAGCCCCACTATTCTGTGATCCTGTGGCTCTCGACATAAGCAAGGATTTTCCATAGGCCTCTGTCACCCGCAGGTATTAATATTTCCATGAAGCATGATAGAATACTGAAATATGTGGGCCCTGAAGCCAGTATGCTGGGGCTCAAAGCCCAGCTCAGGGTCATATTAGCTGTGTATCATCAAACAAATCACCTAACCTGCTTGATCCCCAGGCCCTTTATCTGAAGGTAGGAATAAAAAGAGTTTGTGAGGCTTATTTTGAGAATTATAAAAGAGATAATGCATCTATTGTGTCTCACCGTTAGCAAACACTCAGCAAATATTAGCAACGAGTGCTGCTACTACTACTGTTTTTCATTTCTTTCCATTGATATCTGGAGCAAGGAGGATGCTGGGGATGGATGGCTGCTTCCTGGACTCCAGTTGCCTGGCTGGCCTTTAAACAGAGCCCCCCTGGGGCAACTCGTGCCTTGAAATACATTTCCAAAGGAAGCTTCAGTGTCATGTGCTCTGGGCATCTTGGAGAGGTGGTGAGACATCTTTGTTGTTGCAACTAATGTTGGTAAAGGGTTTGGGGTCAACCAGGAGAGGATGCTCCAGAAAGATAATGAGATAAACACACCTTTCCCTGCATCAGCGTCTTCGGTCCCAGCCAGCCCCAGGGAGGCAGCGCGAGGGGAATGGAGAGAGGACATTGCGGGGAGGGGGCTGCTCTGTGCCCTGCTTCAGTGGGAAAGGCAGGGTTTAGGGAACTGACAGGCATGGGGTCAAGGGTGCCTCTGACACCTAGTAGCAGCCCATGTCCTTGGGCAAACAGCCGTGCTCACAGAGCCTCTGTGTCTTCATCGCTAGAATGGGGATGGGAGTTGCTTTGAGACTGCAGTATTGAAGGTTGTAGCATAGTGCCTGGCACAGAGCAGGGGCTCAATAACTGTCAGCTTTCTCTCCTGCCCTTTTCAAAATTCAGGCAGCCCTGGGTGCAGAGCCTTGGCTTGGGCACTGTGGGTTGTCTGTGGGAAACAGCAGGTGTGAGCCTCTACCCCCAGGGAGCTCCCAGTACAAGCGGCGTGCTGGGCCCTGCCCTTGGTGAGCTTAAAAGCTTTGGCCACCGCAGGTGTCATTTATTTGTTCTTCCTGCAGAGGAACATGGGGTCCTGTTCCTCAGAGCACCTGGCCCGGCAGCACAAGCATCCCCAGAGACCTTGTTAGAAATGCAGACTCACAGGCCCACTCCAGGCCTCGTGAATCAGCACCTGCACGTTGACAAGATCCCCAGGTGATTCATGTGTGTGGTCGTTTAAGAAGTGCAGGTGCAGGGCACTGAATGTTCTCATTATCCTGGCCCAGGCTTGCCATGGCTTCCCCTCTCCTGGGCCAAGAAGACAGTGAAGGATAGAAGAGCTGTGGCTACCCCAGACCACAGAGGAATTTGGAGATGCTCCCAAAGGGGGCCCTGCTCTGGGATGCAGATGTCCCTTCTGGGGTGGCAACCTGCCCCACTCCTCCCCCAGCCCATGGGTCCAGGTGGCCTGCAGAGACAAGAGACGGTGTGCTACCACAGCAAAGCAATCTTCAGAGGTCAGGCCAGTGGGACAAAGCCTCTGCCCCCGCCAGGCATGTTTCCCATAAACTTCCTCCCACTCCCCTGTTCCCTGTCTCGGAGGGAGCAAGTGAGCTGGGGAGACCAAGGCAGCTGGGACCAGCTGGCTGATAATGGCAGATCCACCAAACAGCTGCCACAGAAGGCGTATTAAAGATGCTTGCTTGATCCCACTTTAATAACCTGGCAGTTTGCGCGGCCAAACGCAGCTAAGAAGTTGTGGAACAAGAGGGCCGTTTCTTATTATTTTTAATACAGAGCTTTTTATAACTGATTTCGTTGGTGTCATTAACATGCCACATATTTAATGAGACTACACGGTAACAAGGGGCCTGTCTCGTTACTCACAAGCCACAGAAGCAGCTGTGGGCACACCCACCCTCACATACCCACGTGTACCCATGCAGGAGGAGTCGTACACACGCAAACACACCAGACAGGCACACATGCAGCTTCACCCACATAGGCAAGGGATACCTGTGCACATGGGAGCACATGTTTTGACACATGCGTGCCGTCACACATGTGGGCAAGTCACACTCATGCAAATATGTGAGCCTGGTGATCATGTGAGCTGCACACACATGCACGTTTGACAAACACACACACACACACACACACACACACACACACACACGGTTTTCCAATCCATGGCATGGAGGGGAAAGGCATATGAGAAGTGTCTCCCACAGACCCACATGAGTACTCTCCAGGCGCTCTTCAGGCAGCAGGACTGGGGCAGGGCTGCATGGAGCCCCTCTCACCCAGTGTGCGTCAAACAGGAGAAGGTGGGCGCAGCAACCCAAGCTGGGTGTGGCCAGAGAGGGGAGCAAGGCCCCAGAATCTGCCAGCAAAGGGAATTTTCAGAAACGGGAAGCCTGTAGAGTAGCAAGGAACTCCCTGATGAAGGAGAGGGGGAAGGAAGGGGAGGGCAGGGCAGGAGGGGAGGGGATGGAGGACAGCAATCCTGCCTCTTCTTTCAGGGATGCCCCTCCACTCCTCAGGGTCTATTTCTGGATTCATCTTGAATCTGAGACACACACACAGACACACGTGCACACACATAGTGGGGTAAAATAACAGCAATCGCAGACACTCACAGAGTATCCAGAGTGCACCTGGCCCTCTTCTAAGTCCTGCGCGGGCGTTCGCTCATCCGACTCTCTCAGCCTCTATATGGTGAGTCCATGATTCTCTGCTCTTACAGTCAAGGAAATGGTACTTGAAGAAGGTAAGTCACTGGCCTAAGGTCACCCCTCCTGGAAGGGATGGGGACTCTGGTATCCCAAGTCCAGAGCCTTGACCCTGCTGTGCAAATCTTCTCTTCTAGAATCAGAGAGGGAAGAAGAGGAAGTGAGAGGTGAGGGCTGAGGATTCAGAATGAAAAGAAAAAGGGCCAGGAAGAGGGGGAAAGGTATGTGCTTGGGCCTGGGGGACAAGGGTGACGTTGAGCTGGGAGGACAGGCTGCAAGTACCTTGTGCCACTTGTCTTCCTGCCCACCCTGGGAGGGAGGAATTGGTGACCTTATTTCTCAACGAAGGCCTGGGAAGTTGTCTTTCGTGCCCTTGGTGAGACGGAGAAGGAGGTGCCCCACCCAGGTCTGCTGGTTCGGGGCCGACTTGCAATGTGGCCTAGTTGAGCTTCTTCCCGCCACTCAGACCCCCAGTTCTCCTCCCACTCCTTTGTCAGCAGAGGCAGCCGCAGAACAACGGGTCAGCATCTTCCTTAGAACAGCCCCGCGCCGGGCGAGTGGTAATGAGACACCTGTCAGCCTTCTCATCCCCAGGCTTCTGTGCAGAGCAGATGAGAGGAGCTCTTTGCAGAGTCGCGCTGAGTAGGAATAAAGAGGAGGATAAGGGCAGGAGCACGAGGGGGTGGGAGGATGAGGAATAAAACCATCGACGTTTGCCAAAGAACAGATGCAGCGTTTTCTGCCTTCTGATCTGTACGCCTCTGGAAATTGGGGGTCTGTGGGGGTCCCTCCGTGTGGCCGTTTTAATTCTGGCCTCTCTGCTCCATGTGGCTTTCTGGAACTGTCATTGAACAGGCTCCCCAAAGGAGACATCGATATGCCCGGGAAAGACAAAACCATGAATCCCCCTGCCTTCTCCGGGGGCTGGAAGGAGGCGGTGGGCAGTTGGGGAGTGATCGACGTTTTAATAACTGCAGTCAGCATGGCACCGGGCAGCCCAGGCCCAGACAAAGGCGCTAGATCCTGCACCTCCTGCACCCTGGCCTCCTCCCGGCTCGCTGCTTTCCTGGGCCCCTTCAGAGCTGGCCTCACACACACTGGGCCCTCATAAATGTCAGAGGCTCCTGCCTGCCAGGCCGAACTTGGCCTTGAACTTTAAAAGGAGGAGAGACTGTCAGGGGCTGGGTGTGGAGTCGATGGAGACTCAGGGAAGTGATTTGAGTAATAAGGGCTGTGGTGATTGGGGATGGGGAGGACCCCGGGGGCAGGTGCACGGGGTTGTCCAGGGCAGGTAGCTCTGTAGTGGTCACCTCTGAAGTCAGGTGCAGCCACGTCAGCCCCTCCAGCTTATACACTGTCCTACTTTCCCAGCTCTTCATCACTACACTGTTTCCCAGATCCAACCAGCACCCCCACCATACCTCTCTGTGCACTGAAGCCAGTGATAGTAATGGATGTGTTTTGGGTGCAGCTTCAGGATCCCCCATTATTGCCCACAGTCCTGACACGCAGCTCCAACCAAGCTCTGCCAGCCCAGCAGGTCTCAGACAAAGGAAATGAAACAATGGCCAGAAACATGCTTTGTAAATTGCAAAAGGGGCTGCATGAACATGGGCCGTTTGAGTTACTACTAGGAGGGAAGGATTTTGGATGCATATGATCAGGACTATGGAGAAAATAACTCCTGTGCTGAGCCAAGCATGGGGTTAAGAGGTTTACATAAACAAATATATTTAGTCTACACATGGCCCTAAAAGGTAGGCATTAGGACCTTTCTTTTACAGGTGGGGAAACCAAGTCTCAGAGACACAAAATGGCTTGCCTACGATCACACAGGCTCAGAGGCTGAGTTTGGGTTGGAGCCCAGGCTTCCTGACTTCAGATTTCACACTGTTCTGCTTTCTCCAGTTATGGGGGGCCTGGGAAGGCTTGTGGCTCCCCCTTGCTGCCTGGCTCCCCCTTCCCCCTTGGAGGATATCCTCCCTGCCTGTCATCTGTCCCCATCCCCGACTGGCCCAGTTACCTCCAAGTGTCTCTGGACTTACTGTCACTTGCTGTGGCACCTCTTTTACCAGAGGCTGTGAGATTTCTCCCCAGTAGAAGTGAAACGATCACAGTGAATTTGTCTCAGCAGGCCTCAGATAGGGTGACCCCACCCATAGACCCTGCCAGGAATGGTGAGTGTGGTTTTTGAGCTCAGCATCCGCCCATGGCAACACACTGAGATACTATCCCAGGGGGCTTGTGGGGTGGGGGGTGGAGAGAGGACGGGGTCTTGTCCTGAGAGTTTGAGGCCAGCAGGAGCAAGGGTCTGTCCCATGGGCACCATAAAGCAGATGAGCCCAGGCTGGACTAGGTGCCTGTATTCTTGCTCTGCTGCCAGCCCATGGCATGGGAAGTGCATATCCCTCCAGCCACCAGCCACATGCAGAATCAACCTCCCACATCCATCTCTGGAGGTTGAGGGGCAAAAATGGGAGACCACTTGGAGTCCATACTTGGCAATCAGCCAGACATGGGTTAACCCTAGTTTTATCTCATATTCGTGATGAGATTTGGGCAAGTAATTTCACCAAACTGGGTCCATTTTTGGACTCAGTTTTCCCATCTGTAAAATGGGGATAATAAGTCAGTCTACAGATATTGCAAAGATTAAATATACCTAATACAGCACAGACATTAAGTGAATGATATCTACTAATATGGGTGGAGAATTAGGTTCAAGCTAGGCCCCCTGACACTGCCTCCTGGAATTCTCCGCTACATTTTTGGAGAACAGGATGAGGAGCAAGGAGTGAACATTGGGAGCCATCAGCAATGCCTTGGGGGTCATGAGCAGTGGGCAGTCAGTGGGCAGAGGCCGGCTGACTACTTGGTAGCGATGCTTTGGGAGACTTCTCCCATGGGCAGGGAGGTAAAACTGGATGGCTCCTGAAATCCCATTCTATCTATACAACTCCATGTGATCAGAATCAGTTCTATTCTTCCCTCTTAGCTAGATGGAAAAAAAAGTAGCCTCTGAATGTCAATGTCTGTTCAAATGACTCATGTTGGATCAACCTGAGAACTGGGACCACCAGCTTAGGCTCTGAAATGCAGTTGTATCTACACCAGGGCTTCTGCAAAAATCTCGAGTAGAGATGATGAGGACAGATGGATAGAAGAGACCATGGGTCTGGATGAGCTGGGAAGGAAAGACAGGGATAGGAAACAATTGTTCTAAGACAATGGAAGAATAATTTATTGAACCTCGCTATTCCCCCAGGACTGGACCAGGCCTGGGGGCCCCATGGTAAGGACAGCAAAGCCCTTGCCATGTATGAGTGGGAGACAGACATTTTGGGCACCTTCAAGGTGGTAAGGCTAAGTCAGAAGTAGAAGCAGGACACTGTGGGAGCTAGTGAAGGGACATCTAACTCAGCCTGGAGAAGACAATTCCTGAGCTAGTCCCAAAGGGCAAATAAGCTAGAGAGAGTGATGGCAGAGAAATGTAAATAAAAGATTCCTTTTAGAGAGGAGAAAAAGACAAAAAGCAAAAAAAAGAAAAAAGAAAAAAGAAAGAAATCAAAAGCATGCTTTATAATCTATGCGTCGTTCACCATAATACTCTAGGACTTTGCACAATGCCTGGCAATAGTAGGCATTCAATAGACATTCGCTGAGTGAATAATAAAGTCAGAACTTGCACATTGCTTATTAGTTTAATCTATTTGACAATCCTATGAGGCAGACGTTAGTAATACCTTCATCTGATAGATGGGAAATAGAGACATGGAGAGACCAAATAACTTGCTCAAGGTCAAGTAACTTGAATAAACTAGAAGGTGGCAGAGCTGGGATTCAAACAGAAGGATCCTAGCTCCAAAGCCTACATCTGAGCCTCTCTGCTCTAGTGTGGCCCTCTTCCATTCTCCTGATGCTGAGCAGTACACTGTGTCCACAAACCGTGAGCAGGAGTGCGTGAGCTGGCCAGGGCTGCCATGACAAAGACCACAGACTGGGGGGCCTTAAACAACAGAAATTAATTTTCTCATGATTCTGGAGGCCAGAAGTCCAAGGTCAAGATGTTGACAGGGTTGGCTTCTTCCGAGGCCTCTCTCCTTGGCTTGCAGAGAGCTGTCTTCTCTCTGAATCTTCACATCATCTTTGCTGTTGTGTGTTTGTGTCCAAATTCCTCATCTTACAAAACACCAATCATACTGGATAAGGGCCCACTTGAACGGTCTCATTTTAAATTTATTACCCCTTTAAAGATCCTATCTCCAAATGCTGTCACATTCCTAGATACTGGGGGTTAGGACTTCAACACATAAATGCGGAGGCTGAGGGGACAATTCAGCCCTTAAGGAGGGGGTTCAGGGAATGAGTGGCAGCTGAAGCTAGAGGGGGAGGCAGGGAAATCCTGCTGGGTCTATACATGGAAGGGATATAGCTGGACCACATCTGAAGGGAAGGATAAGGCCCTAAGCAGGATGGCAAGGCTGTAACAGACACTCTCAGACATTTCTCTACACGGATTACATCAGTGGGACAAAAGGGTCCAATGTGTGCCCACTTTACACTTGAAAAAATAAAATTGGTGATAACAGAAAAGCATTAACATCCATGCAATTGCACACATTTGCTTTAGCCAAGGATTCATGGGTGATTCATTGCTAACTGCAACACATACACATTTCAAAATCTAATAGGGTTACCTGAACACTGTAAAATTAACCAAACCATCCCCAACCAACTAAATTGAACTAAATTGACAGTGAAGTTGAACTATCAGGCATTGCGAATTACAAAGCAAGAGGAACAGCAGCTGAAAACCACAGCTTACTTGTGACCACCCTGCTTATTTGCTGATAACGGCATCCCCTCCCCACCATGAATTGGGGGACTTGACAGTCTCTGCATGACCACTGCATAGCAGGAGCTTCGTGATACTGTCACATGTGTGAGGCAGCCAGACCTCTTAAAAGAAAGATAGATCCCTGAGTTTATGAATACCACATTTTGGTCACTGATGATAATTCACTGAGTAGGTTAGTAATCAATAGGTCTTTGTCTGATGTCAAAACAAAAGCTCATGAAAACATAAGCCATTTGCCTGGAAGAATGGAAGAAAAGTTATAAATATGAATTAATTCATGGTCCAACAATGCCCTGCCTCCACCACCCATGATCTATGAACGTATTTTGAAAGTTTCTGTAGTAGAGAAACATCTCAGCTCTGCCACTACCAGCCCTGTGCCCCAGGGCCATCCACCGCAGTACAGGTCCTGATACAAACAAAACACACATAAATACATTAAACACATTCTCATTGAGAGATGCAAGCATTTTGTAAATCCATACTTAGAATCTAAAAGAAATAAAATGGCAACTTTTGACAAATTATGTTCTAGCAGAAAGAGTCCTGGACAGGCAGCCAGAAGGCCTTAGTTCTAGACCCAGCTCAACCACGAATCAGCTATGTCAGAGATTTATCTTATCCTGGAACGTGCTCATATATACAATGGGTGCCCAAGGTTCTTTTAGGTCTGTGTGCCCATGGAATATCTTCTGTTTCCTGCTCACTTCCTGTATTAGTTATCTACGGCTGCATAACAAATGACCCCACAACTTAGATGCTTAAAACACAACACGTTTATTATCTCACAGTTTCTATGGGTCAGGAATCCAGGGGCCACTTGGCTAAGTCCTCTGGCTCTGGGTTTCTCTCCAGGGGCTGCAGTCATCTGCAGGCTCAGCTGAGGATTGGTCTGTTTCTAAGCTCACTCCATTATCACTGGCAGGATTCAGTTGCTCACGGCCTTTTGGGCTAATGGCCTCAGTTCCTCATGAGCTGTTGTCTGGGGTCAGGAGAGGCTTCCTTGGTTCCTTGCTACATGGGCTTCTCCACAGGGCAGCTCACAACGTGGTGACTTGCTTCATCAGAGCTAGCAAGGGAGGGGGCCACAGAGAGTGCTAGTAAAGCTGAAGTCACAGTCTTTCCTAACCTTAGCTCAGAAGTGACATCCCATCACTTTTTCCCTATTCTATGCATTAGAAGTGAGTCACTAGGTCCAGCCCACACTCAGCAGGAAGAGATAACACACATGCAGGAGATGGGGATCATTGGGAACCATTGTAGAAGCAGCCCATCAGACTTTTCCCCTCATTGTTCTTGGCCTCATTGGGTCATCTGAGACTGTGGCTGTCTTGCTTAGACTTTTATACGCTGCTCCATTAAAAAGGGGCTGAGAAGTGGGAAGCGGTGATTGGGAGAATGTGAGGTAGGCCCGCTAAGCAAACCCCTGGAGGGTTGGTGCACCAGGAGAATGAAGAAAGGGGAAATTGACAACAGATGTAGCCCTATTACATTAATGGGAGTTGCTTCAGCCAATTACCCCATGGGTGCTGCATCCTACTAATGCAACTTAGGAGAAAAGGCAGTGTCTGAGGCACATCAGATCAGTCTTTCTCGTGCTCCAGCTCCAGCCTCCTGGCCCCAGTCCTCTACCTCCAGGTTGTTGGAACACTGGAGGGTGGCAAGACCACTGGAGCAAAGCACTGCGTTCAATCTGTTCTGTTGAGCTCAGTGGATATTAACACCTTCAGGAAGAGAAAAACAAAAAGACAAAGCTTCTTTAAGAAGGTTCATGGAGAATCCTCTCCATTCTGAAGGAATGACTCTTTTTTTTTTTGTTATTGAGGGGAGTTAAGGATAAGTTAGAAGCTTTGCAAGATGTGGAAGGAAAGAAACTGAGCGTGTTTCAATGGTCTTGCCTTGACCAGTGGCAGGAAGGACCTGGGAACTTGGAGTGTAGACAGTAAAATGCCCTTGCTTGACAAATGCAAAGATTTCATTTGAACTCCAGCTGCAGATTTTGGCTGTGTGAATGAGGCCTTACCACTCTACAGTCCCAGATGGCAGGGCCTGGGTAGGCCATGGTGGAGACGAGGGTGAGACATCAAGGGTACACAATTTTAGGAGACCTTCATTCTCAGAAGTGCAGCAGGACCCTAGTCCTGGCCCTGGCGTAGATAAATTGGTTGTGTGGTTGTTTGTTCAATGTCAGCCTCTCTGCCTACTCTGGGCATTCCGTGTCTGTTTTTGTTCAGCTCCATGTTTCCCGTGTCTCCTGTGGGGTCTGGTACTTACGTGTGGGATGAATCAATCAATCAATCAATCAATCAATCAATCAACTCTCCTGGGTGAGATTCCATTTATCTATCAAGATACAGCTCAAAGGTTCTTTCTCCCTGAAACCTTGCCTACTGCCTGGATAGCACTGAGGGCCACCTCTTGGGTTTCTATCAAACCCATACCCACTCCCCACCAACTACCACCACCATCAGAGTGTGCTCACTGGAGAGCTGTGGGATGGTGCATAAGAGCTGGGGTTCCAGAGTTGTAGTGCTGGGATTCACATCCTTATTCCATCTCTTATTAGTACTCTGACATGGTCTGGCTTTTTGTCCCCACCCAAATCTCATCTTGAATTGTAATCCAAATTGTTATCCACACGTATTGAGGGAGGGACCTCATGGGACATGATTAGATCATGGGGACTGTTCCCCCATGCTGTTCTCATGATAGTGAGTGAGGCTCACAAGATCTGATGGTTTTATAGGTGACTGGTATTTCCACTGCTTGCACTTCTCTCTCTTGCTGCCATGAGAAGAAGGACATGTTTGCTTCCCCTTCTGCCATTATTGTAAGTTTCCTGAGGCCTCCCCAGCCATGCAGAACTGTGAGTCAATTAAACCTCTTGCCTTTATAAATTACCCAGTCTTGGGTATTTCTTCATAGCAGTGTGAAAATGGACTAATACACTTTGTGACCTTGGCCTCATGCTGGACTTCTTTATACCTCAGTTTCCCTATCTGTAAATTGGGGTCACTAATAGTTGTGTTGTAAGGATTAAAGACATTAATGCATATTAAGCACTTAGGATGATGCCAAGCTTATAGTAGGTGCTCAATAGATACTTGCTATTCCCTGCATTCACTTACTCATCACCTTCTACTATACTTATCTACCTAGTTAGACAAGACTGTGACTTAATCATTTCAGTATCCTTTCTCCTGGCACACAATAGGTGTATATACTGCATTCACTTAGGGAACCATTTTGCCTAAGGAGGATAGAACAGAGCCTCGACCTCTGAGAATAACCCTGCTATGTTTCACCTCCCCACCTCCATTCCCCAACACCCCTTCCTGGTAGAGACCCCTTGGACCCTGGAGATCTTCGAGCTCTGGGTCCCATGTTCCCCCTCCCCACCTCTTCATTAATCTTGATAAGGGAGTCTTCGCAGGGTCCCATGATCCCCCTCCCCACCTCTTCATTAATCTTGATTAGGGAGTCTTCGCACTGGAGTTCATTTTCTTGCAGATGCATATCAGTCATGTAGCAGGGAATCTCTCCCGTGCTAATGAGGAATCAAAGTCTTGCCATGTTATCACTTCGCTAATTAGTACACAGGCTTCTTTGGGGGGAAAAAGGTCAGGAAAGATATTGGCAGAAAGTTGTGATTTCCAAGTGGGCTGGGCATGGTGGTGAGGTTCAGAGAAGGAGGAAAGGCGCTGGGTTCCCAACTTCTCCATCCTGCTGGACTGGTCCCAGGAAGTCAGGCCAGGGCAGAGAAGGTTTCAGGTATCCCTACCTTGAGCCAGTGTCTGCACACAACCTCAGCTCGCTGGATCTAGGTCACGAGAGCCTCTGGCTTGTGAATCGGATTCAAAGTCCTAATGAGAAAGAGGCTGAGGCAGGATGGGCAGTTCCCGAGTGCAGGAGGACTGTTTGGCTGCAGGCAGGGTTGGGGAGCATTGTCCAGGCCAGTCTGGAGACCAGGAAACCAGATCCCTCCCGTCGGCAGCTGAGCTAGAGCAGAGACGGTTACTGCTGTGGCATCTGCCTTCTCCAGGCTCTTTGTTCTGCCAAAAAACAAACAAACAAACAAACAAAAAACCGAACCGAACAGTAGTTGAGGCTGAAAAAACAGATTTTATTCAGGACTGTTGCAATAGAGGAAAAGAGACCAGTGTAGAGCTGGGCTCATTTCTGAATACACCCTGGGGAAGTGTGAATTTTTAGCCAAGGAGCAGGTTGGGGTATAGTCTGTTATCTGCCAGTTTCTCATCTGCAGGTTCAAACAACTATGGCCAAAAATATTTGCAGAGAATAAATACATAAAAAATAACAATATAACAACAACAAAAAATTAATAATAAAAACAATACAGTATAACAACTATTTACATAGCACTTATATTGGGTATTATAAATAATCTAGAAATGATTTGAAGTAAACAGGAAGATGGACATAGGTTATATGCAAATACTACATCATTTTATATGAGACTTGAGCATTCTCAAATTTTGGTCCTAGAACGAGTTTCCCAGGCAATACCAAGGGATGAGAAACAACACCTGGGGGATGTGGAGGATGGGGAACCTATCAGATATAGAGGATGGAGGATTCTGGTTAAACCGACTTAGCAGGATTCTTGCTAAAACTGGATTCCACAAGGAAGTGCATGAAATGGGCCTCAGAGAAAGTTCTGGAACGCGACTAAAGTTTGAACAAGCAAATAATCTTTGTCAGTTCTTCTGCTCAAATTCCAGACAGGGGGTCTGGATCACCTGCCAGCCCCTCGGTAATGGGAGGGTGTCACCGTTGCACTGACACCTTATGGAAGGGTTAATCCTTCCAAAGGAAATCAGAGCCATGCTAGGAAGCAGGAATGGGTGCTGGACAGACAAGGAAAAATGCCTGCTCTGCCTCCCCCTTAAGGAAGTGCCCTTCTTTCATTCAACAAAGATGTATTAGGTGCCTATTATGTGCTGGCACCTTGGGCTGTGCTTAAGGAATTAACGGGGAGGTCTTTAGGAGGCAGCATTAGAGAGACCCCAATGCACCCCCCAGGGGCACACTATGGAGGGCATGCTAGTCACAAGGTCCCACAAGGGATGGGGGCCTGGGAAGAGATCTACAGTTTGAGGGTTGTAACATCCAAGGCAATTGCAAAGCACAGTGGGATCAGGACCAGGAAGGCAGCACAGCCTAGTGGGTCAGACAGATCTTGGCCACAGGCCATGTGACTTTAGGCAGTTCATGTCTCTGGGCCTCACCTTCTCCATCTGTAAAATGGGATGACATAAATAAAGGGTACAATAAAGGCCGGACACATGGTGGGTGCCCAGGACTTGTTGGGGAGGTAGGGGTAGGGTCCAGGGTTTGGCCCAAGGAGTAAATGTGAGTCTCTATCAGGGAACAGTGCAAAAGGTCAGGCTTCAAGGAGGAAATGCAGTAAAAGACTGGGAAGCCCAGCTCAAGACAGGATGAGGTAAGACCGTCCAGGAAAGTCCTTTGGTTGGATTTTGCCAGAGGGTGTGGGGATGCATTGGCTAACTTAAAAATGGGTACAAACTTGAGACAGCCATCTTCTCAACTAAACAGCAATGCTCTCAATGTGGGGAGTGTGCTTCCTCCATCAGATCAGGCCTTCTCCTGGGAAGGGGTTGTGCCTCCCTTGTCAGTGTAGTGTTTGACAGCACAGGCTCTGCAGACAACTGCTTCTGTTTGAATCCTTTCTCTGCCACTTCTTGGCTGTGTGGCCTTGTGGAAGTTACACGGCCCGTTTGAGCCTCAGTTTCCATGTCTATCAAATGGGGATATTGGTGGTTCCTATATCATAAAATATATGTATGCAAAGCCCACATTAGGTGATTTTTAAAATTTTTCTTTATTTATCTTTTATGAAATGGGGTCCCACTATGTTGCCCAGGCTGGAGTGCAGTGTAGGGCACTACAGCTGCAAACTCCTGGGTTCAAGAGAGCCTTCCACCTCAGGCTCTTGAGTAGCTGGAACTACATGCAGCACCCTCCCCCATACCCAGCTTATATTAAGTGTTTAATAACTATTCACTTGTGTACTAGTCATCAACTACTGCATAACACATACCCCAAAATGTAGTCGCATAAAACAACATTGCTAAAGAATTGAGGGTCAGGAATCCAGGTGTGGCTTAGCTGGGTCCTCTGGTCAGGGGTGTCCTGCAGTCTGATCAAGGTATCAGCCCAGGCTGTGCTTATGTCAGGGCTCGACTGAGAACAGATCTGCTGCCAAGCTCCCTCCACCCACGGTTGGCAAGATCAATTCCCCCACGTGTTGCTGGGCCTTAGCCTGGGAAGCCGTTGTCTTCCCTCCTTTCCTTGCCACCTGGGCCTCTGCATAGGGAAGCGCACAACATGGCAGCTTGCGTTATCAGAGCCAGCGGGGGAGGGGCCTGGAGAGAGTGCAGGCAGGACAAAGCCACAGTCTTTTGTAACCTAATCCTAGAAGGGACCTCCCATCACTTTCCCCATTCTATTCATTAGAAGGGAGTCAGTCTGTCCAGCAGAGGGGATTGCAAAGACCTGTGAATACCAGGAAGCCTCATCAGGGCCACGTTGGAAGTTGCCATTCACACCTAGACTGGAGGCTGCCTGTGAGAAGGGATGGGGAGAAGGGGCTTTGTCTTTTCCTTCACGGCTCTGTCTCTAGCACCTAGAAAAATGCCTGGCACGACACAGGAGCTCCACAAATGTTTGTCCAGTGTATCAGAATGAGGGTACCTGGGGCAGGGGCTGGATAAAGAGGAGCTTCGTCTCCCCTCTATCCCCCTCTGGGCACCCAGACAGAATATTGCAGCCCTGAGCCCAGAATAATCCCCCTGGGGAGAGCCTTCCCCACTCAGAAAAGCCTCTGGTTGCATTGCAGTGTTTTGCTACTGACCTCCCCCTCTGAGGGAAGGCAAATTTCATCCAGAAGGAGATGTGTGAAAATTGGATTTGCTGCCAGGGTCAAACTTTGCTGTGTTTTATCCTGGCTGTCACCTGCCTTTGAAACACAGAATATTTCTCCAAATGATGCCTCTCACTCGTGGCCCCTCCTTTCTGGAATCAGAGCCCATGAACTTCTACCAGCTTCCTCTGGGCCATCTCTCTGGCTGCTGCCCAGCTCAGGCCACGTTCATCTCTCTCCTTGTCCCTTGCTGTGGTCCCTTGACTGGTGTCCTCATCCCCACCCAGCCCCCCTCCTTCCCATTTTTCAAGCAGCCAGAGAGGCCTTTCAAAAACACAAATTGGAGCACGTAATTCTTCTCCTTAAAGCCTTCTCCTAGCTTCCTGTTGTTCTGGAATAAAATCCCAACTCCCACCCTGCAGGCTTTGGCCCTGCCACCTCTCCCAGCTCATCTCCTAAAAAACATCCCAGGCCCTCCCTTGCCGCAGGCATGGTCCGCCAGTTCCTGAAACATGGAAGCTCTTCCTCCCTCCAAGACTTGGCTCTGTTCTGTCTGCCTGGGCTCTTCCCCTGGCTCTTTGCAGTGCTGGCTCCTTATCCTTCTTATCTAGCTTAGTTGTCACCTCTTCAGAGAAGCGTTCCCTGACTGCACTATGCTCCCATTATTACCATTCTCATCATCTTGTTTACCTATTTCCTGGTCCAGATTACAACTTGTAATCATTTTGGTTTAATTAATTCTATGAGGATGGAGGTGCCTAATAGGTCACAGCTATATCCCTTAGGCTCAGCACATGGTAGGACAAATGAATTTCCCCTTTCCTGCAGGATTTCAGTAGCCTCCCCGCTGCCTGCCTTGCCCATGACTCACCTCCTCCAACACACTCAGGACATAGCTGCCAGGGAAAACATAGCCCTGAACGTGTCCCTCCCACCCTGGAAGCCCTCAGTGGCTTCCCATTACTCAGTAGCATCAGGGACGCTTGGGCTCAGCTTCCAGACTGGACCCAGCCAACCATTTCTTAACATTCCCTTCCATCCACCCCATGCTCTGGTCAAACTGGAATATTTGCTGCATTCCTGAGCACTCCTTGCTCTTTTCTATCTCAGGGCTTTGGCAGGGATGTTTTCCCTCCACCTGGAAAGCCTTTCTCTCCTCTGCAAGACAAAAAAATGCATCCTCATCTCAATTCATCTCCTCCTCCAGGAAGTCTCCCTGACTGCCTCTTTGGTGAAGAGGGAAGAACTTGGAAGTTGGTGTCAGTCCTGGGTCCATATCTCTGCTCTACCATTTGCAGAGCAAATGAGTATATGACTCCCTGTGTCTGAATCTGTTCAGTAGGAACAATTCTGACTCTCAGAGTCGTTGAATGAAACACCTTATAAGAAAGCCTCTGGCCCCGAGGAGATGTCAAGCAGACGTGAGGCCCTTTCCAGGTTTAGTGGTAACCTGTGATACTCCTTCATACTTCATCTTCTTCTAATGCACTTGGGGTGAACCCATTCTCCTCTGTCCCCACTGCCCCTTCTGGGCAGGACCACACCTTCTCCCTCTCCCTTCCCTTACCCTGCCTGCCAAGATATTTACTTTATGCCAAGTAGGGTCTAGGGAGAGTCTGCTGAATGTCCTCGACCTTTCCTCTTCTCTGGATATTCTTCCTTTACAGAGAAAAGCAACTCAGTACAATTTTATGCTAATTCATGCATTCATTCACTGAGCTTCTATCATATGAACAAGAGCCCGGTGGAATTTTCATTTTAGGATGTTGGAACTGCCATGATTCATTTGGTCAACAAACATCTGTCTACCACTGTCTACCATGGTTGTGTGTGCTCAGTTACCCCAGTAATGTCTCCAGCTCCCTGGTGGCAGTCATTAGCTGTTGCTCAGGGCACTTGAGTCCCTCTTTCCTACAGCTCAATCTGTCCTTAAGGGCCATTCTCCAAGGTTTCTAGACATTGTTCTTCCCCACTGGGTAACTGTGGCTCTGCTCCGTGTCTATAGTGAGGCCTGCCAGATGCAGGACCCCTGCAGGCAGAGAGCTGTGAAATCCTCCCTGATCCGCTGCAGCCAGTGAGGGGAATCTGGAATTCTTTGCCTCCCAGGCTCCTGTGTGCATTTCAGCCTCTCTGACCAGGCTCAGAGGCAGCTTCAGAGGCAGCCAGGGGTGCAGGGCAGGTCTCTCTCCTTAAAGAGGAGCAGTTGTCTGATCCAGCAATTTCATTTCTGGGTATATATTTCAAAACAAAGCAGGATTTCAAAGGGATATTTGTACCCCCATGTGTGTAGAGCAGGATTATACACAAAAACCAAAAAATCCAAGAGTCCATCCGCTGAGGAGTGGATAAGCAAAATGTAGAGTAGCCATACAATGGAATATTATTCAGCCTTCAAAAAGAAGGAAAGTCTGACGCATGTGACAACATGGATGAAGAGTCCATCTGCTGAGGAGTGGATAAGCAAAATGTAGTCTATCCATACAGTGGAATATTATTCAGCCTTCAAAAAGAAGGAAAGTCTGATGCATGTGACAACATGGATGAAACTTGAGGACATTATGCAAAGTGAATAAGGCAGGCACCTAAAGACAAATACTGTGTCACACTAGTTACATGAGGTATCTAAAACAGGAAGGGGAGAGATGGTTGCCAGGGGTTGGGGGAGAGGGGAAATGGGGAGTTGTTTAATCTGCATGGAGTTTCCGTTTTGCAAGATAATAGGGTTCTGGAGAGCTGTTTCCCAACAATGGAAATCTGCTTAACACTACTGAGCTGTCCTCTTAAACATTGTTAAGACAGTGAATTTTATGGTTTGTGTATTTTACCACAATTAAACATTTAAGGGAAAAAGAGAGAGAGGAAGAGAGAAGGCCTTCTGGGTAAGAACACCTGAGCAGGTAGGAATGGCCCTGGGGGATCTGACCTTGGCCTCTGAGCCCTACCTCCTCCCTAACTGCCTTCAGCTTTCACTTCTTCTCCCGCCAGACTCAGCAACCCTCCCTTGTTTGTCAGTGGCCTGACTATGGACACACCTTTCCTCTTACAACCACTGATCACAGCTGACTTCAGCTGCTACTTCCAGCTTTCCTAAAAAAAGAAATAAAATAGAAAGGAAATAAACATAGAACAACCAAGCTGGAATACCATGTTTCCGCCATCCAACAACAGCCAAACTGTTTCTGTGTATTCTGAGCCCTGCTCCATCCCAGAGGGGCTGCCCTCTGATGGCCTCATTTAATTCTTCATTTAGAAACAAAGATGGTTTTCGTATATGGAAGCTATACCTAGTTGGTATGGAGTTCTCTTACGTCCCCACTGCTGGGGCTGAAGACCACCACCAGCCTCACAGGCTCTTCCTCTGCCTTTGCCATTGTATTAGTCTGTTCTCATGCTGTTGATGAAGACTAGGTAATTTATAAAGAAAAAGACCCAAGACTGGGTAATTTATAAAGAAAAAGAGGTCTAATGGACTCACAGTTCCATGTGGCTGGGGAGGCCTTACAATCGTGGTGGAAGGCGAAAGGCATCTCTTATGTGGCAGCAGGCAAAGAGAGAGCGTGTGCAGGGAAACTCTCCTTTATAAAACCATCAGATCTCATGAGACTTATTCACTATCATGAAAACAACATGGAAAAGACCTGTTCCCATGATTCAATTACCTCCCACTGGGTCCCTCTCATGACACGTGGAAACTGTGGGAGCTACAATTCAAGATGAGACCTGAGTGGGGACACAGTCAACTCCTATCAACCATGTTATTTGGGGTTCTCACTTCTGGCAGGCTGATGTCAGCAAGCCCCAGGCAATCTCCTTGTCCAATCCAGCCTGGTCACTGGGCCCTTCAACTTGGCACCTGCTCTTATGGGCTGCACCTCCACTGGACCTTCAAGATACAGCTGGGGCCTCCTGACCCAGGGCCTGGGGGCTGGGACAGCCCTTTGGGGATAGAAAGGCAGCCAGTTCTGAGCCCTGGGGCTCTGGGTCATGCAGCTGGCCTCCTGGGGTGACTCAACCTTGCAGAAAGATCTCTTCTTGATCTTCCACAGCCTGGGGTGTGGGTTCAAGAGCTGAGAGGCCAGAGCTCAGCATCCTCTAACCCCTGTCCTTGGCCATCAGAGACCTGTAATTGCCCTAAAATCCATCTTTTTCCCAGGCACATACTCACCAAAGCCCTTGGTTCCTCTCTCTCTCTCTCTCTCTCTCTCTCTGACTCTGGGGACCTGGCAGATGGAAACCATCCTCTATCTGTTCCAACCCAACAACCTAATCCTGATGAAAGCTGGACCTGGGTTGCTGGGATGCAGCTTTCAGAGGGGGCATTGGCCTAATGAGCTTTCTTCCAGACCATGTGTTTGCTCTTCAGCCAGCGTCACTGTGGGGCTGCTCTGGGGGACTCAGCACAGTACGGCACATCCTCTGACTGGAGCACACAGACCATCCCTTGTGGAAAGCAGGCACCTGAGACAGCAACTCTATAGGCCAGCTAGAGAAGTGTCACCCTCACCTGCCGTCAAACCTGGGCTGGACCACTCCATAGCCTTGTGGCCTGGCACTAATTCCTTACCCTTTCTGAACTTCAGTTTTCCTCATCAGTAAACAGTAATAACATGCCTTGCACTGCCTTACTGTCATGTTCAAATGTGATTATCTATGTAAAGCACCCAGCCCTGGAGCTGGAGGTCAATGAATGCTATTTCCTGTCCTCCTTTCTAAGACAGGTGAGGAAACCTGCAATGCCTGGAGCAGCCATTGTTTGCATTACTAGATGCGGCCTTGTACTGTCTCTCACCTGCTCCAAATGAATGACTGGGGAGGAATAATGATAGGCCTTTTCCAGTTGTATATTACTGTTCTCAGAGTAATATACAAATTCTTCGTCATATTTCTTCCTTAAGGAAAAAAAACCTGGGAGGCTTCCAGGGAAGGCACATTTAACTCCACTTTGTAGATAGAGATACGAAGGCCCAGCGAGGGCAAGGACCTCATCCAAGGTCACAGAGCCAGGAAGTGGCTGAGTTAAGGTGGGAACCCAGATCAGGGTGCTTTTGTTTGCTTTTGTTTTGTTTTTAAGCTTTGTTATGGAAAGTTTGCCAAGGCCTCACCCTGTTCTCAGGAGTGTATCAGGGTAGACATCATTCTCAGGAGATGGGGCCAGGGATGCTGCCAGGCCAGGAGAGGCACCTTCGTACCCAGCAGAGCCCATGCCCTGGATGAACTAATTACCATGCTCCCTCACACTCATACTGAGCCTTCCTTCCAGAGAGACCCTAAAGTTCTTCTGAGCTGCTCGTACATATTTATATGCCTGCGTGCACGATAAAAGTAAAACCACTTCACCCACCGCTGAAATGCAGCCACTCGGGGTGTGAAATACGGGGCTTATGGAACAGAGGCAAGGAGCGGCTCTCAAGGAGAGGCGTGTGTCCCTCCTGACATTGCAAGGGGGCAGCTGGAGGGAGGTGGAATTTAATTATCTTGGCGAGTAAGTGCTGGACGTGGAAGTAGGAGCCAGGAAGACTGTGGGTCCCTGGGCACCGGGGACTCCCTTGGCCTCCCTGGGATGGAGAGCTGGTCCTGCCAGGGAGGACGGTACCAGCTAAAGGAGTGCACGGGCCCCTCAGCATCCATCTCTTTACAGACCCCTGAACCCCACTCCCTGGGAGCTGCCTGCAGGTATGTGGGCTCCAGCCTTCTGCCCTCCAAAACCCAATGTGCCACCAAACACCATTTCTTCCTTTAAAGGAAGGTCCCAGGAGGCGTTCGTGAGTTAAGACCTCTTGGAGTGAGGACCAGCAACTTTGCTCCTGTCCGGTCAAGGCTGTAGCTAAGAAAGGTGCCATTCTCAGAAGAAGCTGAGCTTCTTTTCTGGCCATGGCAACCTTTCAATGGTTCCTTGACTTTGTTCTGATTTCTGGTGCTGAGCCTTGCTGTACATTTAGACTTCTGCTCCTGCCTGTCCTCTTTTCCCTCCCTCCCTTCTTCCTTCCTTCCTTTCCTCCTTGTTTCCTTCCTTCCTCCCTTCCTTTCTTCCTTCCTCCCTCCTTCTCTCCCTCTTTCTTTCCTTCCTTTCTTCCTTCCTTCTTCCCTCCCTCCCTCCTTTCTTTCTTTCTTTCTTTCTTTCCTTTCTTTCTCTCTCTCTCTTTCTTTCTCTCTTTCTTTCTTCCCTTCCTTCCTTCTTTCCTTCTTTCCCTTTCTCTCTTCCTCCCCAGTCCCTATCTCCCTCCTTTCTCCCTCCCTTTCTCTCTCCCTCCCTTTCTCCCTCCCTCCCTCCCTCTCTCTCTCTCTCTTTCTCTCTTTCTTTCTTTCTTTCTTTCTTTCTTTCTTTCTTTCTTTCTTTCTTTCTTTCTTTCTTTCTTCTTTCCTCTCTCCCTCTTTCCCTTCTCCTTTCTTCTTCCCTGATATATTTTGGATATTTGTCACTTCCAAATCTCTTGTTGGAATTGATCTTCAGTGTTGGAAGTGGGGCCTAATAGGAGGTGTTTGGTGCCCTCCCTGAAGTAGTGAGTGAGGTCTACCTCTTGAGGTTACTGTGAGATCTGATTGTTAAGAAGAGCCTGACACCTCCTCCTCTTTCTCTTGCTCCCTCTCTTGCCATGTGGCACTCCTGCTCCCCCTCTACCTTCCACCAGGAGTAAGAGCTTCCTGAAGCCTCACCAGAAGCTGAGCATATGCTGGTGCCATGCTTGTACAGCCCCCAAAACCATGAGCCAAATAAACCTCTTTCTTTATCAATTACCAGTCTCAGGTATTCCTTTATAGAAACACAAAATGGACTAATACACCCACCCTGTACTTTGCCCATCTGACCACTATAGTCTTAATCCCCTGGTGCAAGCACAGAGGCTGAAAAGGCCAAGAGAAGGCATCCAATGTAGGCTTCCTGAACTATGACAAAGAAAGCTGAGCTCTGGAGCAGGAGCAGAAATTAGCCAGCTTAAAGGATGTGTGTGGGGTGCATGGGACAGGGTAGGGGAGATGGGAGAGGGAGGGGAGCTTGGATGGCTATCTCAGCAGAGGGGGCAGCATGTAGAAAGGTCTGCAATCAAGAGAGAGAGCTTCGTGAACTCTGAGAACTGAACATGTGAACAAAGCTGCAGAAGTGAACCCAGGATAGAGCTGAAGACCCTTGTAAACCATTCCAGGAATGCTGGCTTTAGTGTACAGGCCCTGAGGAGCCAGTGAAGGATTTTAAGGGGGCTAACCTGATCAGCTTGTAACCCTGGGTATACCCAGGTAACCTGGATGTGGATAGTTGAGGGTGGTGCTTTGTACAGAAAATGAGGTCCAAGGAATTGAGCAGATGTCAGTTCTGGGGAGGCTCAACTGTCCTTCCTTTATGTGGAGGCCTGAGTGAGGTGAGGTCTGGGGACACAGCAGGAGGGAAGGAGCCTGAGAGAGGCATCTGGGAAGCAGAAAGTAAGTGGATCAGGCAGTGGGTACAGCTCTGCTGGCAACGAGATCTGGTGAGCAGAGACAGGCTGTCTGCCCTGAGATGTTGGCACTCAGGTGGTCTTGATTCTGTACCAACACTTGCCAACTGTGTGCTCCTCAGGGCACAAACCATGTCCTTTTGCTTCTGTGTCCCTTGTACCCAGCTCAGTGCCTGGTCCAGAGAAGCCCAATAAACATGTGTGTTATTCGAACCCTCAGCAGTAGCAGTGATCCACTAGAACCACTTGTTTAGGGACCCTGGTGTAATGCTGTTAGGGATTGGGCTGAGCCTATGCCTCTCAGCTGCCATGCCCCCAGTGCCTAGGCACCTTCCTTTGAAGTCATTAAAAGCATGAACAATGCCTCTATGTTCCCAGTGCTAGCAG